>NC_000003.12:70010000-71260000 GCF_000001405.40 Homo sapiens | reverse complement strand
AATAGAAAAGAAAAGAAAGTGTCCCTGGTTAGTTCCCTGCTGCCCTTCCTCACCTCTTCCTTCATGTCCCTGCCTAACTGGGTACCACGCTGAGCCTCCAGCAGCACCCCCACCCTCTATCCACCAAAGGGGCTTACCTGTGGAGCTTAATCTGGGCTCACTTGTCTTAAGGGACTTTATACGTAACTAGCAGGTGGCATCCACATCACTAAGTATTTCCCCAGTGCTTGTTAATATGCTGTTCTAAGTGATAGGCACCTCCTCTTAATATGGATAGTTAATTGATTTGTAGGCACTTTTGTTTCATCACAACCCTATTTCAGTTACAGTTGTTCATCCTTCTTTTTCTTCTTATCATTACTCATCACAAACCATCTAGTTCGTCTATGAAAAATCAGTCGATTGGGGTCGTCTCCCTTTACCAGACGCCCATAGGGTTTAGTTTTCTTCCAACACAGGGATCATAGACTTAGGAAGTGAGTCATTTGGGACATTGGTACTCATTTTTCACTATCCTTGGTGGACAATAAGAAAAATAATAGGAATGATAGGAGGTAATATTTACCAAACACTTTGTATGTGCCAGTTCAGCAAACCATTCTGAATCCTTTACGCATGTCTTCTCTTTTCATCTTCATGATAACCTTACAAAGATATACTGCAGCTGACACTATTTTCTAGGTCATAAAACTAAGACACAGAGAGGTGAAGTGAGCTCTGCAAGGTCACACTGTAGCTTGTCTGTGCTTTAAGCTTGGGCTCTTCTGGGTTCTGTTAGAAGCCTTTGGTTGCCGTGCCCACTCATGCCCATGGGGCAGCCCATCCCATTCTTTACTTCTTTTTTCTTTTTTTTTCTGAGACACAGTCTTAGCTCTGTCACCCAGGTTGGAGTGCAGTGGCACGATCTCAGCTCACTGCACCTCTGCCTCCCAGGTTCAAGCAATTCTCCTGCCTCCGCCTCCTGAGTCACTGGGACTACAGGCGCATGCCACCATGCCCAGCTAATTTTTTGTATTTTTAGTAGAGAAGGGGTTTCACTGTATTAGCCAGGGTAGTCTCGATCTCCTGACCTCGTGATCCGGCTGTCTGGGACTCCCACAGTGCTGGGATTACAGGCATGAGCCACTGTACCCGGCCTCAGCCCATCCCATTCTTAGGGCTACTGTCAAAGGTTTCTCTGCGGTCAACATTGACTTTGTTAATATTATCAGTGATAGTCCTAGACACAGAATTGCTTCAGTTCAAAAAGATAGGTTCCCACACTTAAAGCCTTAAGCAAAGCTCTCTCTTCTCCATTCCCCTCCTACATCCTTCCAATTGCCACACACTGTTTATTTGACCTCTGAAGTCTCTCCTGCTTTCTGCCCTTCCTGTCCTTGCCTTCCTGCCTGTAGAATGAAGACTTGGCTCCTTAGCATTGCCTTCAAAGCTCTTCATCCCCTGGCCCCAGTCTCTGTGTCTTCTAGAAGTTCCTCCAGCCTAGCTTTCCACAAAATATCTGGGTGTCACCTAAGGGACTGGCCCTCTGCTGGGAGTTCAGGATTGACACAGGAATGCTCACAGAGCTTATACCAGACCCCTTATTCTGCCCTTTGTTTGCCCTACCCTTGAACTTCTATAGCTCCTGTTACTGCTTCCTTCAGTGTTGGATGCCAATCCTCTGTCTTTTTTTTCCTCCTCTCCTACCTATTAACATCCTACTCATCCTTCAAGGCTTGGCTCAAATATGACTTCTATGAAGCCTTTTCAATTGAACCCAGCCTGTGTGACTCACTCTTTTGTCTGGGCTCCCACAAGTGTGTGTTTGTATTTCATTATAACCTTTGTTCAAGTCTGCTCTGTATTTTAGTGGGTTCTTTTCAGATTCGAAAGCCACAAATTCTTGCCTGAAGGTAAGAACCTATTTAATTTATTTTTGTGTGCCCAGAGCATACTATGTAGATATTCGTAGGCGCTCCGTGGATGTTATTAAGCGCAGTAATAACAATTACCATTTTGTTGAGGGCCTACTGTGCATCAGGACTGCGAGGTATTTTGTGTTCACTGTCATGTTTGCTCCTGCCAAGTAGCTTATGAGTGAGTTCTAGCTGTGATTGTTACCCCCATTTTACAGATGAGAAAACTTAGGTCCAGAAAGATGATGTGTCTTGTTTGGGTCACATAGCTGGTAAGTGGAAGTGCAGACATTTGCACACAGGTCTGCATGCTTCTAAAAGTCCATGTTGTTTTCACCACAATGCCTGAGAAATACATTATAATGATTTGCTGTGGCCCCTGGAAATCCAGATTAAGAGTCCTGAGTCCTTTAAGAAATACTCCCGTGGCTCCATTTCTTTTTCTTTCTGCATCCTGGAAATTTCCTCCTTTTAGTCACCTCCTCTTTTTACCCATTCTGCATTTTTTTTTTTTTTTTTTGAGATGGAGTTTTACTCTTGTTGCCCAGGCTGGAATGCAATGGCATGATCTCAACTCACTGCAACCTCCGCCTCCTGGGTTCAAGCAATTCTCCCACTTCAACCTCCCAAGTAGCTGGGATTACAGGGGCCTGCCACCACCCTCGGCTATTTTTTATTTTTTTTATTTTTAGTAGAGATGGGGTTTCACCGTGTTGGCCAGGCTGGTCTCGAAACTTCTGACCTTAGGTGATCTGCCCATCTCGGCCTCCCAAAGTGTTGGGATTACAGGCGTGAGCCACCATGCCTGGTCCCATTCTGCGTTTTTTAAATATTGCCAAAACTGTGTTGCAAAGAACTAGTAAGAATATTCCTGACTTGCAGGTTCAGCCACTGGTCTTTCTTTAAGTGACTGTTAGCCAAATTTTTATAATTTAGGAGCACCCATAACAAAGAAGCACTATATCACAATATTGTGAATTATATTCAGCAAGAGTTCAATAAACTCAGCTTCCTCCCGTGAATCAGCATCAAGCATGGGCCTTCCCATCATACTGCTTGAGTTCTTTGGTCACAACTAACAGAGATTCCCTTTGGCCAACTTAAAGGTAATCCTTAAAAGAAGATATTGGATGAATAGCTGGTAGCTCAGAATGAACAGAAGATGGCTAAGATAGGAAGCAGGACAGTCCCAGTATATAGGAAGTGCCAGTATCTTCCCCAGCTCGTCGCAGCCACTGCTAAAATCAGTACTCCTCAAACATGTTTCTGTCCTCACATCAGTCTACTCAGATGAATCAGACAGGCCTAGTCTAAGTCCCATATCTACCCCATGGCGATGACAGGGCAGGGGATCTTGACTAAGAGTCCCAGCCTACATGCAACAGTGGGGGAAAGTAGTTCCTTAAAAGAACATTGAAGTGAGAGGCCGGGCGCGGTGGCTCACGCCTGTAATCCCAGCACTTTGGGAGGCCGAGGCAGGTGAATCATGAGGTTAAGCGGTTGAGACCATCCTGGCCAACATGGTGAATCCCCATCTCTACTAAAAATAAAAAAATTAGCTGGGTGTGATAGTGGGCACCTGTAGTCCCAGCTACTCGGGAGGCTGCGGCAGGAGAATGGTGTGAACCCGAGAGGTGGAGCTTGCAGTAAGCCAAGATGGCACCACTGCACTCCAGCCTGGGCAACAGAGTGAGACTCCGTCTCAAAAAAAAGAAAAGAAAACAGAAAATTGAAGTGAGAATGGATTCTGGATGCCCCGCCCCCACCACCAAATTCAACAAACCCCTGCTGTCCCTGAGCTCTACAGGAATAGTGGAGTTGATTGGAGAGAGGCGCAGTTTCCTCTCTGGAGTCCCATCTTTTGTGACTTTCAACCTCCTTTCTGAGCAGGCTATTGACTCTGTCTTTGACGATGTGAGGAAACCTTCCAGCTTTGCATCACAGCAAGTTTGATGAGCCTGCCTTTACCTTGGATGTCTTCATCTGGTATTTACGTCATTGGGAAAGATGTAATGACATACCAAGACCTGTAGCTTAGCTTGCTGCTGAAGACCTTCGTCCAACTAGTCCTAATAAAACCCAAGCTCTAAAAACTCATCATCAAATAATAAAAGAGAAATAGAGTAAATGCACAATTCATGAGATTAATATAGACCAGGAAGACAGTCTTTTTTTCCCTAATAATCTTTACTTTTATATCCTACTTTATAGGGGTGCTGTTTAATTTCATGTTCATTTACTTTAATTACTTCTTGCATGTAGTTTGTGGGGAAGTTTGCCATTTTCCAACGTCTAAAAGATGGCTTACTTGAGTTTCGTTTCAGACCCTTTTAAAATTAATATATAATAAAACATAATATGTGTATTTGTCATTTTTCATCTCCAAGGATTACTCATCATAATCGAATCAATTTTTCCAGGGAGATTTTATCAGACTTACAAGTCAAATTAGTTGAATGCATTTCTTTTGCTAATAAACAGAGAACCTTTACCCTGGAAGCATCTCCCCACTGAATTCCAATAATTTAGTGTTTCCTTGCCTTAAGAGCTCAACCAGTAAATGACCTAGGCATCAAAAGAAATTTATTAGCCTAAAAGAAGATTGTTAAGATGGGAGAACTTAAGAGTATGAAAGCGAGGAAACATAATAAAATCAAAATGTAAATATTGAATACATATATGTTAGGTATTTTTTTAAAACTTCATTTTAGAGGGTTAGGCTTAACTCTCCCCCACCCCAAGCAAAACATTTCGGGGTACAGATTTTTCTGTCTCTATAGTTGCATTTACTTCTATGTTGCACATGGGGACAGTGTAAGGCTAACGGGCTATTATATTCTGACCTAAACAATTCCTGTGTTTCTAATTTAGAAGATAATTGCAGTCAAGGTAGGACAAGACCATTTTGGATGGTGGCTAGTCTGATTGCTGCCTCTGTCTTGAGTTGCCTTATGATCTATAGGTCCGAGGTTAATTGTGGGAAGATTTTGGCCATGAAACTACAGCAAGCCTTTACAGGAATGGAAAAAGGGTGTAGTTTCTTTCAAGTGCATTTATTAGGGTAGGTGTGATCACCGACTCACTGCTTGGCGTTAAGTGGGCCCATTGGTTATTGCTGTGAGGTGGTTCTAAATCCTCCTTTTAAAAAGCTCCGTTCAAGTTGCTGTGACCTTCTCATGCTGCTTGCTCCCAAGTATTTCAAATGTTGCAATGCTGGGCATTTTGTCAAGCTCATAACTGAAATGCTTTCTCCATATAAGATATGGAGTTTGACCCTATAGTAGAGATATGAATGTGGATTTGCTTTTACCCTGTAGATAAGATCAGCTACAGTGAAAGACACAGGTAAATAGAATGCTTAGGCAGAAACTGTTGGAATCCAGTGTACATGTGAAAAGAGTGAAATTTTTCAGGGCTAACAGTAAAGCCCTCTTCAGTGTGTAACTGGAATTCACCTTCTCTAGTATTTTTGCACAAGATTGAGAATAAAAATGGTTGTGATTGATGAAGCATTCAGTGTATATCTAACTGTAAGTCGGACTAGAGGGACTTTTAAATCACCCAAATGAAAGATTGTATTATCATGAACATTAATATGTAACAGTTAAGTGTGTCATAGCTTATCATAAGTCCTGGCATTCGCAGAGCTCTTTGAGGCCAGCCAACCAATAAGGAAAAACTTTTTAGCAAATGCCGGTCCACAATACCTCCATGAGTGAGGTCAGCCCAGTAGTCATGACTCTTAATAGGTTATTTATTTTTGTGTGCCCAACCTACCTACCTGTACATTCTAGTCACACTTTGCGGGGGCCTTGAAGATGTACTCTGAATTTTCTCCTCCCAATATTCTTACAGGGAAGACAAAAGCAGGTTGAAACCAAGGGGAAAATTTTACTTCTGGTGAGACTAGGAAGTTAGGGGGGAGGAAAATACCCAGAGTAACTTATTAAGGCATGGAGGTTGGATTAGTTAAATGTTTAGAAATTTTAAAATTTCTTATAGATTTGTTACCATTTATGTGGTTGACAGATTATTAACTGTTCACCCCTAGAAAACCAATTCAGGAAGGTAGAAACTTCTGTTTTTTATCTTTTGCAAAGTAATGTCTTTTCCTCCAAATTTGTAAGGTGTACATGTTCATAGCAGAAAATTTGAACTATAAGGCAAAATATTTTTAAAATCGTAACTACCTCTGTTCTTAATACCCAGAGAAACTTAGTAACTGGAAGGGCTATCCTTACATGTATAACATTTTTTTAAATGTTAGTGCTACATATATTTAATTAATTACATTTTTAACGGGTACATACTTTTTTCATTTGGCGTATTTATTATGTGGTCATATGTCCATTGAAGCTTTCTTTGTCTTTGTATCTACCATAACACCAAGTCCAGTACCATTTTAGTGGGATGAGCTTATTAATATTTTTTAAAATTACAATAGGTACATCTTATCAGAGTTAAATCTTCGAGTTATTTGTGGAAGGGAGAGAGAAGAGAAAAGGAGTAAATATTTACTGAGAACCTAGCACATGCTGAGTACTGGGTTACATACTTCATAGTAATATTGCACTTTATTATCATTAAATACTGATGATGATGATGATGGTAGCTAAGTATCATTGTGTACTTGCTGTGTAAAAGATCAGAACTTGGACATGTATCATTTCATTTAATTCTCACCACAACTCACTAAAGTTAAACACGTCTATTATTTCCATATTAAAGATGGAAAACCTGAGGTTCAGAGAGGTTAAGCTAATTACTCAAGATCACACAGCCAAAAATTATGAAGCCAAGTTGCCGGATGGTTCTTTATCTACCCTAAGATACATGCCCAGCTGTCCACACCAGTGCATTTGCTGCATCTATCCAACACACCAACCTGCCTTTTAATGTTTCTAAGTGACTTCTGTTTAACATGGGCCCCCTTTTAGCAACTTCCCTTGAAGGATTTTTTTGACCTTTTAATTTTTCTTTTGGTGTTAAAATTGGGGGATGGAGGCACTATATGCATCAGGCCATGCCCCACTTGGCCCAGTACCTGGAAACAGATAGCCATGAAGCGACACCCTTGCCTGCTCATGGTGTCAGCTGCATTGTGGATGCTGCTGTCACCTCTGTCTCAGGCAGCATCTGGGGCCATTGCAGGACTAGCCTATGAATCCTTCCTTTGGTTTCTGTTGCAAACTGAGGCACAGCTGTAATGACTGTGTGTAACCTATGCCCTGAGCCCAGGTGTCTGCTGTTACATGTTAGAGTAAGAAAGGTTTATCACTCGGTTGGCATTGACCATGTTTTGCAGTTGAGGCCACATGTGTAACCATTTCCCTACTGTGGGACCAGGTTTTCTGTAACAGCTGTTGGCCTAGGACATTTTGTTTCACTTCCATCCACTTCTGTTTCTTTATCTCAAACACTGGGAAAATCATAGTACCTGTCAAGTAAGGGTGTCAGAAGACTGGGTGACGTAAGTAAACCACTTCAGTAAAAGCCTTGCATGAAGTTGGCACTCAGGGGGCCTGAGGCATTGTTGTTGTTCTTCAGGGATACTCTAAGGACTAAGAATTGTTTTCTTAGTGACAAGTTCTCAGAGAACCAATTTAGATACTGGGAGATTGGTAATTACACTTTTTATTAGCTCCACTCTCTCAAGGAAGTGACTTTTCTTTCGTCTTTCTTGGAATTTGGGATATATCAATTAGCATGTGTTCATGGAACACCTCACTACTCCACAGTGGCTAAAAACATGAGGAAATTCATTATTTACTTGCCCAGAAGTTTGAAGATAGGCAGTGCCAGGATTGGTTTGGCATCTTAATAATGTCTGAGTGTGGGGTTAGGGAAGCTCTTTGATTCCTTCAACTTTTCCCTCTGGGCCACAAGATGGCTGCTGAAGCACCAGGCATCACTTTCCTACATGGTTGCATTTAAAGGCACAAAGTAAGGAAAAGGACAGAGCGGTGAGAGAGAGAGAAAGAGATCTCTTAGTGTCCTCTTATCAAGAAGAAAAAAAGTCATTTTCCCCTTATATCTTTTCAGTCATCTTCCCCTTATATCTTTTGGCCAGAACTAAATTAGATCACCATCCCTAACTGCAGAGAAAGCTGGGAAGGGGGAGCATCTCATTTTTTCAGCTTGGGGAGTAGGAGGTGGGAGAAAAGGGAGGGAGAAGAGAAAGAACGAGTTGGGATTGGCTGTTGGGTTGCCATCCGGTAGTGTGTGCCATATGGATAACACTTCATACTTGACCAGTGGAGGTTAACCTAAAGTCTACGTTGAGCCTACAAAGGAGATACATATACAATTATTCAGAATGACAGTGTACTTTTGGATTCTCATATCATTGCTAAAGCTAAAATTTCTTGGTATCAAGACAGTGTGGGTAACTCCAACGCACTTTGTTGACTTTGTTCATCATCAGGCTTTATCCCATCTTAAGCTCTCTATATATCACTCAGGAAATATTTTGTAGATGGCTCAGCTTCCTGCTCAGCGCCATAGTTCTGGATGTTTCCCACCCCACACATGGTGTTGTGTATGACCACCACCCCCGCTTCCAAATGGTCTTTGGTTCTGTATTTGCCCATTGCGAAAGAAACATCCTGACAGCTATGATGTATTTATAACGTTGTATGGCTGGTTTTACAGTCACTTTGTTACATCAATACTAATCTTTCTCGCTAAGCTGAAAAATCCATCACACCTTGAGTTACAGTGGAAAGCTTCACCTGAATTGTGTGCATTTTGGGTTTTTCAGGGGAGGGACAGGATGGAGGCACGTGACTGCTTAAGAGACTTTTCACAGTGTTACTCTCGTTTCCAAATGGTATGAGTTATTTGAGTTGCTGGAGCAGAGCACTTTCTGCAGGATAGCTGATGTCTCTGAAGACACAGTTTACATTCAATGTGTCCCAAAGAGAGTAGCAAGTACATTTTTCTAACAGTGAAAAAAGAAATCATTTTGCAACTAGCTTCTTAAAGAGTGCACTTGGTTCTAATCTACAGGCATAAAGCTTTCAAGTTACTCAATTATATAAATCTACAATTCTAATCAAAACCGTGTTTATAAAAAATAATTTTTACTTAAATTTGATGAAAAGATTCAAAGTAAGATTGGAATTTTTAAAAAAGTCATTACCAAAAACATTTTTTTTTCTTTCTTTCTTTTTTTTGAGACACAGTCTCACTCTGTCACCCAAGCTGGAGTGCAGTGGCGCAGTTTCGGCTCACTGCAACCTCCGCCTCCTGGGTTCAAGCGATTCTCCTGCCTCAGCCTCCTGAGTAGCTGGGATTACAGGCGTGCGCCACCATGCCTAGCTAATTTTTTGTATTTTAGTAAAGATGGGGTTTCATCATTCTGGCCAGGCTGGTCTCGAACTCCTGACCTCAGGTGATCTGCCCACCTCAGCCTCCCAAAAGTGCTAGGATTACAGGCGTGAGCCACTGCGCCCAACGCAAAAAACACTTTCAATTTTAGAGTTTATTAATTTCCGTTGAGAAGAAAATACAATTTTTAATGAATATGAAGAATTTTGTACTGGAAACCAAGTATCCATCTGCTTAAGATCCGATTGTCATGAATATGGAAATTCTATGACCCCCTCTAAAACTGCACAGTCCAAGATATGGCAGCCACTAGGCATGTGTGGCTATTTAAATTAATTAAACTTACATAAAATTAAAAATTCAGTTCCTCAGTGACACTAGCCATATTTCAAGTGCTCAGGAGCCTCATGTGGCTATTGGCTACCCTATTGGATGTTGTAGGCATAGAACATTTCCGTTGTCACAGAAAGTTCTGTTGGGCAGTGATGCTCTAGATGAGTGGTTCTCAACCAGGAATGACTTTCCCCAGCAGGGGACATTTGGCAACGTCTGGAGACGTTTTTGGAGGTCACGAATGCGGTGGGGGCATGTGCTACTAGCATCTAGGAATGCTGTTCAACATTCTGCAATGCATAGGGTAGCTTACACAATGAATAATTAATTTTCTGGCTCAAAATGTTCCTAGTACTGAGGTTAAAAAATCCTGCTGTCTGGTGGGGTGGACTTCTGTGGCCCCCAGCTCCTCAGTTCAAGTTTTAAAGCAATTCTCTTTATACAGATGTCAGACAACATGTGTTCTGGATATAATATTGGTGCTAAGTAGGGTTAAACCTGTGATTACGTTCAGAAAAGACTTGTTCTGAGTCCCATGGCCCCCAGTTAGAGGCAAGGGAGGATCCACTGGGCTGCATGGGGAGTCTGGTTGACACTGATGCTGCTGAGGCTGAAGAAATAGGGCAGCCATGGTGTTGTTTCCCTTTATTCTTCTGTCTTCTCCCCTCCTCACTTTCCCTCTCCCTTCCAACTGAGTGGAGCCAGCCATCTAAGTCATGATGTCTTGGGGTATAGTGGATTGGCTTGTACTCCAGGCCAGCTTCATTATTCAGGGCATTTGTGTGAGCAACAGGGGCTGGTACTGACATTCCTGCTTAGCAGCAGTTGGATGCCAATATGGTGTCCAAGGATCAGGTGTCTCAGCCAGAGGGCTGGGTTCAGATCCGGACTCCACTGCTTAGCTGTTGTGTGGCCAAGAGCAGATTATTTAACCTCTCTGAGCCTCAGTCTCCTCATTTTCAAAATGGAAATAATAACAGCCTGCATTTTGCAAGGCAATTGTAAAGATTAGGTGAGGAAATGCATGTAAAGTGACTAGTATAACTGCCGGCATATTTAAGAATAAATGGTAGCTTCTATTGTTGTTTTTGTTATTGTTTATGTTACTATGGTTACTAGTCCCAAGAAAGGCTGACTGAATTGATCTGGGGTTCATTCCCACCCAGGAAGAGGAAGTCAAGGCCCTGTTTGCTGGGTTGGCTGGGCTGGAGCCAGGGCTAAATGCCAGGCAGGCGCCAGGACCCTGCCCACTCCATCCCAGCTTAAATATTCTTACTATATTGTTTCTAGCTTGCCTATGGCCTCTGGCATCCACATGACTCTAAACTCCATTCAGTTATTTTCTTTCCTCCAATGCTAAATTAGGATGTTCACTTTGGTTCCTCCTGGGTTTCCAGCATCTGCAGAAATTCTACACAAAAGGATTCAGAAAGTGCTGGGGCTGGGAAGTTTGTGTTGGCCTTGTTTCAATGACCAATGCAGCTCTTTCTCCTTCCTACCCTTCCCACTGGCTTTTTTGTGATCAGTGACCACAAGACTAAGGACTCCACACCAGGCCTGAGGCCTATTGTGTGAACCAGCTGGCCATTCCCCTAATCTCATAGGTTGGTCCATCCCTGACTGAACCATAACTATGAGGAGCCTGGAGAGGAACTTCTTAAGTTTGTATTCGACTTCATGCTGAATTTTTTTTTTTTTTTTTTGAGATGACGTCTTGCTCTGTTGCCCAAGCTGGGGTGCAGTGGTGCAATCTCGGCTCACTGCAAGCTCCGCCTGCCAGGTTCAAGCGATTCTCCTGCCTCAGCCACCCGAGTAGCTGGGATTACATGTGCGCGCCACTATGCCTGGCTAATTTTTGTATTTTTAGTAGAGACAGGGTTTCACCATGTTGGTCAGGCTGGTCTTGAACTCCTGAGCTCGTGATCCACCTGCCTCGGCCTCCCAAAGTGCTGGGATTACAGGCGTGAGCCACCGTGCCTGGCCATGCTGGATTTTTTTAGACCTCCAGTTTAGTTTGCTTTGAGATCATCTTGAGTTCTTTCTGACTGTGGGTCCTGACTTCTTTTTCCAACTCCATTATTAGCAGGAAGAGAGCATGGCTGATGAACTGGTTAATTACATAGGAAACACGAGATCCTACAGATTTTGAATATTAGTTATGAGAGTTAATTGATTTGTGTGTGCTTAGTTGGTTTGCTTTCCCATAAAGGCTAACATATATTGTAGAGTAGGAGAGCTACATATAGAACACTATCTATTTTGGGCTCCTGTGTGGCACCTTATGGTTGCAAATGACCCAAAGCCAACTCCAGCTGGCTAAGCAAATAAGGGAATTTAATTGGCTTGTGTAATTGACAAGTCCAAGAGGAGGCCTGTTCTCTGTGAGCATTGTTAGGAATCTGTCTTGCTATTGTGCTCACCTTCTTGCCGCTGTGTCCTGGCCTCTGTTCAGCCAGCTCTCTTTTTGTGGAGGCAAGCCCGATTCATGCATTTAAAAGTTTAGCAAGCCAGCAGAAGGACAGCCTTTCTGTCTCCCAATAGTTCCTATGGAATGCTAGTAGTTGAGTATCATTCTTGGGACATGTCCATCCATCAGCCAATCAGTGTTGCTGGCAGAGCAGAACTCACTGATTGGTCAGACTTGGGTTATGGCTCCACCCTCTGGAGCTGAGAGATGCATCAGCCTCCTGTGAACCATTAGGACTGAGAGTGGAGAATGGGCGTTTCCCCAAAAGAAAAATCAGGCTAGTGTCATCAGAGAAAGGGGAGCATGGATGTTGGGCAGACAAAAACAACAGATATCCACTACCATATTTCCCTTTTCATTGTGCTAGTGACTTGGAGAAAATCTCCTGCCTGGTGTGTCTTGATTTCGCCACCAAAGTCGCTCGCAGGCCCTCGGCCTGATTTTATTTACAGCAGCAGCACACCTCTCTCTTCTTCCCTGCAGTCATGATACCCCGGTCTTTCCCCCAGAGGTTGGAATAAATGGCCTTCTCTGAGCCACAATCAATGGCATTCCGTAAGGTGTGACAGAGGAGGCCATCTGGCACTTGTCCCATTGTCGTTTCTCCCTGCCCAGGGAAGAGGCACATTCCAGGCAGAAGGTCGCAGCTCAGCCAAGTGCTGCTGTCTCTCAGAAGCATCACCCTCAGACTGGGGTCTGCAGCACAGAAACGCCACCAGAGTCAAACACCTGGCAGGATTTCCCCCTTTCCCTTTGTGAAATTTTCCAACAGAACCAGGTTGTGGAATAATACATAATGAAAATGATTCTTGAATAAAATTATAAGTTTGAATGTTCTGCACAATACTTTCCCCAATATTGGATGGATTTTTTTTTTAAGATGCTAGCACTGAGATCACTGGCCCATTTCAATTTTTATTGAAACAAATAAACCCAATAAAAACACTTATGCTGAGAGCTGTAGCGCCACAGTGAAAGAATCACCCTGTATTGAATGTATTGATTTATTTATTTACTGCAACTGGAAAATCGAGTATTGTGTTAATGTATTTTATAAGAATCACATTGCTCGATGAAATGGCTAATTTATTTGAGCGTATACATAAATAGCTAGCAATTTTCTCTGAGACAGGCTAATGAAAATGATGCCATGAAATTGTCTATACGATGAAGAGTGACGGAGACGAGTTATTATTGGGTGAGTGCTAAGACGCGCTGAACTGGCCATCATATCTTTGAACTTTTGAACTGCTACTTGTTTCGTGTGATTTATTGATTTTGCTATCTCTCTGTTTAGCTCAACTTTAGTTTTTGCCCAGCAGTGCAGATAAGTGGCATAGGAGATTTAATTTCATGGGTATTTGGGGTTAAAACCTATCTTTAAAAAGAATGCTAAACATGTTTTAATAAAACATGAGTTGCAGGGGTTTTAGGTTTCTGTACGATATGGATCTGATAAGAACCAAGGCAGTTTAGAGGGCAGCCCAGAGGTTCCAGGCTAGGGAGGAACTCTTTCTGAGCTTTGGAAGTTTCACCAGGGCCACATGCATTTTATTTGCTAGATCAGCCTGGCTTCATTCTTAATTACATGTATCATTTATCCCCCTGCCTGTGCCCTTTTGCTCATGGCACATGTTTTGCCTCGATGCCTGGTACACAGAAGGTTTCTCGGGTTCTCGCAGGCAGCATCACTGTCCCTGTCCTCCCGTCCTTGCACACCGAGGGCTGGCCGCTACCGAAGCACCCTCATTTTGGCTGATCTCATGGGGAAACTGCTTTCAAGAGCAGCCACGGCTCTCACCTAGGGAATAAAGATATGGAAGCCTTCTCAGCGTCGGGGCCAGAGCTGGCTCGCTGCTGCTCAGCTGCCTCCAGATTAGTTCTCTGTGGTCCCCATCAGCATTGTTACCCTCCTTATCAGCCTAGCCCTGACCTTTGAGTGGGATGTTTCACTCACTGCTTTGTGGTGGGGGGGGGGTGGTTTTCGTACTAAGTGATCATGGCAAGAAAGCAGCCTTACTTTTTATTGTTGTCTTTGGACCTGCAGAACTTTTCTTAAAAATGTAACATTTTGGGAACTCATTCTTCATAATATTTTTTATTTTATTAGCTAATTTCTAAAGGATGATTTGACAACAGTATTTTATGCTTTTTGTTTATTTGTGGGTGGGGGGGGTGGTGATTGGAGGAGGTGGGAAAGAGCTTTATCATGTAAAAGTAACCATCCTAGAAATTTCAGGTAATAAATTTTCAGGTGCATGAATGGTTAAGACTCTTCACTCAGTGACACAGTATGTGAATGAGGAATTTTTATGAAGGTAACGGTCTTGTTCTTTAAAAATCTGATTTATTTAGCAGGTACTTCTAAATGACCAAGTAATTTTAACCTTCAGAGAAAGATGGGGAGGGGGTGGGTGGGTAGAGAAGGCTTGTATCTCTGCAAGGGATTGAAAATTCACATCCCTTTTAATGATTAAACTGGCACGGTCTTTATTTGGATGTTAAAAGCCTTTTCTTACATTGCAAACATTCTTAGCAAATTTACAGTCAGATATTTGGAAACAGCTAACACTTGAAAAAAAAAAGGAGGAGGAGGGCCTGTTTGAACTAGGAAACAAAATTAGTAGGAATGGCTGAAAAGACAGGACTGACCCCAACACCATTAGCTGGAGAAAAAAAAATTCCATTTCATTGCAACTATGTTATTGTTTACTTTACCATACACATCCTAATATGGTTACCTCCCCGTCAGAGGAGGCCAAGCCAGGGGTTGAGAGGCCCCCTCCGGGAGAAAGCTCCTAACTGCTTCTCAGACAATAAGAAACAAACGGTACAACTCCACAAAAGGCTTCCCGGAAAATAAGTGTCAAATAAATCCTACGGAACTCTCGCTTCTGCCACTGAGCTCTGTATATGCAAACCTGTTTTTATGCCATCGCTTCCCCAGGCTGAGCTGCGTTTGTTTGGAAATGTAAGCCACTGCCTTTTCTTTTTTTCTTTTTTCCTTTTTTTTTTTTCCCCCCTCACTTCATCTGAGGGCTCTGGATTAATTCCTTGAGACATATCTTTGCATACATATCTCATGAGTTATGTTTCCTGGAGCCTTTTACTAGGAACATTAAGGTAAGAATGTTGATTTAGCCTGGGACCTTTGTCACTCAAACTAATGCTCATCAGTGATATAGACATTGTAAAGAAATATTGCGGAGGTCTTTTGTGGTCCCCCTCCCAAACAGAGAGGTGCAGTGCTTTTAATTGTCATGCATGGATTCAGAAAAAAAAAATGCCACCAGTTGTGGATGAGATGTAGCAGAGGTGTGTACTCACTGGTGTGGTGTAAACACTGCTGAAAACACCCCCGATCTGTGGCAGCCACAACAGTTTCATTAGAAGCCTTTTCCTGCTGTTTCTTCCAATTCTTCTCTACTTGGGCGTATTTCTTTTTCTTTTTCTTCTTCTATTTTTTTTTTTTTCCCTTTTTCAACTCTCCTGATCTTTTCCAAATCCTCATGGTCTTGAGGCTTGCCTGTTATTATCTGCAACTCCAGAACAAAGGTAGGTTGCTCAACTCTGTGCTTCGGGGGGAGGGCCAAGTTATTTTGGGAGGGATGTCTTCCTAATGCATGAGTGGCTGACCTAAAAGAGGGGGGAGAGATCATGCTTGGAGCCGAGGGATGAGAGCGCACGCACTGTGGCAGCTTTTATGTAGTGGAGTTTATTTTTATGCAACTTAAAGTAGCGGCAGCATCTTTAGTAGAATGGACTCGTTAGGTTTGGATAATCCACACTGGTGTAACACTGATGTGTACATTTTATTACCAAACTGGGGTTTCAGACATTTGGGGATGCTTGAATTTATGGCAGCAGCTAAGATTCCCTGATGAGGGACTGTATTGAGTTTATCAAAATTAAATAACAGATTTAGGACTTTTTTCTTTTCTTTTAAATTTTAATGTGAAGGTGTGTTTGGGTGACTGGCTATGTACTTTTTCTTTTCCCCTTTGGTCTAATTGCTTTAATTCCTTGGACACCTTCACTTATTTCTCAATTATTTTCTTCTCTAATTTTGTGTAATCTGGTGCTCTGTTGGAGCCAAGGTGGAGGTTTACTGTTTTTAACTAATTGTGCCTTGCTGGGTGGCAATACAATAGAAAGAGTAAAGACCACAAGAAATTCATCTCCACCTGAAAAGGGGACTGGACTAGAGTGGTGCAGCTTCATAATTGAAAACAAGTGCAAATTAAGCCTTGGTGAGGGATATTACAGGCTATTAATCATAATAAATATGTTTGGCAACGATGTATTTTCTTTCTACAGTTTTCAGTTAAAAAAAATCAAAGTTGGTGATTAGAAGAGGGAATAGTTCTTTGGCTTATAGATGCTGGGACGTACTTGTTCATTAGTTCAAACCACGTTAAAAGTGAGCAGTTTGTTCCAGAATCAAGTATGTCATTCCCAAGCAGATTTGAATACATCCCTGTCCAAATGCAATCTCGGGTTCATGCCACAGTGCTTGGCTTTTTCTGAACATCTCAGCTTCAGCACGGGACTCGAGTGCTAAGAATTTTATTTTACGTTATGACTGTGCTCGCACATTCCTGTTGGTTTCTTGGCTGCGGATCATCTCTGTGCATGCACTGTAGCCCTGTCAAGGTGAAGCTCTTTGAAAAATAGAAATTCAGTGTATTTAACCAAAATGAGCTTGAGCAGCCCCTAAGTTTCTATCTTAGAAAGCTGCTAATTATGCTTGTCGAAAAACACATCTGAGTGGAAGGTTCTGAGTCCAAACAGGATCGAGTACTGCTTTAGAAATATAACTGTAGTCTGTGCTTTTAGAGAGGTTTATTTTTACTTTGGGGCCATGGAGGGGGTGATTGGAATTAGTAGCCTTTAATTAGACGGGGAGATATTCAAATTTTACAGGGATTTATGTTAGAACATGGAATGGCGGGTGGCTCTTTCCTCATTATGAATCCTCCCTGCACATAATGAGGTTCATCATTAGTTGATGGAGTGAATTTGCCCTAGCTCTACCTTGAAAGGCACATAATTTACATACTACTTCAGAGCCTAAGCTTTAATGGATTCTTCGATGAATAAAATGAAAAGCTACTTTCTTTAAATTTTTGAACACTGTTTAGATAATACGATTTTAATAAGACATTCAATTTGCTTGTTAAGTATATTTGAAAGTGCTTTTTTTTTTTTTTTTCCTTTTTGGGCAAAATATATTTTGGCTTGCCATGCTGTGTATCACAGCGATGTACCCTCACAGTTGTCTCAGAGGACATATGGGGTACGTTGTTAAGAAATGGGACAATCTTAGGCGGAAAGCTTTTTCACATGTGAGCCTCCAGATTATTGACAAATCTTTTTGTATAGAAACTCTTCTGACATTAAATGGTTATAACAAAAAGGTTTGGAAACAAGCTTATTATTAGTGTCTGGTTTCACATATACGAAATTTGTGTGCATGCTGATTCCAGCCAAAATTGACAATAGCTAGCTGTACCTCCTGATGTATTTTAATGATGGAAGAGCAAACTTCCCTAGTGCAGCTGTGTGTTTCAAACTGCTGTGTAGCTATGATTCGATGAGGAGAAATTGAGTTGGAGGCTGTCTAATATGTTATCAGGGCATCAGCTTAGGAGCGTTCTGGTCTATGCCATAGGTGCAGCAAGTTTTCTGTCACTCTTCCCTCTTTGGGCTGGAATGAGGAAAAAAATCAGCTTTGACTCAGCACGATTTGAACACGAATGTCTTTTAAATGAATATGGGGGGTTAGTAATAGCATGTTACCGAACATGTCCTTTGCTTGTTCGAGACAGGTCACCCCTGCATTGTTATCATTGCTGCAAGTAGAAGCAGGTTTCTGGTGGTTTGTCACTTTCAAGAGCAGGGAAGGTGTCTAAATATAAGCGAAGCCTTGTTTTGATAGAATGTTTTATTACCTGAAAATGATCAGCATATATTAACATTAATAGAATAGTCCATGTCATTCTTTTTTTAGGCAATTTACCTCTGCTACAGACCTGTCTGCTTAAAAAAAAATCTTCCTCTCTTCTAAAACATATATTTGTTTAGAGAGTTTTCACTGAAGTGTACATGACAATTACAGCTGTTCATTAACAAAATTGGGTATTTGTTTTAAACTTTAACCAATCACTTTGATATGCTAATTATGGTGTAATTTAATTTGAGCCCTGTAATGATGATGCCGTTATTATGGACATAAATGATGCAGTTAAGCTGAGAGTAATCTCATTTGCATACTGTACATGCCAGTAAATTAAGCCCTTTCTTCGACTGCTTCAGCTTTAATTTTCCACTTCTTTTCACACAGCTCCTTTTCAGCCCCTCTCTTATAAGCCCACTTTGTAATAGTCCTGATGACTGTTTGATGTGAAGAGTTTCGGCACCACAATAATGCACGACAGAAGATGTAACATTTAAAGGATTCATTATCTTGCTGAGTGTTCCTTTAAGAAAGAAGGATTAGAGGGTGGAGGGGAGACCGGAGTGTCCTTTCCATGGGATATGACAGGGCCCCCTGTTAAAGTAATTTGAGACGCCAAATGCTCTCCACTCGCCCCTAAGTCAGACTTGGGACCTATTATTTAAAATGATGGCTTTTCCCCCACCGTTCTGTAGTTTATGGTCACAAATTGTGTTGCTTTCAGCAGTAGTGAATTTCCTGTGCTCCCTTATGGTAATTGGAGGTAAAAGTTTTTTTTTTGTTTTTTTGTTTTGTTTTGTTTTGTTTTTTTGAGATGGAATCTCACACTGTCGCCTGGGCTAGAGTGCAATGGTGGGATCTCGACTCACTGCAAGCTCCGCCTCCCGGGTTCAAGCTAGTCTCCTGCCTCAGCCTCCCGAGTAGCTGGGATTACAGGCACCCGCCACCATGCCCGGCTAATTTTTTGTATTTTTAGTAGAGATGGGGTTTCACTATGTTGGCCAGGCTGGTCTCGAACTCCTGACCTCGTGATCCGCCCGCCTAAGCCTCCCAAAGTGCTGGGATTACAGGCGTGAGAAACCGCGCCCAGCGAAGGTAAAAGTTTAATTTAGCTTGACTGTTAAGATTCTTCAAATCTGGGCCTTCATAGATGAGATTATAATTTTAAACAATTCTGGCCAGGCGCTGTGGCTCACGCCTGTAATCCCAGTACTTTGGGAGGCCAGGGCGGGCAGATCATGAGGTCAGGAGATCGAGACCATCCTGGCTAACATGGTGAAACCCTGTCTCTACTAAAAATACAAAAACAAAATTAGCCGGGCATGGTGGCACGCGCCTGTAATCCCAGCTACTCGGGACCTGAGGCAGGAGAATGGCGTGAACCCCGGAGGCGGAGGTTGCAGTAAGCCGAGATCGCGCCACTACACTCCAGCCTGGGTGACAGAGCGAGACTCCGTCTAAAAAAAAAAATAAAAAAACACAATTCTGAGATATGACTGAATGACATTTTCAAAAGGAACTTCTTTTTTCCCCCCATTCTGCCTGGATTATCCAAAAACCACCCATTTCATCCACTTCTGTAAGAATGGAAACGCTTTGCACATAGATGCTCTTCCATTTGTAGGCCCATCGCTGCTACCCTGCTTGAGCCAGGAGACCAGCCATGTGCCTTTTCATGGCCTTTGGCCAGTACACTGCCCTTCCATTCAAACCAAAGAATGCAAAGAGCATCACTAAACTCTTCTACATCGTGAACGGATTCTCCCCATGGCTCTCGCCGAAGCCAGTGGGAGTTGAGTGGGTGTAACTGAGGATTGAATTTAGCACTGTGTTTTTAAAAGGGTCATAGGCCTAAAAATAGTTCAAGCTGTTTGACTCTGCTGCAGGCTACTTCCTTAGCAAATGGAAAAAAGTATTAAAATAAAATAGAAATCGGCTGCCTCCATTCTCATTTCTTGGGACTGTGAAAGTCTTGTACTTCCTTTCGAAGCCCCCCAGTTCTCCATCCCCTGACCCAAAGTTCTTCCTAGTTGATTGTCAACCCTGCCCCCAGCAGTTCTCTGATAGGAGGCTGCCTTTTCTAATATTTTGACAGGCAGAAATTTCCTGGTATTGCCATGGCAAATTGTACATAGGGCTCACTCAGCCTGGTAGCAGTGGCAACTGGAATATGGAATTTCGTCCAACTTTGGAAATCTCAGGGGAGGTGAATGTCTCCCAGTTGTGTTTGAGTTAAGCAAAGGCTGTCACACTTGACACAATGTCAGACTGTTTTAAAGCAAAGTGTAACACTTAAAAAGCGTTATTCTTTTTCCTGCTTTTACATGCTTTCAAAAATACCATGGGCTTCAAAGTGTGTGTAAAAAACCTTGTAGAAATACTTGTACTATGGCTATAATTCCATATCCAATATTATACTTTTTTGAAATGTGGAGCTTTTTGGTTTTCTTTTTGTTTGTTTGTTTGTTTTTGTTTTTGAGAAGGAGTCTTGCTCTGTTGCCCAGGCTGGAATGCAGTGGCGTGATCTCGGCTCACTGCAACCTCTGCCTCCCAGGTTTAAGCAATTCTCCTGCCTTAGCCTCCTGAGTAGCTGGGATTACGGGCACGTGCCACCACACCTGGCAAATTTTTTGTATTTTTAGTAGAGACGGGGTTTCACCATCTTAGTCAGGCTGGTTCTCGATCTCCTGACCTCGTGATCTGCCTACCTCGGCCTCCCAAAGTGCTGGGATTACAGGCATGAGCCACCGTGCCTGGGCAGCTTTTTGGTTTTCAATATAATTGAGGGAGACAGGGAAGAGGAGAAATGATTTTATATAATAGTGTGGAAATTTTTAATTTTTATCCCAGCATGTAGACTGGATTTTCTCAGTACAGACCAAGCTCAAATGCAATCACATATTCCCACTGTGAAATTTCCTACTTTTAGGAAGGTGGGAAAACAGAGAGCATAAGCTCTCTGAAGGCAAGGAATGTTTATCTGAATTCTCAGCACTTACACTAATGCCTTGCACATAAGTAGGTATTGAAGAAATATTTCCTGATTGAAATGGACTTGCTTATTCCTGAAGACTTTTGAGGAAATAAGAAAGAAATCAAATGAGAAAATACAGAAGAAAATGCTCTCTAAAGTGTAAAGCTATTAAATATACATGATGATGTTGAGATTGTAAACCTCTTCAACCTCCTCTTCCCGGGTCCCTCCCTTGTGTGGGGGAGCCACTTGTAAGTGCTTGCAGGTGGACAGGAGCAATCCTAGATGGGAAGCCACCTCAGCCCCGATTATTTATGAATGCCTGTAACGATAATAGTCACTCTTGGTTACTGAGCTACAGCTGTGGTCTAGAACTGTTGTGAACGCTTGTCATACTTAATGTCATAGAATCTTACCAATAGCTTTTCAGGATAGGTGCTGTTATTCTAATCTTTTCCATGTGGCAACTGTGATGCAGACATTGTCCCAGGTCAGACAGCTGTTAGGTCTGGAACCAAGACAAGTATTCCTTCAGGAAAACCCCAGAGTCCTCACTCCTGGCTGTTGCACTTGAATCTTCCCTTTCCTTGTAGACACACACACACACCCCCCCACACCCCTTTAGAGGCATGCTTATACTTTGTACATTCATTTATTGAACGGCAGTAGTGTTCCAGGTAGCAGCCTAGGCACTTTACATACTCTGTTTTCACAGAGGCCTGGCAAGGTAACTGTAATTTGTCCCTACTTACTAATGAGGAAGCAGACATTCACTCGGATTGAATAACTTGCTTATGCAGGTAGAAAGTGACCAAGCTGAGCTTTGAAGCCCTGCTTGTCTGCCTGCAAAGCCCTTGTTCACTGAATCACCACTGCATGGTCCCCGCTAATCTATATGTAGCCTGAGAGTGTTTTGTTCTCTTAAATTAGTTAACTTACTGTTTAATTGATTTATTAATTTCATATATTTTGAGTGCCTATGGGATGTAAAGCCTTTCGTAGTTACCTTATATTTTGGAGAGTCGGACTAAATGTGCGCCTTAAGTAACTGAGAATCTCCTAATTTCTCAGTCTTTTAGTATAACGTCAATTCCTGGCAGGGAGCCACCTTCTCTTCCTTCTCCCCTTCCCCCTCCAGACACATAAATGAGACTGTTGTTAAATTATCCTTTTTCCTGGGGGAGGAGAATGCTGTGCTGTCTCCTTCCCTTTGATTGAAGCCTTCCTTACTGTTATCTTGACAGGTGACAGAATGAATATCAGCTGTGGAACTTATAGATATGTGGGTCCATATGTGTTTACACATATCCCCATGTACACGTATGGATTCATTGCTTGCACTTTCATTTATACACACTGCAGGCCACATGTAGAGAAAGCAGTAGGAACATTTCAAGGAAACTCTGTGCTTCCTGATACTCCTTTCCTAGCACCGTTCCTTGGCTCCATAGCTCTGCAATCCCAATTCAAGCATGGGAAGTGATGACAGTATGTAAAGTGTCAGTTTCCCTTACCACACAGAAACTCTTCCAGGCCAGGATCTTGAAATGCTTCTAGTCCTGCACTGTCTGCTATGGTAGCTACCAGCCAGATGTGGCTCTTGAGCCCTGGAAGCGTGGCTAGCTAGCCCCAATCAAGATAGGCCATATGTATAAAATATATGCTGGCATCCAAAGACTTAGTAGAAAAAAAGAAGAAAGAAGGTTAACTATCTCATTCATCTTTTATATTAGTTGCATGTTGAAATTAAAACATTTTGGATATATTAAGTAAAATCCAATTTTTTTTTTTTTTTTTTTTTTTTTTTTTTTTTTTCAGATGGAGTCTTGCTCTGTCGCCCAGGCTGGAGTGCAGTGGCATAATCTCAGTTCATTGCAACCTCTGCCTCCCAGGATCAAGTGATTCTCCTGTCTCAGCCTCCCAAGTGGCTGGGATTACAGGCGTGCACCACCACGCCTGGCTAATTTTTGTATTTTTAGTAGAGGCGGGGTTTCACCATGTTGGTCAGGCTGGTCTCAAACTCCTGACCTCGTGATTTGCCCGCCTCGGCCTTTCAAAGTGCTGGGATTACAGACATGAGCCACCGCACCTGGCCCAATTGTATTTTTAAAACCAGTTTCACTACTTCTTTTTTATTTTATTTTTTTCTTTTTCTTTTTCTTTTTTTTTTCCTTAAGACAGGATCTCGCTGTGTCACTCAGGCTGGAGTGCAGTGGCAGGATTATGGCTCATTGCAGCCTCAGCCACCTGGGCTCAAACTGTCCTCCCACCTCAGCCTCCTGAGTAGCTGGGACTGTGGAAACCACCATCACACCCAGCTAATGATTTTTATTGTCTCTTGTGGAGATAAGGTCTCCCGATGTTGCCCAGGCTGGTCTCCAACTTCTGGGCTCAAGCCGTCCTCCTGCCTTGTCCTCCCAAAGTGTTGGGATTACAGGTGTGAGCCACTACACCCAGCCATTTTTGCTTGTTTATACGTGGCTGCTAGAAATTTTAAAATTACACATGTGGCTTGCCTCTGTGGCTCTCATTATATGCCTGTGGGACAATGAAGCTCTAGAATCTACATGATATCTCTGTAGACAGGATGACTGGTAGATCGTGGGTGCTGGAGGGTGGTAGCTCAAAGATTTATCCAAAAAGTCAATCGAGAACTGCAATGAAAGCATGTTACAGAGAACTTGGCCCATAGCAGAGGCTCAGGAAATACTTGGGGATGAAGCCACACACAGCAAATATTTCTACATGGGAAACACTAAAGAGGTAATCCCTTCCATTGTTTCAACATCCTGCCCTTCCTAATCAAATTGAGAATATAGCACCTACCCCACTATTTTAGAGAACTTGGATTTGCAAAATGTTTCTATTCTATACCCAGCTTGTGACCTGGATGCCAGTAAATATTGGCTCATCTGCTATGATGATTCCATGAGCATAGGTCAGCAGAGAGGAGAGAATGGGATTCCTTGAATGTTCCTAGGTGATTCTCTTATCCTGGGCTTTGATTATTTGCAAGAATTGTTACATGCGGTCCTGGAGCCACAGGCTCTTACTGGGGCATTTGTCTTAGGTAAATAGATGCATTTGTCTCCTTGATACTCTCCTAATATATGTTCTTTACCTAGTACAGAATTTACCTTACAGTATTGTGTAAGTATAGTTTCTTAAAGAGAGAAATATTAGCCGGGTGCGGTGGCCCACACCTGTAATCCCAGCACTTTGGGAGACCGAGGCGGGTGGATCATGAGGTCAGGAGATAGAGACCATCCTGGCTAACACGGTGAAACCCCATCTCTACTAAAAATGCAAAAAATTAGCCGGGCATGGTGGCACGCACCTTTAGTCCCAACTACTTAGGAGGCTGAGGTAGGAGAATCGCTTGAACCTGGGAGGCGGAGGTTGCAGTGAGCTGAGATTGCACCACTGCACTCCAGCCTGGGCAACAGAGTGAGACTCCATTTCAAGAGAAAAAAAAAAGAGAAACATTCTATGAATGTACATCACTTAACAAATACTGATTTTATCCCTGCCTTATTAGGCGTGGTGGGCTCCCTGACTTCAGGAAGCTTGTTGACTACATAAAGGCAGGTAAGAAATGTCATAGCTTCAACCGAAGATGTCAAGATTCAATGGTTGCCAAATCAAAGCAATGTTGTTTGGCTTATAAAAAGAGTCTTTAATTTTTTTCTAGAGGTTTCGTAATCGGTGTTCATTAAAGATCCACATCTTTCCTACATTCTATTTATTATATAGATGATCTAGGGAAAGCATAATTTTAATTGTAAATTTTCAGTAACCCCAACCCCTACAGAAAAGTGAGTTATACACCAAAAAGTTTTTCCCTAAACATCCATGCCAGTCCTTAAAATCCAAGGGGACTTAGATCTACAGTCGCTTTGCTAAGATTTTTTTTTTCCCCATCAGAATAAATGGAAGCCTTCACTGGAATGAGCACATGGAAATTATAGCTGTCACATTGTCCATTAAAAGCAGACATTCAAGTGGGATATTATCTCACTTTACTTTTTGGTCCTTCAGAAGTCAAGGGACAGGGTATTAGATGTGAGATGACCATAGGAAGACTGGGTCCTGGCAAAGATCAGTACCCAGCATGAAATGCGCCCACTTACTTGTTAAGTGCTTAAAATTTTCACCCCTCCTCCTGCCCTGTTCTGCCCTGAAGCTGCAGATTCATTAGTATCAATTGGTTTTCAGGGTGTTTCTATCTCTGGGCCACTGGCTCCTGGATATGATTACTGCCTGATATTTTCCATACAGTGCTTCCATTTTCAATCATCTTATCCACAGTTGGCCTAATGTCACTCTTTGAACATTCACAGAGGAATAATGTAAATGTTAGCTTTTGTCCTGTGCATAACTGGAGAGGAAAATGCCTTAGACTCATCTGCACTAAACATTTCTTTGCAGACACCTCAGAGAGGACAGCCTCCATCTCTGCCCACAGCACACCCATTTTCTGAACAAAATCAAAGAGTTGTTCTTGGGGATGTCCTTGGGGTGACGAAACTTTCTGTAGGCGGTGCAACTTGTGCCTCCAAGGATTTGAAGAGCATCCTCGCCTCCCCCCACTCACCCATATTTTATTGTCAGTTCTTTTGCAAGGGTGAAGGCAGAGGACATGTTTTGGAAGGACAGTCTTTGGTACTCTTGGCTTGTCCATTTTGTCGGATGATCTCCAGTGGTGGAGGATGAGTGTGCTGATTGGATTAATTCCGAGTTGGAATATAATGAATGGTTAGTGTCCTTTTACTCCGTTGTGTTTTGAGGTGTTTGTCCCTGACAGCCATTTGGCAAATAATCTGGTTATCCAAAAAGATTTTTGGTTTTTTGATTTAATGCTTTAAACTTTTCTTATTTTTTTTTTTTACTTATAATATTAAACATGTAAAAGCGATTTTAATGACTTTTCATTGAAGATATACCCTTCTGCCTCCATCTCCCCAAATGGGCATGCGAGAAACATCACTACTGAACAGTCTGGAAGTAAGTTTGCACCACCAAAGGTCAGTGTGGGTTGTATAAAAACCAGGACTGGAAGCAGCCCTCCCACCCCAGATAATAACGGCAATTCCAGAGAACATTGAGAACACAAACCCTCGAAGAAAGAGCAAAATTTCTCTGTCATGTAATGATGTTTGATTTGGGCTAAAAGGAATGTCCATTTTACCAAGGTCTTAAGTTCTCTTTTTGATTCCACTTTTATGCATTTTAAAAAGTTTTCTTAGCTGCCTTCCTTGTTTTCCAAAAATATACAAGTCCTGATCCTCTTTTGTCCTTCTTGGGGTCCCCAGGAATCAGAGAATACAATGTATAAAACTATAGCACCAGCTGGGGGGGTGCGAGGCCGAGGCAGGCAGATCATCTGAGGTCAGCCTGGCCAATATGGTGAAACCCTGTCTCTACTAAAAATACCAAAAAAAAAAAAAAAAAAAAGAGTCAAACATGGTCGTGGGCATTTGTAATCCCAGCTACTCAGGAGGCTGAGGTGAGAGAATCTCTTGAACCCCGGAGGCAGCGGTTGCAGTGAGCTGAGATCGCGCCATTGCACTCTAGCCTGGGTGACAAGAGTGAAACTCCATCTCAAAAAAACAAAAACAAAAACAAAAAAAAACTATAGCAGCTGCTTTAACCTTCCTTTCAATCATGGTAAGCTGTGGATTTACAGAAGCTCAGCTCCTGCTCCCTCAGTTTTTTATGAGTTGGACCATAGACCTTTCTTGATACAAAGTGGAAACCATTTCCCTTCCCTCCCCTCCTCTCTCCTCCCCTTCCCTCCTCTCCCCTTCCCTCCCCTCCCATGCCTTCCCTCCCCTTCTCTCCCTTTCTTACCTTTCTATTTCTTTCGCTTTCTCTCTTTCCCTCTTTTCTTTTCTTTCTTGGGGAGATAGGGTCTCACTCTGTTGCCTAGGCTGGAGTGCAGTTGTGCAATCATAGCTCACTGCAGCCCCAACCTCCTGGGTTCAAACGATCCTCCTGCCTCAGCCTCCAGAGTAGCTGGGACTAGAGGCACATCACACCTAGCTTATGTTTTTATTATTATTAGTAGTAGTAGTAGTAGTAGTCGTGGTGGTGGTGGTGGTGGTAGTAGTATTGTAGAGAACCACTGCACCTGGTCCCCATTTTTCTTGCTTTTTTTTTTTTTTTTTTTGAGACAGAGTTTTGCTCTGTGGCACGATCTCAGCTCGTTATAACTTCCATTGCCAGGGCTCAAGAGATCTTCCCTCTTCATCCCAAGTAGCTGGGACTACAAGTGTGCATCACTGCAATTGGCTAAATTTTTTGTATTTTTGGTAGACACAGGGTTTTACCGTGTTGCCCAGACTGGTCTCGAACTCCTGAACTCAAGGGATCCTCCCACCTCCACCTCCCAAAGTGTTGGGATTACAGGCATGAGCCACCACACCCAGCCCTGACCCTATCTTCTTTTTGTTTTTTTTGTCGGAGTTTCTATTCTCTGTTTCATTTTTTGAGATCTATGGATGTGAATAAGCTTCCTGCCGTAAAGAAGACATCATTATTTATTTCTGTAGCTTTTGTGTACTACCATGGAGATGACATGGAGCATCAGTTGAGGGGTCCTGTAGAGTGACAGCTAGCAGATGGGTAGAATAACTATTATTAGTGCTGCTTCTCCTCTCTGTCAGTTCTCATAGCAGACATTGCTAATTGATCACAGTACTTTTTCTCAGCAAGCCTGACTGTGGCCTATGAATCTTCCTCTCAAGGAGTGCCAGCCACTGATAATCGATAGCACTTGACTGAAATGTATTTCCCCTCCCTTCTCTAATTGTTGTGATTTACTACATGTGAAATTGGCTGATGAGATATTATTAATAAATAGTGGCACATCTTTTATTTTGATACTATCAGATTCTTTTTATATTATCTCAGTTTGCTAAGCCACCTAGCCCCTTCCAAATGAGCTTTTTAAACACATGCTCTTTCTTCAGATGTGACCTGACAAGAGAGACAGACAACCCCCAGAAATCCCTTTCAGGTGACGATGCTGAAATAGGCCAAGTACCAGTTCTTCTTTGAGCTGTATAACTCTTTCTTAGGTACATAATTCTTTGCACATGCAATTGAAGGATCACCCAGGAAATGGATGTGGCCTTCCTACAGGAGATAACGTTGAAGTATGAACTCTTTGCCCTTTGGCAAATTGCCTGTTCCCCTCGTTCTAAATTTCTAGGAATCTAGGTCCTGACACCCTACATTCTTTGATATCTCCATAGACCATAATCTAGTTGAATCTACCAGAATTATTTATGCACCATAATGAAAAAGAAAAATAGGGAGGCTTTTTCTATTCACTCATCTTTCATCGTTATTTTAACTTATATTTCCCTGGAATTTTTCTGTCTTAACTTTATAGTTTAAAAATGTTGCCTGATAAACAGTGCTTGTAGTCCATTTATGTTTTTTGCCTAATGCATGGAAATTTGAAGTGTCCAGAATTCATAGTTTCTCCAAAATAACCACTGAGTCAACAAGTTGGTGTTGTGTATTTTTCCCCTCTTTGGACATTTATAATAAATTATAGTAATTCTCTCTTGAAAGATTAGAAAATCTCTCCTATTTTTTTTTCCTATAAGGTAGCTATAGGTGGATTGGTTCTGTCTTATTTGTAGCATCAGAATTCATGTTTTTTGATTCATTGTATTTATAAGGTAAAAAGGAGAATCAGTTCACTTTGTTTCTCTTGAATGCAAAACAAGAAGGAAGCATGTTTGCAGGTGCTATCATGTCTCAACATCACTGTGCTTATGTTTAGTTATTTTTTGAGTTTTAAAGCCTACATCTTCATCTTTCCTTGTCAGGATGTATAAAATTGATTCATGGTTCATTTAAGTAAAGAAGCTATTTTAAACCAAATTGTCCTCATTGAAAGAAAAGGGGACTTTTGCTGTCAGCTGCAGAAACATGATTTTTCACCAAAATGATCTGTTACTTAACAAAAAAAGTAGATTTGCAAACTTGCTTTTTTCCCCTTCTTATGATTAAAGAGCGGAGGGAAAAACAAGTATCTGGATAGTCAGACTCTACTGGAATTTTTTCCCGTTCTCTGGCAAGCCTGTCTTACTTGTAGGTGTATCTCAAATGGAACAGAATGTGTGAAAGCCATTTAAATGATTATTTGATAACTTAATAAAGGAAAATGCTTCAAGCCACCACCCCCCTCCTACAGTTGATAAGTGATGCCACCTACTGTGAAAATATTTTACAAAACACTTTCGTTTTGGAATCAGTATCAAATAGTAATTTTAAAATAAAACATGTGTAGAGTTTTCTCTTGGCTCTTCCCAGTTTTGAGAATTCACAGTGAGCCCTGTACTCTTGAGTTTATGCACCAATCTTTCTTTCTTCCCCGAGTATTACTTTACTCACAGGTTTGGCTTAGCAGACTTTAGATGTTGGTTTTTAGCTACGGATTAACTACTAATATATTTGTGCTTAATTATTCTTTTTTGGATGGTAGTTGCACTTTGCACTTTAAAATACTATCTGTTTACTGTCATAGGTAAAGGAGATGCATTTAACCCCCTCCTGTTCCTTTGTTTCCAGGTAGAGGAGGGTTTTAAAGACTTTAATCATTCATGGGCATTGAACACACAGTACTACCTCTGAGGGCAGTTTTGTCTGCCCAAGGCATTCTGCTATGTAAGTAGAGGCTTCTTGGCACCAGAAGTCAGGAGCACCACATGCCCTTAGAATTTCACTGCATTTGTTCTATGAGAAATTGGTTCAAAGAACAGCAGTTTTTAAAGAAAGCGATCCATTTGAAAAGCTACACAGTTTGCTTGGCATCTCTGAACACTTCACAGCCGCACAGTGACGCTCTTGTAAGCCTGCGGCCTTTGCAAGGTTTTGTTTTGTCTTTTTCTCCTTTATCCCCCACCCACCCCTCCCCAGTGGTGTCTGCTTTGGCTGCTGGTATCTTTTCCTGCAGCCCTGCTGTTTGGCACACCTTGTAGAACTTGAGGCTGCCTTAGGAGCTCTAATTGTGAGTAGCAAGTTTCCAGGGAGTCCTGGAGGTTGCAGCGCCACTGAGATAATCTGAGCTTGACAGAAGTGGCACAATTATCCCTAAGTCCTAGATGAAGCAGTAACCCTCAAGGAGGATACTCGAGTGGCCGTGGAGCTTTCCAGAACTGAACAGAATGGGCTCCTCTGTCAGTGCAGATTAGCTCTTGTTGTTGTTGTTGTTTACTAGACAGTGGGTACCTTAAGGAGATGGTACGGAGAACCCATTGTAGCTGATCCAACTTCCGGCGTTTATTTTATTTTTTTTTAAATTTCAAAGCTCCATTCTTGACATTGACTAGAAAACAGCTGAAAGAAAGAGACACGGCCCATTTGCATATTCTACAAGGATAGTGTGGAGCCTGTATGATGAAATCTGAATAAATACGTGGATTTTGAGAACCCTTTTTTTCCCTGACAGTATTCAACATTAAGTATATACTTAAGCAGTAATGACTCTGAAGCTATGCTTTGCATTCATGAACACACTCCATAGGGTTACGCTTCAAGCACTAGGTGAAGCCAAGATTTTCTGAATTATGTTTCATTGGGGAATTTTTACCTTTTTTTCCTGTTTATGACAGTCATTTCATCTGGTTTTATAATGAGGTCAGGAACAGGTGAATGTAAAATAATACTAGTAAGCTGAGTGATTTCTGTGTTAATGATTAGGCTATTTTTTAAATTAAAAAGTTCTGGTATTTGAAACATGCTCAGTACTTTAAGTACACTTACTAGTAATTAATCAGAATGAAAGATTTTAATGTTCTCTGATTATGTACAAATCATTATGGCTACCTGTCTGCAAGAAGTCAGGAGAAACTGGTATCTCGGCTAAAACTGGGGGAAAAACTGGTGTCGTCTTTGCTTATTTTTCCCATTCTCCCAGTAAATACAAAGCATTAGCATTTGTATAATATAGGGGTGTACTTAACTCTTTCCCCTTAAAAGGCCAACTTTCCCCCTTTATAAAATACAGGTCTGCTCATTAAACCAATAACCTTTAAAAAATGAGACATCAAAAAAAAAAAAAACAACCAACAGTAAAAGCATTTTACTAGGAAACCCTCTTAGAGCACATTTTAAACATCTTTTGTGTTTCCACATATCAAGCTACTTTATGGACTTTTGCTGTGGCATTGCCCTTCAACGAGAAAGCTTTTTCCATTTTGTACCATAAAGAATATTATTTTTCTGCCAGCCAATTTTCTCTGTTAGTCACTAATTGGCTACATAAATCTCGGGTGTTGAGAATGAGGAATGTTTCAGTGTCATAGAGTGTAATCTTCACCCTTATTTACCAATTCATTAAGATTCATTGATGCAGGATCGGTGAGAGGAAATGACAACATAAATCAGACCTCCAACATAATGACCCTAATCAGTTGGGAATTGCTGGAAATGTCATGATGAACTATGTCCTTGTGTTAGTGCCACTGTACATTGTCATTGCGCTGCTTTATGAGTGGGACGCATCTTCCTGACACTGACTGTATTTAACGAAAAAAGAGTTGTTAAAAACCTGATTCCATTAAAGCTATGAGATCCATACAAGGTCCTGTGGTGTTTAGCCTTGTGCCCTTTACCTTCATTGTAACTGCTTAATGGAGCTGCAGTTTAATGCACATTTAGAGTACACCTGAGTAAAAACTCCACAGGAAAAAAAAAAAAGCAGGTTGATTTATGGCTTGTCATGTCTTTATTTAACCCAATAATTTCGGTGCGTATAGAGAATTGAAAACAGTAAGTTCTCCACTTAGGTACCAAATCTCTTGTCACTAAACTGAGGAAGCATCCCAGTGACCTAGAACTCCCTAAATATCCTCTCTTTCCGTGATGTGTTGGATTCAAACCTCAGTCTCCACAGGTTTGCTGATGGTAACTGCTGGTCATTCCTAGAATAATGTGTCAATTCAAAATTAGCAATATAATTTGACAGGGGCTTCTGCAAAGAGGTTTCTGGACACCTCCCCCGCCCCCCACCCGCCCCACCATGATATTGATTTGATTCCACCACATTCTTGGAATTGGTTACTGGAAGATCGGGAGCTGCATAGTCATACACATTCTTCGATTTAATATAGTTATTCATTTTAGCTGTAATGAATTAATCTGGCAACAGTTTTGGACTAGCCCAGAAGGCACTCCTCCTTCCTCTTTACTTACTGCTTATTAAAATCTTGCCGATGAATAGCAGGTAAATACGTTTCAGGATGTGAAGATTGAAAATTGTCACTTTATACTCCTTTGACTGTTTTTTTTTTTTTTTAAAAACATTGAGCATGATGGTAACCATTTTTTAATCTCAAAACAAATCTTTAATCTATGGTATAAGGCTGAGAAAGACCTGTAAGAGAACAAGACAAGTTTACTTAATCTTGACAGCCCTGGGTGTAATCTCACTCTGCTTGTGACAAGTCAGACTGTAAGATTTATAACTCCTTAATCAAATGTCTAGAAGTCTCAGGAAATGTTATCATAGGACTTCCTTTCACATGACTTACTGAGAACTCAATAGACCGTTAGATAAGCTCTAGACTAAGCTGGACCTTAGAATAATTTCAAATTGACTAATAGTTTTCTGGGGGGTTTCTTTGGCGGGAGAGTGTTTTCAATTTGTTTTGACAAGTGTATGTTTACAGACTCATTATATCAGAGGGCTCTGTTGCTTCCAATAGGAAGACACGGTAATTTTTGATGCCCTGTGGTCGTGGTCTTCACGTAAACGCTATTTGTGTTCCGAATCTTAGAGTTGTGTGGGAAGGGGATCCGAGGAGACATGAGGATCATAAAAGCTGCCCGATGTCACCATGGTCGCGTGCCTGTGGGGCTGTAAAGGCAGACTTAGACAAGAGCAGGGGACTGCAGTGGGCTCTGAGCCACTGTGTGTCAGTGGAAGGATGACTAAGAGTGTGAGAACCACTGCATCGCTAGAACCGCACCAGCCTTCTCATGTGGTCCAGGAGGCCCGGCACCGCCATTACCACGAAGACCAAAATGACTCTCCCCACCCACAGCCAAACCAGAGTCGTCCTGTGCGCTCTGCCCTGTCATCAGAGGGGACTGTCAGCTGCCGTCTGACATCCTGCGTGCTTTGGCTCTTACCCCAGTCTGACCAGTGTGACTGTACAGGATCCCTCTTCTTGGCCGGTGAACAGCGCACTTAGTGCCCTTGCAGGGAGCCTGAGAACGAGCAAGGTAGTGCGTGCGGGGAGTGAGCAAAAGAGAGACTCAGCGAGACAGGATGTGAGATGGAGGTGGAGAGCAAGACTGCGAGAGGAAAATGACAAGCAGAGAGAAAGGGATACTAAGAGGAAGATGGCAAACTGAAAGGGAAAGAGACTGTGTGACAGGGTGAGACAGAGTGAAAGAGATTGAGCCAGAATGAGATGCAGAAGGGGGTAGGGAGGGAGTGAGAGGGAGAGAGACAGGAGAGAGAGAGAGAGAGAGAGAACCCCGGGAAGCAATAGGGACCCCCAGAGTAGACCCTGCCATCACTTGTGCCTGGAAGAGGCTCTTGCATAGGTGACGGGCATTTTCAGGATGGCTGCCGGGTGGAGTTGAGCAGTGAGGCTGGCAGGAGTCACATCTGGGCCTGAGGCAAGTAGCCCAAACTGAAAAGGCAATGCTCTGATGTCAGCCTCATCCATCTAGGCTTAGAACAAGGATCTGTACTTTGAAGAATCCCAGCCTCCCCTGCAAGAAAGAGCCCAAGATTGTTACCATTTCAGACCTCAAGAGCCAAAGCAAGACACACCAGTTCCTAACCAGAGGGACTTGAGTTAGCTCTAGGAAATGGGAAGATTCAATTGATGTAATTTCAACTTCTTTTCCTCAGAGGCGTCCAGCAGCACAGGCTGCCAAAAAAGTGCCCATGCCCTTGATGTCTAAGCAAAGTGACTGTAAAAATAGAAGTAGTGTCTCAGAAGTTTTTTCTCTGCCCCTGTCTCTCCTGAATCTGAACCAGGCTGTTTAAAACTTGGCATCACTCAGCTTGCAAAGCTACCATTTGTTTCTAGAAAGTGAAAGTTTTTTTTGGTAAGCCCTCTGAAACTCAGTGTTGCCTAAATATCTGAAGACATGATTTTTCTCAGTCCGTCTTGGGCCCCCGTGCCCAGTCTCTCTTTGCTGCACCCGTTCTTCCTCTGCACTAATATGTCCTCATATCCAGCTCCTTTCCATAGATGTGATTGGGTTTCTGTTCATGTCTCCACTGTTCAAAAGATTTGTTTCCTCCACCATTAGTATTTGAGGGAGAACTCCCAAAACCTAGGGAGGGGAAAGCAAGTGGGCAGAGAACTAGAAATGAGATGAGAAAAATCGCTAGCTATTTCTGGCAAGGAAAAACATCTTTACAGTAACAGGAGTGTTTAACAGACAGACAAAATACCTTCAAAATATGCAAATCTCTGTTTATCTTACAGAATTCTACAGGGAACAAATCCGTAGCATTAGCAATTATGACAGCTCAGAAATTTTTTTCCTTCCTCGTCATAATTATAAACATCAGTATCGCTTAGAGCTTCACGTTAAAATGTTTTTCTCCTACTTCTTTTAAGAGTTATTTGTTTAACATGCTTTTATTATCCTAGATGATGTGATTTGGGAAGAAAGTATTAATTCTCTTATCAGCTCTGTTTCCTTTCCAGTTGTTCAGAGAATTGAGCTACACTAGTAGTTTATGAAGTAAGAGGTATTAAATAGAGAGCTCACTGCTGATCAGATTGAGCCACTTCTGAACTGTGGCTATCCAGGCAAAGGGGATTGACAGCTTAGCATTTATGCCGCAAATGTGTTGGAATAACATGGCAACAGAATCACAGGCATCTTTACTTCTCTCACACTGCCGCCTCCCAGCTAGTGCCTTTGTATCATTGAAATTTTTGAGAAACAAGATGCCTTAACTCCTTATCCAATGTTGCTTGTTCAGTCTGGCTTTGTGAATATTGTTCCTTGAGTGTGGTTTTGAAGGTGGCTGTGTTTTATTGCAGGTATTGTATAGGTCATGTATATTCTATCATTCATTCATCCACTTAGGCACTCATTCACTCATTCAAAATATTGACTGTGATGTGCCAAGTCCTGGCAGATTTGGGTACCGTTGTAGCTGAGTATTTCTAATTCTCTTAAACACATTGCCTACATTATCATGTTAGAATAATGTCAAATATAACCTTGTCACAACAACCAGTCTGTCGGGTGTCCTTGGCCTACAGTGCTAATCTGTGATTATTTTCTAATTTGATGCTGGCAACTCACATAGAACCACTGGGTGAGGGGATGGTTCTGTCCCATCTGGTCATTGATTTGTTTATTCAACAAATGTCCACCTACTATGTGTCACTGTGCTGGGTGCTGGGCCCTCTCCCTTTGACTTGCTGGATAATTTTAGAAGCTTGTCCAGTCTCACTGGTTTTTTGCTGTGTATGTTTTCTGAGACACTTCCAGTCCTCCGTTTGATCACAGCTTCCCATCTCTGCCTCTTGCCCATCACTTGTGCGGATTGTACTTAATCACTGTCCTGTATCCACATCCCTCCACACCCAGCAGAGAGTCCATAAGTAGCCATTTCAGTAGTACCCTCTATACCATCTCTCCCTCCCTTATCCCTTCTTCTGCCACTGCAGTGGCTCTCGCAACCCCCAACTCCATCTACGATCACATCTACTCTTCTTCCTAAGGGAATGAGTATGGCTGGTAGCTCTCCCAAAACCATGCTGAGTCCCTGTATGCAGTTCTGCATCCTAGACGTAACTGAGCAATCCCTCATGGGCTCATCAATCCCAGTGTTTATGGTTTTAGAGTCCTCTCATTCACTACAGTGATGATCCTAGAACTTGACCACCACCCTTGAGCCTCTGCTATATCCTCACCAGATTTCAGCAGATGATTTGATTCTTCTTTTACTATACAGATGGTACAACTCGTTAATCTTAATTCCTCTAAATTCAGAATCTCCAACTTCTTCTTCTTTGATCACCTCCTTAGTCTATGAGGAGGAAGAAATTAGCAACTCACTGACCAGCTGCCATACTAGGGAGCGTGATTATCCAAGCCTAGACTCTCCATCCTTCCATTGCCCATGAGCTATCCACCTATCCATCCATCCAGCAAACTTCTGCTGAGTGACTCCTAAGTATCCAGTACTATTAGGCTTTACTGAAGCAGTAATGGGGTACTCCTGGCCTGAGCGGAGAGCCATCTGGTCACTATCATATTGCAATGAACCTGACCTTTGGTCAGCATAAAAATAAAATGCATCTCGAGTACTTTAGAATGAAATATTTTCTTTTTTTTTTTTTTTTTTTGAGACGTAGTCTCGCTCTGTCACCAGGCCGGAGTGCGGTGGTGCAATCTCTACTCACTGCAAGCTCCGTCTCCTGGGTTCAGGCCATTCTCCTGCCTCAGTCTCCCGAGTAGCTGGGACTACAGGCGTCTGCCATTACACTCGGCTAATTTTTTGTATTTTTAGTAGAGACTGGGTTTCATCATATTAGCCAGGATGGTCTCGATCTCCTGACCTTGTGATCCACCCACCTTAGCCTCCCAAAGTGCTGGGATTACAGGCATGAGCCACCGCACCCGGCTAGAATGAAATATTTTCTTTTTAAAGGTAATATTTGAACTGGGTTTGAAAGCATTCATAGGAATTCAGGTCAATGTAGGAAAAAAGTGCCTCCAAGAGGAGGAGAATAGCATAATGTAGGTATGAAAGAGTAAGGTATGTTTGGAAAACAGCAACTAACTAGGAAAAGTGCTGGGTTCGTGGAGGAGGAAGCAGGAAAGAAGTCTGGGAAATTATACAGGAGACCTGTTATTCCATTCAAAGGAGTTGAGACTCTTTTTAGAATGGGGGAGCTTGGGGAGCTTTCCTGGCAAGGGAGTGACTTGATCAGAATGGTTTTTGTTTTTAATGGTGTTTGTGGTTCAGCTGAAGGTTCTTTGAGGATTTCAGGAGAAAGATGATGACAGCTGGATGATCGTAGTGGTGATGAAAAGAAAGGGGAAAAATTTATTCAATATATAAGATTAAGAATTGCCAGGTCCTGATGAAAGACTGAACATCAAAGGAGTTGACAGTGACCTTTCCCTGATCAGGCAAAGTAGCAGGTTGGAGGAAAGAATGTTGAGTTTGGGAGCCTGATGAACTTAAGTGGTAGAAATAATCGGTAAAGGAGAGAAGGGCTTGTTGGGGATCCAATCTGTGATCATCAATGAGTAGGCAAAGGTGAAGTATATGTGGAGGGCAAGGGGACCTTGAGGAACACCAACAGCGAATGGGTTGGGGAAGACAGTGAAGTATTTGAAAAAGACCAAGGCTTTGGGAGGCCAAGGCAGGCAGATAACCTGAGGTCAGGAGTTCGAGACTAGCCTGGCCAACATGGTGAAACCCCATCTCTACGAAACATACAAAAGGTAGCCAGGCGTGGTGGCGGGCACCTGTAATCCCAGCTACTCTGGAGGCTAAGGCATGAGAATTGCTTGAACCTGAGAGGCAGAGGTTGCAGTGAGCTGAGATCGCGCCACTGCACTCCAGCCTGGGCGACAGAGCGAGACTCCATCTCAAAAAAATAAAAATAAAAATAAAAATACCAAGGGAGTGAAGGGTTTTTGAATCAGGCTGAGCACCAGAGGATGTGCTATCAGGGAAGCCATGGAAGAATTTTCAAAGTGGCCTCCATGTCAGGTGTGACAGACACCCTCTGGTCTCTTGGGCTTGGCAGTGTTACCAGGTGTGTCCAGGGACCGCCAGCGTGTTGTGAATGCTGCCTCCAGGGTTCCGCCCCAGCCCCTCTCATGGATCTGGGTGAAGGACTTGGGTTTTTGTTTGTTTGTTTGTTTGTTTTTTTGATACGGAATCTCGCTCTGGCACCAGGCTGGAGTGCAGTGTCGCAATCTCGGCTCACTGCAACCTTCACCTCCCGGGTTCAAGCGATTCTCTTGCCTCAGCCTCCTGAGTAGCTGGGACTACTGGCGCACGCCACCATGCCCAGGTAATTTTTGTATTTTTAGTAGAGACAGGGTTTTACCGTGTTGGCCAGGATGGTCTCGATCTCTTCACCTCGTGATCCGCCTGCCTCGGCCTCCCAAAGTGCTAGGATTACAGGTGTGAACCACTGCACCCGGACGAAGGACTTTGTTCTGATTGGCTTCAGAGTTGAGGAACTACTGTCCTAGCCATAAGCATTGAGTCTGCAACGCAGAGTTGTAAGTAAGAGGTAGAAACATAGAGACAGGACCCTTCCAAAAAGCTTAGCTGCATGGAGGAAAGAGGTTGCAGGATGGGAACTAGAGGGATAGAAGAGTAACCCAGAATAGTTTTGGTCTGAGTGCCTTGAGTATATTTATATATAGACTAAAATGCGGGAGGCGGTAGAGATGCGGTAGAGAGAAGGAGGTTGGTGCTGGAAGAATATAAGCCTGGAAGACACAGGTTTCAGAGTGAATGTAGAAAGTGAACAGCCTCTTATTTTCAGAAGGAAAGAAGGGAGGGCAGAAGGATGAAGGTATTTGATGTTGGATGGGGGATCTCCCTTTTGCTTCGCCATCTTCGTATCATCCTCCACTTCTCTAAGCCACTTGAAACCATTAGCCACCTCTTCCTTCTTTGAAACTCCCTTCTAAGTCTTCTGTCACTCTCCAAGACTCTACCCTGGAATGTGCCTCTAGAACAGTGGACCCCAACATTTTTGGCACCAAGGACCAGTTTCGTGGAAGACAATTTTTCTGACCAGGAGAGGGGAAGAGTTGGGGATGATTAAGGAGCAAGCAACCTAGATCCCTCTCATGCACGTTTCACAATAGGGTTCCTGCTCCTATGAGAATCTAATGCAGCTGCTGATCCAACAGGAGGCGGAGCTCAGGCGGTGATGCCCACTCACCTGCTGCTCACCTCCTGCTTTACCGACCGGTTCCTAACAGGCCCCAGACCCTTGGGGAGCTGGGGACCCCGCTCTAAAATGTAGTGGGTGGAGATTGGATGAGTTTGATGCTCATATTTTTGTCTGCTAGCTTTATATATGTGTGTCTAAGTCTAAGTATTCTTGGCCTACAGGTTTTCTTCTTTAAAAGAAAAAAAAAAGAGGATTAATATGTACCTCACAAAGTAGTTGTGAGGACCAGAACTTAGTAAATGTTATTCTTCCTGTTTCCTAAGTACAGGAATTACCTATGGTTTGTTCTGAGGACCCTTCTTTTCTCCTCATAATCTTTTATTTTATTTTATTTTATTTTATTTTATTTTATTTTGAGACAGGGTCTCACTCAGTCACCCAGGTTGGATCGCAGTGGTGCGATCTCGGCTCACTGCAACCTCCACCTCCCAGGCTCAGGTGATCCTCCCACCTCAGCCTCCCAAGTAGTTGGGACTACAGGCGTGCACTGCCACACCTGGCTAATTTTTTTTTTGTATTTTTGATAGAGACAGAGTTTTGCTATGTTGCCCAGGGTGATCTCAAACTCCTAAGCTCAGGCGATCCACCTGCTTCAGCCTCCCAAAGTGCAGAGATTACAGGCGTAAGCCAGGGTGCTGGCCCTCCCCTCACCATCTGACTCATTCCCTTTCAAGTGTCACCTCTGTGTTGATGCCTCCCTGCTAGCTTTTGTTTTCATTTCTGCTTTACTCTGAAAGTGGCCTGTTCCCTCACTTGGCCATTCTCACAAAAGCGTCACTTGGGCTGAGAAATGTCATTCATGTTGCCTCAGTTCCTATAATCAGTTACCAGGTCTTTCATTCTAGCTGTATAATATTTCATTCATTCATTCATTCATTCACTCGTCTGACATTAAATTATTTATCAAACTGCCTGGTATCCTGTTAGGGGCAAGACATGATCCCTAGCTTACAGGTAAACATTCAGAAAACTAGAATGTAGTATAATGATTACTCTGCAAGAGTTTAGTATAAAACTTGATGGGGCTCTTCCAGATCTGGTGGTGGAGGTGGTCTGCAAAAACTTTCATGGCTAGAGGTGAGTTGTGAGGTTCAGTAGGAATCAGCCCCACCAGGGTTCATGGTGGAGGCGGAGAGGTAGAGACAGAAAGGCCTTGGAGTACTCTGCATGCCTGAGAAGCAGCTGGTTGTTAAGTGTGGCTACAGTGTAGATAGATAGGGTGGAAACAGGAGAGAGAGAGAGTGGGGAGAGCACTGCAGGGGCAGGTAGGCCAGATCCTGAAGTGTGTGCTGCACGCAGCACTGCACAGTAGAAATAAAAGGAGAGCCACACAAGGAATTTTAAATTTTCTGGTAACTGGATTCAAAAAAGTAAAAAGAATAAGATACAAATTATAGTATTATTCTATTTAATCCAACTTGCCCAAAATATAATTTCAGCTTGTAATCAGTATTAAAAATATATGAAAGACACATTTTTCATTTTCTTCTTTCATACTAAGTTTTTGAAAAATCATCTCAATTCAGACATTAAAATTTCATTGGAAATACTTGATCTGTATTTCGATTTCATAAAACTTACGGTTAAAAGAAGAGATTCACATACCCAAGTTGTTCAAGACATACTTAAACATTTTCTGATGACTGAATTAGGTATTGGTTTTTAAATTTAAATAAACTTTCATGAAAATCACACATTTATTAAAAATTTAGTCCTATATTCACTCTAGCCACATTTCAAGTGCTCAGTAGCCACATGTGGCCAGTGGTTTTTCTGTTGGACAGAACAGGCCTGGAGGATATAGGCCTTATAGAGACCCAGGATTTAAATCAAGTGAGGTCACATGATCAGATGGGCTATGGCATGGCCAGACTAGGAGTTGCATTTGTTCACATTCAGAGTTACAAAGTGATGAGGGCATGTGATGAGGGCATGCTCCCAGGCAAGGGTATGGAGAGGCAGGTAATATTTAAATAGGAGGTAGTGTGGGTGGGAATTGGTAAGATGGGAAATAAAAGAGAAGGAAGATTATTAGATAATTCCTTATTTGGAATAGGATTCTTTCCCTGAAAACCCAGGAATAGGAGCTAGCTTGATTTCAGAGCTTGGAGAAATAAATAATTTCAGTTTGAGGCAAAATTTGTGGCTCTTTTAGGACATCAAAGTGGAAGTGGCCAGAAGGTTGTAGGAACAAGGGACTGCAGCTCTGAGAAGATATTTTGGTTGGGGAAAATAATTCAGGAATCACCAGGATACAGGCATGAGTTGAAGCCACAGAAACGTTAAGGACTTCCAGGGATAGTGCTTGAGAGTAGGGGCCCCACAAACTACAGTTCTATGCGCTGAATCCAGCTGTCGCCTGTTTTGTAAATAAAGTTTTATTGGAACAGTTGGAAAACAGCCACACCCGTTTGTTTACAGATGGGCTGGGTTATATTTGCTCCACAACAGCAGCGCTAAGTAGCTGGGACAGAGAGCATCTGGCCTGCAAAGCTGAAAATATTTTACTGTACAACACCACAGAAAAAGTTTGCAGACCCCTGCTTTAAGAGTTTTGCAGCACTGAGGCCTTAACTTTAGACAAGATGCAATATTGAAGAATGAGCAGAGGAAGGGGATGCTCATTAAAAAGAATGAGAAGGAGCCATCAGAGATAGCGCCAGAGAACCAGGAATGAGGAGGACAACCTGGAGGCAAACAGAAGAGAGATTTTCTTTTTCAAGAGAAATGATATGAATGACAGTGTCTTGTGTCATCAAAGTTTAAGTAAGGTAAGGGTTGAAAACTCTCTTTTGAATTTAGCACCTGGAAACTCATTGGAGTTACCATCACTATCAGTTACTTACCTTCATTAAATTTGTACATACATGGAGACCTATTACATCATATTCTAAATTCCTAAAGTTTGTGAGTTCACGGGAAATGAGGAAAGGGAAGAGGTGGGACTTTGGAGAGCTGTTTTAAGGAGACGTGAACACACCCAGGTGCAGTGCTATGCAAGTTTCCCCATTCAGTGTGATGGACTCAAGTCACCTCCGCTCATTAGTAATATGATAGGGACAGTTTCAGCAAAGAGGTGAGGCAGAAGCGAGCTTGCAGAGGTGGAGCCAGGGGAGGGGAGGATGTCGACACAATGAAGTGTAGTCCTTTCAGGCAGCTGGCAATCCCAGGGAGAGACACTCGAGGTTGAGAAGATGATTTTATGATTGGCGAACCTACTTGTTGGAGGGAGAAGTAGAGTTTGGAGAGATGAGTGTTCGATGAGCAGGGCACTCTGGAAGCAGGGAGAAGTGGATGAAAGTGTCCTAATTTGTCCCTCATTCTCTCTGCTTTGGCCCCATCCTGAGTACTTCTATCAGATTTCACTTCCTGTAAAGCTCATTTCATCCCAGCCCTTCCCTGCTCTCTGCTAATGTAGGGTTCCAACTCCAGTCTTCTCTGTCAAGCTTGGCCACTTCTTTTCTCCTATTTGCTTGCCTGCCCCAGCCCATCTCTCTCTTCTCCACTCCCAGCCTCTTGAAATATACTACTCTACTCAAATGTCTGGGCATCACCTAAGTCTTGGCTAACCTGACCTATAATAGGTGCTCAGTTTGGTAGTATTTATGAAGTAGAAACAGAAGCAAAAAAAATCACAAATCATTAAAGTTTTAAGGAACATAATAAATTTACTTCTGAACAAGAAGTAGAACTCATTGCTTTGATCCCTAAATAAAAAAAAAGAACAAAATCCTAGGCTGGGCACAGTGGCTCACACCTGTAATCCTAGCACTTTGCGAGGCCAAGGCGGGTGGATCACTTGAGGTTAGGAGTTCCAGACCAACCAGGCCAACATGATGAAACCCCATCTCTACTAAAAATACAAAACTTAGCTGGGCGTGGTGGCACATGCCTGTAATCCCAGCTATTCGGGAGGCTGAAGCAGGAGAATCCCCTGAACCTGGGAGGCGGAGGTTGCAGTGAGCCGAGGTCATGCCATTGCACTCCAGCCTGGGTGACAGAATGAGACTCCATCTCAAAAAATAATAATACATTAAAGCATAAAATAAAATAAAAATAAAAATAGAACAAATTCTTTTAGAAGTGTTCTCTGTCACAGCACTCTTGATGCGTGGACCAGGTAATTTTTACTGTAGGGGCTCTGCTGTGCATTGTAGGATGTCCGACAGCATCCCCAGCCTCTCCCCACCAGATTCCAGTGGCACAAGCCCCCTCCTCCAGGTGTGACAACCAAAATGGTCCTCAGCCATTGCCAAATGTCCCCTGGTGGGGGAGGGACAATTAACCATCAGTTGAGAACGACTGCTGTAGAAGGACAGATTGTTAGGCAGATATTTTTCCCTGATTTTTTTTTTAATTCCTGGTGTATCCTTTTCCCTCATACTTTGCATTTTTAATTGTTGGACCCAAAGGAAATTATACTCAAGGTACGTCTCATTCCAGGCAATAAAAATGGAAACCACCCATTTTTGTCTGCTTACCAAGCTGCTAGTGGTGCTGGTCCTATCCCATCTTACATACATCAACTCAGAAAAATCAAAGTAGGAGCCCCAGTGTGTGAACTGATGGTCAGTATCATGCGGCTACTATACCTTAAGATCTTGAGGGCTTACCTGAAGCACGTTGCAGCTGCCCCAGCTTCCCAGCCCATTCAAATCAACCATTCTGTTTGGACATTCTTGAGTTGACGGGCATTCAGATAAAAGTGAGGTCAGAATTCTCCCATCACAAATCTACACCTGTTGGAAGGAAGTCACATTTGTGGAAAAGAACCAGAAATTTGTAAATACATGGAGACTTATTCAATCATACTTAAATTCTTAAAGTTTGTGAGTTCACGCGAAATGAGGCAAAGGAAGAGGTGGGACTTTGGAGAGCTATTTTAAGGAGAAGTGAACACACCCAGGTGCAGTGCTGTGCAAGCTTCTCATTCAGTGTGATGGACTCAAGGCGCCTCTGCTCCTGGGGTGGGAGTTGTCAGTGATGGGGATTTGGTTAGGAGCCCTGTTTGATTCCTGTTCAGTCCAGTTTTCTTGCTGTATAGACACGTGCCAGGTGCACTAATAATCAACCACTTGTATCCACAGTATAAGGTGCAGGATGCTAATCCTACCTGCAATTATTAGCATGTACCTTCTTGACTTCAACAAACTGCATATACAAAGGAGAAATGCTGCTGAAAAGCCAATTAAAGATTTTCTTTAGATTTCGAGGCTTTAAAATGGTAATCAAAGACTGCTTTGAACAGGGCTGGCTTGCAGTATTACCCTCTGCCCTGCTCTGCATTTTTCCCTTTAACTACAACTTGGTAAACAAGAGCTGATTCTTAACAATAACCCAGAAAGTTAGTGTTGCTCTCTAAGCTGTCATTAGAAGAAATGTTGACTTTATTGATGTTATAGTCCTCATATAGCCAGGAGACAGCAGCAAAACACATTTTTTTCTTTAAGTTGAACTGAGAATTCAGTGTTAGTTCACGTTCATTTTATGATGGGGAGAAGAGTATTTGCACTTGAGAATTTTCCAGTGGCCTCCCAAAGGGCTGGGTTTTATGAGCTAGTAATAATCACTGTGATTTATTGAGCACCTACTACATACAAGACACTTTACATACATTATTCCTCTGTGCTCTCAGAACACTGTGCATTTTTCATGGTAGCACTTATCACAATTCTAATCTCCACTTATTTATGTGTCTAATTGATTAATCTGTGTCTTCTTGATTAGACAATCACCTTCATGTTGATGGAACTGTATTGATTTTTGTTCCATGTTGGCACCCTAACACTCAGTACAGGGCCTGGCATATTTTGTATTAACTATAGAATAAATATTGCTTAGAAGGACGAGTGAAATCAGATGCAGAACAGCATGATTTTATAGATGAGGAAATGAGAATAGGGAGTGGTGGGATATCTTGTTGAAAACTTAAAAATTGGCTGAGCTAGAAATCAAGCCCAAGTATGTCTGCCTGTTTTCCACCAGACCTGCCTTCTTAAACTTTAATATGCATGTGAATCACCTTGGGGATATTTTAAAATGCAGGTTCTCATTTAGTAGGTCTGAGATGGGCTCAGGAATTTGCATATCTAACAAGCTCCCAGGTGATGCCTTTGCGGCTGTCCACAGAACCATGCTTTGTGTAGTCATAGCCTGCAACACAGTTGCAGTGCACAGGTTGATCACTTTCTCATCTGTTGGAGGTATATGTGGTTCTATTGGAAACCCTTGTCATGAGACAGATCCCTTGTACTAGTCTCCTCTGGAAGGTGCCACAGGGGTCTACTCTTGGATAAATGCACTGGCTCTTCTCATCAATTGGTTGTGCCTAGGTTATGATCCTCTCTCCCCCGCTCCTCTCTCTCTTTTGGGGGAGAACGTGATCAACAATGGCTGTGATCTTTGATGAATCTTAACTCAGGTATTTAGCATGCTCGTTATTAGGAGCCCTGTTGTCTCCGTTTACAGGTGAAGAAGACTAGTAATTTTAATTCCCTATTTTAGAGTGTTGTTCCTGTCCCAAAGATGTCCAGTACCTCCACCCCTCACAGCTACCATGGGCATGCCAGGGAGTAGCAACACCCTTTCAAAAGTTTCTTTGGGTGTTTAGTTGATGAATGAATCCTGTTGAGAATCTGGCATTATCAGACATCAGATGGTCCCGCCGTTGACCCTGTAGTCATCCAGTGGCCCCAGCACTCAGCAGGCAAAGAGAAGTGGCCCCACTGTTGGTACCTGTTCTACCTATTCAGGGCACCTCAAGCCCTGTCTTTCTCGTTGGCATGTTCGTGACAGCATGATTAAGGTAGCTTGATAAAGGACTTCTGTTTCTTTCTAAATCTCCTCCCAGGCTCAGCACTTCCCCATGGGGGAGATCCAAGGTCTAGGTGCTTATTTAGACCACATGATAGCACATGGATGGATGGGCGGAGCATATCTCTGTGCAAAGGGGCCCCTCAGCCAGAGCTGGACTTGCCTCTCACCAAGCAGGCAGATGCTTTTGTCCCAGCTCCACCTAAGTACGCTTTATCACCAGCTTCTGGCTGTTTCTCAGATTCCAAGTTCAATCCTTGCTAACTGTAGGGACAATATCTGCATTCTTGACTTTTAGGCCGACTGATTCTTTGTACTTCCCAGCCATTCACTCTAGATCCATTCATCATCGTAGTACCTGATTGGAACCCACTGCACCCTTCATTCATCATGTAACACAATGTTACCATTTTTATGTGTTTGTAAGATTTGAATATATACATATGTATGTTGCATTTTATTTTTATTTTATTTTTTTTGAAATGGAGTCTTGCTCTGTCGCCCAGGCTGGAGTGCAGTGGCACGATCTTGGCTGACTGCAACCTCCACTTCCCGGGTTCAAGCGATTCACCTGCCTCCGCCTCCCGAGTAGCTGGGACTACAGGCACCCACCAGCACACCCGGCTAATTTTTGTATTTTTAGTAAAGACAGGATTTCACCATATTGGCCAGGCTGGTCTCGAACTTCTGACCTTGTGATCCGCCTGCCTCGGCCTCTCAAAAGTGCTGGGATTACAGGCGTGAGCCACCATGCCCGGCCATGTGTATGCTGCATTTGAATTGTGTGGTGGTAAAAATTGAAGGGGTGCCTTAAAAAAGATTTACTTTAGCTCTGTATTTTGAAAAAACTCTTTCAGATACAGTTCTTTATAGTGTTCAGCTGTGTTAAATGGTCTTGAAGGGTAGCTTAATGAGAAAAGGTCTTATGTGTTAAGGACATCATTATATTGTTAAAATTCTGCTGAATGTAAATAGGCAGATGCCTGTAGTTTGTCCTGAATCCTTTACTGAAGGGCTTGCCTTAGTTGTCTTCACATGGACAAACAAGGCACAGGAATTACAGATGATGAATGAGGAATATACCACTGATGGAATTTTCTTAAAACACACCGTGTGTTTCCACATCTTTCTTTTTACATTAGAGTTTCTCCCTTCATTTAATTTTCATTTGTTTGGGAGTGTTATTTTGGATTTAATCTATGTAAACTATATGCCCATGCCTTTGGATTAATGGACTTCACAAAGGTAGTGATTAAAGTTTACAGATGTGGGAAGCTACAAATACGAAAGGAGGCTTACATTTTTCTCTTTTTATTCATTCATATATATATATATATATATATATTCCCATTTTGTAATTCCTTAGCATCATGTCATTGTTCCCATAAAAATATACTGTATTTTCTGAAATGATACAATCTATGAAGCATTTCCCATTACGTAGACACCATGTCTTTAAATTATAGCAATTTCTTAAGATTTTAAGGCAAAATGAGCTCTTAGAAGTGTGATTAATAGCAGGGAATGAGGCTAATGCTGGGTCATCAGTGGCACTCCATTACAAAAAGGTTGGATTAATAAAAGCATTCATCTTTTTGACCAATAAAGCATTTGAATGATATGCTTATAGTTCTTATAGTAGTTACTTGCTACTAAATAAACTCTGAACTTGTATTGTGGAAAGGCGGCATGACTTAAGTGGCTGATGCACAAGTTTTTTGATGGTGTGAGAAAAGGCAGGCCTGGATGGGAGGCTCATTGTTGGAGCTACTGGTTTTTAGGGTGTCTTCTACAAGCGTAATACCCATGAACTAGGAGCCTCATTTGGTTTGGGGGCAAGTGTAAAGAATCTGGCTTCTTGGTTGATTATGTCTTTAGCAGTGTAAGTGTCCATGTAGCCCCTCAGTACGTGCTTTGTGAATTGCACTGTTAGGAATCCAGTGCTTAAGGGTCAAGATTATAGCGTGGAGGTTCATGAGGGTCTCTTAAGTCTCCTGTAGCTCAGTTGCCCAATATATGAGCCTTGTACCACTCACGGATAGGTTGGGAGAGGATTTTTTGGTGGCTCGTAAATCATTCACCAATTCGCATTACTGTGGTTCAATGTTGAAGCAATTCCATTTTCAATTCTTTTTTAATCCTTCTGATAAAGCCAAGGAGAAAGTCTCAATTTGGTACTAGTATCTTTAATCTGTCTCTCCCAGTTGTAAGCTCATTATTTAACAAAGAAAGAACATGGTTCCACTCAGAGCCTCTGAGAAACAGCAGGTTCTAGCAGAATTTAATATCATTGGTTAGGTTTTATAACATGCATTATAAAAGTCTTTCTCACCTACAAAGGGTTACATACTGGTTTTCCATTTGAAGAAGTGATACAAAGTTTCCTCTGAAGGTAGATTTATTTATCAAAAGTGAATCATTTTTTAAAATAACAATATGGTAGATGTGGATGGAGATGGTGAAAATAATGAAGACAGAAGTAAAAGTGAATGCATGGGGCTTGGGAAACTAGCTCCGGTGTCCACTAAGATGCCACAACCTTTCTGAGATTCTCAGAATTTGTAAGATTTTCATTCTGGGGAGGAGTTGTGAAAAGAAAAATCAGTCCTTCCCAATCTTGAGTTAGCCCAAGGCCTCTTTAGAACTATTTTCTATTTTAAAAATAATTTGTTGAACAGCTTATATAAAAGCCTTCTTAATGTACTTTTTTAAAAATAAAACTTTTACAATTTGGGATTCATGGGGAATAAAATAAGTAAACTGGGTACATAGAAGTAAAACTAAATGTGGGCCCGGCATGGTGGCTTATACCTGTAATTCCAGCACTTTAGGAGGCCAAGGGGGGAAGATCACTTGAGGTCAGGAGTTGGAGACCAGCTTGGCCAACATGATGAAACCCTGTCTGTACTAAAAATACAAAAATTAGCCGGTTTTGGTGGTACACCCCTGTAATCCCAGCTACTCGGGAAGCTGAGACAGGAGAATCACTGGAACCAAGAGGAAGAGGTTGCAGTGAGCCAAGATTGCGCCACTGCACTCTGGCCAGGGCAAAAGAGCAAGACTCCCATCTCAAAAATAAAAATGGAAAAATAGAACTAAATGTGGGTTAGGGCAAGTGTAACACCACTGCTGGGGAAGAGGAAAGAAGACACATTATTTATCCTGCTCGTGATAAGGAATAGGTGAAACCATCTTCAAACAGAAAAGAGTACCCCATTCAAGCAATGATTATATGCCCAGGTTTAGCCTAGTTTTCAAAACTCCAGGACTCAATTATGATTTCCCTTTATGAAGGGAAATTGTTACAACTCTTTGGATTACCATTTAGAATTGTCAACTATGTTTATAATCCTTTACTAATATTCTGGTTCATCCAGGGTTCAGGAAAAGAAAATAAAAACTGAAGCTCAGGAGAACTGGACAAGAGCTGAAGTGCAGAGAGTGAATCATCAGCATTTTCTCCTGAAGACAGGACAGTGAGGATACCAGGACACAGCCCTCCACTTTGACTTTTTCATTTTGTTTTTCTCTTAGGTTTTCACTGGGGTGTTGGTTATAGAAGCCCCTTCACTTTTCTCTACCTCCTAGTCATCCATAGGGTAGTGAGCACGGAATCTGAGAACGTTCTGTTCTCAAAACATTAGAGGGAAGATTCTCTCTGTTAGTTGTTCCAGCAGCCGGACTTGCATCATCAATCAGTTGAGCAAGTCTGATTTTCTTTCTCAAGGGCAGTAGAACAGCTCCAGCCCTAGAGGGCTTTTAAGGGAAGTTCTTGATGTCTCTTCCCTGCATGTCCATCAGGTGTTAACAGGTCCTTGAGCCTGAAAAATGGCCTCCTACCAGGGCACTGAATGCTCAGTGGAAATTTTCTTCCCCTGACATTGTCGAGGCCTCAGGGACTATGTTGATTTGGGGAAAGATGATGGTTGGCAGAGAGGGACTTAGGGAACAAACCACAGAGCAACAAAACAAAAACATGAAAGACAACACACTAGTTACTTTGTGACTTTAGGTTTGCAGAACAAAGATTAGATAATTCAAGCAAGGCCTGGAAACAAGAGCAGCTAGAGAAGGTTGAGGAGTTTATTCACAGTGGAACTCCGGAGGGGGATATCTGTTGTGGGGGTTGGGGCAGACCAACACAATTTTTGTTACTTTCTTTTTAGACAGAGTGGAAAATTCCAATAACCTGATTGTTAATCATGTAATTGCCAGAATCCACTTAGGTGTATCTTTATTTTTTTAATATCCTTTTCTCATTTCCATATTTTGCTTTGGATATCCAGCAGACAGTGTTTTGCTGCACTTTGCACTGACATCACGCAGAATTTAAAAAAATTAGCTAACTGATTATAAGTGTAAGATATAGATAAATTACCAAACTGTTTTTCAGTATGTTTTGCTTATTAAATTTTAAGTAATGGAAGGAGGTTTTTCACATGTATCAAAATTAAATTAATGGTGTTAAAGTATCTGTAAAATAGATTGAAACTAATGTTTTAATTGCCGATTGTGTTTCTAAATATAGTATCTCTGATAAGGCATGATAACTTTCTTGTAACACACAGTAAGCTGCTTTATGTGGTAGTGCACATCAGGGAAATTTTTAGAGATTAAACGTTTCTTCTTAACACTTTTGTTAGGGACACACCGAACTTATTGTTCATTCTGGGCTTTGAAGAGCTAAGATTTTATTGATAAGCTGACAGAATGAACCCCTGAGTGGTTACATGGGACATCAACTGATTATTTTATTTTTTGATATTTTGTAAGGAAAACATCATAAACTGATATAGTTGGATTTTTGCAGAGTAGTTGAGAATGCTCTGCATCTGTTTGTGGGCCCACTGGGCTTAAAGGTATCTTAGAATAGAAGCTTGATATGAGGAGACTGGAGCATTAAGGTTTTCCTTCTGGATGAAACATTAAAGATTCGAATCTGTGTTTGACCCATATATTTCATTGATAAAAGAAGATGAGCCCAAGAAATGAATGCAGAGTTACTGAAGCATGAAAACATTATAGTGTTTTAAAGCTGTTTTCAAATCCAACCTTTAGTAGTTTAAACCATGTGGATGCTTTATTTTTATCTGCAAGCCAGGAAATAAAAGGGTATTGACTGAGGTCTCTTGGTCTTATTTTGGGGTGACTGACCTCTTTTTCTTAAAGGGGCCTGTTTTTTGTTTTTTAATTTCTAAGTAATGTCACCAGTAAAGAGTTAAGCGGATCTGACTGGCTTCACTCTGGCTTATATGATGGTGAGTAATGTGATGTTGGTAACAGCAAATTGTTGTTTATAAGCAAACATGGCATTGTGCAAACAAGCAGGCTTGGTCTCCAACCGGTTTGATTTCATGGTGGTCAGCAGCTGATCTATGTAACATACAACCTTTCTGCCTCTCTAAATGTCAGAATGACTGTTTGTTTATCTTGCCTTCTTCCCAGCTGTTTACTCTGTAATGCATTTACCTCGACCTTGATTCTCAAAGAGTGGCCTCTTTCTCCTCCCCAGTTCTGTTTACGTTAGCCCTGCCCCTGCTGTCACCTATGAAATCTGTTGATTATTCCACCTGGTTAATGTTAAATTGCTCTTGTAAGATGATGTGTTTGTTCATAAACACAAATGCTGGGCCCCTTGTTTACTGTACCCATGGCAGCAATCGTTATTAAACAGATATTGCTTTGTTTGCGGGTGTGAGCAGCAGTTTATCCTGCAAGGTCTGTTTAACAGACACACACACACACACACACACACACAAACTTAAATGCTAGAATTTTGATAAAGAAAGAAAAAGGGGAACTTGTCCCTGGAATGTGGTTGAAACAGACTTAGGTTTGCTTTTCTTATCTTTTGCTTGGATGAAGGGGCTGGTGAGATTAGCAAGTTGTTTGGTTTTTCTAAGAGATTTCCTTAGTGTAATGATATCTATGCAGTTGTTTGCTTTTTTCTGAAGGGAGAGAGCTCTCCTGAAAGGCCACTAGCTCAGTAATAGAGCATCAGATGGCTAGAAATTTCTTTGTGGAACAAACAAGGACTTAGAAGGTGTAGGAGAAAAAGTCTAGTACTATGAACAAGGCAGTCACCATTGAAAGGTACAATCCTTGGATTTTGTGTTACTGTGTCTATCTTGCGTGTTGTCCTGTAGGCTTGATATGATCCTGTTGGATGCATGTACTCTTTGTCAAGTTTGAGAAGGGAGGATTAACTTTTACTTTGATGTGTTCTGAATAAATCCCCCCTGCCATAAATGAAGATATTTTAACTGGGAAGAAACTACACAGTTAATATGCATAATGTATTTTTAAAAGCCAGTGTTTTTACTCTTACCTGTGGTTCTTACCTGTCCATTTTAAAGTGAGTTTATGCTTTGTATCATTTCTAGTTAAGTAAAGCAAGCATGTGGCTCTTTATCTAGTTTGGTGTGTGCACATGACGCTTGTCCCTTGGACACTGGGAGCCACCTTAGATAAGACCTGAACATTAGCCTGGCCTTTGTCATGTTTTGCAAACAGTAGAGAAAACTCTCAGCTCGCATCATATCATCATTTTTTTTTTAAGTTATTGTTTGTTGCTGTTTCTGAATTTGCCTTGTGTTTCAATATGAGGTATGCTCTCCTAGCATTTGCTGTAAATTACAAAGATACAACACCGACCAGGGTGAGGGTGGAGGCTGGAGGGTCATGACCTGCAGAGGCAAATGGTGGTCTTTTATGTCAGAGAAGCCTTGCTCATCTGTCTGTGAGAGCAAGTTTCAGGGGGGAAAATACATATATGTATATTGGAGTTTTTGAAGGATAAAATTAAATAATTGTTCCTTTTGCACAACGGAGAAATGCAAGCAACAGAATTCTGATGGCCCACATTCACTACATTACCATGATGCTGTGAACATATTGTTCACTTTGGCCACTAGAGCGGTGAGGGGCTTGAGCCAAAGCGGGAGATACGTGAAGTGTGTCATAGATCACGCCAGTCATTAATCTATGTTATGAACCTGGCCTCGTGTACATTAAATGATAGAAAATATAGAAATGAAAAAAAAAAAAGACTTTTCTGAACTGGTTGTTGGTCACTTTATTCCACTGGGCTATTTGTGAGAATTCAGCTGTTTGAATGTTCAAATGATTAAAGTTCCGTGGGCTTTGTTAGTTCTCAAACTTAAAATCTATTTTGTTCTGTAAAAATGCATTTTAATTACGCTCCCCAGAACACCTGGCCCCATCATGCCTGACCTTCAGAGGCTTCCTTGTGGCAAAGCAAACAGCCTAGCACTGGATTGGCAAAGCTCCTTTTCAGTCTCTATTTAATTATTTGAGCTCCTCAGGATTAATATGCGAGGGAGTGGGTATGCATTCTGCTTTGTACTTGTTTCCTAGAGCGGCTTCTTTCTAACTTCCCTCGTTTGCCCACAGTTGCTATGATTACGGCACTTAAACTCTTGTCTATTAGGAAAGAAGCGAACCAAGACCCACCAGAGCTGAAAAGCTAAAAAATATAAATTGAGACATCTGTAATTTTTGGAGCGGGGTCAACTTGTTATCTGTGCTCATTGGTGTCTTATAAAGATTACGTTATCCAAGAAAGTTTGATGAAGACAGTTCTGAAGAATAAGACATTTACAGTTGCTCTGAACAACTTTACTGCCTTGGCATTGGAATGCAGAAATCCTTTTTTTCCTTGGAAATATGAAGTCTCCTGTCTTCACATTGAAAGCCTGGTGAAGAAGGGGGAAGCCTGTGCTTTTGTTAGGAACATTATTTTATTACCACCCTATCCCGCCAACTCTATTCTGAGTCATGAATTACAGGGAAAATTAAACATCCCATTGTCTACCTTCTCCAGCCCATCTGAATTGTCCATATATATATTCAGTGTTTCCAATGGGTTTTTGTAGGAAATTTCATTGGTTGATTATCTTTCAATGTTTAATGAGATCATCCTACTTCTCTTAAGACCTAACAGATTTAATTAATGGCTTGTTACTTTTGGAGTTTCAGAACACCAAAACAGTTAAAGAAGTGTACAGGAAATAGAGTATTTTTAAAGTTGGAATATAAAAGTTGGAGGCCAGCACAAGCCCTTGATCTCATTTGATCAAGAGGTTGGCCTTGGAATTTTGTGTCATTTAATCATTTAGTCAAACATTTAGTAATTATGTGTTAAATTCTTGTTATGTGCAAGGCATACCTGAAAGTTAAACTTGAGATAAAAGATGTATTTATTTATTATTCTTATTAAACAAATGGAGCTGGGGAAAGTGGACAAGCAAACTATTTTAATCTGAATGCTTCTTCCATTTAATTGATAAATATAAACTATTCCTGGTTTAATTGATAAATACAAGTTAGTTCCTATTTCTTTTCTTCCTCTTTTGAAGGCAAGAAAGCTGCCGTATTACATTATTGAAAATAAGCATGGGTTTTCTAAGTTTTTGCCAATTTAGTGTTCCTTGCTTGCGTTGGTCATCATAGCTATAGATGATCCCCACTGGCCATGTCAGATGCATTCAAATGCATCTTGCCTTTGCTTACGTGTACCAAGCCCTGCACCTCCTGCGTTCCAGAGGGCAGGACAGGTCAGTGGCGCCGTTTGGACACAGATGCTGTGTTCTCTAGGAGGGGTGCCCCTACAGCTGGTTTGTTTCTCCTCCCTGGGGAGGCCCGACTCCTCACTTCCATGGGTTCTTAGCCTCTACTCACCTGAGACCTGGAATGATTCCAGTTTTACCTGATCCTCCTGTATGGCTAAATGAGTGGCCACATTTGTTTTGGTTTTGTTTTTTTTTAAAACATGCTTTTGACAATTTCATTGCTCCTGAACTTTTTTTCCAGAGGGGCTAAATGAAATTCCAGATTTTTAAAGATACATGTAGATAGACATCTATGGTGCATGATAAAGTTGATAATACATAAATCATTTTTAACAACAGGTAATATGCATAATTTATGGTGTTACAGTGCTATCCTTCTGATATTTATGATGGATAATGTTCAGTTTTGGCCCTCATATTACTGCTTTAAATTATACCACAAGAAAATTAATGAGAAAGTAGATTTATGGGTTTCATTTGTTTGTCAATTCGGAAATTAATTGGGTGTTAATTTTAGCCGTCCCTTATCAGACCAGGACTGTAGTATGTGTGCATTACTTTGCATTCATTGTAGCTTACCTCCCATTTACTGTGGGTCACTAGCTTTGCATACATTAAAATAGCCCTCCGGCTCATTCCCTTGATTACTTTTTGAACTGCCATGCTTTAGAAAATTTACGCCTTTCTGTTATAATTATGAAAATGTGGTATTGGAAGACGGTGCCTTCATAACACAGTCAGCACACTGACTTTGCCTCCTAAACTTGGCTCTTGGGTAGTCTTTCCATGAAATGGGACCCGGGTCAGGAGGACAGTGGATAGACAAATGGTGTGTCTGTAGGGTTCATTCATAATTTGTAGAAGTTATCTCAGGTGAGAAAACAATTGTCTGATCTAACTCTGTTTCTCTTGTTTTGTTCTTTCTCCTCCCATCTACCCTTTTTGTTTTTTTCTTAAGAGTAGCCCATCCAAGCCCATTTGTAGACAGTAACTCTACATCTTGGGGCTGCCATCTTTCTGTCTGCTTCCTTAACCACTAAGTCTCATTTGTCATCCCCTCCACCAGTCAGTGCCTCATCTCCTCATTGCCACCTGCTCCAGCAGCATCTCGCCAGGTGACGGGTGAGCAGTGTAAAAGCATGGCCCTCATGCTAGCAAATGTGATGTCTCCATTGTTGCAGTCCTCTACTGAGAGTCTGTGGCTTTCATCTGGGATTTCCATTGCTTGATTCCCTCTCTGTTGTGAAGAGAGTAACACCCACATGAGCATTAAAGAGTACAGAACTGGTTTAATATCCTAGGCCACCCTACCGTTTGCCTACTAGGGGAAAAAAGTCTGTGGAGCTGCACCCCACTGCTTAAAACTCCTTTGTTTGTCTTATGTTGCCTTGTAAACCCTTTGCACATTAAAAGGGAACCAGTTCGTTTGCTTGATGAGAACCAGAACTAAATGTATGCTTTATATCATAATATAGACAGGTTGGTCTTCTTTTTTCCTCAGTGGCATGAACACGATTATTGAAGGTTTTAAATCTTAATGATGCAACATGAGTAATTTTAAAAGTACCTCTCTTAGAGCTAAAGCTAGTCTGAGTCTCATCCTTATTCTTTCTCAGTCTACTAACTGCATGGAGTTAACTGACAATAAAGTAAGAGGCATGTGTTCAATATTTCCAAAATAATGAAATCTACACAGTGAAATTCACATTCTTTTCCTTCCTTCCTTCCTTCCTTCCTTCCTTCCTTCCTTCCTTCCTTCCTTCCTCCTTCCTTTTCCATGAGCTTCTGTTATCTCTTCAGAATTGCATGCCATCTTCCTTTTTTCTCTGCACATGGATGAACAATGAGAAAGAGAATTTTTCTTTTCGGATGGGGGGTGGACTGTGTAATTACTCTAATAATTTTCCTAATAGTGATTTCACCATTAACTTCTCTTCTCCCCATAGAAATAGAAACATATTTTACAAAACTATGTTTAGTTTAATTTACACATCCTTTTATGAAGAGACCAACTTCTTTAAGGGCATTTATTCTGCTTCATATAAATAATTGATCAGCCAAGTTAATTTACTTCTGCCTGACTTGGTCAACCTTAATTAACTGCCCTGGAATCAAGACTGAACTTTTTGTTAGCTTAAAATCTTTCACAAGCATGATAACAAGGGCTTTATTTTCCCTAAATTTTCAGCATCAACACTGTAACCAAGGAAATAATCATAATAATAAAGCACAGCTTTAATTTACTATAAATACATTGGCCTGGACATTATGAATTTTCCAGAATACTTCCAGAGAGCAGCTCTGTTGGCAACAACAATAAATAAGCATGCTAAACTCAGTCCTTGTCCTTTTCTACAAGTCCCTCCAGCACAAAAATCGAACCTTTGAAGTCAGTAGCTCTGTAATGTTTCCAAGCAAGATGAGAAGTAGATCATTTTGGCTTCTTTAGGCTTTTTGACATCTATGCAATTGCAGCATTGACCTTTGTAGGGTTATATTAAATGGATCACGTGATTTAAACAGGCTCAGTTCATCTGGAGATGCCACACAGGAAAGCAGAGGAAGATTTGGTCTTGTTTCTGGAAGAAGGACTTGTTTGTGGGTATGGTGTGGCCATACCTTTGTATTCAGGCACTTTGTATGATTACACAGTGTTTCCTGCTGTCAGTATGTCATGGAGCAAGGCAGTTAGTTAGTTATAGAGTTAGTTATTCCCCCAGAGAGAAGCAGAGGTTATGCATACCGGGTGCCTGAGACAAGCTTCCTCGAAGAAAAGAGGGTGCAACGTCCCTTGATGGAGAAGATAGATTCCTCTCCTATATATTGACTTGATTTCAGATGACTCTAATAGTGAAAAGTCAAAAGAAAAAGACAGTTGTTTGCAAAATAGTGCAGATGGCTTATATCATTGTATTTTAATGCTTTTCTTTGTCCACCTGCCACTCTCATTGTTGTCTTTTCTGGAATTTCCTTAGTTTTCTTTTCATTAATTTCATTATCCACTACCCAGCACAGGACTTTACAAACTGGAGATTCTTAATAATGGACAAGTTCATGTCTGAAACAGAATAGTTATGGCTACATCTATCCCTTAACCGATTGAGCTTTAGTTTTCTTATCTGTGAAATGGGGATAACATTTACCTGCCTTATCTCCCTCCTAGCCTTGTTACAAGTTTGAAAAGCACATCAGAGGGCTTTTGCAATTTGTGAAGTGTGATACAGATATAAAGGCTTATTAAATGACTTGGAACGTTTGATAGAAATATTGCTGGCCCAGACACTGTTAGAAATGTTCTTAGACATTGACACTCCTATTTTTTCACATGTGCTTTTCAAAAAGCTGTTTTCTCCTGATTGGTGTGGGAGATTATGGGAAATTTTAAATCTTCCAACCTACATACTACTGTTAGCACTTGACTAATTAAGGACATCCTCAGACCAAAATAATCCTTTCTGCAATTTTGGTCCCAAAGCCTGCACTCTCACAAACCTGATTCACAAGCCAAGCTGCTTGGCTTGATGCCTGCAAAACTTGTACTGGAGGACTTGGCAGTCTGCTTTGGAACTGCATGGAGCAAAAACAGGGCCTTCTCATCAAATTGTGTATTGGAGACTGTTCTTACTCCACCCACCAGAATGGTGTCTCACCAAGGAAACAAAAGCAGGACCAATCTCTTAGACACCTGCTCTCAGGCCTGGGATCCCGATGGTCACATAGTCTGAAAGCAGCATTCTACCTGCAGTTCTCTTCCATCAGGACAGGATATTTGGCTAAATATTTATGCCTCATTCTTAGGGCAGGGATAGAGTTTATATATGTGCAATGTTGTTGTCTTTTGGGGATCAAGTCCCTGGTATGGGAAGGTATTCCCAGAAGGAAAAATATCTATATATATACATATTTTTAAATCTATATCTATAGATTTTTTCTTTATATATATTTGAGATATATCCCGATAATTAGATGGATTTCCTTGCTACCTACTCTAAGACAAATGCTCTCTTGCTTAAATACCTAACACTGTGCCTTTTCCTATAATTCTTTTTTTTTTCCCTCTCCCCGCCCCCTTTTTTCGAGACAGAGCCTTGCTCTGTTGCATGCTGTCTGCTCACTGCAACCTCTGCCTCCTGGGTTCAAGCAGTTCTCCTGCCTCAGCCTCCCGAGTAGCTGGGATTACAGGCATGTGCCACCATGCCCGGCTAATTTTTTTGTATTTTTAGTAGAGAGCAGTTTCACCATGTTGGCCAGGCTGGTCTCGAACTCCTGACCTCAAGTGATCTGCCTGCCTTGGCCTCCCAAAGTGCTGGGATTACAGGCATGAGCCACTGCACCCGGCTCTTTTCCTTTAGTTCTGTACAAAGGGGCAAGTTTGTGGAAGAGAGACTGAAACGCCCAGGGAAAAGTACCTAGGTTTCACTAATTCATTTCTTTTTTGGTGATGAACAAGGCACTCATGTTGTCACAAATTATCTTGTTACCTGATTCTTATATCTTAGGGAAGATTTTGGTTATTTTTGATAGACGCTTTACTCTGTGGACAGTAAGAATATAACTGCAATTTCTAAAGGACTGTAGTTATTAGAAAGTCTGATCTGAAGACATGAGAATGAAAAAATAATAATAGAAATCAAAAAATGAGAGTGAATCAGCTGTTACTTCTGAGTTTGTTTCCCACCTGCTAGTGAAAAATGCCATTCTCAATCCACTTTTGAATTGAATCAACTTAAAAAATATATACGTCTTTGGGTTTATGAAGAGTCTGTATCAAGTTGGATCATGCTATACAGTGAAAGGAAATGAAGAAACATGTGAATTTTTCTGCTTTTAATTTTTCCATTTGGTTTTTGTGCAAGTCTGTAGAAAACAGACTTCATCCAATTTCTAGCAAGAAAACAATGTCCTCTAAAGATACCCAAAGATTGAAATTTCCCTGTTGTCACATTTCATGTATGGGGCAGAAATCTGTAGCATTGGTTGTACATATGTCCTTCCACAATTGGAACACATTTGCCTAAAAATTTTCTGCCCTTTAATCTGGGATTGGTATTTCACATTAAAGTCTTAATTATTCAGGCATTTCTCAGCTTTCATGTTTGAACTCTTCACTTCCTTTAATGATTGTTGCTTTTCCTTTTCCAAATTCTGGTCTGTGAACTTGGAGTGTGAGCCTGCCGTTTTCATTGTTTTGCCCCCACTGAACCTCAACTTTAAAAATACACATTGTGGTAAAGGGCTTTGACTTAACTGAACTGCTTCAAATCCTGATTCCACCATTACTAGCTGTGACATGTAGTGGACAAACTAAATAACTTGTGGATCCTTAGTTTTCTCATCCGCAAACTGGGGGTAACAATCATCAGCAGCACTAAATTGGAGAATATGTGTAAATCACCTGCATTAGGGCCTGCCTGACCCAACACTGGTGATCAGTAGATGGTAGCAGTTGGTATTAGCAAATGCTATCTGTCTTTTCTCATCTTTGAACATCTTTTCTGAGCCAAGTGCTGAATCGGCTCTCTGGGATAATGGTTTTGTGCCCAGAGAGTAATAAGAGTGAATGTGAAATGTATTTACACCTAAGTGATATTTTCTCTCTTTTTTTTTTTTTTTTTTTTTTGTGAGATGGAGTCTCGCTCTGTAGCTCAGGCTGGAGTGCAGTGGTGCGATCTCAGCTCACTGCAACCTCCGCCTCCCAGGTCCCGGTTCAAGCAATTCTCCTGCCTTAGCCTCCTGAGTAGCTGGGATTACAGGTACACACCACCATGTCCAGCTAATTTTTGTATTTTTAGTAGAGGCAGGGTTTCACCATATTGGCCAGGCTGGTCTTGAACTCCTGACCTCGTGATCCACCCGCCTCGGCCTCCCAAAGTCCTGGGATTACAGGCGTGAGCCACCGCGCCTGGCCCTAAGTGATATTTTCTAGCTACTCATTTTGCACCCTATTTTTTTTTCTTTTGTTTTGAGACGGAGTCTCACCCTGTCACCTAGGCTGGAGTACAATGGCGTGATCTTGGCTCACTGCAACCTCCACCCCCTAGGTTCAAGCAATTCTCATGCCTCAGCTTCCCGAGTAGCTGGGATTAGAGGCACCTGTCACCATGACTGGCTAATTTTTTTTTTCTTTTTTTCTACTGTTAGTAGAGACAGGGTTTCACCATGTTGGCCAGACTGGTCTCGAACTCCTGACCTTAAGTGTTCCACCTGCCTCATCCTCCTAAAGTGCTGGGATTACAGGTGTGAGCCACCGCCCCCAGGCCTATATATATTTTTTCTATTAGAATTTTAGTACCTTAGGCCAGGTGCCATGGCTCACGAGGCCTGTAATCCCAGCACTTCGGGAGGCCGAGACGGGTGCATCACCTGAGGTCATGAGTTCAAAACCAGCCTGGCCAATATGGTGAAACCCTGTCTCTACTAAAAATACAAAAATTAGCTGGGCCTGGTGGTGGGCATCTGTAATCCCAGCTACTTGGGAGTCTGAAGCAGGAGAATTGCTTGAGCCCGGGAGGCGGAGGCAGTGAGCAGAGATAGCGCCACTGCACTTCATCCTCGGCGACAGAGCAAGGCTCTGTCTCAAAAAAAAAAAAAAAGTGTAATACCAACAAATAGTGCCTGCACATGTTAAAATTTAATGTTTATACCTAATATGCTCTATAGGATGACTTGCTGGTTTTTGAGCAAAGGAACCAGATAGAAGAAAAATTTAATCTTGGGCCCGGCGCAGTGGCTGCAATCCCAGTACTTTGGGAGGCCGAGGCGGGTGGATCACGAGGTCAGGAATTTGAGACCAGCCTAACCAACATGGTGAAACACCCCTTTCTTTACTAAAAATACACAAAAAATTAGCCGGGCATGGTGGCATGCACCTGTAATCCTAGCTACTCGGAGGCTGAGGCAGGAGAATCTCTTGAACCCGGGAGGTGGAGGTTGCAGTGAGCCGAGATTGCACCGCTGCACTCCAGCCTGGGCGACTGAGCCGTGCTCCATCTCAAAAAAAAAAAGAAAAAAGAAAAATTTAATCTTGAATTCTAGGTTTACTTACAAATACTAGTTTTTCTAAGGGTAAAAAAGTAATATATTTAAAACAATACTACTGAAACTTGAATTGGGAATGACAGTTTCAGACCCGAAACTAGGGGCATGGCCCACTAATGAGGGGATAAGTTGAGTGAAAGAAAATGACAACTGTTTACAGATTTTGGCAACATTTAAACCAAGGCCCTTCTCCTTATGCACAACAACTGCTTTAACAGCTGCTTTTTTTTTCTCCCCCCCTCCCTCCCCCCATCTTGGAAATCCTTGTATCAGGTTTTTGAGTCATGATGCAAGAATCTGGGACTGAGACAAAAAGTAACGGTTCAGCCATCCAGAATGGGTCGGGCGGCAGCAACCACTTACTAGAGTGCGGCGGTCTTCGGGAGGGGCGGTCCAACGGAGAGACGCCGGCCGTGGACATCGGGGCAGCTGACCTCGCCCACGCCCAGCAGCAGCAGCAACAGGTACTGGGCTTTGGAGTCTTGGGAGGTGGAGGTGGTGGGTGCGAATTTTACTGCTGAATTTTACACTTAATCGCGATCTCGCGATCAGTGTTTTGTGTTCACCTGTCTGTCCATCTGTCTTTCTGTCTGTCAGTGGCATCTCATAAACCATCAGCCCTCTAGGAGTCCCAGCAGTTGGCTTAAGAGACTAATTTCAAGCCCTTGGGAGTTGGAAGTCCTGCAGGTCCCCTTGTGGGGAGCAGTTGCTGAGACGAAGATGAGTGGACCTGTGTGTCAGCCTAACCCTTCCCCATTTTGAATAAAATTATTCTTTGGAGAAATGGTTCCCACTGCTTTCATGCAAAAATAAAAATTAAACGAAAAACAGGCTTAAGCCTGTGAAGAAGGAAATAAGAGCTAAGGAATAAAAGAGAGAAAAAGAGTAGATGAGTAAGGAGAGTTGAAATAAATACATAGAAAGACAGGCGGAGATGGCGAGATAACAGCCAAAACATCTAGAACACGGGCATCACTGTAGGAAGCTGCTTCCCTCTACGAGTAGGATTTGGGGGTATAGAGTATTTACATATGTTCCCTGTATTCATGCAGCACTGGGTTTGTGGCTAAGTCTTACTGCTTTAAATTAGCTCTTATTGGTGCCTCCCCAAAATGTACATAAGTTGGGATGTACTCATTCCTGTTAGTTATACTTTTTACAGGTATGGACCTGGGTACCTGTGAGTGACTGGTAAAATATTTCCGAATGGTACAGGCGACCCAAGAAATAGTGTTCTGTTGTCAAAGTGTTGATAAATATTCAAATAAGTAAACAACATTTGCTTGAAGACTGGCTTTGGTTTTCCCGCCTTTCCTGATTCCTCGGAATCAGGAAATATTATTAGGCTTTGTTAATAATAATAGATGGTTTATGACCGGTTTTGTTCTTGATTTACTTATTCAAAACATAGTTATGGCGCCACTCAGAAACAGGTGAATTAAAAAGAATGAAGTATCTTTGGGCCTTTCTGAAAGCTGCAGGAACTCTTGTGGGGAGGAAGAAGATAGGGACAAAGTGCTCAAACCATTTTCTTGGAATCTGTGTCAGAGAAGCTAAGCTTGTTTGGGATGCAACTTGGAGACAAGCTATAAAGCATGTTTTATTTTCTCCTTGCGAAGAGTTTTTTAAGGAATAAGGAATGATTAGACTGTTAGCTCCTTACAAGGTGGTGGAACCAACATGAGCCTGTGGAACCTGTTGGGAGAAAGATGCAACAAAGCGAAAGAAAGGAAAAGTAACAGACCAGCAAAAGTCTTAATTCAGAGGACTTCCTGCAAGTGATTTGATCTTTCTTTCATTGGCAGCCCAAACCCATTTGTGCCTGCACCACTGGCTCACTTCAGCTGGAATTTGTGATGCTTGTTGTGTATAAACTTTGTGCATTTAAGTTAGTGCAGATGGCCAAATTCCAACCAGTGAGGTTGTTAGCAAAACCCAGCAGTAGATAGTAAAAGGGTCTCCGTGTATTTGTGCAAGTACATGTTCATGTGATGTTCTCAGCCATTTTATTCAGAACAAATAGTTAATGTTGCTGAATGCTATCTTCTGTGCCCTTACCAGACAAGTGTCAAGATTGCCCATTTCTTTATGAAGCACTTGAGCACTTGATATGGGGCTACTACTGACTGATGTGATACTAAATAATTAATATTTAGAGTACATTAATTACATAAATGGGAAATTCTGATTTTTTTTGAGGAGCTAAAAATCATTCAGGATCTCAAAGTAGTAAGCCAGCCAAAAAACTTTACATATAAACCATCAAAACATGTGCACACACACATGCGCCCACACACACAACAGTGATAACAAATTGGCTACATAGAATAAAATTATAAAAGCATATTTCACCAACATCTTCCTTAAAAAGTATCAGTTGCAAACATATTTATCCACATCTTCCTTTGGCTGTGTCCACTTTGGAAAATTTGTTGTTATGGGTTATTGACACAAAGGTCAAGAAATGTATTATGATTAGACTTTTATACTGTTTTTAAATGTTTTTATGACAGTTTTTTCTCCGTATGTCGTTGACACATTTTGGGAAGAAACAAAGCAGTGGGGTCTATCACTGTGGCTAAAACCCCCTGTATTGTGATTAGCAAAGCCTTTTGAAGTCTTTTAAAATATAACATTGACAGCTGTTCAACTCCCCTAAGTATATGATAAGGCTTTTAACAGGTTGTTGGGGAAAAGGGAAATCTGTAGATGAAATAAGAAAAACTACAGGCCTGAAAATATTTCTACAGGACTAGAGTTATCAGAGTTTTCTTCCAGACTGAAAACTGCGACAATTAGACAGTTTGGAGAAATGTGAGCATTCTACAATGGACTATGGTTGTTTTCATCATTTTTATTCTACAGGTTTTTACTTGAAGTGAGAATACCAGCAGTGAGAAAATCATAGCCATGCTGAATTCATTACTGCGGTAGTCACACAAAACCACGGATAAAATTTCAATAACTGCAGGCCACAGTTGAGTAAACAGTTGCACTGAAATTTAATTCCTGTTGACTTTTCCCCCATTCCTCGCCAGGGGCACATTCAGATTCCGTAGTACAAAGACAACAGGGGTTACAGCTTTGATTAATGTAGGACAGTGGAAGAGAATTAGAACTGTAAAATATGTTAGAAGTCCATGGAACACAAAGATCTGGCTTAAAAGGGCCTGGTATAAAAACGAGTTAATTACGCTGTGTGTTATATTGAATGTTGGAGGATTTTCCAGTTGCACCAATACCATCATTGAGGATACGGGGAGAGTTTTTACTCAGTGCCAGGATATAAAATAAATAAATGCAAACCTTTCCATGTTTGCTTCATATTATCAAAGATAATTACAAATTACAGCAAATGCCGTTTTCAGAATGGGAGGGCCCTGACAAAGATTCACTATGGAGTGCACTAGTTCCATAGTGAGTTTTGTTTATAGGTTGGCTTAATTGCGTTCAAATGGTATTGTCATTTCTAAAAATTAGTTAGTTGACAACCTAGAGAAATGGGGCAAATCTGGCTTTTCCATCTTCTTTTGAAAAATTAGAATATCTGGTAACCTTGGGCTGATAGTCCCACAACGGCAACAATTGTTGGGAGATGAATTGCTATTGAAGACAGGGAGCCCTCCAGCCTGCTCTCGTTCCCACCAGCAGCATTGCTCATTTATGCCTCTAGGTAGCGGAGTTGGCGATTCTGGGCTGGAAGGTAGACTCATCACTCAGAAGCCATCAGCCCAAGAGAGGTGCTGCCATTAGCTGGTAGAGCCCGCCAACACACTCACAAACTGTCTTTCTTCCTCAAGACTAAATGTATTATCTCTGTAATGTTTCAACTCTATTTATGTCTGAGCCATGAAACTATTATAACAATAGTTTTCTAATAATATAATTTGATAGAGTTTCTGAACATTTTCTTTTATCTGTTGAGTAATTCTTTACCCGATACCATAACTGCTTTTTATTTCCTATTATCCCTGCACCATTTCTATGTCTGTAAAAGTTGTATTGGATGTGCACTGCTCCATTATGAAACTCAGCAACAAATACTATTAGCAATTACTAAAGTTTTTTTTTTCCTTAAAGAAAGGATTTTAAAATGTCCAGAACAATTTCATAAACTGTGTGGATTAATGCATTTTAAAAGTCTTGAATTTTAGAAAGCAGAATTTTATTTCCATATTGCTGCAAATGAGAGCTTTTTCAGATAAGCATATTACATAGAGCATAATGTTTAGAAGTTTCTCCATATACAGCATATGCTGTCAGGTCAATTAACAGAATGCATACTAGAAAATGTTTATTCAATAAAAATGAATAGCTGTTAAATAAAACAGCTATTTCTTAACAACATTCCATTTAATGATGAGGTTTTTGTGGGGTTTCTTTCTTTCTTTTTTTTTTTTTTTTGGTACCACCTGGCAGTTTTATTGTCTGCAAGTCAGTATAGAGAGAGCTTTGGTTGCTGCAGTTCTGAGGTGTGGCTATCATTTTATATGAAGAGAGCAGTTTAGAGGGAATCTGTGAGAAAAAACTTTTAAGATATGCCATATTTAGAATTTGAACATGTATTATTTAGAAAGTGTGGATAAGCAAAGTGTTTACTTCCCGTGGCTTCTTTCTTTGACATCTGGTTTAAGGTGTTGGGTCTTGTGGCCCAGAAGACAGTGAGTATGTTTTAAGTTAACAATGTAAAAGAAGGAGAGAAAATGTGAAATGACTAGCAAGGAGGTGGGAACGGTAGATAGGGAACTTCTCTTGAAAAAGAAGAAGGGGAGTAAAGAGGACCCATCGGGTTGAATTTTTCCAATGAACCATTGAAGGAGGTCAAAGATTAGTCATTTCCCAGAACGCAAGAAGCTCAGAGAAATGGGTGGGACTCAGGCAAAGAGTCTAGTTATGTACATTCAAAGGGGATGTAGAGGCTGTCTGTGGTGGCTCATGCCTGTAATCCCAGCACTTAGGGAGGCCGAGGCGGGCTGATCACTTGGGGCCAGGAGTTGGAGACCAGCCTGGCCAACATGGCAAAACCCCATCTCTACTAAAAATACAAAAATTAGCTGGGCATGGTGGTGCACGATTGTAGTCCCAGCTACTCAGGAGGCTGAGGCAGGAGAATCACTTGAACCTGGGAGGCAGAGGTTGCAGTGAGCCAAGGTTGCACCACTGCACTCCAGCCTGGGCGACAAAGTGAGAATATGTCTAAAAAAAAAAAACAAATAACGGCTGGGCGCAGTGGCTCACGCCTGTAATCCCAGCACTTTGGGAGGCTGAGGAGGGCAGATCACGAGGTCAGGAGATTGAGACCATCCTGGCTAACATGGTGAAACCCCGCCTCTACTAAAAAATACAAAAAATTAGCCGGGTGTGGTGGTGGGCGCCTGCAGTCCCAGCTACTCTGGAGGCTGAGGTAGGAGAATGGCGTGAACCTGGGAGGCGGAGCTTGCAGTGAGCCGAGATCCCACCACTGCACTCCAGCCTGGGCAACAGAGCAAGACTCCGTCTCAAAAAAAAAACACAAATAAACAACAACAACAACAACAACAAACAAAGGGGATGTAGAAAATACAGTGCCAGAGGAACCTGAGAGAATCAGGAATTGATATCCCAGGGTCCTCTGAACATGGGAAATGGTATTTGAGGGACCATAGTATCAGTGTTTTAAGTGGGGGAGGAGGGTAGAAATACTTTTTTCTTTTCAGCATAAAGAAATATACAAGCAGGCTGCGTGCAGTGTCTCATGCCTGTAATCCCACCATTTTGGGAGGGCAAGGCGGGCAGATTCCTTGAGCTGAGGAGTTTGAGACTAGCCTGGGCAGCATGGCAAAACCTCGTCTCTACAAAAAATGCAAAAGTTATCTAGGGGTGATGGCACATGCCTGTGGTCCCAGCTACTCATGAGGCTGAGGTGGGAGGATCCCTTGAGCATGGGAGGTCGAGGCCGCAGTGAACTGAGATCTTGCCACTGCACTCCAGCCTGGGCTGGGTGACAGATTGAGACCCTGTTTCAAGAAACAAAAAATACACAAGCAAATGAAAATTATTTTCTTCACATTCAAAATGGCAAAATCCATCCCTTCATTAGTTTTTGTTAGTGAAATTGCTGGTGGACATTGAGTAGAAGAAGAAAGCTGTCTCACAAACATTTCCAGCTTTTTAACTGCCTCTGTGAGAAACAATGCCTGCAAGAAATAGCTGTTGGTGTCTGTACTGGCAGCAACCACCACTGGATGAAGGTGCTTATTGCATCTCATTCTTTGGATCTCATTTTTACCCATAGGCCTCTGGGGCACCATATTAAAATTCCAGAGGCCATTCCTGGCCTTGTTTCATACCTTATGGGAAATGACGCAGGTTATATGGTATGGATCTATAGGTGTAAAGACTGGGTAGCAATGGCTGGATTGGCCGTACCATTCTACCACTTTTTTCTTTGAAAAAGGTGGCTTATGAACTTTGTTAGAAATGCCCTCAATTGGCCTTTCCCGTTGTAGCTGCTGGAGACTGACTGTGTCTGAAAGGAGGGTCTCTTGATGCTGACAGGGAAAAGCTGATCAGCACCTCTGTGTCCTAGAAGGGGAACTTCCAGAAAGGGGGCATAGAAGAAGGTATTATTAGTATTTATTGAATGCTTTCATGGGGCCAGGTACTGTGCTGGGGGCTAGCACCTTCCCTTGCTAGTAGGTAAAAACCCAGCTGTAATTTTAAAGGAATTGCTATGCTGAGATACACTTTTATTGAAGACCTTGCATAGTTCAAATAACGTGAAAAGTATTGATGGTCAAAAATATTTTGTGTAGGAATCAATGCCACCAAAATGTTAGTGATAACCGTACAAACAAATTGAAACAAAACTGAGACAGGATTCAGATAATTCTGACAAATAAAGAAAAAGCAGCCACAACACTGACCCCCCAACATGTTCTTAATTCCCTTTGGGGCTGTTTCTAGAAAAGGCATATTTCACCCTGAATGCTAAATTTAGTTCTCTACTCTGTTAGTTTAGACCTGCCTTCCATCAAAATATTGTTGTCAAAGATTTATGTAACTTGTGATTTGAGCCTTGTATGAAATTCTTTCAAGTTTTGATTACTAAACAGTTATGTGTCATTAATCTCTCCATTGAAAATTAAAATGGCACAAGAAGCAAAAGAAGAAAAAAGACCTGTAACAGAGGAGAATGTGGTAATAGAAAGCCAGGTGCCACATTTCATTATGAGTGAAGTGTACCCTCTTGACTTCAAGAGAAAGCTTTGCCACTTTGAAAAGATAATTTTAAGCCCTGACCGGTGAGCTAATAAAAATAATCATAAAAAAAGAACGCCCTATCTCTTGTCTACTCACAAGTCTGTTTTTGAACTTTCAGGAGGTATGACTTTAATGGTAATTTGTTGACAGATTAGTTTCAGTGATTGCCAAGAGTTTGTTTTTGCAGAACTGGCAGGTCCTATCTGCTCTCTGAAGGCAAGGAACCTACTTTGCTGTTTTGCAATGGCTTGCGTTTATCAACAACTAGTGCTGAGCAGGCAGAATTGGAATGTTTATATAATGTAAACCTATAGCTCGCCTGATGGAGTCTAGTGTACTTTTAGGTAGTGCATAGATTACTTGATAAAAAGGGTTACAAGGTGACTGCTTTTATGACAAAGAAGAATAGCAATATAAATGCCAGTGGTACACTGAGCCACAAGAAGGAAGTTTATGTAGGGAATTGAACCCCATGTTAGAAAGTTTCTTTTCATCACTTTGTCTTTGAACTCAAATCTATTGTAATTATGAAGTGTTACTTGTAACATTCCAGAGACCCTTTGCTAAATACTGTGTTTGATTTGATTCATAAAAATAGAGCCACATTATCTCCCCTCCCCTGCCGACAAGAAAATGTCATGAAGAGTTTCCCATACTGACCTTGTCTCAGCTTTGTTGCAAGTGGGCTCATAAGTGAGCTCCACTAGAAAACAGCTGCAATTTATTTCTTTGATCATTTGCATATTTTCATTTAACTTTTTCTTTTTTTTTTTTTTTTTTTTTTTGGAGATGGGGTCTAGCTCGGTCACCCAGGTTAGAGTACAGAGAGTACAGGGTTGCGATCATGGCTTACATGGCTTACTGAAGGCTTTACCTCCCCGGGCTCAAGCGATTCTCCCACCATCAGGCTTCTGAGTTGCTGGGACGGCAGGCCAGCTGTTTTTTTTTTGTTGTTGTTTTTCTTTTTGTTTTCCTGTAGAGATATGGGTCTCACTATATTGCCTAGGCTGGTCTTGAACTCCTGGGCTCAAGCGATCCTCCTGCCTCAGCCTCCCAAAGTGCCAGGATTACAGACATGTGCCACCACACCCAGCCTCATTTAACTATTATTTATTGAGCCTCCGTATGTGGAAGAAAATGGGGGTGGAGGGGGAACTGATATGTTAGGTGCTAGGAAAACATGGGAGAATAACTTAGAGTTTACTTAGCTAGATCCCGAAGAATAACTATGGAGGCAGTAGGAAGATGGGAAGATGGTGAAAAGGCAGATTGGGTTCGGCTTATGGGAGGGTTCTAAGTAGAGAAGAAAGATCATATAAGAGGTGGTGTATTAAAAGTAAATGAGAAGGTTGAACCTAGCTGGCTTGGAAGGGAAGAAATCCCGGAGAGATGAGTGGCCATGACAGCGCTACTGCAGTTGGTCTGACATTTAGTAATCGGCCACTAACGTGGCCCCAGTGAATTGAGGGCACCCTGTTGTTGATCCCTCCTGGCTTCTTGAACATCTCCTCCTCCATCTGAATCCCTTAGTGAAGTCTAGGTTCCATCAGGGAATGGGGGCCGGGATCACCTTCCTCATTACCTGGTACTTCCACAGCACACAGCACAGTACCTGATGTAGGGCAGTTCTGTGACAGACTATTTATGAATGAGTGACACAGAAAGAGAAAGGAAGGACTGGATAAGAAGAGATTGTTGAGGGGAGTGTTGGGAAAAACAGGACCTTTTGAATTATGAGGTATGCAAATACCAAGGAGTGGGAGTTACCAATGATGAGTCAGGATGTTCCATCTTAATGACTGGCAAAATGGGGGCACCAATGAAACAGAAAGAGAGAGGCATGGGGAAGAACCTGAACTCCTTTCTTAGCTGCCACTAGGAGGTTAAGAACTTATAATAAAGGATGGGCTTATTTTGAAAAAGTCATTTTTTAAAAAGACTTCTACAGAAAGACATTCTGTGTAGCTAAAACTCACTATTTTGATTGCATATGTTTATTTGTGTTAAAATTATCAAGTATTTTCCATTTAGCCTTTGACAGTTACTAATGAATACATCTTCCAAAAGTCACATGGGAAGTACTGATAAAATGCTTGTGTTCCCATTGATCATGGAATGGGCTTATCTCTTTGAGAGAACAAAACTATGAAGTTAGATCTTTGATAAAGTCTTTGTTCCATATTGACACAAGCTTCTTATAATGACTTTGTTTTTAAGGTGGTGGGGGAGCGTATGTTGTGTTTCTTTTGTTGGAAAAGTACAATGTGCAATTATTAAACAGCTGGTGCTATTGGAAGACTCATTTAGGAGGTATAGATTAAACTGCCTGGGGACATAAAGGCCCAGTCTTCTTTGTGTATTTAAATTTAGCCATGCCCAGAGAGGGAAGGCAGGAAGCAAGCTCTGTTTTTCTCTTTAGTCCTTCCATGTGGACATTTTGCAGGATCTTCTGCATAAACTGATAGTGCAGATACCAACTGTGGAGGATATTGGATTTTTTTTTAAGGTTGGTAACCCTGTGTTCCCCTTGAATTAACTATTTTATCCCTATTGTTAGACAGCTCCTTTTTGACTGTACCAAAAATAAAATGAACTTCCTAACACATATTAATCTTCAGCAAAGTTTCTTCAGGTAGACCATTAATTTCAGAATTTATTATCCACACAAACACAACTGAGTTGTCAGTATCACAGCCACCTATTAAAAGAGACAAAGCAGCTGGTGGCTCACGCCTGTAATCCCCTTTGGAGGGCGAGGTGGGCGGATCACCTGAGGTCAGGAGTTCGAGACCAGCCTAGCCAACATGGCGAAACCCCATCTCTACTGAAAGTACAAAAATTAGCCGGGCGTGTTGGCATCCACCTGTGATCCCAGCTACTACTCAGGAGGCTGAGGCAGGAGAATCACTTGAACCTGGGAGGCAGAGGTTGCAGTGAGCCGAGATTGTGCCACTGCACTCCAGCCTGGGCTACAAGAGCGAGAGTCCATCTCAAAAAAAAAAAAGGAAAAAAAAAATAAAGAAAAAAAGAGGCAAAGCATCCACTGATCCTACATTCGTGTTTTTATCACATTACCTTGTCTCATCTTCAACTTCGGTCTCTCCACATTGAAGGGAAGGTGACATGATGTCTTCTTAGTCATTCAAATCCAATAACTTTTAATCTGAAGGTTAAGTAGTGAGATATAAACTAAGAGATGATAATATCAATTTTATGTTCACTGAAGGGCACAATATACCTCTTCCTAGTAGAGGGAAAATTGTGCGTAAAATGTCTTTTGCTTTTCAACAGCAGAGTCATGCCTCTCAGAGCCAAAGGAAGGAATATTTTTGGAAAAAATTAACAAAATAAGAGGTAGCATCCTAAAGCAGGGCAAAAGTGACTTTTTATTATTATAATTATTAAGTGTTAATTTTTCAGGGCTGCATGATACGAAGTAGTTCTCTTTATAGCCTCCTGTATTCACTCTTGATATACCCTTTACAAACTCAACAACCTTTTACAAGGTTAAAGACTGGGAGAGAATGACATAATGCTCTTTCTTTCCTGACTATTTTTAGTCCTAATGTGTATGATAAATAATACTGTGATAATATTGCTTACCTTTCCTCATTTTTTTCTTCCTATGGATGATATTTCCATTTCAACTCAGTAGGAATTCAACATCCAAAAGCATTAAGTGAAAATGCATTTACAGTGTGTATTTTTATGATTATATTCTGATTTTTCTCATTCAATTTCTATTTCTTATAAACACAAAGTTTTGTGCTGTGTGCTATATGTATATATCACATGTATTTATATAGACTTACTGTATCATTAGTAGTTTTTTTGTTTTTTGAGATGGAGTTTCACTCTTGTCGCCCAGGCTGGAGTGCAATGGTGCGATCTCAGCTCACTGCAGCCTTTGCCTCCCAGGTTCAAGTGATTCTCCTGCCTCAGCTTCCCTAGTAGCTGGGATTTCAGATGTGCGCCACCATGCCCACAATTTTGTATTTTTAGTAGAGACAGGGTTTCACCATGTTGTCCAAGCTGGTCTCAAACTCCTGACCTCAGGTGATCCACCCGCCTCAGCCTCCCAAAGTGCTGGGATTATAGGTGTAAGCCACCACCCCCAGCCCATTAATAGGTTCTTGGGACAGGAAAAGCATCACGCATAAGCTGAGTATGTGACATTCACAGTTATAATTATCAAGATTATATTCTGTAATGTAGTGATTCACAATTGTAATTGTCAAGATTGCATTCTGTACATAATTTTAAACTTGTCTCAGCTGTTCATTCAGTACCTTCTTTGAGTAGGGGCTAGGTATAAGGCACTATAACTCTGCAGACTACACCAGGAATCAGCAAACTGGCCCTTGGGCCAGATCCAGCCTGCCACCTAGTAAATAAAAGTTCTGTTGAAACACAGCCACACCCGCTTGCCTACTGTTGCCTATAACTGCGTTCATGCTGCAGCAGCAGAGGTGAGTTGTTGCAACAGAGATTGTGTGGCTCACAAAGCCTAAGATATTAATCTGACACTCTGCAGAAAGTTTGTCAATCTCTGGATTAATGAATGGCAGATGTGACAAGATTTGCCTTCTACAGACTTCTACCCTTACTTTACAGTGACAAAACTGAGGAAGCATTCGTCACTCTTTTCTAAATTCTCTCTGAAAAATATCTATTTATTTATACTATATATATTTGTTTGTTTGTTTGTTCGTTTGAGACGGAGTCTTGCTCTGTTGCCAGGCTGGAGTACAGTGGCCCTGTCTCAGCTCACTGCAACCTCCACCTCCCGGGTTCAAGAGATTCTCCTGTCTCAGCCTCCCAAGTAGCTGGGACTACAGGCTTGCGCCACCACACCCAGCTAATTTTTGTATTTTTAGTAGAAACGGAGTTTCACCATGTTGGCCAGGATGGTCTCGATCTCTTGACCTCGTGATCCGCCTGCCTCGGCTTCCCAAAGTGCTGGGATTACAGGCGTGAGCCACCGCACCTGGCCATAGGTATACTATTGTTTAAGACTTTGTTTCACAATTTCTGGAGTGGCAAAATTACTTCTAATTGTCATCATTCCTCTAGAGTTCCTTTCTAATCATTCAGCTGACAGCATCTTACAAGATAAAAGTTTTGACGTTATTGGTGGTTAAAAGAATCTTCAGCCAGTCTAGTAAGGAAATGGAGGTTGGACTCACTTAGTGAGTCACTCACAGAGCAGACAGATGTCCTTGGCCCTGGCTCCATGCCAAAGAAAATTAACATAAAAACATAACCTATCTTATGTTCATAGTCCTATAGTTGGCTAGAGGATATAAAAATATATTATTCTCAGTATCACCCTGCATTCAAAGATTTCATAATTTAGTAAAGGTGCAGTAAGACATAAACAGATAACATGAAAAGTTCTTACAATTTTTAAAGCAAATTGAAGATAAACTGTAGAAGAGATGTATATGACTAATTGATAGGTGAGTGATTTAGGTAATAAATCTTCAGTAGCCAGGAGAGGATGAATCTGTGTCTATGTTGGTGGGATTCTAGACCTTGGTGAAGTTAGGAAAGAGTCTCAGTATGTGCACATCTGCTGATTTGTTTTAACCTCTTCCATCAGGAGATAATGGATGGTAAGTATACACTGAACTATATGGGTTTGGCTTCTGACTTAGAGATTTTAAAGGCCCCAAAGCTGTGTCTTTTCCATTTTGCCATTTTAAATTTTGAGACAAGTAAGTTTGGATTTGCACTTGGAAAGACTAGAGGCACATGGTGAGGAGAGGTCTTCTTATACCATACTGTAGCATCTGAGCTTATTGGTCTCCAGGAAATGGCCTGGGACTATCTGTCTACCCAGGTGCAAAGTTGATTGTACGATTTCCAGAGATTAGATGTGGGCTGACAAGTGTGATAATTTAGTTGGTGTTGTCCATATTTCACAAACGTTTATATTGAATTTTAGCTAATTTACCTCTATTGATAATGGAGCTGAAATAACTGAAACCATAATACCTAATTTAAAAATAGTTGCCAAATTCGAAGGCATTTGCTCAATTTAGTTGTTTATGAACTGACAGGATTTCTGAAGAGATGGTGTTGCCCTTGTATTTTCTCCCTTCCAACTTTTCTTCTTTCCCTTCTTACTTTCTTGATTCTGTTTTTAAGTTTGTAATTGGATCACTTATATCTCACAATTTGCAAAAATCTGTACTGGCATAGTTCATGTTTCTAATACTTTTTTTTTTTGAGACGGAGTCGTGGTCTGTCATCCAGTCTAGAGTGCAATGGCTTGATCTCGGCTCACTGCAACCTCTGCCTCCCGTGTTCAAGCAATTCTTGTGCCTCAGCCTCCTGAGTAGCTGGGATTACAGGCTACTGCCACCACACCTGGCTAATTTTTGTATTTTTAGTAGAGATGGGGTTTCATCATATTGGCCAGGCTGATCTGGAACTCCTGACCTCAGGTGATCCGCCTGCCTTGGCCTCCCAAAGTGCTAGGATTACAGGCGTGAGCCACCACACCCAGCCTCTAATACCATCATTTTTATGTTTTGCAGGTTTATGGCCCCTCCTTTGTGAATTTGATGAAACCCAAATAACTTTTTCCCTGAAAAGTGTGTTTGTATGTGTAATTTTGCGATTGCAATTTCATCTACAATATGCCCCCCCCAAAAAAAAAAACGTTACACAGCTATTCTGTATGTTAATTAGATTTGCCAAATGTTTCAATCTTTTGACAAATACTCTTAGGCTTTTCTATGATTAGTTGATGTTAACTATGTTAGTGACCTGTCTATCTTTAATTTGGAAAAGGGTTCCTCTTTTGGAAGAATGCTTCCCAGTATGTCCCTGGAATAATTTCTCAGGTATTTAAAATGTAGCACTGTACACGCCAGCTCTGAAGCAAACTCTGGAAAGTAAGGTCATATAAAGCAATCTGTACCAAGAGCCATTTCATGTCTATTGAAATGTAAACACCAGATTTACACACTCTTGAAATTCTTCTAACTACAGAACCCTATAAACCAGTTGAAAGATCTTTGACTAAATGAGCACAGATTACAGTAAGTGCACAGACAACCCCTTATAGGGCTGAAGGCAGTGTAAATTTGTACACCCTATTCTGAGGGTATTTTGGCATTGGACATCAAGAGGCTTAAAACAGCCACACCCTTTGAATCAGGGATACAATTTTACTGAGTGGCTCTATGGCAGTCAGCAGTGGTTCTCAAACTTTTATGTGCGTGAGCATCATCTGAAGGGCTTTTTTGTTTGTTTGTTTGTTTTTGAGACAGTCTTGCTCTTGTTGCCCAGGCTGGAGTGCAATGGCGTGATCTCAGCTTACCACAACCTCCGCCTCCCAGGTTCAAGTGATTCTCCTGCCTCAGCCTCTCAAGTAGCTAGGATTACAGGCATGCACCACCTCGCCGGGCTAATTTTTTATTTTTAGTAGAGACAGGGTTTCTCCATGTTGGTCAGGCTGGTCTCGAAGTCCCAACCTCAGGTGATCTTCCCACCTCGGCCTCCCAAAGTGCTGGGATTACAGACGTGAGCCACCACGCCAGGCGCTGGAGGGCTTCTTAAAACATAGATTACTGGACCCACCCCTAAAGTACTTTATTCTGTAGATCTGGGGCAGGGCCTCCAAATTTGCATATCTATTTCTAGCTCTTCTTTGCTGCCAGTTGAAGAACCACTGGCAGAGTTTAACAGCATAGACTGTGGAGTCAGTATGTTTGGCCTGAGTCATGGCTCTGCCACTTGCTAGTTGGGTGACTGTGTAAGTTTCTCTGTGCCTCAGTTTATATATCCATCAAACGGAAATAATTTTAGCATTTAATAGTCTAAATAAAATGTATCATGCTTGGAAGTTTGCACACCACATGGTAAATTGTCTGCAAACATTAGCTTTTGGGTTTTTTTTGTTTTGTTTTGTTTTTGAGACAGGGTGTTACTCTGTCGCCCAGACTGCAGTGCAGTGGGGCCATCTCGGCTCACTGCAACCTCCGCCTCCTGGGTTCAAGCGATTCTCCTCCCTCAGCCTCCTGAGTAGCTGGGATTGCAGGCTCGCGCCACTATTGCCCAGCTAATGTTTTTTTGTATTTTTAGTAGAGACAGGTTTTCACCATGTTGGCCAGGCTGGTCTTGAACTCCAGACCTCAAATGATCCACCCGCCTCGGCCTCCCAAAGTGCTGGGATTACAGGCATGAGCCTCCATGCATGGCCAACTTTTGGTATTCTTATCATCATCACCACCACCGCCATGATCATCATCACCAGGAATTTAACCTACCGAAATAATGTGAGGCATGCAGAAAGATTTATGCCTAAGGATGTTCATTGTAATGGTATTTACAATATGAAAAATTAAATGCACCCTAAATCTCTAACCTTAGAAGAAGGTTAAAAAATGCTAACATATAAGTTTGATATAATATTAATTATATACCCATTAAAATGTAGAACATTTAATTACTTTAAAAATTATCATAATGTAATGATTGCTGGGGGAAAAACCTAAAAGCAACATGCTGTCAATGGTTTTTTTTGGGGGGGTCTGTTAATGGGATTATAGTTTATTTTATATACATTAAGCCAGGCATGGCGGCTCATGCCTGTAATTCCTGCACTTTGGGAGGCTAAGGCTGGAAGATCACCTGAGCTCAGGAGTTCGAGATCAGTCTGGGCAGCTTAGACCTCGTATCTACTAAAAATTAAGAAAAACAACAACAACAACAAACTTAGCTGGGCATGGCGGCACTTGCCTGTAGTCCCAGCTACTCAGGAGGCTGAGGTGGGAGAATCACTTGAGCCCCAGGAGGCTGAGACTGCAGTGAGCCATGACTGGTGACAGCAAGACCCTGTCTCTACTAAAAAAAAAAAAAAAAGAATATATACATATATACACACACACACACACACACACACACACACATATATATAGTTTACACTTTTCTGTATATCCCCAAATTTCTACAATAACATGTATTGCCTTTATAATAAAAATGAACAGTTATTTTTAATTTAATTCACATTCACACTGTTGGAAAACTCTTGTGAGATATATAAAAATGATATATATAAATGGCAGAGAATACCTGCACCTTGAACAAGATTTATTTTTTGCATAGGAATAAGGGAATACAATTTGTGCAGGTACAAGGATTTTCTCCCATAATGTCTTTAAGTTTTCCGCTACCACTTAGCTGCTCCCTGGTGTTATCTCTCCACAGGGAGATCTCTGCCTCACTTCTAGGTGCTTCCACCATCAAATTTGACAACCACTACTCATTATCTAACATTTTGTGACAAAAATCACTTTCCTGTCAATAAAAAGAGTATGGATTTTTAAAAAACCACATTTGTTTTCTTTTTCTTTTTTTTTCTTTTTTTTCTTTTTTTTGAGATGGAGTCTCGCTCTGTCACCCAGGCTGGAGTGCAGTGGCGCGATCTCGGCTCACTGCAAGCTCTGCCTCCCAGGTTCACGCCATTCTCCTGCCTCAGCCTCCTGAGTAGCTGGGACTACAGGCACCCACCACCATGCCTGGCTAATTTTTTTGTATTTTTTTAGTAGAGATAGGGTTTCACCATGTTAGCCAGGATAGTCTTGATCTCCTGACCTCATCATCCGTCCTCCTCAGCCTCTCAAAGTGTTGGGATTACAGGCGTGAGCCACCGCGCCCGGCCACATTTGTTTTCTTTAAATTTCCACCACTGCTCCCCACTTCTAAGTTTCTTCCCAGTCTGTGTGGGCTTAATCATGTCGCATGTCCACAGTCATTACAGATACACTTCGTTGCTTACCCCATTTCATGTTGTTTCTGCTAGAGACTGATTTAAACTGCCCTGGGGAGCTGGAAAGGGCAGGAGGAATATTTTATTGGAGGCATTTTGGAATGCCACTGATGAGAGTTGAAAACCCACCCACCAGCGCCTACACTCGATGAGTGAAGTTGGGCAAGTTTTGCCATCTCTCACAGCCTCACTTTTCTCATCTGTAAAACAGGGCAATAGAGATAACTTCCTGAGAGGGTCGATGTGATGAATATGCTAAATAATTTATTGACCTTGGCACAATAGCCAACCCTTTAAAACGTGCTCCTTACTTTATTATTGTCCTTTCTTAGAATCTTTTGAAGACTGGGAAAAGCCATGGTTGAGGTCTTGGGGACCCAAAGGTGGAGGTCAGGAGGGAATCAAGTTGTTCTTAGAACCGTTCCATTTTTTAGCCCACCTCATCCGCTTTATATTAAAATCCAATCATCTTGGGTCATTGTAGATATGGCTGTTGGAGACCTCCAAGGAGAACCCTTCTCCATGGAAGTACAGTTCTGTCTTTCCTCATTGAGGCGATAAATGGAACTCAGTACGAATTCTTATTTGACAGGCAAACCTTCATTTAGAAACTGACCTCTACTTGGAGACTGCAGGGAACCGGTTCTTGTGGGCAATTAGTGCCCCAATTTACCATTTTAGAAAAGAAAACACATATCCTAATCAATACAGAATTTCTCCACCATACCTACTAGCAACGTTACTGAAGGGGCCCCACACACAAATGTTTTAAATTTAGACGCAGAGTTAAGGACACAGTTTGCCTCCAGAATCTGAATTGAATCAGGGTTTTATTTCAGATAAAATCTTTGGGGCTCATAACTTAAAAAACACAACTTTTACTGGCATTACGCAATTTGCCACGGGTCATTTAGCAAAATGTTTGTATATGTAAGCCCAGGTTCTTCTTTTTAAAAAAGGAAGGGTGGAGGGCGGGGATTGGATTTTGCTGAAATCCAGGTGGCGTTTCAGTTTATATTTAATTTTAATTGGAAATCAAATACAGGCAAGGGAGAAAAAAATCTACCATGTTTTCTTTACTAAGAGTATCCTTTGGGGAGAGGAAGGACACTGCCAGCCAGATTTTAAGAAGCAGCTTTTTTATTGGCATGTCTATTTTTTTTTCTTGCTAAATTCTTGTGCCTGCATTTTTTTTTAAAACATCTACGATTTTACACGTGGCAAAGACTTTCATGTCTCAATGTTCCTTGCTGCCGTCTTTCTATATTTTCCATGGGATTAGTACCTAGAACCAAGACAGCAAATAATTATATACTACATATAATCAGTAGCTTCCTAGGCTGTTACCTGGTGAGTCTCTTTTTTAGGTTCTAGTCTGAAATAATACATGATTCTTGTGGCCCGTGTTGATTTCTGGAAGGCTGAGGAAGTTTCTAAAGAATCAAGAACAAGAAAAACAAAAAGGTGGGTTTTTTTTTTAAGCAAGAACTTTAGAAGGTCTTCCGATTTCTGAGTATAAGTAGCTGTAGGTGCATCTTGTAAAACTCCCATAAAATATTGGCAGAGAGACTATGGCATAATTAGAGAATGGTTGCTGAGTGTGCTGGAAGAGGTGGCGAGACAGTCACTTCACTCCACCAGTGCCTACAAAATATCCCATGTGCCAGAGCTGAGTGAAATCCTCAGCACTGGCTCTGTGTAATGCTTGGGTGCAATTCAGATGTTTTCAATTGGAAATTGAATAGCAAATAATTTTGAATTTTCAACGGCACAATTAATGACACATTCGTTGTAGAAAAATTAGAAGATGCAACTAAGAAAGCAAACAGAGAAAAAAGCTATATCGCTTGCAATCCTGTTTAATGGAGGTAACAACTGTTAACATTTCAGTGGATACCCTGTTTTCCCTTTCTTGTAAAAATCATGTCTTCTCATTTTATGTATTTGTATTCTCATTGCCACCATCGAACATTATAGATGAGAAAAGAGCTAGCAGTAATGTTGCTGATGAGTGAGAATTGTGAGGGTTAATTCTCTTACATGGTGTTTCACATTTTCATCTTAATTTTAATTTCACATTTTGTGTGTTTACAGTTTTAAGGGAAAATTCATGTTCTTGGTTTCAAGTGGCATCATTCATGGGCTAATGTTTTTCTAACTCCTCCCCTCTTCATCTTCTTCCAGCTGTGCCAGGTAATTCCATATTTAGGCACAATTCTTAAACAGTTATTGTTAAGACTTGTGTAGTGGCTCACACCTGTAATCCCAGCACTTTGAGAGGCCGAGGCAGGTGGATCACTTGAACTCAGGAGTTCAAAAACCTGTCTCTACTAAAAATACAAAAAAATTAGCTGGGCGTGGTGGCAGGCACCTGTAATCCCAGCTACTCGGGAGGCTGAGGCAGGAGAATCGCTTGAACCCGGGAGGCGGAGGTTGCAGTGAGCTGAGGTTGTGCTACTCAGCCTGGGTGACAGAAAGTGACTCCGTCTCAAAAAAAAAAAAAAAAAAGATTGTTAAGAGGAAACTTCCAACATGGTAAAATAGGTAGGCCATCCTAGTTTCAATAAATGAGTATATTTCTTCCTTTTATTGAAAATCCTGAACATCTTGTCAATTTTTTTTTTTTTTTTTTAGACAGAGTGCCTCCCAGGGTCAAATGATTCTCATGCCTTAGCCTCTCAAGTAGCTGGGATTACAGGCATGCACCACCACACCCAGATAATTTTTGTTTTTTTTTTGTTTGTTTGTTTTTTGTTTTTGAGTTGGAGTCTCGCTCTGTCGCCCAGGCTGCAGTGCAGTGGTGCGATCTTGGCTCACTGCAAGCTCCGCCTCCCAGGTTCCTGCCATTCTCCTGCTTCAGCCTCCCAAGTAGCTGGGACTACAGGCGCCTGCCACCTTGCCTGGCTAATTTTTTTGTATTTTTAGTAGAGACAGGGTTTCACCATGTTAGCCAGGATGGTCTCGATCTCCTGACCTCGTGATCCGCCTGCCTCGGCCTCCCAAAGTGCTGGGATTACAGGCTTGAGACACCGCACCCGGCCAATTTTTGTATTTTTAGTAGAGGCAAGGTGTCACCACATTGACCAGGCTGGTCTCAAGCTCCTGGCCTCAAGTGATCCACCTGCCTTGGCCTCCCAAATGCAGTGATTACAGGCATGAGTGAGCCACTGCACCCAGCTGTCAAAGATGTTTATGGGTTAGAAATTACTGGCCGGGCGCGATGGCTCACGCCTCTCATCCCAGCACTTTGAGAGACCGAAGCGGGTGGATTACGAGGTCAGGAGACTGAGACCATCTTGGCCAACATGGTGAAACCCCGCCTCTACTAAAATACAAACAAATTAGCCAGGTGTGGTGGTACGTGCCTGTAATCCCAGCTACTTGGGAGACTGAGGCAGGGGAATTGCTTGAACCCGGGAGGCGGAGGTTGCAGGGAGCTGAGATCGCGCCACTGCATTCCAGCCTGGTGACAGAGCAAGACTCTCTCAAAAAAAAAAAAAAAAAGACTGACTGGGTGTGGTGGCTCACACCTGTAAATCCCAGCACTTTGGGAGGCCGAGGCAGGATGATTTCTTGAACCCAGGAGTTCAAGACCAGCCTGGGCAACATAGCGAGACCTCATCTTTACTAAAAATAAAAAATAGCCAGGTGTGGTGGCACATGCCTGTGGTCCCAGATACTAGGAAGGCTGAGATGAAAGGTGAGCCTGGGAGGTCAAGGCTGCAGTGAACCATGATCGCACCACTGCCCTCCAGCTTGGGCAACAGAGCGAGACCCTTTCTCAAAAAAAAAAAAAAAAAAAGAAAGAAAGAAAAGAAAATAAACTATCAGTATTATTAGTAGTAAGAGTAGTAGAAGTAATAATAATAGCAATGGAAAATTTATGGAAAGCCTCTGCTCTCCATACTCATGCTTAGTACTGTACCTGTGTTAGTACAGTTCCTTCTCACAAGCACCCTGTGAGCTAAGTACTTTTAAAATACTTGTTCTACACAGGAAGAAACTTAATTAGCTGCCCACGCTCGTTCACACAGCTTACGACTGGACAAGCCCAGATTTCACCCTACATCTGCCCGACTCCAGAGCCTGAGCTCTTCATCAGAGCTCTCAAGCATCTCTTACTGTGTTTGTTTATTGTGGTGATGATCAGTTCATTCTGAAAGGATTTCTCCCATTTTGCCTGCTCTCCTTCCCCATTGAGTTTCCTGAAATGTTTTGTCATTCAGAATCATTCCACTTCAACCCAACTTTTCTTGCTGAGTTCAGAAAGCAAATACTAAGTATTCCCATAGACAGCAGCTTTTCCATTTCCACCCTCTCCTATTTTCAGATGGAGCCCTTATTTGTAGCAGATGTACCTAATTTTACTCTTAAGCAACTGCGCCTTGTAACTTAGGTTGGTTTCATTTCATTTCAACGGGAGAGAGTCCTGCTTCACACCTGTTGCAGTGTGTCCTTCCAGTGAACACCCAAGCCTGGCACCGTCAGACCGAAGTTAGCCTGATTCCATCTGTTTCTAAAACACTTTGATTGGAAGGCCTTTGTTTTCTTTCTTCCTTTTTTTCATTTGTTTTTGTTTTTGAGACAAGCCTTGCTCTGTTGCCCAGGCTGGAGTGCAGTGGCACGATCTCGGCTCACTGCAACCTCCGCCTCCCAGGTTCCATTGATCCTCTTGCCTCAAACTCCTTAGTAGCTGGGACTACAGGCGCCCACCACCACACCCGGCTAATTTTTTGTATTTTTAGTAGAGATGGGGTTTCACGATGTTGGCCAGGCTGGTCTTGAACTCCTGACCTCAAGCTGTCTGCCCACATCAGCCTCCCAAAGTGCTGGGATTATAGGCGTGAGCCACCGCACCCGCCCCCCGGCTCTTTTTTTTTTTTTTTTTTTTTTTTTTTTGAGATAGCCTCTTGCTCTGTTGCCCTGGCTGGAGTAGTACAGTAGTCCAATCATAGCTCACTGCAGCCTTGAACTCCTGGGCTCAAGCAATCCTCCCACCCGAGCCTCTCAAGTAGGTGAAGCTACAGGCACATGCCACCAGGCCCAGCCAGCAGGCCTTTGTTTTATCCAGAAATAGCAGAAATTCGGCAGTGCCTCTGGTGGTGACGTTTGCAGCATGCTATAGGCAATAAAGCTAAGGCATTAGGGTCCTGAAGGATCTGAACCATACCTCCAGCACAGAAAACTTTTCTGATTGCTGTCTCCTTTGACTGGTCAGGGGGATGGAAGTATTGCTTCTAAGAACGCGGAAATCTGGGTTTATTAATAAGGCTGCACATAATAAATTGCAAGTAAGTAGTGGTGGTTGCAACTGGTATTTTATAGACAACTGAAAAGCAGCTATTTTGAGTTTGACATGGTCCCCTTTATTGCCCTTGTGTTTGGGAACATGGAACCCGAAGACTTAAACTGTAGACTTTCTCCAGGTGCCCCAAACAGCTGTCACACACTGACAGGATGAGGGAAATACCTTCTGTGTTTTCTTAGGATTATGTAACAGGCTTGAACCCTATTCTGACCAACAAAAATGTATTTGGATAAAATATTTCTGGTACCTTGTGTTTCTTGAGGAAATTATTCACCCAGCTTCACTGATTAATGAGTTAGTCCTTTTGAAGTTGCCACAGTTACTTTCGTTATTTTAATAACTGGGGAGAGTGGATTATTTTGCTTCAAGAGTGATTAGCTCTGTTGAGAAAATGTCCTTTGCTCCCTGAGTGGTATTTTGTGTTCCTGTGTCTGTGTCTCACCTGCTTTGCTCACATAGAACACTGCTCCAGTCAACAAAGAACAATTGCTTAGCACGATAAATAAAAGATAGTACTCACAAACGAGGTATGATGGGACTTAGGGTAGGAGTTTTAAAGATTCATAACCTACAAGTCAAACTATGTACATTTCCCTAGCAGCAAAAGCATATATTTGTTTCCGGTTTAGGAAAGTCTTTACCTTTCCTGGCTTATTTTATGAAGTCAGCTGATTACCCGGAGTCCGTGAGTCCTTGCTTTACCATGAAATCACTAACATCTTAGTTGGTCACCATTCTGGATCAGCACAAAAGCCCAACTAACTAGGCTACAGAGGATCATTTTTAGTCTGTCTTTATCTCTCTCTCACCTTTGAAAAACAAGCTGATGGGTCTGCTTTTGAAAAGAACAGTGGAAAAGGCTGAAAAGCAATCTTATTTGAAGAAAAGTCATCAATTGAAAATCTCCCAGTTTTGGGGCTGCTATTGGAGAGGCAGGGAGCCTCCATTCCTTGAAGGTGTCATCGTGGCCACATACGTGTTGTCAGTGCAAAAAAGAGACACACTTGATGGGCCAAAGAAGTAAGTCAAGCTCTTTTGATTCCCAGAATGAGAAATGAAGTACATGCATGTTTCTGGGTGGCTTACATATTTGCCCCTCAAGCTACTTTGAAAGTCCAAAATAGGCCGGGTGCGGTGGCTCAAGCCTGTAATCCCAGCACTTTGGGAGGCCAAGGCGGATGGATCACGAGGTCAGGAGTTCGAGACCAGCCTGGCCAATATAGTGAAACCTCGTCTCTACTGAAAACACAAAAAATTAGCGAGGCGTGGTGGCAGGCGCTTGTAATCCCAGCTACTGGGGAGGCTGAGGCAGGAGAATGGCTTGAACCCGGGGGCGGAGGTTGCAGTGAGCTGAGATCATGGCGCTGCTCTCCAGTCTGGGCAACAAGAGCGAGACTCCATCTCAAAAAAAAAAAAAAACATTTATGTACTCCAACTTGGTCATACCTGCAATCTGCTGTGTCCTTGATTCTTCTACCCTTCTCTTCCTACCCTGGGGTATATTGGGGTGTGTGTGTGTGTGTGTGTGTGTGTGTGTGTGTGTGTGTGTATGCATGTGCATACATTGTGTATTCGCTTTGCTCCTTATTCCTTATCTGTAGAGTCATAGCATTTCTAAAATTCCTTAGATGATCCAGACTCACATTTTATGGATGAAGAAACTAAGCTCAGACAGAATAAAGGCTTTGTCCTTTGATTAACTTTTGCATGGATACCCCTGATGTATTCAGAAACAGTCTTGTGGGGTATGATGTGGACCCTTCCATGATCTGTGAAGATGGATGAAATCAGGAATTTTATTTCTATGGTACTGACACTATTAACAACAACAATTCATACATAGGGTATGTGTGTATTACTATGTACATGTATGTCTGTGTTTTCCTGGTTTCCTTTGTTTGTTTGTTTGTTTTTGAGACAGGATCTTGCCGTGTTGCCCAGGCTGGAGTGCAGTGGCTATTTAGAGGCAGCTGGGCTCAAGCAAATCTCCTGCCTCACCCTCCCCAGTAGCTGGGACTACAGGTGCATGCCGCTGCACCCAGCTTACTCTTAAATTCTCACTATCAGTTATTGGGAAGTGGGTTTTTCCCCCCTCCACAGTAATCTTTCTACAATAAGGATCTGTAAACTCTAAATTTTCTTTTAAGTAGTAAAAAAATTGTTTTTGGCTTTGGAGGCTGTTCTTTCTGTCACAAATACTCCATATGAAAGCAGCTATAGATCTTACATAAATAATGGATCTGTCTGTGTTCTAGTAAAACTTTACTTACAAAAACAGAGGACTAGGGCAGTAGTTTGCAAAACCCTTCCTAGACCATGCATAGATGGGTATTTTTTCTGTGTAGAGGGTGGTAAAGTTCCCCTGCTAATCACATGATACTGTAAGATTGGTAACTTTATTTTGTCACTTTCTTCTTCAACAACAATTACAACAAAAACTTCCCCATTTCATCCTTCCCACCATGGTTGGTTTCCCAACTCCCATTCCTTAAAGCTTCCTTCATTGTGGTTTTCCTGATGACTTCAAGCCCATGTTTTCTTGAATGCTGTTGGAAAGAGGCTTAGACTTCCCAGAATATGCCAGCAATCCCTGGTGAGATGACTTCAGCCCTCATCTCCACATCTAATTGTTATCAGCCATGCAGGAGATAACCTCGGTAATTCCTTACTAGATATTCATAGTCTTCATGAACTGGCCTATTGTCACCCACACCCCCACCCTCACTTTAAAGTTGCCTTTCACTGAATTTCTAACTGGAATGTGTAGCATCTTAACTTTGGCCTAGGCCTTCTGCTTCTCCATGTCTAATGTATGGTTTTACTAATGTATGACAGCTAATATGTTGCATCAGAAGATCATGCTATCCTATGCTTGCAGGACTTTTTATGCAGGGCAAGAACTAAGGCAAAAAGTGTGTGTGTGTGTGTGTGTGTGTGTGTGTGTGTGTGTGAATTTTTTCTTTTTTTTCTAAATTGAGGCAGTTCCCATTCTAGAAATTTTGTGAATAGAGTCAGGCTGATTGGGTAGTGATGGTGAGGAGAAGAGAATGGAGACTGGGGTTGAGACAGTCTCATGAAATATCTTACTGGCTGATTATTCCTATCCAACTATGATGATTTTTCAGAAATCTTTAGGGATACTGACTCATTTTCTTAGGCAATAGATGAGAAACTTTCAGTAGAGGGGGAAAAAAGGTGACCTCTGGACCAATAGGGAAAAAAAAGCAATCTCTCAAGTTTGCAAAATGCATGGGCTCTTGCGAAAAATCTGAGAATGTTGATAGAGGTTTCAGCCAGCCTGAGTGTTGCTGCTGTAACTTACCCTGTGATTTGAAGCAAGTCACTCACTCTTTGAGCCTCTGGATACGACTTCATTTCTAAGTTTACTTTTGCCTCTGAAACTGTATGTTGCTTCTCCTATCTTAAGTTTCTGAGTAAACTAGAAATCAGACTCAGTTTGAGACAATTGGCGCTTCAGTAATTTTGGGGGAAGGTGGTACCTCACAAATCAGTGGGCAGGGCAGCCCTTTAAAAATGGAATTCCAGGCAGCTAACGAAATTTCCCAGCAACAAGTAAAAATACCAACAGTGAATCCAGAAGGAAGAGGGAAGGAAGATAGAAGGAAATCCTCATTTTGAACACAGGACCAATCAACAAGGTGGGATGCAAAACTCTTGGTGAGAAAACCTAGGATTCGGAGTCCCTGCCCTCCTGCCTTCTGTCCTGGTGACCTTAGGCAGTTGCTTAGCCTCAGTTTTTTCATCTGTAAAATAAGGTTAATAATAACTGCCCTGCACACCTCAGAGGAGTATTAGAGGAAGCAAGTGAAGTGTTATAGGTCAAAATGCCTGGTAAGCAATGAAACACTACATAAATGTAGGTGTCACCATTATTGGATGCGATTTTCATTTGCTTTACATTCTTTGAGACTCTCACATATTTTGAAACCCGATGGATTCCCTCGAGACCCTTCATGTTGTTGTAGGACTGCAGGGATTTAGTTCCTTGGGATTTCTGTTGAGTAATTCTGCACATAACCAACAGGGCATTAAAAAGCAGGCATATTCTATTTTTCCAAGATTTTTGTTCTTTTCCTTTAGTGTAATGTATCAGAAACTTTTCATTTTATAACAAAAGGCACTGTTTGTGAATTTTCTTGTATTAAAAAAAAAGTAATGGAGGACTACCCTCGAGCTTCCAGAAAACAAAAGCCACGATATCCATGATTAAGCAAAGGAGGCTACATGAGATTTGGCAGGAAGGATAGCAGGTTGGGTTGTTACTTATCAAAGGAATATTTGCTGTTGGCCTTAGTATAATAATGTTAATGAGATTATTAGGTGGGGGAGATTTTTAATAAATAATTGATAAGGATTAGAAAGTGCCTTTTCTGCAAATAAACTTCAGAATAATTAATATTCATGGACTCTGTTTGTCAACAGAAAAATGTAAATGAAGAGCCGGTCCCATCACCAGACACACGTCCTGAAGGACATCTGTAAGATAGGGTTAAAGATAGAAAAGGTGAATGCAGAGGCCTGGCCCAGACCCCAGCCCTGTGTGTCAATACAACTTTTCACGTTGTTACATACACATTTTCCAGTCTGTGTCTCCCTCTGAAAGAAACCCTGAAATTCAGGTTGCTAATAGATTGTTGGTTGCAAGTATGAAGGACAGAGGAGGTAAGAGAGGAGGCAACTTGCTAATGCAAAAGCAGTGTACTGAAAGTCACTTTTATTTCTTATTTATAATCTACATGCACACTCTGGATAATAGATGACACTGCTCATTCAGTACTTTAACTTCAAAGCAGAGAGAAGCCATGGATGACAGAGCCGGGAGCGGGAATACAAAGGTACTAACAACAAGAGGAAAAATGCCTGTTTACGGGATTGCATTTGTTAGCACGCTCTCTTCAGATATTGTTCCCCCAGGAATAGCGAAAATATGTGCAGCGCGAACAATGATTTAACATCTGAAAATGGTACTTAAAGAGTTTCTGTCTGGTAGTAATGTGATGGAGGCTTCTGAAGGGAACCTGGGGACTTCATTTCTTCTATTTATCTATATGTCTCTCTGGTTTTAGTGAGCGGTAATTGCATATTTAACCCCTCAAATAGCTTTAACCCTCACGATGCCAACTTTTTACCCTGTATAAAATGTACTTTTATCCCAGCAAAGGCAGACTCAGAAATTCCCTAGCCAAAAAATTATTTAAATTAAAAAAAAAAAAAAGTGAGTGTGTATTTGTATGAATGGATGGAAGGCTGGATGGATGGATGGCTGAAAAGAAGTTATAGCAGCATTTTGCAGTTAGTTTTAGGTGAAGAATCATGCCCGCCTTCCTGGTTTGGAAGAAGACCAGTTAAAGTACAGATATTATAAAGAGTGAAAACTCAAACAAAAAGAAGAAAAGAAAGACGGACTAAAACAACTGTGTTTTTATTTTGAATTCATTGTGGCTGGAGCTCAGAGAGGAAAGAGACGGCCCCATGGAAGGAAGTTGTAGATGGACGCTGAATCAAGAGTATAAATTTGCCGCATGCCTCAGCAATATGGTTTTCTCAATTAGTGGTCGTTCTGGGAGGCCTGCTTAACAGCTTATGCGAAACAAATATTAACACAAATTGTATAATTACATCAAAATCCCAAATTCCTCAAAGATGCAAAATGGTTTTCAGCTAAGAATACGCGAGCAATAAAACATCCTATAGTCAAAAGAAGCACACTCCAAGGAAACCATGAAGACTGGATCCGAGCGACTTTCACAGTTTATTTTCATGGTATTTAAATTATGATACCAGTGGGTATTTTTAATTAGTGTGCACTTGTCTACATAAGCCATGTTGGCAAATTTGACTCATTCATACAGTAGTTGCTGTAAAAGAGGCCAGCACAGCCTGCAGGAATTAAAATTAAAAGTTTCTGCAAGCTGTTGTCGACATGACCATATCTCATTAACTTTAAAAATGGAGATTATTTGCCTGAAAGCTTGATTTGACTAGCAGTAATCAAATATTAGGCTCAACGGAGTGAGGGCGTGGGGGGAGCGTCATTGTTGTGATATATACCGCTAAGTGTTTTGCAGTTCACTTTAAATAGCAATATAAGATTTTTGTTTTGACAAAAGGGATAGGAAAGAGAAACACAGACATATGGCCTTGAAAGTATTATTAGGACAGTTTTATTTTAGATTAAGACTCATTATTTACTAAGTTTGCTGAAGATAAATACGATTGTGCTGATTACCAGTTCTCCTCTCATTAAGCAGGCTGATTAATTATCTGGAGTAGCTCCCCCTGCTTGATCAAAGTTTAAGTATTGGAAATGGGGCCTATCTCGTGATTATCTTTTCTTTTTTCAATGCTAATTGGCATGAAACTTAAATTTGTACATTCGATTCATCCCATCGTTTTAACTAAATATGATGGAGGTTGCAAAATTGTGCGTAAAATGAACCAAAATAGAAGAGCCTTCTTCTTATCTACTCTTTAAATAGCTTGTTATTTGAATTACATATCTGAGCAAAAAATCTTTTTTTTTTTTTTTTGCCAGTAATTTTTTAGCCAGTAATTAAGGAGCCTAATGTTGAAAACCTAAAGTAACTGAAATATGGTAGACATGGGCTCATTTTAGACCCTGTTTTATATTTTCTCAGGCACAAAAGAACATTTCTAATGCATCAGGATAAACTATAAGATGAAGATACATTTGCGGGGGGCGGTGGGGGAGGAAGGAAAGATAAAAGGTGCAGTTAAACAAAAGCCAGAAGATAAAGTCTTACACCTTTTTATGTCTTTGAACTGAGAACATGCTCTGCATTTTACTAAAGGAACATGAGGCTAGAATGTAAGTAACTGGTTTTTGCATTAGGCTCTCCCTGGAGGTAGCAGAAAAATATCATGTCCCTGCATGAAATGTGAATGTGAAATCTACCAGAAAGAAATATTTATGACCATTTTATGCTTGATTAGGCTTGGATGACATCTGTTAGAAGACAGGGACTGGACAAAGAGAGAGACGCTCGGGGGCAAATGTTAACGGAGTTGTTTAGAAGACGCTAGGGCAGAGGCGTCCATTTACTGCCAGGCAAAACACAGGAATTGTGTTAGCAAGAGTGCAGCTGACAGGCGTCCACTGTGATGGAGACACTGTAAACTGACTCGATGAAATAGTCAAATACAGCTGTTGATAGTCACGGCACCACCTCAGTTTATGAGCAGGTATCTATGCTTAACCCTGATCCAGTAACTTCCAGGATGCTGGCACCTTAATCAAGTTACATAAATGTGACTCAGCTGTAAAAAGAGCTCATCTTCACTTTTTCAAGTGAGTTTTACGCTCTCCTCCCATGCGGGCTCAGCAGCACTGAGAAACTCTTCTCTATTTCTCTGTGAAAGGAGAAGTAATTAAATCGCAAAGTTACCTCTGTACCCATCTATAACCTGTCTCTTTCCTTATCTTAAGTTTCCCCTGTTTAAAAAAAGAAAAATCTAGGCCCCTTGGTTCTATAGAAGTACTTCATCACTTTAAACAGTGCAAATGTTTGCCTAAAAACGGGGGAAAAAAGTTTTCCAGCACTGGCAAACATTTTATCAATTGTTAAACATTTCACTGTTCAAGTAAGTGCTGTTTGTCTGAAGAAATGGCTCTACCAAGAGTGGAGGTATGAGCAGTTATTTCATTCTGGTTCTTTTCCCAGCTTCTTTTCCTGTAAATTTTCTGTCTGGAATGCTGATGGGAAATGTTATTTTGTTTTTGTTTGCAGCAGTTCTGTTGTTTTGATTTTGTCTGAGTGGTATGGAAAACAGTACGTCACTTAGAGTGGGTGTTTTGTCTACCGGCCATTTGGCCATTGCACATATATTTCTCATACTTATTACATGATGACAAGGGAACCGACAAGGCACAATTTTCCAGTTGAATTTTTCTTTCCAGTTTAATAATAGTGAAAAAAGAAAACAAAGTTAATAGATTTAGCAGTTTGATGGTACTCATGATGTGATAGCTGACTTTGTTTTGTTTTTTTTTTCTTTTAAACTCATTCCTTGTGGTTAAGGAGGTATTTAGGTAAAGGTCAGATTAATGCATACATCAGTTTCTATAATAAACTGTATGTGGTTACAGTGTTTCACATTTTGCATAGAGTTGCGAAATTCGGTAATTTAAGCAGGAAAATTCATAAAAGGATAATAAACAATTTTAACGTCATTCCTATGATTAGCCTGGGGTACTCTTGCCCTGGTTTTAGGCCACATGTAACAAACCTCTATCAATAAATGCGTCTTAATTAAAATTATTTGAAATGAAATTTGGATGAAAACCCAGCATACAAATCTCAAAGAATAACTTAAGGCTGTTTACTGGCTCAGTTTGGACATGCTTTATCTGAAATCATTCTCAGCATTTGCAATGTTAAGGAACATATTGCAGGAGTGTAGAAGTTAGCTCTACAAGTAAGTAATTTTTAGTGTAATACAAAAATATAAAATGGAAACCACGATTAATTTTTCAGTTTCTCTCTGCAGGTATCTAATCATTGTACCCATGGACCGCCAGAGGCTCCCATTAAAGATTTAAAATGCAAGAGGAAGGTAGAATCCAAAAGATGGGATTTGGGATTAAATAATGTAAAATAACTGCAGGGCAGTAATGAAGTGAAAGCTATTGGTGCAGTAAGACATCCTCTTAAGACTTTCTTGGGATCCACTTAAAATATTGACACTGACACACAGTGTCAGAGATTTGATATAAATAAAATTATTTGTAACTGATTAAGTTCTAAAACCATGTTTTTCATCTTTCCGACATTAGCTTTCACCAAATAATAATAATCAATAATAATAACAACATCAACAAGAAACTATCAGAAAAGCTCTCTGAAAATTCACACGTGCTCTCTTACGCTTTAAATACTGCCCTGTTATTAAAGGATTTTGCCTGCAATGTTATACTAATGTATGTTGCTTCTTCCTTGAGGATTTTAGTTATAGATGGGGAAACGCAATGGTTGGGGGTCACCTGTATATGTCCAGAGTGATTTTCTTCAAATCAAGGGAACTTTTATAATCTGAAAGAAAGGGACATCACCGCCTTCGTATATAAAAGCTGTCAGTGCGGTCCAGCCGGGCTTCTCCAGGCTCTGCTGTACTGTCTTTATCACTTTGCTCAGTTCCACATAATAACATCTTCATCTGAGATTGCTGTGGCACAGGGGAACTGCATTTGTTGATCAAATTTGGCTGGATAACACTGTGATCTCGTATCCTGAAGTGCGGAGATGTGCCTGGAATATGTAAGTGCAAAGCTGGCCTCTTGATTGATTGATTCTGCCTGTCACAGAACAAGATAACCGGATCAGTAAATACCCTGTGCACTTCAACATCATCTCCACAATCAAAAGTGAGGGCATTACGGGGCTGGAAAAACACTGGAGCATGATGGGAATGCACACAATTCAGAAGGATCGTCAAGAACATATATATGTAGACACACACACAGAGAAAATAAAATTCTTTGTGTGTGTTTTTGTTTTTGCTTTTTGTTTTTTTAAGAAAAGGACAGCATTAAAAAAGTATTTTCTGTGTGTTTAGAATGCTTTCTGGTTGTAAAAGTAGTTTATTTTGCAGCAGTCATCTTGGAGGTGTTCAGCATTTATCATAAAAAGTTGTTATTCAAGTTTTGTTTACAGAAGAGATTTAGAATGCAGATTAGGGAAACAGAGCTGGAGAAGAGGCCAGTAGTGGTCTCAAGCACAAAAGGAGCTTGCACCCAAGAGTTGCTCCTATTAAAATAAACAAGAAGTTTAAACAGATGGGCCAAACACATGTAAACAAGTTGTTTAAACTTTTTACTAAATTCCCAGGGAGTGCCTTTCAAAATTAGCATGGGTTGCCAAATTTGGTGTTTAATTACACAGAAAGTTCAAGAAAAGTTTAAAGAATGGAACTGCGTGAATCTTTGGAAGATGGGGGCCGTAACAGGTTTCCAGGTGTCATTAATGATTCATGGCTCTGTGATGGTCACGCTAGCGGCTCTTGTCACCCCCCACTTGCTTGTGTTCCTCTCATGTACTTGTCTTTTCCTCTCATAAGACTGTAAGCTCCTTGAAGGCAAGGGCTGCCTTTTCTTCCTGTGTCTGTGCCCCCATTTTCCTGGAAGACTCCCTGCACATACTACACAGAAAATGGCAAGTGGGCCAAGGAGGCGCTAAGTATTGGGCTGTCTTCTTAAGTGTTTCTCAGAGTGATTGTTACTTCCCAAGATATTATTGGTCACCAGAATTTGGCTAATGTTTTAACCTGGAGTCATTCTTTTGGGGAACTTGTTTTCTTAATGTCAAGCAATCCAGTGAGAATGTTTAGCCTTCTGTCTTCATACAAAGTGAAAGATTGAGTTCAGTTGCTCAAACGTGGTGCTTCTGTTACCACCAGCAACACAGTTACTTGATGATCACGTTGCTTCTCATTCTACAACCTGGACTGGTGGCTGATGGAGCCTGTTGCCTGCCTCACCTATGAATTTTGCACAGACCTCCAAGTGGTTCGTGGCATGCCATGTGGCATTCTGGTTGTCTCGGATGCCTCTGGGTGGGTGATGTCTAGACCATTCTGGCCATATTTTTTCTTTTTTTGTTTTGTTTGGCTTAAATCGACACCTGTCCCCCTCCTAGTTTGCCTCCATGGACCACATGGCAAATTTAAGGCAAGGCAAGGTGGGGTTTAGAACCAGCCATTAAGACAAGAAACTTCTGTCTTCGAAGAAATTTCTCCCATGGAAGGAAGGTATACATTAGTTAAAACAAACATTTCAATAGAAATTTTTATATAGCGAAACCAGCTCTCACACCTAAGAAAAAATTATTACCACTTTTGAAATGTCTGGTTAGTCCTTTGTGACTGACTTGTTTTTTATTCGAAATGATTAAAAATGCCTTTTGGCAGAATTGGTCTCCTTAATTTTTTGAATATAAAGAAAGCTTAAATGAGGTAAACGTTCATTAAACACAAAAACATTCGTGAGCTGCTGATGATTTTAGAGAAGTCATTCTGGGAAACAGGTTTTGATTTTTTTTTTTTTTTTTTTTACAAAAAAATAGCTTTCAATTTGGTAAAAGCTATTCCTAGTAACGTTTTATAAAATCATCTTCTTTTCAGGGTGTGTTTTATTTCCTTTCCATCCCTTTCAGGAAAGAGAAAGTGTTTTATTGGATATTTTTGTTTCAGTCCTTGTTTCCATTATTTTTGCCAAAATTCATGGGAGTTCACTTTCCGTTTAAATGCCTGAAATATTCCTTGAAGAATCTACATTTTGGGATAGCTAGGAAAAAGGCTATGTAAATTTGTTTAAGGGCTATGTAAATTGGTTTAAGGAAGAAAATAACAGTTGTAACTCTGGTCATCTTAACTACTCTCTTTTTTCTTTATAACTTTGGAGGCAAATAATTTCAAGTATAATGCGCTGGAATGTAGGAAGAGGGGGGACATTGGATTTGAAGTTCAAAGAAAGTTTGCTGTTGGTTGTATGATAAAACATTTCTTAGTTTCCGAATGAAGGGAGAAAGTAAGCTTTATTCATTGAAAAAATGGTCAATAGATTTATTATAAGAAAACATAAAACAGGTCTCTAAAAAATGTGTACACGTGAAGAGATTAGCTACAAGATTTTGGTGAAAATAATCTTTCCCCTTTTGTGAATAGACTTTCTATAAAAATGTATTAGTCTCTGGGAATTAATATTGGGAAGTTTCTGTTCAAATTCCATTCACTGTTTCTAGCAATGTGTTTTCTCCTTTGGAGCCAACTGTGCTTTCATTACTTTAAATAGAGCAGTCGGGACCGGGCGCTGTGCCTCACGCCTATAATCCCAGCACTTTGCGAGGCCGAGGCGGGCAGATCACGAGGTCAGGAGATCGAGACCATCCTGGCTAACATGGTGAAAACCTGTCTCCACTAAAAATACAAAAAATTCTCCGGGCGTGGTGGCGGGCGCCTGTAGTCCCAGCTACTCCGGAGGCTGAGGCAGGAGAATGGCATGAACCCGGGAGGCGGAGCTTGCAGTGAGCCGAGATTGCGCCACTGCACTCCAGCCTGGGCGACTGAGCAAGACTCTGTTTCAAAAAAAAATAAAAAATAAAAATAAATAAATAAGTACAGCAGTCTAAGTTGTAGGTAGCATCCATGTTTATTTCTAGCCCTAACATGGAAGAGAAACCATCTGATTATATAGGCTACTCATTACTTTGGAACCAACTCTGTTTCTTTATTTGGGGATTGGACTGATGGCATGGGATTGAGCTTTCGTCTGTGCAGAATTTTACAGACAGACTCATGTTCTGCCAGGCAGACATTCAGCCCTTGATCTTCTCACAGTCGCCATTGTGAAGGAGAGCAAGCCCTTTCTCCACACTCTCTGTGGACTACTTTCTAACTTTTCTATTGTCATGGGAGAAAAATTTAAAAAACTGATTAAAAGGGGGCAAGTGCATGGCTTCTATGAAAACTCTACCGCTCTAAACTGTGGGACTGCTTGAAACTGTTTGTTTTGGCTGGCCTCGGTGGCAAGACTGACATATTTATGTAGCAAGCTCACATGTAATATTTAACTTGGAATTTTACACATAGGAATGATGAACTAAACAGAATATAAGGTTTTGTTGTTGTTGTTGTTTCCCTGCTTGTTCTGAAATGTGAGAAAATATCGAGTTGACAAGTTTCAACATGGTCACCTCTTGCTTGGCCAGCACGATTCATAATTAGCCAAATTCCTTGATAATGCTGCAGAGATTGGGCACTGAGCAGCCGCCACGTTTGCTATGCAAGAGAGTTAATAAAATTTTTCAGTGCTGGAGGAAAGCTTATATACAGTAGTCTGTTTGTCCTGTGTTTCCACCACCTGAGTCACAGCCAAAAAAGCAATTGTCTACTACATATTTCAAACAGATGCTGAGGGGTAGAAAGGGTGACCAGAATTCACAGCAATAAAATCCCGCTCTCTAAGTTCCCTTGAAGGAAGTGAACTCATAAAATTTTTGCTGCTGACTTATTTGTCCACTCCTTTGAAGTATTTAACATTAATTTCACCTATAAATCATTGGCACCTCAATTTTTCATTGAAGTATCAGGACTGTTAAAGACATACCCTGGATGTGCCTGGAAAAAAAGATTTGGGAAGCAGATCCACTAATTTAACTGTTATTCACGTGCATCGTTTTGGTTGAAACCAATCCTAGTTACCGTCAAAGTTCTCTAACTCAAAGTCCGTTTTCTTTCTAGTTTGTATTTGTTTGTGCATATAATTACAGAAAACACATTTTAGATGGAACACCAGCTTGCTTTTTTCAGTTTCTTTCTGTTGCATTGATACATCTTCTAATGGGGAAAGACATATGATGGTACTTGGAAAAATGATGACAGCCGTAACTGGAATAATAAATGCTACCGGGAAGATTTTATCAAATGTAAAAAATAAAAATGAAGAGATCAGCCTTCAACTCAAGTACCCAGTAGCTAGACTATCAGTAGACAAGGTCTCCTACCTCATTAATCTGTGGGCTTTGATTAATTAACATATGTGGATAAAGGGGTACTATGTTCCAAAGGAAGCTTTTTGGGTTCTTTTTCCACATGTTGGCAAGTAACAATGGGTGGGGCTTCACCAGACACCTGCCCCTGTCTAAGTTTCTGTGCCTCCTGTCTCTATCAGTTTGACTTTTGCCACTGAATGTAAGTTCCAATAAGGTGGGGACCTTGTTTATGACGTTCTCTGCTATATCCTTGGTGCTTGACAAATAGTAGGAACCCAATAGATATTGGATTGGAATGGGCAGTTATTCAAAAAGTCTTAACCATCTTAACATTGGATGTCTTAATGGTACTGGCTCCCCCTTCAGTCAGAATAAAACTTCTAAAAGGATCATATGGACAATGCTTATATCAGTAGAGATGTATGAACAAAGGCTGTGGGAAGCAGTGGTTAATCAGAATTCTGGGCTAGTATTTAGTTGCATTTGTCCTAGTATTTTGGCCAGGTTTCAGTTAGCTAAGCATCTCTTATACCCTGTAATTTAGTATATGGTTTCAGCTCTCCAAATAATGGCTTGCTAATGGTAAATGCTGTTTAACTTTCTAATTCAGAGGAGCTACCTGTTCAGCAGAATTTTAAAAAATTGTAAGTGATGATTGAAACCAGGTTAAAAAGCACTTAAGGTACATCTGGCTGTATGCTTGGTGTCTACTTCGATTGGCCTGTGGCTATCATTATTCTTTTTGACTCTGCACATAAACTGCGGGTAGGGATTTTTCCTCAATTGGTCCAGAACTGAAACTTATCTATACTAAGGGAGCTTTTCCCTTTTGGGTGAATAATGCATCCTTCTTTTAGTTGCTGTGATGTGGAATGTTGGCTCAGTTTCTCTCCAGTGCCTTCAGTTATAGGTGCTCATCACTGTTGATTTTTATCTATGTAGTGGTTCTTGTGACTTCCCCATTCCCTCTAAGGACATCTGAATGTGTTGTTAAGTGATGCTAAAATTATAACCACTTAACAGATCTCTGTATCCACTGTTTTTGTTCATCCCACTCATCAAAATTTGGTTATTCTCTGTAAAGCACAACTCTGATGGCATCATTGTCTTGCTCCCTGTTTCTTAGGAAATTGAGCTTAAATTCTCTTGCTTGACATGCAGGGAATCAGGTGGATTAAAAGTGGCCACACATTCTTTTCCATTCCTTTCTTCAAGAGGTAGAGTCTAAGTGCCTTCTCACATTTACTCTGGGCAGCTGCGCTTTTCACTTGCTTTGGGCAGTAGAATGCAGTGGAAGTGACACTGTGCCAGTTCCAAGCCTGGTGGCTTTCTCTTTGTTCTGTAGGAACATGCTTGCCACTGCTGTGTCAGGAAGCTTGGGCCAAATGGCTGAATGATGAGAGGTCACGTGGAGAGAGAGGAGGGAGGATGAGAAAGAGAAAGAGACAGACAGGAAGAACTGAAGTACCCACATCTTGGAGGCCCAGATGAGCTACCAGCTGAATGCAGCTGCATAAATTACCCCAACCAAAGAATCGCCTAGCTGAGCCCAGCCAATCCCCAGAATTTTGAGAAAAAACAAATTGTTATTTTAAGCCTTCTGCGTTTTAGGATAGTTTGTTACAAAGGAATAGGGAACTGAAGCGGGAACCTTGGAAAGCAAGCCTCAATTTATCCTCCCATTCTTATTCTACATTTTCTTAGACCTTCTAAAATGTCAGGCACGTGTGACTCAGAAACCCACAAAAATGATTAGTGCTTCTCTTTGCTTATGCTATATCTTACTCCTAGAATATGTTTATACTCTATGCTTTGTACCTGGGAAATTCCTTAAGTTCAGTCACTCCCGTCTTTGGTCTTTCCTAAGGCCCCCATGACTCAGTGACTTCTGACCTCTCTCAGGCTTCTGTAGTTCAATCTACATTGGTATGAGGTTGGGGGAAAGATGATCATTAACTATTTGAGCAAGTAACATTCTCTGTGGAGGCCTTCGTTTCTACATTTGTATTAATTATCTGGCTGATTTTTCAAGTCTCAGCCTTCAGTATTCTAGAACAGATGCCCAATAAAATGCTGTGCATTGGTCATGGAATTGTTGATTTATCTGTGCAGTCCCATGAGGTAACCACTAGCCAATGTAGCTATGGAGCACCTGAAATGTGAGTGCAACTGAGGAACTGACTTCTTTATTCTTATTTAATTGTAATTAATTAATTTAAATAGCCACATGTGGCTAGTTGCTACCATTTGGGGTAGTAGGGTTTTAGAATTCTCTGGAACTCAAGTGGAAATATCTGTTTTCACTTAACGCCAACAGTGGTTTATCACTTGATTTTCACAAGATTATCAGCATTTGCTCTTCAGGATCACTTTTCAGGACCACAGATAAACAACCCAGTGGCCAAAGTTTTCCCAGTACCTGACCAGCTCCCTCTTACCTTAAATTTTCTCTTGCATTTAGAATCCTCACCTCCACCTAGAGCCAATGCTGAGACCAGTTATCTCTAGGAGTGTAAATCATCCTTTACCTTTGACCACAGCCCAAACAGAGACCAACAGGCTAGTGTGGAGTTGCAGTGTTTTACAAAACCCCAATAGGCCCAAGTTGGGGAAAAAAAAAAGAAATACATACACGGCAGTGTCAATTGAAAACCAGCCGGGTGGCAAGAACAGCGTGGTGAGGATGGAGCTGCCTTCGGCCCTTTGGTTGATTGGGACACAGTGGAGATACTGCGAAATTACCTTTTTTATTGGTTCTTGAGCCTTCTGCAGTAAATGCCTCTTCTTGAAGGAAGTGAACAGAATCCTTGTGTTCAGCTTGAATTTAGCACATGTGCATGACAGTTCTACACTTAATCTGTAATTCAGCAGAATCAGGACCTGTGGCTGTCTTACATTTGGGCTAATTTTTCTTATGAGCGTAACTGTGTTAATTAGTTCTTCTTTTGCTTATGTTTATTGTCATAAAAAATCAGTGGAAAAGTTGCATCCATTTTATTGTGTTATAAAGTATTATCATTGATAAACCCATTGTGTGTGGATCTTCCTAGATCTTGATTTTTTTTAAACCTCTTGTAAGGTAGGAAATGGAATATTAGTAAAGCCTTCCTGCATTTATGAACCAAAAGTTGAAATATCATAGAAAGGACTGCTGAAGGTCAGTTGGTCTCAACTCCACCTCACTGTACCCAGTAAGGGCTATTTATAATCAAAGAGAATGGGTTATTTGTGTAAAAAGCTCTCCAGGAAGAGAAATTCGCCAGCCTCCCTTGATGAAGCTGGGTCCGGTCAAGGAACTTACTCTTGAATCTTACTCAATTCACTTGCTAGCTCTCTTTCTTCTGCTGCAATTTAAGGCAATTTCCTCTGTCCTCTCTTGTTATAGAAAATAACTTGTTGGCATCTCCTTTGTAATAACCTGTCATATACTTGAAGGCAGTTATTAAGTCACCCCTTAGCCTTCTCTTTTTCAGGCTAAACCATCATAACCCTTTTAACCTTTCCTCGGAGGCTCCATTTTCCATCCTCTTAATCATTTTACTTGCCCTTCTCTGGATTCTCTCCAATCTTTTACAGTTTTCTAAAAACGTGAAATCAGGAAGCAGGTCCTTTATACATTACTCTCAGTTTCTGCTGATTTTCATGCGTTGTTTTTCTTTTAATTTTGAAGTACTTTTCAACTTTTTTTTTTTTTTTTTTTTTTTGAGATAGGGTTCCGCCCTGTCACCTAAGCTGAAGTGCAGTGTTGCAATCATGGCTTACTGCACCTCGACCTCCTGGGCTCCAGGGATTCTCCTACCTCAGCCTCCAGAGTATTTGGGACCAAAGGCATGCGCCATCTTGCCCAGATCATTTTTGTATTGTTTGTAGAGGTAGGGGTCTCCCTATGTTGTCCAGGCTGGTCTCGAACTCCTGGGCTCAAGTGATGACCCACCTTGGCCCCCCAAAGTGCTGGGATTACAGGCATGAGCCACCTTGCTTGGCCCTTTTCAACTGTTTATTTCCACATTCAAGCCAACCTTTGACAACGTAACATATCAGGATTTGTGATCACCATTTACCTTTTTTTTTTTTTTTTTTTGGTCTGTGGGCTGAAAGAGAATTCCAGAGGTCAAATGACTTTACCTTTCAGTCTGTGTTTATCTGTATGTTAATTTGGAGTCCTTTTAGTTTACTTCTGTTATGTTATTTACATGAAGACTTTCTCTGTTGCCTGTACCATATATGAAAAGTTTTAGAGCAGAGCATTCAGCAGACAGTGAAAAGGGAACATGCTTTGATTACTGAGCTCTCATTGGTTTCATGATCCCTGCTCACCCCTGCCTAAATGGCAGTGTCTTTGTCATCCATACCTTAGGATGAGTGCCTCAGAGGGACAGCTCAGGGGCCTCCTAACTTTGTCTGCAACTTGTCTTTCCCTTTCTGCAGGTAAGTGGGTAACATTCCCTGGGCACTATTTATTATATCATCTACTTGTGTCTTCTAACAAGCTCAGGCTCTGCAGTTACCACTTTTATTTATTGATCTACTACCTGACTTCTCCCCTTCAGGCACTCACTCACTCTTTCTGTCTCTCTTCTGTCTTTCTTTTTTCTTTCTTTCCCTTTCTTTCTTTCCCTCCCTCCTTCCCTCCTTCCTTCCTTCCCTGCCTCCCTCCCTCCTTCCCTGCCTCCCTCCCTCCCTCCCTCCCTCCCTCCCTCCCTTCCTTCCTTCCTTCCTTCCTTCTTTCGTCTTACCCTCCCACCCAGGCTGGAGTGCAGTGGTGCAATCTTGGCTCACTGTAACCTCTGCCCTCCAAGCTCAAGCGATCCTCCCGCCTCAGCCTCCCCAGTAGCTGGGACTACAGGCACACACCACCACACCAGGCTAATTTTTGTATCTTCTGATAGAGATGAGGTTTCACCATGTTGGCCTGGCTGGTCTCAAACTCCTGACCTGAGGTGACCTGCTTGCCTCAGCCTCCCAGAGTGCTGGGATTATAGGCATGAGCCACTACTCCTGGCCTCCCTCCACACTTTAGAATAGAAGCTTCATGAGGACAGGCACCTTGACTAGCTTCTTAGCCCAACTTTGTATCACTAGCCTCTAACTAGCAAAGATTTCTTCATGAAAGGCCAGAAAAGAAGTGAAGGAACAACCTGGTATCAGAAGATTTACATACTTAATGCTGTGGGTTCACAGTGTGACATTTGGCAGTACACTGGATATTACTGGCATTCCTTTCCTCTCCTATTTAATCAATAGGTTAAAGGATGTGTTCTAAAAGTTATATAAATCTCTACAACTCTTCACCTTTACAACCATATTCAGATTTAATGATTTGACTTTAATTTTCACCTTTTTGTGGGGCAGGTATGTCGGTAACATTCCAATTTGTATTTAAGAGTCATTTCAGGAGTAAACTTTTTCACACTGCCTTATCTTTTTAATATTTTGGTGTGATTTTGTTCTTGGATCCAAAAGACTATTTTTAAAAAGGCATTCCAAATTTGGAGGCATTCAAGATTGAGAAGTCCTTTCTGTGTTATTCTCTCCTCCATCCCCTCCCTCTCCTGAACCTTCTCAGCAGTCTCTTTTCGTTCTGTGTTCCAACACTCCAAAAACATGTTTGAAAATCTATACCTGTTTGGTTGTCCTATCAACATTCTCCTGGTGGTTTGCCGCCAAGGTTAGATCCAGACCTGAAGCCACTTGATTTAATTAACCTGAGGTGGCATCATCTGCTTTGCTTCTCTGCATTGGAAGTGTATGCTCCTCCACTCTCTTGTGCTTTTCCTGTACCCTCTGAACCAGGCAGTCTTTCTTTTTACTAGGCCTTGAAACTGGCTTTTCTTTAGTCACCTCGTGGTCAGGACATGCACTGTTCACCAGCTTTTCAGTCCTGATTAGCCAGCCTGGCCCAGTGTGGCAGGCAGGACCAATGGTTGCCCAGGTGTGCTGGACCTGAGCAGCCTAGGAGGCCCACCTTCCTTCCTTTTATCTCCTGGACTCCTTGCTGTGTATGGAAGCATGTCAGAATCATAGAGATTTTGTCTTCTTTTTTGCCCATTTCAAAAATTCTAGATGTCCAACTAGCCTTTGGGCACTAAAATCAAGTTCCTTTGGATGATGTTGAATTACCACTCATGCTATGGCCTCTGCCCATTAGAAAAGAGCTTATCCTCTGTTTTCCCCTGCACCATTCCAAGCCCAAATTCTGGCAGGACCCTGAACTCTCCAGGCTTCTGACACCTCTGTGCCTTTGCAAATGCTAGCCTCATTCTGCAAAATACCTTTCTCTTTGCTCACTCTTTTCCCCCCCTCCCAGGCTCATTTAAATTCTTTCATTTTTGGAAAGGCTTTCCCCTCTCCTCCTGTTTGGTGCACCCCTCCATTGAAGCACAAATGCTGCTGGGTTGTAGTTAATGGCTGAATTAAGGCCTTTGAGGCTGGCAATGTTGTATTTACCTCTCTGTGTTCAGTGCTAGATGCTGAGTAGGTGCTGAGTGCATGATGAAAGAAAGTGATACAGGGAAGAAGGTAAGAGAGCAGGAATGAGGAAGAGGACCCATCCTTCATTCCCAGAGCCATGCATCATGGGATCCCCAGGTTACTCACCTTCTCTTGAAAACTTTCACCCCCCCTCCCCCTGGAGCTGGTTCCCTTTTCCTTGTGATGCTTTGCTCTGAAAGATCACTCAGTCGTTCAGCAGTCCTCCTGATTTCTCTCTCAATTAAGTGTTCATCTCTGGGCTGTGTCCTCCCTGCAGGAGAGATTGCTGTCAGACAGGCAATCAGTGAGAACCCCAACTGAGCCCTACCTCCCTTACCAAAGAAGTTCATGGCCAAGCCATTTTTATTTAGCAAATAAGGGCTTGTTTTCCTTGATTGTCCAAAGCACAAGGGGAGAAAAACCACCCATTGGCTTCATGTTTACCTGCACTGCGGGGCTGTCTTGTCTGTTTCAGTTCTGTTTCACATGTGGAGTTTTCACTGATTTCAAGAAGGAATGTATGCATGGAGTTGAGCAGGATACAGTATCCTGAATGAGGGCTGAATGTTCTGCACTAGAAGTGAGCGTATCAAGTCTTTGTAACTAAGAATGTGATGTTAGATTGTAGCTGAGGGGAAGAAACACAAATGGCTTGGGTTGTATCTAAATCCTGGGTCTGCCAGGTGAAAACTTAGATGTTGCTTTCAAATGACACTAATGATTTCTTTCAGTGCTGTTTAGCATGAGTGGTCATTGCAAAGAGCTGTGACCACTGTACTACCCAGTATGGTGGCTACTGGTCCCATGGGGCTCTTGAGCACTTGAAATATGGGTAATCTAAATGGAGATGTGGAAAATACAAACTGGATTTTAAAGACTTAGTAAACTTAGTATTTTGAAAGAGCAAAATAGCCCATTGACAATTTTATGTTGATTATACATACATTAATTTTACTTGTTATCTTTTACCATTTTTAAGTGCAGCTACTAAAAATTTAAAATTCTGTATGTTGCTTACATTATATTGCTCTTGGACAGCACTATACTAAAGGCATAAATGTAAGATTGTGTTTCAGAGGGCACCCGAGCACTGCTTGGTTTATATGTATTTTCTAGGCCTTCCCTTTGGTTCCCTGGTTACCTTTAAAAATACATGTCATGATATAGACATGGCATATCTGAGACAAACCTTGGACTGAGACAAACCTGAGTTTCAATCTCAATTGTTTGTTTGTGGCTTGCCTCTCAGCATCTTAAATTCTCTGAATCTTAAGTTCCTCCACTGTGTAAAAGAAATAATATCCCTCTGACCTCACTGTGGTTAGGCAAGAGACAATGCAGTGATTTTTTCAGTAATATTATGAGACATTTTATTACTATAATTAAATGATTGTATTTTCCCCAGATTGACAAATTCAAATTTTCTATTTTGAAATCTTATTGCAAATGTTAAAAAAACAAACAACCCACCCTTTGGCTCCTGTTATGTTGTCTTCCAGCTGCTAGTAATGGAATTGGGACAGCTAATGTTCCCTGAGAGCCATGGGGAACCAGGCAGTGTGCTTTTCAGGAACTGTCTTACTTTATCCTCACAACAATCCCAAAAGGAAAAACCTAGTTTTATCTCTATTTAATAGCTGCAGTGACTGAGGCACCGCAAGGTTAGGTGACTTGCCCAAGGTCACACAGCGAAGCATTGAGCCCGGGCAGTCCAGCTCTAGAGCCGTGTTCTTTGCCTCCGCCCAATATTGTCCACCAGTGAGGAGAAGACGGAACCAAAGAACCAACAGTGAATGAATACTAACAGGAATCCTGGCTTTCATGGACATCTATTCTTGTGATTTGACAGTGTATATGTGAGATACTTCCTCTTAGAATGCTTTTTCTAATTCATACAGTAGGCTTAAATATGTCATGGTTTTAGAGTTTTCCTTAAGGAATACGTTGATTCCCAGGCACATTACAGTCTGAATCAGTCTTAAGAAATTCCAGGATAGAGGTGGAAGAAGTTTTAGTAAATTGTTGTGCAGCATGGTGACCGCAGTTAATAATAATGTATTATATATTTCAAAATTGCTGAAAGAGGAGATTTCAAATGTTCTCACCACACCCACACACACAAAAAAATGATAAGTAGGTGAGGTGATGGATATATTAACTAGCTTAATTTAATTTTTCTCAAAATATCACATTATATTTCATAAATACATTCAATTATTATTAGTCAATTGCAAAAAAAAAGAAGAAGAAGAAGAAGAAGAATGCAAAGGGGAAAAACAAAATTCCATAGAGTTATATGAGAACAAATAGATTACACAATATCTAGACCACAATAAATGTTTGCTTTGTGTTTGAGGGCCTTGTGTCAATTGTACATAATCACTATGGACCTAGTATGCTACGTGTCATATGTGTATAGTAGGGGCCCAATAAATGTTATTCATTAATGTTTATTGCCGTACCTCTGAAAACACACCTTTAGAAAGGAAAGTATACAGTATTTACAATTTACTGTCATTTATTCCATTAGGTTGTCTGACTTGTGATGTGGAGGTGCTATCTCATCAGGTATGATTGTCTCTTAGAATAATTCCCTTTGATCAGAGTGGAGCTTTGAGTGGATTTATTTTGTTAAGCTGGAATCCACCTCTTTAGGTTAATGTGACACACCTACATACACCCCAGCAGATACAACAGGGCCATTCCATGATGTGTATCTTCAGTTGTCATTTCATGTTTAACCAAGAGGATTAGAAGGCATTGATGTATTAATAGCTTTTTTTTTTTTTTTTCTCAAGCATGGTACTAATTCTTAGGTGGGGTCAAGATGATTGCGGGGGGCAGTGGGGGCAGCCTGTGGTCAACGTTCAAAGCCTTCCAGTCATTTAGAAAGTTGAAATGTGCTTGGTGCTGGGCTAGAATCATTAGGAGGAAATAGCTGCAAACCTGGAAACGTCCCTGGAGAATACTTAATTCAGGAATAAAGGTTTGGATTGATGAGGGCTAAAATAAAACTTGGCAGCGACAGCATTCTAGTAACTTTTAGCCACTTCTCCCCATCTCACTGGGGTATTCCTGCTGGTATATTCACTAGCCTGAGCTCTGCTCCTGAGAGGGCTGCAGGAGCTGGGTGGGTTGGGAGACACAGGTGTGTGGGAGGCGCCTTCACCAAGTGCCGCACAATTGCCGGGTACCCCTCTGTGCCTTTAACTGGTCGGTAAACAGAAAGCAGGATGTGCTTATCTGAATAGTGACAACAGTTGCAAGCACTCAGTCACAAAGTTCAGCATTCTGGCTTTAGATGGACCAGCGTGGGGCTCTGGAAGCTGGTGACTTGGGAGTGCCTGCCGTACACATGGGTGGGGAAGGGATGGAAAGTTTGTCAAGGACTTGCCGAGTTATTAAGCAAAGACTCTGTAAGTGCGTCAGAATGGGAAGGCAGCTCAGAACCTTTCCACTCCACCCTTTTTGTTGTTGGAAATAGGTAAACTGAGGCCAGTGAACAGGAATGTGTATTTCAATAATACCAAAGCTAACTTCTATCACTGTGAGTTGTGTGCCAGGCCCTGGGTTCACTGCCTTCTGAGTGTTGTCTCTTTTAATCTCTGCCACAGCTCTGTGGGGTAAGCACTGGTGTTATACCCATTTTTCAGATAAGGAAACAGAGCCTCAGAGAGTCAGGTTACTTCCTCAAGGTCATAGAACTAGTAAGTCACAGACCTAGGGCACAGGAGCAGGTCTGTGTGGGGGTCAGAGCCACAGCTGTCCCCCACACGCTGGGGGCCTCCTCCACAAAGCGGTTTCAGGTGGGGCTCAGCCCACCTCTGGGGGAACCCATTCATATACTATGCAAGGTTTCACAGGTGTGTGAATTCATTTTCCATTGCTGCGTAATAAATTACCACAAACTTAATAGCTTCAAACAACACATATCTGTCATTCCACAGTTTCTGTGGAGGCCAGGCCTGGTTTTCCTGAGTTCTCTGCTCAGAGTCTCACAAATCTGTACTCAGGGGGTCAGCCTGATTATGGTCCCACCTGAGGCTTGGGATCCCCTTCCAAACTCACTAACTGTTGGTGGAATTCAATTCATGCAGGGAGAGCACTGAGGCTGCAAGCTCATGGAGACCACCCACTGTTTCCTATGTGTGGCCCTCTCCACAACACAGCCCTTTGCTTCTTCAAAACCCAACCAAAGAATCTCTGTCTTCAGGAACAGCCTCCGACCCTCTTTGAAGGGGCTCACCTAATTAGGCCAGGCCCACAGAGGAAAAGCTCTCTTTTGATTAACTCAGAGTCAACTGATTAGGGACTTTATACCTGCAAAATCTCTTTTGCCACACAGCATAACTTAATCAAAGGAATGTATTCCATCCCATTCATGGATCCTGCCCATACTCAAGGGAAGGCCATAATACAAGCATATGGTCATTAGGGGCCATCTTAGTCACTACTGTTCGTGGATTGTTCTCCAGCTTCCTGGAGGAGAGGAGAGCAGGAGACAGAGCTAAGAGTGTTTGTAAAATAGGGCAGTGGGAAAAGGTAGGTCTTGTGAGTAGCAGGCTACTTAAGATGCCTAGTGGGTCTAAATGTCAAATGCTATTGGCAGATTTTCCGTGCAAGGTATGACCAAAAAATAATTATTTCATTAACTTTGTGCAAAAAAAAAAAAAAAAATGTTTTAGACATGCATCCTCTCGACTAAAGGGAGTTCATTTTGCCAAACTACTGGACTTCACACCTGTGTCTTTCTATCTAGTGCAGAGGTGGCTATATCCCTTGCCCTTGAAATGTTCCTTCGTGTTTCTTCCCAAGTGGTTACTTTTACAAACTCCTTAATAAAAAAGAAGGAAGGGACACATTTAGTGGTCTTTGGGCAGGCAGGCAGATGAGCAGCATTCAGAATCTCTTTGTCCTGTTTCCCCACAATCATAAGTGCTCCCCCAATACAACTTTGTTCCCACATTGAACTAGGCAGTGTTCCTATTATATAAATCCTGACGCGCGTAGTGAAAGCTGCCAATTTAACTTATATGGGTGAGAGTCCGGGTCTTCGCAAAAGAAGATCAATAAAATACAGCATGAATGTCCACTCATGACGTGTACCTTGCAAGAACTTGGCTATATTAATCTCTCAAATAAGTCTGTGCTCCCAGGTAGCAGTATTCCCATTTCACAGTTGAGAAGGCTGAGACTCAGATGAGTTAAATAACTGGCTCTTTGTTACATGGTAACAAGGGGCTAAGAAGGAATTTGCACAGGTGTGGTAGGTGCTAAAGCCAGTGCTCTTAAACCAGTAAGGTAAGCAGCTGGAATATTGGCGATAATTTTCAGACTTGGAGCCTACTCTTGACCCCCATATGCCTTCCCTTTGTCTTTCCAGTATTCCAAATATCTTACAATCTAGGAAGTTGAAAGATGGGGACATGGCAACTGGCTTCACAGGGCCAGTATCCTGGGGAATACGAAAAGAGGAAAAAAGAGACCGTAACGGGGTAGACAACAAAACACCGCCATGCCACATACTTAACGTTGAACTAGAGGAAAACTCTATTACAAGCGATACTTCTAATCTGCTTGCGGTAAAGATTCATAACTGGAAAATAAGCATGTGACAGTTCTGCATTTGAGTGTAAACTTAACTCATTAATTTAAATTAGAGTGCTTTTTTTTAACAAAGGGGAAATTCTAGTAATAATAATAAGTAATGGCTGTTGTAGAGAATGTAAAAAGATGTTAGAAATTTGTGCTTTGGGAAGTTGGAGGGTGTTAAGGATTAATTTTCACTCACAGAGATCAAAAAGGTCTCGATGAGTAAGATAAGTATCGAGTTTCAGGGTTGTTGTGTTTTTTTCACCTCCTGCCAGACTGTCTGAAACTTATCTCAAGTATCATGGTAAAAAGAGAAGTGGCGGATAGACACAAAAATGTAATAGATATATTCTAGGGGTAGAATATGAACTGCCTTTCTAAATGCATATCAGAAGGAGAATTTATTCCAGTTGAGTAGGTTTAATGATATAATTTTACCATATTAAACCATAATTGCTCTTTAAAGGAAAATAGAGATGCATGCATTGCCACTGCCAGGGCATCCCACTCCATCCAAATAGCATCCTCCCTAGTACTCGTTGATTTCGCCCTTATCTCACAGCAGAGCCGATTTGTGGCTTTCCTTTGGAAATTGGGTGGGGAGAGAGGAAAAGAAGGAAGAATAGTCTGAGCATCAGAATCTGCGTCAAGCAATTGCCATGGCTTTAGCAAAATCATTTCCTGCTATTAGACTGCCAACCAAACACTTCCAAATGGATTGCAGCTCTGATTTTTGTGGAACCAAATTATTTTTCAAAATTAGACTGTGTATCAAGATGATCCAGATACCTGGATTAGTCAGGGACTAAAATATTTGCATTGTTATGGATGTTGATAATTATTTTAGTAAATTCTCATGGCTGCTTTTATTGCTAAATGATTTCCAATCCTGTCGCATTCCCTTCTCTCCTTCCCACCAAGAATAAGAAAAGGGAGAGGAGAGAATGAAAGAGAAGAATGAAAACATGCATTGATTGCATATATGGATGAAAACAGAGTTGAAGTCATGCATTTAGTTTTAACAGAATCTGATTTTACATCACGAGCTGAATTAGATGGAGGCATAATTCATCTATGTATTTATCGGCTATACCTTCCATATCTGTCTTTTTTTAATAGCAAACAAAATAATACTGAGCTTATTTGACTGATAAAAGGCATAAATGTAGTTTTAAAAAATATTTTTATATCTTTCTAAAAAATACTTGATACATAAAAAAGAATATGCCGTATTTCATTGGGCCTTCTGTAGGCCCTTTATCTTATAAACCAGTAATAAAGTAAAAATGCAGCCAAGCTAGTTAGCACATAATGCTTTCTTATCCCATGTCTTTTAAGAGGCATCCCAATTTTAGAGATGTTAAAATGGAAAGAAAAAAACAATGTACTTTAGACTCTATTAAATACAATATACAATGTGCTGGTGAATTATAAAGCATAATGTAAGAAACATTTATGAATACCCTGCCTCTCAATCCAAGAACTGTTCATTACTTATAACTTGCCTTTCCTCCCATAGCCCACGCAGACAGGCAACCCTTCTGCCTGTTATTGCTTTACTTCTTAAACGTACTTAAACTCTCTTTCCCACTACACTCAGAATGCCCCAAGAGTAGAGGCTGTCTGTGTTCTCTTCTACTTTGTCTTCAGCGCCTGACACAGAACCTGGCCTAATAATTGCAGAAGAACTATTATTGACTAACTGTACAAGCACGTTGTCTGAGGCCTATCCAAATTGTCTTTACCCTTCAAGCTCTGGTTTAAACACCAGTTCCTCTAGGAAATCTTTGACATCCTGAACTGGAAGTGCCCTTGCCTCCTTTTTGAACTCATGTAGCAATTTATCTTTACTCCTAGTACTATAGATATACCACCTTCTCTTTTGAGTAGAGTGCTTCACCCATGTCTGCCTTCCTGCTGGACTGGAAAAGCAGGATTTCCATTTGCTCTAGTTTGGTGACCCTCCCATTACCTGGCATAATAATAAAAGATAACCATAGATTCAATGGTGCTTTATATGTATTCTCACCAAATTGTCATAAATTAAGGACAGTTCTATATTCCCATTTAACAGATAAATAAACTGAGGCTAGTGCTCATAATCACTTAAGCAATAAGTATATGTCAAAGGAAGAAGACAGTAATGCATTTAAATTACTTTGCCTTAGTATGCTTCAGTTTTTGCCTGTCATTCAGGGGCCTATGCTTATTCTTGGGTATGAGACTCAAAAATAAATGAGAAAAAATGTAATAAAAACAAATCAGTAAAACAAATGCAAGTTTTCTTTAAGAGTGAGATTGAATAACCTTTTAAAAATGTTTGAGACTTTTTGTTGTTGTTATTATTAGTTTTTTTTTTATTTTTGAGACCGAGTCTCGTTCTGTTGCCCAGGCTGGAGTGCAATGAATGGCATGATCTCTGCTCACTGCAACCTCCGCCTCCCGGGTTCAAGTGATTCTCTTGCCTCAGCCTCCTGAGTATCTGGGATTACAGGTGCCTGTCACCATGCCCGGCTAATTTTTGTACTTTTAATAGAGACAAGGTTTCGCCATGTTGGCCAGGCTGGTCTCGAACTCCTGACCTCAGGTGATCTGCCTGCCTCGGCCTCCCAAAGTGCTGGGATTACAGGCGTGAGCCACCGTGCCTGGCCGACATTTGTATTTTCATATTATCTGGCTAATTTTCTATTGGATTTTATTTATTTCCATATTGATTTATGCGATTTTTATGAACCATAAAAATTATAATTTCTTTCTAGGTTCTGACACGCAAATATTTCTCTAGTGTTTTGGCGATCTTTTGTCTTTGCTATGCTGTTTTAGACATATTCAGTTTTAACATAATTCTATTTATCAAGTGTTTTCTTTATGGTTCCTAAATTTTTCGTAATTACATTTGAAAATGCATTCCCACTTCTGAGATGACGAGAATTTTTTTTTTACTATTTTAAAAATAAATGCCGATAAGGCTAGGATCTTGGAAGCACCTCCCTACCTTGGTATGATCATTTATTCATTTGGTTGTTGATATAACCAAGACATTGATTTAGCCATTGTTGTAGACAGAGATGAACCTGACTAGAAAATTTTCAGGGCAGTTTTCAATCCAGTAGAGAGAGATAAATTTCACACTTATTTGTAAATCAATAAGCATAATATTTTTAGATGGTGGAATTGCTGAGAGGACAGTGGAACAGAATGATGGGGGGCATTAATGGTGGAGAGGATGTTACCTCTGAGGTGATAAGATCAGCTAACATCTTCGGGTTCCAGCTGTGTTGAGATATAAGTAATAGTGTGTATGGCGGAAGAACAGCCCTGAGAGGGAAGGGGATCATGAAGATGGCTGGAGCAGCAAGACCATGGCAGTTGTAAAGGTGATATGAGATGAAGGTAGACAGGAAGGTGTGGACAAGACCCCATCTTTGAAAGGCAGGCTTTGGAATGTGGCTTTGATCCTGAGCACAAAATCTTTTGCAACAAAATGACCTGATGTGCATTTTCAAAAGATTCCTCTGGCTGCTATGCAGGGAAGAGATTATAGGGGGCAAGAAGGGAAGCAAAGAGAGGGTTGTGTAGGAAAATTGTGCCTACTTGGTGCAGACCCAGAATATAGTCAGTAGATCCAAGGTTAAACTAAGACTTCTCCAAGTTAGAGGTAGGGCACAGATGCTGGCTGAAACGCCAGGTAATTTAGGCATCCAGAGTAAATGCTAGTTTGAACTTGGAGCACGAGGGGCTTTGTGTGGGGGACCATTCAAAGGCAAGCTGGACAGGTGGTAACCTTGCTCACTGGGCGCCAGCAAGTAGAGCAGCGCTCGCTGGTGATGGATGGCTTAACATTGTTCCCCGCGCTGTGCTCAGAGCCGGGAGGAGGGCACAGCCCCTGGGGACTAGGAGGAGTCTCCAGGCTTTCCTTGCACTTTGTCTTCCGCTTAGTGTTTCAGCCAAGATATTAATTCTATGTTCTAGCCATGTTGCTGCCTCAGAGTCTCACTATTGTTAGTTATGCTCTCGTTCACAGTCCTAGTGTTGATATTTTTACACGTTTTAAACTCAAAAGTATCTGAATTTCGGAGACAATGAGACAATTAGAGTAGTTTGTAAAGTATAGTGAAGGTTTTTAAAAGAAGTGAGTGTGTGACTGCTACATGCAATTTATTATTATAATCCTCTCTTTTGTGAAGGTCCACAAACATTTTTTGTTCAATCAGATTTTTATTTTTTATTTTTTATTTTTTTGCTCTTCATTGTATAATGTATTCTTCCCCCTTAACTTCCCCCAATCTCAGGAGACAACAGTATTTCCCTTGAAAATACAGAGGGTGGATTGGCCCTGTGTGTGTGTTTTCCAAGTGCTGGCTTTCCAAGACATTCTCATGAAAAGGACTGGTATTGCTAAGTCATTTTTTAATATAAGGAGGTCCATGTTTGGGCATTGAAATTAATTTTCCTTATCTTGCCATACAAATAGCCACCCTGGCTTCTTTGATTTATTACCTGGGATGGTTCAGCAGCACTAAAAACAGAGGACGGGAAGACATCACCTTTACGTGGCATCATTAGTCACAGCATTAAAAGCATCACCCTGAAGGGACTGCTTCTCCCAGTCTTCCCTGTGCCATGACAGCATCCTGTTTGTTCCCTCTCTGTGCACTCAAGACGCTGGGCCCATCCACAGCTTCCGGGTTGCATTTTTCATTTCCTAGTAAGTTGCTGCTATCCAACATCCTTTCTGTCTTTTCTCCATAGCATAGTGTAAAAGAACTTTCAAAAGTGCAGATACAATCCCTGATTAAAGACAAGCTACTGACTGTAAGAAAATGTTTTAAAATCATTTCTCCAGCAAGGGACTCGTGTACAGAATATATAAAGAACCTTCCAAACTCTATAATACAAAACAAACATACTCAGTTTAAAAAGAGGCAAGAGACTTGACCAAAAATAAGCACATGAAAAGTCATTCCACATCATTAGACATTAGGGAAATGCAACTTAAAATTATAGGGAAAGGGAAAAAAATAGGATGCGATACCACTATACACCTATGAAAATGGCTAAAATAATTACTGGTAATTCTAAGTGAGGGTGAAGATGTGGAGCAAGTGAACTCTCATGCATTGCCGGTGGGAATATAAAGTGATGCTGCCACCTTGGAAAACAGCTGGGCAGTTTTTTTTGTTTTGTTTTGTTTTTGTTTTTTTGAGATGGAGTCTCGCTCTTTCACCCAGGCTGGAGTGCAGTGGTACGATCTCAGCTCATTGCAACCTCTGCCCTCCGGTTCAAGCGATTCTTCTGCCTCAGCCTCAGCCTCCCTAGTAGCTGGGATTACAGGCATGTGCCACCACGCCCAGCTAATTTTTGTGTTATTAGTAGAGACAGGGCTTCACTATGTTGGCCAGGCTGGTCTCTAACTCCTGACCTCAGGTGATCCACCTGCCTTGACCTCCCAAAGTCCTGGGATTACAGGTGTGAGCCACCACGCCCAGCCTGGGCAGTTTCTTTAAAAAAAATAAATAAATAAAAATAAACATACAGTTACTCATACTCTTGTATATGTATTGAAGAGAAGTGAGGACGTATGTTCACACAAAAACCTATAGGCTAAGGTTTGTGGAAGCTGTATTTATAGTTGCCCCAAGCTGGAAACAACCTGGACATGCTTCACTGGGCATGTGCGTAAGCAGACTGTGGCACCTCCGTACAATGGAATCCTACTCTGCAAGAATAAGGGATGAACTCTTAACAGACCCACAGCTTAGAATGGTCTCAGAGGTATTAAGTCAAAAAAAGCCAATCTCCAAAGATTACACACTATATGATTCCATTTATATGCCATTTCAGAAAAGACAAAACAGTGATAGAGACTCCATCAGTGGTTGCCCGGGGCCAGGGGTGGTGAGGAGGGTGTGATTACAACAGGTTGGCACAAGGGAGTTTGGGGGGTGGTGGAGGCCTTCTGTATCCCGACTGTGCTGGTGATTATACACATCCATGCATGTGAGGAGACTCATACTCTGTACCCCCCTGCCAAAAATCAATGTGTCAGTCCAAACTGCTGCACATGCTCTACACAGCCCAGCCTATCTCTTGTGATTCATCCAGTTCCTTCTCAGCCTCCTCGCCCGTTCTGTCAGGTCCCGAACACTTGTGGTCATTTTTATTTTCTAGCAGGGCACAATCACGCTCAGCCTTTTGCCCAAGAACCTCTCCTGCCCACTTTTCTGCCAACCCATCTTACCTGCCGAATGAGATGCTTTCTTTACAGCTCAGGTGTGGAGACTCTAGCACACGCACTGGGACCTCTGAACAACACCCAGTCTTGGACATTTCTTGCTCCTGTCAGGGTTCCCAGGGCACCACTCTCATTGCCTGGTTCTTTGGCTGCCTTGCATGCTGGGTTGTAGGTTTGGGAAGAGCTGATTCCACTGCTCATTCTCCAGCCCTGAGAAAGAGGCCACAGAGAGTTCAGTACATACACTAGTGAGGATGAGAGGTCTCTGCTCCGGAGGTGGACTCAGCCTTTGTCTGGTTTTACTTTTGCCTTCTTTTTCTGAGTGCTTTTATCTCTGACCCTCTTGCTGAAATTTCTTACCTTTCATGGCTCTTTTAGCAGGGGAATCGTCTTTGCTGGTTTTGCCCAAACTACTTCTTAAAAAGCAGTAAGCCAAAGTTTTAAGACTTGTATACTTTTTTTTTTCCTATTCATGTAAAAGTAAAATTATGTGGCAAAAATCATGAGTATAGAAGGGTTTTCTTTTTCATCAGAGGTTAGATGGGTTTTATAGTGCGACGTGAAAAGTCATTAGTAAAAGCCGTATTATAAACATATTTTTATATATTTACTTAGCCCCATCTTCCAAATTCCCTTGGAGGGACAACAGATTTTCTGGAAAATAAAAATCAGCTCCTATTCATAGCAGTGGTAAAAGTAATCGTCGTAACACTTACATGGTGCTTATGAAGTGCTGGACACTCTCTTAACATGTACTTTATGCATTTTATTTTATTTTTTGTAGAGATGGGGTCTTGCAATGTTGCCCAGGGTGGCCTCTAACTCCTGGGCTCAAGCGATCCTCCCATCTCAGCCTCCCAAAGCACTGGAATTACATATGTGAGCCACTGTGCCCAGCCTAATTTATGTATTTTAAATGACTTACTCCTCACAACAGCCTTAGGAGGTGGTGTCATTATTATTTCCATTTTACATATGAGGAAACTGTGGTGCAGTGTGGTTCGATCACTGCCTAAGGTCAGGAGTGAAGCTAGGATTCAAATGCAGGCCTCTGGCTTCATCTTCCAGAAGACTGTGCAACAAAGAGGGGAAGGAAGATGAGAGACAGGGTTTTCCTCACCAGGGACCTCATGCTGACCTCCTTTCACTTTTTCCCAGGGAGGTATCCCCACATCCCTTGCATGGTCTGCCAAGAAGATCCACAATAGCTTAAAATGCTTCTTCTCTTTTCTAGCCAAGGACAATTCCGTATTTGTGTCCTGATCATTATTAGAATAAGTAATCAAAATAATTAGAAAAGGAAGCTAAAAATGAAAATGGTCCAGGAAAGAATATAAAATAACTTGGATTGTGCTTTTCAACTTTCAAACTGTTTTCACTTAGTGTTTTCCCAAGACGTCCCTCACCACCACCCATTGTTATTGCCAACTTTTTGCAGATGAGGAAAGTGAGGCCCAGAGAGGAGAAGCGATTGCTCCCCTGGGTCACCATGTCGTTCCTTGTGGGACCAGTATGCAAGCCCTGCCCTGCCCTGCCCTGCCCTGCCCTTTCTTTCCTGCCCCCTTATCTCTCTTCCCACCTCCCTCCCATCTGAGTTCTTACTCATTAAGAGAAACTCTTTTATAAACTTTAGATGCAAGCAGTGTGATTTCATCTCTTTTTCTGCGTGTGTTAGTTTTTTGTTGTTGCATAACAAATTGCCACAAATTAGCTCATAGTTCTGTAGGTCAGAAGCCCAGGTGCACTGTTAATGGAGTCTCTCCTCAGAGAATAGGGAGGCAAGTGGAAGCTGCACTGATTCCTCGTCAAGAGGCTCCGGGAAAGAATCTGCTCCTAAGCTCATCCAGGATGTTGGTAGAATCCATTTCCTTCTGGCTGTAGGACTGAGGTCCCTGCTTCCTTGCTGGCTGTCAGCCTGCAGCTGCTCTCAGCATCTAGAGTCTACCCACATTTCTTGCCATATGGTCTCTTCCATCGTGAAGCCAGTAGGGGCACATCAGTCTTTCTTGTGCTTCAGAATCTGACTTCCTCTATCTCTGGGCTCTAAACTCCAATTGAAAGGGTTCATGTGATTCCATCAGGCCCACTCAGATAATCTCCCTTTCTTCAAGTCAGCTGATTTGGGACCTTAATTACATCCACAAAACCCCTTCACATAGCACCTGGATTAGTGCACGATTGACTCTCTGGGAAGGGGTGTGTTATACCAGGCATAGGAATGTAAGGGTCACCTGAGAATTCTGCCAACCACATGACATTACAACCTTAAAAATGGTACACATTGACAGGACCAAGGGCCACCTCCAAGGTATTTGTTTTCTGTGGTAATTATATCAATTCCTTAATGTTTTTACAGGTTTTTTTTTTTGTTTGTCAACATGACACATTTTGTATTTATTAAGTCATTTGATTGAAAGCATATTTGTAATCTGTGTACTTCTGTTTACCTTAAAAGGGTTGAAGAAGAATGAAGTAGACATAGGATTAGTTGAACAACACAATTCTGTTTCACTAACGATTCAATAAGTTAATTTCTTAAGCACTGTTTCATGCTTTCTTTTCAGCCTCTGTGCTCCATCTTCTTGAACCTTCTTTCTGCTCCTTGGCTATTTGATTTCTTCTTTACTTGTGGGTTTCCAATTAAATGTCACCTCTTCGTGGATGAATTCCTTGATGGACTTATCTAGAGTAGGTTAAAAATGAGAAGTTAAGTTTTTCTTTTTTTTAATGAAGGCTGAGGCTTCCTTCACAGTGGCTCTAATTATTTCTGGATTTGTTGATTGCTGATGTCTTACTCTATCTCCTGCTAGACTGTAGTATCAGAAAGGGAAGGGCCAGGTCTGTCTTGTTCTCCCTCCTAGGCCCAGTGCCTAGACTGTGCTTAGTACAAAGTAGTCACCAAAAATTATGTGTTTAATTGGTGTGTAAATAGAAGCTAATGTTCTGGTGCCTGTAGAACGGTTAACTTTAACATTTGTTTTGAAAGGTTGCCTGAGTAGTGAAACCGAGTTAATCATGAGGTCACTGCTTAAGCGTTTATTGTTTGAAAAGCACCTGATTGACAGTCACAAAGCTCTTAAAAGTGGGGGAGGGGACTCTACAAATGGTAGAGCCAAAGAAGAATGATTTTTGTGTCGTCCTTGAAAACATGCAGTGTCACTGGAAAGGAGGCGTGTGATGAGTTTTTCAAGTCATGGACAGTCTGATGTTTGGATCACAGTTTCTTTTTTTTTTTTTTTTTTTTGAGACAGAGTCTTGCTCTGTCACCAGGCTGGAATGCGGTGGTGCCATCTTGGCTCACTGCAACCTCCACCTTCCGGGTTCAACTGATTGTCCTGCCTCAGCCTCCCTAGTAGCTGGAACTACAGGCGCCTGCCACCACGCCTGGCTAATTTTTTGTAATTTTAGTAAAGATGGGGTTTCATCGAGTTAGCCAGGATGGTCTCTATCTCTTGACCTCGTGATCCACCCACCTTGGCCTCCCAGAGTGCTGGGATTACAGGCATGAACCACCACGCCCAGCCTGGATCACAGTTTCTTGGCAATTTTTTTTTTTTTTCTTGGAGACCAAGTCTTACTATGTTGCCTGTGCTGGCCTCAAACTTCTGAGCTCAAGAGATCCTCCCACCTTGGCCTCCTGAATAGCTAGGACTACGGTTGCCCCATGCCTGGCTTCTTGACACATTTTTTTAACATCCCAAGACAGATGCCTCTCCTTTCTCAAAGTCCTCTTTCGAAAAGTTCCTCTCTCTGATTTTCCCTTAAGCTTCACCTCCAGACAGTCACAGTATTTGGATACCTACTTAGAAGCTGTGTGACATTGGGCAAGATAGTCAACCACTCTGAGCTTTGTTTTCCTTCCCTGTAAAATAGGCATGATAATTCCCACCTTGAAAAGTCATTGGAAGGATAGCGAATACAAATGCCTGACATAAAGTGAGATTGATAAATGCTGTTTTCACAATTATTAGACTATATTATTTTAACTATGACTGCAAATCTGGTGTGGAATTGAAATGCTCATCTTAACAACAGAGCTTTTGGAAGTTGCAGGTTGAAATCCCTAACAGGAAAATCCAAAACCAGAAGTACTTCAAAATCTGAGACTTCTTGAGTGCCACCATGATACCACAAGCGAAAAATTCCACACCTGACCTCATGTGATGGGTCTCAGTCATAAATGCGATCAAATCTTTGTTTCTTGCCCCAAATTATCAAAAGTCTTGTATCAGATTGTCTTCAGGCTTTGTGTATAAGGTGTATATGAAACATAAATGGATGTCATGCTGAGACTTGGGTCCCATCTCTAAGATATCTTACCATGTGTATGCAGATATTCCAAGATCCTAAAAAATCTGAAATCATTGATCCCAATCATTTTGGATAAGGAGTACTCAACCTTAAAAAAAGTTACAGTAGATTTTAGGATCAATGGAGAAGATATTCTATGTAACAGATTTTTATTATCATATATTAAGTGAGGACTACTTTGTTTAAAATCTTTAGACTGAAATAAACACGTTCTGCATACAACCACCGTGAACACAATTTGTCTTTTTTTAAATTCAGAGGCACTTAGGAACCTTGTAGTGCCCCTGGGTTTTATTATGAACTCCAGTTAGCATTTTATTGTGGCTGCCTAGAAGTATTGATTCATATCCAGTCCGGAAAGCAACTTCTACCTGTTCACCTTTTCCCATTCCTTAACACATAATAGCGAAAGAGTCTGTTTCAGTAAATGCAGACTGGCTTGCCTGTGCCCAGCCCTGTCTCCACTTGGTTGGCTTCCTTGGGATGAGGACTCTCCTGCCCTGGCTTGTGCTGGGAAGTAATAGAACCAAAGCAGTGACATCCATAGAGCCGAGGAACAGAAGTCAGTGGGGCTTGAAAGAGTTCATTTCCCATAAAGTATCCAAAGTTGTTCAAAGTCGGTCAAGCTGTCATCACATTTCAGATGAGACTATTTTAGGGAGTAACAAGGGCAGAGTAGATCAATTAACGTTTCTTTTTTTTTTTTTAATCACTCTACATTCAATGAATGTTCAAGGCAGGTTAAACACTAATAGCAAATGTGGTGATGGAAGAATTGAGGCAGCTTCTGTTGTAGTATTTACTGTGGTTATCATTTCTATACCTAAAGCTGCATTCCTATCTTCTCATTTATTTTGCCTCCCTTTTAATTCACTGAGTTTGATTTAGAGAAGTCAGTGCATTGTATTACAGTGCCATTATGAGTCTGAATTTCTGATTTAATTCAGACAGTGTGAGCCCAGAACAGAGGACCAGGAGATTCTGCGTTACCCCAATTAGCCCGGGAAAGCTTAGACAACTGGCTCCGTATCTCTATGTATGCCCCAATTTCCCCTCCTGTAAAATGGAGCTATTTACTTATCTCAGGATTGTAATCATAAAAGAAAATTTCCTGTAGATGTGAAACAAATTTTAAATAGCATGCAGATACTTGCATTTGTATTTTTATTTTAACCCAAATTAACATGCGAAACCAGGATGCCGTTTTCAGAGTTGTTGGCATCCGTTCATCATATTTCTAGGTGAAGTATGTGTAAGTGATTATAGGTAATAAATATCTTTTTTTTTTTTAACTTATTGCAGAGGCAGTTTTTCCACTGTTAATGAGGGTAATTTGACTTGGTTGAAGGATTGCAGTTCTTAAGAATTAATGCAGTAATCCAATTCAAAGATTTAAAGAGATCTAAGATTTTTCACAGGTCGCGTGCCAGTGAATGTGCTCCTATCACATAGCAGCTAATGGACTTGAACGCCAGTCTGTCATTTACTGTTCCCTCACTGCATAGCAGCTTTGCCCTTGGTAGTGAGTATACTTTCCAAGCATTGCAGGTTATTTAGAAGTGTGGTATATTTGTATCACTTTTGAGAGATAGTATCCTATTTCCCACAGCCCCTAATTACTATAAAAACTGGGGTTATCTTTCTTAATTACATGTTTGAATCCTAATCTGCTAAGGTCTGAGGAATATCAGGCTCAGAGGAGCTGCCTTCTCGCCTTTCTTTTTCAGAGGAGGGCCTTTTATTTTTTTTAATGTATTTTTAAAAACTAATTCATGTATCATTGTATTCGTACATATAGGTTAATTCACGTGAATACAAAGGTTACATGCACTGTATTCATGACTTTCCATTTTTGATAATGATGTATTATTAACAGCTAACAATATTTTGTAAAGGCTTATTTATAAAGGATGTTGGAAGTGTTCTTATTTCCCGATCCCATTACGTTCCTAAATATTAAAAATCCCATTTTGAGGCAATTAGAAGCATTCGCTTCTTCCTCCACGTGTGTTCTCCAGACAGCGTCACCATTCTGCGCACACAGGAACCTTTGTTCCTTAATTAGAAAAAGGACTAGAGCTCATTAGTTGTGGTTCCTTGTGGTGTCTGCTCAAACACTCAGGCAATAATACATTACAAGGAGAGATCCAGCCTAAATCTGAGAGGCTCTCCACAGTTCCAAGAACTGTGAAAAGATAAATATATCTTGGAGGGTCCTTGTAAGGCCGTTCTCACATCCTGCACTGTCCTTGAGGGCCTGGCTGGTGGGTGCTCATCAGTTTTAAAGTCAAAGAGATTTCTGTATTCACAGGAGGAGGGAAGGGGAGAAGGCACAACTTGTATAGAAATCTAGAACTTTACCTTTATTGAAAGCCCATGGTCTTGCACCAAAAAAAAAAAATAATAATAAATAAATAAATAAATAGAATTATCTTTTGGATTTTTTGGTAGGTTAGTGGGCACCATCCAGATGCATTCGGATGTTATTGAAGGTGGGCGAATTGTTGACAAACATGATAGAAGACCAGATACCTTAGGCTGATTTTCACTGCTGGCATTGGACATCGGAGGAGCTGCATGAGCTTTGAAAGCTAAAACTCCCAAACTGGAGCCACAAAAGCTTTAGGCTGCATCAGTTATCAACAAAGAGCCCTGATTTCCACAATCAGAACAGGCATTTCTCCAGCCTCCAGGAAACCTCATGCATCTAATGTTCCCCAAAATATTAATAGTACAAATGGTGGACCCATCTCACTGGTTAAGATTAAGCTTCCCGCAGCAGAGAAGTGAGCAAGTGAAGTGAAAAATCTCAGACCGTATGGAGGATGTTTTGCTGTGCCTTGGCTGGGCTGGCGAGGATGTTTTGCTGTGCCTTGGCTGGGCTGGCAAGGATGTGCTGAAATATAAAGGGATATGGAGAAGAGAGCAAAGTGTCAGTTTGAAAGCCAGAGATTGGAAAATAGAGCAGTTATTTTGAGGGTCAATTCACTTCTCTTTGAGAAGGTTTATCCAGTCAGGTAGCTAACACCCTGGAAGGAAAAGAACTCAGAGGCCGCTAGGCGTGTCTGAGATACTCTCCCACCACCCACTACACTAACCCCCTCCTCATATCTTGCCTTCTCTTTCCATCCCTGCCAAAGGATAAATTGCCCTCATCCTGCTAATGCTAATGGAAGACATTATTAACAAAAGGGAGTGCTTCATAAAGGAAGCTGAGATCTGGCAAGTGGAGGCATGACATCCTTATGCTGATAGTGGTACAGGTCAGAAATAGTGAATATGGAAACAAATATTTCACTGAAATGTTCTGCCATTTAAAGGGACATGTCTAGATAGCCATGTACATATATACTTTTTTCCACCAGTAATCTTTTTTTTTTGTTGTATTTCTCAGAGAAAGAAAAATAGATTTTAAAATGTAAAAACCTGTTCTTCAATTGCGTATGCAAAAATCTCACTGCAGTGTTTATTCTAAACCTGCTCTCATAATGTTCAGTCAAGGAGAAAACAGCAAAAAACAGTTGTTGATGGACTTAGCACAGAACTGGATTAAATAAGCATTAGTCTACTGAAGCTGATTACAGGAATATGAAAATGCAGTATCTTAATGGTACATATTTTTATGTGGCAGCTCAGTTGCCTTTCATTTTGCAGCTAATATGTCTATTCTTATGAGTCATTTACTTCTTTAATTACCTTTTGCAGGCAAGGCACCATGGTATATTAATGTGAATGATTTTTACTGCCAGTTTATCATACAATGCCCCAGAAGTTGAAAGGCGTAATTGACTTGGAAGAACAGCTCATGAAGGAAACAATATTTAGTTGACAGTTTTCCTTGTACTCTCTGTTGACGTTTATGAGTTTACACTATGCTAAAGGAGTAATAAACACAATTTTCTTTCAATAACAGGAAAGGGTAGCTTCTAAAATACATTTGTGGAAAACACATTTGTTCATTTCTTGAATAATATGAAAATAACACATTTCCAGTGATAAGACTTCTCAGATTGCCAATTGAATTAAACCTTCAAAGGTGCATTTATAACCTGTCTCAGAGCATTAGGAGATATTAGGGTTCATGTGATTGAATCTACTTAATGAATATTTAAATTATAAACAGATTTAGATAAATCATATTTAACTCTGGGTGTTAGGGTGAGACAATTTGGTCCTGCGCTCCCAACTTCCAGGAGAAGGAAAGGCAGAACGGGAGCTTGGGGATTGGGAACTGTCTGAAGGAAGATTTTCTTTCTCCAAAGGGAGGGAAAGTCTGACAGTACATTTTGGAAAAGTAAAGAAGGCATAGTCGATGCAACTCCTTATATGGCCTGGCCCTTGAAGAGTTAAATAAAGATTTGGGTGGGTCGCTGCCGTTTTGGAGCCTGGAAAGGTGCTTTGACTTGACTTGGGCAGTGTTATTTTAACCATCACTTCCACAGTCCCCTTGGCCTTAAGCTGGTTCACTGGCTCTGGGCAGGCCCTGGTTTGGCACATTGGTTCAGAGGGAGTTAAACTTTTCACAGTTTTCTGGGTTGTTTGCAGTTCAGTCCTGTGCAACATAATGAAAGTTTTCTAGCCATCTGTTGTTAAGCTGGCGGTGAACAAGGCCAGTATATCCAAACAAAGTTCTGGCCTGCTGTAAACTGAACCTGTCAGTTTAGCATAGCTTTGCTGACCCCTCCAAGGAACAGGGCAGCCCTCGGTACCAGGCACTCACCGCTTAGAACTTTCAAAGGGGAACTATTTTGGGAGTAGGGGGTAGGGGCCTGTTTACTTTTTTCCTCTGTGTTCCTCTCACTGGCTTGGACTGGTTTATACTTAATCTTTACATGTACAAATGGATATTGGTCTCCCCTCCTTTTGGTCCCCCCTCCTTTTTCAGAGGGAAGGACATTTCTTCTTAATAGGGGATTATAACTTTTTTTTTTTTTTTTTTTTTTTGAGACGGAGGCTCACTGTTGCCGGGCTGAAGTGCAGTGGTGCGATCTTGGCTCACTGCAACCTCCACCTCCTGGGTTCAAGCAATTCTCCTGCCTTAGCCTCCCGAGCAGCTGGGACAACAGGCACGCATCACCGCGCCCAGCTAATTTTTGTATTTTTGGTAGAGATGGGGTTTCACCGTGTTGGCCAGGATGGTCTCGATCTCTTTTGACCTCGTGATCCGCCCACCTCGGCCTCCCAAAGTGCTGGGATTACAGGCGTGAGCCACCGTGCCTGGCCGGGGATTATAACTTTTAGAAGAAGGTAGGATTGTCTAGAAATGTATGTGAGGTGGCTGTGATTCAAAGGGAAGTTCTATGCAGTTATTTTTGTTTCATTATTTTGTCTTTCAGTGTTGGGGGGTACAAATAGTCCAGGAAAAGAAGTGCCTATATTTATTACTTAGCTTATATAGTTAAAGTTTTCATAGCTTTAAGAGGGCTTTTCCCCCCTTTCTGCTGCATTTTGTATTTCATCATCAGAAGTTAATATACAGCATAACTTGGCAGAGCAGCAGTTAGACAATACTCCCAGCTGTATGGGCTATTTCGTGCTTCTCTGTTCTCATTTACAAGGTGTATCTTTGGCTTTAATTGCCCAGCTTAACCTTAAAATAATTCCATTGTTTCGCTGTATTTTTTCCTACTGTAGTATATGTTTCATTTTCATTTTCTGTTTGGCAGTATTTCCTTGGCTATATATGAAATGCTCCTATACATTTGGATCCTTGAGCTATCTGTCTATCTACCTACCTACCTATCTCAATACCTATCTAACACTTCCCCTAATCTTTGTGGGTTTCCTTTTGTTAATGATACCTTGGAGGTGCTGCTGTATTTTTCTCTTGGCCTTGCTATCATGTATTTCTTGTCCAGCCTTGGTTACATTTGTGCCCTGTTAAGAGAGGGCCCTGGGGAGCCATCATTAAACCTTGGTGTCCATTCGAAATTGTAAAAATATCAAGGAGAATAGCCACCGTTTTTGAATAATTATTTTGGCTGCTCTAACGGCCACCTTAGTCTGTCTAGGTAGAAGCAGACCACAGTCCCACACAGCAACAAAGAAACAAGATACTGAAAGCCTTTAGACAAATGTCTGAAGCACCAGTGTGAGCGGGTTTGGGCTCAACTTCAGCTGCAATCAAGAAATGGACAAGGGTCAAGAATTCCATAAATGGGGGTGGGGACAGAATAGGCAAAGGAATAAACAAGGAGACACCCAAGCCTTCCCGTTTAAGGGACAAGGAGTATTACAGCTGTGAAAAATATTCAATTTAAAATTTAAATGAATGCACTTACTAGGAAATACTATAGAGTCATAATCTGTTTGTGAGGTGACTGACATATAAAGTGTTTTTTTGTTTTAAAGTGAAAAAAAAACATCACACACACACATATTCGGGGTAGACTTTCGGGTATAAAATGTCAGGTGCAATGTAACGTGTACTCAACTCCAAGAGTCAAGCAAATAACCTTGGTATTTAGGATGTTGCCTTTTAGAACATGAAATTGTATTTTGTTGTGTGTCCTTTTTTTTTTTATTTAGAGGAGGACTACATTAAGAGGTCACCTATTAGCTGTGTTTTTGCTGTCTTAAACTCAGCCCTTCTGTCTATTAAAATCAAACCACTGTGTAAACATTCCGTGTTGTTCTTGGTCTCTACAATGGCCACGGGGATCAGGTTTCACCTGCCTGCACATCTTCAAGCAATTACAGCAATTAGCGTGAAGCCATTTCACATTCAAGGATTCAAGGTCTATGGTGACATTCAAGTCCAGGAGAAGTCTGAAAGGGAGAGGAGGAAGAGGCCCAGAGCGAGACGACTATTCCATGGCCCTGAGCAGACAATTTCTCTTTTAAAAATGGTGGCCCTTTAATGATGTTATTATGAGGTTTTTAAATGACATATCAAAAGTTGTTTATATCACAAAAACCCAACAGTCATTTAATTATACTAATGAAGGTCTTTATACGTGTCAGATTTTTTAAAAAAGACTTCTAATGGCCATGAGAAATGGACTGTTGCTGCTGCTTGCATCACAGCAGTGGTGGCAGCATTCTTTGTAGAGGAAGAACATATTTTATAATGTATAAGGGAATTTGCATTTCGCTTTTCACGGCAAACCTTTCTGTGTTTTTTGTAAATCTAACAATTGCAACAACATGGAATATTTAGTTGGGAGATGTTTGGAGTAAGTGTTGAAAGCAACTATGTTTGCTTGCTTTTTTTTTTTTATGGTTAGAGAACAACTGTGGCGACTTTCACAGATTGAACTAGTACAGTTCAAAGGAAAATCATCGACTTTAGCACATCTGATAGCTATATAGGCATGGCAGAGGTGTCTTGAAAAAACACTCTTAGGATCCAGTAGGGCTTTGGCTTTGTTTGTTTGTGTTGTTTTTTGCATTTGTAACTTAGTTACCCAGGACTCGTTTGCACAAGGCAAATGCTAAACTGATTACAGCTTTTAAAAATTGGTTTGTACATTTTTTAATCCATATTTTAATGTTGGTTTATTATGCAAAAAAAGAGGGGCACTAATTTTAAAAATCCAAGCGTGCTGCAAAAGAAGATCTTGCTTTGCAGTCCCAGAGGGTGCTTGCAATCAGGAATAACCGCAGGCTAAATTATAATGTGGAATTCTGTTGCCCTTTAACCTGATGCTGCCTGTTCACATTCAGTGTTTGTTAACAAACAGCTTTAAGAACAAAATTGTTGGGAGAATTACTATTTGATTGTATGCACTGACTTTATTGAAAATAAGAGGCTTTATTTTTTTTAATTGCATGTCTCTGAGAAAGTTGTGATAATTCCTTTACAGAACTGCCCTAGTTGGCTTAAAAGCTACTAGGTGTTAAGCAGTTACATATCTGTAGGACAGAACACATCTATTTGTGTGACTGAGGCTGGAACATTTGTGTTCATTCCATAACTAGCCATTTTAGGGAACTGGACTGCTTAGAGCTCTCTAGCCCCATCTCGAACTACTTATAGCTCTTCTGTTGAGAGATGGTTTTCCTGACCGCCCACTTTCATGGCGCCCAGGCTGTGTGCCTTTTGATACTGCAACGCAGAGCAGCTGCAGGGGATGCTAATAAAATGCAGGATTTTGGACACTGAGCAAGGTAAGAGTCTGCCTTTTTCTCCTGCCCCTTGAAAAGGGATTGCTAGGAAATCATTTCCTGGTCTCTAACTGGACCAGCTGAGTTAGAGAGGAACATTTGCATTGGATACTCCACCCCTCCCCAAAGTGGAGAAGGCAGGCGTGGAAGCACTGTGAGACTCAGAAGGGAGATGAGGCAGTAAACCAGATCTTTCCCATTTTTTCCCCCAGCCTAGTCTTCTGTTTCTATGATCTGCCTTTTGAACTGTTTTTGTGGCTGATCAGTTCCACCTAATATGTCTCTTGATTTCTGCTATTGTAATACTCAGGCGACATGCTGTTCTCTTCATTTTTATAAGCTTTAGATGCTTCTGCCTGTCATTTTCTGGCGGTTTATCTTCAGCGTCTGGATTTGCTTTCAGACTTGAATGTCTATCAAGCTGCCGTTGCTTTGAATGTGAGATCAAAAGAAGATGAATTCCAGTAAAAAATTTCCTTCTATGAAGAAAAGATTGGGGCCTATGTAAACATCCCACTGACAGCTCCCAATGAGTTATTTTAGCCGAGTATTAGCACCTGGATGACAGACAGTCCAGCATTCCATGCTAAATAACAAATCAGTAGCTTCTGTGGCAGAAGAACATTGCCACAAGAGCAATACATTTTCAGAAGGAATCCTTTTCTTCCTCCTTTTTTTTTTTTTTTTTTTGTTATTGAATATGGCTGTTCAACTCTTCCTCCTGTTTTTCAAGCTGACTTGCTGTGCCTTCAGCAGTTTACTTTTCTTCACAGTATTTGCTGAATTACTCCGGTGACGGAAGACAGGACTGTGACAATCATTTTGGGGCGGGTTAAGGAGTGTTCCATTAGGCAAGCTAGGCATCTGGAGATAAACAGGTAGTTTGGTTGATGGTGGAGAAAGAAAATGTAAAGGACAGCCAGTCAAAGCCAGATCCAGGGCATATCCCTGGAATACGGGACGATGTGTTCTTTAAAAATACATGTGACAAAATCCTCTAAAGTCTGCAAAATCTGAATTTTCTTCTTCTTCTTTTTTTTTTCTTTTAAAGCATCCTGCCTATGTAAATGTCACCACAAAAATATCTCAAGAGCAGGTTTCCCGAAACCCTGTTGGTGTGTATTTGTCTGCGTGAATGAGCTGTGTTTGGCTAGGGCTTGGTCTAGCCAGGGCGCACTGCGTGTGCTGTGTCGCTGCTTGCAGACCTGGAGCGGTTTAGATATGTGTGGCATTAATAGATTTCTTTAAGTGCTAAATGCAACTTTGAAAATTACCTGCAAGCTCCAACTGATCTTTCAACTTTGAAAGTGAAGAATTACTTGAGGAATTCTTGTGGTTTCTTTGTCATTTAGTGAGAGCCCAGCCAGCTACTGTGGAGGCAAACCTCCCTGAGGTTGCCTACAAAGGGCAATGTTCCAGTGTGTTTTCTCTTCGAGTGTGCTTCAGCCGCACAGTACTTCCTGTTTATTCAAACATCTTTTTTACCACTCGGCAACCCCCGCTTCGCAGAAACAGCCAGAACCCATCTACAGCAAGAAGACGGAAATCCAAAGGCAGACAGTACGGGCTCCCTTCGCCAAACTCTTCATTTTCTCTGTAAGTGTCCAGAGAAAAAGAAACATTTTTTTGCTGGGTTAAACTTTTAAACTAGGGATCCGTTCTTGTGCAGACATTCTCTGAAGGGCGAAATAAGGTGATCCAACTTGTTTACTGCTTTTTTTCCTCCCCCTTCCCTCCTCTCTCCATCAGAGGCTTTTTTCTTTTTAGAGATTTGAGAGGACCGTTTCCTTCTAACTCCTTGTTTAATTCACTCTTGTTTTCAAATATGTCTTTGGATATAATCAGCTAAGTAAGCAGCCGGGTGGTGTCAGGATAGTTTTATAGGCTAAACGTAGATTGGAACCTCTCTCTGCTTACTGTGACATTGTTTCGTGTTGCCTTCTTTTTCTTCCTGTTATCACAAGTAGTAAGAGAATGTGGGGATGGTGCCTTTGTAATTCTGCATCTACAGAATTGTCCCCTGATGTTTGCATCACGACACCGTCATCATTTGTGAATCGGTCTTGGTAATATTTGTACCAATTTCATGCCAATAAAAGTCAGACTGCTGAAACACGCACGGTCATTATCTCATTCATATTCCTATTGTTTCAACGGAGTGGGCTGCAGAGGGAAAGGGAAAGCCTGCCTCACTTTCCGTGATGGTTGTTAACTTTGATGTTGGAAGGCTCTTTTCAAAATTTTCCTTGTGGATAATCAGTATAGCAGGAAAAGCCCTTGGACTTGGGCTGCCTCCTGGCTCTGAGTAGAAGAGCAATCTAACGGCTCTCTTAGTCCTTTCTGTTGAAATGACTTTTTAAACACATGATTTGACATTTTTGAAAAAGGTTCCACCTTTTCCTGTCTGTAGTCACTCCTTTTGCCTCTCTCCCCTCCCTCCACACCCCCCTTCCCTGACCCCCAACTTCAGTTTAATTGGTAAGCCAGGTGTTAATATTTCTTTTTTAACTATATGGTGGTCAGGGAATAGACAGGAAATGGAAAATAAGCTCTTTTGATCTTAAGAGAATTGTTATTACTGTGAACCTCGTTTGCTAGTCCGCAGTCTAAATATTTTTAAATTTTAGTATCTAAAACAGCATCTATTAGAATAGAGAAAGAAATATGCTCTGGGGTTGTCCAAACCTCTCATAGAAGAAACATTTAGATACATAAAATAATTGTATGTATGTGTGTGTGCATGTGTGTGTATTGCTATCGCTATGGTGGCTTTTTTGAATGTTCAGAAGTTGTTCTCTTTTGCAAGAAAAAATAAGATGTTTGCGACTGCCTTAAGGACAATTTGTTTAACAGTAGGAGTAATTGCAGGGAAAATGGAAAGAGTGACTGAAGGTATTTACTCAGATGTTAGTGTAGGTGTGGGGGCCGAAAACTCAGTGTGGGAACAGTGGGCTGCTTTTCTTGGTATCTTAGTCTATTTGATGACCATCAAATTTCCCAGCTCGCTCGTTTTGTTTTTTCTGGATGGCATGTTTGATTATTTATCAGAAGGGGAAGGGAGTAGCTGAAGCAAATAAACATGTGACCAAGTTCTGTTTTGTTTTCCACTCCGAAAGCCATGCCCTTTAACAGATATACAGAAAATAATAAATGCATTGTCTTATGATAAAAGGAAATTATATGTGTCTTTTTTTTTTTAAGGCAAGTGAGTTAACCCTTAAGGCTCAGGAGGCTTTTTGCCTTCTGAGAATTTGCCAGGCTTTTTATTGAGAATTAGCCTATTGCAACTAATGGTTTTATGGGACAGGATTTCCCAGGATTACTTGGTTCATTAATTTAGCTTTTTCTAGACAGTTCACTTAGGAATGTCTGCCTCAGTAGTTCGACTGTGTGGTGTATGTGTGTGTGTTTTAAATAATAATACCATTGGACAAACCAGTGACTCTTACCGTTTTGTCGAAGGCTATATTCTGATGTTTAAAGCTAAACATGAATAGCTCAACTAAAGGAAAGTATACCATAGTGTCTGTGGCTAGGGTACAACGTAATTTATCAGAGGCCAACATTTTGCCCCTCTCTTTAAAGATGTTAGGCAGGTGCTGTAATACAGAGAGTCTACTTATATGTCTGTGTCCCTCAGAAATACCTTCTAGTCTTTAATATTATGTAACCCATTTCATTATCTTCAAGGCTGTCATTATCTCAAATTGATTCCTCCAGAGGCCAAGGGAAAGGCTCAAATCTATATTAAATTTAGATTTAAAATTTGCGTTTTTTTTTTTTTTAGTTCTCAAGTGGGGTTTGCATGGCTTTGTGAAATCATTCTTAATATGTAGGCATTCACTGATATATGTGCGCATACTGGCACATTCTTTAAATACCGGAACATGATTTTCTGTAGGGGCTTCCTTACTTCTCCACATCCTGAAGAAGTGATGTGCGTGATTCTAGCACAGTGCCTGGCCCAGTCGTATCAAGACCTATAAATCACAACTGAAAATCTGTTTCATTGCCTATACTGTTTTGGAATGTGAATTGAAAATATGCACACAGAAGGGATTCCCTCTTCCTTGACTATATAAGGGAACGGTGCAGCAGAGGCTCAGATACAGTGCAACTTTCATGAGTATTGCCCTGCAGATAACTAGGAGGTTGCTTTGCCCTTGAGAAGACAAGGATGGAAGCAGTGGCCTTTCCGCCTCTCTCCAAAAGGCAGTTGGGTTGGATAATCATACTTTGTATTTATACGGAGCCCTTTGTCTGTAGAAATCAAAGTGCCTGACTAATGCTAACTTGTTAATACTCAGAACACCCCAGGGACATAGGTAGGCTGCAAAGATTATCCCAGTTTTGAGGTGGGAAAATGTCCTGTTGTTAAAATCATTTACAATTTCCGGGTGTGTCTGTATTTAATGCTCAGGCTAGACCTGGAAGCGCTGTGATCTAGAGATCATGAGAAGCATTTTTTCCTGTGACATAGTCAGCCCTGACCACAGGCAGTCTCATGAGAAAGTGTTTTACCATGAAGAAACTGGCCTGGAAAATATAGCTAGTGCATGATGTTGATGGTTGGGGGAGGGAGGAGGTGGTGAAGACTAATCGTTCTTTATTTTAATCTATTTAGGGTCAAAGGATGTATTTTTTTTAAAGATACAGCATGGGCTGAAACTTCTGATTTTTGTTTTGTTTCTCTTTAACTCAATATGATGTTGGCAATTTAACTTCCACAAAAATCAAGTCAAGTTTGTTCTTTGTGAAGAAACAGATACAGTACTGCTTATGGGCGCTGCAAAGTTAAGTCAGCGGTTGCTCTGTAGTTTCATGCTTTGGGGGCAAAAGAATTGAAACCTGCTGTTAACCTGGTATGGTACTGTGTGATTCTTCAATTCTGGAGTGCCGTGGGCCTCCTTCCTGGGTTTCTAAAGCACAGTGTAAAAATTAGACAAGTGCCATTTACTGTTCAGACTCCTTCGTTGAAAGCTTTTCCAGAAAACTCCACAGTAGGGTGGAGGTGCCTGGGTTGTTTGGCTCCTGAAGCTGTTTGTTTGTTGGAACCTGAATATAGAAATTAGATTTGAAAAAAAAATCTCTACTCAAAATGTGCTTTTAATTTCAAAATGTAATTTTCAAAAGACCATACAAAATGATTCCAGTTTTTGCTTAAGAAATATTCTTTTCTTTTTTCTTCTTTCTTTTTTTTTTTGTTTTTGTTTTTTTTTTTTGTTTGTTTTTTTTTTTCTTTTTGGTTTGTTTGTTTCGTTTTTTTCTTTGAGACAGAGTCTTGCTCTGTAACCCAGTCTGGGGTACAGTGGTGCTATCTCAGCCGACTGCAGCCTCCATCTCACGGGTTCAAGGGATTCTCATGCATCGTCCTCCTAAGTAGCTGGGACTACAGGTGTGCACCATCACACCTGGCTAATTTTTGTATTTTTAGTAGAGACGGAGTTTTGCCATGTTGCCTGGGCTGGTCTCCAACTCCTGGGCTCAAGCGGTCTCCCTGCCTCGGCCTCCCAAAGTGCTGGGATTACAGGCGTGAGCCACAGTGCTTGGCCCAAGAAAATTTCTTTTCTTTTCTTTTTATTTTTATTTATTTGATTATTTTTTTGAGACAGAGTCTCACTCTGTGGCCCAGGCTAGAGTACAGTAGTGTCATCTCGGCTCACTGCAAGCTCTGCCTTCCGGGTTCACGCCATTCTCTGGCCCTAGCCTCCAGAGTAGCTGGGACTACAGGCGCCTGCCACCACGCCTGGCTAATTTTTTTTTTTGTATTTTTAATAGAGACGGGGTTTCGCTGTGTTAGCCAGTATGGTCTCGATCTCCTGACCTGGTGATCCGCCCGCCTTGGCCTCCCAAATTGCTGGGATTACAGGTGTGAGCCACCACGCCCGGCCAAAAATTTCTTTTCTTAATCATATCCCCAAATGCTGACAATGTGTCATTGCAGGTGATGGTGTCATATTTTTTATTTTTCTCCCAATTCATGTATACATTTTACATATCTTCTACCATGAAGTTATTACTTTCATAATCTATAGTTATACAGCACTTTTCAAAATCACTTGTTACTTATTGAGTGTGAGGCTCTAGACTATGCACTTTACATGTATCAATTTGACATAGGTACTTTCAGTTCCTCCCATTCTTATTGAAGAAGAAACTAAGACACAGAGAGGTTAAGTAACTTGTCTCAGGTCACACAGCTAGCGAATGGTAGAATTGGGCTTCAAATCCAGACACAGTGATTGGTGTGCATTCAACCACTATGTATGCTGCTTCTGTGGACATACATTAATGTTTTTCAAAGCAAACTTCTATTTCTTTGTAATTTCTGTTATTCTCTCAGGGTCAGTAATTCCCCCATATTCCCAGAGAATCCTTACTTCTTCATGCCTGGAGACTCAAGTTCCATCTTATGCTAAACCATGGTTACTGGAAGTTCAAAAGATCATTGTCACTTTTTGAGCACAACTCTGTGAGCACAACTGTGTATCAGATGACCAAAGTTTTTTTCAGATTCCCTCTTAAAGAGTTACTAATTCCTCAACCAAACCAATCAAATCTGTATTTCTTTGCCTCCATAAGATGTAATCTTTCTAAAGTTCATTACAAAGTTACCTTTTTGTGTGGTTTAGATTAACCGAATATATTTTTCTATACGTGTCTAATTTTTTTTAATCGGTCATGTCAAGCAAGTAGTTCTAGTTCCAGGTGAATGGAAGAACTCCAAATCCATACGTCTATGGATTAGTGGACTTTTTGTGTGTATGTCGTTCTTGAATACAGTGAAGGGATTCTATCCAGGCTGCGTGACCTTGACCACATTACATAAACTTTCTGTTTATATAAAGTAATTTAGAACCAATCGTAGTTGGGATTCAGTGTTAGTTACCATTTTCTTCATTGATAGTATCACCACCAGTATCATCATCTCCCCCTAGCTCAATATTTGGCCTCTTAGGCAGCCATTCCTGCATTGAGAATTGGCAAGGCATGGGTGAATGTTTGGTAAGAGTCAGAGTCATAGTTGCTCAAGTACATTTGCCATTGGAAAGAGCCAGGATTCTCACCTGCATGTCATCTGTGTAACTGCAGATAAACCATGTACCCCTCTTGTCCTCAGTTTGCTTTTTGTACAATTAAAGTTGACTGCCTTAGATCCCTTTGGGTTCAAGAGAGGATGCTGCAACTTTTCTTAGTGTTTCTGTAAAGAGGACGACCAATGGTTTGAGATCACTGGGAGAAAGGAATCTTTGCTTTCCATTGAGAAAATATATTCTCTTATGCCTGGGGGCAGTGTGTTATAGATATAATAATAGTTTTAGTTTCCATTTACTGAATAACTATCATGTTTCAGGTGCTGTGCTAAGGACTTTACCTACACATGTCACATAATCTTTATAATTTATCCTCTCTGGTCTTATGTTTCTCTTTTTTTTTTCTTTTTTTTTTTGACACACAGTTTATGATCTACAAGTTAAAGTAACCACAAACATAATATGTGCACCACACACTTGCATACATCATGCTGTATTATAAGTATCAATTGTAATAGTGATATTTGAAACATTTTTCTATAGGCTTTGCATAATAAGTAACAAATATTTTGGAGTAGGTAAAATAATTTAACTATTGTAGTTATTTTACATACTTTAAACAATGTATTTATAGTAAACAATTGTGGTGTTTTTATTTGGGGATTTTTTAAATATTCTTTTTTCCAAGAATTGTCCAGTATTTTTTTCTCTCCAGAGAGGAAAAAAAAAAATTGTAAGCATATGACTGCTCAAAAGGCAAAAACTGAGAAAGGCCCAACCTGAAAAGAAATTTTTTTCAGGTTGGGCCTGTCAAACGACTATGCAGGTACACACAAATAGAAATGACTTTGTTTTAAAATATTTGTGAAAAACTAGATAATAGACATAATGGAGTCCCTCTGTATCATTTTTTTTTTAAAAAAATATAACTTTAACTTTTATTTTAAATTCATGGGTACATGTGCAGATTTGTTACCTGGGTATGTTGCATGATGCTGAGTTTGGGGATATCCCGACACCCAGGTACCGAGCATAGTACCCAATAGTTAATTTTTTCACCCTTGTCGCCCTCCCTGTCTCTCTCCCTCATCTGTTAACTGGGTATAATTTACCTCAAAGCATTGTGAAAAAATAAATAATATAATGGGTTTGCACTGTTTAGTACTTGTCTGGCAATAAACACTAAAAACATTACAATTTTTAATTATCTTCCTTATCCCCAATGACCAGGGACCAGGGCAGGTTTAATAACACAGTAATTTAGCACCCATACCACCTCCACCAAAAAAAGAAGAAGAAGAATGTATTTATAGCAGAGTGCAAGAGTCTACAGTGGCTTAAAAAAAGAGCTGGAAATCCCACTGGACCTAAAAGCCATGCCGAGTGGGTCAGGAGAAGAGATCTCACTTAGATGGAGGTGAAGTGTAAGATACAGGTGTCCAGAGGCATTAACTGTGGCTGGACTTTAGTGAAATTTGGGTTAAAAAGGAAAAGACCTGTACTCTCTTAGCTCTGCTTTTCTATTATTTGCTTTATGAAAAGCTCGTTTTGAAAAAAATCCAACCTTGGCTTAGCTGAACCAGAGAACGAGGGACTTGTCCAGAATGGGGCTTGAGGAAGAGCTGAGAATCAAGGTATGATGGGGACAACATCAATATTCCAAGAGAAGATGAGTGAACTCAGTTAACCAGAGAGGTGAAAACACAGCGTGCGAGAGAGCAGAGATAGCTGGGCTTGTTAATTCCTTCCTGTCCGCCTGCTTGGAGTTTGCCATCACAACAGTAGAAACACAGGATGCTGCTGCAGGGATTCAGATGCAGGGCTGGTCCCTTGGGTCTAGGGATATCAGGGGACACTGCTGCTTGAAGGAATTGGATTGTGGACAGAGTTTTTAGGCAAAGGTTGAATTTAGATGAAAGAAGATACTTGGATGCCATGTAAATGTGGGCAGAGAACAGGGAGGGCAGACTTGTGGATATGGTTATGGCTCACAGAGTCCTGGCCATGGAAAGGTCTGGTTGAAAAAAAGCAAGTCTTTTGTGTGGGGAAAAGAAGGGAGATTAAAGTTAGAAGGTGTGACACTGAGAAAAGACCCTTCCTTTCATTCTGGAGGCAAAAGGGCCCACAGTCAGTCATGCATTTTTAGCTCCGGAGGTCTGCATAGCCATTTGCCAAGATTACCCGTGGCCATCTTTGGTCTAATCAGTGACCTTGATACAGTGTGAGTATCAAGTTCTCATGAGACAATGTTTTGTTCGTTTTTGTTTTTCCATCCTAGCCACTCTGTAGACTTGTGACCTTGGGCAAGTCACTGAACTTGACAATCTGTCTCTGTTTGCCCATTTTAAATCAAGACTTACAAAACTTTCCCGAACTTCCCTTAGAAAAGTTGGGAACAAGAAATGAGATTAGTGTAGAGAGCACCTTAACTAGCACAGTGTCTGGTTCATAGTAAGCAATTCAATACAGTGTTTTTATTTAGTGTCTTAAATGTAGGGAAGTTATGCTGCACTTGTCCCTATGTTTCCAGATGTGCCTCATTTCTTAAATTGTTATACAGATACAATCTTAGCTATTCGAAATAACTTGCTTTAAGGAGTGTAAATTAATGGAGAATATTAGGATTCCCCCCCATCCTAATATTTGGCCAGTAGTGAGTAGTTCCGCATTTTGGATTATTATTCTTGTTTGGCCCTTTCCTATATTCCCATTTCTGTTTCTTTCTTTTGTCTTCTATCTCTGCTGGAATGTTGCCTCTAAATCATTTTTACTCTTTGCTTCTTTGCCCAAATTCAGGCAAGAAAAGGAAGGTACTTTGTGAAGCAAAGCATTCATAGGTGTTAATTGCCTCTTAGGGCATCCCGAGTATGTGTGACTTACAGTATAAGAAAAAAAGGAATACAGTACCATATTTGTTTGAGAAAGAACTGGGTTCAGTGTTACTAGGAAAATCATGGAAAATCCTCCATTATTTTGAGCATAATTCTAGTTAGATTCTTCCACAAGCTTCAAAATTAGCAAGTCTCATTCTGAGGTATGAAAAGATGTGAATCTGAATTATTCATAATGAGAGTTGCTGAGCTGCACCTCATAAAAGGCAATTGCAAAAAACAGTGGGTTAAATACAGTGAGTTAATAGAGCCTTTTGATTCATTTATCCTTGCATTTGACCCCAAGTTTTTCTACTTTGGGAACCTGGAGGATGGGTCCAACTTATTTATTTTTAAACACAATCTAGTCTTAAACAGAGGCAAAAAAGAGTTTGATGCAGCATCCAACTTAACATTTTAGACATTTTCTAATAAACTTCACTTCTGTTTTACTTCACTGCAATGCTAATGTGGCCTACAGTCATAGCATCCTAGGCTGTGATCTTGTCAGCTCTCGTGAGCTAAACAGGCTCAGGCTTGGGCACTGCTTGAATGGAATCCCTCCAAAGACAACTCAGGTGCCGGAGACTTGGTGTAGTGATTCAGCGTCTGGCACTGGCTCCAAGAGGGGCAACCAGCCAGTGCCTCAGCAAGGTGGTTATAGGGCCCTATGTTAATGGGAGTAGGAGTATGATGGTGGGTTTTTTTTTTAGCTCTTCCCAAAGACTTAAAGCAGACTTCCTGACTGTTTGTAGTCATTAAACTTACTACATCTAATTTTGCAAGAGGACCATAGATATCCCCCCCCCCTTTTTTTTTTCTGGTGTCATGAAAATCCTATCCTTTACCTTGCTGGCTGGGAAGTATCCTGTACGTGCCTTTCAAGTAAAAAAGGTTACTCATAATTGCAAGCGGATACAGGGTTTGCTGACCCCTTCCTGGGCTTGATTGGCGGTGGGGTTTGTAGCAGAATGCCACCTCCTATCTAGAGCCTTCGGCATCTCTCTCTGTCCATGTCTCCTGTAGTTGGTGCGCAGGATGGCATTTGAGCTCACAACGCTAATGCAGGCAAATCATGACGTGGTGCAGGAAAACATTTGCGTAATTTTTTCTCTTTAGTCCCAGTTCTTGTAAAAAAAAAAAAAAGAAAGAAAGAAAAAATATAATTTTTTGCCATCTTTTCCTCCCCAAGAAAATATACTCAAGTTGCTGACTTTAAAAGAAACAAAAAGCACAACTCCCAAACCTACCTTTGCGGTATTTGTTAAACATTAAAGTAAAAGAAAAGCAAGGAATATACATAATCGGCATCATAGCAATGATAACCACCCTACGTGTAGCTTAAAGAATATAAAATCATGTCTGTAAGTATATGTGAAACCTAACATTGGAAGTAGATCTAGAAGAGGGGTTCAGGCTGGTGTGGGGTGATAAAGTGGTCCAAGTACTGGAGGGAGTGCTTTGGCCTGGCCTTTACCTCTTCCCCACCGTCCCCACGCAGAGATGACACTGCCCATGACCCATGACTGTAACTCCTCTGCAGTTAGGACAATGATGACCAAAGAGAAGAGTGACTTTTCTATTTCTTGTCCCTTTCCACTTTGACTCAAACACATAATGTTGGAATGCTGTAGGTGTGGAGTTATCTCTGCTCTGATTTTTCTCCATGCCTATCTTGACATTGTCTCATAAACTTATTTGCAAAGACTGGAACACTTTTTAAAATCCATGCAAAATGTCCTACCTAAATATCAGCTGTTATTAAATGCTCTGTAAGCATAGGACAATTTGTCCAGCTGTTGGAACTCTTGAGGATGGATGATGCTACATAGAGCCTTTCCCTTCTCAGCCACTGATTCAAATTCAGTATATCCCAGTTGATGTAAGACTTGGCTGTCTACTGCACCTGCTTTTGGGGTTGAGTCAAGTGAATTTACTACCAATGAATGTTCAGAGTCCACACCCTTATTTGCAGTATCATAGAGTAGACCAAACAGTGACTGGTACAAAGAAACTGTTAAAGGCTGTCTGTGAATGGTCATTACCCCCTGTAAGTTTTGTTGGAGAATGTGTTTTGTTTTCTATTTATGACACCAATAACCTGACTCAATGATTTACTGCAGTGCTTTCTTTCTTCTCTTGTGTATCTAATATTTACACAGTCATTAGTATTGGAATCTTTCTTTGAACATCTAATATTTTCACAATCACCAGAATCCTTCCATGAGATTAACTTACTTTTCCATTGTCTTGTTACAACCAAATGTTCTATTTGTAAAATAAAATTTTAAAAAATTGTTTGAAGAACCTGTTGCTTTGGAATACTATTGACTCTGTATGAATACTTCCAGTTCTACAAGTGACTGTCATTTCTTTCTTTTTCTTTTTTTTAAGTCAGTCACAACCCTTAATTCCTTCCTGCACTGGAGTGATTGCTCTGTCTAAAGGAAGAAGGTGATGAAGTTTCCTTGCATACTCAGTCCTCGGTCTTGCTACAGAGTGATTGTCAGGTTGTGTTAAATGATCACTGCTTTGGTTGCTGGGGTTGAACAAAGATAGCAAACTAGTTTAGGGGAACCAGGCTCTCTACAGGGAGTCAAAGAGTATGTAGAGGATGAGAAACAGAGGAGAGAACACGACTCCTTTCCTACTAATGTTCCTATGCTGCTTTTCTTTTTTTTTACAAGCTTTTCCTCCCACCCCTATATCCACAGTGACTGTTGATTAGTCCATGAAATTATCTGAAAAACAGGTTTGATCTTGAGGGGTGGAGAGAGTCTAGGAAAAGAAATTAGAAGAAGGATGGCTGACTCAGACCAGCCTTTCAAGCTGGAAATGGGACAACTTCTCAGGGCAGACAGGAAATAACCAACTCTCGACTGGCCACCAATAAGGCACATGCTGTCTTCATTCTGTGGGTGCTCAGGATCTCATACTGATCTGAACTGCTATCAATTACCTACCAGCAGAAACACATCTTCAAAGTTTGAGGCAAGTTTTAAACAGTTTCAGATCAAGAAGCACATGGATGTATTTCCTTTTCAGAACATCAACATTGAATTTGAGCTTAAAGAACAGCTAATTAATAATGTTCTTGCTCCTTGGCCAAACTCTAAAATTATTTTGGGGAACTGATTGGAAGATGTGTTTATATAGGATTCTATCCAGTGAAATCTTTGGGGATCTCAGACTACAGATAGCAACCTAAGATGGGGATTGACAGACTTTTCTAGTAAAGAGCCAGATAAGAAATATTTTAGGTCTGAAGGGCCATGTGGTCTCTGTCAAAAGTCCTTGACTCCGTTTGTAGCACAAAAGTAGCCATAGATTATATATAAGGGAATGAGCTTAACTGTATTCAAATAAAATTTTATTGGTAAATACCAAAATTTGAATACCATATAAGTTTCACATGTCATAATATAATCTTATTTTATTTTTTTCTCAACCATTTAAGTAAGCAAAAACCATTCTTATATCATGAGCTGATATATGACAGATGATACAACACAGGTGATAGACCGAATTTGGTCCACGGGCTATAGTTTGCTGACCCGTGACTAGAAACTTTCCAGTTAGTCATATTTTTTGAAGACCTCCATGTGTCAGTTGGTTATCTCAGACCCCGTCACCAAGTGTGTTATGCAAAACATTTTAGAAAGATTTTCTCCTTCTACCAGCTTGCTTTATGTATGTGTGCATGCCTGTTCAAACCATATTTTATATAAACTTGTTGATGTTTCTTAAAATATGGTAGACATGTTTTTGAACATCGGCTACCTTGATAAACATGCTAAACATAGAATTACCTAGCCCCTATAAGCACCTGCTATGATCTTAGAATGTAAATAGCTCAGAAGTTGTAAACACGCTTATGTAAAACATAATTTGTAAATAACAGATGGCACTTATTTACTAAGAATATGAAGGCACTGATGAGAATGAAGTAATCTTGGACCAATAGAATGGAAGGTGTGTCAAAAATGTCCAGGTTCCAAGTTAGTATGAAAACAGGACCTACCGAGCCAGCAGCGAGAGGGCCATCTCACTGGCTCTGAGTGCTGAGAGCTGGCCGTGGACCATGACATGCCAGCCATCGGGCAGTTCCAACTCCTTGTGCAGATCCGGGCATAGATGGGAGACTAGTCAATCCACAGAAGAGATGAAAGTGATGCGTGCCTGCCACCACTCCCCCTGACCCACCCACTTCTTCTTTTAGCTCAGAGAGCCACTTATTTTAGCTTGAAGGAAAATAAATGTGAATGTGTGCAACTGGGCTCTAAGTGCCTGGTTTTATCATTCACCTCCACTCTGTGACATCCTCAAACTGTGTCTTTACTGTAACCCGAGCCTAGCATGAAAATACAGCACCAGGTTATCCAGTGCCAGGCAATTGTCACATCTGTTATAAAGGAAGTGTTGACTCAACCCACCCAGGAACCACCCAAGAGTAAAAGGTCTCCAGAGATGGGATTGGACCTTTTAAGTTATTTACATTAGCAATTGATCTGGAACTTGAGTCAGAGTTGATCCTTGCTTCTTAAAAGAGAAATTCTTTCATTTATTCATATCCTTTCTGTCTCTCTCTTTCTGCTGCTTGCCCTCTCCTTCTTCCTTTTTCACCCTTCTCTCTCCCTCTCCCATACACACAAACACATATTCACACGCATTCTGTATCCAGAGAATCTAATTTTATCTTCAAACAATGTATCCTAAGGGACTTTTCTCTAATTGTGGTTGAGATATTGTTATAAAAATAAGAAAAGTCCATTCTCACTCCTCAGTTGTATTGGAATAATATCTGGCCTGCCACAGTGGCTCACACTTGTAATCCCAACCCTTTGAGAGGCCAAAGTGGGAGGATTGCTTGAGCCCAGGAATTTGAAACCAGCTGGGGCAACACAATGAGACCCCGTCTCTACAAAAATGGAAAAATTAGTTGGATGTGGTGGCTCATGCCTGTAGTCCCAGCTATTCAGGAGGCTGAGGTGGGAGGATTGCTTGAGCCCAGGAGGTCAAGGCTACAGTGAGCCGTGATTGTGCTATTGCACTTCAGCCCAGGTAACATAGTGAGACCTTGTCTCAAAGAAAAAAAAAAAAGATTTATCTCTGGGGATTAGGCATTGGAGTTGGAGATGAAGGACATAATCTGTTCTGATCACATAACAGGTAAAAATGGCTATCAAGTCATCATCTGCAGGAAACATGGTGAACATAGGTCTCTGACACAGATTCCAAAGGGGATCCCATCAGTCATTCCACATTTTCCACTGATCAACACTGAACATTATAATAAGCATGTTTTTTACTTTTTACAAATCATAGATGGTGGAGATTTGTATTATAATGCCCAGATACATAGTGTTATACACTAAGGATTTATTGCCTCTCCTTGCATGTGACAATTTAAAATCTAGACCACAGTGATTTATAGATCATGGAAATTAGAAAAGAAAACACCTTTTAGTGGTTGATTTCAAAGCATGTTATAAATTCTGTTCAGTTAGGTTTTAAAACTCCTGCTGAGACCTAAGGCAATTTTTAAATGGATTTTAATTTGGGGAGGATATGGATAATAATTTGTTCCTACTCTGTTAACATACTCATGATAAAGCTGGGGAATTATTGTGGGATAATTCATAGCAATTCACATCAAAATGAATTATTCTCTGCACTAGTGTTGTCTCTCCATCCCAAATATTTAAAGTTATTTTACCTGTGTTTATTCATTTGGGGGCTGAAATTTGGAAGTCAGTTTGCACATCTTTATCTCGTGGTGTTCTCTGTTCAGTAGGTCGGCTGCAGTTTCCCTTGGGTTCATACAAGTTTGCAAACCTTTTCCCCCCGTGCTTGTATCTTGGATTATCATCTTTAGTGGGCCTCTGTATGAGATGGTATGAAGAGGCTGGGGTTTACAGTATGATTATTTAAGTTCATGTACCCTATGTTGGGTCTGAAAAAAAAACTTATACATGACTTTTTTACCCCCTTCAAACCAGAAGAATAAATCTGAGGATCCCAGTAGCTAATTTTGAAATGTGTGATCATTCTGTAGAGCCAGCTCAGTAAGCATTTGTTGAAAACTTAAGTTCTATACTTTCCTTTCCTTATGTACATTTATGAGACCATGCTCATGTAAGAATAGTTTTGTGATGGCCGGACACGGTGGCTCACGCCTATAATCCCAGCACTTTGGGAAGCTGAGGCGGGCAGATCACTGAGGTCAGGAGTTCAAGACTAGCCCGGCCGACGTGGCAAAACCCCGCCTCTACTAAAAATACAAAAGCTAGCAAGGCATGGTGGCAGGTGCCTGTAGTCCCAGCTACTCGGGAGGCTTGGGCAGGAGAATTGCTTGAACCTAGGAGGCAGAGGTTGCAGTGAACCGAGGTTGCACTACTGCACTCCAGCCTGGGCAACACAGCAAGACTTTGTCCAAAAAAAAAAAAAAAAAAGAATAGTTTTGTGTGTATGTGTGAATGTTTTTCTTAAAGACACTTTGCTGAAGTGAGGAGTTGACTATAGCTGCTCTGAGACTTGACTATTTAAAAATTGAGACTGGGTGCAGTGGCTCACACCTGTAATCCCAGCACTTTGGGAGGCCAAGGCAGGTAGATCACCTGAGGTCAGGAGTTAGAGACCAGCCTGGCCAACATGGTGAAACCCCGTCTCTACTAAAAATACAAAAATTAGCTGGGTGTGGTGGCACACGTCTGTAGTCCCAGCTACTCAGGAGGCTGAGGCAGGAGAATTGCTTGAACCCGGGAGGCAGAGGTTGCAGCGAGCTGAGATTGCACCACTGCACTCCAGCCTGGGTGACAGAGCGAGACTCCGTCTCCAAAATAAATAAATAAATAAATAAATAAATAAATAAAATAATAATAATAATAATAATTGAGTGCCCATTCTCCCAGTATTTGGTGGAATGTGGTAAGTTATATAGAGTCTTCATTACTTTGTTTTTCTTTGCTTGCTTTATTTTAGCCTTAAATGTGTGTAACCTTTCTCCTCTTCCCCACCATATTTTTCTCTGCACTGTCATCTATAGTCCCTCTCTCTGCCTTTCCAACTAGCAACCAAACCCTTCTTTGCTGATCAGTCTATTACTCTGAGAACTCTGATGATAGCACTTAAAATATATAACAGTTCCCTTTCTACATTAAAAAGCCATAAAACCTTCATGTGCAATAGCTAAGGGAACATATATAGTAGGAGAAGAGGCTTTTGCTCCTGCAGGCACCTTGCAAAGGGGACTATTTTTCTTATATGATATAAATGAAATCTTCACTCTGCCCACTTTTACACCTACGCATGTACTGAGCGTCTCCAAGGAGACAAGGAAACCCGGAGTCCAGTGATGGTGAATCCTCCCTGAGACAGCAGGCTAGAGTCTCAGGCAACTCTCCCAGGCGTCTTGGCTTCCAGATGCCCCACTCAGACAGCCCCTTTTCTCGAGGCTCTTCCAGGCAGGCCTTGTCGAATCTGTCTCTCCCTTCACAGATGAACTAGCCTGTGCATTACATCTGAAGGGCTGGTCGTGGTGAGTTCAGTAGGCAGAAGGCCTCCCTGGGACACGGGGGTGGATGCAGTAGGCAGGTGGGATAGCAGGGTTCCACTTTCCCATGGTCTTTTCTTTGTCACTCATCTATCGGTGCTTGTGTTTCTTAGCTTTCCTTTGCACCTCTTAAACACAAAGGCGCCACTCAACCTTACGCAGTGTCTTAAAAGTATTATTTGTTACAACTCTAGTTATGAGCACAGTTCAGTGAGCGTGTCCTTTTAGGAGAAGCACTGCTCTTGCACACTCCACGTTTTTACGTGTCTGCTCATGAACATTAATCCTCTAGACCACTCTGTTCTCTCTTTCTTCTGAGTTCCAGGCACAGGGACACGCAGGCCCCCTTACCTCTCTTCCATTCCACTATTGTCCCTGTAACTTTTCTTGTAAATATCCATGTTGTTTTCTTATGTAAATGAAGCACCTGTTCCTTTTTAAGGAACACACTACCGTCATAAGTCCATTATGCTAACTTTCTAAGGCTATAGCTTCAGGTCCTTTTGATGTATTGATGACATCTATGTGTGCCTCTTCTTTGATGCGCAAATAATTTGGTTACCATATAGAAATTATTATTGATATAATAAGAAGTCTCATTTTGTGTCTAAACTCTAAGCACATCGTTTAATGAGCATTCTTGACATCTCTGCCATGTGTACATTCTTGGTTCTCAGCTGCATTGACTCAAGTAACCCAACTTTTCATATGACTTTCTAGCATGATATCCTCAAACTTCAGTTTTCTGTTGCTGGTCCTAGTGCCATCTTTGGAAAGGTGTGTGGCTAGCCAGTATTCCTGTTCTTAATTCTTTGGCAGTGAATGTCTTCATGGCGGTTTATTGATGACATTGTTTTTTTCTTTTTTTACTTGACCTTTTATTTTATTTTATTTTATTTTATTTTATTTTATTTTATTTTATTTTGAGATGGAAGCTTATTCTGTTACCCAGGCTGAAGCACAGTGGTGCGATCTCGACTTACCCTAACCTCTGCCTCCCAGGTGCAAGCGATTCTCCTGCCTCAGCCTCCCAAGAAGCTGGGATTATAGGCATCTGCCACCACACCCAGCTAATTTTTGTATTTTTAGTAGAGACAGGGTTTCACCATGTTGGCCAGGCTGTTCTCGAACTCCTGACCTCGGTCTCCCAAGGTGCTGGGATTACAGGCGTGAGCCACAACGCCCAGCCTGCTTGAACTTTTAAAAAGATTTGTCAGTCATATGTTAAACATTTTAGAGGACTCTTCTGTTTTCTTCCTGCTTTATCTCCAATTCATACTACCTCCCCAATGTCTACCTTTAAGGAGAAACCATCCCATATTGTAAGCTTGAAAGGGTCATTTATAATAAACGTAACCAGTTTTGTTCACAGATACATAATGTGCCTCTTTAAGATGACTAGAGATCAGATTTGCCAAATTTTCCTCTCTGATTTCTATCAAGGTCATCCTAGGTATGTCTCATCTGTTTAATCTTCCTTTCTACGTAGCCTAATCCATAGTATATTTTTTTTTGTGGTCCACCACTTAGTTCTTTTTCTTTATTTGGACTCAGATGGGGTGAAAGTATTACTTTCAACTTGAGTCGCTACATTTCCCCAAGAAGAATTTGGGGAGGGTGAAGGTGACCCTGAAAAGGGCCCTGTAGTGTCTCCCAAGTTTTCGTCTTTGCTTGGGTCCCTCCTGGTCTCTCTGTCATCTTTGTTCAGAGTCTCAATCACTCATGGTCTTAAATTTCATGTCAGATCTTTAGTAGGAATAAAATGTCTGCTTAGATGCCTGTGGAACCGTGGATGAAACTGGCCGAGTCAAAGGGAACGTAAACAAATTCTGGAAAGTTTTCCAACTAAGACTGGTGGGAAGTTTCATTTGCTGTTTCATTTGCCAGGAAATAGGAAAGTCAGGACCCAGTCCCAAAGCGCACTTCCTGGAATCCTTTTTTATGAAGAGTCCCCTGAACCTGTGTAGTAACGCAAAGGATTTTCTTGTTTTTCCTTCCAGGCACTTCAGGTGGCAAGACAGCTCCTTCTTCAGCAGCAACAGCAGCAGCAAGTTAGTGGATTAAAATCTCCCAAGAGGAATGACAAACAACCAGCTCTTCAGGTAACAATTCTTTTTCTTTTTAAATTGACATTATACCCTTTGGGATAAGTGACAAGCAGTTCAGGAGTGGATTGTGTTGAGCATTGCAAATCATGTAAGAAAATCTTCTGTGGAAAGTGCATTTTTGGTTTACCAGCAAGTTGTAACATTTTGGGGAAAATGTGTATTTGACCAAAAGTTTTATTGTCAGGAGTAAGATCTGCTGATTAGTGAATATAATAGAAGGATAAGGAGTTGTAAGTGTTGAGTTGCTAATAGGCAGTGTAGGTTACCAATGAGAAAAGTTCATAGTACTCAGAATTGTCACCACATTCTCTTATGTTGGGTCTAGAAATGGCATAAACACACACAGACACACACCTTACTTTAGTGTAGTCATCCTCAATTGGGAAGATTTTGGCGACCCCCCCACCCCCCCACCCACCACCAGGAGACAATGGGCAATGTCTAGAGACGTTTTTCGTTGCCACAACTAGCAGGGCAGAGGTGTTGCTGGCATCCAGTAAGTACAGGCCAGGGATGTTGCCAAACATCCTGCAATGCACAGGACACGACACACCGTGATTCATCCCAGAATGTCAATAGCATCAAGAACTATGACTCGGCCTGAGGAGGATGTGGTACTTTTAACATTATGGCTTGTAATGATTATAATATATACCCAATTCTTCAGTGGATATGTTCAGAATGTTTCTAGGTCAATAATTTTTAAATGGCAAGAAATTTTTATGTAAAGATACAAAAATGGTTGTTCTAGCAACTTCTGATTTCAGGCACATTGAAGGCAAGGGCTTAATGGAGTAGAAGAATGAGTAAGTTTATAAAAATCTAATTTGGGGCCAGGCATGGTGGCTCACGCCTGTAATCCCAGCACTTTGGGAAGCTGAGGCAGGCGGATCACTTGAGGTCAGGAGTTCGAGACGAGGCTGGCCAACCTGGTGAAACTCCATCTCTACCAAAAAATACAAAAGTTAGCCAAGCTTGGTGGCGGGTGCCTGTAATCCCAGCTACTAGGGAGGCTGAGGCAGGAGAATCGCTTGAACCCGGGAGGTGGAGGTTGCAGTGAGCCAAGCTCGCACCACTGTGCTCCAGCCTGGGCGACAAGAGTGAAACTCCATCTCAAAAAACAACAAAAAAAATCTAATTTGGGTTTTTGACTCAAAGTAGAAAATTGTAATAGAAGTTTCAAAGAGACTTGAATCAGGGTCTTCATGCTCACGTTTAAGAGAGGGCACTTGGCACCCGGGTCCTAAGTGGTTCAGACTACTTTCATAGCTGAAGGTGGGCATCCTTGTCACAGGAGGGGACAGAATCTATAAGCGGTAGCTGATAGGTATATAACTTGGTGCCAATTAATTGGATAATGAGGTCAACCTAAATTCTAGCTTGTGTTTACTTTTCACAGGTCAGGGTGAACCACAGCCTGTTCCCAGATTATCCCCAAAGATCAAACTGACCTTGACCAACAAGTTCTAGTTCTTCTACATGTACTTGGGAAACTGTCACTTTCCAGAGAGAGTTCAGCACTATAGTGACGCTTTATTGGAAAAGTTGACAATCTGCCTTGTTTACTAACCCTTCTGTAAACACTTATTTGGTAAACCATCACCAGACCATGTGCCTTGGAATGCGTGCGCATGCAGGGGACATTTTTAATGAGGTACAGTGCCATTGAGGGCCCATGTCAGGTGCTATAAGAAGTGCTTTGTTGTGCAGATGTCTTAAGAACAGCTCTGGAGGATGAAATACGACTATGTTGACCTTTCAGCTGTGAGCTTATTTGTCAGGATTCAAATAAGTTGAAAGGATCAAACTGAACAGTTTCCGTAGTCAGACTGGGAATTGTGTTTCAGAGGTCAGCAGCGGAGGCCACATTGCAGATTCCATAACATAGCCAATTGTTGGTACATATTAAAGTACTGGGGCATCTCCTGTGGACAGAGACACAATTAAAATTCTAATTTATTAATGTATACAGGGAGCTAGCCCAGCCTGTCACTCAGTGATTCAAATGATGGTCCATTCTTTTTGCCTCCCTCTTGGAGCTCTTACAGCCTTAAAAATACCCCGAGTCCTCTTGAATTCATCAGGCCTCAAGTGCATTGGGAAAATGAAAATATATTATTGGGGGGGAAATCTTACACATAGTAGAGCTTTGGTTAGAGATAATAAAAAAACACACACATACACAATCTGTCTGATCACACTGCTCTTCAGTATTGAATATCATTTGTGATTTTTTTTATGGTAGAATTATTTTCCCTCATACTTGCTTTTTAAAAACATATGGCATTTTTAGGTAACTTCTTTTCCAAGATGAACGAAGTTCCTTGAGGGCTAAATATAAGAAGTAAAGTTTCAGGGGATTTCCTTTTGAGGGCTCTTTTTCTTCTTGCCTGTTACAGGGTTTTTAGCCACCATGCAGAAGTGGATGATATAGAGGGCTCCGTTTTTCTTGGCAAGGACAGTGTCAAAACCAACCTCACACATTCTGCTGAGCACTTCAGTCTGTATAAAAAGTAGGGGGAGAAGGGGTAATCTTGAACGCTGGTTTTGGTAAAGAAGATGTCTTGAGTTTTTCCCCTACCCCCCAAGTAGAGGAATTGACAAGCAGAGAATTTAGACCAGCTTTAAGATTTGGCCGGGGGAAATAAATCTAAAAGGTTGGTGGACTGGTGTGTGTGTGTGTGTATCACAGACGATTGCTGAAGGACCCCTCAGCTGCCTGATAGGGTCATGCACATTCAGTAAGCTTTATTAGGTTGGCTGGCCTTCCACAAACAGAGGAGAAATTACTATCCTAGGTCACATGGTATATTACCTCATTATAAAAATATGCATATAGACTGGTGATTCACAGAAGGAATAACCTTCATATTTAAATATATCTTGCCATACTGCATCCTTGCTGAGGCGTCTCCGCCGGAGTGGCTCTGAAATGAAAGGGAAATCCTACAGCAAATCTTAACAGTGCTCATCTCTGATCTTCTCACCCTTCATAACTACACTGAGAGACCGATTTTAGCAAATTTCAGATCTTCTGCATAGAGGAAGGCTTGACAGGGAAGAAGGATTTGATCTGCTGATAGCTTGAGGGAAAAAAAAAAACCCCCAAATCCCCAAATATACTGTGACTCATATTTTAAGCATATCTCACACTTCCCTGCTTTATGTTTGGCAGCGCTCTCTGGTTTCACAGGCTGATGATACAAACAAAAGAAAATGGAAAGTTAGAGGAGGCTATAAGTGGTTACTCGATAGAGATCATAAAATATAGTCAAACATCACCAATTTGGTCTAATTTCAGGGAGATGAGAGTAAATAAGAGAGAAATGGCACTCTTTGCAGATCCACATACTGAACCAAATCTGAGCTGGTCACATTCTTGGGTGATGTGGTTTATTAATGAAGGCATTAATCGGGTATAGATATTGCTTCTGAAGTTCTTGAGAAATATTCTACTTAGTAACCAAAATTATCTTTTTACTTAGTCTGTTCATTTGCTTCGCAAATTTTTTTATGAATGATACAAATGAAAATTGAAAATTGGCCCCATCATAAATTCAGAATCAGAATGATCTGAATTAATTAAGTGCAAGTTGGTGAACATTTCCAAAGCAGGCTGGGCATGGTGCTGGTGTTCATGGGATACAGAACTGTTGAAGATACACACCCTGCCTTCAGGAGGCTTATGAGTTGTAAACAAATTAACAAGATTTTGCTGCAAAACGAAAATTACAGATGAGTAAAAATAGTAGGCTCTTTTTTTTTGAGATGGAGTCTTGCTCTTTCATCCAGGCTGGAGTGCAGTGGAGCGATCTCGGCTCACTGCAACCTCCGTCTTCCAGGTTCAAGCGATTCTCCTGCTTAGCCTCCCAAGTAGTTGGGACTACAGGCATGCACCACCACGCCCAGATAATTTTTGTAATTTTAGTAGAGACTTGGTTTCACCATGTTGACCAGGCTGGTCTTGAATTCCTGACCTCAGGTGATCCACCTGCCTCGACCTCCCAAAGTGTTAGGATTACAGGCATGAGCCACTGTGCCCAGCATAGGCTTTCTTCTATAAATATTTATATACTTCTGAAGATTGCTTAAACAAGTGAAATAAATGCTTAACAGTGCAGGTGTACTCATAACCTCGAAAATGCGTAACTTTACTGGCTGAAGATTAATTTGTGAGTCGATGAGCAATTTTATTGATCAAATTTTGGAACTTTGACCACCGTTTCTGGGTAGTAATTCATCTTGGTTCTTTAAGCATTTTAGTTGTTGGCACGAGTACATAAACTGGAAGGAAATCAAATGACACATTTTCTCCTAAGAAAGTAAGAGTACATGTGTATTCTGGCAGCATTAAAGTTAGGAAAGAAAGTAAACTTTGTGTGTTGCTTACAGTGGAAAGCTCACCAGCTTCAGGCCCTCTATAAAGAATTTGAACCTGAAGCCAGTCATCTGATAGTTTTCCTTCCTGCCCATGCCCTTCCTTCCAAGGTGATGTCATGTGTGAGCCCCTTACTCAGAAGGCCATTTCACTGCAGGGAAAGTGAAACCCACTTAGAAGGCCGGCCCTTTAGTCCACTTGGAAGCTCAGGGTGATCATGTGGATTCTTGCTTTAAGTGGAGGAGGTTAAAATACAAGATTCAGCAGGTGTTTTTTTAGCATTTTTATTTGCAGTTATATAAAACATGCTTTAGGCAGCATTTTGCTTTGCATTAATGCCGCATATAATCTTAGTAGCTCATATCATTTCCACGTTATTCACTAAAGAAGAAATTGGCAAGAGGAAACCTGTAAAGGAAACTACAACTTTATGTTGTTGATAGTGAAATGGAATGGTTTTGAAGTACTGACCCTTAAGAAATAGCCCTATGCACTGATTAGTAAGGAGGATAATTTAGGAGAGAGAAGCAAACTTTTTTTTTTAATGTCTAGAGTTAACATAGTCTAGAATTGGCACCCCTAGCATTTTAAATTGATACAAAGCATTGAAATTTTGATATCTTTAAGATGTTACTGTTATCACATGACTTTTGAGAATCCCAAAACCCTAAAAATAAGTCTCGATAAGAAATAATAAAACAGAAATATTTTAGAAATAGTTCTTAAGCCTTTCTGATTACATGCACCATTACAAATATGATAGAAACAGTGACCCCTCCTCCCAGAAAAACGCACATGAACACAGAATGTCACATCCAGTTTTAGGGATTTCATGAACTTCAAGAAGTTCACCTTGGGGTCCAGGCTGATACTCCTGCTTTAAGATTTTGTTTTTCTTTGATAGTCTGTTTTGTCCTTGCCTCCAAAATTTTGGTGCAAGTTGTAATATAATGAGTTCGTTCGTTTTTGTTATTTCAACTTCAGCTGTGCATAGGTGGCCCTGTGTCCCAGTCTGCCCAGGACAGCCCACTCCATGGCTATTGATTGGTTTTGTTTATTCATAATTCCCACTCTTGAAGGTATCCCCAGGTACAGTGGCTCACACCTGTAATCCCAGCATTTTGAGAGGCTGAGGCAGGCAGATCACTTAAGTCCAGGAGTTAGAGACCAGCCTGGGCAACATGGCAAAACCCCATCTCTGTGAATAATACAAAAATATTAGCCGGGCCCGGTGCCTGTAGTCCCAGCTACTCTGATGGCTGAGGTGGCAGGATTGAATGAGCCCAGGAGGTAGAGGCTACAATGAGCCATGATGGTGCCACCGCATTCCAGCCTGGGAAACAGAGCAAGATCCTAGCTCAAAAAAAAAAAAAAAAAATCCCTATTTGAACCAGGTGCAACTGCAGTGGTGTGCACCATATCTCAGCTACTAAGAAGGCTGAGGCCAGAGGATCTCTTGAGCTCAGGAGTTTGAGGCCAGTCTGGGTAACATAGCAAGACTCTATTTCGATTAAAAAAAAAAAAAAGTGGCCGGGTGCAATGGCTCACGCCTATAACCCCAGCACTTTGAGAAGCCAAGGCGAGCGGATCACAAGGTCAGGTGTTCAAGACCAGCCTGGCCAACAAGGTGAAACCCCATCTTGCAAAAATTAGCTGGGCGTGGTGGCACGCACCTGTAGTCCCAGCTACTCGGGAGGCTGAGGCAGGAGAATCGCTTGAACCTGGAAGGCGGAGGTTGCAGTGAGCCGAGATCACGCCACTGCACTCCAGCCTGGGCGACAGCGAGACTCTGTCTCAAAAAGAAACAAAAAATAAGGAACTCAGTTTGGACTTTAATTATATGATCACTAGTTTAAATGTATCTAAGAATTACAATGCAAATGTGATGCTAATATTTTATATGTAATCATGTCTTTGCCACCACATGCAAAGTGTGATAGATAATGAATGTTTAGTCAGTGCTGAACGTGGGCCAGCTCCTTAGCTACTCTGTAGTATAGGCAGTGTCCTTAAATCATTTAATGGATGAGGAAGATGGAAACAGAGAGATTAACTGACTTGCTACACAGCACAAAGGTAGTAACAGCACCAGGATGGGAAGCCAGGTTTTTTAGAACCACAGATAACCAGTGTGCCGTCAAGAGGTTAATTATTGCCTCTCTTTTTATGTGTGTTTACTCAGCACCTACTGAGTGTCATATTTTCCATAAATAAGTAAATTACGCTATTTTCCATATTATAAGCAAAAAAAAGACAGCTGAAACCAACAAAAATCAGTTCCACTATAAATATCTGGATTTCAATTAAGAGGACTCAGATCTGCATAATTACCCTAAGTATATCTTTATTTGTCTGTGTGTGTGCCTGTGCGTGTGTGTCTCTGTGTGTGTCTGTGTGTGTGGTGGGGACAGAAAGGTGATCAACAACAGCAAAGCAAAGTTATTTCTTATTTTCAAGTCTGAAGTGCTCTTATGAGCGTCCATGCGTTTGGAACATGGACTAGTTTATTATAATCATTGTTGGGGCTAGGAGGTGGAGAGGGACAGGGGAAAAACATACTTGACTGGTCAAAAATGTGTAAATTGCTGACAAAATGACACATGTAATTAAGAGTGCTCCTGCCATTTTACCTTGTGGTTTACACCTCCAGTGTTGAAAAAGAGAGTGACTCCCACCTCGCTAATTACCATTATCACTAAAATGCTAGGGTTGGAGTCATTAGTTCCATGTGCATTTAATTAGAGGAAGGCTGAAATTGGATTTAACTTATTACTTTTTCATGGATCACTTTCTTGTCATCACTTCAAATTGGATTGCAGCCCCAGGTAACTAATTATGAGAGCCACAGGATCAAGAGTGAAAAAAAAGGTAATTAGGAATAACACTGTCGGACCCTTGCTGGTCGTCCACTTGTGCTTCAGGGAAAGAGGGGGAAAAAAAAAGAAAACGCAAGCCATATTTTGTAGTATCACGGATTAAGGAGTTAGGGGCATGTACAGTTGCTAGGCATCATGGGACTCTGTCACCACCCATAGTGGTTTCTGTGATATACAGCTGAGTTGAAGATGTCGAAGCAACGTGGTTCCACAATCAGCTGCTTAATAACTAGATTGAACTTGTAAAAGCAACAGATTGGTTGTAGGTATGAGGCATCTCTACAACTGTGTAGACTGGGGGCCTCACATATATGATTACAACAAAGCTGTCAAGATGCCTCTGAGCCAAAGTAGAGAATATTTTAAGTATAGGGAGTTAGAATTTAATGAACATATTAATGCTCCAGAAACATCATTCATATCTGACAGAAAGATGTATCAGTCAGCACAACAGTCAGGTTTAGGGTTTATATATCAGGACGTTTTGTCAAAGTTTCCAGCGTCCGGTAATGTTCAGGATGTTTACTTTGCTTTGGATTTGCTCCCTCCCACCCCTCCCCAAATGTTGTGGATGGGTTTCCTGAGGTTCCATTTCTCCTTCCATCCCTATTGAAAATTCTTTAAAATAAATTATATTGTTTCCATATGCAGAACAGAATTCAGAACTGCAAGCAATCAATTTTATTGACACCATCTGAAAAAATGTTGATGACAGTTAGAGGATGTGAAAGAATTGGATTTTTAAAGTCCCCAGGACTAAGTGTGGCAAAAGAAAAAAAACTGAAATGTAATCTCATTACTCAAAAGTTCTGTTAGACACTCCTAAGAAGTGATTCTTCTTAACGAAAAAAATAAAAGCAGCAGCAACAGCAGCAGAAGGGCGGCTTCTTCTTGGATAGGCTGTGATCCCACAATGAGGTCTTGCTATCAAGCCTATTGGTTGCCTTGAAGGGAGAAAAGAGCTTCTTGGTTTCCCATGGCAGTGAATCACCCAGCAAAGATGGCTCGAGTTTCCTTAAGTTGTTTAAAATTGGTTTTAGTGTTCTGTTAATGTAAGCAAATAATCATGATTTTAGTCTTGAGTGACTTTCAGGCCTGGGCGAGTCAGGCTTGCTCAGTATTCTCCAGTGCAATGGGAGTATAGACGATGATGCGCCCCGCCAATAGAGACCACTACATCATTATCCCCAAAGTGGTAAAATACTCTTCCTGGAATTTTGAGTCTTTTTCCTGTGTGAATCTTCTGAGCAAAATCTCAGAACCAAAATAGTGATCATCAAGTCTAATGTAGAAAATTAAAGCCTCTCTCTTTTTTTGGGGGGGGAACATCTTAAGTTGATTTAGAATTTTTGTACACAATATTCGTCTGTGGTTGAAAGGGGGCACGCTGAGGTCAAGTGATGTAGTGTTTTCCATTTTTCCATATGAGTCTCACAGTGTGCGATAAAAGCAAACTCCTTTATTTTGTAAGTCTGCAAGAATTTCTGCTGAAGTGCAGAGGTCACGTTCCCTGTCAATTTGAGTAGCCAGCATTTTTTAACTACTGTTTTTTCTTTTGGTGTGTCTTTTCTTCCCTCCCCCCACCTTGCTATAAACCGTGGCACTTTTCTGACACATGCACAGTGAGGTCCTCCAATCTGAAACTCATTAGCACACAGCATTGGACCCTGTCCAGTGGTTAGAAAATTTCCTGGAGCCTAGAATAACAGCATTTGGTGCAATACCATGGACCAGAAGTGACAATGGAGGTAGTCGCACTCCCCTGGCACCCTGCCCGGTCAGGAAAGCCAGCTGACCACACAACACGGTGAGACAGAGGTTGTGCATATAGGATGAGCTCGAAAAGTTTGGTGCTTAGAGAAATACACTTCTAAAATCACAAGGCAATATCTGTTTTCCCTACACTTATTATTTCTATTGGGTCAGAGATGTTTATCAACATTCATTGCAGGAACATGAAAATAAGCAATTAGAGAAAATAGGATGAAGCTCAAGTTCCACAATATAGTATTTTTCACTTCTGTAACTATGGGTTATTTTCAGGACCTATATTTTCATTCATTCATTCATACATGCATGCATTCATTCATTCAAACTTTACTCATTGAACTTCACTATCTTGAGATAATGTGACCAGGCTGCAACCCCCTACCCTGACATTAGAAAAATTAAACAGTTTACCCTAAGTCAGGTTAATTTAAGCCAGGTTTTCAAACAGGAAACTGAGTCCCAGAAAGATAATAGTTATCATATTAAATAGTAAATACTATATAGTACTTTCTAGGAGCCAACTACTGTACAACAACCATATGGGGTAAGTTCTATTATTATTCCCATTTTACAGGGGAGGAAAGTGGAGCATAGAGAAGTTAACTTGTCCAAGGCCATACAGCTGATAAGTGGCAGAGCTGGGATTCTAGCCCACACAATCTGGCTCAAGAGTCTATGCTTTCATCCATTACACTCTACTGCCTCTCCCTGAGCTACCACCTGGGCCCCGCAAACAGGGAAAGCAAAAGGAATGGAATCAGAGTTGCTGATGCTTAATGCTCCTCGCTAACCACCAGACCACACCGTCTCCTAATTTGGACATATGTTGATGGGCATATTTGAAAAATAGTGCTTATAATTGAAATATGCACTTTCTAAAGGGAAATGACGCTTGGGAAAGAGAAGAAAGACGGGTATTACTCAAAGCCTGCAGACAGCTCTGCAAGTAATTGTCTAAAGGCAGCCGTTGAAATTGAGAAGCAGTTTGGAAAATGTACAGTTTGGGAAATTTGTGTACCGATGTAATTACGGTAGTTGTGAGCTGATGTCATGCCTAGTAACTGTTTTTGTATTGCTTGGGCCTTTGTTACTGAGCTGTGATATCATGAGCAAACTATTATAAACATAGCATGGATATAGCATGCTTGTGTAACAAAAGATCGGGAACTTTTATTAAGTTTGTTTTCCTTGTCATATTGTAAAAATTTATTATGTGTACTGTGTATATTAGAAACAGATTTGGGTAATTCTGTCTAAATGAAGTCATCCCGGCTATTTCCAGACTGTCTGTTTTTGGTTGTGAATAATTTTCATACATCAGATGGTTGTCATATTTAGTCGCTCTCAAAATTTTAAAGAGAACATATCCCATTTTGAACTTTTGGTGGACTTCAGCCACCTTGCTGTTGGGATTGTTTGAGTTTGAAATTATTGCCCGGTAAATTACAGGGACTGAATACTAGTCATTTCTAAAGGGTCTGGGGTTGCTGCCTTCTATTCATAAGTTCTCTCCTTCAACAAAAGAACAGATTTTTAACTACTTAAGTAGTAGAATTTAAAGCTGCTGGACACAGTTGGGCAAAGAGCGCCGGCCCTTGTCCTTTTACATTATGTCCCATTGAAGAACTTTGGTAAATATTCAAGCAGACAGAGCTCAACGTTTAGCGGTGTTCATGGTAAATGTGGAGTTTAAATGGGTAGTTCCAAAACTTTGAATGACTCGATCCTTCCCAGCTACTCTCCTCTAGCTCCTTCTTTTGCTGCCAAGCTTTTAGACTCAGAATATTGTGCCTGCTGCTTCCTTGTGGTGTTTTTTTTTTTTTTTTTGCTTTTTCCCAGTCACTTTCTTTCCTAAACTCCTCCCAAGTCTGGCTTTTCTCCTCATCATTTTCTTGAATTTTATTGTCACTAAATTTAGTGGCCATGTCTCCATCCTTCTAACCTGTCTGGCCTTCTTAGTAATACATTGCATGGGCTAACTTGTTTTTTTTGGAAAATGCCATCATTTAAACTTCTTCAAATCAGTACCCCCTGGCCTCCATGCTGTTTTCTTTCTGCTTCCCAGTTCATTTCTGGAACCCAAGTTCACTCTTTCCCCCAAGTTCAGTTTCTTTGATCCCCTTTAATTTCAGTGCATCTGGGCTGTGTGCTTGTTCTAGAACCTTCACACACATGGGTGCCTCCAGACCTGTTGTACTGCTCCTAAGTGCCTACCTGTGGTTCTCTCTTAGCTCGCCTTCACATGAATTTCAGTATCTCTAATCCAGCAGATCCCTTTTGTCCCCAGGTCTTATTAGTCACAGTCATTTGACTCATCACTGACCTAGGAATTTCCTTCATCCTCAGCATGTTATTCATCCTCACATGTGCCATTTTTCCTTCCGCTGGTATTTTCTGTCCGTTCCTTTTTCTGTGTTTCCCCTGCTGCCACCTTATTCTAGAGCTGTCCCTTCAGGTGCCACCTGCTGGGATTTTGGCAAAGACTTTTTCCAACCCGTCACCCCCTCCCCTCAAAGAATCTTCTGTTCTTTATGCATCGCTCACCTCCTATCCTCTCCTCGAACGCCATGTCATTCTGCTCTTCAGAACCGTTATGTATCATACCATGTCTCCATCCTGCTGCCTTCATCTAGTTAATTAGCATTCCAGCTTTGCATTAAATTAGATGTCCCGAGAAGAAGTTTATAGCCTTCTGACTGGGGAGAGGGGAGAGAGTCATGAATTCAGAGTCATCATTCCTTTGTAAGGAGCTGGATAAAAGTGCAGTCCATTTGATAACAGTTCAGAGTCCCCAAAATCCAGAATTGCAGATACTGTGTACTGTGTTGCCTGCTGTTTAGAGAGAAGACCTTTGGTGATTAAATTGTGTGTGAGTTTAATTTCAGGAGATTATCTTTGTCTGCTTTCTTCAGAAAGAAACTAAAAACCACATGATGTGAAGGGCTGTCCCGTTCCTAAGTTCTCCACCATGTGACTGCCTGCTTCTTTTCCATTGGTATCTACCACTGCCCCCTAGAAGGTTTCTTCTGATCTCCTCTGACTATAAGACCTTAAGGCGAGACACTCCCTTGTCTGCACATGGGAGAGCCGCTTTGTCAGACTTAATGAAATTGCTTTTAATAAGACATCAGTGAAATTATGTCTGGTTTGTTGTTTGTTTGAGAGCGTAAAGGGATTGTTATTTATTCTAGAAACAGAATAAGAGTCTGAACCACATAGAATTACACACCGAAGAGGTTTTGTTGTGACTACCAACTTTGTTGAGGATATGAAGTGGCTCTACCTAGAGTGCTGTTTGAAGGACTGTGGGTCTGAGATGGGCTCTGAAGAGTGCCACGATTGATTAGGTATGTCTGCCATGGGCACTGGAGATGGGAGAAGTGCTATGTGCACCTTCTGTTTGCCAAGCTTGCCATAGACCTATCTGACCATAGTCTATGCTGATCCATGTCAGAGTGGAGAGGTCTTTTTCTCTGGGAAGTCTAATAGACTCTGTGGTAACTATTGAAGTATTATCTAAACTTAAACATATGCTTTGTGTTTTTCCCTGTAACCTTAAATGAGACTGGGCAAATTGCATTCTTATCCTAAAACCATGTCTCTTCTTGATCAGCTCTGAAATGTGATTTGTCCTTTAAAGCCACAGGATCTTTTACACTGGACTGCCACACAAACTCAGCTGCATGGTTGAGTTTTGGAGATTGTATATGTCAGAATATGTTGGGGGAGGAGGCAGCATTACATTGTGATTAATACCATGGCCTCTGGTGTCTGACTGGCAGGTTATAGTCCCGGTACCACCTTTAATCCTGTGTGACCTTGGAAAAGTAGCTTAACTTCTCTGTATTTCTGTTTTCTTATCTAGAGAATGTGGCTGGTAACCTCACCTACCTAAGGCAGTTGTGAAGATTAACTGATTAATGCATGAAAAGTGCCTGTGTAAAAACTGTGGGGTTTTTTTGTTTTGTTTTGTTTTGTTTTGTTTTGCTTTGTTGAGATGGAGTCTCGATCTGTCGCCCAGGCTGGAGTGCACTGGCATGATCTCAGCTCACTGCAACCTCCGCCTCCAGGGTTCAAGCAATTCTCCCGCCTCAGCCTCTGGAGTAGCTGGGATTACAGGGGCGCACCACCACGCCCAGCCAATTTTTTATATTTTTAGTAGGGACGAGGTTTCACCATGTTGGCCAGGCTGGTCTCAAACTCCTGACCTCAAATGATTTGCCCACCTCGGCCTCCCACAGTGCTGGGATTATAGGCGTGAGCCACTGTGTGCAACCTAAAAGCTGTTTTTAAAGGGAAAATAACCTAGTAAATTCCAAGTTATATTTAGTTCACTAGGTACTGGCCATTTTTCAAATGCGTGTTTTAGCTGTGTAATGTGGACCATCGTTTTGCTTATAATCAACTTTTGGGTAACCGGAATTGATGGGAGGACATCAGGCTCTTCATCTGTAAAATGTGGTAATCATAGCATTTATCCCATGGTGTTGTTATGAATATTAGCTGAGTAACATCTGTAAATAGCTTAGAAAGACATATAAAAAGTACTTAATAAAGTTTAGCTTCTGTCATCATCCGTGCTACTAACTACTTTTAGCAGCATTATTTTGATTGCACAGTGTTTTTCCTAAATGTGTCACTTTAGGCACAAATAAGGGTCATGGTCTTCTAAAAATTCCATCCTGGTCTTTCTTTTGTTCTTGTCTTCCAGAATTTTACATGAATTAATGATAGGTAGTCTCACCAGCAAAGAACTGGTCCTTAATCTGAAATCTTGATGCTGTGACATTCCGCACCATTCCTGACATAAAGCATAGACACTTATTCATGAATGAGTTAGTGAATAACTGAGTGATGAATGAGTGACTGAATGAAGGAGTAAAATACCTAAGCCAAAAAGAAAGGAAAATTGATACTGGTTCACAGTTGAAGAGGCTTCAGACTGGTCTCAGGTTCGCGAGCCCCTAGAAACATTTCAAGACCATAAAAACAGCATTAAAAAAAATCCTGTGTCAGTCCTGCCTAAATCTTTCATTGGGTTGATGAAATGAATCCTGCCAGGTATGGAGTGAAAATCAGAACATTCCTGTAGTGCGGTTAGACTACCCTAATGCCCTGTGCCTGCCTTTGTACATTTGCTAATCCATTTAAGGTATAATATTAATGGCATAGAACTTTAATTCGTAAGTATAGAAAATTAAAGGAGACTAAAGGCAAAATACAGAAATGTATTTGGTGTCAAGATTACGTTCAATGAAGCATAGTGAAGATGGAATATACTTGCAGGGAGGAAGGAAAATACACCTAAATCTCTCATTTTGAAAGGAATTGGTTTACTTGATTATTTGCAACAGTATCACACTCAGGGAAATCTAAGACAAATGAAAGCAAAACAGAATTTAATTGAGCTATTATTTTGCAGACTTTGGCTTGGTTTCAGACAGTCTAATCAAATTGTCCTTTGCACAAATAACTAATGTTAAATGCAGCCTACCAACAGATGTTTAAAAGGAGTCTAATTGGAAAATCTACATCCTGGATTTAGTCTGTCTCACTGGAAAAAATAGCTTCAAATTTATATTTTTGAGGATGACACCCAGTGGCAAGCATTTCCAGAAGATAAAATTTTCTTCAAAGATGCTCGGTGCTTGGATGGAATTGTCTTGGATAGTCAAAGGTGGCACTCTAGAAATTCAATTTCCTGGAAATTCTCCAGCTCTGTGCCATGTAGAGCTCTACAAAGAAATCTCTTTATCATGTTACGTCACCAGAGCCCTGTTACCCTCCCTGGATTGTGTCAGTGGCCCGTGTGCTGTAATTTATAATGAGCCCCTGCAAGTCCTGCAAGGCGCATTCTGATTGATGACATTTAAAGGTACTGTCAAGGTGGCTGGGTAATGAAGTTGACCTTCCTCCATCGTTGTCTCAGTTTCAAGTTTGTATGTATAAACTATTTCACCTGCCATGTTTGCTTGGAACTTTTTATGATATCTGCAAAAGGAATTTGGTTTACTAGTAGTTCTTTTCTTCCCATTAGATCAGGGATTAACAAAATTTCTCTGTAAAGAGCCAGATAGTGAATATTTTAGGTTTTGTGGGCCATACTGTCTCTGTGGCAACTACTTACTCTGTTTTTTGTCATGTAAAAGTATCCATAGACAATATGTAAATGAATGAGCATGGCTGTATTCCAATAAAAATTCATTTGTGGACACTGAAGTATAAATTTCACATAATTTTCACATCACAAAACATTCTTCTTTTGTTTTTCCCTGCTATTTAAGAATATAAAAACAATTCTTGGCTCAAGGGCCATACACAGGTGGCAGCCCAGATTTGGGCTGTAGTTGGCTGACCTGTGCTTTAGATGACTGGATATGATCATGCAGTTTGTTCATTGAACCAGGATTCCTTATTGAGGGGACTAGCAAGGGCCGAAATCTAGCAATTGTTTATCCCAGTGTACCCTGGCATGGCACTGGGGCTGTGTCAGCTTGGAGGAAGAGGCATCCATTTTTTTCATTTGCGCAGAGGTGCCACCTAACACCCCACTTTCCTTCCTTTTCATTGTGTTAGTTTGAAATCTATCCGTGCATTAAGATAGGTGTAATGGTGAAACTAGTAATTTTTTGGGTATTTTGAGATTCAGGAAAATGGCCACAGCTGGCAGGGCTACAGTTGGCTTATACCACATACTTGTGTGATATTGAGGAAGGTACCCTTTCAAGACACTTTACTCTCGTCCTTCTGAATATTTTCATAATATATCTGATTGTATTACATTAAAACACTTCACTACTATCTGTCTGAGAAATATCTTACTGGTTATATAGATCTACAGTATCTAAAATGCATACAGCTCTGTCTTGAATCCAAGACATAATGGGACTGCTTCAACATGGAGCCCTCCTAAGATGCCCAGTCAGGTGCTCACATAATTTTCCTCCATTGTTTGTATTTTGAACCCAAGCATGTTGGATTTTGGCAAAGTGACTTACATTTGTAAGTCTCAGTTTCTTATCTATAAATGACTAGTCAGTGGTTTTCAATCCTAGGGGTGCATCAGAACTAAGGTAATTATTACCCTTATCAAGATCTAGGGATCAAAGCTTTTAAAACTCACAGTTAGGCTCCGGAACTCTTATCTTCTGAATGAGAATCTTAGGATGGGGCCCAAGCATGTGTATATTTAAAAACCTTCATAAGTGCTTTTTATGCCCACCCATGTTTGAAGACCACCAGTCAAGAAGACAGCTAAGTACATTTCCAACTTAAAGTCTTAGTATTGATTTCATTCTGCTTTTTCCTCATTTCTTCATTCCCTAGCCTTCTTCTAGGGTAGCAGAAATGAACTCTCTGACCTTATTTCAGCAATGCAAGCCATCTATAGTCATCAGAAGATATTGGGAAATCCCAGCTCAGGAGTCTTAGATTTTGCCTTTGTGTAAATTTATGCAGGATGTAGCATTGGACAGGAAGCTGAATATCCTAATACAAGAATTAAGTAGGCCACCCACCCTGTTAATCTTAAAGTCCTATTGAGAAGTCCAGGGAGTGACAAAAATGGGTGGTCCATTTGGTATATTGAAGGTCTACCTTGAGATTTAAAATGTACAGTTCATCTCCTTTTCTCTACACATTTTATGCACTTCTGCTTTGAAATGATTATGCCACATTTTTTGTAATATGCATCCATTTTTACAATATTCCTAGCTCAGCCCAAATTGGGAAATACTGTGTCTCACCAGATCGCTAACTTGATATCTGACCAAAGTGATTTGGATACCTTTCAGGTAAGTGTTGAAATTGGCCCATGTCTCAGTGTCACACCTGGTCTCTAGGAGTTTAGGGCATACCTCATTCAGCAGCCTAAATGTTATTTAAAATGTAGACTCTGTGTTGATCTAGGAGCTTTCTTCTGCCAGTATTTTAAAAACAAATACCTTCTTTGCTCATTCTGCAAAATATGGAAAGAAAAAACTGCCAGTGTGGAACTAGGAAGACCAACTGGGCCTCTTACCTCTTTATCTGTTTTACATTAGCATATCATTTGGCTTTTAACAAATAGAATCCTCTTCATTCTACAACTGTTCTGGAATTTTGGGGCCATTAATTGATGAAGGCAAAATCACCTTACTACAGCATGTTCCATGAGGGCCACATGGCAATTAAGGCAGTTTTTCTTTAAGGTAAGACCAACCGTGTGAGGCCCAGATACCCACCATCTAATGGCAGTAGGCAGTCTAATATTTTTTTTAACACAATTTACCAATTGGATTCCTACAAAAGAGAGATTATATTTTTTGACTTATGAACAGCAGGTCAGACATTTCAAAGAAAATTTAGAGAGCAGTAATTTTGAAAATGTACACAGATGAATTTGAAAATAAATATTTCGCTGCCTACGCAGCTCTATTTCTAAGGCTGGCTTTGGAAACGTATTCCAGAGGCCTCACCATTTTGCATGACACGGTGTCAGTTCACACACAATATATTAATGCTTAATTGAAGATAATGTAACTGCAGATCAAAGGCATAATTAATGGGCTTGCAGAAACTCTTATGTAGATCAGGATTTTGACTAATAGAAGTCTGGACAAAACTGGTTTATAAAAGGATCTTGAGACCAGCTGAGGCTTCATCTGTCTGCTCAGCTGATGGTGACCACAGCTGGAGCTGCCACCAGGGGTAGGTGGGTGAATAAAGGATAGCTCTCATCTCCACCATTCCCCGTCCCCAAACCAACACTTCCTGGTGTGGCTCCTGGTTGGCCTCTGGAACTGCTGGACTGTAGAGCTATTGAATATCTGTTGTATACAATAAGCAATTAGTTTCTGTTAGATTCAGGATATCTCTATGACTCTGTGACCTGAAACTTTTAGTGGGAAGCACATGATCAGGAAACAGGCCTTAGAATGGAAGTTGGCAGTTGTAAACCCATGGGCCAAACCCCGAAGCTTGTTTCTATAGTACTGAGGAGCCAAGAAAATTGTTACATTTTTTAATGGTTGGGGAAAGATCAAAAGACGAATAATATTTCATGAAACATGAAAATTATATTAGCCGGGCATGGTGGCGTGCGCCTGTAGTCCCAGCTACTCGGGAGGCTGAGGCAGGAGAATGGTGTGAACCTGGGAGGCGGAGCTTGCAGTGAGCTGAGATCACGCCACTGCACTCCAGCCTGGGCGACAGAGCGAGACTCTGTCTCAAAAAAAAAAAAAAAAAAAGAAAAGAAAAAAAAGGGAATTATATGAAATTCAGATTTCAGTGTCCACAACTATAGCTTTATTGGAATACAGCCATTGTGAACTTGTTTTTCTGTCTATGGCTGCTTTCAGCAGAGATGAGTGGGTGCGACAGAGACTGTGCGTCCTGCAGTGCCTAAAATATTTATTCTCTGGCCTTTTATAGAGAAAGTTTTTGGCCCCTGGCTTCAAAGTTCAGGTTTGGTCTCTAGGACACCTTTGGGAGAAGGAGCTTGGGCATCTAGAAACTTACTGAATTTATAGGGAAAAACACATGAAAAACAAGAAAACAGCTTTCTTACCAAAATGTTTGGGAACTGATAGAGAACAATGTTACTGAGAGGCAAGAATACAGCATTCTCATGAGAAGATTATTGATTTTTATCGTTACCATCACCATCAACAATATCTAAGTCTCATTTTGATCTTTATTGATATTATTATAATCATAGGATTCATTTGGTTTTAAAGTTTGGTGTAAATGACATAGCGATTCTGAGAGCAAGGCCTCTGGGAAGTAAATGTGAGAACAGACCAGAGGCTTAGTGATTCTTTCATCCATCCATCTATTCACTTATCCTCATTCTAACATTTATTATGTGCCTGTAGTGTACCGATCCTGCTTAGTACTGAAGTAGAGAATTGCATATTTCTTAGTCCTTATATCACAGTTGAAACTGAACAGAGAATTATAATATGATGTAATAAATGTACTAACAGAGGTAATCTGTACTAGCCACATTTCAAGTTCTGTTCCTAAACTGGGAACACACACAGGAACAGAACTTGAAATGTGGCTAGTACAGTCAAAGAGTTGGATTTTTAAATTGTATTTACATTAAATAAATTTAAATTTAAATAGCCATATGTGGCCAGTGGCTATTATTTTGATTAATGCAGATATAGAACATTTCCATCATTGTGAAAAGATCTATTGGACAGTGCTATCTAGAATGTTCTTTTGCTTTTTTTAATTTTTTTTTTTTTCATTTTTATTTTTATTTTTTGAAATGGAGTCTTGCTCTTGTCGCCCAGGCTGAGTGCACTAGTGCGATCTTGGCTCACTGCACCCTCTGCCTCCCAGGTTCAAGCGATTCTTCTGCCTCAGCCTCCCAAGTAGCTGAGGCGTGTGCCACTATGCCCGGCTAATTTTTGTATTTTTAGTAGAGACGGGGTTTCACCATGTTGGCCAGGCTGGTCTCAAACTCCTGACCTCAGGTGATCTGCCTGCCTTGGCCTCCCAAAGGGCTGGGATTATAGGCGTGAGCCACCACGCCTGAGCTTTTTTGCCTTTTAAAGCATTTGGTAAATATGTCTTCCTGATGAAAAATCAAGAACTAATCTCTTTTAATGTGGTGTCTTCATATATCTCTAAAGTATATCTGTGCAACTCTTTGTCACGTGTCTCTCTATATCCTTCTTTTACTGTATTGCTACCAGTGTAAGACAATACTCCAGTCATCTCTGGGAACATCTACTGCCTCCATTTTCTCTGTGGGAGCTCAAGTTTTCCTTCAAAATAAGAAAAACTCCCAAGACCTGGAAGTTTGAAGGAAAATAAGCCAAACGCCCTCCCTCACATTTGAAAACTGACAATTATTTTTATTTGTGCAGGCTTAAGATGGAAATAAGAACTTCTAAAAGAATTTGAAAAATACCCTACTTACCAAAAAAGCTTAAATCATTTCCTCTGAAAGTTTCCTTCCATCTAAGGTTTGCTTCGGTTCCACAGACCAGCCTCCTCCTGTCCTCAATCTGAGGGGGAGGAACGTGACCTTCAGTTTCCGCTGATACTGATTTTAGGGTCCCACAAGGGTCTCTGTACTTGCCCTCCCTCTTAGAGACACAGACTGGCACATCCTGGTTTTCTTTTTTTTCTTTTTTTGAGATGGAGCCTCCTTCTGTCACCCAGGCTGGAGTGCAGTGATGCCATCTTGCTCACTGCAACCTCCTCCCTAACTCACCAGGTTCAAGCGATTCTCCTGCCTCAGCCTCCCGAGTAGCTGGGATTACAGGCGTGCACCACCATGCCCAGCTAATTTTGTTTTTTTTTGTTTTTTGTTTTTTTTCTGAGACAGAGTCTCTCACTCTGTCGCCCAGGCTGGAGTGCAGTGGTGCGATCTCAGCTCACTACAACCTCCACCTCCTGGGTTCAAGCGATTCTTCTGCCTCAGCCTCCCAAGTAGCTGGGACTACAGGCGTGTGCCACCATGCCCGGCTAATTTTTGTATTTTTAGTAGAGACGGGGTTTCACCATGTTGGCCAGGCTGGTCTCAAACTCCTGACCTCAAGTGATCTGCCTGCCTCGGCCTCCCAAAGTGCTGGAATTACAGGCGTGAGTCATGGCACTCAGCCTACATCGTGATTTTCCTGTTGGCTTTTGTAAAAGCCAGATCCTTGAACTTTGTTTCTTATTTCCAAATGTTGATTACAGTTGTGTTTCTCATACCTCTCTCCCAGCTGTGAAGTTTATTGGTCTTTGTTTTATTAATAATTCTATAATTGAGAATTATATTTTATTTTAGACTCATAATGTCATAGCATTACATTCATTGGTTGAATATGTTAACTGGTTAGGAAAAAGCTTGGGGTTACCCTTAATCTTGAGCTTGAGATATTGATGAGACAATTAAGCTTAATTTGGTAACTCTTTGGAGTAGATAGACCCAAATTCTAAAAACCATCATTTACCATCTCTGGGACCTTGTCCAAGTAAAGCTCAGTTTTTTTTTTGTTTGTTTGTTTTGTTTTGTTTTGTTTTGTTTTGTTTTGAGACGGAGTCTTGCTCTGTCACCCAGGCTGGCATGCAGTGGTGCGATCTCGGCTCACTACAACCTCCGCCTCCCGGGTTCAAGCACTTCTGCCTCAGCCTCCCAAGTAGCTGGGATTACTGGCATGTGCCACCATGCCCAGCTCATTTTATTTGTATTTTTAGTAGAGACGGGGTTTCTTCATGTTGGTCAGGCTGGTCTCGAACTCCTGACCTCAGGTGATCCACCCACCTTGGCCTCCCAAAGTGCTGGGGTTACAGACGTGAGCCACCGTGCCTGGGCTAAAGCTCACTTTTGAGCTTCTATAAAGTAGAAATGTCTACCCAGCAGATTAATTCAGAGGATTAATTTAAGAATACACACACACACACACACACACACACACACACACAGAATCTGGCACCTGTAGCTCAAAATGTTACCTGCCCTTCTTATAGCTGTTGTTCTGATCATTATATTATGATGATGTTGGTTTGGGTTATTACTTGTGAGATCCTACAGTGGTCTGGACACACAAAAAATTGAATTTTATATAATACTGAGGCTTTCTGATGGTAGTAGATGGGCAGAGAGTGGCAGTTGTCAACCCCCTATGCATTTCAGAGCGAAGTGCATTTAGAATGGCCATACCTATGTTATCATATACCTATGTTATCGTCTCTGAATCTTTGATATATGCCAGATGGGTTGCAAATTCTACAGTGAATTGTTCACTTCTGTAGGTCTTCTGTGCAGGACCCTAGCTCTCCTGTAATGGCAGTGCAACTGCTGAGAAGAAAAGACAGAGTGCAATGATCATGCTTCCCCACTCTGACCCCCTCCTAGTTCTTCCCTGCACTCTTAAGGAGGCAGTTGCACAGTTATTTTTTATTTGACATTATAGTTACATATATGCAAAGAAGATCAGGGAGTATGCTCATTTTATTGTGTCTTGATGTGTTGGGAAGGGAAGCATGGATTATAAAATTATCTTTTCATCAAGCCTTCTAGTTAGAGTTGACTTGCTTCTCCTGGGGACTGAGTAATTTGTTACTCTTCATTGCCCTGTTACTTTTTCCCCCCAAGGGTGGTTCTCCTCACACCTGCAGGAGACTTGTTCTTTCACTTCTGTATTATCACATTACATACTGCACTTATGAAAAACGGGGCAAATGTTTTCTAACAGCCATCGTGACAACTCTGTTACAAACAGGGAGGTACTGTTTAGTTGAAAAACATGGGAATATCCAAGAAAAATGTGAAAGAAGCTTAGAAAATGAAATTTCTTGAAAATAGGAATCGAGAGATTTGTTTTATGATGGGAGCAAGGTTGAAGAAAGTAAGGAATTGATTCCCCATTAGAGATTGCAAACTGATGGCCCGCAGGCTAGATACTGTTTTGTTTATGCACACAACATTTAACCTTTTTTTGGTTCGAACTTTTTGAAGGCTTTCTTTTTCTTTGCAAAGATTTAAAAAATCTGGAGATTTCCCATGAAAATCTCATTTTCTGTCATCTCCTAAAAAAGAAAAAAATCAGAAGTTCAAGCAATATACATAGCACCAGTTATCTGGAGCAGAGAAATGCTGCCCATTCCCACTTTGCCATGGACTTCAACTCATTTCAGTAGCCTGCCTGTCTGCTGTCTATCCCTCTTCTAAGTGGCTCAAGGTTTCATGAACAGATTCACCTCAGAGTCTCAAAGGCAACAGCACGCTATAGTGGCCCAGCTAGAGCCCAGGCATTTTGGAATTCTTGATTTCTTTGTATCTTTGTACCCTGATTATAGACTGATGTCTTTTTAAACTGGCTGCCTTGTGAAAATTAGAGTTCCTCTTTCTTAACTAGGACTGTGGGTAGTAGTGATCCCCATGTGGCAAGGATGGGGCAGGGAAGAGTGTTCCTGCAGGAAGAAAGTGTGTGCAAGCCAGATGACATGCAACTGCCCTCATGATCAGATTTGGATAACTCTGTTATTTACTCCAAACCTTAGTGTCTTACAGTTTAAACATTTATTCTTTTACACACTTTCTGTGAGTCAGAGATAGGGGAGTGGCTTAGCTGGGTGGTTCAGGCTCATAGCATCTCATGAGATTGCAGTCAAAATGTGAGGCTGGGGCATGATTGGGGCTAGGGGAGCCGCTTCCAAGATGGCTCGCTCACATGGCTGTCAGCAGGAGGCCTCAAGTTCTCAGGCTGTGGACCTCTCCATAGTGTGACTTCAGTGCCCTTGTGATGTGGCAGCTGGCTTTTCCCAGAGTGATCCAAGTTGTGACCTAGCCTTGGAAATCACATACCATTACTTCTGCCATATTTATTGGTCACAGAGACCGGCCCTGACATGGTGTTGGAAGGTACTATCCAAGGCATGAATACCAAATGGTGAGAATCTTTGGGGCTTGTTTCGGAGGTTGGGTGCCACTGATTCCAACCTCCTCATTAGCCCTATTTAGAATCAGAGTAAGAGCAAGTCAGTGTAATTGTTTATAAAGTGTCATATCCTTCAGCTATGTTGGATGGAAGAAAGGTCAAAATGTGACCTGAGCACTGGTGTACTCTTGGCGTAAGGTCATTGGCCAAAGTATTATTCACTTCACTAAAAGATTTGCCTGTACTAATAAGAAAGAGAGATTGACAAAAGAGATGAACTGCACTAAGGTATTTGGTGAGTTCGATTTCTTTCTCAAATTATGCAAATTTCCTCCAGCGTTTCCCCCTAAACAATGGGAAGTTGCATATTCTCAAAGCTGTAAGACCTTCAAAGATAATCTCAGAGTGATTTTAAGGCAAAATAAGTAGTTTAATATTTATATCTAACTGCATCTCTGGTGTCTCAGAAGTCTTTGACATCATTGGAATGACTTTGTTAGTACCTTTCCCATAAATAGTTAGCTAGACAGGTGAAAGTTCAAGAAAAATAATGAGATCCTTTACGCAACTCAAATAGACTGTTCATGAGATTCCCTGTTCAACAAACATCTGACAAATTATTGGGTGGTTGTGTTGACCTAGACACCTAGAGTGAGGCACCTAGAGTGAGCAGCAGAGAAAGCAGCCGGGAGATTACATTCTTATGGGACATTAAACTGGTAAGCCAAAAAAAAAAAAACAAAAAACAAAACAATGTATCACCACATGTTGTGTGACGATGAAATCTGTAAGAAAACAAAGTAGATTAAGATAAACACCGTGGTGATGACAGTCCCATGTTTGACTGGCTGGCCAGGGAAGGACTCTGAGGAAATGGTCTTTGAGTAGAGACCTTGACTGAGTGAGGGACTGAGTCTTGCGTCTATCTAGGGAAGAAAGTTTCAGGTTCGGGGAAGAGCAAGTTTAAGAGCCCCCAATCAGAAACAAGCTTGGTTGCTCTTTCGCAATTTCCAGAGACTCCATCTATTCCCCAGCATCTTGGTTCTCACCACTGCACTGCTTATGGTTGACCGTCAGCTTTGCTTTTTTGACCATAGTCTTACAGCCCTGGCTTAGCCTTCTCTGAAAACATACATTTGCACACTAAGCCAGATTCACATGGGAGGTACATTATGCCGTGGCCTAGTCTAGTGTGTATTTCCCCTTTCTCTCCCCACAAAGATTTTACAAAACTTATACATGCAAACAGGTATTTTTGTTTGTTTCACATGAGTCGCTTTTGCATAATATAACAAGCCCATGATTTCACATGTACAGTAATTCATAGAAAGTGATAGTCATCTTGCTTAGACACCTTAGTTCTCAAATCTAGCCTGCTAAATATAGTACCTTCTCAGACCCATATAAGGTGTCATAAAAAAAGAAAAAATAAAGGTCAAAGTTTCCCCACCCACAAATTTGGTTATAAAAACAGCAAAGCAGGGTTTTTCTGAACTTGAATCAGTAAATTTTTAATTTAAATAGTATCCTGTTTTGACAAAGTGCTAAACCACAGAGGTCTGAGAAAGACACTCTTAAGCCTTTGTCAATACCAGCTGGCATCTCTCAACAGGAAACCTTGGATGACTTTTGTTGTCATTTTGTGATGCACTGACAAGGAATGCGTGCCCTTATTTGTTGCATCAAGGAAATGGTCAGAGTACCTCTGATGCGGCTCGATGCCGTTTACATCAATATGTTGCATAATCCTTTGCCAGACAAAACCGGTATTTTGTTGTCGTTGTTTGATCAATTAACATTGGATTTCTGGCTTTGCTAAGTGCACCTCCAGAGCAAGACACAAAATGATGTCACATGAGTTCTGTTCTCTGACCCACCCAACAAAGAACTGAGCTAACCTGCAACCCTTTTCCTGCCTTGGTCTTTTGATCTCATCAGTTGTGCAGCTCACCTCTTCAGGGCCTGCACAGCTCTTGAATGGTGTGGACTGTCCCGAGGAAATCCAAGGTACTATAAGAGCTCTTTGTTGGAATTCAGTCCCTAGCCCTCTCTTTATCTCACTTTGTTTCATGTTGAATAGTAAGTTGCATTTTACTGTTATGGTGACTGCATTTTTCTTATGGGGCCTTCAGGGTAAACAGCCGTTAGTTTCCATCTGTGAACACACATGTAGCTTGTGTTTGGGTAGGGTGCCTGGTGCTTCCAAAGTCATTATTTTCTCTGTAATGTTTGTTCTCCATGGTTGTGCATAGATAGATTCTATGCCCCAGTGCAGGACGAAGAGGTAGCCTGTAATTCCAGCTGAATGTGTTGCAGTTGAAAGTGGGACGGGAGTGGAAGCAAGTGATGGATCAAGCAAATCGCTTTTAATTTTACATAAATTGGTTTTCTGCTTTCCTCTGGGGCAGAAGTTTGCTGCTCAGGGTCATGTTAAATGTCGCTGATGATTTGGAAGAGAGGCATTCCTGGAAAATATCCGGTGAGACAGAACTTGGGATTTCAGTCCCTGCCTCTCATTGACAGACTTGGGGAAATTAGAGATGGAGTCTCTAGCCTGGGATGGGAGCCGTTATCTCTGGACCAGCTAGAGACACTGGAGATTAGAAAAGGCAACAGCAATTTTAGATTCCCGAAGAATAAAATTATCATGACATTTATCAAATGTGCTCCCTTTCCCCCCGGTACATTGCATAATAATGATGTTTGTATATGTTGTTGTCACATAAGCAAGAACGAGAGAAGATCCCCTTTCATGGGATGCTCACAGATTTCCTTAATATGAAATTAACTAGCAGTCCTAGATAAGTAAGCTAGAACTGTAATGGGCACAGTCTGAAAGAGGGCAGAGCTTTCTTTTTGCCCCTTGGCCAAGGACAAAACATGGGCAAGGCCAGTTGTCAACATGAGACACTGGTTTCAGGTTTGCAGCTACAAAGAATACAGTTGTGATGGATTTCAATCCGATATTTGCAGTTCCAATGCTAGAATTTTCAGCCATGTCATCCTGAGTCTCTTTAGGCTTTAGAAACAAAGGATTCATGTTTGAATCGTGACCTGCCACCATGACCTTGGGCAAAATAGAAAACTTTGTTTCTTTGTCTATAAAATGGCCGTAAATGTGCGGTGGCTCACGCCTGTAATCCTAGCACTTTGGGAGGCCAAGGCGGGCAGATCACGAGGTCAAGAGATCAAGGCCATCCTGGCCAACATGGTGAAATCCTGTCTCTACTAAAAATACAAAAAATAGCTGGGTGTGGTGGCACCCGCCTGTGGTCCCAGCTACTCAGGAGGCTGAGGCAGGAGAATCGCTTGAACCCAGGAGGCGGAGGTTGCAGTGAGCCAAGATCACACCACTGCACTCCAGTCTGGCAACACAGTGAGACTCCATGTAAAAAAAAAAAAAAGGCCATAAATGATACCCACCATACAAGAACCAAATGAAAACTTGGACATAAAGCACCCAGCTAGAGACACACAGCATGTGACATACGCTTAACGAAAGGTGCTAATAATGTTATTAGAATTTCACTGGATTGTTGTTGATGATTCTAATATAATATTCCTTAATAGTAAAAAGCTGAAGCCATAGGAGCCCAGTAATCTTCACCTGGAATTTCACAGTAACAGGAAAATAAATGAAACTTTGGGATACTAAATATTAATGGGGTGAAGTAAAAAAAGCTAAGTGGGGCCTGGCGTAGTAGCTCACACCTGTGATGTGAGGCACTTTGGGAGGCCAAGGCAAGAGAATTGCTTGAGGCCAGGACTTCGGGACCAGCCTGGGTAACACAGGGAGACCCTATCTCTACAAAAAAAAATTTTTTTTTAAATTAGCTGAATGTGGTGTTATGCACCTGGAGTCGCAGCTACTTAGGAGGCTGACATGGGAGGATTGCTTGACCATGGGAGGTTGAGGTTGCAGTGAGCTGTGATTGTGTCACTGTACTCCAGCCTGGGGGACAGAGTGAGACCTCGTCTCAGAAAAGAAAAGCAAAAAGCTAAGTGGAAGAAAAAAAGTAGTTGCAAGCTGTTACAGAGCTGGACAGAAAATGCATAGAAATAAGTGGCTTTTGGCAAATTCTTTGAGTGAAAGAAATGAACAGCCACTAACAAGGAATGACTATTTTATGCCCAAATCCATATATTTAAACAATGATTGATTGATTGATTTGTTTGTTTATTTATTCAAGCAACTATTGTGCCTCATCCTCCCTGGTAACTGGGATTAACAGGTACCCAACACCACACCCAGGTAATTTTTGTGTTTTTAGTAGAGACGGGGTCTTGCTGTGTTGCACAGGCTGGCCTCGAACTCCTGGGCTCCAGCGATTCCCCCACCTCAGCCTCCCAAAGTTCTGGGATTACAGGCATGAGCCACTGCGCCTGGCCAACAATGATTTATTTTAAAAAATCATTTTATTTAGGAGAAAGCAAAGACTTTGAAAAATAGTGTTAACTATGCAAGGGCAGGTTATTCATGAAAAATCTATTCTATATTTTAACATGCCTGGTCTCAGTAAGTGATTTCAGTCAGATAGCTTGAAAGAGGCCACCATGAAGAAAAATGTGTATTTCTCCAGAATGTATGTATTACAATAAAATAGTTGCTAATGAATTCCTTTAAATCATTTATTACCAGACTCTATGAAAGTGAGATTATCATAATTTGGCAGAGTGGATCAAGAACAAAAAATAAACTATCAGATTCAGGAAAAATGAGAAACAAACCCATGGGTGAGGAATCAGTGAATCATTGTAGAGTTTGTTTTTGGGGGAAAAAAAAAAACCACACACACTGAAAGAATTTTGAGTGAAAACCCACTGGACTGAGAACTCTTAATAGTATGGTCATCATAAGACTTTGAGGGGATTTCTTTATTTTTTTTAGAGGGTGAAAATGTCTTGAAGAAATTCCCAGGGCTTGGTGAATAGAAGATACTTTACTGAATTTCAAAGTGATGTTGCAGGCATACCCTTGAAAGAAATTTGTGAATTGGGGTGATCGAAAGAAAAATGCACAGGTGGTGAACTGAAACCTGGTGAATGGTGCATGGCTGGGACAGGCCGTGTACAGTTGGGGTTGACTTGGGGAATCCCTCCCAGAATGGCATCAGATGAACCAAGATTTGCAACTGCAATGGTGTGCCTTGTAATTTGGGGTTTCCCTCAGGCAGTGCTTTTCTAGGTTGTTTGGAAGTGTTACACTATGACCACTTCCTAATCTTCTTGTGGAAGGAGGTACCTGTATTAGTCAAGACTTTTTCCCATGCAAATGTCAAAACCCAGCTCAGACTGGCAAGTGATGAGGGGTTGGGGTGAGAGAGTGTGTACGCTCACAGAGCTTAAAAGTTCAAGGGTTAGCCTGGCCTCAGACCCAGCTGGAACCAGGCACTCAGGTAACGTCATCAGGAAGGGTCTGTTCCAATTGTTCTGTTCTGTTCTGTTTCTTTCCTATTGGCTCCGTTCTTTGTCAAGTTTTTCCCTTGCTGAGGCCAGAGGGCTTCTGAGAGTCCCTGCTTCACATACTTACAGCTTAGCAACCCCTCAGAAAGAGAGTATCTCTTGCTCAGTAATTCCAGCGAAATCCCTTGAATCAATTGAGTGACTTGGGTCACTTATCTATACATGAACCAGTCACTGTGGAGAAGGGAGGAGATGTGCTGATTGGTAAGTGTGTTAGGCTGTTCTTGTGTCACTATAAAGAAATACCTGTGGCTGGGTAATTTATAAAGAAAAGAGGTTTATTTGGCTCATGGTTCCACAAGCTGCATTAACATGGTGCCAGCATCTGCTGAGCTTCCGGGGAGGCCTCAGGGAACTTTTGCTCATGGTGGAAGGCAGAAGGGGAGCCAGCATGTCACATGGCAAGAGCAGGAGTGAGAGAGAGATTTGGGGGTGAGGGGGCACACACTTAACCAGATCTCAGGGGAACTCACTGTCACGAGGACAGCACCAAGACATGAGGGATCTGCCCCTGTGACCCAAATACCTCCCACCAGGCCCCACCTCCGACACTGGGGATTACAGTTCAACACAAGATTTGGTGGGGACATATATTCAAACTATATCAGTGGGACCTAGCATTATATCCACCCCTGCATCCCCCGGATGATGTTGGCTCCCTTAAAACCACGTAGATCCAGAATAGATAAGGAGTAACTTGTTGCCACTCAGGTTCCTTTTAGAAGATGGAGGAGTAAGTGCTATATAGACATTTTGCTCCTTATCTTAAAGAGGTGAGCCATATCATATTGCTAGCCATATTGTTTAGCCAGTCAGCTGGTTAGCGGAAAAATCACTTCCTAGATTTGGACAATTCGACGTTTAATCCCAAACCTGGATTGGGAGCGCAGTATAAATAAATGTTTTAGGACTCAGTTCCTTCATTAGAAACCAGAAAAAGTTGCTCTAGAATATTTCTGCAGTCCCTTGTTACTGTAAAAAGTTTATATAATAAACTTACAATTTTTGTCTGTTTTTTTTTTGTTGTTGTTGTTTTCTTTTTTTTTTATTTTATTATACTTTAAGTTCTGGGTTACATGTGCAGAACGTGCAGGTTTGTTACATAGGTATACATGTGCCCTGGTGGTTTGCTGCGCCCATCAACCCGTCATCTACATTAGGTATTTCTCCTAATGTTATCCCTCCCCTACCCCCCACCCCCTGACAGGCCCCGGTGTGTGATGTTCCCCTCCCTGTGTCCATGTGTTCATGTTGTTCAGCTCCCACTTACGAGTGAGAACGTGTGTTGTTTACAAACTTATAATTTATGTGGTGGCTTTCATATGATGCCCATTTCACAGACTAGTATGTTCTAGACATCAGCACCGTCTATTCTTTTTTTTTTTTTTTTCTTTTTTTTAAACAGAGTCTCACTGTGTCACCCAGGCTGGAGTGCGGTGGTGCAATCTCGGCTCACTGCAACCTCTGCCTCCCAAGTTCAAGCAATTCTCTTGCCTCAGCCTCCTGAGTAGCTGGGATTACAGGCGTGCGCCACCACGCCCAGCTCATTTTTGTATTTTTAGTAGAGATGAGGTTTCACCATGTTGGTCAGGCTGGTCTCAAACTCCTGACCTCAAGTGATCTGCCCACCTCAGCTTCTCAAAGTGCTGGGATTACAGGCGTGAGCCACCGCGCCCAGCGCAGCACCGTCTATTCTATGTCTGCACTTTGCAGCATGGTAGTTACTAGCCACATTGGCTATTGTGCACTTCAAATGTGGATAATATGTTAGAGGAACTAAATTATTTTATTTAAGTGTAATTCATTTAAATTTAGATAGCCATTTGTGACTACTGTGTACACTGTTGGACAATTCAGCCCTGGGTTAATGACAAAATCTAGCTACATAGTAGACAAGTGAAATGTGAGTGACCATGGAAGATGACTTAAATCTTGTCTTGTGCCTTTGGTGAGTAATACTTAGTTGTATTTTTCATTCATAATTTGTAGTGGAAATAAAAAGCACTGCTCCTTCCAACAAATACAGAAAGACTGTTTTCTCCCTATGTATCCCCCAACCAAAGCAGTTCTAAGTGTTGGAGGCTGATTATTTTAGTTTTGTGGTTCCTCATGTATCTTCCTTGTCTGGTGGCGTGAAGCAATGGAAAGAATGCTTAATAAGGAGTCGCAGGTTTTAGGTTCTGGTCTCGGTTCTGCCTGTAACTATTTAGAGGTATGACCTTTGGCTCTTCATGTTTCCCTCCGTGGCATCAGTTTCCTTATCTGGAGTGAGGGGGTGGGATTAAGATGATCGCTAAATCTATTCCAGATCAGAGTTTCTATGATTCTGTGTCTTTTTCTTAATTCGGATGACCAGGATAATGGCTGAGGGTTCTCTTTGTGTAATTACTGAGCTGAGTACAGGTGCTGGAAAGAACTGGGGAGATACCTTGGGCCATTTCAGTTTTGAATTATGGAGTGTTAGAACACTTTTCAGATTGCCACGGGATCTGAAGGAGCCCTGAGGAAAGTCAAGTTCTGCTTCATTATTGTTTAGTGTCGTATCCAAGGTAAACCTGGACACAAATGCAGAACACTTAGCGTTAAGCAGTATATACTTTAAAAATTAGTTTAGTCGGAGGTTGCCTCCTTCTGCCACTTTCAGAGTTGCAAATCCTGTGGAGGTAAAGGTTTCAGACAAAGTGCTGGTAGAATGGGCCAAAGTGAAGATCACCCAGTGAGAGACAAAAGGGAAAGGTTAGTACCTTAAGTGCGCTTGAGAAATGGGTTCATTGAGTCAAATCATAACTACTACTGCTTGCTAAGCCAGAAGAAGGAAATTCAGAGATGGTAAGACTTTCTTTGATACCCAGGGAAATTAGGGTTAAGGATGGTTGCTTGGAGTGACTTCATCTGTAGAAGGCTGGATTCTGAAGGAGATGAATCACAAATGAAGAGAAAGAGGAAGGGAAGAACATTGGCCAGATTTGCAAGAGCAGGTAGGTGGATTTGAAGTGTTCCAAAGGACAGTGTGGTAGGATGTGTCAAAGCAGTACAGAGGCAGAAAGCCATCAGCTGGGGCTGAATAGAAATAAGATGTTTATTTGGTGATTTAATTGCAATGTTCAATAGTACATTTGATGATTGTGTTGTTATCGTGTAATAATGCGACAAAGTTAAACATTTATTGATGTGGTCACGCTAGTGAATTCCCATTGTAAATAGTAGCTCCTATTCTCTGTCTCCATAGGATCTTTCAGACACAGTTGCATCTTGTAGCTTTATTTTTATTTTTTAACTGGCTATCTTTATGTATGGGAACAGTCATCTCCAGAGATTCATTTTCATCTCAAAAAACTTCTAAAGGTGTTAATTGCATTTTTTCAAAACTCTTATGTAATTATTTAAAATTATTCCACCGGCACTATAAATCAGAACTTTTCCCATTATATTGCTGAGGAACATTTATGACCTGTTTAGACACTTTTGATTTATAGGTTTAGGAAACAAGAATATAGAAACCATTGCCAGGTTTTAATTTGGAAATTTCTTTAGCTACGTCTGTTTCTGCAGAAAAGAGAAACAGAAAGCTGGTAGGAGAGGTGATTGGAGAGGTATGGTCCATACTAGTGATTCACAAGAAAGAGAAGCACAAGACCTGATTTGGGGGTCCTGCTCTGAAATGAGCAATTGGCGTGTCTTGTGCATGTTGTTTATACTTTCTAGGCATTATTTTTAAATGCTGGTTCTGTGTAACAGGTGCCTAACTCTGAGTGAGTTATTTAAGTTTCTAGACCTCAGTTTTCTCATCTATAAAATGTAGACTGAAAACAGAATCTTCATAGGATTATGATAAAGATTAAGTAAGCTCGCTCATCTATGCATTCAAAAACCTTTGTCAATGAAGCCTCTGCTGAGAGCCAGGCACTGTGCTGGGTGCTGAGTGAAGGTGGCAGGAGGAGGCAGGGCCGGACCTCTCTTGGTACAGGTAATAAGTGGGAATAACCCGACACCTGGAGTGGGTGATACATGAGAATAAGCCCTGACGTGAACAGGTCTTCTTAATTGTCAAATAGTAACAATAGCACCCCAGTTTAGATGTTGTGAAACATTGGAGTGCACACATTTAGAAAACTGATCACAATATCTCTCAGATGAATATGATCCAAGAAATTTAGAGATAATAGAAATTGTCTGTGTCGAGGGAGGATGGGGAAGAGTTAATATGCTGAGATGAAGAATGAAGATTTTTTTAGAACAAAGTCTCAGCAGGCTGAAGTTCTCAATCAAAATGAAAAAAAGATCGTTAATGGGCATGAATGCAAAGCCCATACCATGGTACTAGTGTAGAGTGAAGAGCTCTAACTTAACAGCAGTTCATGTGACAATTAGTGAGGAATGATTGTAACACCAGTAGGAGCCAGTTGAGACCTAGGTGGGGGGCAGGGGCAAAGAATTCAGACTGTATTAATAGAATAATGAGGAGTTGGGCTGCTGTCCTCCTCTGGACTAGAGGGGCAGACACCTGTCCCACCATGCTCATTTCTGCGCACTCTATTTGGAGGGGCGCAGGGGCAAGACAGAGTGGGTGGCCTTGCCTGTCACTTACCAAATACTGGCTACATGCTTTAAACAAAACCAGAACCTATTTAGGACTTTAGCAGGAAGGGGCAAAACCAAACCGTGAGTGGGCGTGGTAGGAAGTGGGGGAGTTGTTATAGTGCAGGAGTTCCATAGCATCCACTGGTGGGATGAACTTGGTTCTTAAGTCTGCAGTTCCCAGAATCCAGGTAACGAAAGAGAAGCAAAGGTCACACTAGCTCTTGTGCTTCCAAGGAGAAGGGTTAAAGTTGCCACTATTTATGACTAGTGGCTCCAATGAAGTCTGGGCTGCAGTCTTCCTGTGGGTCTTTCCTCGTCCTCCTCTTTTTTAGCTGCATCAGTGAAGAGCCTTTGGAGGCAAAACAAAATGAAGTGGAAGCTCCTTGGGCAACGTTATCTAGTTGCAGGATGTGCTGGTATTGGTAGCAGTTTAGAAAAACTGCTTTTCGTGCCCTTCCAGTCTTATGTCCATTCAGAAGGATTCTTTTCATTTAACAAAATTTAGCAAGAGAAATGAAAAACAGATGATTTTTTAAAACCCTGGAGTAGCTGTCTACCTTTAGTAGGTACAGTTTTATTAGGGTAAGTCATTCAAGTTTACTCACAGCCATAAAATGACATTTATTATTTGTGTAATCTCTGAATCATGGTTTGTACCCAGCTTTGTTTTGTTTTTTAATTTTCGAAGAGTCTAATCATTGATTGCTGTGTACAAATGCACTTTTTGCACGTGATGAGGTCACTCAGTCATAAAATTGTCATCAAAAGATTTTAGTCCCTAAACATGGCAATATAGGGATGCTTCTCACTGAATATTCATCTTACCTATAGAGATGCTATTATTTAGCAAGGACTTAGTTACTTTTTCCTTAACACTATGTGAAACGCACCACAGGTGGAGAAAGAAGAAAGAGCACACAATTCATCTCTCAGAGCTTACAGTTTAGAGAAAATATACAGAGGAGGCCGGGCGGGGTGGTTCATGCCTGTAATCCCAGCACTTTGGGAGGCCAAGGGAGGCGGATCACCTGAGGTCAGGAGTTCGAGAGCAGCCTGACAGACATGGAGAAACCCTGTCTCTACTAAAAATACAAAATTAGCCAAGCGTGATGGCGCGTGCCTATAATCGCAGTTACTCGGGAGGCTGAAACAGGAGAATTGCTTGAACCCGGGAGGTGGAGGTTGCGGTGAGCCGAGATCACGCCATTGCACTCCAGCCTGGGCAACAAGAGTGAAACTCCATCTCAAAAAAAAAAAAATATATGCACAGGAAACATAAATGCTTCTTAGGAGGGGAGGAAGTGAGAGGGGAGTAAGGCAAAGAAGAGAAAATAGAAAACATTCATTCGTTGGTTTATTCATTTGTTTATAAATTCATGAAATCTTTGTTGACGAGTGGTATGTACAGGGTTATGTACAACGGCATTTGATGAGCTAGTTCAATATGTAATGGAATGATGAAGTGACTAGCACAGAGAGTGAATGCTGTAGGAAGTCGGGGAAGTGGGAACACCCCAAATTTAGTGCCATGGTTGGGAAGATGGCTAGGTTGGTGACCTCTTCTCCTCGTGTGTATGTGCGTTCCTGTTAAAAAGGATAATTTTGCCTAACAGAGGAATACTTTTTGTTTAGACTTGGCTCCTTTTCATGACATTCGGTTTCACTGTACTATAAACAGGTCTTTAGCTGTCTTTCCCCCACTCCCCACTTAGGTCATAAGGAACAAGTAAATAAAAATTAACAAGAGCTACCTTCACTTCAGTACAGCGAGGCTGCCTTAGGAGAGAGTGCACTAAAAAGAGACCTCAGGGTTCAGGGATTGACACCTTGCTGCAGAATGGGAGTGACATGTGAAAGGTCAGTGGTAGCCTTGACTATGCCGTTTTTGTTAGAGTTCTATTTCCTCTTCTAGACATCTAAGAAGGATTAGCATACAAGTCCTTGGTGTTTTAGAAGTTTGCCCCTGCTTGGATGTGAGCTCTCTTCAAGCTTTGTTCTACTTAATTGTATAATAAGATAACTATGTCTGATGTGATATTATTTAAAAACTTGGTGACTGAAATATCTAACCCATGAGCCCATGCTCCATAACTTTATGTGTTTCCAATCCCTGTGTGAATGTTAGATTAGCCCTTCAAAAAATCCAGAGACATATTAGAGATCCACTGACTCAAACATCTCTGGCTTAGAAGCTTAGCAATCACAGTTGAGAGTGTGCCAGGATAGGAGTAAAGAACACCAAACTCTGCTAACTTGGAGGAAAACTATGTATGTGTGTTTGACCCAGCTGAGGTCAAGGCTGGATGAGATCATGTTAATCATGGCCATGACATGGATAAAGAAGAACAGAGACCATGCTCAAAACAGGAAGAAGGAGAAGAGGAAGAGATAAGTAAATTTTTGAGATAGGAAATACAGGTGAAATTGAGAAAAAGAAGAAAAACTATTCATCTCAAAGGAAGGGAGCTGGAGCATGAATTATAATCACCCCAGCCACACCAAATCCTTCACATTCTCTGGTATTCTGACTCATGTTGTCTGCCATATGAATGTTGGCACGTGCCATTCCAGTAGCTCAGATGCCCTTCCCGGTCCTGCCTGCCCATCTCCCTACGGCAGAGCATTATCCTTTCATCTTCAGCATAACTCTTGTCTTATTCTACAAGTTCCCTTTTCCCCCTGAGGCCAAGGTAGGAGCCCTTCTTTTCTGATGTCTGCGTATGTACGTATTTGTTAATTCAGCAAATGATCAAATGATCAAATGATGGTAAGAAAAGAAAATAGATTTCCATTTCTTCCTTCGAGTTAGTTGGGTATTGGGAACTTGAAAAATAATCTTAAAGTAGGCCTGTTAAACAATGATGCTATTTGGGTGCAAGCTGAGCCCTCTCTGGAGCCAGGGTGGCTGGGACTACATTGAAAGCCAGCCTTTCTGGAGACAGGCTCCACCGTGAGTAACAAAACATTGAAAAAATATAGGCCGAAGATTCCATAAATTAGGTCTCATGTTGGTCAACCTACAGTTCATTGTTCTTGACACTTGGGGCAGAGACCCCACCTTAGAATATCCCAGCAGGGCCTGGCACAATGGCTCACTCCTGTAATCCCAGCACTTTGGGAGGCTAAGGCAGGAAGATCACTTGAGCCCAGGAGTTCGAGAGCAGCCTAGGCAACATACAGAGTCCCCATCCCTACAAAAAAGAAAAATAAAAAATTAGCCAGGCCTGGTGGTTCATACCTGTGGTCCCAGCTACTGGGGAGGCTAAGGCCGGAGGATCCTTTGAGCCCAGGAGGTTGAGGCTGCAGTGAGTCATAATTGTGCTACTGCACTCCAGTCTGGGTGACAGAGTTAGACCCTATTTGTTTAAAAAAAAAAAAACAAAAAAAACCCAGTGGGTCCTTGAGAGCTCAGTGTTTAGCAAATCACCATACTCCTTCACCACATGCAAGTGATGAACTGGCTGGGGTATGTAGCACACCACAACCTAGAGATTTAAGTGGGACTGCTATTTTGCCTCTTGTAGATGATTCTTGGTCTAGTGACCCTGGTTAAAAAACAACCAAATGTCTTCTTCCATTGTTTGGCTGAAGGATCTGCCGCTGCTGAGTTAAATTTTGGAGTGAGGATCAACAGTACCTACAGCACAAAAAAATAAGAAGTCTAAGAAACTAAAATAAATTTTGGATTCTGTAATTTCATTATAGCAAAAGGAAGAAATTGAAGGAAAAGTGGTATGTAGTAATAGTAATAATGATACATTAGGAAGCATTTTAAGTGCTTACTGTGTGCCAGCCACTGATCTGTTTTATCTCATTTAAACCTTGTGTGGGTGAAGTACTAAGATTAGTTCTTTTTTATAGATGAGGAAACTGAAGTCTATAGAAACTAGCAATTTACTAAATGTACAGCCAGAGAATAGTACCACCAGGATCAGAACCGATGGCAGTGTCTCTCCAGAGTCACCATGCTGAATTCTCTCCTTGCCTTTTATGATTAGAGACCAAATAAGCTCCACCACCCTGATGTTTCATGTTTACATCTGAGACACTGTGTATTACCAGGAGAACTCAGGCACTGAGGCTGCTGGCCTCTGCCTGGTGCTCAGTCATGTGTCGGAAGGAGATGAGAGAAGATCATCGGTGTCTGTCTGTCTGTCTCTCTTTCCAGCAGTGGAGATGGGAGTATAAGAAACTGCTTAATCAAGGAGAAGTAACTCAAAAAGAATGCATGAGCCCCTGGTCTCACTCCCTCGATGTTCCCACTCCCACATCCAGCCAGCCCAGTTGTGGGTTGTCACTGTGGATTCCTGTAAGAATCAAAGAGGACATCAGAATTTTAACTTTGTGTTATTTTAGCTTCCATTCATGCTGACTAATCGGTGACACTTGGTCACATTTATTTTCCATGGGAGTAAGACTGAACCAGCCTCTTTGTTCTTCCAGGCTTAGTTTTACCCCCAAGCCTAGTCTCCAGATTGGCATATGGGATTAGAAGCCTTGTTTTGGAGTCATTCAAGTCTCAACACCCCACTGACCGGCTTCAAGATACTGATTAAATAATTTAAGCTGGCCATGTGCAGTGACTCAACGCCTGTAATCCCAGTACTTTGGAAGGCCTATGTGGGTGAATCACCTGAGATTAGGAGTTTGAGACCAGCCTGGCCAATAGGATGAAACCCTGTCTCTACTAAAAATACAAAAATTAGCCGGGCGTGGAGGCAGGCACCTGTAGTCCCAGCTACTGGGGAGGCTGAGGCAGAAGAATCGCTTGAACCCGGAGGCAGAAGTTGCAGTGAGCCAAGATTGCACCACTGCACTCCAGCCTGCATGAGAGAGCAAGATTCCATTTCAAAATAATAATAATAATAATGTAAGCTCTTAGAGCCTCAGTTTATCTGTCTGTTAAGTGGGCACAATAATACCTACTTCATCCGGTTGTTTGGAGGATTAAGCACTTCTATAGGAAATGCCAAATGCATCACACATTCCCATAAGTACTGCTGTATTTCTCAGCCATCTTGTTACCAGGCACCAAGCCTTCCCTCATTTTCCCTTTCTTTGTCAAATCCTGTGCCAGGGTCACAGTACGTGCTTCCCAGTTTGTGATTGGTGGCTTCTTTAGAGGATTTCCTGCACCTCTCTGTTCATGAGTGGCTCTGGTCCTTGTTATCTTAGCATTGTCTCAAAGTTGCCCAAGCTCTGTAGCCAGCAAATGAAGAGGGTCCCTAATGCAAGAGACTGAGCCCTGGAGGACACAGTCACATCCCAGCTCTTCCATTCACCAGCCAAAGGACCTCAGATGAGTCCCCCAGCTGTGAACAACATTGGAGGGTTTGCTAGACACTGTGTGCTTGCGATACATTGGATCAAATATTCACACCAATGCTCTCAAATCAGGAGACATTAATTTAGAAGTTGACACCCCCTCGGAAAATAATAACAGAAACATCTATCTACTCTGAGGCAGATAATCATTCCCACTTTACAAATGAGGAAATGCGGATAATATAAACTTTTGTGACTCACCTACATTGCTGATGAGTAACAAATACTGGATTCAAACTCACATCTCTTCTGCTTCAAACTCCAGGTAGCCTTCTCTATGTGCAGTGGAGGTTATAGGATTCTTGTTTCATAGGTTGTCGTAAGAATGTTGACAGGGCTTTGCAGACTTCAGAGATAAGGGGGATTGCTGTTGCTGCTGTTAAAATATAAGCCCCAAGGCAGGAAGAGGTGAGGATTCACATGAGGTATAGAGAAGGGTGTAAGCAGAGAACAAAGTTAGAGGGAAGAATAAGTTAGTAGCCCAGTGGGATGGGTGAACGGATGAAAAAGGGTGTCAGAGAACAGTTAACCACAGCGCGCCCTGATTTCAAAGCTCTGGCCTGTTGGGTTGTGACATTACATAGATGTGTTCTGACCCATCTCAAAAATTGGACATCGCTGAATTTAATTAAGATCAATTAGACATTCCTCCTATTGTTCAAACACACAATGCCTTATTTGTTTGAAAAGAGGGAAGTTCTGTATGACCTGAAAGCTTCCTGCTTCATCTACTGCTTTTCCTCATGAAGGATGAAATGCCATTTGAAATAATAAAAAATAAATAATTGGCCTGCAGGCTAGACGCATTTTCTCAAGACTTTATTAAACTGTTAATACAAAAGGGGTCTGATGTCTCTGTGAGATTACTCTTTCTTCCAAATGTCCCTTGCAATCCAGTCTAAACCTTAGCTGTGGCTTCAATCTGAGATGGAAAAGGCACCCCCTATCAGTAGCAGCCACCTGATGCTTAAAACTCATTTCTCCTTTCCAATATGCAACCAACAGAAGCAAGCAAGTGGTTTGGGAGGCTGGGTTGGATATTCAGAAATCTTTTTTGGTGAAAGCAGGCATGGTTGAAATAAAAGAACCAAAGTGGTTAAGGAAGAGGATGAAAAAGTCACAAGCACAAAAAAACATAAATATGTTTAGAAGTCAAGTTGTTTTGGAGTCTTCATCTGACCCCCCTCAACTAAATCCACCAAGTCTTAAAGCATGTATGTGACTTACTGTATGTACTACAAGTTGTTGATGTTTCATAGGGCTTATGACCTAGAGAATGTCCCAGTAAACGTTTTGGGTTGTTTCCCAAAAAACATTTTTTTGGTTGTTGTTCCCTGACTCACTGTAGACATGACAGTGTTCGAGATTATTGAGCATTGAAATCCTATTTATAATTTTAATCCATATTTCTGGTGGTTCTGGTTTCATTCATTCATTCATTGTAGAGATGGGGTCTCATTCTTGTTGCCCAGGCTGTGGAGTACAGTGCAATGACGTGATCAGGGCTCACTGCAACCTCAACCTCCAGGGCTCAAGCGATCCTCCTGCCTCAGCCTCTGGAGTAGCTAGGACTACAGATGCATGCCATGCCTGGCTAATTTTTTAAAATATTTTAGAGACAGGGTCTTGCTACATTGCCCTAGCTGGTCTTGAACTCCTGGCCCCAAGTGATCCTCCTCTCTCGGCCTCCTGAGTCAGTGGGATTACAGGCATGAGTCACTGCACCCAGCCCTATTTCTGGTAGTTTTACATAGGATCCTAATTGTAAGCAGGAAATACCTAGAGATTAGTCCTTTGCTAATGTAAAATGTGCACTTGGTACATGATAGGTGTAAGGATACCAGTAATGATAGCTGTTGTTGTTGTCGTTGTTGTTGTTGTTGTTAAACTACAGAGGCTGGGCGCAGTGGCTCACGCCTGTAATCCCAGCACCTTGGGAGGCTGAAGCAGGCCGATCACCTGAGGTGTCGGGAGTTTGAGACCAGTCTGGGCAACATGGTGAAACACCGTCTCTACTAAAAATACAAAAATTAGCCAGGCGTGGTGGCAGGTGCCTGTAATCCCAGCTATTTGGGAGGCTGAGGCAGGATAATCGCTTGAACACAGGGGGCGGAGGTTGCAGTGAGCCAAGATGCGCCATTGCACTCCAGGCTGGGTGACAAGAGCGAGACTCCATCTCAAAAAAGAAAAAAAGAAATTATAGAGAGATCTCATCCATCTTCCTCTTTGTTTAGCTGAAATGTGCAGGCGCAGAGAGGTGACGTGACTTGCCCACAATCACACTATTATTCCTGACAAAGTCATTAATAGAATCCTAAGTCATATGTAGTACTCCTGTACTATCTCAGAGTTAAACAGCCTGCTTGAGGCCTCTGTGGACTAGAAAAGATGTGCTGACCGCTTCAGCGGCCTGTAGATGAGCCCCAGTACTTGGAGCTGTCTGGAAACTACATGAACCGTCAAAGACTGGAAAGTGGAGACACCCAGGGTTGCTCACCTGGATGCCTGTGTCAGATTCCATTCCTGAGTTCTTAAACACACCCTCTGTTCTCAACCTCCCTCTCCCACCCGCTCCCCACTAGAACTGGCCTTACAACCTTTTTTTCTAGAAAAGGAGACAAACCTTGAGACTTTTATGTGGTCACTCTTAAAGACAGGGTGTGAGTGTCTGTGTAATTGGTGACTATTAGGGAAAGAAAAGCAAGCCATAGCGAGCGCAGAGCCCCGGAAAATGTTTTCTGTGTAGCAGCTTCTATGCCACACAGTGTGGAAGGCAATTATCTTGGAGGGGATTCCACAGCCCTGTGCCGGCTTCCCCGGTGTAAGATTTATTGTCGGCTGGATTGGGTGTTCTTTATAAGACCATTTACTCGGCATCTAAAGCGCTGTCAAGAGTGCTACTTCCTGAATGCTTTTGAGGTTGCAACTGCTAAGCTTCATTTTCCCGTCTTGGAGATATATTTTTGAAATGGTATGCAGGGATTTGTACAGGCCTTGTGCTTCCCATTGACACTGACAGGAGTTGCACTGTTAAACCCCAGCACGCTGCTGCAGAAATTTACCCCCTAATGCCCAGAGCCCTCCTTCAGCTGGGAGTCTGGCCCACACGTGCGCGGAGGGTTCCCGTAGCAGGGGAGAGGGCCCGAGAGTGCCCTTGTTTTGTGTAAGTCCTACCAGCTAATCAGTCTCAAAGTTGACTGTTTTCTTACTGAAACAAAGGATAAGCAAGTACTCTTCTTTTGCTTTTTCTCTTCCGTTTTTTGGATCTTAGGAATGCCAGAAGAAAACTCGAACTGCGAGTCAGCCAAATATACTGTATCGTGAAACCTTAGGGACCACTGAAATGGGAACAGTGGCCCATTACTGCTAAGAAGGTGTTTTATTGAAAATGCGCCGACATGCTCTCCCCGGAGAGTGAGCAAAAGAAGGCAAGATGCCCAACAGTAATACAGGTTGTTCTCTTAGGTGAGCTAAAATATCGAGTTTGGCACTCCCCTGCTGTGAGCGAGGAGGCAATAGAGTAGACGAATGTGCATTTTTACATTAAAAGTGCCATATTTCACTAGGGGTGTCCCCCTTTCTCCCCCCATTTTGTTTAAATGTCTTAATTTATATATTCCAGTTAATAGTTCATTACATGTCCTTTCTCTGTCTGGCTTTAAAAGTTGTCTTTTGAATAAGTTGAAGTAGTCAAAATTTCCTAATCCTGGCAGGCTTGCCAGCAGAGGGCAGGCGTAAAGAAGGTTTTGACATGAGGGTGTGTCAACCTAGGGTCAGAGGAGGGTGGTGTTGCATGGGAGGAAGATGTGTGAGCATTGTTCTGAGGGCAGGATGGGACACGCTCCCTTTGCCTCTTTGCAGGCCTGCTGCACACCACAGATCTCTGGAAAAGCTGACTGTACTAAATAAAGGTGGTCAGTTGCCTTTATCTGATATTCAGCGATTTCTACATAAGTAAACGTTAAAAAAATTAAAATGTAATTTCATTCCCCAAGAGCCGTCTTTTCTTTCCCCTTCAGTGCCCCATTTCTGGTTATGCTTAAAAATCGAGGGTTTGCCTGTGGGTGGGCCAAAAATACTGTCACTCTTCGGGAGGGAAATAACAAATTACACTTGGTGGTGGTGGTGGCAGTGATGTTTTCCCCCCGATATCTGAAGGGTACAGCACTTTGGGACATGCTCTACTGCCCCAAAACATGTACCTTTTCAAGAACTTTGCACACTTCAGTGTAATCTGTTCTAACCCCATGGCAGAAGCAGTCCATTAACAAATTTTACATTATGTTAAAACAGGGGATTATAGTTTCATCATAAATGAGAGAGGGTAATTTATTACTGTCAAATGCAGAGTTAGGAAAGGATGTTGTCATTTTTCTTTTCTGTCATGATTTTGTTTACCTCTGATGCTTATGAATGCTTTTAGAGTAAGGGATTTGTTTTTAGGTTGATGTTTTCCATAGCTCATCATACTTACAAGTCACCTGAATGTTGACATGTCACACTGTGTATATACAAATTAACCAGAAGCAATGGCTTTATAAAATGTTGCATTACATGAAAATGCAAATGGCAATTTGGAAGATGCATTAAGGGGAATTTAAACTCCTATGGAACAGTGAGAACTCAGTGTTTTCCCTTGGCCAAACTTGCAGGCACAGAAGAAAAACAACATAATTAGCTTCATTGTCAACATATGCATAACAGTGACATAAACAATATCAATATGGAGCTAACTGCCTTAGCTCCCTGTAGATGGATGATGTATTAATTTATATTTTTAAGTAAAAGCACTGCTTAAATCAAGACAGAATGGTGGTTCCTTGGAGACAAATCCCCAGATCTCAGGAATGGGGCATTGCTGTTGCAATTTAGTAACTCTAATTGGCTGCCCCATTGCCATTCTTTGGAGAAATACTTAAAGCAGTCCTCCTTCTGGGGAGGCGCGCTTTCCTGAGTAGGCCATCAGGCATGTTACTGGGCTTACATTTTGTATTCCTGTTGCTTTAGCTTTCTCTCTCCGGAATTGGAATCAGTTGGTTGAATCTCTTTAAGTTCTGTCATTTCAGAATATGTCCTGGATACTCCATTAAATTAATTGGAAAGGGGAAAGAAAATGTGTGTTGTGTTAACACAAGTGTTGTTCAGAAGAAGACAGCAAACTTGAATTAAGGTTTTGGCCTCTGATCACACAGTTGATTTTTCACCCCATGCTCGTATCCTTTCTCTAGTTATTTCCAAGCAGCTTCTGGCAAAGCAGGCCTTTCGTTGGAACTGAGGACCACGTGGGCCAGGGACCATTGCTGTATCTGCCTCACCACAGGGCCATTCATCAGTGTATGGAATAATGTCCTGAGGAGACGCTCCTCCTGACTCTTCCTTTAATACATCTTATCTCCATTCTCAGCTCTGAATGGGCAGTAAAACCTTTCACTTTCTTCTGTGTTCAAAGCTAAGGCTCAGCAGAACCAAATATAATACATGATTTTAGTCCCAGGTGTGTTATTTGGTGGTTAGAGTTTGGTGTGGGATCATAGTAATCTGTTCTTAAGTGCACAGCCAGCTGCACAATGGACTCATTTAGCAACTGACAGGTTTCTTAATATGTGGTGTTTGAACAAGAGCTGTATCTGTTGTGGGTGTTAGGATGTGGGCATCAAAAATATTTTTAAAGTATGGTATTTAGCATTTCCTTTACTCTTCCTTAAACGTTGGCTTACCCCTCGATATCCCCTCCCCCCCACCACAGGTATTCATTTTATATTATTATGGCTTTTTTTTTTTATAATTATCCAGTATCTGCTTCCTCTTGGAAGCCTGTAGTATATATTTTTTTTTTATTTTATTTTTTATTTTTTAAGACAGTTTCTTGCTCTGTTGCCTAGGCTGGAGTGCAGTGGTGCGATCACAGCTTGCTGCAGCCTTGAACTTCTGGTCTCCAAGTGATCCTGCCACCTCAGTCTCCCAAGTTGTTGGGACTATAGGCATGCACCATCACACGTGGCTAATTGTGTGTGTGTGTGTGTGTGTGTGTGTGTGTGTATTTTTGGAGACGGAGTCCCACTGTGTTGCCCAGGGTGGTCTCAAACCTCAAAGCAGTCTTCCTGCCTTGGCCTCCCAAAGTGCTGGGATTATGAGTATGAGCCACTGCACCTGGCCATGTTTAATTCTTGGGAGAAATCACTTTGCTTTTCTAAGCCTCAGTTTCCTCCTCTGTACAATGAGGGCTGGAATTTGTGTTCAGATTATGACAACTGCATGAGACTGTTAAAACACCCACAATCCAAAATTTTTTTGTTGGCCTTTCTTATTCAGCTTTTCTAAAATGACCTGGTGCTCACAGTGATTAATAAATGGTTTTAACGAAGTCTTCTGAGTTACTATTGGTTTTAACATTTTATATTATATTCCACTTATGGAAGTTCCAGTTCTTCCTGAATCCCAAATACAGGGCAAGTACACAGGACCACAGGAGTTTAGAATTAACCAAAGTGGCCTGGGCATATGTAGTTTATCCAGGTTTATCACTGATGGGACATTTCCTTGCCCAGAAGTAGTCTCTGAGTCACCATATCATCTGTCTGTCTGGAGACAGGGCGAGATGGGCTCCAGGTGGCTTCTAAGTTAGTATGCCAAGCCATTTCCCTCTCTCTTTTGTCACCTCCCCCTTACCCAAACCATCAGCCTTTAAATGCCACCTCCCCAGTGGGCCTTCCCAGACCCCTCCTCCTAGTGATCTCCTCCTTCTTTGTGGTCCCATGGTGCTTACAGCCACCACCGTGCAATTTAGTAGTTGAGTAAGCACTGCATTGCATCACTCTCTAATTATTTTGTTTAAGGCTTGTCTCCACAGCTGGGTCATGAGCGTCTGTAATGTTGTTTGCTTGTTTATTGTTTGTTTTGATGCACCTGCAGACTATTAGCTGATAAACACTGACCTGCTAAGGAGTTAGTCCACCTTCTGAAAGCATGCATGAGTTTTATGGATGCCTCATGAAGAACTTAGTTTCTAAAATAAAAACACATTGCATATTCAAAGTACATCCCAGTTTTTGTTTATAAACATTAAAACTCAATTTTAATACTTTGGGAAAAAGAAAGTCACTTAGGCGTTTTGAAATGATTCTTTCCACTTTCTCCCTGTACATTGGTTGGAGAGCACTTCCTTTATTTGTATTTCCTGCCGTTGGGGCTCTCTGCCAGCCCCTCCGGAAAGAGCACCTTTTCTCTTTAAGAGTCAGAACTCTACTGATAGTCGGGGGACTTTCTGGCAGATTTAAGGTCCTTCTACCTCGCAAAAGAGCCCTTGGTTCTCTGTTGAATATTCATGAGAGGGTGGGGTCACATTTTGTGACCTGAAAAAATCCCATTAATAAATTTGGTATCTGACACAAAAACACTTTAGGGTGAAGAGCGATCTGCGCTGTGCCCATTTAACATCTGATCATACTTTGATGGTCACTTCGCGCTTGTCTCTTTTACAGCCAGAGTAAAGAGGGAATTGTCTGCTCCCCGCTGACCCTGTTGAAATTCAGGCATTTGCTTGATTGGAAATATTACCAATATTCTTTCTGGTCTGTAGTAACCTGCATTTAATACACTTCACATCAAAATGTACTTTCAAGTAAAATTCCTGGGATTACTGGGTCAGATTTTGTTGCCTTTTTTTTTTTTTTTTTTTTGAAGGCAAATAGGCATTCATTGATGTCACACTACTCCTTTTCCTCTAATATTTTGAGAAAAAGAATAAAAATGTGTGTGGGGATTTTGTGTGTGTGTCTTTAAAAAATATACAGGCCAGGAAGTTTTTCTCCAAGTTTGAAGGTGGTAAATAGGTGATTTTTTTAGAGTCGCCGAAATGGACTAGATTAACCTGACGCTTAAGTCGTGTCAGTTGAGCCAACAAAGTTTAGCACATTGTTGACTTTTTAAAAAAACACTATACTCAGCTTTCAATAGCCTGAAAGAGCAGTGACTATTTCTAATAGAGAAGGTCATCCTAAAGTGCTTATTGAGAGTAGCTTTTGTTGTTGCTATTGTTGTATAAATAAGAAAGGAATTTAAAGAATTATTTCTTAGCAAACGTGTGGCAGATGCTTTCTTCGGCAGCTGTCGTTCTAGAGGGGAAGTCGCCTGGTTCAGCGACGAGGCACGTTTGGTTGTTATTTATTTCCACCCCGCGTCGGCTTAGTTTTCCTCGGTGCGCACTGGCACACTTTGGCGAGACCGACTCTGGGAAAGAAAGGGGTGTGGGGAGGCCAAGGCTCTGTGAAACCCCCGACGTGAAGCGAAAGTTCTCCTCCCAGGGAGGTTTTCGAGGAAAAGCGCTTTTCTGCGCTGCCTAGGAGACCTGCGTACCCTCCCGAAGCCGAACAGTTGCTCGGAGCAGTCGGCTTGGCGCCGCGAGCGCCGGGTGCCCCTCTTCGGCCTCCCGGGTTTCTCGGAAAGGTTAGGACAACTCTTTGTCAGTCTCAAAGACGAAACAAACACGCCGCCCCGCCGGCAGCCCCGGCCCCGCAGAGCCCCGGCCAGAGGGAGCGGTGCGCGCCGAGCCCGGCCGACCCAGACGTCAGCCGGAGGCGGGTCACCGGGTTAACAGCTATTAAGTGGAGTTGCTCTCCAGACAAAAGCAGGGTGGCACCCGAGCGTGATTTCACCTGCCGCGCGGAGGGGGCCGGGGCGCGCGGGCGCGGGGCGCGGGCCGCGGAGCCCATTGTGTGGGGCGCGGCGCGGCGCGGCGCGGCGCGGGGTGTTTAGAGGCGGGTTGTGATTGGTGGAGCAGGGCGGGGCGGGTGGGCGCGGCGCGGCGCGTCTTGTCAGCCCGCGAGCCGGAGCGCCCCTGCGCGCGTGCAGTCCGCCTGCACGCCGAGGCCGCCGGACCCCACGCCCGGCCCGCGCGGGCGCCCCGAGCCCGGCTCCGCGCGCCTGGCGGCTACATGGAGAGTGTCAGGTTGGTCCTTCTGATTGATCTTTGCCGGTTTCGCTCTCCTTCCCCCGGCTCCGCGGCGCCCGCTTCCTGGGGGCCTCGCTGGGGAAGGCAGGAGAGCCCGAGGGTTCTGAAGTTGAGTCTTTTAAAAAATCATCCTCATCCTCGCTGTTTACCAAGTTGGGTAGGAGTTGCGCTCTGGAAGTGGAGGCGGGGAGGGAGTGGAGGGGCAAGAAAAAGGAGCTGCAGGCCTGTGGGTCCTGGAGAGAGATACCCCCCCACCCCCCTTGCTCTTTGGCTCACACTCTCGCTCTCTTTTTTTAAATGTTCATGGGTGGGGTGTAGTTGAGAGTTGGAGGAAGTCCTGCTTGTGTGTTTCTCTCTCTCTCTTTTTCGTTTGCGATTCATTTTCTGCCGGTCTGGCCTTCACGCAGCCACTTTGGTGAAGCCCTCGCCATCACTCCGTTCGGGGGACGTATCTGGGGTGTGATTTCTGTCACTTTCAGAGCGTGTGAAATATACAAGGAGCCTTCCATCTCAGTGTAACCCATGTGGATGTTTCTTTGCTTCTGATAGTTTGTTTCTATATCTGTCTAGGCTATTTTCAGCTTAGCTGTTCAAATTCGACGAGTTCACACACAGTAAAGGGGGAGGGAGAGGCACAGAGCCCCACACCGGAGCAGGCGAGCGAGCGAATGGAACACTCTGGCAGGTTGGGGATTCTAAGCCTCTGTTGCATTACTTGGCTGGTTAATTAAGTAGTGAGCGGGGTTTGGGTTTGGACGTGCAGCAGACTGAGGAATTGCCACGGGGTACTCCCAGCTGAACCGGCTCTGAATGTAGCTAACTCAACTGTCAGAACTGCATGAAGGACGGTCAGTGGAAACGGGACTTTTTACCCCTCTCCTCCCCAAGTACGGTGTTGGGAAGGAGAGGACCTTTAGGAAGTGGGTGGTAAAGTTTTAGAGCAAAGTACATATAGACTCTTCCTCTTTGGGATTAACTCCTTCAAGTCCTGGCAGTTACAAGTAAAATATCTAGTAATTTTATATTTTTGTCCAAACAAACCAAATGTTCTAATCAAACCAATTTTAAAATGCAAATCACCTCATTTCCATAGATTCCAGCATTCTAAAAGTGACACATGTGGGGGAAAAATTAAGCCTGATAACAGGAAATGTGAATCATACTATCAATGACTAATCTGCTTAAGAAAAAAAATAAGTTACATTTATTTTATCATTAGGAAGTCAGTGTTAAGCCAGATTTTTTAAAGTTTAAAGCAAGTGGCATTTTTATTTTAAAAGCGGCCCTGTTTTGCTGTTTTTGTTTTTATATAACGAGTTTTCCAAGAGGAATGTATAGATGCAATCAGAGGTGGTTTATGTGGTAAAGAGCGCAAGCTAGCATGTCACTGCCAAAGAGCTGGAACATGATCACATTAAGATTCTAGTTTAGGGTTTGATGTGTGTGTGTTGCTGTTACTGTTGTTTAAAAGAATACAAAGCTTCCTTGGTTATTAAGATTGACCACTAAGTAAATCAATTGAAGACAGAAGCACGTTGTCCTAATTGATGCCCTTTGCATAAATTGAGAAAAGGTCTATATCTGTTTTATGTGATTCTTTGTAGCTGCCTGACACATTTCAGTGAAAAGTGTGTAAAAATGAAACCAAAATACAGACTGCCTACCCAGAGACACTGGCTGACTTACTGTAGGATGTGATAGAGCTGAACTGAGAACGCATTCGGCTGACACTTGATAATCAAAGTTGATTTATTGTTCATTAGTACTGCATTAGCCCTTTCAGGCAAGACAGTTATTTGTGTAGTTGCCTGTCAAGAGTGAGACTGCAAGCACCTGTCATTTCTAAGGCATGAGATAAGCAACCAAATATTAAGAAGATGCAAATAAAAATACATTTGACTAGGTAAAGGGGCACATAGTAATACATTTTTTTCTTTAAAAAAATAGTATGGGTCAATACCAGCGTCTAAGAAAGAAATCTATTGAGGATTATTTTTTAACCCTAAGAACGACTTATAGAAGGAAAGTAATGGGCTTTATATTCACCCGTTTGCCTTAAGAACTTTGTTTCCTGCCCAAATGTGCAGCTTGTCTGACGAAAAGTTGGTTAGTTAAGGAAATGAGAGGTATAACATGTCAATTATCTAATCCGAGTAATTTAGGTAAGGTAGGCTTTCTGTTTGTGTTGTGTTATTAAACATTTTATTAAAGGAAACTTGTAAGCATGGGTTGATTACATGAAAATGTGATGGCATCATGGCTAAGCTATGATAATGTCGGCTAATAATGTCAAGTGCATTTTCTGCAACATGTATCACTCTCGATTTTTTTCTTCTTTCTCTGGAAGGGAATGATCTCATGACATGTAATAGAAAACAACCTAAGTGTCAAAAGAAAACAAAATTAGCGAACTTTTGTCTGCAGCCATAGAAACGCGGATTAACTCATATTTTTCCAGGGATGGAATGGAAACATTCTGCACGAGGATATATAGTGTATTGTCTTCTCTGAATTTTCATTTGACAGGGATTTTAGAGGCTGTGATCTTAATTAAATCTCAACTAGCTGAAATAATGCATCTAAAGGCATGCAGTGTTGCGTAACCCTGCTCAGTTGGTAAACCATAAATCATCAGAAAGCTTATGATAGGAATGGTTGAATTTTTTTTTGTTGTTTGTAGTTTAATGTACCTTAAAAAACAAAACCCTCACCGTCACTGCCTTGCATTTACACGTTGTCAGGACCTGTCACTTGAAAGATAAACTCTTTTATGACACTGACCAGTTCTACAACTTTTCAGCCAACCTCCACACAATTGGAAGATACGGTGAAATTAAAATCTAGATTAATTAAAAACAATGAAAGTTCAGGTTTGTCTTGGTTAATGTGGCAGAAACGTTGTTTGAGTTACTATGTTTCTGAGACAATCAGGAGAGAATGTTGTGACTAGCTTCTCAGTCTGTACTAACATTTGAGTAAAATTTGAATTGGCAAAAACGAAGGTTGGAGGAATTTATTTTATTATGTGGTTTAGTTGTAGATGAACATCACTAAAGAGAACCTGAAAACCATGTTCTTGGTAACTAGGCAAATGTAGTGGTCAGTTAGATTCCACTTCAGGTAGTTCATCATTCCTTGATTTGCAAACAAGGGATAATGTAGCAACAGTTGATCGAGAAGGTTAGAGTAAATAAATACATAAATTGTGTCTATATGTGTGTTACATTTTAAAATATGCATTCAGTGACAAGGAATTATTAAACAGCTTTATTAACTGTCAAGGTATAATAAATTATAACGCTTGCAAATATTAGGTTACTTTTAGTGCCTCAAATAGATAGTTTTAACTGCTGCAGTTTTTGATTTATATATATGCTTGAGTAGAAGGAACTGCCTACATAAAAAAGTTGAGAATGCTGTCTTGTGATAGCTTGATTTCATGTATCTTTGCACGTAACATTTCATGTAAGACTGCAAGTTACATTGGTGATGAGCTGTAGCTCTCTTGGGGCAAAAGGGTAGCTTTATGTGTATCTGTATGGCTAGATTTGGGGATAGTCTTAACACTGTAAGCTAAATTTGTTGTTTGATAAAAGGTTTGTTTTCTTGGAAGCAGCGTATTTCTGGACTCTTGTTTTAGTCCTTTCAGAGCGTGCAATACTTCCCTCCCACCCCCACCAAGTGACATTTTGCATTCAGCCTTATTTTCTTTCGTTTAAAAAAGAAAACTCAGGTATCTCTTAGCTAAACAAGCCTTTGCAGATTGTGGAGACTTGAATTATCTGAGAAGAGCTAATCTGGGCCTCTACTTTTGGATTGTAGGAATGCTCTTCATTGAGTCCCTCTTCCAACCTGTGAGTTGTTTGAGGAGAAATTAATTTCGAATGAGAAAAATGAATACTGAACACATACATTGTGCCTCATTTTCAAATCCGGTTAAAAGCAACTAATCAATGAAGATGCAGGCTAAATGTTATGGTGAGCTTTTTAGAATACCTTGGTATCATGTTTTAATTTCTAAGCTTTATCTTGCCCTTAAATCTGAAACATCATTGTTCAAATAACTGAGAACAAGGTAAATCAACAACATCAAAAAGGTCGGCTTCTGTGATTTCTCAAGGGCTTGTTATTTTGTACTTCCCAATTCTATTTGATGTCTTGACAAAACAAGATGACACAGGGGAGAATACATTAAATTTTGATTTTTTTCATCTAACCTGTTACAGTTGTGGCAGCTTAATTTCTTTTACTTTTTCCTGAAGATGGCTTTTTGTACAATTACTCTAATTGTCACACCACTTCATGAGGCGGGTCTGCACGGGTTTCCCATTTGCCTTGATTTTACTAGGCATTTTTGAACATATTTTGACCTTTAACTTATGGGAAGCTTTTGGTTGGGCTTTGTCTTCATTATAAATAAATCAGTGAATGGTGAGATTGTCAAAGAAGCAAGTGATGTTTTCTCATTAGAATCTCATTTGCACCCTTTAGCTTAACTGTGATGTATAAGGTGAAGGTGTTGGAAATAGGCATGAGAAACTACAATTTGAGAAAGTTGAGTTGTAATTCTTTCTAAAGAGTGATTGCACCCTAAGTAAGGCCTTATAAAACTTCGGAAATGGTCTAATTTTGGCCTACCTATGTGTTGAAATTCAATTATAGTCCCTTCTCCCTTTCAGTAATATGGGAAAAAAAATACATATTTGCAGTTAAGCTCCCTATGAAATTTTCTATGCTGATTAAATCATGAGAAAGCAGAGCTACAAATTTAATTCTTAGTGTTAGAAAAATCTTCTTTAGACAGAAGATAGACATTATGTTTTTCTTCATTTAACAGTAACTGTTGATCTAAAACTGTATCCACAAGTTATCTTTTATTTATTTTAATCATGTATGTGTCTCAGGTAGGATGGAAACAGTTGCTGTCTCTTTCATTATTTTTGAGTAATACTTCAATTTAAGAGAACTTATTTAGCCAAGGCCTCTTCCTTTTCCCTTTAAGAACTAAAGATCTGTGGATAGAATCTTTTCTGGGGTACCTTCTTGGAATAGTCCTCCCCTCCTCCCATTTGCAGCACTTAAACATGATTTTTGTTGTTGTTGTTAATATAAAATGCCATTAGCATGTTTAATTCACATGCCCTAAATTGTTTTCCATCCCAGCTACAGGAGAAAGTGGTTGAAGTAGGAAAGAGAAGGCATTTTCTTGATTTAAATAATAATAATAGTTGCTAGGTTGAAAGAATCAGTGCTTATTGAGTGATTATTTTCATGTGTAGCTTCCATTGTTTCCTGTATTTAACAATTGCTAATGGGAGAAGCGATTTAATTTATGTAAACTTTACATTTTTATGCAAATGAAGCTGATATTTATTAGAGCTAAAACAATTATACTGGCACTTAGTGGAGTAACCTTGTGTGCCTGGGAAATGTTAGAGGAGAGCAGTTGATGTTCCACTAATACCTCTGCTGTAAACAAATATGCATTTATGCCACTTTTTAGAATTTAAAGACAAAAAGAAGAGCTCGGAGAGCATTGCTGGAGATTGCTTATTAGGGTTGATAACCTGAAATAACTCCTGATTGGCAGGCGAGCCTTGGCCTTACAATTTTTTTGTGAAAGAAAGATAGCCTTTCTTGATAGAATGTAATAAACAAAATGATAAAAAATGAAATGCTAATTGCATTTTAAAGAGGTCTTTTGAAAAAAAATTTTTAATAGTTGGTTGTATTGTTACTGAGAGAACTGTTATGCTAATGACTGACTACCTAGATGATTTTGCATTAATATAATAACCATTACCTGCCTTAGTGCTTTGTACAGTATTGTGGCAAAATAGCTAAGCCTAAAGGAGTTATACAAAAAGCAGAATTCCATAATGAAACAGAATTTTACTTTCCACATAAATAGCATGCTTTTTTTTTTTTATTTTTTTAAGACCGAAATATTATATCAGAAGTGTGTTTTCTTTCCTGTATGATAGTTACTTGCATGGTACCTGGTTGGTTCATTTTGTTTTGTTTTTTTAATACCATGGAGAAATAGAAGCTTTCTAACTTTTCTGTTTGCCAATACATCTGTTGTATCCATTGACTTGTTAATTATGAAAACTTGTTTTCCACAGGGGGCCAGAGGTGATGATGTTTAATTTTCTTCTATACAGGCTAGCTTGTATATGGTCATAAAAAACTTGGCATAGTTTTTTTTTTTTTTTCTCCTCTCTCTCTTTTAATGGAGCTATTTTCTCTGTTTGGTTTTGTTGTGACATTCTGGAGCCTTCTAATTTAATTTGTTTTGCTCCTGCTATTTGATTAACCAGGTGACACTGCCAAACCTGGTCAGTTATCACCCAAATACAGCCTGAAGGCTAGAACGGAAGTGAATTTCCTGGGACATACATGTGGTGAATGATCAGAGGGTAAAAAGAGTTTCTAAATTATTAACCAAATTAATAAAAATGAAACAGTGTTTAGCATTTTTTATCTTCTCTTTTTATTATTTGTATACACAGTAATTATGAGATGATACCCAACGTGCAAAATTTATGTGTATGTGTACTAGGTAGTATTTACTTGTAGTTGACTGGAGTGTAAACTGAAGAGAGAAGAAAATGATAACATGTTATTTTCAGTATTTATATTGTGTCTTCTCCCCTCCCACCCAATTCCTTCAATTGTCTCCTAGATTAGAAATAAGTATTGTTTCTCTGAGTGTTTTTATTTGTTTGTTTGCTTTTTAGATTTTTCCCTTCCCATCATCTACGTTTCCCCATTGGGCGTTAAAGGAAATAATATGGCATATTATTTTAATAGTCTTTCAGCATTCAGATGATAGAGAGTCATTTTGAAGAAAAAACCGTATCAGGCAGAATTTACACAGCAGTGTGTATGGGCTTTTAGCAGCAGTTGTTAGTGCTAACACCGTTTTCCCAGTTGCTGGTATTAAGGTAGCAGCAGGCCCATACTAGCAGAGCTGTGATGGCCCAAGCACAGCTGTATTTCTGCCATTCCCGCAGGTTTGGGTGCACCTGGGATCGACCACACCCAGTTGGTATCAGTCAACAGTGTATCATGCCGTGTGTTTTTTTAATTCATGATTTCCTCTTGAAACTCCACTGAGGAGTGTTAACTGTGTGCGTTTTTTTAAATTCAGTTTTGTATGCTAGCATTCTTTAAATGTCTGCCAGAAGTTTAATTTGAATTTCTGATCCCTGAAGGCAGCTAGACAGAATCATTCTAGTTCTTCATAAATTGCCTTCTATGATTCATTGTTAACTCATAAAACATACTCATTTCTATATACTCAAACAGTTAAGGTAGTTACAGTATCGGAAATTTTTTTTTTTTTTTTGCCTTATATTTAAATCGTCTTTTGAGAAAGAAATCAAGAATTAGCTTGAACTCCCAGTTAAGGCATGAACCCTGTAGCACAGAAAACATCAGAAATGAATGTTGTTATCTCAAGGAGGTTAAGGTAGAAGGCATGAAATCTGAAAAAAAAAAAAAAAAAAAAAAAAAAAAAAAAAAAAGTTTCGTTTTTACTGAATACTTTTAAAGAGGGGCCCATAAATATTAGAGAGCTGTAGTTAAAAACTCACATGACTGTTTTAAATACTATTGATTTAAACCACTGGCTAGATTTTATGAATCAAAGTGTAATTTTGAAGCTTTGGCCATATTTCTCAGTGCTAAAGCACTCTCTCTTGTGTGCCTTTAGCCGCTTTCCAGACATTCAACACAGGATTAAATGATAGTAGTTACAGTGATCAATAGGTTAAGACTGCTACAATCACTCTTGCCGCTAATGACCTCAGTAGTAATGGGCAATAAAGTGTGGGCTGTAATAGCCTCTCGCTGGTACTGCATGCCCTTTGATTCCTAGTGTTAGTAGGGACTAGCTACATGAAAAAGTTGGACGTTGGGAATTAAGGGAGTGGATATATAGGCTATAATTCTTAACTATTTAAAGCCTTAAAAACTGCTCAGATTTTTTTTTTTTAATTTCTTTTCTACCCCACCATAGTTTCTGGTCTATTTGAATATGTTTGTTAAAGCTTTTCCATAACCTCTTTTCATGATATGTTAGAACAGAAACGTTGGGGAAATCTTGGTTTTATAACATTTGTAAATGAAGCTGGAGCCCACTTTGGAGGCCCAGAGCTAACTGGCATGAAAACGTGGTTTCAGATAGTAAAAGCGAAGTTAAGGCCATCAGGATATAATAGCCCACTTCTGATTATTCAGAAGTGATCAGCCCGTTTGGAGGATTACTCAGGCCTCTTGCTTCCTTCCCTCCTTTGGCAGTGCCTGCTGCTGTAAAGCATATTATTACTCATCAGCACCTCCATCAAAATGTCCAAAAGGAAAAAGAAGGGGAGACTCAAGTTCATTATCCTGTTCCGTAACTGCAAAAAAATGAATAAATGATTATGGGAAAAGGAGATTTAAGCCACTGGTTTGATGTCAGCCTTTAAAAATTGTCTGTACAGGTATATGTCAGTCCTTTCCATGATTCCCCCTTTTATTATTGACAGTTAAGGGACAATGTTGTTTCTCCTTTAAGAAGATGCTTCTAGTTTTACCTGAGTTAAGGGGAAAAAGTATTTTAGGAGACATATGTAACTTTTAAAATCAGTTTTATTGAGGGATGATTTACGTGCGCTCAAATATACTGATTTTCAGTGTCTAGTTGGAAGAGTTTTGACGATTGTATACACGTGTGTGAGCACCACCTCACTCGAGATATGGACATTTCCATCGCCCCCAAAAGTTCACCTGTGCCCCTTTCTAGTATAAGGTTTCTATAGCTCTTTTAAAAACGATGACCAGGAGGTTATTTCTATCATGATTTCTGCTCTAACTCTGTTAAGTTCATGTTCATCACCAGTTTAGATTTTACACCACCCTATTCCTGTCTGTTTTCCTGTTCATCACCATCAGAATTTGGCTCAAGAATATTTATATTGTACATCATCCAAGAAACGCAGAGGAAAAAAGAAACCTTAAACATGGTTCTTTTGTTTGCTTAATCAAACCTCCCCGTATGATGATGCAACTCTCAAGGAAAAGTAAACTTCTATTGTGATACGCTGGCTTTAGCAGCTCAAAGGATACCGATTGGCACCCAAAAGATACTTAAAAATCCGAAAAGTTTCTTCTGTATGAAGACAAAGTAGACTAACTGGAATTAATTTGTAGATGGTTAGATGTTTTGATAATGTCTTCCTGGTGTTTGCCCTAAACTGAATGCGAGTTCACTGTTCCAATCGTTGGTGATATTTCGTGCTACAAATTATCTTTTTAAAAGGGTAATTTATCCATTCATATACATCTGTCCCATTTTGCATATGAAAATATTCAGACATGCCCATCTGTTTTAAATTACAGTGTATCTACATCTACACTTAAAAGGCCACTGGAATAGGAAGAATTCATGGATGACCTTCCAGAGCTGGGTTAATGAAATTTTTCGAATGTTCTAACTAGTGTTTTCCAAACACACGACACTGGCACATCAACATCCCCACACATGAAACAAGCCCACAACAACAGTGGAGAACATTCGCTGTGCATGAATCTGACCTTCAGGAACCATTTTTAGTTCATCAAAATTAGTGATGCTGAGAAATCGGGACATCAGTGCATAATGACTGTGAAATTAGGAATGAGAGCTCGCTATGCAAATGACAGGACAAATCATGTGAAAAAGTCAGGATAAACTGCATATTAAGACATTATGTTACATAAAATTAATACTGCATTTCTGCCTTTTGCTTACTGCTCCCCTGAAAGATTTTTTAATTCTTTTATCTTCTGATCAGCTATTGTCTGCCGGATTTTTTTTTTTAAGTAGCACACAGGCAAAGTGCAAAACATGTTATTACCTTTTATTGTAATACATGAGATGACAGCATATCCTTTTTAACAAAGTATATCCTTTACTGCTTCTAGCTTCTTGCTGTCACATGTTTGATTAGAAACCAAAGAAAAGTAAGATGCTTAAATATTACGGTTAGAAGACATACAGGTTTTGTCTTTTCTTTCATTGTTTTTTCTTTCCTTATCTTTTTATTTGGGGCGGGGGGTGATTTTTCATGAAATAGTCTTCTTGCATTACGGGGACTGACAAAATGGGTCTCATGTAGTCTGCAAATTAAACACAAGTGCAGTGATTATTTTGAATAGCTAAATTACATTCTAGAAAGCTTGCAGAATTCATAGCATTGTCATTAGGTATCCGCTTGAATACAATTTGTGTAACCTTGGCCAAGACAGCCTGTCATTTTAATGTCAGTGTTTTATCTGAACAAGACATCATCCTTTCAGATACAGTGTGCAGGTTCCTTGCAAAGATGCCCGTGCAGAAACGTGTTAACAGTTGCAAATATGAAATGCTATCAAGTTCATCACTGTAGCTGTTTGTCACTGAAATGTCATGGAAAGCGGGTTTTAATGGTATTGCACATAATATGAAAGAATTGAGACATCTGTGTGCTGGGTGAATAAGGAAGAGTAAAAGGCATCATGCGAAGGGTCTGTGTTTAAGTTCGGAAGGTGTGTCCAAGGTTCCCTTCCCAGCAAGTATAAGCATTGATTGGTTGTTCTTAAAATCACTGTCCACAGAGCAAGTGTGCTCATATGGGCTCCACCTGCAAAGGTGCTGGTTACCATTTGTCTTCTCTCAAACAAAATTCAAGTCTGGGTTAACTTCCCACAGATGGTTTTGACCAAAAACTCACTCTCAATAAGCAATTGAGAACTGTCGTATCTTAACTCCAGTTAGCATTTATTAAGTTTGTCCTTTTTGTGTGCTTGCAAGGCTGCCTGGAACCCCCATCAGTACTGCAAGATTTTACTTTTCTTTCTTTAAAATAAACTCCATGATAGATTAAATAGGATCTGTTGCTGCATCCCCTCTGGATAAATACATGTTGCATGGGAAATTGGTCAACTCTTTAAGCAGGCTGATGGCAGTCAGCTGCTGAACCTGGGAGGCTGCGTGCTTCTGATTTCCTGGCTTCCTATTTATCCTTCATTAACATTCTAGGTTCCCGTGTCAGTGGCTATGATGACACCTCAAGTTATCACTCCCCAGCAAATGCAGCAGATCCTCCAGCAACAAGTGCTGAGCCCTCAGCAGCTCCAGGTTCTCCTCCAGCAGCAGCAGGCCCTCATGCTTCAACAGGTAATTGTCCTTCCTCCACCTCCAGCCTGTCTCCCCCAGAACCCAGGGGCCCCCATCACTCCATTCGCAATCTCCCCTCCACCAGAGCAGCTCCTTTGCTCAGTGAAGAGTAAAGCAGCGTGGGTGGGGCAGGACACAGACCACTCCCTGAATAATCGATGTGCTTTTGCATGCCCAAAAGAGAGGAGCCCTGCCATGGTGACTAGTGTTTGGGCCTGGAGAGTACCCGATGGACTGAGATCAGGGCTGTAATTGGACTTGGTAGCAGTAAGATCTTTTAGGTTTACATGGCTCCTAAATGGTGTGAATCAAAGCAAAATGAGGAGCACGTTGGGAGTGGTTTAAATATGACAGCTCTTGATGTCCCCATTTCGACTCAGAAGCTTACAGATTTTTTTTCTTTAAACATAAAGAAGCATTCTAGAATTTGCTAATTTTAAGGTCCAGAGTTGATTTTACTTCTTCCACATACGATGTTGCTGAAATGAACTTCTGGTTGTCATTGCACTATGGGGACCTAATATTCAGACTTCACAGCCACCTGAACCAAATAGATGAGATTCGGAACTACAGCGTTGGGAGTCACTGGCCTGGGGTGGTGGGGACAGGATGCAGCGGAAGCTCCCAGGCTGTCCATGCACACACTGAATAACACTGCATAGTGCCCAGCCCTGTCATTTAGAAAGCATGCAGAAGAGATTCACCAGACTCTCTCAGCAAGGGCATTTCAGCTTTGTTGTACAATCAAAGGTCATTCTTTGCCTTATTTTAATTAGTTTGTGTAGAAAATGGTATGTTTTTCATCAGTTCATTTTGGAGATTACTTTTCAAACAATAATGCCAAGAATAGTCAGTGTGCGCTGAATTTATTGTCGAGTTTCAAACTAAAGGTCAGGCCATTACAGATAAAAGGATGCTATTTTTCAAATCACAGTTTGTGTATGGCACCAAAAGGGACAGTGGATTGGCGCTACCCTCTGTTACTTACCGTCCTCTCTTTCCTTTGTAGCAGCAGCTTCAAGAGTTTTATAAAAAACAACAGGAACAGTTGCAGCTTCAACTTTTACAACAACAACATGCTGGAAAACAGCCTAAAGAGGTACCGACAATACATATTTTACTTTCAAACCACAGATCCCAGAGGACTATCTAGTGGCTATTAAACTGTCATTCATCTTTTAAATGATTGCACAACTGAGCTGACTCTATCGGTTCTCAGCTTTCAGACTGAGAATTATTGTCCTGTTTTCACTCAGATTTTTCTGGGTTCCATTTGCTTGCTGCCACATATTTTATAACACCACTGCACGTGTACCTGTGTGAGGAGCAGGAGAGGCATCGTTGACAGAGTCTTCAGGTTACTTTTTGCAACCTGGTAACAACTGAGGGCCAGGATGGAGCTGGGAGAAGTGAAGTGCTTTCAGGAAAATTTTACTTGGATGCACACTTAATTTTTTTTTTTTTTCCCCAGCTCACAGAGCTTGGGTGTGTGGTGATGGCCTTTTCCATTGGAAGAATAACCCCTTGTGAGGTTGGATAAACAAACAAAAATGTTAGAACAAGATTAAACATCCACATCTTTTGTTTAACTTCTTCCTGCAAGTTGTACATAATGTAATTGCTAAAGGCATGTGCCAGAGAGCATGAGTTGAAGTTAGAGAAGACTCCAGCTTGGGTTGTGTTTTCTTGGGCAGGGTGGAGAAAAGTATATCATAATAGCTTCTATATGCACCACGCTTGGTAGTGTCCATAACTTATCACATTATGCCACACCATGAAGGTTGACAGCATTCGTCCCATAAATGATAAGGCCTTTCTTTCCAGGGAGTTACCAGTTCACCTTCTATTCAGTTCTGCGTGGGTGAGACTCAGTTGTGGGAGTATCCGTGTGCATGTGTGCGTTATTATGACATCTTTCTACCCATTCCAGAGTTATCCAATTTAACTTGCCTCCTCATATTTTTACAGTGGACTGAAAATTCTTTTTGTTTAAGTGTTCTCCTTGGGATGACACAATTTATAATTCTATATACAGCACCTCATCCACTTTAACAGCTTCTTCACCAGCCCTAAGCAGGTGGCCACTTTTGTTCTTTTGCAGGGAGTCTTACCAGGTGACTCGACGTCCCTGTCCCTCACCTAAGTGAGGATGCTGGGCTGTGCTAATTTTACACCCTGGGAGTGACCCAGACATTCTCCCTTTGCTGCCTCCTCCCTTGACACAAATTGGGGACGTTTTCCATGTCCTGCCAAGTTTTCACCCTGGAGTCCTGTTGAGCAGCCGGATGTAAACCCCTGCAGAGTAGGGGCAGTTTTGGGGTGAAGGGGAGGAGGTGTTTTAATGAAAATGCTGACACAACCTTAAGTACAGTGGCGCTCTACCGGGTGCTGCTATAATAAAAAAGGGAACAGATTAAAAAGTGTCTAAAATGTAAATCTAAAGGACTAACAGTAATTAAAATGGAAATGGCACAGGGAGGGAAGGCATGTAATTGTGAGATATCACTGTGCAGAAGGCTCTCAGCTTTGTTTTGCTGGCTGTTTTTCTAATTCAGCAGGGCTTACTCATCAGTGGCAGTTCAATGCGCGTTAATGACTCTGGGATTGCAGGCATCACTCTGGACAAAGAAATGATTATTGTGCGGTCAAAAGAAGTTCAAAGACAAGAAGGGAATTTCAGTTTTTTCCTTAGAGATCCACATTCAAGAGCATATAAATTAAGCCAAATGTTAAAAACCACAGTCTGAAAGCTGACTTCAAAGTCACAACTCTCTAATTAATGAACTGCGAGCTTCAGTTTGGACAAGTTGTGGTTTGATGCGCCCATAAATCAACATGACAGGCCTGTTTCACAGTCTCAGACAGTGCTTGTCATTGAGTCACATCAGATGTAAACACAGCAGAAAAAAGAAGGGGTATGAAGGAGGTGCAATTGATCAACAGAATTGGTAAAAACCCACTTTTGAAGCACATTATGCATGATCACAGGAAATGGTTACAGCCTCAAGAGGTTTCCCCTTCTGCTGTTGCTTTTTTGAATCAGATTGCTAACAGCCTTCAAAAGGGAGAATAAGAATTATGGAGTTTCTCCCCTGTGGCTTGCAGGCAATAACCCCCTGTTGTTATTTTGTGCTTCTTTCTTTTCAAAGGCATCAAAATTTAGTTTTTTAAAGATCTTTAACTCTATATTTGAAGACAAACAAAAAAGGGCTGCCACTGTCATTCTTATCAGTTACCAGGGATTGCGTTTTTCCTTTCTGTTGCCACTTCTTATTAACCTCTTATTTGGTCTGTGAGACATAGTTTGGAATGCACGTCTGCATGCTGGGAGAACATGAAAGTTCAGATGAGCTCAGAGGGCACATAAAGAAATGGGAAGGGGAAAGTTACACAGCAGAAAGAAGGATAAAAGTTACCTCTCCCAAATTGCTGTTGTCAGAAAGGAAAGCATCTCAGAGCACAAAGATGATAGTGGTCCCTGAGTTTGGGAAGGGAGTGGCAGGGGGTGGGGAGTGTAGGGGAGAAGGAGAACACTTTGTGTCTAAACAAGGAGAAAGCAAGACATTGTAGGAACATTCTTGCATCTCCAGGTCGCTAGGTTTGCTGTGGTCCATGCTTTGTCATCCACTTCCCAGGCAAAGGTGACCCAGGAGATAGGTTGCTTTGAATATCCTTTGAGGTAGGCAGACCAGTGGATGGGTCTCCTTGGATTCATGGTGCCAGTGGATTTGTCTGAGACCCAGGGTAACAATGCTTAGGAGATCTGTAGTTTCCTGAGGTAGGGACCAGTCTCCTGGAATTATCATGCAGGTGGTGGTCCTTTTGTGCTAAAATGAGATGGAGTCACACGGTAGCATTTTCATGATGTGGACTGGTGGTTATGATTTTAACAAGGTTTGAACTTGGTTGTTGACAGATGGAACAAGTATGTTAATTTACTGAGTCCCCAGTCATTAGCGGCTCATAATTTTATATTGTCAGGCTCCCCCCACCCCCTTTTTTTCCTGTTTTGATTACCTCTGCAATAAGACACCTGATCTTTGGCCAGAACGATGTACCTTTGCTCTTTTTTTTTTCCTTCCCTCCTAAAGTTGCCTTGAGATGTTTCCTTGGGAAAGTTTGGCTCCATATTGGGTTGGACCAAGACAGGACCTTCCTTAAGAAGATACGTGCTCTTAGGTAGGGGAGGAAGAGAGGATGTAGGCCCAATACAGCTATTGAAGTGACTGCTCATGAATATTGGACAGAAGTGGTGAGGAAAATAGACAGCAGAATTCATTTTAAATCGAGCTACAAAAAAAGATTCCATCCTGTGCGGGTGAGGTAGGCTAAGTTGATTGTTTTAAAAGGGCCGTTTGTCCCGGGCAGTTATGACAGTTTATGTTAGGCAGTAGGGAGTAGCCGAAGAAAGGAAAACAGACCTTTGACTGCAGCTCTAGGGAGGGGATCCGAAACTCGAGGTTTATCAGGGCATTTTAGCATTTTAACACTGACTACTGACCTGCCGAGGGGACTGCACGGAGACCTTTTTTGTATGCATTCAATTGTGAGAAGTAAACAAATGGACCCGTATCCTGTGTTTGGTAACTGGGTGGGGAGCGCAGTTTGGCAACCGGTGTTGCTTTTAAATTCTTTCTTTGGACAATGGGCCTTGTATACTTTTATATCCTGGCTTTTCAAACGTAGACAGCTTTCATGAGCTTTTTCCTAGGGATGGCCACAGAGACAACAGAAAAGGCATCAGTCATTTTACATAAATACAAAATTTTTAAACATTTCATTTACAGTAAGGCAGGAAACACCCTCCCCCACCTCCAGCTGTACCCCCCCCATTATAGTCTGCTTTCAGAAAAGCTAATTCCCTGATCTTTTATTGTGTCAATGTTGTTTTTTTCTCTTCCCTTTTTTTTGTAATGTTGTGAGTTAATATCTGTTGAAGAAGTGAAAAAATCGTTTTGACATGAATATAACTATCACTGGGTTTTACATTAATGTGATAACTTGGGAAGGGGTGAAAACAATTGGATCATTTTATGCATGCTGTTCTTAAAATGAAAACACTGGCTTTTCATTTAAATTTATTTAAATTTTTGTTGTTAGTGGTATAGAATTTGTTTTTTGGAGTGAAACTCAATTAACTTTCTCAGTGGCATGGTAGTAAGTCTGAAATTGGTTGCTAATATGAGAATGATGGTTTTTACTGTAAAATAAACTACATGAAGACCGAAAGGAAACCACCATTTTTCTCTTTCTTTGAACTTTGCATCAGAAGGTCTTGATATACATACCATTTTATGGATGTATCAGATCAAGGTCATGTGTTAGGTTAAGTGAATGCAGTTGTTTGTAAAGTATAGTTATTAGCCAGAACATGTAAGCTCTGAAAGGGCTTGGATAGTCCTTTTAGTTGTAAAAGTCTCTCTGATCTTTTGAATCATACTCAGAATTAGGAACACTGATCTTGTTCTTTTCTTGAAGAAACTTTTCTTTTTTTTTTGCTACAGTTTGGGAAGGGTTAGTTTTCCTTTTATAATTGTTAGCCATAATGTGGCTAAGACCTCCACCTCGATACGATTGCTAGCAGATTAAGGATATTAGATAATTTCCTTCTATTTATTGTACTACTGCACTGTATTATCTTTCTATCACTCAGATAATTACTGAGGAAATCTACATTAATTTTTTTGGCTGAAGCAAGGCCTGCTAAACACAGGAATGATGTATTGATGTTTTACACAACAAAAGTTTTCCTCCTGTCATTGTCCAATCAACAAAAAGATATTTATCATATCGTAAAGCCCCTTCTTTTCAAGAACAAAGCAGATGGGGGAAGCAGGACAAGCCACCAGACCTGGGAGTTTCTGAGACTAAAGCCATGTTAAGGCATCTGAAGCTTAGACTGTCGTTCATGTTAAACTCACAGTCGAGTACGATGTTGTTTGCTAAATTATGAATGTGTGTAATTAAAATCTAGTGGCTGTTTCTGTGAAAGATTTACAATGTTATTTCATCGTTTGTCATGGCTAATTAACAATATTAGATGAAGTTTTTCTTCTTCAAAGGTCTGATTTTTTCTCATTTATTTATGTCAGAAGTGATAAACAGAGTAGTTAAAAGCTTCTGCCGGTGCAGGCAGGGAGGGAGGCAACTTGTTCTTTTACACCTCAAAGGTTCGGGGTTCAGACCCCTTCAGACTAGAGTGATGCAGTCTTCTCTCTAGTGTGCATAATTAAAAATTTCAAAGTCTAAAAGTTTACATCTTGATGACAAAACTCAGACCTTTCAAACTGGGGGGAAAGCTGGCTTGATGGACGAATTATGTGTTTATGGGAGCGGGCAGTAGAAAGATAACACGCTCATCTCCCCACCCCTCCTCAGAGGAGGTATGCTTTGTCCCTTTTAAACCTTGACACGGAGCCCTCCACTGAGCTCCAGTGACCATTCTCAGCATTTGATGATGATGGTGAGTTTTGAAGTGTCCATACTTTTAACCTTCCTTGGGAAGTGGCCATCTCATTTTTTCTTCCTGATTTCTTACAGCAACAGCAGGTGGCTACCCAGCAGTTGGCTTTTCAGCAGCAGCTTTTACAGATGCAGCAGTTACAGCAGCAGCACCTCCTGTCTTTGCAGCGCCAAGGCCTTCTGACAATTCAGCCCGGGCAGCCTGCCCTTCCCCTTCAACCTCTTGCTCAAGGTATGCGTTGATTTTACAGAAGGCATAGCTCTGTGAAGACTTTGGGTGGAGGTGGTGGGTTGTCTCTTGGTATATTTGTTAAGGACATTGTCCATCAAAACATGCACATAGATTCTTTTAAGAAAAGTGGAGTGGGATAATGATGGACCCATGTAGAAGGTGAAATGCTTGTTGATGCCAAAATGAAGTCTCAGGGTGGTCTGAAGGCTTAGCTGTAACAGAGCAATCCCACTGTTGGACACTCTTGGAGTAAGAGAATGAGGCGCTACTTTTCACTTACTGAGCATTTTAATGGACTCTTGCAGTGTTTCTGTTTGGAACCACAAAGGAATTTTCCTGAGGGCTTTTATTATTCATTTAAGACATTTTATACCATGTAACATGTGCTATTTTAAATCTTAGTAATGCTTTATAAATGCCATGTTTTAATATCTAGGGATAAATTCAGGTTTATTTTTCTGTAAACGATAGAAATCAACCACTTTCTCTTATAAAAAGGAAAACTTTGTTTAGTTTCCTTTTTTTTTCTTTTTGCATTCATCTGTTGATTTTTGAGCAAATTAGTTCTACACTCATCAGAACAGGTACCACTTCCATCTCCAGTTCCTCAACAACTGAGATCACATGAAAAGTAAGATTTTATACATTTAGTAAATTTCTTTTACAAAGCCCACTGACATTTTATCCCAAGGGTGATGGACATCAGAAACAAATGGGAACTCTAGGTGTTTTTAGGACATCCTCTTGGTTTAAGCAACTCTGACTTTCACATATGTAATGTGAAAGCAGATGGATTATTCAGAACTAGAAAGGAAGGTGGGAGGGAAGGAGGAAGGGATGTCAAGAGGGAGGGAGGGCGGACAGGCAGGCAGGAAGGAAAGAGAAAGTAGAAAGTGCCATGCCTGTGTTTTGAAACACAATTCCTCCATCTATGCATGGTAGGGCAGATTTGAGTTGCCTCCTCAAGGGCAGCAGTTCTTTGAACTCTAGTAGATTTGGATGTTGGTTTATATGTACCTTAAAGGCTGATAGCTAAAGCCACTGCTGTCTTGGATTCAGTTGCCTTCTAAAGAAGGTTAAAAATGTGGAAACTCCTTCGTGTTGCTTAAAGCATGGCCATTTGTTTGGTAACTTTTGGTGTCAAGTGAAGTCAGGGAAGCATGTCTGCATTTGAATCTTTTCCCTTGAGTCCACCACACCCAACTTCTGTCCCTTATGAGGCTGATTTTGTTTTTAGTATCGAGACCAGGGCTTTTTCCTCTTAACTTCTCTCTTGCCCCTCCACTCCTTTCTGCCATGACTGCTCAGCTGCTTGATACATACTCAGCATCTCCATTGTCAAAATAGAAGATGTCGTAACTGAGCAATACAAGGAGAAAAGAAAGAATATATATATGTACATCAGTTAATGCATTTTTGTGCTTGCAGAATGTCATAGCGTGTGTTAATTACACCTTTGGGTTTATTGTTGGAAATATGGCAGGCTGTTCTGACACACCTACCGGACTTGAGCTCCAACCTCTCTCATCAAGTTTGCTCACTAAGGTTCATTGTTATAGTACATCAGTTAAGCTGTCCAAAAGAGGGCAATTGGGCAGTGACAAGACAAGCTCATGTGTAATGTGAAAGAAATGAATGTGGTGATGCATGAAGTGTAATCTCTGCAGTAACATATCAGAGACACTGGTAGGTAATTCACTAGTCATGGCATTGATTGATAGGCTTAGCAGTCTGCTATAACTATTAGCCCCTGCAGCATTAGGAAGAAGCATATTTGAAATCTAAGGGGTGCCTCTGTGTGTGCCCAAGATGGCATAAATGTAAATATAAATATTTCTGGTGTCAGGTTCTTGCAGTAAAGTGAACTACCAGTGTTATTTCCATCTCTCTGAATCAGGAGGTTGGTTTTGTCCCCCCACTCCCTCACCTCAAGTGGCTAGAGAATTCAGTCATGTTGGACTAGAACACAATTTTTTTTTATCAGAGAGATGATGGCTTAAAACTGATGTCATTATGAGGTTTAAATCAACTTTCTGCTTGCTTGAACATGGTCACCTGGGTATGGATGTACAAGGACAAAAAAAGGTTGATCAACTCTGTTTGTCTTTGAGCCAGTGATACCTGGGGTTGTAAAATTGAGTTCCATGAACAGTAATCTGTCATCTGTCCCCACAACATACATTTTTTAAACCTGTGCCTGCATTTTCTTTTATAATGAAGGGGCCAGTTGTCCTGGAAAAAGAAATGTTGCAAGACTTGGGGGTTATCTGTTAAAAATACTGGTAATGCCCACTTCATAATGAAATCATCAAGATTATTTTACATACCTGTTCATGGCCTTGCCGAGTTAACCTTAAACATGTAAATGTCAAGTATAGGAATAGATAGAGAATTAATATTTTGAAGGCCTTTTTTTCCCTGAAGGTTTTATAATAGGAAATGGAGGGATATTTTGTGTTGTTTTTAAGGTTATTGTAGGGTCTTCTTTCTGTTTTACATAATTAGCCTATCTGCTTTTCACCCTGGTCTCTTTAATCATCTCATCCTCCCTAGCACCAGTAATTTCATATAGAAATATTCTTTCAGTCTTATTCTGACCTTTTAATTTTTAAAATGTAAACTCTAGGTAGCAGAAAATTACATGCTTGGCTATGTACCTGCTAATGGATTTGTTTAACTTCGTACTATTATTCTTAGTCTACCATTTTGGAAGAAATACATACTTTCTGGAAATTTGTTATCCATTTAGTCTGATGAGTGACTGGGTTACCTTTTATCTGTCTAACATGAGATCTTAGCTGTCAAATAACAACACCCTTTGGTAGGTAGCGCTCATTGAACTAACAGTTTAACATCACTAACGATATATGGCATTGATGGAGGAAAGCGATTTGACTGCTTCTGTGTTAAGTGTGATGAGAATGTTCTTAAAAGTAATTATCACATTGCAGTTTGACCCAGAAGTATCGCTGTTGTCACTTAATGAGTTACTATTTTTATTTACCATTTTTCTCTATGGATAATGGAACTGATTGCCAGCCCATTGGAATAGATGGGAGAGTAGAGTAACATTAATGCACCCTGTAGGTATAACAAGTGGTAAATACATTTGTCTTTGTCTTTATTTGCTGGATAAACAGCTTACTTTTAAAACAGCATCAAAGTTCTGCTTTTCTTCGAGAGAAAGCGGGAGTTAACACAGTTGTTAGGACCCTGTCCTAGTCTTCCCACCTCCCATGCAGCTGACCCAGAAATCATTTAGTTTGAGTTGAGAAATAGGTGGCTTGTTCTTTTCATGTGTTTACTCTCTAGAAAATAAAAATAGATGTTGACTTGTGTGGTTTTATATCAGTATGCCATCATCAACAGACAAGCCTATTAACTATTGTTTCCATTGAGTAAACAGTGGTCTGAGGGTCACCCATGTTCACAGGTAATTGTTGGTGTGCAGACAACAGTAGCGGGCCTGCTAGCTACAAACGCATCCCACCTGTCACTTCGAAAGGTGTTGGAAAATAATAGTTCAGATGCAGCAAAACCGGACATGGGGTTGTGGAGTGACCTTTCCCCTTTGTTTAATTTGCCTCTGAGGCTTAATTTCAGGGGACAAGTAATAATTGACTATGCCTAATAACTAAATGCTCATTTGGGACAAAATCCATCAAAATATAATTGGCATTTGATTTTTATGAAGGGAGAAGAAAACCGACTTGTCTGTCGAGGATGCCTCCTAAGAATATCTGACCACTTAATGTATCATTTGAAGCCTCCTTTATAATATATATTAATTGCAAATGCTTGAGCATTTGAACATTTTCGTGGAGAACCGTTAGGAGGGACCAACTGTTTTTGTTAACGCTCCTCTCAGAAAGGCGGGGAAGGTTATTGGTCTGCTGTGCAATAATTTACTCCTCTTTGATATGCAAACGATCCACGGTGAATATAAAAAAATCCTATCAGACTCATTTCACAGTTCTTAACCACTCGGATTCTCTGGAGTCCATCGCCTCATTAGACCAGTGCTCTCCAATGCTAGCATAATTAAAATCTTTAACAGTTTAGCAAAGTAAAGATGTTTGGCTGATCACGTTGAGATGATTATCTATCCATTGTATTCTAAATGACAAAAATAAATTAAATTTAGACCTTGGCATTTTTTATTATGTGTTTCAAATGAATATAATGCACACAGCCTTCTTTTTTAATTCGATACCTTAGGTTTGGTAAGAAACATGCCTGTTTCAGCTGCTGCTATATAGTCAGAAAATGGCAGGCTTTCTGGGATGGCTGTGTTACACTTGATTGAAACAATGAACTGCAATCCAGACGTCCACTTCTAATGTGGTATTGCCTTAGGATGTGCAGGGTTTATGTTTTCTTTTCGGTGTTCCTCCAAAGGAAGTTTTGTTGCTTGTTGTCGTTGTTGTTGTTTTTGTTAGTTGTCATCTAGAATATCTTTATTCTGTGCATGTGTGGGCTAGAATATGCATTGAGGTGGGATTTGGAAACCTGGGCTACAGAGGCATGCCAGCAGGATAAAGACGAAGAGGCCCACAATAGTGAGATTGGCATACTGATTGTATCTCTTCTTGGGGGAAAATACTGGATTCACTCCTTAAAACCCATGTCCATTTAGATCCCCTTTAAAAAAACAAGAGAACTTCATTACTGTAAGTTTATTTTACGTTTGCATTTTATTCTGCAATGGTTCATTACCATTGATCTAAGAAATGACAGTAATAATAGTGTTACTTGTATAAAAAGTTACACAGTTTTTCAGTAGACACATCCATCAATTAAGCATGTGGTACTAGAAACCAAAATTAATGAGGAAGATAGGTGTGTTAATGAAATAATCATAGTATAATCAATTTGACTGTTAAAAGTTGAAAAGCATTTCAGGAAGACGATATGAATTCATAATTTATGTCTAAAAGTGATTAATAAAAACTATATTTAATAACAAAGCTATTTGTCATCATTTAAGACTTAAGCACAAAAATTATTCATTTTGTAGTTCATGTTGTCATAATAGTATAGTTGAACAAATTTATTTTGAGCCCTTCTTTGTGTCTAAAACTAAGGTAACATCTATCTACTTTTCATCAAAATTGAGAAATAACACTTGGGATGGTTAGAGGCATACTGTTGTGGCAAAGTAACTGTGTTTTGAGTCACTTTCACCTGAGTCTTTTATGTGCGATGAGGGCAACTTCCACTCAGTTGCTCGGTAAGAGGACACACTTTTTACTACCGCATCTGCCGTAGTTGGGAGGGGAAAAAAAACTGCACACACCGAAAAACCCCCCTAACACTAGGCTTTGTTTACTGACTCTTTGATTTAATTGCTGTTTGAAGAGGACGGAATTAGCTGTTAATTGATTTAATTATCCAATTTGTTTGTTTCAGGCATGATTCCAACAGAACTGCAGCAGCTCTGGAAAGAAGTGACAAGTGCTCATACTGCAGAAGAAACCACAGGCAACAATCACAGCAGTTTGGATCTGACCACGACATGTGTCTCCTCCTCTGCACCTTCCAAGACCTCCTTAATAATGAACCCACATGCCTCTACCAATGGACAGCTCTCAGTCCACACTCCCAAAAGGGAAAGGTAGGAACCAGCCACTGAGATGGGTCCAAAACTGCCTTTAACATGAGAGGGGTGGGTGGCCCTGCCTCGTCATATCTCAGTGATCCCTAATTGGATCCATGTGACTTGAATGTGCATATAATTACTGAGGAATGTATTCAGTATGGTTTGGGTGTGAAGCATCTAATTATTTTCACCTTTTCAACATGGAATTAGCACTTATGTAGATCTACTCTCAGCTTAGGAACCCGGGCAGAAGTCGTGTAGTTTCTCATTGGATGGGTTGGATTTCCAGGCTTCCAGGCCTACTCCTTCTGCCAAGTGCTCACTCCGTACAAGCTGAATTCCTTGGCTGGAAGTGCCTTCTAAGGGAATAGTAGTGTCTGCTGTGGGCAATTTTGAATTATGGTTTGAGAAAACATAGAACTTATGTTACTCTACATTGCTCCCCTTGAAGGCTGGGCGCCCATGTTTTTCATCATTGTGCCCTGGAGCACATGGTCTTTCCCGTATGTATTCTGAGTGAAGGTTTGGAGGATGGAGAGACAGAAGAGGTAGTGGTGGTGGTGGCTGGTGGAGGTGGGGGATCTGTTGTATATACTCACATAAACAGACACAGCACACTTTCTCTTCATTGTGGGATATAGTGTAGTATTGTCTCAGCAGCTGTATTCCTATTTAGAAGTTAAGACATTTTATTTTTGAATTGCCCTGGGCTTTACATGAATGTTACTTGAAGCTGAGCTTGTTTTAGAGATCCAGAATATGCCATGTTAGCATGCAGTTCTAAGAAAATAAAGCTGTTAATTCATGTTATGGTATTCTTAGTACCCAGAAGCATTAATACCACTGTTGAAGTGCTTTTCAAGAATAGAAAATACAATGCCCCTAAAATTGAAAACTTTTTGTTTGCTATTCCTAAACTGTTTTCTATATATTTCATAGGCAGAGCTTCCACACACAGAGGTAAAGAAACCGTAAAAGTAGTATGTGACAGTAAATGCCATTTCTCTCAGGAGAAAGCAAATTCTGTATTGTGTTTTTTAATAAAAATGGCTCAGTGAAAAAACATTTAATTATATATTTCAGTTATGCAATTACAAATGTAATTTCATATATTTCTCAAAATATTGAGTATTTAAGAAGCCTACTGTTTAATTAGATGTGTATCTTTATACCAGAAAAATATTATCTGAACACACACACACACACAGATACACACACACACACAGAGATACATACATACACACACACACACACACACACACCATGTTCAAGTGTAAAACCATGAGTGGTTACCAGAGTTGAGGATAATACATATGTTTTAACTAAAATTTTCAACTATCCTTCCAAGGTCATTTTGGAATTTCTGAGGCAGACACCGAAGAACTAAAAGATGCATTAAGCATGTTGGTTTGGAAGAGTTTGAAGAATAGATAGAGGAATAGAATGGTGGACACTGACAATCTTTGGAGCCATTGAGGGAAATGTGGCTTCTGTTGTTTCTGGCAAGGATAGATATGTATGTCTGGAAGCCAATCTTAGCTCTTGCTTTACAATCTCTTATGATGTCTTCTTTTTTTTTTTTTTTTCAAGAAAGAAAACCTTAGAGAGCATTAAAGAAAAGGTTCTAGGCTGTTGTCCTTTGCTATACTTGGTTTTGATGCCCTAAGGTTGATGCGTCCATTTGCTGCAGAGCGATTGAATTACATCTTTATCCATAGGCAGAGCAGGAGGCCATACACTGAAAAACGCCGACTGATGCACTTAAGGTATTTGTGGCAATCTCATCGGCTGTTGTGGAGCCTGCACAGATTTCCTGTGACATAGAAAACTCTTCTTGTTTAGATGCGCTGTGCTCAGTTTCATTTTCTAAAAGGTTATGTATCTGCAGTCAGGTGATAGATTAGCAAGGAGGCAAGTGGGAGAAGAATAGCCCTTTTCATGTCTTAAGGCACATTTGAAAGTAAGTGGATCTGAGAGACAGTCTAATTCTGGGAGACTAAGTTTGTTTGAATTTTTTTTTATGGTCCTTATTTGTCTGCACAAAAGTTGTGCTTAATCTTCATCATACTACACACCAGAATTAGAATATGGATCAGAAAAGAATTCAGATTCCAATGAGCCTTAATCTGGATGTAAAAGCAGGCTGAGTTTTCCAATTGTACATGCAAAAAAGAAGCAACTATGAAATTATATGCCACTACTTAATCTCTTGAATCTCTCAGTTTGTATTATCTAGTAGGTTCCTAAACGTGGCTGGATTAAAAGAAAATTCCAGTCAGCACATTTTAACTGAATGTAGCCATCAAGACAAATGAGCACCTTCAGTTAAAGATAGTTCAGTTTAAGCTTGTGGAATTGATAATTAAAAAATCAATTAGGCCTGGTACAGTGGTTCATGCCTGTAATCTCAGCACTTTGTGAGGCCGAGGCAGGAGGATTGCTTGAGGCCAGGAGTTCAAGACTAGCCTGGACAACATAGAGGGACCCCAATTTCCATTAAACTTTTTTTTAATTAGCCTGCCATGGTGGCATGCACCTGAAGTCCCAGTTACTTGAGAGGCTGAGGTGGGAGGATCATTTGAGCCCAAGAGTTTGAGGCTGCAGTGAGCCATGATCACACCATTGCACTCCAGCCTGGGCAACAAAGCAAGATCCTGTCTCTTAATTAAAAAAAAAAAAAAGCAATGATTAGTTAGCCAGCTTCGTATACATATAAATACTTCAAATGCATATTATGTAGCATTACCTTATTAGGCTTAATTTAAAAATCACGTGTGATAACCAGTTAAATACCAAAACAAAGCTGTCACTATAAAGGTATGGTCTCACTGTACACTGATGTGCCAGTTGTCTCAGGAGTCTCTTGTCACTGCCTTGGATAAGTTTTCTCTCTTACTCATCAATGCATTTGTGAAATACGTGTCCTTCCAAGCTCTTCTTTGATTTCTGTGTAATATTCTTTTCCCTCCATTCTGATGGGCAAGGAAAGAGTCTCTGCCACACTGAATAACTATCTGACCCCATGACCTTGATCGTGGGTTAGCAGCTTTAAGATTTCTTTCTGACATGATCTGGGGGTGCTCGATGGGAAAATTTGCTGGAAAAAGGTAGTGTTGTGAGAGTTACTGTTGTTTTCAAAGTAGTGAGATGGCTAATGATCTCAACTGAGTTGCATATGTATTTCCATGCCATTTGGAAAACTCCTTCTCCCCCACTCTTGCCCCCGTGCATTTTGCTGGCTCCTGTGAGCAGCCACTGCAGTAGCAGCAGCTCTGGGGTTTGGTGAGCTGCAATCTGTTAAGGAGATAAATAATGTGCTTGGCACGACACTCCTACTCTCCTCTTTAATTTGTCTTACACAAGGAAAATTATAATTAAATCATTCAGGGTAAACCCTTGAGTGTAGAGAAGGGAAAAAACACACTTTGGTAAAGATTGCCAATAGAAACCCACTTCCCTGTTGCGCAGGGTAGAGACATTTATCAATATTCAGCACTATTACGGGAGGAGCGGCCCATGTGATTTGTGAGGCGGATGCCAGCGTTCAAATCAAGGCTTGTTAAGATCCTGTCCCTGTGTAATCATGGACATTCAGCATCATTAGAATTCAGTACTGGCACCATGCTTCGTGCTTTGATTTTCTCCGACAATTTAATAATGTTTATTGTGCTGATTGTATATAAATTCATTGGTGCAATAAACATGCCTGTGTTGTCAGTGCCTGAGAAAAGTGTGGTGGGGATCAAGTTCAATGGCGCAGCTAAGGGGGAGCAGCAAGAGGAAGCAGGTGCATTCAAGCCTCTTGCTGTCATTTTATTCCATAGGGACAGAGAGTCTCGACTTCTTAGGGAAACAGACAAAACTCAGGCCTGGGATACCGGTACATATGAAGATACTGTCTTGTTTCCCTGTCTAATTGTCTTGCTTTAGAAAATTCCAGGTTTTGGTGTGGGTAAACAGAATCAACAGAATGCAAATGAAACATCTATTAAAATGCTAAATTTAGTAAAGCCCTTTGAGCTTCTTGGATCAAAGCAGCTATGTAAATACTAATAGCAATTACTACTTAAGTAATTGCCTAAATTAAAATTTGAAATATCACATTACATTATGGTGCACTAGGGAAAGGGACAAGAACTCACATTTAATCAGTTCCTTCTCTGTGCCAAGCACTGGCTAGACTTTTGCATATGGAGTGATGTCTCATTTTATCCACCTGACCACTCAGGAAGCAGTAAGGATGATTATACCCATTTTACAGATGAGGAAATCGAATAATAGAAATTAAATAACTAACCCAGGGTCATAGAACTGGTGGTTAGTGGCATATCCAAGATCCAAATTCAGATCTGTGTTTTAGTCTGCAAAATAGTACTTAAAGTTTTCATTCAGCATAGAAGTGAATACTAAATTACGATAAAATGAGTGTCCCTAAAAGATACTTTAAATTTAATTGAAATTCAATTTGACAAAACACGTATTAAGTTAACCTACTGTGTGCAAATCACTGCGTTTAAAAGAAAATACCAGAGTTTTCTCTTTTATGGTGTATATTCATATTTACCAGGCCTTTCATGAAGCGGGATAGGTGGGATTTACAAGCTATAAATCATTTTGGTCTGAAACAGCACATAAAGAACATAAATGAACCTCATGGGGGATTTACACACAGGCAGATCCAAAATAACGTATCCCCACTTTTTTCCTGCCTTATAAATCCTGTGTTTCCTCAATGAACACATCATATGCTTTTTATTTCATTTCAGCTGTCCTCTATAGTCCAAATCAGAAATATTCCCTTTTTTCTCATCCCAGCTTTTTTGCTTTCAGTTCAGCCACCATCATTAGATGTTTTATAACTCGAGTATTTCTCGGATTCATAGCTGTTCTAAGTATTTGTTCCAAGGTGTCCTTAAGCATTTGGTCAAAGATGTTTCCTTAAACCCTGATCAGATGGTGGTTGGGCAGTCTCTGCTTTTTTGAGGTATCATATTAGAAACAGGGGACGCACACTGGGCGCTTTACTCTATGAGGTTTAACCTATGCTCTCTTCAGTCACGATAGTCCTTGCCTCGTTCTCATCATTTATTGACGGAGCCCTGTGTATTACTGTCGCTTGCATTTTCTCCACTCCACAGTTGGCAGTTGCCTTCAAATAACCCCTGAAGGTTTCCGCCTGGCTAGTGTACTTATAGACAGTTTCACTTGATACACAGTCTCTGTTTTTGATTTGTGGCCTCTTGACATGTTGCCATGTATTTGACTATGTAACAATAACATTTGTGTTTACAGGCCTTGTTATTTTCAAAAGGCAAGGAACTTTGAAACATGTACATGTCTAGTGTTGCATTTTTTTTTCTTTTTTAAACTAAATTCTGTGTTTGTGAATAAATGTCAGTGCTCTTGGTTTACTTGCTAAAATTCTAGAAGTTAGTTTTCAGAACTGTTCCAGATACACAAGCCTTTAACTGGTGCATGTTCTGTGATATGTAGGACCTGTTGAAATTTAAGCAGTAAACTCTAGCTCCCATTATTTTGAAGAGTTTTTCCTCATTTCAGTTTTTTTTTTTCCCCAAAAATCAGAGGACAATTTGTATTTATTTTGATTTGAAATACTGAGCAAGCTAGTTATTTTAAATCTTTCTTCCCCGTTAGAGCATTTTGGAGAACCTGTGGTCAAATTCCACCAAATTGTCTTCAAAATTGTTAACTGCTACTTCCTGCCAACATGAGTCAAGGCATTTAAACAATCTATAACACTATAACAGAGCTCGGCAAATTATGGTCAGCCTGCCAAATCCAGCCCACTGCTTCCTTTTGTAAATAAAGTTTTATTGGGACACAGTCACATTCATTTACGTATTGTCTACGGCTACTTTGACACTACAATGGCAAGCTTGAGTAGTGGCAGCAGAAACCATATAGGCTACGAAAACTGAAATATTTACTATCTGACCATTTACAGAAACAGTTGCTGACCCCTGACCTTCACCATTAGCCTGGTGTTTCTCAGATTCCCTGATGATATTTTCATAGGGTATTTGTTAAACACACAGCTTCCTAGGCCTTTCTTCTGAAACCTGGACTTTCTTGGTCTGAGATGGGGTGCAGGAATTTGCATTTGCCCTACATACCCTGGAGTCTTGCTACTCAGAGGCTGCAGACCAGCAGCTCTGCTGTGACCTGGAAGCTTGTTAGAAACTCAGTCTCTGGCCCTGCCCCAGACCTGCATCAGGATCTGCATTGTAACAAGAGCCTCAGGGGTTTGGAATACATGTTCAAGTTTGAGAAGCAATGGAAGCTGTGTGTTTATCACTGAGGTTTTGACACTTGGAAAGAACAGGACTTTTCTCCAGACACTTGATTCACATCCCAGACAGGTTCTCATCAAAAGTCAGGGCTGTAGTTAAGGTGGTCTGGGGAGCAGCCCACTGGGGAGCCACCAGACAGGTTCAGTCCTCAAAACTAGTGACTTGCCATTCTTACGTGAGCCAACAGAGTAGAAATCATATGACTGAAGGGACCAGACCCCATTTGCTTCCTTTCCTTAGGAGCTACCACGAGACCTTGACTTGAGACCCACTCCTTGGCTCTGTGATCACAGGCAAGAGACACAAATTTAAGGTTCTGTTTTGCTCTTGTCAAGGATGAAAGGACCTGACATGTGATGGTGGTGATGAGAATGCAGCTAACATTTATGTAACTCTTACTGTGTGCCAGACACAATGCTCAACAGACTTGACATAGGGCTTGATACTATACTGATTTTCCTATTTTTAATTTTTTTTATTTTTTATTTTTATTTTTTGATTTTCCTATTTAATCCTCATAGTAACCTTATGGGGTATTCTCCCCTTTGTACAGAGGGTGCAGCTGGGGCCCAGAATGATGTTATCGCTTGCACACGTCACATAGCTAGTTAGTGACCATACAGGGACTAGACCTGAGATTTCCCTGACCCTCAGGGACTTGCAGTGACTGCCAGATTCTGGTGGCTCCCAGTGGGCTGCTCCCCAGACCACCTTCACTACAGCCCAGACTTTTGATGAGAATTGGACTACAGAGTGGGTTAAGCTCCGGATCAAGTCCAGATGGTAGCCTCCACTGGTTGTAGCTTGGGGCCAGACCTATCTTTTCAGCAGTAATTTAGAAGAAGCCCCCAGGAAAATCCCCGTTGCCAGTTTCCTTTGCACCCACCTCATCTTTTTGCTGGCAGGGAAGTCAGGAGGTTAGAAACCAGTGACGCACAGTGGAGAATATAGAGGGCGTGCTGGGCATGTCTTGTCAGGTGTAGGGGACCGGAAAGAGGACCAGGTGTGGCTAACTGCAGAGGCCTAAGATACAGGTACTTATTTTTGCTCCAAAGCAGACTCTTGGCAGCATCACCTGTCCCATGTCTATCTGTCGGGGAGGTAACCTACTTAGGGCAAAAGCTGTTCCTGCTGAGGTCAGACAGAAGCACCCTGGGGGCGAATCAGCATTTTGTACCCTAAACATGCTGCCTGTTGTTTGGCAGCCATCGTGCTTTGAAGAACTGTGATGTGTCTGATTGCTTAAAACCAATCACTTTTGGGACTTAGAAGTGGGAGAAAGGATTCTCTCAGGGCCATGTGGCATGGTGCCGTATCACCGCCTGTCATTCACACATGCAGGGAGGGCACCGGGAGAAAATCTTTAAAATATTGGCATGCCATAAGGGAAGGGTTTATGGGTTGTTTTTTTTTTTTTTTTTTTTTTTTTGACTGTTCACTTTGTGGGGTGATTAAACAAAAAAACCTCAGCCATTATTCTCTAACAGCTGTTGTGCCTTACCTCAATAAAGTGCCTTTTACCATAACACAGCATCTTTAGACTCTATAAATCTCTTTCTATTTATTGTGTTTAAATGATAAATGCTTTCCAATAAAATGACATCATGGGTCTGGAGAGTGATGTTCATTTTCTGAGTTACTCTTAAATTTGGTTGATTTGAATTTTTTTATTAGGATGTTGTATAATATGAATCTCAGCCACAGGCTATTCCGTGTCTAATGTGCCAGATTTCCCACCCAAAACCATCTTTGGACCCCCCATTTCTTTCACCTTGTAAGGTAGACATTCTTTTTTGATGCGCCGCTGCCGCTGATACAGGTTCTCTGCCAAATTCCTTTGTTGGCACCCAGGCATTTTGCAAGTATTTGCGCTTGAGTGGAAAGGCCTGTGTCCCCTCCTCCCAATTGTGTCTTAGCTTTCCTTAACATTTATTCCACACCAGGGGTGTGAGGGAAAGCATGTGGCAGGAGAAGAGTGAGAACCAGCCTTTTGGAAACTCTGATGGTATTGTCCATGGTACTCGGTTTTACTCTTTTACCTATAAAAAGTTGTTGTTGAATTGCACACCTTCACCACTTAAATTAGACAGAAGATTTTCTTTGATGGATATTGAAACCAACCAAAAGTGCAAAGGGAAGTCAAGGGCCTTCCCTTTGAGAGGAAAAGGGGCTTGGAAAAGTCCTATTCTTATAATAAATGACAGCTGGGAGTCTTATGCTCTTAAGCCAATACTGGAGCCAGATGAAGGGGGGACCTATGCTGGAGACTTAAGCGGATGTCATGTTCCTTTTCAAGATTTGCAAAGATGCTTTTTTGTGCAGTTATTCTGTTTTATTGCTGTGTTCGCACCAGTGTTACCCCGTGGCCTGGCTCCATAGGTCTTTCCGAGGGAGCTACCTCTCTGCCGACTGGCTCACTGGGGCAATGCAAATGAGTGCGTTAGATATGTACAGCATTCCTGAAGTTCTTTATTCCATACCCCTTTGTAATCAGTCAAGGCCTAAGTATATTATAAACTATATTCTCCTCATTAAAACAATAGTGGAAGCTCACAAAGGGAAATTGTTAATATGTGTTCCAGCTTGTCACTTCTGCCTGTGTGAATAAAGAAGATAACCGTTCCTTTGGGAAACTATTTCGGGAATTGAGCAACAGATACGCTAGCCAGAGAATTCTCTTAACTGTAATTTTCCTTTTTGTGTGTACTCTAAAATAACATCCTGTTGGGCTCCTCAGTGCCACTGCACAGACAGAGCACAATTGCCACAGCCCAGGTGGTGTTAATATGGGACAATCCCCCCGGGCACATGTCGCCAAGAGTTTTACAGCTTGTTCAGTGTCTTCATCCATATGGCAATCTGTCCCATTCACAGGAAGGCATCGGGGCTGCGCCGGGCGGGTACTGCGGTCAATGTAGTGTGAAGAGCAGGCCTCCACTCAGGCAGCCTCTGTTGTGCAGTTTGTTTTATTGTAGATCTGAGTTATGACGCACACACACTCACATGTACTCTCTCAACCAAGAAGAGATGCGAAAATAGCCTTGCTGGCTTCCTTTCCTCCCCCTTTATTTTTTGAAGCACGTGGTTAACTCAGCAGGTACAATTCTAGTGCATGAAACACACTTGGTTCATAGAAAGTCAGTTAAAAACACACATCCACATGGACCTTTCTGGCTGGGTGGTTGTGTGTTAACATAAGGACTCCATACTTGTACTAGGATTCTTCTAGAAATTAGTGGGTTTTGTTGTTCTTGCTCTCTCTTCCCCACCTCTTTTTTTGTTTTTTGTTTGTTTGTTTGTTTGTTTAGCATTTTCCATTGTGAAAACTATTTTGGTTGTCCAGTTTGGATTGTTGGTCTAATATTTGTGGTTTCTAAGTCTTAAAATGAAAGAAGAGAAAGAAAAAAGAAAATCATTATCCGCCTCAGAAATCTGAGAGTAAAACATTGGCTGGAGGTGTGAGAAGTGCAAAGAATCAAGAAAACAGAGATTTCCCAGTGCACAGGGTGAAAAATAGGGACTTTTTAAAAAGACACTTTGGAAAATTCACCAGGAGGCAAAAAGCCTTCTCCATTTATATACCCAAGGCTTGTTCTGCTTTTGTGTAACTATTTGTGTTCTTGTTTGGTAAACAAACAGACCCCATAGCAACTGTAGCTGATGATATTTATACTACCTGTAAGACTTCCCTAAACAAATAGACAGACTTTTATGACCTTCAAATTTCATTCCTTTTATAGTCTTCAAGGAAATCAGTCTAATGGCAAGCCGATCTCTCTCTTTCTCTCCATTGCTTTTTTTACAGTACTTTGAGATATGTCTTTGAAGGAGCTTTTGTGTATTGTGTATTTTACATCTTGGCTGTGAATGTTGAGTGTTTGAAGATGTACTATGGCAGAAGGAAAGAGGAAACCTGAAGTGTTTGTGCAAATGATGTGATATTTGCTTTCAAAGGAGTCATTTTAGTAATCAGTGGAATTCTGGGTCATACATCCAAAAAGCGAACACTCCACCGAAATCATGACCATAGACCTGAGAATCAGGCGGATATCTATGTCTGTGACTCTACTTTCATGTCTGAAATATTGATAGAAACATTGTGGTACATATGAGCCCCTATATTCAACTTAAATTTTTCCATATGAGTCAGATTTATGACAAGAACAAGATGTCTCGTGTTAAAGATCAGTGTGAGAGAAAAATGGCAGTTTACTTTAATTAGAAAAAAATTGACACCAAGAGCTGGAATAATCCAGTGGCGTTTGAATAAATTAGAGGACTGTACAGACAGAAATAAAAAGAAACTCAACAAGGATAAATGGGAAGTTGTCCAAAGTGCAAGAAAAAATGTGTTCCTCAGTGGGACAGAAGTCACAGGACACTTCCAAGGTATATCCATTCAACCAAACTTACCAAGCTCAAACCACAGGCCAGGTGTGGTCCTAGTGTGGGAATGTAGCTGTGAGCTCCACAGCCTGTCCTCAGGGAGCTGACACTGCAGTAGAAGGGAAATAGAACAAACAAATCATTTACACAAGAACGGTTAAGTTCTGGAAACAGAAAAAGTAGGAAAGGGAGTAAGTATTATTTGTGGGGCTGAGGTTACTGTTGGGGTAAGTTGGTCTGGCAAAGCCTGTAGGTGGCCCTGGAACAAACGTGAATAAGAAAGGGAAGACCCCCTCCAATCTAAGGGCACATCAGAAGCAAAGGCCCTGAAGCAGAGGCAGGCATAGAAGATATTTGGCTGCGTTATGGACCATACTGGTTTCATGTCAGGCCACTGTGTTGTTTGGTGGTATTTAGCCTCCTATCAGAACCCAACATGATTATCACAAAGTAGGTGTTTAATAAAATCTGCTGAATTAAAGGTAGAGAAGGGTTTAACCTAGTTAACCCAGTTTAACCTCAAAGACTGGACTGAAGAATGCAGGCTGCTCTACTTAAGTTACTTGAGCTTGGTGTGCCTCAGTTTCCCACCCCTGAATCGGGTATGCTACCAGCCCTTACCTCGTCTTAGATCAAATTGTGAGGATTAAATGAGTTAATATATGTTTTAGTTGCTGAGCACATAGTAGGTCCTCAATAAATATTAACTTATTGTTAATTATTATTAAAGCTATTTATTCATTCATACCACACGTATTGAGCATGTATTATATAATAACTCTGTAGATTCTGGGAATTAAAAGATGACCACAATGTAGTTCTTCCCCTTCAGGAACTCACAGCTAATCAGAAAAACAAACATAGAAACAGACACTTGAAAGTCAATGTATTATTAATAACTATGGTGATAGAAGTATATGCAAAACGTAACAGAGGGCATGACTTGTTAAAAATGGGCCCAGCGTGGTGGCTGATGCCTACAATCCCAGCACTTTGGGAGGCCGAGGCGGGTGGATCACTTGAGGCCAGGAGTTTGAGACCAGCCTGGGCAATATAGTGAGACCCTGTCTCTACAAAAAATATAAAAATTAGCTGAGCATGATGGTGCATGCCTATAATCCCAGCTACTCAGGAGACTGAGGCACAAGAATCACTTGAACCCGGGAGGTAGAGGTTGCAGTGAGCCGAGATCACACCACTGCACTCCAGCCTGGGTGACAGAGCAAGACTCTGTCTCAAAAAAATAAAAAAAAAAGAGCACTAGTGGAACATCATAGTGTGTGTATGTTCCCCCTACATCTGCCTCACATGAGATTTTCTAACACAATGAATGCTGTAAGGGAAAGGTTTTAACTCTCTTGTCCATTGCCACATCCCCATCACCCAGCACAAGCCAGCCTGGCATATAGTAGGCCCTAAATTTCATTGCAGAGACTACATGAAATGTTCAGAAGAAAGTGAACTAATGAGATGTCAAAGGTCAAGAACCCATTAAGAGTACTTCTATACTTGCCACTCTTTGGCCACAGGTGCTGTAAGACAGGGGTCCCCAAACCCCAGTTCACAGACTGGTACTGGTCTATGGTCTGTTAGGAATTAGGGCACACGGCAGGAGGTGAGGCACGTGAGTGAGTGAAGTTCCATCTGTATTTACAGCCGCTCCCCATCGCTCACATTACCACCTGAGCTTCGCCTCCTATCAGATCAGCGAGGCATTAGATTCTCACAGGAGCGTGAATCCTATTGTGAACCACACATGCAAGGAATCTAGGTTGTGTGCTCCTTATGAGAATCTAATGCCCAATGATCTGTCACTGTCTCCCATTACCCCCACATGGGACTGTCTATATTTGTAGGAAAATAAGCTCGGGGCTCCCAACTGATTCTACGTTAGGGTGAGTTGTAAAATTATTTCATTATATGTTACAATGTAATAATAATAGAAATAAATGCATGATAAATATTATGTGCTTGAATCATCCCGAAACTATTCCCTGCCCCCCAGTTCCTGGAAAAATTGTCTTCCATGAAACCAGTCCCTGGTGCCAAAAAGGTTGGCGAGCACTTCTGTAAGAGAACCTGGTTAGCTGTTGTCGATACCTGTAGCTGCTCCAAACCATGAGAAAACTTAAGTTTCTGCTACAAGTACATCTCAATCTTTAGCTTGCCTCAGAATCCCCCTGGAGGAATGGCTAAAATACAGGCTACTGGGCCCCACCCTTAGTGTTTCTGATTCAGTAAATTGGGGTGGGGCCCCCACATTTGCATCTTTTACAAGTTCCAGACCCGTACTCTGAGAACCACTGCCTTACAACGTCCCCACCTGGTATCCTTATGGTGTGGCATTCTACCGAAGTTCAAAGTGACGGATAAGTGATCTGGATTACCATTACTTAGGAAAATACAGGTTTCAGAGCCAAGACTCAACATTTCAGAGAGAAAAATTCTCAAGACTGTGGCCCAATATAAGCTATTTTATGGAGCAAAATTTAAAAAAAAAATTTCAATTTTGGCCTTAATTTCATTCATCAGGGCTCTGGTTTTGTCTTCCTAGATTTTTTGTGTGTGTGCTTCGGTTCTCTGCTCTCACTCTATTCCTTTCATCACCTGAGCTCCTACTGATACGTTAAGGCCCAGATCAAATGTTACAGTACTTTATGTTCCAGCCATCTGTTCAGTTATCACTGTCTCCCCAACTAGAGAATTGGGTAGAACTCTTTCCGAGGATGAGAACTTACTTAAAGTTGCAGTCAATGCCAGTGACCACCAAACTTGATTTTTTACCCATCAGTATAAAAGTGTTGAATGTGTACCCCTACTAAGTATGTTTATTAATTATATACATGTTTCTAATATATATTCCTTATGTTATAAAAATTGGTGGCTAAGAGGGTGAGAAATGTATATATACATTTTCAAGTTCTAATATTAATATGTGTATACAGAAATCTTAATATTGTGACTCATATATGTAATATCAAATCTTAAATATATGATGTAGGTCATATGCATCCCAGTTTTGGAGACTGATCTAAGAACCTAACATGATTATCACAAAGTAGGTGTTTAATTAAATCTGCTGAATTAAATGTAGAGAAGAATTTAACCCAGTGAATGTTAATGAGGCATCTTGTGCTATAGAGAAATAAATGTAATTACATAAAGTAGGGAGTAATTCTAAGGAAATACATAAGCAAGTGCCTGATAGTTTTGAGCCATTTTGTATCTTTGGCTAACTTGTCCCTTCATCTCCTGCTTTCTGGTCTGGCCCTTGTGTATGGTTCTGCTTTTGAAGTATGATGTAACTCTTAGAAATCTTTTGCTGACTTCCATAGCATACTGGGGAGGGGAAGAAAATAAGAATTAATATTGGAACTTTGTTTACGGTCGTTGGTTTTTTTGGGTGTCATTGGTTCCTCTAACATATGGACAAGGTTCCACATAGACCTTGTGACTCACCAGTGCAAACACACTTGCATTGACATAATGAGAATGCCTGCCTAATGGTGTTAATAACTTTTGGATTAGTGATCCCTATGTCTGTATTGACACAGTTGCTCACACCACTTTTTGGAAAGCATTCTGTTTTCTTAACGAGATCCCAGTGTTAATACTGCCAGTGGTAAACTTTTAGTTACAAACTCAGAATAGCCCTTACTGGTGTCAGAAACAAAAGATGGACCTCTGCCTCTTGTTGTTCTTTTCCTTTATTTATTCCTTCACTCATCACCTTGCAAATACAGGCATTTTGTGCTTGTCATCACCTGCTCTGTTTGCGATTGCATTGTGATCCAAGCACACCAACCAGCCTCCAGTACTACAGCTCTGATTCTCTGCTCCGTTCTCCTGCTATGCCACATAAATACTCCTGGCATCTGGGAATCAAGATGGCACATTTTGCCCAGTGTGGCTGGAAAGGGGGGAGATAGGGGAGATTGGTGACATGGTTAGTGATGAAAATAACTGCCAGACTTACTACCTTTCGTGGCACCTAGCCTCAGGTTCTTACCATTGGTAAAGCAGCCAGTTGCTGGTCACATAGATAGCTTACAAATGAGATGCCCTTAAATCTGGAGGAAGAAGCTCTAGTCCTAAAAGCATCAGACACACTACACTGTGCTGTTGGGGCCTTTGTGGGTCTTTGACCCCTAAGTCCAGAACGACCGTGAGGCTCTGCCATCCCCTGTGAAAATTCAAATTAAAGTACGTCTTCAGAGACTTGCTACTTTGTCAGTGTCAACCTGCGAAGTTAACCCAGCTACAGACTGGATCCTCAAGGACTACTTTATGAGCTTTTACTTTTCCAAACTTGAGTCGTTTGAATATGCGCCCCATTGTTGTGAGGTTTGCCCTGTCTGCTTATGTGATTATTTGTATTATTTTCTTTAAATCAAGTCATTTCTTAAATAAAATGAGCCTCATTCTAAGAAATGATATCTGTGAAATCAGAAGTTGGAGACACTAGATATATTTTAGTCCATTACAAATTAAGATACATCTGCAAATCTTCAAAGTATGCTTTCTTGCTCCATTTGACATTGTGTGGACCCCACTGAGTGTGTGCATATTATGAGTTGGTATGTTTTCATAGGTTTTTCTCATTTTTCAGAGGGAAGGGACCTTGACTGAATATGGTACTGTGCCAAGTGCATGGAAACCCTGCCTTCCTAGTATACCCTAATTTCTTAGAAAAATTCAAGACTGTCACTTAACCTTCCTAAAAAGTTGATTGTGACTCTGCTTTTCCTCACATACATCCTCAGGGATATGAACCAGGCTTAGAAGATACTTAAAGCAGACCTAGAGTTTGGGGACTGTGAAGTTTTCAAACTCATTGATTCAGTAGTTTACTCTGGGATAATCTTGATCAGTGTAATATCTGGTAAACATTAATCACTGACCATATCACCCAACAGATCTGTGCTGATGTAAAATTGGTGTTTGTTAAACAGAAACAGAAAGTGACCTTTTCCCTGTGCTAACTTCCTTCAGCCTTACCTGTTTTGTTACGTTTAAAAAACAAAAAAGAAATACAGCCTTGCATTAATTTTTAAATAATTTTGAGCCAGCAAGCATTTCTGTGAGTTTGCAACAATTACTTGGGGAGGTTGCCCAGTGCCACCCCCTTACATATTTATCTATGTCCATCCATCTTGTTATAAAGAGGGCATCCTTGTGACTGTTTCTTTAAGCATAGACATTTTTAGGTCAGATACAGATCAGGGAACACCCAAGATCCTTGGTACTCATGTTATGGTCCATGGCCCAGCAGCTCTGGGGGCTTACTCCACATGCATAGTCGTGCGCCACCCCACCACCCAGAACCACCGAATCGGATTTATATCTGTAATAAAGTTCGAGAAGCACTACTCTAGGAATAGCAATGGGAAAGGAAGGTTGTATGCCCTTTTCCCCAGACACAGTTTTTATAGTCCCTTAGGGCCCAGTCAACATTCTTTGAGTCATTCTCCTGCCATTCTCCATTTTTGGCTTGTCTGCATATACTTATTACTACTATCTACTTCATATTTTTCATAAATCGTCTCGTTTAAATAGGTTGTATAAAAAGTAACTACTGAGAAATCATGTTTCTGATGTACTCATAAAAACTTTATCCAACGCAGATGAATATAAGTCCAGAACTATGGAAGTGAGGGTATACCATGCAAACCCACCCAGCACACCACTGGCCATGAGCCATGCCCTGAGGACCACTATAGAAAAATAACTCTCTTATTTCTCCCAGCATAATTTGCAAATCAAGAAAGAAGGGGGGAACAAAAACTAAGTCTGGACATAAATGGTTAATAGCTTGTATTTCAGATGTAAAGTTAGTTAAGGTAGTCCTCACATCTCAGAGCACAATATTGAGAGCAGATAATAACAATAATCTCCATCATTGTTTAAAATCACAAATCTGGCACTTAATAGACTAATTCACAGTCACTCCAATTGCAAGTTTTACTCATGAATATCGTATCACATGGGAATGTGAAATCCTCTAATTAAACATGATTTGAAAAGCAGCAGAAAATTGAGATGATGAGCGTTCTGGGGAAGGAGAGTCAAGGATTCCCTGCGTGAGAGAGAAAGGGAGAAGCATGTGTGTTTGTTACAGTTTGTAGAGAACTCCATCCTTATTCACTCTAGGGTAGGCCCTTTAATAGGCTTTAATAAAACACCCTTCTCTTTGTGGGAGGATTACAGGACCCATTGTCAACTTACTTTTGGAAAACTGATTAATAAACATGTAGGGTGGTGTTTTTCTGCAGTGAGTGAGAAGTGAAAATTAAGGCAGTGTGCTAGAAATGCAGTGTCTAAGTTGTCTCCCAACTCTTCGGTGTGAAATAAGAAGCCCATCTGCTTCTCAAAGTGTTTTCAGTGACAGTTGAAGGAGAAAGGTCATTTTTACAAAGCTGCCAGGGAAACGCATGCGGCCCTTGCATCGTCGTTTCTCCTGTTCCCACGTTTCATCTGCTCGTCTTTGGGCAGGTGTAAGACCTTTTCCTCCGATGCTACAGTATGGAATGTGAAGAAACTTTACCTGTCGTTCTGTTTTCTGCAAGAGATTGTGATTTCTTTTCCAGCTGATTTCCAGCTGATTTCGAGGGGATATACAACAGTATGAAAAACGCCAGAAGAATACACTGTAAAGTGGAAAGTGGTGCTAAGTATTTAAGGAATCATCTCTTTGAGATTGTGAATCTACCTTGCTCTTCTTAGAAAAGGTCGTTGCGATCAAGTTTCAAGGCCAGCTCGTCTAGTTTGGTATCATTTTGTGTGACTGAGCATATTTCATTCGAGCTAATGATCAAATATTTCACAAATATTTGATAGCAATTAGTTTTTGTAAATTTAGTAATTTCAAATCAGAAGTCTGATTATATTTTCAGATAGGACCTCATCACTAGAATATTCTCGGATCAAATTCGTATTCCCATCTTCAAACCTAAGAAGTACATGATATGGTTCGGTACAATCTCATTGAAAGTAAGCTATGATAACAGAGTCACAGGCAGGGAAATGTGATAAGAACTAAAAAGTGAAGAGAGAAAAGGGAAAGTAGGATCATTTTGTATAAGCTGTCATTGAAGAATCAGCAAATAAATCTGAAAGCTTTAAAATAGTAGTGGCTTCCATCGATGCCTGCCATTGTAGCGTAAGTGTAGCTTAAGACACTCTTTATTAGTAGATAGGGCTAAAATTGTATATGAAGAGAACAGCTTTCTAGAAACCCAAGGTGTCTGATTTAATGTAATGTTTTGGCTGGGAATAAGCAGTCTCTTACCGTGCAGACAAAAATCACAGGCTGGGATGGACCTGAAAAAGGAGGATTCTGTGGCTTACAGTGTTGTTAGGTTGACATAAAGTTGTGCACATGGACATGAGACCAAATAATTTGGAAGGATAACAGACAAAGAGAGACATGGAAGTCTTTTGTCAACAAAGCAGCCTTACTGATGAGTATGCTCGGTGCCTGTCTCAGGGTCGGAGTTCATAAATGTTGGCTGGACGGATGAAAGTCCTAAATGGTGGGAATGAAGAAGGTGGCCAGTGGGGGAAGGGAGGGAGGCAGAACAGCTTTTAAGTCAAAGGAGGTGGGAAAGGGGATGCATAGTGCCTTTTGGTTTGTGTATTTGCTGTGGGTCAGGGATGAGTGAGAGGGGAATAGCAACCAGCCCCCTGCTCCACAGCCATGATGAAGACACCGATACTCCTTCCTGAGGGGCTTCATTCATTCCTTTAATGGATTTCCATTCAGCACCTACTCCTTATTCATCTTGTCAATACCAGGATGTGCCATTGGTGCCTGTTCCCTATGCCATCTGCATATCCTTGGTGGAAGTTTGGTGGAGGTTTTACCACTGGGAGGAGCTCTTGTGTGATTCTCTTCAGCTTTCAAATGAGGGAATTGGAGGGCAGAGCAGTGAAAGGACTCGCAGGATTCCTGGTTACAAGCAGAGCTATCATGACAAATGAGGCCTCCCAACACTATGCTCCCAACCATTCCTATAGGGAAATAGTGCTGGCCCTCAGTAAAAGGAACAGTTACACTCCATTTACATGTTAAGCAGAGAAAGCCACATAGCACATTCATTCTGCAAAGGTTTTTCAGTACACAAAGGATCAACAGGATCTGGGAAACAAAGTTGCCCTTAGGCACTTATTCTTCAAAAAGTTCAGCTGCTATGGTTTTATTTTTATTAAAAACCTATCTCTCCCCCTACCCGTCAAACCTCAAAAGTTATTTTATAGCTTAATGTAATTTCAAAAGTTGTTATATAATTTTAACTATAAATTCTTTTGAAAACATGAGCAGTATGTTGGGGAAAAAGAAATCTAAGAAAAGTGAAATTTAAAAAATGCCAACGCTTACATTTACGTTCATTTTGACAAAAGTAATGGTTTGATACTTTTATCAAACCATTCATTGGGGATAGAGTAGTGTTTTTATCAAATGGTGCTGGGACAACATTAAAAAAAATGAACTTGGACCCCTGACTCATATCATATGCAAAAATTAACTTAAAACAGACCATAGGCTTAAATGTGAAAGCTAAAGCTATAAAGTTCTTTAAAGCAAAGCTAGAAGTAACTCTTTGTTACCTTGAGTTTAGGCAATGGTTTCTGAGATGTAACACCAAAAACAGAAGGAGCCAAAGAAAAAATATATAAATTGGACCTCATCAGAATTCAAAATGTTTGTGCTTTAAAGCACACCGTAAAGAAAGTAAAAAGATAACCCACAAAACAGGAGTAAATATTTGCAAAAAACAGCCCAATTAAAAAATAGGCAAAGGCTCGTAATAGACATTTTGCTGTAGAAGATACACACATAGCAGTAAGCACATGAAAATATGTGCAGCCTCATTAATCATTAGGGAAATTCAATCAAAAGCACAATAAGGTACCATTTCCTAGCTGTGAGGATGGCTGGAATAAAGATACGTAACAAGTATTGGCAAGGACGTGGAGAAATTAGAACCCTCACACAGTGCTGGTGAGAATATAAAGTGCTTTGGAAAGCGGTCTCAAAGTTCCTCCAAATGTCAACCGTAGAGTTACCATAGGACCCAGCAATTCAACTTCTAGGTAGATATCCCCTAAAATTGAAAACAGATACTTAGAGTACATGTACATACACCTTCATACCAGCACTACTCGCAATAGCCAAAATGTGGAAATAGCCCAAATGTTCATCAACAGATGAATGGATAAATGTGCTATGTATGTACAATGGAATACTATTCAGCTACAAAAAGGAATAAAGTACTAGTAAATGCTACAGTGTAAACGAATGAAACTCCGAGGATTATGGGAAGTGAAAGAAGCCAGGCATAAAAGAACATATACTGTATGATTCCCTTGATGTGAAATGTCCAAAATAGACACACCTCTAGAGACAGAAAGATTAGGGATTGGCAAGGGCTGGGAGTTGGGAGGAAATGGGGAATGACTGCTAATGGGTACAGGATTTCTTTTGAGGGATGATAAAAATGTTCCAAAATTAGTTGGTGATGATGGTTACACAACTCCGTGAATATTGAATTATGCACTTTAAGTGAGTGAATTGTATGATATGTAAACTATAACTCAGTAAAACTTGAAAAATGTATTTCCACAATTTTGAGTGAGTGGAGAACAACCAACATAGTCTTCTGTAATTTAATTTATCAAATAACATGCCAGTGAAATAAAATACAGTTTATAATTTAGGCAGGATTTCGTTTTTTTGGTGTTTGTGGGGAGGCATAAACCGTAATGGGCACAGATGTACGTAGCCTTTTGCTGCAGATGAATCAGAAATTTGGAGAGGAGGAAAACAAGGCAAATTTGGAAAGAGGCAGATTTGGAAAAGGGAAGAAAAATTAAGGGGATACTTAAAAGACAGATGAGAACTTGGGTCAGTGCACAGGAAAAGCTCGGAATCTGCCTTCAGGTGAAGGGAAAACTGGCATTTCAGTTGGCAGGAAATGGCTTGGCAGATAGCAAGGTCACTCTTTGCTTCATCTCCTTCAGAAATTCTTCCCTCTTAGTTACCACAGGGGAAATTAGCTTACAGGACTAACAGTGTAAGGATCACTAAAGACTGCAGACAGCAGAGTTGAGAAGTTGTCCTTATTTAGCAGGTGGATTTAGTAATTCCAGTTTGAAGCTTTGGTTAAGTAGTGACCTTGGGAATATAACCATGAAATGTCATAAGGAACCATAACCATTATATAAAATTGTCTCAAAAACTAAGGTCAGTGTTGAAGTGAAGACCTTGGGTGGTATACTTTGATGCAGAAAAAAATAAATAGAACAAAATATCCTACTTAACTGTCATTGAAAATGACACCCTTATATCCTACTGAATATATACTGGATTTGGTATCATTTAATGTCAGAAATTATTACATATTTATATGTAATTATACTTTTCATGCAAGTTGGTTCTTTCTAATCTGAAATGCTATCACTATTTTTGTGTTAAAATTATATTTAATTTTTACATATCAAGGATTATCAAGAGAAATTTAAATTAACTGGCTTTTCTCAAATGCATACTATCTGTGTTTTATATATTCAGAATAAAATTAAATAATAGAAAGTGTCATAACGATAGTTTCTCATGTAGCTTTGCATAATTCTGGTCTTTACCTACAAGACATTTTTAAAAAGGCCAACACCAGTTGAATGTATAGCCACACAGAAATGAAATAGAACAATATATTTACTGTCTGTTCATTCATAAATCCACCTAACATTCATCAAGCCCGTGGTTTTATGTTTTGTTTTGTTTTGTTTTGTTTTGTTTTTTTTGGGGGGGGGACCGTGTCTCGCTCTGTCATCTGTCGCCCAGGCTGGAGTGCAGTGGTGCAATCGGGCTCACTGCAACCTCTGCCTCCCAGGTTCAAGCGATTCTCCTGCCTCAGACTCCTGAGTAGCTGGGATTATAGGTGCCCACCACCACACCTGACTAATTTTTGTATTTTTTAGTAGAGACAGGGTTTCACCATGTTGGCCAGGCAGGTCTCAAACTCCTCACCTTAAATGATCCACACACTGCGGCCTCCCAAAGTGCTGGAATTACAGGCGTGAGCCACCGCCCCCGAACTCAAACCTATGTTCTGTCGGAGGTACTGAGTATATGGAGCCGAAAAAGTGATCCCTGCCCCTAGGAATATTCAACCTGGGAGTTTGTGGTAAAATACACCTTATTAAACAATTGACCCTAAAGTTTTAGAAGTCTAATTTTGACAAACATGTTTAAATCTTTTAAAAAGAAAATGTATCTATTTTCATCACTGACCCTGACAGCTTTTCAGAAATGATACTTTACACATTGGTGAGTTTACCCTTGAATAATTTATCTAAATGATTAGGCTCACTGCTTTATTTACCATCAGATGCCCAAATCATCCTTTTCCCACCATGTTTCATCCTGTAAATGTAGCTCTAAATTAATTCAAGATAAAAACATTATTCTCCTCATTTTTATTTCCCTTCTTGTCTTTTTTGGCACGACCCAAAAGGCAGTAAGAATATAAATGCTTGTTCCACTTTTTTGAGAAAACAGAAAAGCTCCCATTCAGAGGTGCAGCTGGTGTTGTCCAATGATGCTTCATACAGAACGACTGCAAAGCTAGAAGCGAGTCCCAGCCACACATGCAGCGGGTGTGTGGTATTCATTGTGCCACTGTTAGAGCACTCAGCAGACTGGAAATCAAGTCCTGCATAGCACTTGATTCTTTTTCTACTACATACATATATGCAAACACACATATGTGTGCAAAAAAATTAACAATTGCACAGCAACAGTTCCTACAATGTGCAAAATTAAAACTTCAAAAGATGTAAGAAGTATGGTGAAAACTGAGTTTCCCTGCTACTCCTGACTCCCTGTACCCCTCCCCAGAGGCAACAGTTGTTCCAGTTTCTTAGGTATCTTTCCAAAAAGATGCTATCGAGGCACCTCTGCCAGCTTGTTCTCTCTCCTTCCAAAGCCAAACACTTTATTTCAGACAATTGTGTATTTAAAAGTATCCAGTTATATATTAAATATGAAAAGCAAATGACAACAGTGTGTACAGGATGTTTCCATGTTTTAAAATAATAATGTGTTAGAAATGCAATATAAACCCGAATGGTAAATGATGCCTAGGTTGGGGTGTGGGGGTGCACTTCCTTCGGGAACCACTGCAGTTTAATATGTGAACTTGTGAAAACAAGAGCATGTAATTTTTTCATAATAAAGAAATTTTTTTAACTAAGAGACAAATTCACAAGCGGTCTTCTGAATGTGTAATTGTACCCGTGTGTGACGAGTATGAGTTTCTTTAGACTTCAGGTATAACTGATTGCGTTCTAAGGCCCTAGTGTGTCGTTATCTGTCCTTTGAAGTATAGGGATAACAAGTTGAACTAAAAGTAAATTCTTAGATGTGAATAGTTTTATTCAGATCTTGGATCCTTCACAAGTCAGTTAACTACAAACAGGAAGGGGAACAGCAAACATCGTGTTAAATTCTACACATTTCGAGTCCAAAACCCTGCTAGTGAATGCATATTATTATTTTCTCTCATGTTATTATTTTCAGAACACTCCCAGCTTAACCCAGGAAGCACAGCCGTTTAACCACTTACAGTTCTTAACTAGTAATATTAATTTTTCATCCTAACTAGTTCAGGTTCCTGGTTTCCAAATTGAAAAAATCACACAAAATATGTATACTGGCTAAGAGTGTGCTCGGCATGTAGCATTTTTCAAGAGCAACTTGATAGAATATTCACAGTGTTAAATTTTGGTACTCATTAATTGAGTGATTCTATTTCTCTGAATGTATCTTCTGGTAGCAGTCAGTTGTGATAATATTGGCATGTTTAAGCTGGTAAATTTTATTTCTAACATTATCTACAAATATAACAAACATGAAGAGAAACTCAATGTCCAAAATAGAGGAATGGTTAAATTTTGGCATATAACTAGAGTTAAGTTGATACGTGATAGACTATTACCCATCAGTAAATAAGGTTCTTGAAGATGAGTTGAGAACATGAGAAAGTATTTACAAAATTATGTTAAATATAAAAGAATGATATAAATATTCGTGCCTTATCAAGTGTGTATGTATTTGAAGGTAGGTTTTTTTTTTCTTTTCAGGATTTTCAAGTTTTCTACAATAACAATATATTACTCTTTTAAAGTTATAAGAATAGTTAAATCTTAATAAAATTGCTAAAGAAAATAATTATTAAAGTTGGAATATTTTTCTTTTCTTTTTAAGCTGTGGATTAAAAGTTTTCTTTTTAAATTATTTTCTTCCCTCTTAGAATATCTGAGAATTCTACTACTGTTGAAGTATTCTTTCATTTGTAATACTGTTAGTAAATTCTTAAAATTCTATTTTTGCATTTCTATTTTATTCATTCACAGATCTGAAGATGAACACAAATAGGTAGTAATTCTTTCCTTGAGTCCAATGCAGTTTTACCCTGTTAACTGCTTAGAGAATATCCTTTTATTGTTTGGCTTCATAAATCTCACTATAGCTACTTGAGTTCCCTTGTTTTATTCCTTTCTTGTATGAGGGGCACCTTTCTGTATTTTTACAAGTTGTTTTTCTACCTTTTTTTCTTTTTCTTTTCCTTTTTTTTTATTCTAAGACCTATTTTCTGTGGTAGGGCAAAATAGCTTGTTATTATCTTTAAATTATATTAGATTTCCAGCAAAATTATTCAGAAGTCATAGGGAGACGTAATGATCTTTGATCAGGTGTAGTTCTGTGTGTCTGTGTGTTTACTTTTTATGCTCCTTGGTTTGTGTTCATAATACACTTACTGTGGGTTGTGTTATAAGTCAGGGACAAATGGCATTTGTGTACATATGCTCTATGAATGTAAATTGATAAAATACATGAATATACATCCTGATGGCAATATGAAATGAAATACAGGCCTCTTGTGTGTATGCATGTGTGTGTGTGTGTGTGTGTGTGTGTGTGTGTGTTCTTGTAATCATCATTCATTGTGCTTGAAGTTCAAAGTCAGGCAGAGACAGTCGAGTAAGTTGCAAAATAGCCCTTCCCGGGAAGGGAATGCACTTGAGTACGAAACAGAACTCTCAATGTTAGCTTTACATTTCTATCTGATGGAATTTAAGGTTATGGAAACAACTGTAAAAATAATTTGTCTGAAAGAAGTCTGGATGCAGAAATATAATAGAGAAAATATTTGAGAATATGGTTCATCGGTGAGTGCAACAGATACTCTTCCCCGAGCACCACATGGTGCGGATCAAAGCATCCCATGACTTGGATCCGTGTGGCCAGATCATTACGTATTGATTGGAACCCCACTGGAGGATTAACCCCTTCGTGTTCATGCCAAATTTTCTCTCACTGTTGGTGTTAGGAATTTTAGGAATATAATCTTCTTGCCATTATTAGCTTTTTTAAAAAAAACACGAATCATCTGCTTGGATACATTTGTCTTCCTAAATTATTTTGGTATTATTCCAAATTATTTAATTGTACTCCTCTTTGCTGGATAAAATTAACTTGGGAAAAAATATGTGATTATATGAAAGCAGTTTCTGGGGGAAGGGAAGAGGAGAAAATGGATAATATTCCTTGTAGATGTAGCAAGAAAATCTCAAAATCAAGTACAGATTTTATAATTTTCATTATGTAGATTAAATAAGTTCTAGCTTTTTAAAGACTCCTTCGCAGTCTGAGTAAAGAGCTTTGCATCTAACAAAAGCCTGTCAAACACTTTTTCATACATAGATGTACATTTCTAACATTTGACTAAATACACTTAGGTACAATTTAACTCTTGCTTTTAGGCAACAATGCAGAATTAATTAGTCAATTACATGGGATGGGGGAAATCACAGATTTGTCTTGTCCACATTTGGCCATGTGGGCTCCTCCTGCCTTTTTTATCCTCGTCTGGTGGAATGGTTCTTGGCAGCAAATTCATTCTCTGGTCTTCTGTGTGTTTTCTTTCAGTTTGTCCCATGAGGAGCACCCCCATAGCCATCCTCTCTATGGACATGGTGTATGCAAGTGGCCAGGCTGTGAAGCAGTGTGCGAAGATTTCCAATCATTTCTAAAGTAAGAATGATTTTATTTTGTTTTCTTCTTTTACATAGCCAACACCTCCCACCGTTCATGCTTTGCTCATAAAATGCCTTTTTGATGGAGAGTTTCACCTCACCCCTTTGAGAGTGGACTCTAAATCACAAGGTCTAGTGCACTGTCATAGGAATAGTTACAAAATCTATTGAGGGTTGTACTACAATGGGAAAAAGGCTTACATTCAAAGGCGTAAGTCTTAGTAAGAGCCCATATTTACCCATTTTTCAGAGTGACAAGGATTAAAAAAAACGATTCCAGTATTAAACTTGCAGTTTTTTAGCGTTTACTTTTATTCATGTCCTTACATATCAAATCAATGACATATACACTATAATTTTGTTGTTGTTGTTGTTGTTGTTGGAGGTGTCATCTTCTTTTTTTTTTTAAATTATACTTTAAGTTCTAGGGTACGTGTGCACAACATGCAGGTTTGTTACATATGTATACATGTGCCATGTTGGTGTGCTGCACCCATTCCTCATTTACATTAAGTGTATCTCCTAATGCTGTCCCCTCCCCTCTCCCCCCACCCCACGACAGGCCCTGATGTGTGATGTTCCCCACCCTGTGTCCAAGTGTTCTCATCGTTCAATTCCCACCTATGTGTGAGAACATGCGGTGTTTGGTTTTCTGTCCTTGCGATAGTTTGCTCAGAATTATGGTTTCCAGCTTCATCTGTGTCCCTACAGAGGACATGAACTCATCCTTTTTTATGGCTGCATAGTATTCCATGGTGTATATGTGCCACATTTTCGTAATCCAGTCTATCATTGATGGACATTTGGGTTGGTTCCAAGTATTACTATTGTGAATAGTGCCGCAATAAACATACATGTGCATGTGTCTTTATAGCAGCATGAATTATAAACCTTTGGGTATATACCCAGTAATGGGATGGCTGGGTCAAATGGTATTTCTAGTTTTAGATCCTCGAGGAATCGCCACACTTTCTTCCACAATGGTTGTACTAGTTTACACTCCCACCAGCACTGTAAAAGTGTTCCTATTTCTCCACATCCTCTCCAGCACCTGTTGTTTCCCGACTTTTTAATGATTGCCATTCTAACTGGTGTGAGATGGTATCTCATTGCGGTTTTGATTTGCGTTTCTCTGATGGCCAGTGATGATGAGCATTTTTTCATGTGTCTGTTGGCTGCATAAATGTCTTCTTTTGAGAAGTGTCTGTTCATATCCTTCGCCCACTTTTTGATGGGGTTGTTTGATTTTTTTCTTGTAAATTAAGTTCTTTGTAGATTAGCCCTTTGTCAGATGAGTAGATTGCAAAAATTTTCTCCCATTCTGTAGGTTGCCTGTTCACTCTGATGGTAGTTTCTTTTGCTGTGCAGAAGCTTTTTAGTTTAATTAGATCCCATTTGTCAATTTTGGCTTTTGTTGCCATTGCTTTTGCTGTTTTAGTCATGAAGTCCTTGCCCATGCCTATGCCCTGAATGGTATTGCCTAGGTTTTCTTTTTCTAGGGATTTTATGGTTTTTAGGTCTAACGTTTAAGTCTTTAATCCATCTTGAATTAATTTTTGTATAAGGTGTAAGGAAGGGATCCAGTTTCAGCTTTCTCCATATGGCTAGCCAGTTTTCCCAGCACCATTTATTAAATAGGGAATCCTTTCCCCATTTCTTGTTTTTGTCAGGTTTGTCAAAGATCAGGTGGTTGTAGATGTGTGGTATTATTTCTGAGGGCTCTGTTCTGTTCCCTTGGTCTATATCCCTGTTGTAGTACCAGTACCATGCTGTTTTGGTTACTGTAGCCTTGTAGTATAGTTTGAAGTCAGGTAGTGTGATGCCTCCAGCTTTGTTCTTTTTGCTTAGGATTATCTTGGCAATGTGGGCTCTTTTTTGGTTCCATATGAACTTTAAAGTAGTTCTTTCCAATTCTGTGAAGAAAGTCATTGGTAGCTTGATGGCGATGGCATTGAATCTATAAATTACCTTGGGCAATGTGGCCATTTTCACGATACTGATTCTTCCTATCCATGAGCATGGAATGTTCTTCCATTTGTTTGTATCCTCTTTTATTTCATTGAGCAGTGGTTTGTAGTTCTCCTTGAAGAGGTCCTTCACTTCCCTTGCAAGTTGGGTTCCTAGGTATTTTATTCTCTTTGAAGCAATTGCATATGCACTTTATTTTTATAAAATTGGTGACAATTACTGGCCAATTGCAGCTGGGTGATTGGACCCATTCTTTGTTATACAATTGACTTTATAAATGTAGAAAGCAGATGGCGAGGAAAGCTACCAATTTGGTTCTTAACTTTCTATATTGGTATTGACTTTTGTTCAGGTTCTTGTCCTTATAGGGAAAGTGGAGTAACAATTTCTACTGTTAAAGTATGACTAAGACCTGGGTTGGCCCATTTGAAGCTATAACACCTATAAAGCATCTCTGTAAGGAAATAATATTAATCTCATAGCTGAAGTGAAATGCTTCTATGCTATTCCTTACTTGTGTTACCTTGTCAGTTAAAAATAAAATTTAGACCAAACTGCCCTCCATTTTTGTATCATATAAATATATTCATAATATCACTGAATCATTAACCTATGAATTGAATATAATGTTACATGATATTATAGACATGTAATCAAACATATGCACATGTATACCTATAACATAGGCACATGTATAACTATAACATATGCCCATGTATACATCTGGGTGCTTGATGGTTTACAAATTGGGTGTTGGGGACCATCTCCTTCTAGCTTTTCTCTCTCATTCAAGCCCCAGGGAAACAGAGGTGAGCTGATTTATGTGCAGGTCTCCAGTTTTGTGTGGTCTTTATATTGTTAGAACAGTCTCTGTATCTATCTTTATGGACCCGATACAAATATTGTAATAAAGCCATCCTTAGAGAGATACCTTGTGTTACCTGCAAGCAGTTTTGGTGAATATAAATTTTTGGTTAATGAATGGAAGCCTGTGAATCTATTTCATAGCTTTCTTGCCTCAGGATTATACTCTGAGAGCATTATGTAGTCATTGAAAACTTAAGTACTTAAAAATATTTTAAAAGAGATGTCCAAAATTGCTTCTAGATGTGAACAATCACGATCAGCAATGCTTTATTTTAAATTAAGCAACAGCCGTTTACAATTATTATCATTCAGAGTAGTGATATTGGGTTTTGTTTTGTTTAGAAATCACTCACTATAGAATCTTAGTTTTGTTCTTTCCTGATCATTTGCCTAATCATATTTATATAATGAGAGAAAAAGAACTTGGCAGAGCCACTTTTAAATTCTGAGTTTTTTCTTCTACACCAGTGCTAGGTTTGATAAATACCTTGGTACCGATTTCTTCCATCTGTAGAATGGCTGATAAACATCTGTAAATATGATTTATTGTTATAAAGTCTCTAGAACTATAAAATTGCTATCCATAAGCTCAGGGACATATATCAGTTTCAGAGTCAGAAAGGGAAATGACAGTTTCTAGACCCATTTTAAACATTTTGTTAATGGCTAACTTATGCCTACCGTAAAAAATCCTCAAATCATAGGTTCATTTGTTATGTGAGCTGACAATTAGGTTATATTTATTAGAAGATTATCCCAAAAAGGAGAGAGAATAATTTTCGTATTAAAGAAAATAAAGATCATTAGAATTGGGGCCTAGACTCAATTCCTATAAAAGAGCCCATTTCTCTTCTAAAGATATTAGAAGTCTGGCACTTGTATAGGAAACCACCTATCAATTATTTATTGTGGTTTTGCACATGACACGACATGTTCTCAGTTCCTGTTTGCTCAGTGGAATTGGAATGCCCACTATCAACCTGCAACTGTTGCTTGGTTATTTCCTGGTACTTATTTATTGACTTATATTTGTAAGACGACTTTTGTTTGTAAGTTACAGAAACCCAACTTAAATTGGCTGAAGCGAAAAAAATAAATAAATAAATGAGGGATGATAATTGGCCCCTATTGCTAGGAAGTCCAGTGGTACAGCTGGCTTCAAGCATGGCTAGATCCTGATATTTAACCAAGGCTGTTGGAGTATTGATTGTCCATTAGCTCTGTTTTTCTATGTTGTCTTCATCTGGGGGCTCTTTCCAAGTGGAACTGAAGAGGACAGGTTTATTAATCCCACAGAGTATCTCTTTCCATGTAGCCCCAGAAAAAGCCATAGGCAGACTGTCATTGGCCCAGATTGAGTCATGTGTTCTAGCTTTGAGCCAATCACCATGATGTGCCCTGGCTTGCATTACATGCTGCCTCCAGAACAGAGGGAGATGTTCACCCCACGTGAACCACATGGGGGCTGGGGATGAGAAAGTTGCTTCAAGAATGTAAAAATGAATATTGTAAAGTAGCAAAGGAGAGCAAATGCTGAGTAAGAAGAAACTCCCCTAGATGCTTTCCTGAGTTACGCATTGACTGGTCATATGTAACAAATTCAGGATTTCAGTTTTCCTCTACAACATGATTTTAACTCTTGGAAATTCAGAGTTGTCTTCAGGTATCAGGATCTTGCCTAGTGCAGTGGAAAATAAGTTAGTCTTCTTGTAGATTCACATTTCCCACTTCTCTGTTCAGTCTAAAGGGAAATCAAATTGACTTTGATGAAACCAACTTTGTTTTCCATTGAACCGAACTGAAAGAAGCTAGCAAACTTCTGTGGTTCAAGTAAAAACCACCTGGCTTCTTTGAATGATCTCACTGGGTGGGGGGGGAGGGGGGGTTATTGTCATCAGAGAGTGATGCATCAAGTACTTTGCTCAGATTGCTGGATTCATAGATCCTGAAAGCATCTTCATTTGCTTCAGTGGACCCAAAATTCTCTAGTCTACGCTTCTCTTCAGTTGTCCCTTTCTTTTTTAGAAGGGATTTCTTATGGTTTAGGCAAATTGATAGCAGTGTTGCTTGAATTCTCCTTGGTATTCTTACTTAATAAAGGTAACATTGCTTTGACCTTGATTTAAGTGTTACTTCATAGATTATTTTCACCTATTTTCTGTTCCCTTGATTTTACACTCCCCTAGTAATAGTTTATAATTAAATAGTACTGAACCTTAAAACAGGCATAGTCCCGAAATGCTTCACATATATTAACTCATTTAATCCTCACAAACAGTTTATGCTAGTATTGTAGTAGTATTCCCAGCATAGAGTTAAGGAAACTAATGCCCAGAGAGGTTAAATGATTTACCCAAGGTCACACAGCTAATAAGAGGTGGAGTCAAGGTCCAAACCCAGGCAGTCTGGCTTCAGAAGACTTATTCTTAACTGCTGCATTATACAGCCTGGTTAGAGGCAGCACTTCTTATTGACAGTTTGCTTTCTGCTTGGCAGTGGATGTAAAGAAAGTTTTGGAGAAAGCCTGACTGGGTAGTGAGGACATTATTAATATGTTCTTTGAACTAGCCACATGTCATCTGAGCCTCAGTATCAGCACATGTGATTTGGGATGTTAACCACTTTTTACGGTTGTTAGAATTAAAAGGTACACCAGGCAAGACACAGGTGGTTTACCCCTGTAATCCCAATGCATTTGGAGGCTAAGGTGGAAGGATTTCTTGAGGCCAAGAGTTTGAGACCAGCCAGGTCAACATAGCAAGACCCTATCTCTGCCAAAAAAAAAAAAAAAAAAATTCAGCTGGGTGTCGTGGCATGTGCCCATAGTCTTAGTTAATTGGGAAGCTAAGGTGGGAGGCTCACTTGAGCCCAGAAGTTCGAGGCCGCAGTGAGCTATGATAATGCCACTGTACTGTAGCCTAGGTAGCAAAGCAAAACCTTGTCTCTAAAAATTAAATAAATGAATGAGTAAATAAAAAGTACATCATATAAACTGCCTAGCCCATACTAGGCACTCTTTAAAAGCGTTAGAACTTCTTAACCTACTTAGATATATTTATTTTTCAAGGATGAGTAATTTTAAATATCCAAAAATTTCCAACCTTCTACCTAGGAAAAGGAGTTGTGACTATGCAAAGCATTGATATATCCGAAGAAATTGTTCTGTAATAGAATGTTTTAATCAGAAACCTCTGGTAAAAAGTCCCACACAGAGGGGAGGGCATGGCAAATTTTTTCCATAAAGGGGTAGACAGTAAATATTTTCAGCATTGCAGGCCATACAGTGTCTGTCACAGCAACTCGACTTAGCTCTGCCATTGGGGTACAAAAGCAGCCGTTGACCATGCGTAAGGAACAAGGAACGAGTATGGCTGTGTCCCTTGGACCACAGTTTGCTGTACCATTTTTGGTGTCACCAACATATTTTTAGCTGAGGAATGCTTTTGTGGCCCCGGACATAGCTATCCAGGGTTATGTTAGCTTGGATTCACAGAACCCTCAAGTTAGTCATATTTGAGGGGAGATATCCACGTGTGTCATGCGCCCCCCCCCCCCCGCCCCCATGATTTCATTGACCAACCATGGTTGCTGTACTTCCTTGATCTTGGGTTCTTCCACCCAGTTTTTAGGGTTCAGACTAAGGGAGAGGAAGTGACTTTGCCAGGTAACAGCTTTCTGGTCTTCTGCAGCTCCAGATTAATAAGCTGTAACTGTTACAGAGGCCAAGCTTGGTTCTTCAGGATAAAAATCCCATCTGTCAATACTGTGCCACTGTTAACAGAGAGAGGGGTTCAGAAAAAAGAGAGGTGGGGGGGACTCACAGGTCTAAAACTGAAGCATATTTTTTTTTCCCTCCTGAGGAAGAAATATCATAACTGTTGGTAAATCAAAACCAGAGATTTGACACTTTTCTGTGATCATTCTGCAGCATTTGTTCCCAAGGTGAGGTATACCACAGGGCCCTTGATTTCAAAGATAAATACTGTACAAATAACCATCCTGTTGTCTTTCCCTCACCGCCAACAGAGGGACGCTTTATCAGAATCAGCAGATACCCAGTCTATTGTATGCATTTATTTCCCTGTTTCTTCTGAAAACAACTTGCAGTTTTAGTGTTGATTTTTTTTTAATCTATCAACCATGAGTTATCATGTGACTGTTGCATTTGTTAGTGCTAACTGATAGCAGCAGGTGCTCCTGCTAACTCTAATGAAATCGTCCAGCCCTGCATTGCTTGGCATCCTCCGATAACAGAAAAACAAAAACAAGTCCCGTATCATCCAGAGTGGTGTGAAGCTCATCGGCGTTCTTCCATCTTCTCCCCACTTGAGTCCTTTCTTTTTTCTTCTTTTCAAACCAGGTGAAAGACACAATCTTCACTAGTAAAAACGTGGATTTGTAATTCTTCCCTTTCCTCCCCCTCCCTTTTTTTAATGCTCATGTAATGCATTGGCAAAATGAGGAGTAGATTTGAAGGTTAAATCCTGACCACATTTCCCTGTTTTTAACTTAGAAGGTAAAATCAAATGCAGGCCCATAGTTTCACAAACACCAGGTACTCTTATGTGCTTGGGGGAAAATGTTTCCATTTCTCCTAGTTTTTCTTTTAAGTGACCACTTGTATAACGTCTACTAAAAGTATCATTTGTATCCTTGCTTAGTATCCTATTTGAAAAGAATTTTTTTTCTTTTGGTGATTTCTCAGGGAGAAAAACTTCATGCAGAACAAAACAAAAATTCCCTTGCTTGTTAGATGTATGTAATTTATGAAAGCCAAAATAAACTGTATATGTGCTGTAATGGAAGACAGAGAAATGTTGAAGAAAATGCCCAGAAATGGAACTTTGACCCTTCCCGAAAGGTCGAGGGCTGTAGACAGTAGAGGACATTTCATTGGTAACTTGCTTTTTAAAATTTTTTTCTGTGAATTTTACTTTTCAAAACTGTGAAGAGTTTTGTGTGAAAGAAACTACTAAGTGTGCTCTGTAATGTTTTCACAAGTGTTTTTATCATGGTAACATCTTGTTTACTTTAGTTCCCTGCCTAAAACTACTTGGAACATGTTAAGAAAACACTTCAAGAAAGCCTCGACAAAGAGGCTTTTGTTTAACAGCCACCATGAGGCAGCGTGGATCACAAAGGTGTTAACTTTCAGCCCCTTAAGCACTTCCACATGAAATTCCAGCAACTATGTTTGTGGTTTTGGAAAAACAAAGTGTATGTTAAAGAAACCAGGTATATGCTAATACATGTCGAAGGAGGCCGGATATCATAAATTGTTTCAAACCCATTTGTGGCTCTCGGCTTGCACGCCTGAATGTTCTGCAGTGAAATTACCTCTAGTTAGTGTAGGAGACTTCAGCCATGTAGAGGGAATAGCTGTCTATAATTGTGGATGTATGCAAATCAAATTCCAGCCTCACAATTTAAATCTCGAGAAGATGAGGATGAAAATTTTCCCCATCAGATCTGAGGTGACAAGTCTTTGAGTATTGCAAAATGAGCTGTATATTTTTATGAATTTGACTTTTCTACTTATCATGCATTTTTTATTGGTTTTAGAAAAATAAAAATAGGGTGTTACCAAAAAAAATTTTTTCCCCCTTTTAATGTCTTTTTTAACCTTTCTGACATTGCTTAGGAGTTCAAGACCTTTCTTAGTACTCGAAGAGGTCAAAGTGGCCTAAATACCACAGTGCCCTCTAGTGATATATAGAATATTAGATAGAAAAGTTTAGACAAGTTTGCCAAAGATAACAGGCCCAGTGCCACCTCTTTGCTCAAAAGGAAGCAAATAACATTTGAACGCATTTTTTTTCAACAAACAGATTTTAGTTAGAAATGCAAATTAAATTTAAATTTTTCTTGTAGGCTTTGAAAACATTGGAAAATTTTTTGAATGTCTACTTATGCAATTAATTCTACATATAACTGCATATGTGCATGCGGTACATCTATATCACTGTAGATGCATTGTTGAGTGTTCTTATATTTTAAGAGCCATTAGTTAGCTTAGGTATTTCATGTGATCATTTCCGGCATGTAATTAGAAGGCATTACTTAAAAGACAGGGATCATCTTTGCTCCATACTTTTATTGACACTGTCTACCATATTATGGCCATGTCTAAATGGTAAAATTTATTATTAGCAATAGTGTCACAAAAGTCTGAGACAGCGATTTTCCTTTCAATAAAAGTAGTTAAAAACCTTTTAGAAAATCCATAATTTTGATTGCTGGTACTTCATAAACGTATAACTGGTACTTTTTAGCTGTCTCTTTAGGGAAAAATGAGTTTTATCACCTGCGGTACCTGGGTTAATGAAATTGTGTGTTGGAATTTAGCCAGGATGAAAGATGAGATCATTCCAAGACACTAATATTGGCAACAGGTCTCATAAAAAGCTCTGACTCTTGAGTGAAGTATCATTAGATTTTTTTATTATTATTATTTTATTTAAATTGAGAGATTAAGTTAGTTGTCATTTTCAAAGCTTCTGTACTAGCGAGATTCTCATTTGGCATTACGTTCAAAACCCAGTGACCTAAAAACCTGTACGGAGCCAAGAGAAACAGAGAAGTGTCCATCAGTGCCTAGTACAAGAATTTCCTTGCTTCAAATTTCAACTCCAGTTCCTGTTCAGCCCTTTACAAATCACGACTCTCAGCTCAAATTTGAAATAATGCTGCCTTTTTCCCCCGTGTTCCTCCTGTGTTTGATTGTTTGTGGATATTAGCTGTCCAGGAAATCCCATACTTACAGATATAAATCCAGAATGATCTTGTTTTTCCGCAGCCAGCCCAGGATGTATTAGACAGTTATGATGATTTGTTAATTTTTGTGACCTGTATTTATTTTATGTGTGCTGTATACTTCGAGGCTGGAATCAGCTGTTGAAATGCTCTCCGTCTCTCACAGGCAGAAAGGAAGCGCTCTACTTTTCCTTTTCTGCTTTGGATTTTCTTGCTTTATTTTTGGAAGGTTTTTTAAATCTCTTCACGTCTGCTTTTTATGCGCTTCTTCCATATGGTGATAAACAAGAGGTACATTGTGTTTGATAGACTTAAACTCAATCCTATCAAGGGTGGGTCTTTGGAGATGCATGAACAGGGTCACATTCTTTCCAAATGTGTTTTCCATCCATGATGTGTCTTGACTGTGTAATTCTATTCTCGTTTTTATGGTGATATACATTTCCCCCAAATAATATATTAATCCTCAGATTTAATATGTGTTTCAGTAGAATTCTGCCTATTACAGATAAGAAAATTATATTATAGTCTTGAAGAAGAATAAAAATCAACTGAAGTTAGCATTATTTTTTTTCTCTTATACCCGTCTTCATAAAGGGCACTCCTTATGATTCTGGTTTTTTTTTTTTTTTTTTTTTTTTTTTAAATCAGGTATTTGTTTCTCTCCACCTCTGATTCAGTTTCTATTCACAGAGACCCACTACTGCTCCTGAGTCTCAGTGTCAGCTCACTGGCTAAGAGATGCTGCCAGTTTTTGATGTCTCAACTTAGGATGGTTATAGAATAATGGAAACTAGGGCAGTCTACCAAAAAATTAAAGAAAAAGTAATAAAAATTCAATCCTACCAAACAATCTATATTTATAGTAGCCTGTTGTTTTTATAGCTGTATTTTAGCAAGATTTTATATTTGCATCAATTTCGGTCTGGAAAAATGACACATGCCAACGTTCATAACCGTTCCTGATGTCTCCACATTTTCCATAGCCCTTTTTATTTCAACAGCATTTCACTGGGCTGCATTAGAGGCCATTTGAATATTTCATTTCCTATTAATTATGCACTGTGACTCTCAGTGTCATTATAAAAAAGAGCCCTAATGTAACAAAGGATGAAAAGAACCATCAAGCAGTGTGACCAAAAGAAAATATTCCAAAGCTTGTCACGTATGACCGGCTTAACATCTCTAATTTGAAATCCATTGCATTCATCTTAAATTAAAGCTTAAGGAATCTACCTTTACCTTGTTTCTTTTGCTGCATGTTTTAGGTGACTGAATTTTTAGTTAAAATATTAATGGATTCTGAAGGTAGAAAGTCTTTCTTTTTTAAGTCGTCAAAATGTGCACAACGTTAAGTATTTAGTTATATCTGTAATTTTTGCATTTCACCTTTAAACCCTGGTTAAAGACATAGCTGTTAATGAAAACTGTGCACTTCAGTTAATAGGTTAATAGCCATTAACTATTCAGCTAATAATTCTTAACTATTAATCACTACAACTCTCTTTTCATTTTATTGGTGTTACGGAAGAAAATATAGTGTAGGTGTTAATTTATCAAAAAGAACAGGATTATCAGAATTTCATATTACATTTCTAGCTTTCAGAAAGATCATCATCATCGTGATTAAATAAGGCAAAATCATTTTTTTTTTACTAATCTCCTTGATTATAACAGGCTCATGTAATATTTTTTTTTCCCAGAGCTATTTCTGCTGACCAAATTATCCAGTGTATGGTAGCCGTGATCATTTTAAAAACAAAACAAAATACAGTGGCATTTTTAACAAAACAAATGTTTGTCTAACATTTGAATTCTCCATTCTTGCAGAAACAATTGTTTTGCTTTAATTTTCTGAACTTGGGGGGGGATGTAGGGTTCCACTTAAAGTCCACAATGCTGTGTTTTCTTTATGTTGGTTAGATAAAGGAAACTTTAAACTATAGTAAATAACCAAAAAAAAAAAGTGAAATTCCCAAAGTCAGCTTGGGCAACATTTGCTGAACTCCCAAGTTGAGCACGGAAGCATGCCTAGTGACAGTGACCTACATGGTCACTGAAGATGTGATATAATTTATGATATATATAATATATTGGATCCATTAGCGAGCATAATGAAGTAGTGAAATGAAAGGGTATTTGTGAAATCAGTTCAAACATCCTGCTAGGATTATGATTAAATGATTAATGAAATGCTCCTGCATAAGCATTTTCAAACAGTAATTCATGCAGAGGCTGATAAAAATCCTCCAATCATATTTCCTTCAGTCGTGAACCTTATCTCGACCATTTTATATAAATCATGAAATACGTTGTCTGCCGGCAAGCTACTTATTTAGATTAGTTATAAATGTGCAGAAAAAGGGAACATCTTTGCAGTATAAAATAATCACGCATAATTATATTCATAATTCAAGCTTGTGACAGATTCCATCTTTCTTATTCTTGTTGTCCTTTGCCTTCCTTCTGGCTTCATTTGATTTCTCTTATCTTGATGACATAATTAACTGCTGAAGCTATGGGAAAAAAAAAAAATAAGGAGTCTTAGGGAATCCAAAAGGGGTTTATTCATTTATATATACACAACAGCAGTGCAAAATCACCATATGTGTTAATCCACAAATACTGTGTTTAAACATCATTAAGGACATAACTGTGTCCTGCAAAAGAGACACAGAACCAGGCTCTCACTGCGTTTCATTATCTTCAACCCCTTGTAGATCCACTGCTAGCGGAGTAATCAAGTAAGTGAAGGCCTTGCTTTTTGTCCGTTTGGATCTTTTATCAGTTTGGCGAGGGTGACTTTGAAGAGCGATGGTGCAGCCTGGAGGAATTTCTTGAGGGCAGTGATGCCCAGCTTCCAGTAGCATCTGGCATGTCGTTTGGGTTCTTAGCAAATGTTAAACAGATGAATCCAGCTCCTTCCAATGAATGTATTTTATAAGTGGGTTTAGTACTATTTCCTTACCAAAGTCCCTCAACACTCAGGGAGTCCACTGGGTCCTGGTCTGTGGTCTTGTTTCATTGGTGACAGCTTATTAGAATGAAAGCCTCTTTCTTTACTTCCAGTGAAGCAAACAGTGTCATCGAGTGGATGGAATCCTAGGTGAGACAAGAGACTAATTGCAAGGGTTGGGGCACTGATTACCCACGTGGTTTGAGGCAAGTCTCTTGGGATCTCTTGAACCTCGATTTCTGAATTTGTAAAATGAGGAATTGAACTAACTCCCGAGTTCTGACACTTTGAGGATCGTGGGCTCTTTTGCAAATCTCTTGACAGTTGCAGACCCTCCCTGGCCCCAAAACATAGGCTAAAACTTTTGCATGCAGTTTCAAGAAGTGGAATGATCCCAGTTTAAGAACACCTGAACTAGGCCATTTTCTCAATTACAACATGCTTCTTTAAAAGCAAGTTGTAAAATATTATTCACCCCAGGTGAGTGAGCAGCATGTGAAACTGCTTAGCTCGGGCTTCCTTGTGTGGTCTTCTATTGTTTGTTCATTTACTCTTTAAACAGAATACACCATAGTCATTATTCTGGCCTAAGATTGGAGGTAATACCTTGAAGGTGCATCACTGTTGTTCACCATAATGTCTCCTCTTTACTGCTTTTTTGGAGGGGAGCGAGGATGAGATGAATAAGTATGAAGAACAGCAGAATTTGTATCCGTTTTGTTTTTAAGGTAAAAGTCATTACAAGTAGTTTTAGGACATGAAATAACTACATTTTGAGGGCTGTTAAACAAGAGGGGATGCATTAACAAAGGAGTGAGCTTTAATTGTACCTAGTCAAGTACCAGAGGTGAACATTTGTTTTACTTAGTTGTTTCAAAGGGTTACAGACCTGGGTTTTAAATCTCTGATTCAAACCACATTTGGAACAAAAACCTGAAATAGGGTAGCACCCAGAAGCCTTAAAAATCAGCTGTCCCTGTTGTTGTTGTTGTTATTGAAGTATTCAACTATTTTTATCTTACATCCAAATTGTAATGTGGCCTAAATATCATGACAGTCTTGTTCATAGAATTTGAGGCAAATATCCCATTACAGAATCAGGTCTGCTGTATCACTAGTAAGAAAGGACTGAGTAATGTAGAGACATGAATTTTTATTTTCAAGACTTTAGGCTTTGATTCAGCCCTCTGATTACCAGAGCTCCTGCGTATGCTAAAACTGATTGAAATTTCAATTTGTTAGCCTTTTCCCTGTTGGAAAGTCTAATAAATAGTAAAAGGACCACAAGACAGGCATACTCAGCATGTGGCCTGAATCATCCGTAAACTGGATATCTAGACCATCAACAATCAAGAACCCAGGCAGAGTTTTCCTTTTAAATAATTGTCTGCATTTCTCTCCCCCACCCCCCACCATTGGTACATAATTTGCATGTGTAGGCTCATGTTTCAGGTTTCATATGTTTAAAGTTGCTTTTCTACCCTTTGCCATTTCTGACATTCACGTGAATGCATTTCAGTATATGGATGTATCATCAGTTATATGAAGTCAGTTTTCCTGTGGTCAGACGATCCTGTTCCAACCCATACAAATTAGACTCTTCCGAAATACCTAGCAGGCCCTGTCTCTGATTGCTGCCCATTAAGGTGGTCTTGAAATGCCACCCTGGCTGAATTTCTTACTTATTTATGTGTAAATGGTTATCTCCAGACGCCCTGCAGAACTTCTCCCTGGAAGGCTTTTCTTTGGGTGATAACAGTGTGTGCCACATTATACATAATGACAGCATTAAAGGGTGGGGATGGAAAGGACAGGCCACCCCCTGGACTACTATCTCCTGGGAGCTAGACCCGCTGCCTAGTTTATGCTTAAACATCCTGGTAACTTATATTTTCCTTTTTGTTTCTCCATTTCACTTAATGATTTTCTATGTATTGTTGCAGACATCTCAACAGTGAGCATGCGCTGGACGATAGAAGTACAGCCCAATGTAGAGTACAAATGCAGGTTGTACAGCAGTTAGAGCTACAGGTAAAACCACATTTATTTTTAATATTAACCTCAGTATGCCTCAAATTCCAGATTTCTGTAGTGTTCTGTAATGAGTTCCTGTGTACTCATTATTGAATGGAAGGTCCAAAACCTGTCATTGTCCTTTATTTTATTTTATTTTATTTTATTTTATTTTATTTTATTTTATTTTATTTTTTACCTCTTTGGGCAGGTTCAGCCCCAGTTCACTCTTTGGAACTGCTGCTCAGAGGTTTCCAAATTCTGGGCACCTGTGTGTATGCAGCCAACTCTCAGCGGCCACTTTGAATGTTTCCATCTCTCTCTCACTTTCCCTCTCTTCTCACTTCTCCTTTGCATTTTCTGGTTATCTGTTGTCAGTGTAAGTCCTCGACGTTGCTCATATGATTAAACTGGAGCTAGGAAGACAAGCTTGGGGAAAGAGAGTTTGAGAGAATGAATGTGAATGAAGAGAGAAAGAGCGAGCGAGACCAAGACGGCAAGGCAGTGCACCCAAAACCGTGTTTTCCCAAGTCGCAATGGAAGTTATATGTGGGTTTATTTCTCATTTTGCATTGTCCTTTTTTCTCTCCACCACTAAGAATAACTGAGAGTTCACCGTGCACATCTTAAACACACATGCACATAATCAGATATATTAATGTAGAGTGTATATATATATATATATATAAAATCTAGTATTTAGAAACCCATTGGGCTATGTTGAATGTGCTTTATGACTAGGGAAAATAAAGTTTGCAGATTTTCCTGGGAATCACAGTGTGAGAGATGGGGCCTTTTTTTTTAAATGTGAGTTCTACTTCCGGGTATAACTTGATAAACTACCATATTTTAACAATAATTCCATTCTTGGTATAATTAATAGAAAATTAGTTTCTAAAAGTAAAAATTAGGTCAGAAAAGGAGATTATTAAAATGTACAATTGCAACAGCCTGACCCTGCAAACCCCATTTATGCAGCCGAGTTCCAAAATGCTTTTGAGTGCTTGATGACTCACAGTGGCTTCTTCCTCTGGCTGGTCTAGTGTAGGCAAGAGGTTAGCCGACTAGGGGAAATTAAAACAATATTGTACATTATATTGTTACCAGCCATCGAAAAGCCTATTTTGTATGCAAGACAGCGATGCTGAGATATATGGAGAGCCCTAGGCTAAGTACAGAAGATAATTACATTTGGAATTTTACTGAGTTAAGTCATTTACAGCTTCAAATAGTTGCAGAGAAAAATCAGCCAAAATACACTTAAACTTTTTGTTGTGACTTTTCAGGATAGAAAGGATTTTTTTTTAATTAGTTATCATCTTATATGACCAATTACATTTTTTTAGTAGGATTTGTCTCAAAAGTTATTTTTGTTAGCCAGTTAATATTTTTCCATTCAAACTCTGGATATAAACTTATTAGAACAGTAAGATATTTATACAAGAAAAGGGCACATCATAAAATCTCAACATTTTAAAATAAGTCTTTGGAAACATCTTTAAATTAACATGTTTATTGAGAAGAAAAAAACAGTAGTAGATGTAACCCACCCACAGAGTTCTTTTATGATTAAGACACAGCCCTTGACAAACTGGATTCAAAAGAATAAACTGGAAGATCTGGCCTATAATCACAGCCCTTTGGGAGGCCAAGGCGGGTGGATCACAAGGTCAGGAGTTCGAGACCAGCCTGGCCAATATGGTGAAACCCCGTCTCTACTAAAAATACAAAAATTAGCCAGGTGTGGTGGCGGGCACCTGTAATCCCAGCTCCTCGGGAGGCTGAGGCAAAAGAATTGCTTGAACCCGGGAGGTAGAGGTTGCAGTGAGCCAAGGTCGCGCCACTGCACTCCAGCCTGGGCGACAGAGTGAGACTCCATCTCAAAAAAAAAGAGAAAGAATAAACTACCTTCCTACCAGAATTTGTACATATTGGTGGTACTTATAAAGTGATAGGAGCTCCTGCATTTATTTATATGATAACATTAAATTCTTAATGATGGGCTAAAATAAATCGTTGACTAGAATTGTCATGGTTTGTCGGGTAGCCGTTTCTAGACTACAGATTAGAGTGTTCAGCCATTGTTAATTACTCAAGAAGTGAGCATTTATTTTATGAATTATTCTTCGCTCTCCACAAAAAGAGGTCAGGAGAAGGAAAAGATTTAGACCATCATCAGTAAATTAAGTGTTTATTTCCTGGCAGCTTTCATGTTGTTTTTTGGTGGGTGTGGCCTAGAAGTAGTACAAACATACAAGGATTCTTTGATTATTTATAGATTTCATTTATTTCTAGATTTCCTTTTATCCTTCAGCTATAAATCAAACTGAAGGCAGATTTTTCAGCTTTGATAGACATCAAAGATGATCTGGCCAGAAGTTAGTACAATGTGGTCGTTACCTGTGATGTTCCTCGTAATGTTTTTGTCGGGGAGTTTGCCGTAATGGAAGAAGGGACAGGCTAATTCTGACGTGTTCCATTTCTGCAAAGCTTGAGGGAATTATCAGAGTGATGACATAGACCTCGTTGAGAGCAGGGGTTAGCAACCCACAGACCCCAGGCCAAATCTCACAAGCTAAGGAATGTTTTTATATTTTAAATGGTTGAGGGAAAAATCTGAAGAACATTATTTCGTGACTGGTGAAAAGTCTAGGAAATTCCAATTTCAGTGTCCATGCGTAAAATTATATGAGAACACAGCCATACTCATGCCCATTCATCTACTGATTACCTATTGCTGCTTTTGCACTACAGTAGGAGAGTCAAGTAATTGAAACTGAAATCTACATGGCCTGCAAAGCTGAAAATATTTATGATCTGGCTCTTACAGAAGTTTGCCAGGCACCCCTGGTCAAGAGGATCAGAAAAACAATTTATATTATAGTATTAGCAACTTGTCCCCTTAGGTTCTGGCTGCCTAAGCTCTGCTCACCCGCTTTTATCTCTTTCTTCTTAGCCAGGGTGTATAAAACCAGTCTAGTCTCCACATGGGTCAATTTTCCCTACTAGCTCTTCACATGGCAAGTGCCTGCCAGTTTTGGAGGTCATGGAAAGCTGGACGAGGGATAGTAATTCATTCTTTCATCCATGCATCCATCCATCCATTCATCCACCCAGACATCCATTCATCCATCCACTTATTTAGCAAGCATATTTCGAACCTATCAGATAGCAGGAATCTTGCTGGAGCTACTGCAGAGTACAATGATTAAAACAGATAAAGCTGCCCTCCAAGTTCTTACACTCTAGAAGGAAGAATAGACTACAAAATAATTTGCTAGTGCGACTGTCCATTCATTGGGCAGTGCTAGCTGACATTAACAGGTTCTTGAGAACACCAGAAATTTATTCAAAAGAGAGTTTCAGTGCTAGAAAGGGGCCAAGCCAAAGCAGGTTATATCCATTAGTTATCACTCAATCAGATGAAATAGATAAGAAAATGTTAGCAATTTTTAGTATTTAAAGAACCCTTGCCCTGAGACACAGTTAAGAGAAGCCTTAACCAAGGATTCGATTGAGAGTCTTTGAGTTGCAGACCTACCACATATGGGGGCATTTGGGACACAGTACAGTTATACTCGAATCTATTCTTTATAGGCTTCCTCCTTCTCCGCAGTTCAGCATTGCTAGGTTTGTGCTGTTGCATTTGCCACTTAACATACCAGTGTCTAGAAACATACTTTTTAACTTACTTGACTACCAGTCATTGTGCCCATAGAACCTGAATTATTGGGGCAATCAGGTCCCTCCAGCAGCAGGAACACTTAAAGAGATGTGCTTGTCGTCAAACAGCCTATTTCCGTTTTCTGTTGGCATCGTCCCTCCCTTGTTCTCTCAGCCACTGACTGGTGCATCACCTCCTTTAGAGGGGATTACCTGCACATTACTGACCCAAAGCCTATTTCGTATTTCTTAAAGCATTTATCAGTCCAGGAAAAACCTGAACCTCCAAGTATCTCAGTGTGTTACAAAATTATCATTGATTAGCTTGAACTTGAAAAACATTTGTCCCACGTAGCACTACAGGAAAGAGCAGTTAAGTTTTCATCAATTTCCAAAGGGGGATGATCACTGTATTAGAGTAGGAGGACAAATCTCCCCTGCCACTCAGACTCACAAGACCTCTCTCTTCAGCATGGTACGTAAGTGTTCACATGTGGTAGAGATAGACCACACATGTGCCCCATCGTAAAAGCAAACCCAGTAAGCTCAGATTGAATCTTACCATATACATCGATGGAGGTTCAGGATGTCTAACCTAGAGGGTCATCATAAAAGGATTCCACAGGACAATTCAGAGGGCACAGTAGCTGTAGAAGCAACCAAAGCTGGTGAAGGTCACTTAAGTGCTGTGTACCTAGACAGCCTCCTTGAATCTAAACCCCAGAAAACTTTCACCCAAAATGGAAGGCCCTTGTGTCTCTGATCTATCAGACAAACCTCCCTAAAGAAAAAGATGCAATTTTTCCAAAATAACTACTGTTAGCCATAGGGGATAGTGGCTGGAGATGTTCCCCTTCACAGAGCTATCTGTACAATACCAAACTTGAATTAAACTGAAAAGCTTTCAAGGCTGTACTGGTGAGATTTCAGGAAGCTGGGCAGAAATAAAGACAATGGGTTGTGGAGACTGATTTAGACTGTCTAATCAGCACTGTGCATGACAGCTGTCCTGTCCCTGTGTATTTAAAATATGACTTGAGGCCGGGCAGGCGTGGTGGCTCACGCCTGTAATACCAGCACTTTGGAAGGCTGAGGCGGGCAGATCACCTAAGGTCGGGAGTTCGAGACCAGCCTGACCAACATGGAGATTACCCCATCTCTAAAAACACAAAATTAGCCAGGCACAGTGATACATGCCTGTAATCCCAGCTACACAGGCGGCTGAGGCAGGAGAATTGCTTGAACCTGGGAGGTGGAGGTTGCAGTGACCCGAGATTGCGCCATTGCATTGCAGCCTGGGCAATAAGAGCAAAACTCCATCTCAAGAAAATTAATAATCATAAAATAAAATATGACTTGATTTACGAAACCACAGTTTCAATAGAAATACCAATTACAAAAGGCAAGGTACATCTATGTTTGTTAAATTATTGTTGAAAGATGTAAAAATATATGGTGAATGTTTTCTTAGCGGTAGAAAGAATGTTTATGTAGAGCTTGTTAACAGGGAAGGGTTGGTTAATTCCATTCTCTTGTTGCAACCTTCTACTGGTCTTATTTGGAGAAGAGTCAAGAAGACATCTCAGTGGGCCTTCTGAGCCTTTTCAAACATTTCCTACTGCATTTCATTATTGCAAAGACAGTTATAATTTTTAAACATTTTACCAGTGGACCCCAGCTATTAACTGGGATCTAAAAGTGTAAACCCTGAGAGGTGTGTGAGTTCCTTATACTATACACATAGACACCTAACAGTGAGACAGACACCATAAAAATCATTTGGGTCGATGACATACATGGCTTTTTGAAATCAGGGAATGCAGTAAGATTTCATCTGTTCTTTTTTGACAGATTCTTTTGGAATGATGTACAGATGAGATGAGTTAGAAATGGAATGGAGCAAAGTTCCCATAATCAGTATACATAATCTTATACAGGTTATGAAATGTGCAGTCTTCCCTCCACCCCCACCATGACAGAGGGACAGAGACACAGGAACTAGAAAGTTGTTGAGGATAAGAACTCCCCACTGAGAAATGCCATGGCCAGGATTGTAAGGAAACACTTGAAGCTTCCGCGATATTGGGCCCCCACTGTCCACCGGCCGTGGGCCTAGGGATTTAAATTCATATGAATCCAGATTACTTGGGTCCTCTTAGGTGGGACATTCATATGAACTCTTCCAGCCTCTAAGCTAAAGAAGAGATGTCACAAAAAGTTGCAGTGGTGGTTGGATTTTAATTCCGTTTGGGGAAAAGGGGAAACCATCTGATTTCACAGACAGAAAAAAAAAAAATACAAAAAACATCTGACAGAATTGACTTCACTTAGGAAGCTGAGACAGTGGTACAGATACATATTTCTGATCACATGTAGTGGTTTTAATTTGTTCTGTGATCATGTGACATTGCTAAACTGCTGTATATTTTTTCTGATGGATGAAGATGTCCTGATGTTTTCATCATGTGTCATCGGGGCAGGTTCAGGACAGGCTCCCTACAACCCCTCAGCCTCTAGGCCCTTTAAAATGAATATTGAAAGCAGGCAAGGGAAAAAGGAATCAACCAAACCAAGGTTGATCTGCCTGGCAGGCGACGGGGGTGGAGGTGTGTGTACCTTGTATTCTTTAATGATTTTATTCCATTCAGTCACTACTTACCAAGCACCTATTATATAGGGAGCACTGGATACAGATAGTAAGGTGGTGTGGCCTCTTCCCGTAATACACAACCTAGTAGGGTAAGACCAGGATGCCTTTAACTTCCCTGCCAGGCAGAGTTTCTAAAAGCAAGGGGTGAGGGATTGGGGAAGGTGACAGTGGAAAGGGTTGTTGGCAAGGACATTCCAGGCCAAGGGAGCCATGGAAGACGTTGCCTAGATTGTAGGATAAGGAAGAAAGGATAGTGGAAGGATATATTGCTCTTAAAATTAATCTGTCTGTTTAACACGAAATAGGGTGACCAACTGTCCCAGTTTACTTTCTTGGACTGAAGGGATTCCTGGGAGTTGGGATTTTCAGTTTCAAAACTGGAAGAGTCCTGGGCAAGCTGGGAGGAGTTGGGTCACCCTACTCCACTAGCTGTGGGAGAGAGCTATTGAATGCCCCATCTTCTGCTTGTAATTATTTCATCTGGCTTGGAAACCATTTGACTGGCCAGCTGTTGAGCTCCTGCTGTATGCCAGGGCACTGTCCTAGGTGCCTTATGTCCCGAATTTCTTGGAATCCCCACAGTCCCTCTGTGAGTACACACCACCCTATTTCCTTGATTCTAAGAGTCACTTTTTTTTCTTTTTCTTTTTCTTTTTCTTTTTCTTTTTCTTTTTCTTCTTTTGAGACGGAGTTTTGCTCTGTTGCCCAGGCTGGAGTGTAGGTGGCAGGATCTCGGCTCACTGCAACTTCCACCTCCCGGGTTCAAGCGATTCTCCTGACTCAGTCTCCCAAGTAGCTGGGACTATAGGCATGTGCCACCATGCCCTGCTAATTTTTGTATTTTTAGTAGAGACAGGTTTCATCATGTTGGCCAGCATGATCTCAAATTCCTGAGCTCAAGGGATCCGCCTGCCTCGGCCTCCCAGAGTGCTGGGATTACAGGCCAGTGTGCCCAGGTAGGAGTCACTTTTTAAAAGAAAAATATAACATTTGGAAATCAATATATGTCTTACATTTAATGAGTGTGTTTAATGTAATGTTTCTTCTCATTCTTTGAGAAGGTATTACTAAATCCATGGTTATTTTAACTATCACTGGCCTCTTAGAGTCAAAGAAATAATTTGCAGGGATCCCTCCCAGATGAGGAAACTGAAGTTTAGGAGGTCTGATTAACTTGTTTAATGCCAATGGCGAATAAGGGCAGAGCCCAGGAGGTTAACCCAGCCTTTGTAGCCTGTGCTCCTTTTATTGTGGGATCCTGCCTTAACGCTTCCACCCAGAGGATCATTGTGGCCCAGCTGGGCTCTACGCAGGAACTGGTTTTAAAACCCGGCTTTGGGGGCCATGCCACTCTGCCTTGCGGAGCTCTGTCCTGGGCATTCCATGGTAGCAAGGCAAGGCTGGAGTCCGGTGACACTGGGATCACTCCAACATCTCCCAAATCATCTACACCAGGAATTGTAAGCTCTAAGAAAATGTCAGCAGGGAGAAAAGTGCACAAGTTTCAGTAGCAGAGGGAGACATTAATCCTAACACAAATCAATTACCGTACGAACTTTACATGTGATTACTGTACCATTAGTGGTGCTATTTGTAATCACACCAGCCTCCTAGACTTTAGCAAATTTATTATCTGTAATGTATCCCCCTTTGGCCCTGTCTAACCCTGTTTGAGGCAATACTCAGGACAGTTCCTATACTAGCGGCCTCACAGAGCCTCCTGATATGCCCTGCACAAGCCCTGAGCACGTCGGGGAAAGAGAGGTCCTAACAGCACGGTAGTTCCATATTGCCAGTGCTTTGTAACTGGAGCCAAGAAAAAGAAGAGAGAGAGTCTCTGGGTTTCTCACTTCCATGTCCTTCTGTGAAAACCACGACACTTATTTTTCATAATTTAAAATCCTGCCTTACTCTGGGAGCATTAGAATTCCTAGACTATGACTTAGTATTAGTGTGCGTCTGCTTTAAATGTCAAGAGAGTCTTTAATAATAACATGTAAGGAACGTTAAGATGGTGACAGAGTACAATAAAAGTAGGGAAATTCTTCGATTGGGGTGCAATGAGCCATATATTGCCCACCACCTGAATGCGGTAGTTGGTGTGAAAGAACTCATTTAAAAGTTTTTCACTGGTACTAAGTTCTGAAGCCATAGTTTGACAAGGTGGGTCAAAAATAATTGATAAATGCTCAGTTTGGTAGAGTAATTTGAGTTCTGCTCCTTCTAGTCACTGCTTTTTCTCCCCCTTGTTTTTCTTCTTTTCATCATATGTACGTCAGAGACCTGTGTTATTGGATATACCCTGCCTAAGTAACTGGATATACCCTGCCTAAGTAACTGGATATGCTTGGGCCACATCGGGTTAATCTCTTTGGATCATCATTGTATACGAAACTACTGAGGAAACGTATACAGCCACTGTTTAAGGCCTTCTCAGTCCGTGGCAGAAAGTAGTGTCTCTCACTTAACTTGATTAAACTTGGACACTTGGGGTCCTTATTTAAAAATACCTACTTCCAAGCCTCACTGTTGGAGTGTTGGCTCCAGCATGTTTAGGTGAGACCGCAGTCGTTTCACTTGGAGATCATCATTGTATGGGATAATCTGAACTCATGCATTCATTTAGGTGCCTCTTAAAACTCCATGTGCCCCCCTTCCATGGAGATTCTTTGAAAAGACACCTTCTTTTCATAATTTAAAATCCCGTCTAACTCTAGGAACAGTAGTTCAGCATGAGAGCAGGGAGGGAGACTAAGACCTATGATTTGAGTTATTGTCCCAGGTGATTCTTAGAATCACACTAGTGTGGGAAACTCAGACCAAGCATCATACAACTGGGACCCTAGTCTTATTTCTGCCCCTTCCCAGTTCCCTGACCTCAGATATGTTTACCTTGCAAACCTCAGTTTCCCCAATTATAAAACAGAATAGGATTAATGGATTTGAAATAGCCACAGTAGCCTTTACCTCTGTTAAATCAAAGGAGTGTCTTGGCCCTTTCTTCTCATCTGTCCTCAAGAAGTCTAGCATTTTTACACATACAAAGCCCTTCATTTATTTCAGCAGAGTTTTGTTTCTCACGAGTGAGAACTGCCAAATTGGCCTTAAAATGATTAGTCCTCCTGACAACATAGAAAATGGTGATGTTAAATGAACCCCAAACCGTGTTCCCTTTTCTCTGTTAAAATAATGAGTTTAAGATTAATCTTAGTTTGTATCTTTGAGGATGTTGAATGGAACTCCTAGCCTTTGGCAGTTATCAGTGGCTCGGGTGCAATACACAAATTCTGATCTTTCACAGCCCAGACTGTCTTAAACCTAATTTGAGGCCATGGCTAATAGAAGAGGAGATGACCTATTTCGGCCAAAGGGTAGAAAAATATTTGCCCAAGATGAGGGGAAGATACAGTAAGAACCTGAGACAAATTGATAGGAAGTGGGCTTCATCTTTCCTTTGCTTTCTGTTCCATTCTTTAAACGATCAAAATTATTTCCCTTCCCAGTTAGCCCAACTGCAAACTCCATTGAACCCCTGTTAGGCAGATCCAGATTTCAAACATATACTCAGCCAGTAGTTTAAATACACTGGACCGATTTCACTTTTCTTAAAAAAAAAAAAAAAAATTAGAAAGTTGTTGAGCATTCATAAAGCACTAGTCATTTTGCTAAGCTTGTTATGTGCAAGACCTCATCTGATCTTCAGAACACCCCTTCAGAGTTCAGAGATGATCATTCCGTATTTAGAAGGAGAAACTTGGTAATTAAAAAGGTTACATAATGTGCTGAGTCACTGAGCCAGGATTTGAACACAGCACAGTGTGATTGTTGTGTCCACATCCTTAACCGTTTTCACCCTGCCATCGTTCTACAGAATGGTTGAACAAATTCAGTAGATTAAAATGACCCCTGCACAAGCAGCTCCCTCTAATGTTTAGGCCGTTGTCATTTCCTTTATGCTAGATACTCATTCCATACCCACTGGGAAAGTCTTTTAGAGAGTAATTCTCTTCTCTGATATTTCAACACAAATTTTCTCTTTAATTTGCCAACCAAATTTTAGTGGGCCTTCGGATTGAATGTCTCAACCTCCTTTTCTTTGCTTTTCATGGAATTCATAGTTTAAGAGGAAATGCTGGAATATGCTTGCTAATATTAAATGTTTGTATCCTCATATTTTAATAATGAAAGGATGCCGTGAAAATTGATGGGGATGGTGAGCTCATGGGATGATGGCATAAAAAGTAATAAAGAATGTGAAAGCTTTTGGAAGGAGCAGTTAGTATTATAAATGCAAGACAGACATTGTAGACAGGATGTGGTTTCAATAGGTGTGAATGTTTAGCCTTTTTGCCTAAAAAAAAGAAAAACTGAATTTGGCGGGTTTCTTTCTGTAATTGTTAAAACAGTTTGTGTTAGAGCTGTAATTGATTTAAAGTCTAAAACTCATTCAAGAGTATGATACTACACATTAGTTTTCACTAACCAAACAAAACCAAAAAGTTAGATTTTTGCCTTTTTGTGTAACCTTGTCCATCTTTTAGAAAAGCAGAACTAGGGTGGTACAATTGAGGTTCCTGGATAACTCTCAGAATTGACGATGAATTCTAAGCAATGTGCTCATGGAAAAATATGAAAATGTTTCCGATGGCAGTTACTTCCAGGGTTTATGAAAGTGGCTGTGTATACAAATTCTAGGTATGTGTTTGCAATGTAGTGTTGCTACCTTTGGCTGACCAGTAAAAGATCAGTTTGGTAGACATTTGGATGGAAATATGGAGAAGATGTTTCCTTTAAATGCCCAGGATTTGGATTTTCCTTATACCACACTTAGTGGTACAAGGTATAATTGCTACATCAACAACGTTTACCCCCAAATTAAGTCACAATTAATATTCAGCAGACTTCAGTAAATATCACCTCTCACCCTTTAATTTGTATTGTTCAGCATGACAGACTACTGCTTGTTTTTAAGAAAAATACAACTGATTTCTTAATTCCTTCTGGCCTTTGATAACTTTAAAACAAAACATTTCTTAAAAAGTCTGAGTATTTGACATCAAAAAGCTTAGGATACTTACATTTTAAAAAAAATAATAATAATGGCAGAAAAATAGCATTCCCAACATTTTAATTGTTCTAAGCCTCTTTGGAAAACTAAATTCCTTTAGCATTATGTGTTCAGAGAATCTTTTAGTTTGGCTGTTCAATAACTTACTAAAGAACAGAGGAGGAATACCATCAAGTGGCTCCTAATATGGTATCATTTTCATTTCCTGTTTGTTGAAAGATAAATGCTAACACTGTACGGCTGTTTTTTTCTTTCTTTCTTAATTTATTCCTCCCTGAACCACAAGGGAATAAAAAGAAAAAAAAAATCAAATGTGATATGGCTGGAGACTGAGTCATCCAGTAGGGATAAGCTGAAAGCTTTTTCCCTTCTCCCTTTTGTACGGTTTCCCTTTTCTCCATCTTTCCACAATCCCCGACCCCTGTCCCCCTTCTTCCTTAGAAAATAACTGTATTTAAATAGATAAACTATATTTGTTTTTTTATTTGGGAATAATTTGACTTTAAAAAACTTTATTTTTAAAGGATTTAAGGTTAATTATGTGACAGAACTAATGAGTCCCTCCTTAAATCTAAGGCATTATTTTGGACAAATGATGTACCAAAGTATTGAAATTAAACTGTATTCTCTCCCTCTCTCCTCTCTCTCTCTCATATTAATCTCTTCTCCATCTTCCCTAAATGCCACAGCTGTTCTCTTGACTATCCCTTTATCTTTAGGGGATATATTTCCCACTTCTTTTACAGAAGTAATCGTTATGTGTCCCCTATGCCCAACTGTCTTGAACTATTGAAAATATCGAGTTAAAGCAGTCCAAGCGAAGCATAAAGGATGTAGCTTCCAATCAGTAGTATTTGAGTGCCTACTATGTATATCCAATTAGAAACTTGTGTGACTTCAGAAGATCTTTTTTTATAGAATAAGGAGACTTAAATTATTAAGATGAGACTAGCACATAGCAGGTACTCAAATCTTGAGTAAATTGAATGAGCAAGCTTGTTCTACACTCGTTTGAAAATGGGAACCTGTCATCCCTTGGAGCCTGCTCCTGGCCTGCTAATATCATTTGCCAGCACTGTCTTAATCTATGCCTACCTGTTAAGAAAGATGAAGCTAATTTTGCATAAATGTATCCATCTGTCTAGGAGTTTTTCCACAACCACAACAGATGAATTTATGGGTTTTAGCTACCTAGCTCACTTTCCCTTGGCTTTTCTCATGAATAAGGTTGGTTAATAGGCATGATTCACATTTGTCTTTTAGCTGTCTGTGTTCCATGGGACTGCGTGGTGCCAGCAGGTCTAGAACTTCCCAGTTAAAGTCTAATGCATCTTGTGTTGAGAAATCTCACACCAACACCTCCGGTTACTTCGAGTTTGGCAATGGTCATGTAGATTTCAAAAACAAGCAATGAAAATGATTTTATCATGTGCTGTGGTGCCATAGCGTAATTTGTAATATGTATCATTTTTGGTGTTAAGAGCCATGCATCTTTATTCAGAGAAATAACAAAGCATTTTCTTCTTGCCAGCTTGCAAAAGACAAAGAACGCCTGCAAGCCATGATGACCCACCTGCATGTGAAGTCTACAGAACCCAAAGCCGCCCCTCAGCCCGTAAGTATTGATCCCCACCAAGGGGAAAAAAACAAAACTCACAGTATTCCTTTTCTACTTCCCCACCCCAAATGGAGGAAGGAGGACCAGCCTACTTTGGTGGAGCTTTGAGTTTTGAGGGCCTTAGATTCATGCGACTGTTTCTGGTTATCCTTTATGATGAAGGTCATATGCTAGGCATTTGGGGAGATACAGGATGATTCAGATATGGTCCTTGCCCATAAGACTCAAGCACCCAGCTCTTCTTTAAAGGCAGAATGATTGGTGCCCAAGCAAGGTACTGAAATACATTATGAGAGCTCCCTGGAAAAAGAAAATCTTTCTGAATGGTAGGAACGCAGAGAAGACAGCTAAACCATGACAGCAAAGCAAAGAGGCATTTCAGCTCGGGTAAGCTGAGAGACAGTGGTGTGTAGGAAAAAGAGCAGGGAGTAGTAGTCCAGTCTAACTCTTAACAGAGGAAAGACATAGGAAACCTAGTGTTGGAATAGTCAGAGGCTAAATTATGGAGAGGCTCTAATGGTTACTAAGGAGTTTGAAATGAAAATTATTCCTTCACAGTTAGGAGACCAAACACAGTATACTGAAATTACATTTAATTTGTAAGAATCTCCTCTTTCTTGCCTTATTCCCTTTTACTGGACCTTGAAGGGTGTCATCCCAGCACAGGCTGTTAATACCGAAGCAGAAGGATCGTGTCTGAACCTAAAAGTTTGTCTTGGACCTCCTTCCTTGTAATAAATCGATCTCTTTAACGGTCATATTCCTCTTACGTTTCTAAAATTCTCCTAGTAGCTTTAACTGATTATTCAAAATGGAGACAGTGCTTTGCTTCTTGATTTTAAGATTTGTAAAATTTAAAGGTACACTGCCTTTATTTGATTTTGCTTGGAGTCACTGTGTGAAAATTAATTGAGCGTTGACAATCTATAGTTAGTACCAGCGATTTTAATCAATATGCAATGATGCAGCGTAATGGCAAAGTATTGGTTTATCTGTTTTGACTGATTTTTTTCTATAAATAAAGCAAACATACACCCATATATGTATGATTTATGGTGATAGAAATAAAACGGAGTCAGACTATTAACCCAGCAAATATGGTAGCCTGCCAAGATGCAGTTGGCAGGCAAAATTAATGTCTGAAACAGAACACATTACTGAGATAAAGGACATAAAATTATTAAACACTTCGTGCATCCATTTTTACCAGGAAGGAGTCCTTAGTTTCCGTGTATTATTTTACAGTAAATGGCTATAGGACTAGATGTGTAGGCTACCAAAAAGAAAGGAAAAAAAAGAACCAGGTCATTCACTGTTGTGGCATCAGTAGTCAGCTGTGCTATTTCTAGCAACCCCTCCTTCTAGAACCCAGCTAAGCAAAATGGTGAGCCTCTGAGACAACTTGGCTGAAGTCATCTCGAAGAAGCATAGCCAATTGCACAGGGCATTCACTGCCTTGGAACTTTTTGAAAGTCTTCAGATGGCTTTAGTGAAATGGTTTTCCCAGATTGAAGGGTTCAAATCTTTGCACCTAGCAGCAAGCGAGAGAATGAGATTATCTCTGTCTTCCTCCACGGATTAAAAACAGTGATAGGATAATGGTTGGACCCAGCACTGTAGGCCTGGATCTTGGGGCTTCTTGGGAAGAGGAAGGATACAATTAAAGATAAGGAACTACAAAACCCCGTAGGGCGCTTGGCGAGTGACCGGGCTGGGTGTTGGCAGAGAGCACCATGTGTGTAAGCCCCTGTGGGCCACAAAAGGACCATTGGGATTCTTCACGTGGACCAGTGTTAAGCAGCTGGTAAACAGGGAAAAGCATGGGGGGAAGTGAACAGGGATGGAAGGTTTGTCTTGATTAGTATTAAAAAAAAATGTTTTACTTTCTAGAAAATTGTAACTTTGAAGGGGACCTCCTACTAAATTTATTTTTAACTGCTCTATTGAAAATTCTCTACCACTAGTCAACATTATCTCTTAGTAGCTCAGCACAGTATTTCTTTATTAGAAGAAATCGGCACGAATATTTTTGACTGAAAAATTAATAGCTTTTGAATTCATACACAGCAGGTTTTCTTTTGCAAAGAAGTCCAATATCGCTGCACAGCACTTCTATAACCATTTATTTAGAGTCCAAGTCAAACCTTTGACAGCTAGAGCAGCGCTACAAGCCAATATAAAGAACTCCAAGATGTAAACCAACAATAGGCCGTCTGTGTGAGGTTTGCCATTGTCAAATACATAGATTGTTTGGATTAGTTTATGTAAATGTACTGTTGTATTACCCTTTGAAAAAAAAAAAGATCACATTTGTGTATGAAAAGTGGTTCCCTTCACAGGCAGCATTATAAATTCCTTATCCTTTAACTTACATGTAAGAAGTAAAAATTGGTGCCTGACAAGCAGATATTGTGTGACACTCTGTTGTCGGAGTGAACCTGCCTTCTTTTCATTTATTGGAAAATAGAAAATTTTATTAAAGATACCATCTTATAAATCAGGAATTATTAAAATATGTATAGGTGAGGCATTGGGAAATTAATTATAAAAGGTAGACGTGTAATGTTTTGCATAAATTTTCACTTCTTTGCCAAAAAGAAAAAAAAAAGGGCACACACATACAGCAAACCCTTGATGCTTTCAACTTTAAGGGCCCAGAGCTATCTGGTGACTGATTCTCATGTGCAAAATATTCCCTGCAGTCTGTAATTAATTTATTCCGCCCTAAATAATAGAATGCATGGCGTTTGTTTGAATGAGTATCCTTCTAGAATCTTTAATTTGAAACAGGCAGTCACCAGGATTCAAATCTAACCATAGATGGGGACTTTCATGTTACAACCTTGCCAGTAAGTTCATGAAGCTTTTTCTTTTTTCCATTTCTGTGTAGAAGAAACCTCGTGTTTATTTTAAAATTCTTAGTCACTAAGTGATAGAATGCTTTGCTGTAAATGTTGCTTTTCACTAAATGCCATTTGGGTGTTAAGTGTCATTTGCTGTATCCAATCATCCAACCAGTCCTCATTTCATTGCATCAAAGAAACTGCTAAAACGTTCTTAGATTGTTTTTACATCAGCTCATAGACGCATTTTCTGGATCTTATTGTGGGACTCATCAGATTTGGATAGTTAGAGGATACGCTCATCTCGGGAAGGTGCCCAAGTTTTTGGACATGGATCTGAGGAAGAAAGCTTATGGGTGAACTGGGGCAGGAGCTCACGGGCTTCCCATCCCTCAGACTCCTTCGACGGCCTTTCTTCCTGCTTGCTATCACATCTCTTTAAACCTAAGTAAAATCTTCCTTTCAGAACAAAACCAAAGACTCAAGGTGCAGGTTGGTTATGGAAAGGGAATTTCTGCATTTAAAATCAAACTATTCCATCAACAAATATTTCTTGAGCATGTGACATACGTGACAAGTAGTCAGTCACATGAGCAAGGCCCATCCCTGCCATGGAGGTGTTCAGAGTCTGGTAAAAGAAATAACAGATAAACTACATACATACTCACACAGTCTCACTTTCCGTGAATTGCACTACCTGTAAGTAGAACAGCTGACCCAGAATGGTAAAGTCAGGGGAGATTGCTGGGAGAAATGATGTCTAAGCTGAAACCTACAAGATGAGCAGGAAGAAATGGTAAGAGGTCAGCCTTGTGAACCTTTCCTTAGGTTAAGAGTGGGTGCCCAGATCGGTCCCTCTGATTGGTGAGTATCAGTGTAGAGGAAGAAAAGGAATAGCCAACATCAGTTAAGACAAGCTTTTCAAACTTTTAATTTTATAAAGACTGGACCCTGCGTGGACGTATGTAGTATGTGTAAGTTGACCAGAGCAGCCCTAAGCTCTAGCTCTCAGGTACATAGAGCCGAAAAGCAGTTCTTACATTTAGAATGGCCACATTTCTTGTTATTTTAAAAGATTCTATTCTTTTCTATGGAAAGAAAAGCAAAAACAAACAATAGTAAACTGCCCTAATGAAAATGATTGATATTCTTTTGTTCCAGACTCAGTAAACATTCTCAAAGTAAACACCCAAATGTCTTGCTTGGAGGTTAATTTCTCCGTGCTTACTCTGTGGAGAATTTGCCAAGATACTTCATTTGGGGGAGGGAGTGAAAAACTAAGAGGACAAAACAAAAACAAAAAGAAACATGTCTGTGATATGATGACTTTATTAAATTACTACGGATTTCTTAAAAAGACTTTTCACACTCTGTCATTATGTCAGGAAAACACTGTAAATCGTATTTTATAATACTGAGTACATGAGAAGAACGCTTTGCTTTAGGGTATTCCTGCACATCAGAGAACAACTTCTGCTCCTGGAGAAACCACATTCTTTTAGATTTGGTGGGCACGTAATTACAGTGTAGGTGGTATATTCTTCTTGACGAAAATCTTATAAAGCACTTACAGGAACTTGGATATTTGTAATGAAATATAGTATTAGATTTTCATTTTTATACATTTTCTTTTCCTCTAACCATAGCCATTAGGACTGTTTTGAAAGAGTTTTTAGCTCCTATAAAAACAAAGTGCCCCCCCGAAAAGAAAGGGTCTTTTAACTCTTCAAGGATCATTTGGGCTGCCTGGGTCCTTGCTTTAGAGTTGGAGAAATAATATTAAGCAGTCATAAAAAGGGATTCTTAGGCACAATACACAAAAGCTGTTTTATATACTGTTTTTCATTAAGTGCCCCACCCCCACCAACCTTTCAACTAGAATTTTTTTGTTTTTGCTTTTAGTATCCCTGCCAGTACCACCACCTTCTAAGTAAGTCATAACCTTCCACGAGTTCGCTTCTCTAAAACAGGGCCAGGCTGAGATGGTAAAGGAAAGGAAAGGAAAGGCTTGTAACAAAGGCTGCCACCCATTGTCCTGCCCTCCGCACGGCCTGGTAACGTCCCTCCAGCCTCAGAAAGGCCGTCTCTGAACTCAGTGATTCATGCCCAGAAATGACACTGCCATGCAGTTAAAGCAGGACTTGAGCTGGCTCAGGCCAGTAAAACAAGAGCAGAAAAACAAGTTCTGTGAGCCCGAAAGTCCCTACTACGCAGTTGTGTCCCTTGGTGTTTGGGTTTCAGGTTTGTCTTTTGTTCTCAGAATCTGTTTTCATGTGAGGCAAGAGCACAAACAAAAATAAAAATGAGTTCTTATGGGAATACTTACAAGTCTGTTTCTGTCAGGGGTTTACATCAGCAGTTTATTTTTTTAATGTGAGTGACTCATCATCTTTAAACAGGAGGGGAGATTACTGTTAAAAACTAAAGAAAGATTAATTAATTAAAAAAAAAAAGGGACTAAGCAGAATAGTGGGTAGCCAACCAAGTTTGAATAGTTTCGATGGCTAAAAGAAAAGCTGATGCCTGAGAGTACAAATAAATTTAAAAAATAAAACCCTACAGCAATTTTAAATGACATAAGAATTTAACTTTTGGCCAGAGTTTCAAAGAGATTATCTTTGCTGAAATCATCACATGATGGAAACTTGCCATGTAGAAAATATCAGAGTTACTGACTTTTCTAAACATAGCAACTTCTTTTAAATAGAAAAGGAACACAATAAGAAAAATAGGCTTTCCATCAGGAAAAGAAACCCTCCCAGTCCATTCCCTTCCTGCCCCATGCCCCAGAAAAAATTATCTTTTAAAACCTGAACTGCAATCAGAAACACAAAGCACATATGCTTTCATTTCTAATTGATGATTACATTAAGATTTAATAGTTTACAATTAAGATGAATATTTCAAGATTACAGCAAAAACACACACCATTCCCCATTTGCTCTTCTGTTCTAAGTCTGTAATTAATTTTTTTTGGGGGGGCACTCTTTTTTCAAAGAGGCCTTAATTAAGAGAGCAGGTTTGGTTTGAACACAGAGCCTGCTTTGAGTCTTTCTTCTCCATTCTTTCTCTCTCAACCTTCCCTTTCGAAGATGGTTTCTCCTCCAGACAAGCATGTGATCATCAAACAGAAGTTTAAAAGTTAAGAAACTTCTGTACCAGTTGACAAGGTTGACATTTCATTAACTTGTTGGTTCAGCCTTCAAATGATTTTGTGTGGCAAAGCACCCTGTGTTTGGAGTGTACAGCTTTTTCTTCTTCCTTCCCTCACGGGCTAGTCATGTTTAATTTGGAATCTGGGCTCCTTTGGCAAATTAGCAATTAGAACAATTTTGTGGGAATATGTATATGTGTCATTAGTTTTCCTGCAAATTAATAGCAAGGGCAGAGGTCAGGCAGAAATTTTCCACTTGACTGCAGCTCCTCTATTGAGACTTGGCACTTGGTTTTGGAATGGCCACAGCTGCTCTCAGCCACCCTCTTCCTCTAGGAACTGTCTTTTAATTAGTTTACCTCATAGCCATCATTACAAATATTACTGCCTCCCCTCCTCGAAATAAAATTACTGTTTCTACAAAATATTCCAGTGACATCTTGCACCACTGCACATTGATGGTGGGGTCAGTCGAATGCAGCATTTAATCATTAGATCACCTCCATCCGCGTCTCCTAATTAGAGTCCTTACAATACATTTTTATCTGGTAATTAGCTGAGATTGGCTGCTTCCTCTGTGGCTTATTAGAGACAGCCCAGCAGTGGGTGTGAATCACGGTGTCATTTGTCAAGCCTGGTAAGCCCCCTCTCTGCTCTCTTCTGGCTCAGTATTTATTCCCACTTGCTAATGTTCAAAAGCCTCCAGAAAATTCTACCTTCATCTCTTCCTTTGTGGATTGTGCTAACTTGGAGGGATTTTATTTTTCGCTGTTGCTTTTTTTTTTTTTTTTTTTTTTTTTTTGGTAGAAAGAGTCCTAGTGGTGCGATCTTGGTAATAGCTACAAGGCTCACATCCTTTCGGCATTTTGATGACATTTTACTGTGGGATTTGTCTATTCTTCGTAGCTGTGAACACCCAAAAAGATGGGCTTGCACTTGCTGAATGAGTTTTGATTTCTGACAATGAAACTGGAACTCAGTTAACTTGGTGATCTTCCTCCCAAAACTGAAAGGGAGCAGGCATGAAGGACATTTGTGTTTGTAATTTTCATTGCATCTTTCAGAAAGCCACAGTGTTTAGGGAAAAGTTCTTAAACTGAAAAGAGAAGCCGAGAAGTATAGTCAGTCCTCAGAACTGCTTTGTGGTTACTGTGTACCTTTGCCCTTTGACTGACGTATGTGTTTGATGGTAAGCGCTTCAAGGGCAGCAATTAGCTGTTTTCTTCCTGTTTTTGTCATTGTAGGAGTAACTGCCTTATATTTGCTCAGTTACACGTGTTGATTGTCATGCATAAGCAGGGATAAAATGCTCTGCACGGAATCTTTTCCAAAAATGAGCATACAGAAAAATGAAACTGGTTAGTGTTCATTTTTGCTATTAACTAGGCATAAGATGATTATACAAAGGATCTAGAATCATACAAGTGTGTGGTTTGACCTTGGGTCTGGGTTGGGAATATGGGCAAATTATTTAATCTCTCCAAGCCTCAGTTTGCTTATCTGTAAAGTATGAGTAATAACATCTCAGATATTAGTGGTGGTATGAGAATTGAAGGAGACCACACAGTGGCAGGTGGTTTTAAAACATGATTTTTACAAATGTTACCCATGACTTTCCAAAGCGCTCTGAGATTCTTAGGCTTAGCAGCGTCTGAATTATAAAAGCTGTATATTTATGAGCATTAGCCTTTCATGCACTAATTTCCTTGACCCTTTGCTTGGGCTGATGCTTATACATACTGTTCCTGGACTTGGTCAGTGATTAAGGCCCGAGGTGAAGAAGAGGTCAGCCCCAACTCTTCCCCCCTTGGCTTCTCAGCTCTGCCCCATCCTGCGGCTGCTACTCTGAACTGTTCACACTTAGTTTGCAAATGTGTGTCAGAAAGCCAGGTTTCCAACATTATAGAGAAAAACCCGCTCATGGCATCTGCTCAGCTTGCTGGGGCATTTGTAAGGGCAGTGCCATCTCCAGAGCTTGCTCTTCGCAGGCATTGTCTCTTGCTCACCGAGACAACATTCTACGCTGAAAATAAAAAGGAAAGCACAACTCAAAGCTCACAACATTCTGTTTCCAGCGCCATGTTTACATTTTTCCATTAGTATTTCTTCATGATATTTGATCTTTCTTTTCTTCAGGTTCATTGCTTTTTTATGAAACTCTCCTGAAACATATTAGAGAGGATTCTCAGGCCCCCCTCCCTTTTTTTTTTTTTTTAACTAGAGTGTGAGTAAAGGTCGAGTCTTCCCAACATATTGGAACTCTCTTTTAATAAGTTCTTTGATTATGATCTCAGAGGAATCTCATTTTTAATACCTTCCACAAATACTGCCTTGTACTTAAGACTGACTATAGCAATGGTGAATTAGACTTGGTGAAATAGACTTACTATGGTAAGTGATTTGAAATCTGGTTTGAGAAAATATTACCAAGTAAGCCTACTTTGCTGAAGTTTATTGGATTTTAGGGTGGGTCTGTGTATCTGAGACAGCACATAAACAGTAATACATACGCTGAAAACAACCAAATTCTTCAGCATTGCCAGACGTAAAATAATATTTCTGTTGCAACAAATTTTGGGGAAGGGTTATGCCTTTTAGTATTTGTAAGAACAGTACTTTAAGGTGAAGATAAGAAAGATAAATTGAAACAGTGCTCATTAATTTATTTTTTTCTTTTTTTTTTTTTTTTTTTTTTTTTTTTTTTTTTTTTTTTTGAGGTAGAGTCTCACTCTATCACCCAGGCTGGAATGCAGTGGTGATCTCAGCTCACTGCAACCTCTGCCTCCCAGACTCAAGCTATCTTCCCACCTCAGCCTCCTAGGTAGCTGGGACTACAGGCATGTGCCACCACACATGGCTAATTTGTGTGTGTGTGTATGTGTGTGCGTTAATGGAGACAGAGTTTCACCATGTTGTCCAGCCTGGTTTCAAACTCCTGGCCTCAAGAGATCCTCCCACCTCAGCCTCCCAAGGTGCTGGGATTACAGGTGTGAGCCACCATGCCCGGCCTATTTTATTCTCTTCTACTTCAAATAAGTAATATTCATTTCCTAACTTGAAGCAGATTATTTCCCATTTTATAGAACATTCAAAACTTGAAGGAAAAAAATCAAAAACCTCAGTTGCAGATCTCCCGTATTCTGTAAAAGAATGTCACAATAAAAAAAATTAACAGATCCCAAGCCTGTATTTGATAGATTTAATAAAGGTTATTCATAATGCTGTTAAGGATTATTTTCTGCCAACTGATTGATTGATTGATAGAAACAAATGACAGCTGGTGGGGTCAGGCCCATTGTGTTTAATATGAGTAATAAATAGGCCACACATATTTGCAGGAGTTCTCGTCATCCACGAAGCTGCATGAGGGAGCTCAGTAGGCTCTTCCTGGGCTGTCTAGTATGGTAGCTACTAGCCACATGGGGCTCTTTCCATTTACATTTATTAAAGTTTAATTTTAATAAAAATCAAGTAAAAACAGCTCTTTGGTTGTGCTAGCATATTGCAGAAATTCTGCTGGACACTTCTTCAGATCTACACCAGCGTATCCCAACTGGTGTCACCTAAAATACTCAGCTTCACTGGTATTGCTAAGGACTTCTCTCCCTCTTTGAGGTTGACAAGGCCTGATGGGCGATCAAAGCCTATAGGTGAGACATCACAATGAAATAAATGTCTTGACTCAGGGTTTCTCACACTCCCTCAGGTAGGTAACCCCTTTTTGAGCCTGTAAACACCCATGTAGCAGCCTTTGGAAAAGAGACCGCTGCCAGAGATATCTTACACTGCATCCTAAGTGAATTCACGCAGGACTCACCGTGTGTTTCGGTTCATGGTAAACATACCATCTACATAGAGGAAGAAACGGTGCCCACGCATCCTCTGTGTTACTCCTGCTAGATGTGGTTCCTGGGTTGCTCTGGTTTTCTGAAGGTCTTCTAAGACGTTGTTTTTTTCCTTGCAGTTGAATCTGGTATCAAGTGTCACTCTCTCCAAGTCCGCATCGGAGGCTTCTCCACAGAGCTTACCTCATACTCCAACGACCCCAACCGCCCCCCTGACTCCCGTCACCCAAGGCCCCTCTGTCATCACAACCACCAGCATGCACACGGTGGGACCCATCCGCAGGCGGTACTCAGACAAATACAACGTGCCCATTTCGTCAGGTAGATACTCCACCTTTTGCCTCACGTAGAGTTGTAATCTGCAATTCTTGTAGACCAGCCCCTTTTGAAAAAGTGATAATTAATAGGACAATGATTCTTATTCAGCAGATATTGCGCAGAACCAAGAATTTTATAAGAACGCAGAAGTTAGACCACCATTTACATATGCATCTTTAATTAGGCAGGTAAGTAAATAACACAGTATATGAAATTCTGTCAGAAGGTATATGTGTACATGGATATATATTGATGAAGTAGATTTAAAAACCGTTTAGTATGCAAGCATGCTGAAACCTTTTCTATAAGGTTTTTTAAAACTGCAATATATAACATAATTGCTTTTGATTAAGTATTACAATACGATGTGATTATTAGGAAATTCATTTCACACAACAGTGAAAATGAGCCTGTTTAAAGATGGCAAGTCAATTATCACAAGCTACAGTAATCTCTGATCCCTAGAATTAATCTGAGCTCTAAATAATTACTGAGCTTTAATCAGCTAGTGAAATGTTTTGCATTTCTCTTTGATTCTGCTTTATGAATGACTAATAAATTAATATTTCTGTACGGAAACAGAAATAAAAACTCAAAACAATTAGATAATTCCATTTTGAATTTTGCTATTGAACTGTTAAATACAACCATTAATCTTAGATCATTTTGTAAAACCTTTCTCAGGATTTAGCTCTGAATCACAGTGATTTTATATTTTCGAGAAACTGTGGAATGACGACTCTGCTGATTTGGTCATAAATTATCTTCTGTTACATTCTGCTTCACAGGCCATTCTCGAATCTCCAGAAAAGCAGCTAACACTAAATGAGATCTATAACTGGTTCACACGAATGTTTGCTTACTTCCGACGCAACGCGGCCACGTGGAAGGTAAGCTTTCTCAGGCCTGTTTATTCTTGGATCTTGACGTTCATAGAACAGTTTGTTGTTGATAAAATGCAGTTGTGCTATAAGGAAGCTACATTTATATTGTTTTGATACTCTTAAAGTGTCCAATCTCTAGGTGTATTTGATTGGGAAAATAGTGCCATTGTGGTTGAAATGCTCTGATGGAAGACTCCCATTATACCAGCATCAGCAGTGTGGAGGGGCCAGCCAGTAAAGTGATCTCTCTCTGGTTGGAATATGTAGAGAAAAGGAGACAACACCGTCGCCCAGAAGTGGAGGTTGCCATATTACTTGCACAAACCTCATGCCGTTAGGTCTTCAGCCACAGCCGATATTTGCAGAGATGTATCTCCAGCGATCTATCTCCAGAGATGGAACCTGGAGAAATGACCAAACTTGACACAGCCTTCAATGGTTGGATAAATAGCTCATTAACCCAATTAGTAGAGAAAGCTGTGCAATCCAAGCACTAGCACTGTTTGTAGGAGTTATTAATGGAGAACACAATGTATTATTAAGGGGCAGGGGTTTTTGTTTTTCTTTTTTTGGTTTTAAGTCAAGAGATTGTCGGCCAGGCACAGTGGCTCATGCCTATAATCCCAGCACTTTGGGAGGCTAAGGCAAGAGGATCACTTGAGCTCAGGAGTTAGAGACCAGCCTGGGCAACGTAGCGAGACCCTGTCTCTACAAAAAAAATTCAATGAATTAGCCAGGCATGGTGGCATGCACCTGTGGTCAACAGCTACTCCAGAGGCAGAGGTGGGACGATTGCTTGAGGCAAGGAGGTTGAGGCTGCAGTGAGCCCTGTTCATGCCACTGCACTCCAGCCTGGGCAACAGAGCAAGACCCTGTCTCAAAAAAAAAAAAAAAAAAGGAGATTGTCCCTCATAGATATACTAAGGAAGAAAAGTAGATTTCGAACTTCATTATATTCATTATAATACTATTTGCTGTAAAAACAAGTCAAATTGCATAGCTCTTTATTGGATGCCCCCAGTAGTGCTTGGGGTCATATATGGCTTACCTCATTCCCAGGTCAGCAGCTGGCTCAAAGATTCCACTGGTATTTACTCCCTTATATTAGATTGATCCCTCACATATTTTTGGGCTTTCCCATTTTTGATTTCTTGGTGTCTAATATTCTTGCTTATAGAAGGGGACAGGTACACTCTGTCATTTGTATTTTTGCATTTTTTACTACCTGGAATTCTTGTAATCCCTGAAATCCAAAACATTTAGAGACATGTGATAACAAACATTTGAGGCTATTTTTACATGCCATTAATCTAAATATGATAAGGATGTGTTATAGGACACAAGGAAAACTTCCTTCGCCTGAAATAAATGCCTTCCTTGCTAATTCCTTAATTTTATACCGGAGAAAAACCAAAGCAAAAGACAGAAAAATACATTTCCTCTGTTAAGTTCCTGATAAATTAGCATTTTAAAAGAAAACGAATATAACCATAGAATTAATTCATCAACTTTACAGAGCTGTGAATATCCATTATGGCCCAAATTATCCTTTCATTTCCATTAAGACACATGGGCACTGAAGGGAACCTATGTTCAAAATCTTACCCTCTTTGCCTCAGCCTGCCTTGGAAGATAAAATATGAAAGGATCTTTAGCCATGAATGCTTTAAAAAATTTAGGAAGTCGAAGCATGAGGCAGACATTTTCTTCAGATTGCCTTTTATAAATAGAAATGATGAAATTTAAAAATAATTACCAGTTGTGAATATAATATTTAAGCTTAGATCTTCAGATTGCACTTTTTCGTTTTGCAAACTGCAGGAAAAAGTGTCATTAATATAAACAGCCTTAGATGAAATAGTGACTCATAAATACGTATAATTTTCTGTACGTGTCCTTGTTTGTACCATGATCTTAGACAAAAGATGAAATGCCCAGTTAAGGTTATGACTGAAAAGAGCTTACACATCTTTTTTTTGAAAACTCTTGACTTCTCGTCGCTTTCTGCTTAGATGTGCAGTTTTGGAAAACAGAACTGAAGTTTTGGCTTTGTGTCTTTACTCACATGGTTATATTGCTCAACCTGATCTACAGAAATTATTTTGTCAAAAGTAGCTTTAAGACCTTTCATTTCTGTACATTTTGATACTTATTTTAAAGCATCAAGCAGTGATTAGGATTAGGAGCAATGTTGACTTCTTTTCAAGTTATATCTCTTACATGTGTCATGCCCTGTCTGGATTTTTAAAGGAAATTGGCTCTGTCCGTTTATTTATACCACCTCAATTTTGTTCCAGTAAGTAACAGTAGACCTTCTATTGTATGCCTTTGGGCAATATATTTTTTTAAAATGCAGCCAAATGCAGTGGCTCCTGCCTGTGATCCCGGCACTTCAGGAGGCTGGAGGATCACTTGAGCCCAGGAGTTCAAGATCAGCCTGGGCAACATAGCAAGACCCCATCTCTACAAAAAATTTTTAAAATTAGCTGGGTGTGGTGACACATGTCTCTAGTCCCAACTACTCAGGAGGCTAAGGCAGGAGACTCGCTTGAGCCCAGGAATACAAGGCTTCAGTGAGCCATAATTGAACCACTGCACTGCAGTCAGGCAACAGAGCAAGACCTAGTTTCAAAAAAAGAAAAAAAAAAACTGCTTATTTAGACTAGACTGCAGTTTATATGCATAGAAAATTGTCCTATCAAGTGTATGACATGCCAAATGTTTTCGGTTTAGAGATTTTTATTTTTAAGCAAATCCTTCTTCCAACTTTTTTGAATCAGGAGTGTCCTTTCATAGTCACCTGGGTATCTTGAACCGACCTCAATTATGCTGACATTACTCAAAAACTTTTTGGGAATTTATCCTGTGAATTCTCCTTTCAAGCAATTCATCACACCATGCATTAAAAAACTTGTCTCATTATCTTCTAAATATTCCATATCAGAAAAGAAAAATCATTATGTAGCTTGAATCCTCACAGCCACCAATTGTGATTGTCCAAAAACTGAAGCACCTCTCAGAGTATCAAGATTCACCACCGTTAAGGATAATTCAGGAAGGAAATACTCCAGGTGGCAGAATGGGATGTGTTGGGGGGTGGGGGGGGGGGGGCGGTGTGCAAAACGCTTGTGCAATAGCAGTGTTGCTGGAATTGAGTGAGGACTTTACCCAGTGTGATGTATGTATCAACTTCTCAAGCCCCAATTGAGTCACCTACTATTGAGTCATCTACTTACTCTGAATAAGAAGAAAATTTTAAGTAAATGACCTGAATCTCTTTAGAATGTCTTCATGTCCAGCGTTGAGTCTGGATCCGTAAGTTTAACCAGGCGGGACTAAAGAAATGAAGCCTTGCTTGTTACTGTACCCAGTAAGGGTTGGGGATTCTTCTGAAACCCAAAGGAAAGATGAGATATTAAAAGCTCTTCACCCTTGAGTTGAGATCCTCCTTTTTGATAAATTATCGATGTTAAGGGTCTCAGCTTAGGAATGGCCAGAAAGGACTTTTAACCATAAGCAAGATATGTCTGCAGAAACCATCAACTGTAGGAATATAGTCATTTTGCCATTGAGAGTTCCACTCGTGTTCCTTTGGCATTTACTCAGTTAAAATACTTGCCGATAGTTAGGGCCAACTCTCATATTCTGGAAGGTGAGACATAACATGATAGCTACTGATCTCTTGACCGGGGCGGGGCGGGGCGGGGGCGGGGGGTCCGTTCACCACCCCCCGATCCTTTGACTATACAAGGCGATACTCTCAACGGTAAAATCCACTTTAGAATTCTTCATAGGACCTCTGGAAGTTTTAAAAGCCAGAAGCCATCAAGAACAAAACTGTATTTAGCAGTATTAACCAAGTGTTCCTCTTTCGTGGTTTGAAAAAAATACCCCCTTTTTATGGGAGGTAGGTGGGCTTAAAAAGGGCAGTTTCATACTTTGCATGTGTTGTTTTGAAGTCACAGTAACATTTTCAGATTTGTACTCTGGAACCTATTTTGGGCTTGTATGCATATTAAAAAATATTTCTGCTGGTCAGTTATTACCAGAGACTAGACGAAAATGCCAAAGTACGATTAATTTATAATTTTGGTTTATTTTTGCTTTTGGAAAAGACATCCTTAACCATGAGAAGGTCCTCCACGGGGGTGGTAGCTACAGCTCTTGGGGATGGTTTTACAAATGTGGACTGTTAGGCTGAATTTACTGCTGTTTTTGGAGTCTTTTCTTATAGAAAATGTAAATGTTCTCTCTTTTATACTTGCTGCAGAATGCAGTGCGTCATAATCTTAGTCTTCACAAGTGTTTTGTGCGAGTAGAAAACGTTAAAGGGGCAGTATGGACAGTGGATGAAGTAGAATTCCAAAAACGAAGGCCACAAAAGATCAGTGGGTACGTCCACCATGTTTGAACTTCTTAGCCTAGCTTGGATTGTGCTAACAAGTATAACGTAGAGGCTTTGGCTGCTAGATGGTGTTAGACCAAAGAACTGGTTTCACGTTGTCTCAGTTAAGGGAAGCAAAAAAGCATTTCATCCCTCCTGTTTTGTATACCCACCAGTCCCCCTGCCCTGCTTGCTGGTCTTTGTTGCATCACATGCTAGTAGCTTTTAGGTGGCAATGCATATTAACCCTCACAAACCATTTGCTTATGCTTATTGCATTTTATTTTCTTTTTCCTGTTCCCTGTATTGGATGTCTGTTCTGCCCCCAACCCCGTCTCCTTTTGTTGCCACTCCATCTCCTTTGCTGCTGCTCCTATCCCAGGGTGCCATTCGCACCAACCTCTCACTGCATAAGTGCTTTATCAGAGTAGAGGATGAGTTTGGGTCCTTTTGGACAGTTGATGATGAAGAGTTTAAACGTGGCCGCCATATTCAACGAGGCCGTCCTCGCAAATACTGCCCCGATGAAAACTTTGACGAGCTTGTCGCACAGTAAGAGCCTTTACTTGCTTTTGTTTTTTTTTTCTGCTGTTGCTTTGGCTTTGCATGGTTGACTCATCCCATGTAGTTTTGCATTTCACCAATAGCAGTGCCACAGCTTTCTGCAACGAAACTAAATTGTGTGATTTGTACATGTATTGCTCTCGTTTCTCTTTGGAACACCAGTGCCTTGAATAATGCTTTTTTGACGTCTTTAATGCAAATATTCGTTCTATTTTGATTCAGCAGCTTACGGGGACCCTAGAACTAAATACTTGTGCTTAACCCATAATCCCCCCTCTCTCCCCACCCCAAGTAAAAAGGGAATTTTTGGTTAGTTAAAATGTGTGTATATACTATTGGGGTAGATTTCTTATTTGTTCACTCACTATAATAATACAAATGTAATGAAGTGAATGACTAAAATGTTCCAAGCATAGTAAAGAAATAGGTCATATTGCATACACTTCCTTTAAAGACCACTGATAAATGTAGGTAATTGCCTACTGGGAGGCACCCTTTTCCCTCAGTATGCCCTATGTAATTTTTTAATATTTTTATCCTTACGAGGCTAGAGATTTTCTGACAACAGTATGTTAGTTTCATTTGGTCCGTGAATGGAGATGGCAGCAAATATTCTCAGACCCTCCCAGATCTGGCTAAGACATCCCCTTATTTAGGAACGACCCTCCCCTGGCATACCCTACTCTCCATCGCCTGTTGGCAATAAACGTGCCTTGTGGATATTCCTTAAAAGCCTTCCTGCCATCCCTCTAGCAGTCACTGTAAAGTTCAAATCTCAAAGATGCTTAGGAGCCAAGATTCTCTCTGCTCGTGCCCAGCAGCCCCTGCTGTGAGCTCACTGCCTTCCCCAGCACGACCTCCTAGGCTGCTGCCTTCCTTTCTGTTGGAGTCTGGAGTCAGGCTAACTCCTAAAAATCTGCAGAGAGGTCTCTGGAGGGAGGACCCAAGCCTGTTACTACCTAAGCCAGAATTTTACACCTAGTTTCCTTGAATAGAGAAGTCCAACCCCAGAGGTGTGCACACACACCCGCCCTGCAAATCAGTGACGGGGAGAAAGCCTGACTTTTCTTGGGTTTTGCTAGTGGGGGAAATTGCTCATTTGGAAGGGCACCAGCAAGCTTAAAACAAAACTTAGCTAGGAACTCAGCAGTCGACTGTGTTTAACTTTGAGTTTTTATGTTTTTCTTACACAGTAACCCTTCCCTTATTAAAAACATGCAGAGCAGCCACGCCTACTGCACACCTCTCAATGCAGCTTTACAGGTAAGATTAACGGCCGTCCCGAATATGCAGCAGAGGCACAGGTCTCCCCTACTCATTTCAAAATATATTAGCCTTGCTCTAATTAGATATTAAATTTTAATTCCGTTAAACTTTTTTCTTAAGTGCACAAAGCATCATACTCCCTGGAGGCAAACACATCGGGCTGCTTCAGCGTTAGCGGGATGCTTAGCATTTTGAATATTGTGGCAAAAAAATTAAAAGTTCACTTATTAATATTTATCAGCAGTATCATAATTTCCATCCTCTTATTTCAGAATTTCACTTGAGGCAAAAATACCACAAGTGTAATTACTCTAGCACAGCTATTAATGTGCTGGATGATAGGCCACTGCGTCACATGACCTTCTATTGTTCATGGGTTTAAAGAGAAAGCAGGGCTTTGTATTTCTTTTTCTTCTTTTAAAGTCGACTGTAGCATCTTGGCTTTTGTCTGGGGTGGGGAGGATCTGGGGTCTGGTTCACTTTGTAAAAGTAAACCATGTCTGTTTAAACAATAGAGGTGTTTAAGAAGACTCTTTAGTTTTCCTGCAGATTGTTCAAGATTACATGATAATCACACGGAGTATTTATTTCCTACTGACAAACCAAGTACTTGTTACATCACCAATGGTACCAGGAGATGAAGACGCGGGTTTTGAGCAGGAGCGAGATTACCACCCAAAAAGGAGCTACCTGAGGCAGCCCAGCTTCTAGCAAACTTTTTACATGTTGCACATTTCAGTTCTTAAATGAAGGCTACTCCAGTGTCATTTCATTAAAGTACCTGGGTGTAGTACTCAAGTCCCCCCTCAAGAGTTCATAAGTAAGCAGTATCCTTTTGGCCAGTGGTCCTGTTTTTGCCCCTACCCAGACTGTTCGAGAAGCATATTCTATAGATAAATCTGACATTTGTCATCCAATACCATTGCAGTCCTCTGCAGCATACATTCTCAATGGGGGCTGTATCACCCCTAGATTGGTTCTGAGATACTGCAATGTCTTGTGTCCTTCCAAAGGACCATAATACTTGAGCAAATATGAACATTTCTTGGGGTGAGGGCAGAAAGAGAGAAACAAAAGTCTAAAAAGGGACAATAATGAAAAAACAGTTGAGACCTTTAGTATGATGGGAACAGGATGAGGAAGGAGGAGATACTGACAGGAGCCCTGGGTCTTGCTCTGCATTAAACAGATATTTATGGACATTAAACAGATATTTATGGAGCACGACTCTGTACCCTACAGGCCCAGAATAGTCTTAAGGCTCCTGGGAATTGATGATAGGCCATTTACCCAGTTTCAGTTTAGAGGCAGATTCACTGGCCTTAGCATTTCAGTAATTATATTTATTTATTTTTAGCCTGAACCAGATTTAATAGGAGAAACTACTTTCTGCGTTTCTTTTAATTACTTGTAGTTTACACAGTAACTTTAGAAGAGTAAATGAAAGCATGCTTCGATGCTGCCACTGTAAATACCATTCATTAGTAACTTATTTTCCCTGGAGTCTTGTGAAGTGTGAATTTAAAGCCTGCTCTATCTGGAATATGGAATAGTATTAAGATTACAAGCACATTTTATATTCATGAGCCGGAAAGGCAAAAAAAAAAAAAAAGTGATCCTCCATCCTCTGAATTCTCTTAACTATGTGACTAATTTCAATTAGTATGCTTTGTCATTACAGAACTGTTCAGGTTTCATCTCTGAACATTTGCTTTTGGCATCTTCTTCAGTAGCCCAAAACTGTCCTGCCGTTTTCCAAGAACACTTTCCGTCCATAATGAGGCAAGGGGAATAAATTGATACAAATTCATGATTTGAGAAGTGGATTGTTTCCCTCTCTTCTACGAGTTTGGATCCCTGATCAGTAGACAGACACATAAGACAACTTTCTACTGTGCAAATTAAATAAGGATTCTGCCAGCAGGCCTTCCTTTCCATTACCGCCTATTTCCATTTTTCAAGACAAGTAAAAATAATAGTGGAACAATATCTTCAAAAAAATTACTAGAGCAACATAATGCATGATATACAATATATAAAATAGGACAGCAGAATCCACTACAGAAATAAAACATGGGACTTGGGACAGATTGCATTATGCTCTGAAAAGTGAAGTAACTAAGGGTAACCGTAAAGCTTCGTATTTATAGACTGCCTTTCCCCTGAGGATCTCAGAGTGGTTAATGTTCCAGGAGCGAGGGTGCTTATGGACTTCTGCACCATTACTTAAGCAACTTCATTTTTTGGCAGAGGTGCCAGCTTGATATGAAACCACATGCTGTGCAAGGACCATTTATATAATTAACTCCATTTTTGTAACACACCTGCTTCTAAGTGGACATCAACTACCAAAAAAAAAAAAAAAAAAACACTTTGTTAGGCAGAAGCAGTTAGTGAAAATTTATCTAACCTTGGGTGGGTTGCTCTGATCACTTGCTTAACAGAGAGCGTGTTCAAGAAGCTCTCTTGCGGATCAGGCACTGGGATCTCTCTGCAGCCCATTTGATCATTTTTTCAAGGGACAAGGCTGGTTTTCATCACTTACATCGTTCTTGCCTGAGAACCCAGGGATCAGTATAAGTGCTTGCCTTTGTATGCGTTTCACTACTGTGGCTGTTGGGTCTCAGCCCATGTTCTATGATCCAATCCCAATCAGCAATGGCCTTGACCTAGAATACTTTGAGAGCCAAAGAGAATAAATACTCATCCCAAGAAAGTTGCCTTCTCTAGAGGATGACAAACTCATCCCAATGAACACGTTCATATCAGCATTTCAATTTTGTCTTCACAGTTTTTGACCAGGGAAGCTGCTAAAATAATTAAGCTAGCAGCAGCCCCACTTTTGCCACATTCTGACCTTGGAATAGTGAAATTGTCTTATGAGAGCTTATCTTATGGTATTTCCAGTGGAAAGACACTCAGCAGAATTTCTGTGACTGAGACAACAGTGGTCACACCTCTCTCAGATAAAAGCAGTTAAGATGCTTGTCCAACTGCAGTTTGCAAAAAAAAAAAAAAAAAACAAAAAAAAACAAAAAAAAAAAACAAATAATAGTAGTTCTGGCAACTGCTCTGCCAAAAAAAAAACAAAAAGAAAGAAAGAAAAAAAGCTTTATCGCAATTATAAAAGAGCTGTTGGAAAAAGTACTTGATGCAAATTATTTGACACACTGTAGGAGAGTGTGGAATGTTCACATTTGCTGTTCATCAAAATGAGTTCACCACATTTGGAAATAAACACAGGATTTTCCCCCTACTTTTTAAAAGAAGGCAGTTATACACATTTACAAGTAGAAGGAAGGAAAAGCTGTGGGCTTACATAGGGCCGAGCTTTGAAACAGTCCATTATCCAATGCTGTGTTTGGTGAGTGTGCACAGGACTTCTAACACAGGGCTTGTACCTAGAAAGCCCTGGCTTTGCGGTTTGTACAGTGAGTGAGGCTGCGATTGTCATACTAGCCAGACAGATTTCTGCAGCCCAGCTTTGCACTCTTTTGGCTTTTACTTTCTTTCTAGAGCCAGGATTTCTAGAATAGTTCGGACTCTTGTATGACTGGCCAGTGGAAGTCACTATGCCAGATCATCTTGTGAAAAGAAGTACATCTAATGTACTTTTCTTCTCATTAGGATGGAAAAGCAGGCATAGTCTAGTCTGCAGGAGGACAGTTGTGATAAATCTTGGTTTAATTACAGCTGCCAGTTTTTGAAAGTGTCCTCTTTAATGAAATGAAAAGTCAGTGGGTCGTAATCACCACCTGGATGAAACAAATTTTTGGGTACCTTACTTAGTCCAGTGGTATATGTAACTAGCGTCTGCATTTCAGACTTGGTGTCCCTTTTATTCAAATGCAGTATAACAGGAAGTGAATAATATCCTACCTATCCTAAATAAAGTTTAGGATTTCTTCTTTTTCATTTCCTCACTTTTTTGCTGACACTCACGTGGAGTAACTTTGTAACCTTTAATATTGATGTACTTTGGCACCAAAAATAAATATGAGTTAGAGCTTCCCTTTGCCAGAGTTCTTTAGTCCTAAAATCCTAGGCAATTGGTCGGACTCTGAAACACTACGTGGTGTTTCCTTCAACCAGTTATCTCAAACTGCACTAAACAGATTCAAAAATCATTAAAACAGAAATGATGGGAGGAGATAAAAAATTGATTCCAATTCTATAATCTCTTCCTTTTCTATAGGATCTAAGAGGTAAATGTTTATGGAAGTTCTCATAAGTTTGAGCGGTGCGGCCAGGATAATCTGATCAAAATCTCTAATATCCAATACTGGAGTCATCAAAATGGATAAAGAAATAAAAATTCTATTATATTTCACTGTGATCTGGAAATATTCAGCTCCTCTTAAAAACGCATCCGACATAAACCTCATATTCGAAAGCCCGTCTAAACCATGTGACTACCAAGCAGGACCAAATTGAGTCCTTCCTACCCACAGGCACTTGGTCCCCCCTGGCCCCCAGTTAGCTCTTCAAAACCAAGCTTGGGACAGGTGCCACGAGTCGTTTTTAAAGCAAAATCTTTCAACACCTCTTAGAAACTTGTATTTGCCAGCCATGCTACAATTAACTCAAACTGAAGATTATCGAGTACACCCATAATTAGTAGTTTCCTTGTCTTACATACCCTGTGTCTTCATAAATTTTCTCTTGGTTGATGACAGGCTTCAATGGCTGAGAATAGTATACCTCTATACACTACCGCTTCCATGGGAAATCCCACTCTGGGCAACTTAGCCAGCGCAATACGGGAAGAGCTGAACGGGGCAATGGAGCATACCAACAGCAACGAGAGTGACAGCAGTCCAGGCAGATCTCCTATGCAAGCCGTGTGAGTATTGTCCACCCAACAGGTCTTTGCTATCTGACCCTAGTCTCCCTAGGTACACGCAGGGAGACAGCCCTTTCTCTGGGCTTTATATACCTTTTCTGTAATTTCTGATTTCCCAGAACCAAGCTAGAAGTTTGTACTTCAAGAAATGTTCAGCTTGGTTAGTGCATAAAAGGACTATTTGCTAACTTTCCCATAAAAGCAATTCACAGCAATAAAATGAGAAACAGGTTTGCTTTTTTTCCCTCTGCTTTATCACATCCCAGGCCATTATTTAAGCCACACTACTTTTTCCTCCTCAAACTAATATGCATTCCTATGAAAAAGTTTGCAGTTTGTTCAACTTTCGGGCATGTTGAACCTAGCCGAGAGAAAAAGATGCTTGTTTACTTGGTGGTGCACTAAGGTTCACCACGAACACGCCGCCGCAGCATTATTACCAACCATTAATGATGGCACAAATGAAAGGCGGCATGATTTATAGATTGCTCTTAAAATATCAAAAGGAAAATTAATAGGAGCATTATAGCAGCAGACGGCAGTATAATGAGTGCACATATAACTGAATGAAGTGATGGGCGATGGCTGCCCATGCTGAATGTGAATGGAACCAGGACTGCAAACCACAGGAAAGGCGGAGGCCAGGAGACTGTGATGCCCCTGTGAGTGGGTGATGGGAGAGAACTTGGTGTAACTATAACACCCTCTCTCCCAGGAAAAGTTTTCAAACAGAGCGAAGAAACCACATTATTCCAAATGATTGGCTTTGCAGGAGATGCTGTGGGATGACAGTCTCTCCCTTTTAGTGAGGTTCTTCAAAACTGTTGCCCACTTTAAGGTACTAACCCATTTCGTGTTTGCAGTACTGTCAGTTCCTAGAATAGGCTGCTTGTCTACACATTACTTCTGAATTACTGACCAACATCTTATTTTAAGATAATTTAAGTGATCGGAATGGAAATTATGACCTGTAACAATTAGGAGCATATGGAATTGGCATCTAATGACAAAGAAAAAAGTGTTATCTGCCAGCATAATTTGGAGGGTACGTGGAAATCTGAAATTTGATTTTCTAGCATTTGAGTTTCATCTCCACAGCACTTCAGAAAGGATCTTTACTATCCTTTCTGGATATGGAAATAATCATTTTTAATTTATATGAACAGTATCTTAGCATTTGCTTCACAGCATTTTAAGAGTGTGTTTATCTTTCACACTGATGCTGCTATATTTCATCCTTTCCAAAGCAACTTAGTGTTTCCGATTTTCCTGTTACCACATTTGTATTCATCTTAAATCATTGTCATGACACGAGTATTTACTTAGATACTAACGAAGTTCAGAGCAAACGTAAATTGGTATAAGCTACTGCAAGAAATACTCAGAACAAAAATGTCTGGTTATTGAATGGAAGTGATGCTATTTCTCATAATCTGTACAAACTCCAAGTTTTTGTTGACATATATTCCTATTAGTATAAAGAATCACTAAAACAAAGAGATACTTGGATACAAGCCACAGGCACCAGTTCAGAGTGATGCTGATTTTGCTGTACGAAAGAAAGTCACTGCAGGGTTAATTTGTTTAACAAATTTGAATTAACCCCAGTATTACCCAAACCATGTTTTACAATAGTCTTTGTAATTTTTGATGAAATGAAGGTTTCAACTATTTTTTACAAGAAACCCTACACAAAAATGTCAACATGCGTTGCTCAAATCTCACAGGTTTGTGCTGTTTGCTAAATGTAATTATATGTCAACAGCAGATTCCCTGCGCCTGCTATCTGTGTAATAGACTGTTACTCTTTTTGACCTCATATTTCCATTAAGAGAATTCTGTAGTGACAAGAGTTTCCATTCTTGTCCAATATGCATTACCCTGCTATGATGCAAATTGTTTTTCAACTGTTCCAGTCTATTGGAATAAATCAAGCCATAAACTTTACGGCACGGCTTGAAGGACCTTGTTAGGAAGGCGGCCTAGCTAATATTGAGTGTTGAAACAGAACTCTTCATTCTTACCCTTTCTGTGACAGTCAGATACCACTACGTTTCGTTCGTCCTTTGAAACACTAGAAAGTGGTCACATAATTATGGCTTTGGGGCATTCTACTTTTATCCTGATAGGCGCTAAAGGAGCTACAAAGCAAAATACTCCATGCTGTGCAGACACCCCCAGAACACAATGCCTTTAAACGCCAGTCAGCTTTATTTTAAAACTCTTGTGTTCCCAGAGTGGCTAAACAAAGGAATTACTCAGATGTAAGGAGAAGGGAAATGTGTGGTTTTGCACACAGTTATTCAGCGGTAGCCCTTTCGGAAGTAGGAGTTGGAGAGAAAGGGTGGGGGCAGTGTCTGCAAGGAGAGGAAGGTGCATCATACACAGCCCTAACTTCCAGGAGACACGGTGAGTGTATGTGAAGTGTAGTGTCTTCAGTAGTCTGCATCTCATCTCAAATGTATCTTTCGTGGAATCCCATCCTCTTTTGTTCTTTGAAGTGCTGTGTGCTTGTGCTACACGTTTGCCACACCCCAGGGGTATCTGCCGGCATCAAGAAATGTCCCGAAATCGGATTTCACTTCTCTAAAGTTTCGAAACCTTACTGTCTAACCTGGTTGTGTCATCAGGTGGTCACACAGTAGATCTAGCCAGTTAACATTTGTTGGGGACCCACTCTGCATCCACTCTGCATGAGGCACTGGGAGTCGAGCCTACAGGCATGACAGGATCATTACCTCTGTCTTGTGGATAGTAAATAATCCTCATGAATTTTGGCTACCAATTTAGGGGGAAAACGTGTTTTGTTTATTTGTTTTTTCACTTCTACAGCTTTTAAAATTGATACCTCGTAACTACATATTTTGGGGGTACATGTGTTATTTTGATACATGTATACAATGTGTAATGATCAAATGAGGATAATTAGGTAAACGAAATATTCTCTGATGTTGTGAACTGTGTTTTGTGGGGCTTTACATGCACCTGATTTTTTGGATAAGGTTAGCAAAATATTGGTCAAAGTCTAAAATTATACAGCAAGAACTTCATTAAGATGGAGATGGATGGTTCTATTTCTTCTAGGGGTCCTCATCCTCCTTCCCCCTCCCCAAGGTCTTGTATGATCTTACATTCTTCTATCATTCAATTCTGGGTTATAAACATGAAAAGATTGATAGACCTGATAGTTAAGAAAGTAGGAAAATGTTGATTTGGAAAACAACATTTGAACCTCAATCAGCATATAGCTAAAACATAAATTTCAGTAATTTATGAAGTTGCAGTTCTCAACAATGAAAGTTTGAAACAAACATTAGGAAATGTTCACCATTGTCAGTAATCTGAGAAACACAATTTAAGGTAACCTGAGCTTACCTTGTACCTGCTAAGCAACAAAATATTTTTCACAAATAATGCTTGCTGCTGATGAGATTGAGTTTAAATTGATAGCCCCTTTGGAAGTTAATATCACAATAAATCATAGGAACCATAAAGATGTTTTGGCCTTTGCTCTAACAATTCCATTCTTAGAAATTTATCCTAAGGAGGTAAATCAACAGAAATAGAGTAGAAAGATTAATGGATAAAAGTGGTCATTGTATTATACAAACAGTAAAAGAGAAAGAGAAAGATGATCCTCAAATGCCTAGTATTCAGAAACTGACATATGTCAACACAGTGGAATCTCATCTAGCCATAAACATTATAAATTGTAAAGCTAGGAAAATTTAAAAAATAGCATTCCTGCTGAATTTACAATATTTAAAAATATGACCTCAAATGGAAACAGATTGGCAAAAATAAGAAAACTGGCCTTAACTAAGGGTTTGTGTTTTTTAAAGGAATCATCATCAGCATAACTAATTCTTCCTAAAAGAATGTAGGGTATTTTAGCAGAGCTGGTTCACAGGTGTGTGACATGCAGTCACATAGGATCTCATGCCTAAAAGGACACTGCACTTGATTTTATGTGCTTTTATTACCTTTTTATTTAGAGATAGGGGTCTTACTGTATCACCCAGGCTGGACTCGAACTCCTGGGCTCAAGTGATCATCCTACCTTAGCCTCCCAAGTAACTTGGACTACAGGCACACACCACCATGCCTGGCATGTACTTGCTTTAATGCCATTTTTGTCTTGAAATTTTAATTTTTGAGCCAAAGACCCCAGATTGTCATTTTGCACTGGGCTTCCAAAATTATGCAGCCAGTCCTAATTCTTACTGCTGAAACACTAATACAGCCATTAAAAAAAAAAATCCCCATCCGTAATGCTTAATACAGACTGCTGGGAGGGTGACTCCCCATGCAGCCTTCCTTGCACTGATGTACAACTGTTCCTTTTAAATAAAAATATCCGGCGAGCCATGGTGTCTCACGCCTGTAATCCCAGCAGTTTGGGAGGCCAAGGCGGGTGGATCACTTGAGGTCAGGAGTTCAAGACCAGCCTCACCAATATGGTGAAACCTCATCTGTACTAAAAATACAAAAATTAGCCAGGTGTGGTGGTGGGCCCCTGTAATCTCAGCTACTTGGGAGGCTGAGCCAGAAGAATTACTTGAGCCTGGGGGTTGGAGGTTGCAGTGAGCCGAGATCCTGCCACTGCACTCCAGCCTGGGTGACAGAGCACGACTATGTCTCAATAAATAAATAAATAAATAAAATAGCTGGAGAGCCATACATAAAATGTAATGTAATGCAACTTTGCTACATTTTGTTTTGCAAAGTTTTTAAGAATAAAGAAATTATTTTTTTAGCAGCCGGGCGCAGTGGCTCACGCCTGTAATCCCAGCACTTTGGGAGGCCAAGGCGGGCGGATCACGAGGTCAGGAGATCGAGACCACGGTGAAACCTCTTCTCTACTAAAAATACAAAAAAATTTAGCCGGGCGCGGTGGCAGGTGCCTATAGTCCCAGCTTACTCAGGAGGCTGAGGCAGGAGAATGGCGTGAACCCGGGAGGCGGAGCTTGCAGTGAGCCAAGATCACGCCACTGCACTCCAGCCTGGGCGACAGAGCAAGACTCCGTCTCAAAAAAAAAAAAAAAAAATTATTTTTTTAAAGGTAACATCTAGCCCCCCTAAATGCTCTCTAGGCTGTGCTAATTTTAGAGTCAATTGATTCTGAAGGTTCCTGTCTTCAAGGGCAGTCCAAAGCACTCCTCTGTTTGTTTTTAAATGGTTCAAGGGGCCTTTGGGGTTTGCATACAGCATCAATTATTTAGGAAGCCAACCATCCCCATTACCACCTCTTATTACTAATACTTGATAACGTCAATTTAAAAATCTTCCCTTCTGCAGCCTGTCCCAGAGATGGGACCATTTTAACTCAAATGGTTCTTTTACATATCAAAAGCCCCTGCAACAGAAAGTCATTTGTATATGCAAAGGATCAGTTGTAAATATGATTTACGAACAACATTTCTCAATAGTTATCCGAGCGGTTTTGTGTGATCACCCCAGTCCCCTTTGGGTGAACCATGCGCTGGTCCATAATGAGAAAGTTGGCAGACCTCATCGCAACCACGCTCATCCCAGTGGCTGCTACCAGCCGGGCCTCATGTTTTGCCTTGTTTACAGCTGACAGCGTTATTATTCTGATTGGGGCTCTGCTTTCTTATCATATTGTTGTGTTGAGCGAGCCTTTTCCTCTACGTTTGTGTTTCCTGGCAGGGCTTTTCTTGCCTTATTGACAGTTTGTAAAAATATGCATTAATTTGGAGTTTCAAGCATGTATATCATGGTGTCTCTTTGCTGTGTTTGCTTGAAGTTGATTAATGATAGAACCTCGCTTGGGGTCGTCCTCTGGAGAGTTCTTTCACAGGTTCTGCATGTTAACTAGCAAAGCAGAACACACAGCAAGCCATGATTAGCCCAGCCTCCTCTGCTCAGTGGTCCCCACAAACTGCCGTTGCATTACAGATTCTTATTTCGTGTAATTATTTGAAGATGGGTATTCATCCACCCAGGATGCCACTACGGGACCTGTTATCTGGTACTCAGTGTGGTTCTAGGACCACCGGCATCACTTGGGGGCTTGTTAGAGATGCAGAGTCTCAGGCCCCACCCCAGACCTGAATCACACACTGCATTTCAACAAGGCCCACAGGTGACTGCAGCGTGTGTTAAAGTATGAGAAATGCCACCAGGGAGGAGAGGCCCACACCAGTCCAGAGACTAGTGATTCAGAGCATCACTACCCAAGAGAACTTTACGCAGTGATGCAAATGTTCCGTCTGTCTCTGTGCTGGCCAGAATTAACCGCTAGTCACATGGGGCCTTTGAACATAAATGTGGCTAGCACAACTCAGAAACTGAATATTAAATGTAGTAAGATTTCGTTCATTTCAATTTAAAGAGCCACGTGTGGCTAATGGTAACAATACTGGACAGAGTTCTAGTTCTAGAGTGCGGCTTTTCTGTTGCCCCAAACTTTTCAGTGCACCTGAGCTGCAATGGGCTGGGAAGTACCCTCACTGAACCTCTGCATATTTTTTCCAGGCATCCTGTACACGTCAAAGAAGAGCCCCTCGATCCAGAGGAAGCTGAAGGGCCCCTGTCCTTAGTGACAACAGCCAACCACAGTCCAGATTTTGACCATGACAGAGATTACGAAGATGAACCAGTAAACGAGGACATGGAGTGACTATCGGGGCGGGCCAACCCCGAGAATGAAGATTGGAAAAAGGAAAAAAAAAAAAACACGTCAAAAGTTAGCAGTGAAATTGTTCTCCATTTGTTGTACAGTCTGGAGGATTTTCACTACGTTTTGACAACTCTGAAATGTGTTAACTCTTAGTGCCATCAAGAACCCCATTTGGGAGTATTTTTGATTTTTCTACTTTTTGTTGAAAAAAGGAATTTGTACTCTGTGCATTGGATGGACTTGTTTGGTACTTGGGATTTTCCTCTCTTAACCGTCAACATCAGTGTTGTAAATTTGCTAAACTGATTCACTTTTAGCAGCAGACTTTGAACTGCAGTCCTGCCAACGTTGGACACTGAGGACGCCCGACAGAGCTTGTGCACCTAAGCTGCAGACCAAGCCTTTGCCCAGAATTTAAGGATTCCAATGGACGACCTATTTGCACAGTACTGCATGTTGATTATCACTGCCTTTACTCCTTTTTTTTTTTTTTTTTTTTTTTTTTTTTTGCTTCCAGTTGGGATGGGGAAGGCCTTTGTGTGTGTATTGGGGGGAGGGGTTAAAAAATAATTATCCCAAACTTTTTAATGTATTGCTTTTTTTTTTTTTTTTTTTCCTTCTACTATACCATTTTAAGTTCTGACCTCAGGCCTCCATTTGGGCCGATGGCCTCTTGGAGGCTTAAAGTTTTCTGTACCTTGTGATGAATGTTAATAGGTGTTTTTATTATACAAAGCTGAATGTCATTTCTCGTTTGTAGCTTTCTGTCACTCATTCCATCTTCCTTCAGACATCACCACGTTTCTCTAAAGTCAGAAAACATTCCGTTTTGGTCTTTTTCAAAAAGGTCCCAAATGCTGCACTCTACACATGAAGGCCCTCTCACACAGACGTGACGTCCTGCCAGAAAGAGAATGAATGACAGAAAAAAAAAAGAGAGACAAACTCTAGGAACAATGCCGATTCATTCCACGCAGCAGTATTGGGGGTGGTTCGGGGGAGGGGTGTTTCGGATTTTCTTTTTTTCTTTTCTTTTCTTTTTTTTTTTTTGCAGCAACCATTAATAAATGCCACCACATTCTACCAGCACAAGGAAACATAGGCAGCACTGAAAAAAAAAAAAAAGCTCATATTAATTAGACTGACAATATGGCCTTGGAAGGCTCTCCCTTGTGGAACCAAGTTGCCATGGGCCTTGGGTGCTCTGCGATAACGGGTGTGGGTTGGTTTTGTTTGCAAAATGGCCAAAAAAAAAAACCGGCTTCCCCGAGCAGCTGCCCTGAAAGTAGGGGTGGCGGCGGCGGCGCTGAGTTTATACATTAGTTCAGACCTACTTGGTGGCATTAAACTGTTTGAATGCAAATTCGATTTCAGATTGAACTTGTTAAGGGAGTTAACGAGGGCTGAGTTCAGCAAATGCTAAAGTGTTAATTTCAAATATGCAAATTTGGTACTGCAGTTTGTTATGCAATATTATATCACCAACCCAGTATCACAAAAACTCATAGAAGATATCATGTAGGCCCTGGGCTTTGGGGGGGTCCCAAACATGGTATGCAGAAATGTGATGGTTACAGGTCAGTACAACCTCAGTCCTTAGAACCCCTCCACACTTCAGCTCTGCACCCACTTTCCTGTCATTTATTTATATAGGACTGTAGTTTTTTTTAGTTCGAGAGCCTTTCGAAGCTTAATTTATATTCTTTCTTTGTACCTTTTTTCTAAAATTACCAAAGATATTACACAAAGGTAAATTATGTTCTCTGTTTTATGCTTTATCTGATGAAGCCAAATATCCTCTTATTGTTGATCAAAGGAGGCAAAAGAATTTAGAGGCAAATGACAAGCGATAGGCTATTGCAACCTGAGAAAGAGAACTGCTCCTTCATCGTAAATTTAGAAGACCAAGTAGATAATGGAACCAAAGTTGTTACTTTTTTCTAGTAGTTATTTTTCCTTTTTCTTTTTGTGTACCTCTACAGAGACCAAAACTCATTCTCTTAAAGAGATTTTATGGGGCTACTGCAGATAAAAATAGGACACAATATTAAAGGAGCTACAGAAGGAAGGGAGTCCCATCTCAAAAAAAAAATGAATGTATGCCACTGCAATTAGAGTATCCAATAAAGGAGACAGTTTAGAGTCAGGACAGAAAAGCTTCCATAATTGAACTAGATTACATAATAGTATTTCTAGAAAAAGAGATATTTTTAGATTGTATGCCACTTTTGTTTAAGAACTGTGCTGTGATCACTGTATTAATTTTGGTTTATCTTGGCATATATCCTTCAGTTTGTTTTTATTTTTAATTTTTCCTTTTTTTCCGATTAGGCTTTGGTCAGCATTTTTCATTTAAAGAAAAGTAACACTCCCATCCACTCATAAGCTTGGTACAAAAACTTCTCTGGCAGTTACTTTTGAAGCTTCACTCTGCTTTCTGTATAAAGGGCAGTCTGTGGTCACGCAAGACTTTAAAAAAAAAAAAAAAAAAAAAAAAAAAAAAAAAAAAAAAAACTTTTCCAGGCAGCTTCATGATGTGCAGGCAGTAGCCAGACAGGGTCATGGGAAGGGGGCCCTGTGCTTCTAAACTGAGTGGTTGCTGGTTAGTTTGGTATTCAAAAGAGGATAAAAATCTGGTAGATTAGTTCATTCTCAGCATGTGTAGCTAGACATGAGTAAAGATAACAGCATGAGAAACTGTTAGTACGCATACCTCAGTTCAAACCTTTAGGGAATGATTAAAATTTAAAAAAAAAACATTTCACTCAGTTGCACTTAGTCGTATGTCTTGCATGCTTAGTCTAAAGACTGTAGCAAAAAAAAAAAAAAAAGAAAAATTAGATTTTACATATCTTTGCAGGTATCACAGCCTTGCAGAAGAACCAACTGAAAAAAAAATTCTCAGGCTTTACAGCAAGCAAACTTCACTATGATTTTTACAATTCTGATTCTGTATCCCCTGGGGGTTATCCCAGTTGCTTCTTTAGGATGGGGTTTATTACGTTGTACATATATCCCGATGTGTCTGTGTGAATCTTTGTCTTTTTTGGGGGAGGGCAGAGGGCGGTTCTTTTTTTAGATATTGTTCCTAAAAAGGAATAAATGCATACACCTGTTTGTCAAAACACCTTTGCTTTTTGTGCAACTGCTTTATATTAACGATACTAAAAAAAAATAGCTTTGGAAAAAAAACTACTGTATGTAACGGAATTGCAGAATATGCTGCACATGTATTTTATTTAGTTATCCTTGCTTTAAGAATATTGGATGACATTTCCTGACATGTGGGAGGGAGAAACTCCCTAACTTTTTTTTTCTGCTTTTAAACTGTAACATAGTTGAAGATTTCTTTTTTCTGTTCTCATTGATTGGAGCATTTTGTACAGGTTTTGTGTGTGTGTGTGTGTGTGTGTGCGCGCGTGCGTGTGTGTTAATCTGTTTTTTGATACATTCCTATCCCTTGTGTTTATCCTACCACTGCCTTCCTGGCTATCTTAAACAAGTTCATACATTTGAAAAGAAAAAAAAATGTTGTTTAAAAAATGTTTTCTCCTGCTGCAGTAAATATTTTGCATGATGAAATTCCAGGGTCACACTTTTCCAAGTTTATCAGTGAAGTAGTGATTAACAATGGGGAGTGTCAAAACTATTGAACTTTTGTATAAAAAAAAAAAAACTTTACAAGGTGCCAAGATGTAAAGAAAATCTGTTACTTTTTTTTTCTCAAAGAAAAGCATACATTAGGGAGGTAGTCCCGTGTGTCAGACAAATGCACTGTCAGGAATGAGGATCCAACCTACCTGTCCCTAGAGTCCGTCTTGTAAGATGAGTTAGGCTGCCCCTTGGACCAGCCACAAAATGGAATATCAAGGCTTATGTACATACGTGAAGAGTTACCACCAGTCCTGCCACCTTTGGACAGCTCTAACACCATCCCCAGCATCCAGTCAGACCTAGTAAAGAAAACCTTGGATTCTTAACCCAAGATAGGCTGTAAATCACTAGCTTTTTTTTCCTCATGAAAAAAAATAGAGTTAAAAAATATTTCCTCTCTTTTCCATATTCCAGCTGAACTCCGTTTCCAAAGGCACAAAGAAGAGTGTGCTTATTCAGATTTTGAATCTTTTTGGTACCTTTTGGTTAATGACATAGCCTCCTGAAATTCTGGATGTCTTCAAAGTCAGTTTTGCTTCTTTATCCTGAAAATCAGATTTACAATGCTGAAGGCATTTCTTGGGCCCAGTGTAGCTCACGCAATCTCTGCTACCCATAAGCCTTGATGAAGATGATACAGTCCGGACTGTGAGCATGGTGCTTCATGTATATGTGCTGCCAGTAACAAGAATTTTTTTGTTTTGTTTTGTTTTGTTTTGATAAGGCATAAAAGAAACTCATTCCTTGACATCAACTGTAATTCCATCATTCCATGTCTGCGGATACAGACAATAAAAAAAATGTTGTGTAGTCAGTACTAATTACTGACATTATAAGCATTCTCAAATGCAATAAAAATGCTGGTTGTTCACGCTGGTAGTAAAAGTTGCCACAGCCTAAGTTTGTTTCCCTTTCTGACCTGCTGATATTGTATGTTAGGCATATGCCTTAGGTTTATCACCAGCTGCTTCCAATGCAGAATTAAAATCAATCTTAAAGCTTTCATGATCAGGGAAGGCTGAAGCTCTTATCCTCAGGATTTCCAAGTGAAAGTATCCACTTAGAGAATTGGGAAGTAAAAAAAAAAGAGCAAGAGATGTTATCTTTTCTCTTGAGGAAGCACACTCTTATTTTTTTCATCAAATTTTATAAAGAAAAACAAAATGTTTAATAACTAGCATTAAGAGCAAACTAAAATTTCAGAGGAAAGCAATTTCATGAATAATTCATTAAAATTTCACATCTGCAAGATTAGTCATCCAAATAAAATGCTAATGTCAAAAACATGCACCGTCTATAATATTCTCATCAAGAAATCTTTTTGCATATAATGATAAATGCTTAGATTAGAACAAATGATTTTATAAAAATATTCTATCAAAAGTATGCTAGATAATTGCATTCATTGAAGAAAACAGAACTTCAGTACCTAAATATTCCAGAAAAACCATCTTAATTTTGAGATTTTAAAAAAATAATTAGATGCATTTAGGAAATGTGCTGTTTCTTTTTAATATTACTCTATAGTATATATTCTAGGGATTAATGAATTTGAGCATCACCTTTCAATAAAAAATTAAATTGCCAATATGAAAGCAGTATTTTAAGTGGCCAAACCGTGGTAACATAAAACCATTACATATATAATTCAGAGCACATAATTCAGGGCAAAGGATGACTTGAAAATTAACCTCCCAGTCTTTATTCTGCAAAACACCCACCGATGCTGAGGATACAAGTGAACATTCTTTCCCAGCATTGTTTTGAAAAGCCCATATTAGCAAAGTTGTGTGTGTGTGTCTGTGTGTGTGTTTTTAACAAGTAGATTTTGCTATTAAGTTGCAAACTAGTGTCCTCTTTGAATTAACAATTATGCCCTATCTAGAAACCCCTTAGTCTCAATAATTAGCAAAACATTTGAACCTTTAATTCTCACCTGGCTACTGAGACTATAATCTTAGGGTTAATTCAAATTCCTGTAATTACCAGGCTTAAACCTAAATACTGCTTACAGCCTATACATTAGTAAAATTTAAAAATGTACAGATACTTCTTTTAATAAACTGGAGGACCTAAACCAAGTATGACGATATGTTAGTGAAGATTTTGCTGGTTGAGGCATAGTACATTTTAACTTATATTTCAGGAATTGTTCTCAAGCAGGAACACTCTTTTACATATTTATTTCAGGCTTGTCACTCTCATAAACGAGGCAGCAAACCCAAAATATTGGCTCTTCTTATAAATAGGCGCCTTTATATAAAGAACATAAAACTCTTAAGACTAATTTCACACCAACACAGGCAGCTTCATAATAGTAACCACCTCTCCCTCCCCACTAAAAAAGATAAAAACAAAGTATAATTAGTCTTTCTTATTAGATTTTTGTCTTTGATGATATTACGTATTTATGTGTAGGGTAGTAATCACAATTTATCCTTCATCTTCATTGTAGTTGAATCAAATAAAAGTATTCTTTATTCAAATAATGTGAAGTTGGGTGTCTCAAACCTTCATTTAATGAATTGATGAAAGGTTTAAGACAAAATTCACGTTGGAGGGAAATTAAGTTACATACAAAAACACTGGTTTTAACTGTGGGACAATATTTGGATTAGAAAACCATCTCTAGATATAACCTACTTATATTTATTTTTAAATGGTATTTTATTTTTTAAAATAACAAAACCCAATGTTGTCTTATTTCCACTTTGATTGTAAAATGACATTCAATGCTTAATACCAAAATATATATATATATACACATTTGAAATTATCAACGGTCCTTTTTTTTTGGTTTATATTGAAAATATTGTGAAGGGAAAAAGACAAGCTTCAAGTTATAATGTTAATTTGAAGGTAACCGGCCTTTCAAGAATTAATTTCAGCCAAAGCAATAATCATTATTTACCAGCGTGTGACATTTTTATCACTCATCATATTAGCAAATTTCCATTGAAAATGCTAAAATGGTTCGTCATAAGGCAGATAACTGCTCGAGCTGTAAAAATGACCAACACAAGTGCCGGTACTCAAACATTAAATTATACTGTAATTAATAAAGACAGTTAAACTGTCTACTAGCAACAGCAATTTAGGTAACCACATTTGATCGGCTATAAATTGTAACTACATTAAAATTCCAGAAATATTAGCAATATGGATTACTTGATGGAAGTCAGTGCTGATCACCAACTCTTTCTTTCTTTCTTTCTTTCTTTTTTAAACAACGGAAGCACAGGTCATGTTGACCACAAATCCGTGGGCGAAGATCAGGCCTTAGCACTTTTAATCTTGTGAAACAAGCAATTACAAATAGTTGCATCGATTTGTTAAAAAGCTTTAGGTGACATAAATTGTTTCCTGTTTAGCTTACTGCTCTGATACATAAATGTCACCAAGCCCAGTATTAATTAGGGCCATAGAACAGCAGAGGGTGGCCGATATGGCATCCAATCAAGAATTTGTCAGTCCTTTGTGAAAGTTCTGAAGGGCTGCTCTCACTGGCTCATTTCTCATTAGTGACAGAGAGAGAAAAGGAAAACTATTTTGTTATGCGAAGTCTTTAATACCAGCTTGATTTTGGGTTTTAAACTAAATCGCAGGATTTCAGACTTGCTTTCTTACTATTGGACATAAAACGCCACATTTTAAAACTATCTTCTAAACAGAATAATATTTACAAGGCATTTCAGCCCCTGAAAAGCTAACCCTTTTTCCCCTTTTCAATATAGGGTACTATACATGTTTCCTTGGGTTTATATTTCTACACTTAAAATACAATTTTAAATGGCTTTTGCACGCTATTGACTTAACATCAATCAAATGTATCATATATACTTTCTTTAGGTTGGCATGCCACTTAGAAAAATATGTGAGATTCTGGAGGAAAAAAGTCTGGAGAAAATTTATTAAACAGAAGTTTTTACTGTAATAGAATATTAATGTAAGCCAATGCTCTTTTGCCATTAAGCTGATCCTTTTTTTTTTTTTCAAACATACACATGCTTTTTATTATTTTGCACTCAAGCAAAAATTCCACATTCAAAGACTTTCCATCTAGTCGGGAATGTCTCTGGCAAGAAACATGTCAAGAAATCCTGACCTCCCGAAAGACATCAGACATCATTCACACTGCGCATTCACCCCACTGGGCAGGGAACACAAGCCCACTTTCCCCAAAACGTAACGTAGATGCTGGTCACCAGTGGGGAAGAGGGGGAACAATTACTCTTTAAATCCTTCCTCACTGCTACTCCACCAGTGCACAGATGAAAAATGTTTGATTTGCAACATAAAAGATTCATTAATTACCACTTGAATATTTAAAGCTATTTTGCAGTCTAACAGAGATAGATAAAGCAGTGAATTAAAACCTCTAATAAAATTGTAAAAATAGTTCGGTAAGTTTACCCGTGTTATGATTTAGGGAGAGATTCAAGCATTCTCGCAGAATAGATTTTAGCATTTTTCAAGCGTGTATTTGAAGGAAGGAGCTAAGTGTTTGGGGAATAATTTGTTTCACATTTTCAAATGTTTACTAATAATTTCTTTTCAAATCAAGCTTGCTACTTTAGGACTCTATGGATAGAAAAAAAAAAATCTGCCAAACAGGTCGGAGCATTATTTGTCTGACCAGAAATTTAAATTCTTTAGAAGTATTCAGCTGGCTGTGTAAGAAAACTGCACATGTACCCCCTGAATCTAAAAAACAAAAATAATTTTTTAAAGTGTTCAGCTGGGCTGAAGGGTTTAGTAGCCATATACATAAAGTACTGATTTCCTTCCCACAAAATGCATCACATCTAAAAACACTCACCTCAAGAACACAGCCTAGCAGTCCCTCCCACCCCTGCACAGCTCCTTCCTTCAGTAGATCCATGATCCATTCAGTGTTTGGATCCTGGGATCCTAGAAGTAGACCGTGCCCAGCACACTCTGAAATCAAACGCTAGAGAATCCACATACCAGGCTACCAGTTCCAGCCCTAACCAAAAGAAACTGGGTGACGTTAGCAAAGTTCCTTCATCTCTTTGGTCCTCAGCTTCCTCTGTTAATTGACATTTAACTAAATGATGAAAAGGGTTTCTTCCAATTTTAAAGTTCTAAAGTTTTAATAACATATTCTCCCTTGGGGACTTCTCTTGATGAAATCCATAGTCTCAGCATAAAAGAGTAGTGTGGCACTTCATATTTCAACCAATATTCTGAAATAGTCTTATCAAATCCTGCCTTGTAACTTGCCCTGTCGGAAGGAAATTTCACTAGCATACATGTTTCTATCCACTCATCTATTCATCCATCCATCTACTCACCCACAAAGAAGCTTTAAAGGCGTTAAACGACCTACAGCTCAGAATAAGATAGACACAGGCTTGGCCTCATTGTACCTAATGGTTCACAGGGAGGAGTTGCAGTGCACGCAGTGCCAATGAGAGGGCAAGTACAGGAATACACAGGAAGACCGCCTGCTTCCACTGGGGACCATCAGGGAAGCTTCCTGGAACATGCAAGGTTTAACTGAAACCCAAAAGATGGCTAAGGCTCTGCCGGCTAGAGGGAGGGAGGGAATGTTCTAAGCAAAGGGAATAGCGCTCTGGCAGGATCTGGGGTATGAGAGGTATGAGACTTTCCAAGCAGAGGGAGGCAAAAAACATTAAAAAAAAAATACACTAAGTCATCATTGCAGTTACCATCTAACAATAATTAATACCATCCAGTGCTTCATGTGGTCTAGCTCAGTCATTCCTCAGGAGGTGTTACTGAAATCAGTTCTTTCAGATTGGGAAACTGAGGCACAGCGAGGTCAAGAGACCTGCCCAGCCCCTCAAGATCTCTTCTTCTCTGGCCACACTGGTCGTCTTGCCATTGTGAGCTGATGAATTTGGAGGCCTGAACCCACCAAGCATGCTCTGCCTCAGGGCGGGAAGTTGCTCTTCCCTTTGCCAGGAATGCTCTCTCCCTGGCTGTCTCTGTGGTTCACACCCTCCTTCTCCCTGCAGGTCCCCTACTGCAATGTTCCAGCAGAGAAGCCTTTCCCAACCGTGCAGGGTAAATGGCACTCGCATGGCCCACTCTACTCCCCACTCCATGCCCCATCCCCCGGCCTTCTTTATTGTTTCCATTGCACTTAACCCCTCTCAACATTGTATATTCATTTGTGTCTTTGCTTACTCACATCTCCCTTCCAACTACAAGGGCAGAGACTTTGCCCTTGTGGTTCCCTGCTGCATTCCCAGCATGAAGACCAGGAATCAATGCTCACGTTTGTTGAATGAATGAGTGAACAAACATGCTGCTAGGAAGAGTAGAGGTAGGATTTGAACCCTTGCAATCAGATAACAGAGCCTGCCTGTGTAAACTATTTCATTGTATTTCATAGCCAACCAAAACCAAATATCATTTCTCAAACTTTCACACTGAATCTGCAAGGTGGGGAATGGTCACCAGCATTTTACTGATGAGGATGCTGGGGTCTTTCTTTTTTTTTTTTTTTTTTTTTGAGAGACAGTGTCTTGCTCTGTCTCCCAGGCTGGAGTAGGGTGGCCCAATTTCAGCTCACTGCAACCTCCACCTCCCGGGTTCAAGTGGTTCTCCTGCCTCAGCCTCCCAAGTAGCTGGGATTACAGGCATGTGCCACCATGCCCAGCTAATTTTTGTATTTTTTAGTAGAGACAGGGTTTCACTATATGTTGGCCAGGCTGATCTCGAACTCCTGACCTCAGGTGATCTGCCGGCCTTGGCCTCCCAAAGTTCTGGGATTACAGGTGTGAGCCACCACACCCGGCCCGACGCTGGAGTCTTCTACGTGACATGCTCAAGGTTGCATGGAGAAGAACCCGGGGAGTTGATATTTACCTCCATAACTGATTCCACAGCCCTGTCTATTAGCCCTGGTCCTGCCACCACCTCCAGAGAGCCTCTTAACAAAATAAAGGGTTTTATACAAAGGTACCAAATATGCTCACATAATAATATAGCTTTAAAACAAAGCCATTGACGTCAATTTTTAAGATGTTATGAAGTTATCAGGCGGGGCACAGTGGCTCACACCTGTAATCGCAGCACTTGGGGAGGCTGAGACAAGTGGATCACCTGAGGTCAGAAGTTCGAAACCAGCCTGGCCAACATGGTGAAACCCCATCTATACTAAAAATACAAAAATTAGTCGGGCATGGTAGCACACACCTGTAATCCCAGCTACTCAGGAGGCTGAGGCAGGAGAATCACTTGAACCCAGGAGGCAGAGATTGCAGTGAGCCAAGATCATATCCACTCCAGCCTGGGTGACTCCGTATCACTCCAGCCTGGGTGACTGAGACCCCGTCTAAAAAAAAAAAAAGATGTTATGAAGTTATCAAATAATGTGGAGAAAAACCATCTAAATGTGAGCCCTATATAGGCTGTCATGCCCACAGTTAAATAGTGTGTCAGGAGAACCATGCCCCAGCATGGAACAAGACTGAATTGTAGGCTCTGTCTATTGGGTATCTACTGGGGTATCATGGTGTCTTCATGGCTTGCCTCACCTCAAAGACGAATATTTCTAGTCCTGACTGCAATGGTGAATAGCCCTCCAACTTCCTTGAGTCTGTTTAATGTAATAAGGTACATACATTAGAAGTCTTACTAATAGGTAGAGAAAAACATTTATATCTAGAATTTCATGCCTTAGCTGGGATCCAGCATCCCTGGAGGAACACAGAGAGCAACCATGAGCTCCTTGATGACAAGACTCACTCTGTCCCATTCATGGTGGAGCCACCCTGAGCATGCCTGGCAGAGAAACACAGAAGCTGGGGCTGGGAGAGACAGGCCTGGAACTGGAGCCAGACAAGTGGAATGCAGTCTCCCTGACCTCTTGATGACTGCGCAACTTTTGGCAATTTACTTACACCTCTCTGAGCTTCAGCCAAAATTCTGACATTACAAGAGCATGATAATGATTAAATGAGATAGTATATATATGTAAAGAGTAGGCCATAGAATACATTCTCAATAAATGGGGTAGAATTTTGGGGGGGGGTGTGGCATCAACCAGCCTGTCTTTGTGTGTTTTACAGTCTAGCTGGGAGCCAGGCATTAATCAGTTTCACAGAGAAATATGAAAGTCCATGTGTTACAAGAAGTTGCAGTACGCAGAGCTATGCTCTGACAAGGAGGAATCAGGGAATATGTTTAAGATGTGAAAGATGAGTAAGAATCAGCTAGGTGGATTTCAATGACTTATGTTACCCTGCATTCATTCCCATTTTCTTCAATTATAGCACCCTTATTTTTCATTTGAGGAGCTACTCTTCTTCTATCTGTCAGTATTGCTTCAATAGGATTGTCACCGTTAGCCTGACTGCTCAGATCTAATCCCATGACTTTTACTAAAATTGTTGTAATAAATACTCTTCCTGAAAAGATTGATAGACTAGGACATGGTCCTGGAGCTATAATATGGGAAAGGTAGACCCCAATGAAAGGAAAAAGAGGAAAACAGAAATGAAAGAGAAAGAAACAAAGGTGGAAGCTAAGAACAAGATTTAGATCTGAGACCAAGACCAAGATGGAAAGCCAAGAAGGGAGACTAAACCCCAAGTTGGAAACAAGAAACAGAGGTACCTACACACCAAATACTGATCAATTACTTGAGTCCCTGGATCTGGCCATTCCTGAAGCTAGAGATACATGCCTGGATTTTCAATTATGTGAGTCAGTAAATTCTCTTGTATATGCCAATTTGAGTTGATTTTCTGTCTCTTATAATCAAAGAGTCCTAATGAATATACTCTGGGGTGGGGGGCATTTCACAAAGGCAACCACGTGCATTAAGGCCTTATAGCAGGAGGAGACATTACAAGTTCCAGGACCTGAAAGGGGGCCTATATGGCTGGAGCTCCAAATGTCAGAGACAACATAGGGTAGTTGATGTTCAAGGCAAAAGCAACGGCTAGAACACTCATTATCACGGCTTCCTGAGAAAGAACCATGCAACACACTAAATATATGTTCTAAATTATACTTCTCTCATTTTGCAGATAAAACTAAGACTACCAAATACACTGGTATCAGGGCTAAGAATGACACCTCTTTGGGGCTAGAACAGAAGTAAAATGACTGTTTTGTGCTTTAACAAAATTCAACATAATCAAAAATGCCAAAAAGGGATAGTTGATCCAGGTCATGGAAAAATGACTTGGATGAATTTTATATCACTTCTCTCACAGCTTGATCAGAGGGAACTTGGCTTGAGGCATCACTAGATGCAGGGCTCAAATGCATAATCACAGCTAAGCAGAGCGAGCGGGGGTCACTACACCTAAACACAGCCTCCAAAAGTGGTGTGTTTTTTTTTTTTTTTTTTCAAAAAAATGTCTTTCTGGTATTAAATAAACATGTCAATTAAGAATATGACAACGCCAGGTGCAGTGGCTCACACCTGTAATTCCAGCACTTTGGGAGGCCAAGGCAGGTGGATCACCTGAGGTCAGGAGTTCGAGACCAGCCTGGACAACATGACAAAACCCTGTCTCTACTAAAAATGCAGAATTTAGCTGGGCCTGGTGATGCATGCCTGTAGTTCCAAATACTTGGGAGGCTGAGGCAGCAGAATCACTTGAACCTGGGAGGCGGCAGTTGCAGTGAGCCAAGATCACACCACTTCACTCTAGCCTGGGCGACAGAGTGAGACTCCATCTCAAAAAAAAAAAAAGAATATTACACAAAATATGCTAAAGAGCAAGACAATGAGACACACAGAGAATGAACCCAAAGGTGGCACATATTTTATGTGCTTCCTTCCCCGCTAATGAAATATTCTCCATCTCTCTCCCCCCCACCCATCCTACTCACAAACACTGCCTGTGTCTGTGTAAAAGCCTCACACTCTCCCACCACAGGTGTGTTTCCATGGCTGAAACTCAGTTTGTACACACCTATATGGGGATATCATTGTCTAATTCTGACTGATTGCTGCCCATGCCATACAAGCTGTTGAATGTTTTGAATATTGTCCCTGGTTTCCTCTACGAAGAAAAGAAGATGGCCACAGGTAGTGCCTTGTCCTGTGGACCCAAAGTCAATGTCTCCCGTTTTCACCATTGGAAAAGTCTAGAGAAGGACTATGATTGACCCAACCTGGATCATGCATTGCACTCTTAGACAATCACAATGACCAACAACAGTGGGGAAGGGTGTGTCTTCCAAGTGGCCATGCCTGTGAGACATATATTTGCCAGCCTTACCAGAATCACATTGAGTGCGGGTAAAACTGTTCCCCTAAAAAGCAGTATTACCAGGGAGGTCAAAACAATAGTTGTCCACTACCCCTGTAATGTTAAGCATTGTGTTGCTTATAATGTTTAACACCATCGAAAGACTTAAGTCATGGCCCTCAAATGGCTATAATCTAGTGATACCTTAGACTATTGATTTAACAAACAGTTATATTGAATGCCTACTGTATGTCAGACACCTTGTTAGGCTCTGGGGATTCAGTAAACAAAGCAGAAAAAAATCCCTTCCTTCTGAAACTTACTTTCTAGAGAGGGGAAACAGACAACAGTAAATTAGATGATGATAAGTGGTTGGTAGAAAAATAAAGCAGGGAAGGGGAACAGAAAGCATTGGGGAGTGGGCTGGTAGAGTAGTTGCCATGGTAAAGGCCTCAATGGGGAAGTGACTTTTGAACAAGGACTTCTGAAGGAAGCAAACTAGGTGGATATCATGGAAAAGAACGTCCTAGGCAGAAAGAACAAAGAGGCAAAAATTCTGAGATTGGAGCAAAAAGAGTGTGGAAGAGGGTCATAGGAGGTTATGGGGAGCAGGTGGCACCATGTAGCAATGGCCCCATTGCGAGGACACTGGATTTTCCTCTGGGTAGATGAAAGCCACTGGCGGATTGGGAGCACAAATATGACATCAACTGATGTGAATTTTTAGAGAAGAACACTGGCTGCTGCAGAGTAAACATGGGGAAGCAGATGTGGAAGAAGAGGGGTCCCTTATGAGATAGAGGGTGGCTGGGACCTATAGGGTAGCAGTAGAGATGACAGATGGCAAGAAGACATTATATGTTGAAAAATGACTTGATGGAATTTGCTGCTGAATGTGGTGTCAGGTGTGAGAGATGAAAAGGGTCAATGGAGACCCCAAACGTGTTGGTGTAATAAACTGAAACAATAGGGTTGCCATGTACTAATCTGAGACTGTAGGATAAATAGGTTTCAAGTAATAGCAGAATATTCTTTTGGACTTTTAAGACCATGAGGCTTTCTAACCAACTACAGATGTTGAATAGGCAGCTGACTAAAGGAGCCTGGAGTTCAGAGGTCAGAGCTGCGTACGTGCAGGGGTGTGGGTTAGGTAAGGGCAGGAAAGAGTCCATTATATTTCAGTTTCAGTAACACAGAGAAGATAGAAAATCCTTGTCTGATGAAAATGGAATCTAATTTGGAGAAATCGAATAGTTTGGATTCAATGAAATCAAAAATTTGGAGATTCAGATGACTCATTTTTGGCCCAACACCAGGTGACTTGCTTAATGAACTGAAATTGATGTCCTTGGGAAAAAAATCTCCTATGCTAGCCTTAAAGGAGATTGTTATAACTACTCAGTGTTAAGTTCATTAAACAAAACAAAAAAAACTTTAATTTTTAACATGAGAACTAGAAAAATTCTGTGTGGAGGATGGGGAGAGAAAGACAATGTTGTTTATATATATACGCAACTTCTAATCTCAAGTATAATTTCCAAGGTTGGACATTTTCAGAGTTACTAATTTAAAAATAAACATTTTCAAAAAGATCAGTTGACCCTAGGTTCATTCTGTCTCAGAAGTCCTTCTTAATTACAGAACCTGCATAACCCATTTCCTTTGGTGTGCAAAAATGTGTGTAATTAAACCATCAGCATAATACCTATCTCCTTGTAAAACCCGCACTTATGAACTTTAACTGCTGAATAAAAACTCCTATTACATGACCATTAAGTATTATGAATAAAGCAAGTCATGGTAGGACTTGATTAATTTTTATGCACTATGGATTGTGTCTGGAAGAAATTTTATTTTGGTGGGTCTTCTCCAGGCAATCCCACAGCGTTCAATGGCTTCACTTCAGGAAAGATGTAATCAGTTGGCACAGGAAGAAGGCATTTCACCTCTTTACGGACCTCAGCTACTCTTAGGGTGTCTCTGCTCAGGGAGAAATCTCAGGTCTCGCTAATAAATAATAATCAACACAATCAGCATTAGAGAGAAAGGAAGTGGCAAGGGGTAAGCAGAAAAACCTAGATGATTCCCCCAGGGATAGTTTCCAAAGATGACAACTTTTTTAGGTTAATACAAATTATTTGAACTTATTTGTAGCTGAGGTCCATAAAGAGGTCAAATGCCTTCTTCCTGTGTCAACTTCCTACACATCTTTCCTGAAGTGAAGCCATTGAAGACTGTGGAGTTGCCTAGAAGACCCAGCAAAATAAAATTTCTTCTAAACACAATCCATAGTGCATACAAGTTACACAAGAGCCATGGTTTGAATCTGACAATACTATATTTGAAACTCTAAAAATCATCAATTTGTGCCTTGAGAGCTGAGGCTTGGAGATTCTGGGCTTGGACTTTGTTTGGGAAGAGTTGTGAACATCATCTCAAAATCTCCAACAGAATTTATTCTATGAACCTCCGAGTAGGGAAGCAGGATGGAAAGCAATGTCTCCAACCATAAAGAATGGAGTTTGATCAGCAGGTAGGAAGCAAAATTTGGAGCAAAGATGACTACAACTTAGAAGCTTGAGTCTGAGAAGTACCCAACACAGCGCCCCACCTGGGGTAAATGTCAGAGACCCCAAATAAGTTCAGAGGGATTCTGAAATGGAAAACTCCTGATCTAGGTTTTTCAGGATTAAGCCAGATACAAAGAAATCTGTACCCAAAAAGCACTCTTAACAAGAGATAACGGTGATGATGAGAGGAGGTGACCTTTCTTCTCAGGAGTGGATATGAGCCTAGAAACTGAGAAGTAATAGTTTACTATTACTGGCACCCAGGTAGAGTGGGGAAAACATAGGCAGAGATAAGCCCCATCAAGCATTTCTTTCTCCTCCTCTCTTCTTCTATTCTTTGATATATAGAAAATCCCACTAAGGGAGACTGCTCTTGGAAAAGAGTAGTGTCCAAATTCGAAGCACAAGCAAATTCCTTGAGGGTTGGGTTCAGCTGGCAGGGAGGTGGAAAATATGATACAGCCACGCCTGTTGTGAGGCAAGAGGCTCAAACACCCAACCCTTCTCCGAGGGTCTGGGTGCAGCTTTATCCCAGAATCCACTTTACTACCCAGATAAGCTAATACCACAGGCTGCATAAGTAGAGGGGGAAAAACAAGACACCTCAGAAATACAATGTACTGTGAAAGACAGATAGCTATCATTTTAAAATAAAGTCAAAGTAGAGATTTTCAGCATGGGCATTTTATTTTTGAGATGGGGTCTCACTCTGTTGCCCAGGCTGGAGTGCAGTGGTGTGATCTTGGCTCACTGCAACCTCCACCTCCTGGGTTCAAGCGATTCACCTGCCTCAGCCTCCAAGTAAGTATCTGGGATTACAGGCACCCACCACCACGTCCAGCTAATTTTTGTATTTTTAGTATAGATGGGGTTTCACTATGTTGGCCAGGCTGGTCTCAAACTCCTGACCTCAGGTGATCTACCCGCCTCAGCCTCCCAAAGTGTTGGGATTACAGGCATGAGCCACCGTGCCCAGCTCTCAGCATGGACCTTCTAGAGAACACTCTTAGAGGAAGTTTTCCAACAAAAGAAAAATGAGTCCTATTATATTTGCTAAATGAGGATAAATAAATAACATAGCAAAGTTTACTTTTGTGTATAAAAGCAGGGATGAAAACAACACACAATCTTAACAATCCAGAACAAAATTCCAGATGACATCAACAAGCAAGTGTTGTGGCAGGGGAAAGGGGCTCTGATCTAAGAGTATAACAAGAGAGAGGGGAGAGCAAGCCACGGTAGCTGTCTTATTCAGAGAATAGTTTATTTGTAGGCTTAAGAAATTTATAATGGAAGCATAGTAATATACATGGATCTTAATAAAGTAGTTGTAACCATCAAAATAATGAAAATTGTATGCAGAACTCTCAAGCCATCAGCAGGGAAAAAATGATGAGGAAAACAGAATATATAGAAAACAGGAAACAAGTTAGCAAGGACAAGTGTTAATAAATGGTTTTACAATACATATAAACATGTTAAATTCAAAAATGAAAGACTGATGTTTGTTAGAGAAAACAAGTTCTAGCAATATGTTCTTTATAAGAAGCACATAAACAAAAGGATACAGAGTTTGAAAATGAAGTGATAAGAAAGAAAAAATAATGAACCAAAAGAAAACGGTGGTAACCATTTCAACAGATGGAGAAAAAGAGGACTTTTTGGTACCATTTCAATAGAAGGGAGAAAAAATCACAATGGGCAAAGAGGTAAGTTAGAAGCCTGACAAAGAAATAAGAGATAAAGAAGATATAATGGTAAAGATAAAAGATAAAGAAGATATAATGGTAATGAATGTTTAATATCCATCTAAGAATATAGCCTCAAAACATACTAAGCAACAACTGGAGTTAAGGAGAAAAATGAATAAAACACTGTAGATGAAAGATTTAGTATACTCCTCTCAGAATGTGTTGGATCAATAAGAAAAAAATTAACCACAAATATAGAACATCTGAATAAATTGATCTGAAGATTCAAGCTAATAGAGATAAATGTATATGAAGAGAACTGTATATCAAACAAAAAAAGTATTATTGTTTTTAGCCATACGTGGAATATTCCCCAAATTAAGCAGGTACTAATTCATAAAACAAGCGTTAAATACAAAAGAATATCAAAAATGACATTCTCCTACATGATAGTTTAAGCATTTCATAAGCCTAGAGACACAGCAAGCCTAACTTAGGTAAAAATCATAATAAAAATTTAAAAATACTTAGAAATGAATGATAGTAAAAGTGCTAAAGTTGTTCTTAGAGGAAAATATAGCATTAAAAACATTTGATGGCAAGTAAAGGAGCATAAAAAACTAATTCAAAGAGTTGAAGACTGCTGCTGCTTCCAGCCCTCCACACCACCCCCCAAAAAAGATTGCCCAGACTGTTGCGTTGAGAGAGTTTGCAGCCTGAAGCACAGGGAGGCAAAACCCAAGAGATGAGAAAACAGTAGTCAGCCCTCACACAGTGCTGGCAACAGTGCTGTTGCCACTAGCTAGACTGGAAAACCTCAAGATTCACAGGACATTGATCAGAGTACTTAGAAGGGTCTTGTCTCATTAATGAGGATTAATTAGCTCTGGAATAAACATTGCTCAGGTACCACCTAACAAATCTTAAAAGCTAGACTCTAAAAGATCAAACTATTTCCAAGTAACTTAACTGCATCCAAGAACAAAGCTCAGGAATATTTGTGGGAATAATAATAGTAAAAAAATTCTGCACCCAATTAGGTAAAATTCACATCTGGCATCCAATAAAAAATTATCAGGCAAGAAAAGACACAGAACAGTATGACACATTTGAAGAGGGGGGAAAAATCAATAACTTGAGCTAACATAGATGTTAAAATTATCAGACAAAGACTTAAAAATATTTATTATAACTGTTTCATATGTTAAACAACTTAAGTCAAGACATAGCATATATAAAACAAGGCTCAAATTGAATTTTTAGAAATGAAAACTATAGTGTCTGAGAAGAAAAACATACTGGATGGGATTAATGGCACTTTGGACATTGTAAAAGGAAAGAATGAACTTGAAGACATAGCAATGAAAACTATCCAAAATGAAAAAGAGAATGAATAGAAGAAAAAAAGAGAGAAAAAGACAAAGAGAAGAAGGAAGGAAAGAAGGCAGGGAGGGAAGAAGGAAGGAAGAAAAGAGCATCAGTGAGCTGGGAGATAACTTCAAGCAACATAATCTACATGTAGCTGGAATCCCCAAAGTCAGGAGCGAAGAATAAAAATAGTTGAAGAGACTGGGCGCAGTGGCTCACGCCTGTAATCCTAGCACTTTGGGAGGCTGAGGCGGGCGGATCATGAGGTCAAGAGTTCAAGACCATCCCAGTTAACACAGTGAAAACCCATCTCTACTAAAAATACAAAAAAATTAGCTGGGTGTGGTGGCGGGCGCCTGTAGTCCCAGCTACTCGGGAGGCTGAGGCAGGAGAATGGCGGGAACCCTGGAGGCGGAGCTGGCAGTGAGCCGAGATCGCACCACTCCACTCCAGCCTGGGCGACAGAGCGAGGCTCCTTCTCAAAAAAAAATAGTTGAAGAAATAATGACTAAATTATCCCCAAATTTGTTGGAAGCTATAAACTCACAGTCTAAGAAGCTGTGTGCTTACCACTCCTATTCAACTTTGCATTGCACTATCCAGTGCAGTAAGGCACCCAGATTGCAAAGGAAGAAGTAAAATTTTATGTAGAAAATCTGACGAAATCTATGGAAAGAAACGAGAACTAGTGAGTTTAGAGAGATTGCAAAATAGAAGACCAATAGACAAATATCCACTTTATTTATGTGTATTAGCAATGAACAATGTAGAATGGAAATTAAAAAGCAATGTCATTGACAATGACATTAAAAATTATGACATACCTAGAGATAAATCAAACTAAATACGTGAAATTCAAATACACTGAAAACTGTAAGACATTGCTAGGAGAAATTAAAGAAAAACTAAATAAATGTCCATTGGTTGAAATATTTAATCTTGAGGTGTAAATTATCCCAAATTTAATCAGGAGATTCAACATACTCCCCCGTCAAAATCCTAGCATAATTTTAATAGAAATTGTCAAGTTGATTGTAAAATTCCTATGGAAATATGTAGGACCTAGAACAGCCAAAACAACTTTCAAAAAGAAGAACAAACATGGAGGTCTAGTATGGCTTATTTGCAAGACTCATCAAGTTGCAGTTATCAGGACAGTATTGTACTGGCATAAATAGGCAAATAGATCAGTGGAAGGGAATAGAGTCTCAGGATACACCTACATATATACTACAGACAACTGATTTCTTTTTGCAGTGGGGGTGGGGGGTGGTAAATGATATTCAGCAGAGAAAGAATGGTCTTTCAAGAAAACATGTTGAAACAATTGGATATCTGTATGCAAAATGACTTTCTACATATATCTCATACTTATACAAAAACTCAACAGACATTCAACTATAAAACTTGTAAAAAGAAATATAGTAAAAAAAATTTTGTGAGGCTGGGTTAGGCAAAGATTTCTTACTATACTACTACACTAAAAGGATGATCATAAAAATGTATGATTAATTGGACTTCATCAAAATTAAAAATTTTTGCTACTTGAAAAACACTATGAAGATAATGAAAAGATATGCCACGGACTGGGAAAAATATTTGCAAATCATACATTTGACAAAGGACTTGTAACCAAAATATATAAAGAACTCTTGTAATTAAATAATAAGAAAACAGATTACCCAATTTAAAATGAGCAAAAGATTTGGACACTTCATTGAAAAGACATATGAATGGTCAATAAGCACATGAAAAGATGCTGAACATCATTAGTCATTAGGGAAATGCAAAGTAAGGTTTTATTAGTCCTCATAAGGGGTTGCCACTACATATCTATTAAGATGAATACAATTTAAAGACTTGTCATAGCAAGTGTTTTCAAGGGTAGAGAAGAACTGAAACCATACAATACTGCTGAGAATGTAAAATGATGCAGTCACATTGGAAAGGCATTTTGAAAGGTTCTTGAAAATTAATCACATGTATACATATGTAACTAACCTGCACATTGTGCACATGTACCCTAAAACTTAAAGTATAATAATAATAAAATAAAATAAAAAAGAAAATTAATCACCTACCAACCACATAATATAGTAAGCCATTCCTGGGTAGTGACCCAAGAGAAAAAAGAACAGATGTCAATACAAAGACTCACACACAAAACATCATGAAAAACCACCCAGCATCAAAAAAATAAAGTACTGACACAATATCTATATTTGATACAACAATATAGATGAATCTCAAAATAATTATGCTGAGAAAAGTCATACAAAAAAGAGTACATATATTATTATTTATGTAAAATTATATGAAATGCAAACTAGTTTATAGTAACAGAAAGCAGATCAGTGATTGCCTGTGGACCAAGATGCTGGGATGGGTGGGAGCAAGAAGTAAGTTACAAAGGGGCATAAGGGAATCTGTTGAGTGTGGTGGAGGTGTTCATTCTTTTGATTGTGGTGATTGGCTCATGGGTGTATACATTTGTAAAATCTCATCAATCCTGCATTTTATGCAGTTAAGTTTTCTATGTTAATTATACCATAATAAAACTCTTTAAAAATAAAGTTGAGAAAGGAAATAGAGCAAATAGATATATGTGAGGAAGTAAGGATACACTAAAGATAAGAGCAGACAGAGGGGAAAAGCAGAGAAAATTGAAAAGATAAAAAGATTAACTTTTGGCAAGACTGATCATGTACACAAAGGAAAAAATCAGAAAAACAAAATATAGAATGATAAGGGGAGATAACTATAGAGATTAAATGAAAGAGCATTACGAACAACTCCAATTTCAGTGGAATTGAAAGAAGGACAAAAGAAACACTTTGGCATAAGATAAAAATAGAAAAATAGAATAGAAATTACAATGGCCATTAAACACCTACCCACTTCTACAATATGCCTCAGACCCAAATGATTCTACAGGTGAGATCTTCCAAGCTTTCAAAGAGCAGATAATTCTTACTCTACTCAGTTTTTCCAGGAGGAAAAAAAAGGGAGAAAGAGAAAATTGCACAATTCATTTTATAAGTCAAGTACCTCCTTGATCCCAAAATGTGATAAGGATAAAACAAGAAAGCAATTTACAAGTCTATTTCTCTTAAGAATATTTACATGTGAACACACAGTAAAATAGAGCTGAGTGAATAAAAGACGTATTATAAATACATTATAATCAAATAGGTCTTTACTCTGGGCTATAGGGATGGTCTGACTTCAGAACTTAAAAAGGAAAATTACAGGATTAACAACAAACACAAAAATCTGATAAATTTCAACACCTATTAGTGAAAATATACATTGATAGAAATCTACTTATCATTTCTATCATCTCAGTCTATCTCGATTTATTCACCCATTTAATATCTATCTCAGCATATAAGTATTTTCAACTTGAAAGTATTAAATAGCTTGGTAACAAAAACCATAGAAAAGATCATATATAACGGAAAAATCTTCAATGTGTATAAGATCGGAAACAAGACACTGATGTTTTCTATCATCACTACTGTTCAAAATAATGCTAGAGATCCTATTCATTTCAAAAACAAATAAATTAATATGTATACAGACTGAAAGAGAAATGAGGCTGGACATGGTGGCTCACACTTGTAATCCTGGCACTTTGGGAGGCTGAGGTGGTCAGATCACGGGAGCCTAGGAATTTGAGACCAGCCCCGGCAACACAGGAAGACCTTGTCTCTACTAAAAATACAAAAATTAGCTAGGTGTGGTGGCACACAGCTGTGGTCCCAGCCACTCAGGAGGCTGAGGTGGGAGGACCACCTGAGCCCCAGAGATTCAGGCTGCAGTGAGCCGAGATCGCGCCACTGCACTCCAACCTGAACAATGGCAGTGAGACCATGTCTTAAAAAATAAGTGAGAGACAGACCCTGTCTTAAAAAGAGACACAGAGAGAGACAAATGAAATTTTCCTAGCAATAAATCTGTTTTAAAACATATAGTCTGTAGAAAGTTATAAAATGCTGTTGAAATTACTAAATAAATGGGAAGCCATATTATACAGACATTAATTCTCTTCAAATAGACCTTTATATTCAATGCCATTTAAACTCAACTCCTAATAAGGTTTTTTTGGTGTGTCGGAGGGTTGAGGTTAGGGGTCTGAGGACAGGGAGAGATTTTACAATCTAATTCTAAAATTTATGAGAACTAGAATAGAGTCATAACAACAGTTTAAAAGAGGAGCCAGACAGGGACCTTACTCTGCCAAATATCAACACTTATTATGAAGTTATAATCATGGTGATTGTGTGATATGTCATAGGGATACATCAACTATTGTACAAGAACAGTGACTCTAGAAGAAAACCCACATAGATGGAAACCTGACACAGCTGGCATGGTATGTAAGTGAAGAAAGGATGTACTATCCAAAAAATTGTACTGGGACAATTGGTTTTCAATATAAACAACATGAAGTTGGATTCCTATTTCACACTACACATAAATATCAATTCCAGATGATTTTAAGAACTTAAATGTCCTCAAAATGACCCAACAGAAATTTAGACAAAACATCCAATTGAAAAAAACATATACAAAAGACATCAACAGTCATTTCAAAGGAAATATAAATGCCCATAAAAAAATTAAAAGATGCTCAACCTCATTTGTTGTCAGAAAAATGCAAATTAAAATCTCAAAGAGATTACCATTTCACACTCAGTCGTTTGGCAAAAATCAACGAGCCAACAATACCAAGTGTTGCTGAAAATGGGAAACAAGGGGAGCTCTACTACCTGACAAGTGGGAGTTTTAAATGACACAACCACTTTAGAAGACAATATGGCACCAATTAGCGAAGTTGAATTAGCACATTGCTTGCAGTCTCAAAATTCTACTTCTAGGAATATACGCTAGAGAAATCTTGCAAATGTGCACCTAGAGTCACGTAAAAGTTATGTTTATAGCAGTATTGCTTGTAATGATAAAATGCTGGAAACAGCCCACAATAATAGAATAGAAAAATTAATTGTCATGTAAAAATTGGAAACCTATAAAGGACGTGACAGTGAACATACCATAAAAACTGGAATTCTCAGGAACATAAGGTTTAACAAAGAAAACAAGTAACTGCAGAATAAATGTGGTAGGATTCCATTTTCATCATCTCCTCAAACACCAAAATGAAACAATATTTTGTTTAGGAGTATGGCAAACCACTAAAGAAAAACAACAGGTTTTTTGTTTCCTCTAGGGAAACTATGTGAGGAATAGGATTTGGGTTGGGCATAGAAGGAGATTCCATGATTCTGGCAATATTCTATTTAGTTTACTTTGTGGCAAGTTTATAGCTGGTTTTTTTTTTGTTTTTGTTTTTTTTCAAGAGAGACGAGGTCTCTATTGCCCAGACTGGAGTGTGGTGGTACAATCGTGGCTCATTACAACTTGGAACTCTTGAGCTCAAGAGATTCTCCCACTTCAACCTCTTTAGTAGCTGGGATTAGAGGTGAGCACCGCCACACATGGCTAATTTTTAAATTCTTTTTGTAGAGATGGGGCCTCACTATGTTGCCTGGTCAGGTCTTGAACTTCTGGTCTCAAGTCATCCTCCTGCCTTGGCCTCCCAAAGCACTGGGATTACAGGCATAAGCCACCACACCAGGCCTGTAGGTGTTCATGTTATTGAAATAACTACTGCTATTACTATTACTAGTAGCAATAGTATTTCAACTAAATCATACTATATTGCTGGTGTAATAACTTCACCTGCCTGCTAGTTAAATGAGTTTCTGGTCCTTGCCACGAGTCCTGTCTTACAGCTTACCCTCCCAAAGATGCATCCATCTTATAGAAAGAGACAAGTATTTGAGCCTTTTGAGATTTCGAGAAGTCGGGAAATTACTGCAAAAGCTGACATGTGACCAACTAGAAGGTAGAAGAATCACAATAACCAAGCCTTTACCACTACTTAGCTTGGTGATATTGCAGCCATCTTTCCCACTGAGCTCAAAGTGGCCTCAAAATGCTTAGTATCAGACTCTAAGCACCCACTCACAATCCATCAGCGCTGACAGGTGACATACGGCCTCTTTGCAAGCTCAGTTCTTGAGTTTAATATCCTCAGCCACATCCGTGCCAACGGGTTCGAGGCTGCCAATCAGTCCATTCATAAAAGTCTGAAAAATCCACTTTTCAGGTCAGGTGATCCACAGTGTGAGGGATGCCTGTGGTTTTTGCCCGAGTCTCCTGACCTATCCTAACTTGAATTTATGTCATGGAAACAAAACTCTTCTTGTGCTAACTAAGTAACTGACTTCCATGTATAGTATTTGTTTTGGGCCCAAGGACACAGAGTTTAAAAAAAGAAAAATCAAATAAATCAGATCCCTGCATTTTTCTGGCTCAGGTGAATCAGAGAGGTCTTTTTCAGTTGCTGAAGTTCTTTACATGTGACATAAGCCTGATAATGAGCAGGAAGGGATATTTGTGTTTCCTGTGATTCACACTTCATAGGAAGTGGGTGGAGGATGTGAAGGACCATTTTCTTCCTCTCTTGTCATTATTGCAAGTCCATAAAATGGAGACATAAGCTTGCCCTGAAGTATTGAGCAGAGGCTGCTGTCTTTACTCTGCTCCTCACTAGCTTCTCCCCCATCGTGTAATTCCTCTATATGATGATTCAATCAGAGTTTGAGATCCATTGGCCTACAACCCTCTCCTATGCAGGGCTAATGTATCAAACTTTGCTGCACCCGTATGGCCTGTCTTTTGAGCAACCTAATCTCAACTGGTAGCTTCCAGTTTTTTTGCCCCTCTTTGGAGCCAACCATCTCCCAGCAGGTCCCATGTCTAACCTTATGGGAAGGAGTGAACAGGCCATTTGGATCTCAGGTTTACACCAAATGATAAAACCGGACGTTACCAGGAGTAAGGTTTGGATTCCTTCTTCTTATCGGACTTTGTCTTCTTCTTTTTTTTTTCTCTCTCCAGTTGGGTCTGAAGCCCAAAGGAGGAGGGTGTGACTATTTATATTCCTCAGACTACAGTACAAGGTGAGATGAAGGCTGCTCCTTGGCTCTAATGAGCAGATTAAAATAGAGAATTTGTGTCAATCAATAGGTGCTGCCATAGGAGATACATGGAAGAACCACAAAACCAACATGCAGGTCACACTGGGTACACAATACACTAAGGCTAACAATACTTAGTATTTATTGATCACTTACTATGTGCCACATATGCCTCTTAGTGCTTTGAATAGAATGTCCCATTTGATTAGTTCGTAACAATCCTATGGAATAGGTGTTATTATCCCCATTACACAGATAAAGAAATAAAGCATAAAGTTAAGCAGGCCCACTGCATACAGAGGCCAAGCTCATTGTTTCCCTTTTAAGCAGATTATTAGCTAAGACATGATATATCTAGAGGATATTGGAACATTTCATAAAGTTATAACACCCTTTCAGTCATTCAAGTGTTCATTCTGCGAGAACTAATCCAGGGCTTATTAGGTGCTGAGGACTTTTATAGGTATTGGAATGTGGTGAAAAGGAATGTGGAGAAATTAGTGTCTTCAAGAAGTTTATATTTTCCACAATTCTCCAATTATAGGAGCCAGGGATTTTTGGAGAAATAGCTGAGTTTAGAGCTGGGGCAGGAAAAAACAGAATGGGCCTATAGCACCTTGTGTTGCTAGAAATTAAGGAAATTCTCAAAATACAAATGTAGCTCTTCAAAAGGACAGAGGAGCCAACCTAAAGGTGTTCCTAATGGTCAAAGATGGAACAATTTGAGCCAAAATAAATAAATAACACAGTACTAGATTGTAACCCAAAGTGTAAACTTACTATTCATGAGTCCATAGTCATACAAATAAATTATAGAATATATAATAAATGTCCAAGGCTGGAGGATTCTTTGAGGCCAGGAGTTTGAGACCAGCCTGAGCAACATAGTGAAACCCTGTCTCTACAAAAAAAAAAAAAAAAAATTTAATGAGAAAATTAACCAGATATGGTGTGTACACCAGTCGTCTCAGCTTCTTGGGAGGCTGGGGAAGGAGGATCAGTTGAGCCCAGGAGTTTGAGGTTGCAATGAGCTATGATCACACCACTGTAATCCAGCCTGGGCCATGGAGTGAGATCCTGACTATTAAAAATACTTAATAAATAAATGGGAAAAAAGAGACAAATATTTCTTACGAGGAATTCTAAGAGTAATCACTATCCCGATTTCAAACAGCATAAGGCTAGTTTTGCCTAGTTTTTAACTTTATATAAACAGAAGCAAATGTATCCATATTTCAATGTATTTAAGTGGAACTACAACTTATTGGGTGCAAAAGATACTCAAGTAAAATATGAGACATTAAAATAGAAGTGCTCTGGTTTTTCACCATTGCTGGTAGATTTTATGTGATATTTTTCCTCAAAAATGCCCATAAAATTCTGATTTTAGAATCTAACACTCAACAAAACACTTCAAATCTTTCTTTTATTTATAAGTCTGATATTTGTGAAACTGCAAGCTGAAAAATGGACTAGTTGTTTATAATTTAGGAATTTTCAGATGCGTGCATAAAGACTCCACATGATTTGAGTACCCCAGTTGATCAGGTTTCCAAAGAAAACAGATGCCATCACAATGAGAAAAAATCAGTAATAACTACTCAGATCTGTCTCCACTCAATCATTTCTTTCTACTTAACACTAACTGCCACTTCTAAGTGTTTGTGGTCACTCTCATGAATACTTTTAAACATCCAATAAAACAATGTGAATTGATTAAAAAGTGAAATTTTCTATGTTGGAAAAGGAGCAAAATTTCATGAGACTGATGAAAGTGATATTGAAAAACTACTGCTTAGGGAGTATGGAGGAGAGTTTTATAAGAACTACTTTGGAACCATATGCAAAGCCATTGATAAAGAGGAGCCTGGTAAAATTAGGCCATTTAACAAAGAAAGAGGAGGAAATAATGAATCATGAAAATCACAGATGAGCATTTCAGAAAAGAAAGATGTAGATATCAAAGAATCATAAGGGGGTCTGGGATAATTTGATAAAACTCTGGAATATTTTTGTAAAATGTTTATGACTTTGATATAGACGTTATGGAATGAAGTATATTGTTCAGTGCAAATCACACTACCATGTTGTTTGGTGGCCAAAAAAGTTCACAGTTATGATTACAACCTAAATATAAAGAAAAAGCTAATATTAACAATTGTTAACTTTTTTTCCAAGATAAAGTCCCAATTTAACCACCTCCTTCTCCTATTTACTGTAACAGTTTGGCCCCTGGCTTATGTATGCTATACATTATACTCAAATTATGAGAAACTTTTCTTTAGCTATAATGATCCTGTTCTGGAAGCCTCACTGGGGAAATGAGGGTTTCTCTAGATATAAGAAAAATTCTGACTTAGCTAACAGGGGAGTTTATAGATTTAGGGGAAGTACTAAACTAACTGCAAAGCAAGAAAGAAATCTGGGGTGTGAACGGAGGGTGTTAGGCACGGGGCGGTGCAGGAGGAACGTTACCATTTCTAGGAGGAGAGAAGATTCTTGCTTTGGAAGAAGCTGTTACACCACCTCTGCTTTGGAGAGGCATCTAGCTTGGCTGAAGAAGGGAAATCCTATCTCAGAAAACACATCTCAAATCTTATAGTGGGAACCAGTGGCACAATGGGGTTCACTAGCAAGATTGCCTGTCCCTAGCAATGGGGTTCACTTTGCAAGATTGCATGTTGCACATGACCAATTCAGGAACAAATAATGTTGTATTTTTTAGCTTTGTTGAGGTATACTTGACAAATTTGTATGCATTCAAGGTGTATGACCTGTTTTGATATACGTATATATTGTAAAACTATTGCCACAATCAAGCTAATTAACATAGCCACCGCCTCACATAGTTACCTTTTTGTGGAAAGAACACTTAACATCTACTCTCCTAGTAAATTTTAAGTACACATTATTATTAACTGTCACAAGCATGCTGTACATTAAGTCCCCAGGACTTATAACTGCAAGTTTATACCCTTTGGTCAACATCTCCCTCTCTCCTCCACCTTGCATTTCTAAGACTTGTAGACTTTTCTTTTTCGTTTGGCAATTCAGCTGCCACTGTGATGTCAAATCCTGAAAAACAATCAAACACAAAGGGTCCCCTAACCCATCTCAAAATATATCTGAGGAATCCCACTGACTCTTGCCACAGATATTTATGTCAACATTTCTGGAACTCTGTTCATTGAAATACTTGTCCATCCAGACATTACATGAGAAAAGTATTCTCTGGTCAAATAAGGCTGAGAAAATGTCAGCCTCACTTACCTGTTCCAGCCTCACAATGTATAGCTCCGTGTCAAAATCCCACAGTAAGTGAAAAAACCGATGCTATGTTGTTTTACTAACACATCCTACACTTGTTTATTACACAACCTGTTTTTTTTTTTAAGAGACACAGTCTTTCTTTATCACCCTGGCTGGAGTGCAGTGGCACAATCATAGCTCACTGCCATCTCAAATGCCTAGGTTCAAGCAATCCTCCCACATCAGTCTTCCAAGTAGCTGGGACTATACGCACGTGCCACCATGTCTGGCTAAAAAAAATTTTTTTTTCGTAGAGAAGATCTTGCCCTCTTGCCCAGGCTGGTGTTGAACTTCTGGGCTCAAGTGGTCTTCCTGCCTTGGCCTCTCAATATGCTGGGATTACAGGTGTGAGCCATCATACCCCATTTATACAACCTTTCTACGCAGGGTAACAATTAACATCCTATTAGATGGGTATCCTGGTACCACACTTTGGGAAATGGGGCTGAAATTCCTAGTGGGTCCCCCTTGTGATGATGAGCTTTAGGCATCAACCTGACTGGGCTAAGTGATGCCCAGACAGCTGGTAAAACATTACTTCTGGGTGTGTCTGTTAGGGTGTTTCTGGAAGAGATTAGCATTTGAATCAGTAGTCTCAGGAAAGAAGGTAAGCTCTCACTGTTGTGGGAGGGATTCATCCAATCCGTAGATATCTGTGTGTATGAAAAATAGATATATAGCATATATTATATATTCATATATCAGAGGTATGATATATAATCATATATCAGAGGTATGATATATAATCATATATCAGAGGTATGATATATAATCATATATCCGATGTATGATGCATTCATATATCCGATATATGGATATAATCATATATCCGATATATGATTATATCCATATATCGGATATATGATTATATCCATATATCGGATATATGATTATATCCATATATCGGATATATGATTATATTCATATATCGGATATATATTAGATATGAATTTATATATTCATATATATCTATGATTATAATGAATTATATATGAATATATAATATAATATATATTCTCATATATTACATAATATACATGTATAATAGAATATTCTATACATGTATATATATTAGAATATTATATATGTGTGTGTATATATTATATATATGATATATGGATACACTTCAATTTATAACACAGTTAGGTCCTGTTAAACCCATCACAAGTTGAAAATATCATCAGTCAAAAATGCATTTAATATTAAACACAAAGAGTCTCTTAACCCATCTCAAAATATATCTGAACCTACTGAGCATCACCTTCATAGCTGAGCCTAACCTCCCTTAAACATGCTCAGATCACTCATACTAACCTGAAGTTGGGCAAAATCATCTAACACAAAATCCAATTTATAATAAGCTGTTGAGTATCTCATGTAATTTATTGAATACCATGCTGAAAGTCAAAACCAGAATGATCATACAGATACTCGAATCAGAGTTTCTACTGAATGTATGTTGTTTTTGCACCATGTAAGTCAAAAAATTGTGAGCCAAACCATCCTAAGTTGGGGATCGTCTGTGCATCTCTCATATTTGTTCTGGTTCTCTGGAGAACTCTAATATAGTGGGCAGCTCTGGGAACTCTCAGTCAGACACTCTGGGCTTGTACTGCTGCCCTAAAGGAGGAATCAGTGACATTCTAGGTGATGTTGTGTGCTGCCTTAGGCCTCTACTGTGCCGGTGGTAATGGCAGAAATGAATAGTCACAAGACAAGTTCTTTGTAGATAGCTATTCCCTCCTTAGAATAAAGAAGGCCTTTGGTTGAGTGGAATGTCAGTGAACCTTTAATTTCTTCTAGCCTGTTGGCTCTGGGCATCCTTCTGCTCCACAAACTACTGTATTTGAATTTTCTGCTTCCTTCCCTCTGTCATGGCGGGCGTCAAAGCAGCTCTGCCATCCTGCCGCTGAAAGCCTGTCGGAATCCAATGCATATTCATGAGGTGGTTGTTCCCTATTGCCCATCCAGGTAGGGAGTCACTCTCACTTTCCTAAGAGAAGTGATGATTACCCCCTCTTAGCAAGGAGGTTGGAGAATGGAGGTGGAGGCAGTGCTGGTCTCTGTGCCTCTGTGGGGAACAAAATCCTCCCAGATAGAGCAGGGGTTGGAGTAGGAGGAGAAGGGGAAAGGAGGTGTAGCAGGGACCCAACCAGAGGAGGGGAGAGGCAGTTAAGCCCTCGAAAAGGAAAATAGCCCAATTTTTTTCTTAGTCATCAAGGTCACAGACACTCGGAAAATTAAAGCAACCAAGAAAATCTAAAGTAAAAATCACCCAAGAAAAGTCACTGTAAAAACGTGGTGAATAATATTCTAGGTAAGTCATTCATCATGTCATACTCTTACACACATAATTTATATATAATACGTTGGCTGACACCTAACATGGCAGTGAGCTGTCACACGGGCTAGGGATGACAATGGCAGGCATTCCTCCCGCAAGACTTTGTTTCCTCCCTAAACTTGAACAACGGCTGAGACCCTTCACAGGCACAACCAGTAGATTGGACTTGTCATCCTAACTAAATATTACTGATAATTAGTAAATTTTTACTTGCATATGTAACATAGATTCATTTATTCTTTCATTTATGTATATGTGCAAAAAATTTGAACAAGTTTTAAACATTATTTTAGAGACAGCGTGTTGCTCCGTCACCCAGGCAGGAGCGCAATGGCATGATGGTAGCTCACTGCAGCCTTGAACTCCTGGGCTCAGGCGATCCTCCTGCCTATGTCTCCTGAGTAGCTGGGACTACAGGTGTGAGGCCTGGCCTTAACTGGAACAAATTTGAAGAAGTACTCATTATGTACCAGGCATTAGGCTGGAGGATGGGAATATAATTATTAACCTAAAGGTCTGTGGTTGTGGTTCCTAATTCCATGGTACTTATAGGTCTAATTGGGAAAGATACAGGCATTATCCAAATAATCACACTATAATTAATCAACAAATGTGAGGAGTGCTACAGAAGAGAGGTACAAGAAACTGTGGGTGCTCATGAAAGAAAGTTTAACCTTGTCCTGGAAAGCAGGGAAGTCTTTGTCCTACATATGTATATTAAAAATCTACCGGCCAAGTGTGGTGGCTCATGCCTGTAATCCCAGGAGTTTGGGAGGCCAAGATGGGTGAATCATTTGAGGTTAGGAATTTGAGACCAGCCTGGCCAACACGGCAAAACCCTGTCTCTCTAGTAATACAAAAATTAGCAGGGCATGGTAGCACATGCCTGTAATCCCAGCTACTAGGGAGGCTGTGGCAGCAGAATTGCTTGAACCCATGAGGCGGAGGTTGCAGTTAGCCGAAATTGCACCACAGTACTACAGCCTGGGACACAGAGCTAGACTCCGTCTCAAAAAAAAAAAAAAAAAAAAAAAAAAGAAATCTACCTTATCTTAAGGCTATATCTTATATTATTCTGTGGATAGGTCATAGTCATTTCATTGACTTCCCTACTGTTTCACATTTTTTCAGTGTCATAAACAATTTGACAATAAAATCTTTAGACTCTTCTAGTTAACTGGATATACCAGGTCATTTCCTGGATCCAAACTTTTGCCCATGGTTTTTTCTACCATCCCTCTCTGCATCTGGACACCCATTCTTGCCTTCACATCAAGATCCAAAATAACCGTCACTCTGTCTACTGTGACTGGCCTGTAGAGCGCTCCTCCTTGAGACACCTGATTGCTTTTTGCTGAATGGCTTCTCTGGGTACTTAATCATATGTGCCATTGGTTTATACCTTCCATGTTTGTCTTGTCTCGGTTAGCCTAGATCTCGTGGACGGTGGGAACAGTGCCTCAAAAAATATGTCATTTGTGTTTCCCTTCCAGATACATGAAGATGACAACCATAGTTAATCTGTGGAAGTTACCATGATGATGAAGAGTGGTGTCTTTATTCCGTAGGTCTTCCCTATGAGATGGTTCTATGATCATTTTACAGACCACAATATAGTGCCTCCGAGAGGTTAAGCACCTATCCCAAGGATAAAGGACTAGTTGTGCCAAGAGCCCTAGAACCTGGGTTCAAATTCCACCTCCAACACTTACAAGCCATTGTTGTTTGTTCCTTAAATTCTCTAGGCCTCAGTTTCTACATCTTTAAAATAAGGTTGTTGGCTATGCTGTGGTTCATGCCTGTAATCCCAGCACTTTGGGAGGCTGAGGCAGGTGGATCACTTGAGGTCAGAAGTTCAAGACCAGCCGGGCCAACATGGTGAAACCCCGACTCTATCAAAAATACAAAAATTAGCTGGGTGTGGTGGTGCACACCTGTAGTCCCAGCCACTCGGGAGGCTGAGGTGGGAAAATTGCTTAAACCCAGGAAGCAGAGGTTGCAGTGAGCTGAGATCATGCCACTGCACTCCAATCTGGGTGACAGAGAAAGACTATGTCAAAATACATAAAATAAATAAAATAAAGTTGTTAATGTTTCCCCGTGCCTACAGTTGTTGTGAGAATTAAATAAGAGAGCACATGCAAAGTGGAGCCAAATCATAAACTCGTCGAAATGACTGGAATCAAGCCCTGTGTGCCTGGCAACAAAAGAGAGAAAGAATTTCATAGTATGGGCTTTCCTGCTTACTACTGCAGACTAGGAGGGTCGGCCCCAGAGCAAGCAGGAAGTGGGAGAAAAAGCACTGTTGCCTCAGTCAGACTCTGTTCCCAGGTGCCACTGTCTCATGCTTCAGCCTGCTGCCAAAATAAGTGTGATTCTGATGTTAAAAGGTTCACATTTTCCAAACACCAGGTTCCTAAAACATTGAAAGACTTCATCATGCACTCTAGCAAAAAAGTGGTGATCTGTTCCAAGATAGTGAGAAAAACTGGCCACCTTGGGCATACTTGGGAGAAAATGGCAGGCCCTATTGGGAGGTACCTTCTGAAGGATGTGCAAGGCTGATGTTGGCCTGAGTCACCTTCTGCCTATATGAGCCATCTTTTGTACCAAATGTTCACGAGATGTCATTCCATCCAAGGTTAAATGGCAGTGCTGGGATGCTAACCAGGCAATGTGCTGAGATCCAATCAAATCTGCATGGATTCTTGGGAAGAAGCTCAAGGTGGATGTGAGGGAAGGGAAGAGGGACATCAGCACTAGCAGGGTCCGCCTTTTGCCAAAGACTTGTTTCTATTGAAGACACACTTACTACTCAGAATAAAATCCCACTTTTACATCCCGTACCCCATGGCCATGGAAAATGTGTTCTCAACATTCCCTGCAGCTTTTCCCTCTGATGCCCATTATATTTAGACCTAGGCCTCAACACAGCTCCATCTTTCCCACTTCTCAGCATTTGCTATTTTCCTTACTTCTAGAATACTGTTTCTTTCTGCCCTACCAAAGCTCAATCCTACCCATGCTGTGGAACCCAACTGAGACTGTGCTTCTTGTGCCAATGTTCCTCCACTTGCAGGAATCTCACCCTGTTGAGAGTACTGACCATATTCCAACCTAGGCTAGCATCACTGGCTTTTCCCATCACTTGTTTGACCTTAATCCCTTCACTGGCTGGGTAGCCTCGACTGCATTATAGGACTTCTTGGTACCAGTTTTCTGAATTGAAGGAAATGAAGATTAAAATCTCCAGAACTGATGGGAGAATTCCATGAGACAATTCACCTACCAGAGTTGGTCCAGTGCTAAGTATGTGATAAACTCTCAAAATTATCAGCCTTCTCCAAGCACAAGGACCACATATTAATGGTTTGTTCAGTTATTTGTGTTTTTTTGCCTTGTTGAAAAATGTTGTAAGTGGGAAGCTACATCATGTCCCTTCTCTATTCTTGGCCTTCCTGCTTCTAGGTGGATATTAAAAGCTCCCAGAGTGTTTGGTGGTTGAGTGATTGGTTTTAACCATGTGTATTAGTCCATTCTCATACTGTTAATAAAGACATACACAAGACTGGGTAATTTATAAAGAAAAAGAGGTTTAATGGACTCAGAGTTCCACATGGCTGGGGAGGCCTCACAATCATGGTGGAAGGTGAAGGAGGAGCAAAGGTACATCTTACATGGCAACAGGCAAGAGTGTGTGTGCAGAGGAACTCCCCTTTATAAAACCATCAGATCTCATGAGACTTATTCACTATCACAAGAACAGCACGGGAAAGACTTGCCCCATGATTCAATTACCTCCCACCAGGTCCCTCCCACAACATGTGGGGATTATGGGAGTTACAATTCAAGGTTAGATTTGGGTGGGACACATTCAAACCGTATCAACATGGTAATTTTTTTTAATTGCACATTTCTGTGGCTGGAAATCTAGAGGTTAGGCATTCAGTGGTGAGGACTAGACTAGTAGAGCAGGCTGATCTCTGGCTAGTTTTGAGGATTAAAAGTATATTTTAAAAATTTGCAACTTTTGTTGAAGTACTCCCTTTTCTTTGAGATAGATGATTGACATTTGTAGTCTGAGATGCTTTCCTAGAATCCCTTTGTTCAGGTTTGCTGGATGCCCAAAGAAGGCTGCTTTAGGGGAATTTGAGAATTCTTCCACAGCAAAATTTAACATTTAGATGATTGAGTATCTTTAGGTTTGGAGAAAAAAAATAGTTTCATAAGTTACGTGTTGATTACTTATTCTGCATTCATCCTACTTAATTTTATATAAGTTTTGAAGTTTAATCTCCATAAAACTCTTCAAGGTAGGTGGTGTCATCCCTATTTTACAGATGAAAATAATCAATACATAGGAAGTTTTGGTCCCCAGCCAGACCACACAGCTCTAAGTGACCAAGTCAATGAGAGAAGCATAGGCTTGTGGTGCTTATCCTAACTACCTTGGACCCTAAATATGGTTGGCATAACACGTAACTCTTTGGGAAAGACTCTCTTATTGCACCAAGGTAGATATCAGGACCCTTATAATAAATTGTTTTCTTTTTATTGACTTGAAAGAAATGCGACTGTGAATACTGTATATTAACAGGTTTTATGTGTAACTAATGGTTTGATGGACTGCTCTGATGTCTAGTATTACAGCAAGTGATCACTAGATCGTAAGAAGAAGAAAATGTGCTTTATCACTGGAAAATGATTGAATCCTTCTTAAAAGGTAAAGGTAAATATAGAAGATTGATTTGAAAGGTCAGGGTTAACAAGCTTATTAATGGCTGGGTTAAAATCCAGCCCAATCCTTCCTTTTATCCAAGTGAATAAATCATTTAGTTAAGTGATACCCTTCATGGGTAGGCTGGGCTTTACTTCTAGCCAAGGCAGGGATTTGATGAAGTCTTGCGCAGCACAGAACAGTAACTAAAGGAGTGTGAGCTCCAGGCTAGAGGTTAAATCTTAGCTCTGCTTCTCACTGGCTGGGTAGCCTTGACTGCATTATAGGACTTCCTTTTACCAGTTGGTCCGATTCTAAGTATGTGATAAACTCCCAAAAAATTTAGCTATTATTATCTTCTAAACTAGAGGTTCACAGCATTTTCTGAAAAGGGTCAGAAAGCAAATAGTTTAGCCTTTGAAGATCATACAGTCTCTGAAGCAGCTATTCAAATCTGACCATATAGTGTGAAAGCAGCAATAGACAATATATAAACAAATGGGCATGGCTGTGTTCCAATAAAGCTTTATTTATATAAATAGAGTGCTGGTCAGATTTGACTTCTGGGTCATCGTTTGTTGACCCTTATTTTAATATGCACTACTTAGGAATACACACTCCAACCTGCTTGTAGGCCTCCCAAGGATGGAAAATAATTGCAGTGAAGGCTGATGCAGGTGAAGCAGGAATAATCTGTTATACATTGAGAGCAGAAGGACTGAGTTGTACAGAGTTAAATGGTCTCAAGTCAGGATTATCATGGAAAGTTTTAAAAATACAAGTTCCAGGGCTGGGCGCAGTGGCTCATGCCCGTAATTTCAGCACTTTGGGAGGCTGAGGTGGGAGGATCGCTTTAGCCCAGGAGTTTGAGACCAGCCTAGGCAACTACAAAAAATAACAACAATAACAAATTAGCTGGGAGTGGTGGTATGTGTCAGTAATTCCAGTTACTCGGGAGGCTGAAGTGGGAGGATGGCTTCTGCCCAAGAGTTCAAGGCTACAGTGAGCTGTGATGGTGTCATTGCACTTCGGCCTGAGTGACAAAGCAAGACCCTGTCTCTAAAAATAATAATAATAATAATAATAATAATAATAATAATAATAATAAACCCAAACAAATTCTCAAACTCCTGGTCTCAAGCAATCCTCAGCCCCCCAAAGTGCTAGGATTACAGGCGTGAGCCACCACACCCTAAACCCAAACAAATTCTAAGATCTCATTCAGAAAGGTGATGTGGCCTAGAAATATGTATTTTCATGGCAATTCTAATACACAGAATTTTGTGTTGAATCTTTCCTGACTGAGATTACAGCCACTTGGAGAAGAATAGTGAGAGGTATCTACCATACTTTTCAAGCTCTGTCTTCAAGAGTCTATTAGAAAGAATTTTTGCTGCCTCTCTTGAGGATGAATCTGCCTTGAGGAACACCTAGAGCCCTGAGGTAACCATTGAAATTGTTGACAATTCTTTTTAACAAATCCAAATTCACCCTGGAAGTTAATTGAGCTATTACTTGTCTGAGATCATGAGTCCCTAGAGGAAATCTCCACGTGGGCCAGACACGTGTCGTGTGGATGTGGAATACCGACATTGCAAACTCCTCATTCAAAAACAAGATAACATTTTAACCACGTTCCCATGTCCCCGGGAAAGAGGTTAAGTTTTTGATATGTGAAAAAGCAAAATTGCTTTGAAATGTTCCTGTCCATAATCAATCTATCTATCAATCTCTACCTTTTCTTAAAAACAAACAAAAACCCTTTCTGGTGCTTCTTGCAATGACTGCTGGTGCAAGCCTTGCTTTAGATTAATTCTCAGACCTCTAGTTTTTTTCTCTTTATTTGGGAGGTGAAAATAAATATGTCCCTGTCACCCAGTTGACTGCTTTTTATATACTGAATTTTAAATAAATGTTTAATGTTTAAATTGACTAAGCAGCATGTCATTTTGCTACTGGAAATGGTTAGCATCAAGGCTAAATTACCACCCAAATCAAAATGAGAAGGGCATGGCCCAGCTTCCTACCCTCGAGTTGAAGCTGGGACAACATTCCCATCATCTTAGATTAGTCTGGATCAGGCAGAGCAAGAGGATTTTCCCATCTGTCTTTGAGGCCCACAGAGATTAGAGGATTATTTAGCTCCTCCTCGTTATTGTTGTAGAGCTACAGAATAATATATAGCTGGGTATTAACAAGATTTCTGTTTTTTAATTTATAGGAATTAAATTTTTTAAAATATACTTTTAAATATCTTAGACCAAGACAATTCTTTGTTGCTCAACTGAGCTCTTTGAGGAAAAAAAGACATTAACTCAGCTACAAATTGCTTAGCTTTATGATTTTAATGGAGCAAAGAAAGCTGATTTATTAATAAAGTATACCGTTGAAAGAGAATCTTTGTGGAATTTCGGACTGTGCAGCACATCCATTTTTATTGGCTTCACTTTGTTATGCTTTCAGAGCTATTTATAATGTTACCCCTCTGAAAATTCCTTTCCATATTGTCATTTGTCTTCCATCTCCAGAAAGCTTCTCATCCAAATTAGAAAAGAGAAGTCTTTTTTCTCTCTTCTACACCTCCTTAAAATCAATTGAAAGTGGCACCTCCTGGGAATGGGTCCACCTCTTATCCGTGTCTGAAGTTTCTTTTGCTCCCAGTAGAGAAAGAAAATGGAAGCTCCTTCTCAAAGATTTTGCTCCAGGAACTAGACTCCGGGCTAATGTTCCTATTCCCTTCTTACTCAGAAGTGGTCTACTTTAACATTCTTTTCTTTTAGCAAAAACAATGTGAGAATCGCTGTGGCACAGAGCCCTGCGCTCAGAAGGGCCCACACTTGGTTTAATGCTCTGCTGCTGCCATCTTGCAAATCTTAATTATCTTTGAGTGAAGGCCCCCGTGTTTTCATTGTTCACTGGGTCCTCAAAATTATGGAGCTTTTTCTAGTGAGCATCAACACGTAAGAGCACTGAATCTTTGTCTCCATATTATTTTTCTTACGGAAAGAAAGAAAAAAGACAAAATGTCAAGCATTTCCTGAGCTCTTACCGTGAGTCATGTTCCATGCTTAGCATCTTGAGTGATCATGTTTCATCCCTAAACAACCCTGTAGGTATTATTGCTCCCATTTTACAGATGGGGACATTGAAGTTGAAGGAGAGTGAACACGTTCCAGGTCGCGGAGCTACTGAGTGGTGAAGTTTTTTTAACTGAGCTCTGCTTCCCAAGACTGCTGTACTATCTAATAATTTGTCATCAGTTCTCACTTTGAAATCAATGATTTACACATTTAGCTAAACTTAAGTCCATCCACTTTCTCCAGGAAGATGATCTGTAAGGTTTGTGAACCCTGGCTCTAGGAGAAAAAGTTGGTGGAGATTCTCCCTGTCAACATTAATCCCCCATATTTCCACTTCATTTCTAGGTTTGGGGCGGGCACCTTAAAGACAGCAGACTATTGCCTCTTACACCTTCATAAAAAATCTTTGACTCTTTTGATATGTTTTGTTTTTCTCTTTCCAATATGCATCTCCCTTTCCTCTCATGATGCAGCCTCTCAGTTTTCTGAGTGACCCTTCCTTTCCACTCTCTGTCCTTGTTATTCTTGTGAAGTTGACCCACCCCAATCTCAGACAATCAAAATCTTGCATGGTTTGGACACCATCATCCCAAATGCTTTTATGATTGATTCCAGGATGGAAACTTAGTGGGAATCATTGGGAAAAAGTAGGTTTTTATCTTCTTTTTTTTTTTTGACTGAACTAGAAAATGTGAATTAGGAGCTCCTTGAGTCTTCAAATTCAATCAGAGCCAAAAAATGAAGGAAGAAATATTCCTGGTGCACTTGAGCCCTTGATCCATTCAGATTCACTCTCTGGACAATTTGATTTCTTTCTTTTTTTGAAATAGAGTCTCGCTTTGTCACCCAGGCTAGATAGAGTGCTGCGGTGCAATTTCAGCTCACTGCAACCTCCGCCTTCCAGGTTTAAGCAATTCTCCTGTCTCAGCCTCCTGAGTAGCTGGGATTATAGGTACCTGCCACCATGCCTGGCTAATTTTTGTGTTTTTAGTAGAGAGAGAGTTTCACCATGTTGGCCAGGCTGCTCTCGAACTCCTGACCTCAAGTGATCCACCTGCCTTGGCCTCAAAAATGCTGGGATTACAGGCATGAGCCACTGTGCTCAGCCTTGGACAATTTGATTTCCCGACCTGAGAAAAGCCCTTTTTAGCTTAAGTCACTCTGAATTGAGTGTCTGTCAATTGCAGCTACACAAGTTCTGGCTAACGTAAGTACCAACTATACATGTCAAAGAAAAACAAAATTTTCCTAATCTTAATGTGGAGGGCTAGCCAAACTAGTAAACATTTGCATTCTCTCAACTTATATTTCCTCTTCTGAATAGATGAGAATAATACTTACCCTCAAGTTAACAGGCCAACACACTGAGAAGTGAAAAAAATCCCAAATTGGAAAAGCATGTGCTAAACAATCTCAATACTTTTTCTTCCTTTTTTTTTCTTATAGCTCAACAGCTTCTGTTACTTTTTTTTTGTTTTCAACTATAGCACAAAATTTGCTAGTTTTTGAGGAAAGGTATCCTCATGTTTTATAAGAGTAGGGTCAGGAGATCGAGACCATCCTGGCTAACACGGTGAAACCCTGTCTCTTTTAAAAATACAAAAAAAATTAGCCGGGCATGGTGGCGGGTGCCTGTAGCCCCAGCTACTCTGGAGGCTGAGGCAGGAGAATGGCGTGAACCTGGGAGGCGGAGCTTGCATTGAGCCAAGATCGCACCACTACACTCCAGCCTGGGTGACAGAGCAAGACTCTGTCTCAAAAAAAAAAAAAAAGAAGAGTAGGGTCTAAACTCTCATGAGTCACTATTTTCCCAGTGCCTGGTAGGGTCCTGCCACATTGTAAGTGACAGAAAATAATTTGCCTACTGAATGAAAGGCCCGTTAGAATTTCCTGTCTACAGCCAGAAGTGTAATTGTTGTCATTTATGAACTGAGCCAGTTCCCCAGTTAAATATCAATCTGCTTTTGGACTAAGGAAATGATAGCCTCTTCTTAACTGTCTCAACTGAATGAGTAAACACTCAGGACTTGAAATTGCTAATAGCATTTGGGGGGAATTAAAAAAAAAAAAGTTTCTCTATATTTCAGAAATATCAGAAGAGTCCTTGCCCTAGGTACTTCATTTTTCAGACTGTCAAACAGAGAGATTCTATTCTCAAAATAAATATGGAAAAATCTATAAAGTGCATTTGGCTTTGACAGAGCTGCGTGAACAAACTTTTGTGCGTGTGTCATTTTGGTGACTTTACACATATTTTTGTACAGGTCACATGACTAACTTTGTCAGCCTCAGGAATAAAAGAGGGGAACTTTACTCCCTTCCTTTGCTAAGTGCAGTGCTGGCAACCATCCAATGAATGCAGGGTGCATAGACCATCAGCTTGGATTAGTTTTGCTTTAGGGTATCTATACATTCGTTGTCTGTATATTTAAACCTGCAAGAGGAAAGCCCATTCTTCACTTTACTGTATAGAGCTGAGTCATTCAAAGAGAAATGGCATTCTCCTAGATATTCTCAGGAAAACAGTGGGTCATCTTCTTATGCCTCATAAATCCTTCCCAGAAAAACTGCTTAGAAGATGACCTGAAGGGTAGATCGGTAGATCATTGTTCTCAAGTGCAGGTCTGACTTTGGAACTCTGACTCTATTACTTCCATCTGTTGTGTTCTTGGTCAGTTTCTTACTGTCTTAGACTCTCAATTTTCCCTTCTGTAAAATGGAGATAACATGGATCTAACTGAACTGTTGCAGAAGTTACTGATAATGTAACATGTATCACTGAGCACGGTTTGGACACATAGAAGGTGTTCAGTATACTCTCCTTACAGTGTTTCCTTGGATGTCTATGAACCACTTGGCACTCACTTCCATTCCAAGGCTCTGCCTACACCTTTTGAGCGAGTGGAAGAACATGGATTTGGCAGCCAGGAAGCATGGATTTGAATCACTCTTCATGGTTAGAGTGGTCAGATTTAGCAAATAAAAATACAGGCACCAGCTAAAGTTGAATTTCAGATAAAGTATAAATACCTTTTTTAGTGTAAGTATTGCCCCATGTAGGCTAGGCATGATGGCTCACGCCTGTAATCCCAGTGCTTTGGGAAGCTGAGGCAGGAAGATTGCTAGAAGCCAGGAGTTTGAGACCAGCCTGGGAAACATAGCAAGACTCCATTTCTTAAAAAAAAAAAAAAAAGAAAGAAAAAAGAAAAAAATAGCCTTGTGGTTCCAGCTACTTGGGAGGCTGAGACAGGAGGATGGCTTGAACCTGGGAGTTCTGGAGGCTGCAGCAGTGAGCTATGATCATGCCTGTGAATAGCCACTATGTGACAGAGTGTGAGACCTTGACTCTACAAAAAAAATAAAAACTAAAAAAAAGTATGCCCCATGTAATATTCAGGACATATTTATACTAAAGTGTTTGTTGTTTATCTGATATTCCATTTTAACAAGGTCTCTTGAATTATATGTGGCAACCCTACTCATAGACTATGTGCTCTTCAACAAGTTATTTAATATCTTCAAATGTATCATGTGTAAGAATAATATTAATGGCAAGTACCAACAATTATGTGCCGCACAGTTTTAAATTATTTTTTCCTCATAGAAATTTTGGAGCTATTTCTGTTAGTCTTATTCTCCAGATGATAACATCAAGACACAGAGAGGTAAAGTAACTTATCCACGTTCACACAGCTAAGTTGTTGAACTATGTTTTGAACCCAGACTGACTCAAGAGGCCTCACTGTGTTCAACTGATCCTATAAAATACAATGATATGTCCATAAAATACTGAATTCATGTGAAAAAGCAGATAATACATATGTGTGTAATTCTAATACATCTGAGGTTCCCACATAGTTCAATATCATGGAATCAAATTTGAGAAAACACAGTTTAACTGCCAAAAAGAATTTTTTAAAAAAAATGTTCCATTAAAGAAAGCCCAAATATTTGAGAAACTCTTATCAAAATTCTCTTCCCTTTCCTGCCACATCACTCATACACTGCAACTCCTCAGGGGCTCTTTCCTTAACATTTCCTGAAAGTAAATTCTCCACCTATCACCTGTGACTTAGTTTTCCTTTCCTCCTCCATTTTTCTCTTTCTTGGCCCTTTATTATGTAGACTCACTTGGCCTCTCTCCTAGAAGAAAAACTCATACTCTTTAGAAGAGAAAAGAAGGAAAATAGGACTGGCAATTTCAAAATTTCCTTTGGCAGGCTGGGGGAGTTGCTCAAGTTCATGCACATTCCATGTTAATTTTTTGTTCTTTTACACTAGGCACTCACTAAATGTTAATTTCCTTCTGTCTTCCCTTGCACTTGCCCATATTTCCCCATTATTGGAGGTTTTCTCTCCATGGTATCACCTCAGTACTTCATGCGTGGCTTGACAGGTATCTCAGGCTCTTGGAAACAGATGGGGATTGAGGACCATGGGTATTGCCTAAGATTACTGGGTTACCCAGACAAGAAGAGTGAGAAAAAGGCAGCCCAAGAGAATAAAGGCACTTCCCACAGATCTCAAGAGAATGTGTTCCCAGGAAACCAAGGGGCAACAGAAAAACAAAGTGAGAATACAGTCTAAGAAAATACCCTTCTTAAGCAGGAAGGCTTTGCAAGCCCAAGTGGTCTGTCTGTATTGTTGGCTTCTAATTGCTCATGGGTTGTTCTATTTGATAAAAAGATGGACATCCAAAGAATCTATTGGTATCCAACTGGACAATAACACCTTCCCAACTACAATTCAACAGCAAGGCCAACGTTGAAGGGTGTACCTGGGGTTTATATATGCTGTAGTGACTGTTCATCCTAGAGCATCTCATGGAACACATTTTTATTTCACCTTGTCATTTAATCCTCCAACAAATAGAAGTTTCAAGTTAAGACCTGGATTATTATAAGTTTTCCTTTTTGTTTGTTTTTAAATGAGAGCTAGAGCAAACAATTTTTTTTTTTTTTTTTTTTTTTTTTTTGTGAGACAGGTTCTTGCTCTGTTACTCAGGCTGGAGTGCAGTGGTGCGTTCATGGCTCATGGTAGCCTCTACCTCCCCAGCTCAAGTAATCCTCCCACATCAGTCTCCCAAGTAGCTGGGACTACAGGAGTACACCACCACACCACACATGTACTTTTTTTATTTTTTGTAGAGATGGGGTCTCTCTATATTGCCCAGGCTGACCTTGAACTCCTGGGCCCAAGGGATCTTCCTCATTAGTTTCCCAAATTGCTGGGATTACAGGTGTGAGCCACTGTGCTCAGCTGAGCAAACACTTTTATGCCAAGGAGAGCATTGAGGTGGTCTCTCATGCTACTTTTTTCATTAGCTTTGAAAGCTTGTAGGTATATCCTTACATCATTTCATTATTTTGCTATTGAAAGTATTTCCTGCTTTCCTTCTGATGTATGAATATCATAGTCAATAAATCTCCTTAATTCTCCACATGGGAAACAATAACAACAGATCCAAGGTGTTTTATATAGGGCATTATTTCATTTTCTTCTCAAAACCCACTTCAAGGCCAGGCGCAGTGGCTCATGCCTGTAATCCCAGCACTTTGTGGGGCCGAGGTGGGTGGATCACCTGAGATCAGGAGTTTGAGACCACTCTGGCCAACATAGTGAAACTCCATCTTTACTAAAAATACAAAAATAAGTCAGGCGTGGTGGTAGGCACCTGTAATCCCAGCTACTTGGGAGACCTAGGCAGGAGAATTGCTTGAATTCAGGAGGTGGAGGTTGCAGTGAGCTGAGACAGTGCCACTGCACTCCATCCTGGATGACAGAGCAAGACTCCGTCTCAAAAACAACCCACTTCAAGCTTGTTCTACTCTTGTCATTTTGATTGAGAAAATGGTGGCTCAGAGAGGTCAAAAACTTGCCCAAGATCACACAAATAAGAAAATTATAGAATTGAGGTTAGAGACCAGGGCTTTGAGGCTCCAGATCTTGTGTTTCTCACCATGATGTAGAACATGACTCAAAACATATGACAAAAGACTTGGATAGACATTTCAGCAAAGAAGATATACAAATGGCTAAATAGCATATGAAAAGATGCTCAAAGTCACCAATCCTTAGGGAAATGCAAATCAAAACTATGAGATATCACTTCACACTGATTAGGAAAGCTATTAATACAAACAAACAAAAGAATTCCGCAAAATAACAAGTGTAGGCAAGGATGTGGAGAAATTGGACCCCTTATGCATTGCTGGTGGGAATGTGAAATGGTGCAGCTGCTGTGGCAAATGGCATGGCAATTCCTCACAAAATTAAACATCAAATTACTGTATGATCCAGCAATTCCACTTCCACATATGCAATCAAAAGAAGTGAAAGCAGGTATGTGAACAAGTGTTTTTTTTTTTTTTTTTTTTTTTTTTTTTTTTTGAGACAACATCTTGCATGGTCTCCCAGCCTGAAGTGCAGTGGTGCAATCTTGGCTCACTGTAACCTCTGTCTCCCAGGTTCAAGCAATTCTCCTGCCTCAGCCTCCTGAGTAGTTGGGACTACAGGCAGCCGCTACCATTTCGGCTAATTTTTTATTTATTTTTTTAGTAGAGACGGGGTTTCACCATGTTGGCCAGGCTAGTCTCGAATTCCTGACCTCAAATGGTCTGCCCCGCTAGGCCTCCCAAAGTGCTGGGATTACAGGCGTGAGCCACTGCACCCAGCCTTCAACAGGTATTTGTACAATCATATGCACAGCAGTATTACTCACAATAGCCAAAACGTAGAAGCAATCCAAATGTGCATCGATAGATAAATGGATAAATAAAATATGGTATATAAAGACAATGACATGATATTCAGCCTTCAAAAGGAAGGAAATTCTGACACATGGATGAAACTTGAAGATATTTTGCTAAGTGTAATAAGCCAGTCACAAAAGAGCAAATATTGTATGATTCTACTTACATAAGGTACTTAGGGTAGTTAAGTTCATAGAGACAGAAAGTAGAACGGTGGTTGTCAGGGAGTCAGGGTTGGGGGATAGAGATTTGAGTTTAATGGGTGCAGTTTCGGTTGGGAAAGAGGAAAAAGTTCAGGATGGATAGTGATGATGACTGCACAACATTGTGAGTGTACTTAATGCTGCCAAACTATACACTTAAAATGGTTAACATGATAAATTTTGTTACGTCTATTTTGCTATAAACAAGGCCAAAGCACACACACACTCACACACATGAAAGCTGAGCATGCTGTTCCGAGAACACAATTCCTGACCGTGGAACTTAGGTTAAAAATGATGATTCCCAAGCCCTAACCAGGGAGTCTGGAATAGGACCCAGGGCTGTACATGTCGAGAATGCTACACAGGTGACTCTGATGCATGTGTTTCATGGATAGACAACACGTGTTTGAGGTAGATCCATGCTACAATACAGAACATGTAAACTCCCCAGCATTTCAGAAGTAGTAATTGGTAGATCTGGAATTTGCTCCCAGGTAACCAGGCTTCAGAGTAGTCAGCTCTTTGAAGCACTGCCGTGGGCAGCCAAATGGCACATGTTTAAGCCTCATAACTTTACTAGGGTATCTTCTGGTACCCAAAATAAAAGATATAACTTCTGGCAAGTTGGGGAAGAATTTTGATAAGTGTTACTACAGATCAATGGTTCTTTACCTGGAGTGATTCCTCCACCCCCTGCCCCCCACCCCACGTTTGGCAAAGTGGAGACATTTTTGTTTTTCACAGCTAGATTACTACTTGCATTGGTGGGTAGAGGCCAGGGATGCTATTAAACAGCCTACGGTGCACAGTACAGCTCCTAGAGCAAAGAATTACCTGAACAAAGTATCAATAATGCCAATGTTGAGAAAGTTTGGCATACGTTATATATTTAGACCTTTTTAAATGGAATTTCTTCTACATTTCTTTTGGTAGTTGAACTGTATTTCTTCAAATTTCACTCCATGACACTGAGCTGGATGGGAACCCCAGATGACTTCAACTTCACCTTCGGAAAATGTTGGTATTGTCTTTGAAGGCCCCTGCATTTTACCAGTGATGTCTATTCAAATGGTGCTGCTGTATTGTTTACTTTTTAAAATCCAATTGTTGTTTTTAGGATCTTTACCCAGAGAGAACATGTAACTTGGGCAAAACGTCAAGTGTCAATTTTCTCATATCAATATGTAAAATCCCAGAGGTCTGCAACCTTGCATATATCATGAGGTCTTCAACATATATGATCTCATTCTGACCTTGCATGTTCTTTCCTCAGATTTTAATTTGCTTTTAGAGGTTAGTTCCAGTCTAATGATGACTTTATAACACTTGTGATACCTGATAGCTTGTGTACTAATGTTCTCACCTTCCTCTCGCAGGCCTTCGGAGTCGATTGTGGAATACAAATTTTCATCACTGAAGCTGCGCTCCTTCACTCAAATGATTCTGATGGAAAAGAGAGACGTCTATGCTTCCTACATGTAGTCAGGAGGTTTATAGTCTATTGATCAGCAACTGTAACCTGAGCTTCCTCTGGATAATTGAAACTCTTCCCAGTAAGTTGAGCCATAGACTATGGAGAATCGATGTAGCAACCCAAATTCTACCCCTTGTGGTCAACAATACTGATCAATCTTAGCATCGATAAAGAGGAACAAACAGAAATCATGTGCATCCTGAGGTAATGCAAGAAGAAATACACAATCCCCACCTCTGAAGGATTCCTGCCAAAAATAAAATTTTACCAGAATTTAATAAAGTCTCTAGATCTTATGATCTGCCTACAGGAAATTAGAAAGATAGAGGAACGAATGAAATGATACCATGAGGAAACCATCAGCCACATCCAGAATGTGGGAAATTCACCAAATGCAATGGACCCTGTTTGGATTCCGATTCCTACAAATGAAGTGCAGAGAGACATTTGAGACAAGAAGGAAAACTTGAACGTGAACTGCATATTAGATGATGCAAAGGAATCATTGTTAATTTTGTTAGCTGCGATAATGGCATTGCAGTGATACAGAAAATAAGTTAAGCACACTCACTGCTAGCAACAGTGTTTTTACAGACATGAGATTCCACTATATTACATCAGATGTTCAAGATGAACTATTTCATAAACTGGGACAAAACAAGACTTCTCAGACGCTCTTGGCAGTAGTGTTTGAGGATTGGTTATCTTTCAGTTGTGAACTGCAAAGCGGATGATGATTGTCCAACCCAGAGATGACAGGAAGATTTAAATGTTCATAGCATAAAGCGCCTTGATAGAGGGAAAAGCAGTATTTCAACCCATTAACTGAATTAGCAATAACTAGAACTTGAATCAGATGGTGCATGATGAAGAGAGACCTAGAGCCAAAATGTTGTTGGGGGCACATAATGAAGTTCCTTCAGCCAAATTGTGTTAATGGGTGCTGGGAAGCTCTGAGATGCGCTAAAGAGCATCCTGCTGACCTGTGCTTCTACCAAGACACTTTAGCTGGGGGAAATGGCACATTTTGCTTACAGATCTTTTGCAAAGTAAAATATGACAAAAGAAATGCAACCAATCAGTGACTCAATCAATATTTAATGATTTTCAGCTTAATAACTTCATTTAGTGATATAAAGGCATTGGTAATGTTATTTAAAAAAATACTCTTCTTTTGTTGGATTCCTGCCTACATAGCTTTAAAAGCATGGATAAGGTCATTTCCTTCTCATTAGGGTTAAAACTACAAGGAGAAATCCCTTCAACCTACACTGTGACTTGGCTTCCAATATTTGACCTCAATCCACGCCATTGGTTTAAACTAATCAAGACAGAAATAGCATTCAGGCAGAGGATGAATATGATAAACTGGGGAGATTTGAGGCTATAACTTCAGTATATTCACACATCTGTGCAAAGGTGAGGAAAAGTGAGGTTATCACATGGATTATTGTGCCCTAATAGCTTAGTACACAATCACTGCATCTAGTTTTCCTGCCCAACTGAAAGCTCTTTGGAATGAGTTAACTTGTGGTTTCATGTCAAATAGACAAAACAATAGCATGCCCTTTCTTTAGTCTGACATAAATCATTCTTGAGGATTCCTAACCAAGTGAGTTCTATCAACTACCTGTCAAAAGTGTGGTATTTTTATTTGTTGATTTACAAAAAGAGTGTGGTATTAAAAGAGAAGAAAATCTTGGATGGCTGAGGAGGAAAACCAAGTTCTAAGCGTGGCTTGGCAAAAACATCCACTTTTATTATTTTTACAGTGTTTTCATCATTTAGTAAAGAGTTATAGCTAGAAGGGAGGGCATAGATTCAAGTTGTTTTTCACCCTTTGTTTCTGCTCTGGCATAGCCAATGCCTATGACACCCCCACCCTCACCCTCCATCCCCCTATCCATGATGGAGGCACTCACTGCAGAAGCATGATGGGGAGTGCCGCACCCTCTGGGGTGATTAGCTTGATTACTGTTCACAGATTCTTGCCACCTCTCTCTGGGCAAGGTTATCCTTCCTTCTCCCCACTGGCGTCAGGCTTTGCTATGTAATCTTCTCTGGCCAGTGCAATGAGACTAGAGGTGATCTGTCCCCTCTGGCTAGAAGCATAAAAGTCTGTGAGTCTGTGTGGGGTTTACCATGTCACCCTTTCCTTCTCTCATGGGATGGGTGGTGTTTCAGATAGAGACAAATCCCTTAGCTCAGGTCCTAAAGTGAAGGTGCTGGGGAGCAGAGATGCGGCCAAGCCATGATGGGCAGGTCATGCAAGGAAACAGTACACCTTGTAAGCCACTGAGATGAAATTCACTGATGAGGTTTTTGTTCTCTCCTTGTTGTTGCTGTTTTGTTTTACTACAGCATCACCTATCCCGACTGATACAAGCTCTCTGAGGGGCAAGTCAGATTTGGGGGAGGGGTGGTGGGAGGAAGCAGCCACCATTTGAAAAACCCTCTCAGATGATTCTAATATGCTCTCCCACTTCCATCCAGGTCAACTGTTTCATCAAAGCAATGCTCTGGCCAGGCATGGTGGCACACACCTATAATCTCAGCACTTTGGGAGGCCGAGGAGGGCGGATCTGGATCTCTTGAGATCAGGAGTTTGAGACCAGCCTGGTCAACATGGTGAAACCCCGTCTCCACTAAAAATACAAAAATTAGCCGGGCATGGTGGCATGTGCCTGTAGTCTCAGCTACTCCGGAGGCTGAGGCAGGAGAATCGCTTGAACCCGGGAGGTGGAGGTTGCAGTGAGCTAAGATCGCTCCATTGCATTCCACCCTAGGTGACAGAGCGAGACTCCATCTCAAAAACAAAAACAGAAACAAAAAACCCAATGCTCTTTTCCATAAACTATTAGTACAAGCATCATGATCTTGAACTTGTATCAAGCTGTGACAATATTATTTAGCCTTTTATTTACCTTCTAAGCTGAAAACCTATCTTCTAATATATTGAAGATGTAATTGCTCACGATAAATAAACCAGTTCTTGGGATTTTGTTTCACTTTCTTCCCTCTTTTAAATTTGCTCATCTTGGGATGCAATCTAACTGCCTTTTGAAGCTTAAGAGCATTATTAGGCTTTCTGTTCTTATAACCAAGCTGAACTGCTTAGCTACGAAAACAAAGGAAACAACACCAGGAAGGGAAATAACATATTCTGAGTTCCTAGTAAGGTCCAGGCCCTTATATTTGGAGCTATAACATATTACAAATGCCATCACTTCACAAAAGAGGAAACTGAGACTCAGAAACATTAAGTGCCCTGCCCAAAGCCTATGTGAAACGCAGAAAGGCAGAGAGACAAACACAGGCCAGTTTAACCACCCATTGCCTCGAACACATCTCCGCGGAGTAATTTAACACCCTTTACATGTCATCCTTTTCAAATCACTTAATCCAAAGGATTCCTCTGTAGGTACTGGTTTCTCATTTATTTCTTTATATTCCTTATTCCAGATCCAGGCAGAATATGCTAGGGCAAGTTGCGGTAACCAACATGCCTCCAGATATCAGTGGCTTAATACAACGAGGCTTTGAATGTCACTCATGCTACGTGTCCAGTGCGGCTCAGCAGGGTCTTGGCTCCTTCCAGCCACCTAGGAAGTCAGACTGATGCATCTTGCCCTAGGATGGCCAATTTTGGAACAAGGAAACTGTGACTTATGCACAGGCTTCTAAAGCTTCACTCTGGCAATGACACCTAAAATCTCCATCTACATTCCATTGGTCAAGGCAAAACATCTGGCCATGCCTACCTTGAAAGACAAGGAGAAAGCGTGAAACTGTCCTATGCCTGGAAGGAGGGGGAATTTGTTCATTAACATTTTAAAAATGTTGTGGCACAGCCCATAGCAAATAGTGTTTCAGCATGATATAAAGAAAACATCTTTTATTTAAAAATGTGTAACAGCTGCTATGGGTATCAAGGCACCTCTTATGCTCATGGGTCAGAATCCGTCCGACTACAGTGAGTGTTTAACTCACCCTGGAGTATATTTTCTGGCACAGCTTAGATTTTTCAGGTATTTCTGGCTTCAGAGTCTCAGATGGGGAACTTATTTCTACCCAAGCTGAAAGGTAGTATTTGATAGGCAGGCATGGAATTTCTGTCTTGTATCAATTAATGGGCCCTTTATCTCAAGACCTTGATCCCCACCCTGGTCTTGGAACACTGTCTGTTTGTAAACAGCTTCACAGTTTGGCCAATTCAGGTAAATGAGAAAAATAGGGACACATTATAAACTATCTCATTAAAAATTAAAGCCAGATAAAATTGTATACATTTCACTAAATTACCTTTCTAGGCTTTGCAAATATTCCGAGGGCAGCTAATCTCTCCATTTTAATTAGATTGCACATCTTTTCCAAAGGCTACTGTCCTCATGTTTTAATATAAAAAGACTGTTCCTATTTAAGGCAGAGATCTGGAGAGCTGAGAATTAACATTCACTGTTAACCTTCTCTTAAGGGGAATGGTTTAACTTCAAGTGAGGAAGACCCTCCACATTTGAACCACATTTATGATTTTTAAAATAGAGTACTAGTAAATGATACCCTGAATGTCTGTGTAATTTATCTAAAATTATAATTCCCACCCTATTCCTATCCCCCTTCCTTAGTTTCTTCTCCTTAGCATTTATCATTACTCAACACATTCTATATTTTGCTTATTTTTCCTACTGTCTCTCAACCCCATCTATTCTGGGATTTTTGTTTGGTTCATCACTTTATCTTCAAGGCTGAGTAATGTGCCTAGAAGAGGGTAGCTGCTCAGTAAAATTGGTTGGCCGGACGAATGAACCAATGATTGAATTTTCAAGCTGCCACAATTGAGGATCACCTGTTACTTGAACATAAACTCTTTGAGGATAGTACCTTTGTCTTGGCACAAGCAGGTTCTCAATCAATATTAGTTAACCAAGGCAGTATTGCAAACATACGTACAGGTTAATTTGGGTATTGAGTAGGAAGACAGTAGGCCTGACACTAGCACATGGCTTCTTGCAGTAATGAAAATTGAGTGACATGGCAAACTTTGTTGACCACATGTCAGGCATACTGAGTAGCTTTCTCCGCCTTGTCTGGCCATGATTTTTCTTTCTGGGGGTTACATGCATGCTTAGGCAAGGCTGGAACACTCTTTCTGCCTCATCAATTGGATGATTAACTGCTGTTTTTCTCCAGGACTCAGCTCAGGCATCACTTTTTTTTTTTTTTACGGAGATGGAGTCTCGCGCTGTCGACCAGGCTGGAGTGCAATGGTGCGATCTCGACTCACTGCAATCTCCGTCTCTCGGGTTCAAGCAATTCTCCTACCTCAGCCTCCCGAGTAGCTGGGACTACAGGCACATGACACCATGCCCAACTAATTTTTTTTTTTTGTATTTTAGTAGAAATGAGGTTTCACCGTGTTGCCCACGCTGGTCTCCAGCTCCTGAGCTCAGGCAATCCACCTGCCTGGGCCTCCGAAAGTGCTAGGATTACAGGCGTGAGCCACTGCATCCAGCTGGCATCACTTTCTATAACTAAAGTAAGCTTAAAAAATTTGTTGAATATATTAATTAAATCTTCAGCATTGTTTAGACCCCAAGTCCTTGAATTATCCTTAACATCCTTCTGTCTCTCATGTACTACATTAGATCTCCACTGGCAAATCTGGTCATATCATTTCAAAGTATATTGAGAGCCTGATCTCCATCTTCCAACCTCCACAGCCACCATTACTACTTGCCAGAGCTATTGCAATAACTTCCTAAATGCACTTCTGGATTCAGCCTTTCTCTCCTACAGTGTATGTGTAATTCAGCAACCAGTGATTCTTTCAGAAGATAAGTTGGATCTGCGTTCTTCTTCCACTTGATACCCACCAGTGGCTGAATCACTCTTTCTTACAGTAACCCATAGACCCTCCCTGCATTATATGCCCCCACTTCTAATAGTTCCTGTATTTCTTTTCTCCTTGCTCAGTCAGTGCAACCTACACATGCCTCCTTGCAGTTCCTCTAACCCATCAAGCACAATCCCACTTTGATGGCCTTTGCCTTGGCTCTTTCTACTCCCTGAAATCTTTTTCTCCCAGAAACTTTCATGATTCTTTCTCTCACTTCCTTTAGGTCTGAGCCTAAAACTGAATTTACCAGAGAAAACTTCCCTGGCCACCGTATAAAAAATAGCATCCACATGGCCATCTTTCAACCCTAGCTCTCCAAACTAACCTCTTGATATGTATTTACTTGTTCATTGTTTGTCTTTTCTCCCCTCTGTAATGTAAACTCCAGTTGATCCTAATATTCCCAGGATTTTGTACTTTACAGAGAGTATAACTCAATTCATATTTGTTGAATTGAATTGTTGGATGGGAATCAATGAATGCAAGAAAGTAGTTTTTTCCCTGAGGCTTTGTCCAGCCTGTATAAATTCTGCTGTCTGATAGGTGGGTTTTCTAAGAAAGAATCCAAACCATGCCAAGAGCAATGAAGCCCATGACAAAACAACACCGCAGGGAGATTTCAAACCAATCCTTAGTGGAGTATTGAGAGAGGAGGTACAGTTGCACCTGTGTTGATAAATGAGAGCCCTCAGCATCATTTAGGGTTTATTGAAATGATACTGTCAGAACCCACCCCAAAGCAAAACACATCCTCAGAAAAACAGACAGTTGTGAAGCTCCTTTAGAAAACCTGCAGACAGCATATTATGGTGGTCAAAAGCTTGGGCTCTGGGGTCAGATTGCTGGTTTTCATTTCAGCCATGCTCTTTCCTAGCTGTGTGGTTGTGTACCAGATACTTAGTTGTTACAAGTCTCAGCCTCTTCATCTGTCAAATGAGAATCAAAATGGTTCCTGAAGGGTGGAAGCAGACGAGATGACTGTCCTGCTTAGTACAGTGGCTGGCACAAGTTGAGGACTAAATAAATGTGAGCTGCTATTATTATCAGGATTGCTATTGTTCAACGTACTTGTGATGTCCAACCAGCCACACTTCATAGTTTAATGCTCAATATGGATGAGCAGAAGGCTTTCTTTGGGACTTAAAAAATGTCTTTATTTAGGTATCTATCCTTAAAGCAACACAGAACACTTGAATGGCTAGCTCCCTTGCAGGGTCTGGGGATATGGCCTTTTGCAGGGGTTGGAAAGGGGAGGTTGAGGTCAACCCAGCTCAGTGCTGGGCACATGGCTGTAGGTGGTCTATTAATATCTACTAAAAGAAAGAGTGTCAAGATCAATTTCACCAGGGAAGAATGGAGACTTCTCCCTAAATGACCAGATTCAGAGAGACTGCAGCACGAAGTTACAGTCAGAAATCTCAACATCAAATCTTTTCCATACTCGTTAGAAGAGGAATAACATAGAGAAGTGTCATTTTTATCAATTTGTGCCTGAATATCCAAATGAAAGTAGGTGGTTTATGTTCTTGTAGGTTGACCTATTGGTTCATGTTTGCATTTTTGGTTTGACCAGGCAGAGATCTGAATCACATCATTACAAGCAACAAACTAGGAGAAAGATGACAAGTTTTAAATATTCCTGTAGTACATCACTTTGAGGCCAGAGTTTTAAACCAGGTGCCGGTTAAATCTTCCCTCAGTTATAAAATTGTCATAATGACTTACAAGACAATATCTCATATTGGCCTCACTTTTATCAAAGATCTTTTAATTAATTACCTACCTTTCCAGTTCCTAAATTTGCATTTATGTGGACCTTGTTAAATCTTGGTTTCAAATTATCTTTTTCTTCCCCAGTGAAATTTCTTTTGAGGTCACTGTAGATTCACTTGTGGTTGCAAGAAATATTGCAGAAAGATCCCTTGTACACTTTACCCAGCCTTGCCCAATGGTAGTATTTTGTAAAACTATAGTATAATATCACAATTAATATACAGATATTGATATGATCCACTGATCTGATTCTGATTTCCCCAGTTATACTTGTATTTGTTTGTGTATGAGTGGTGTGTATTAAGTATAATGTTATCAGCCGTGTAGGTTTCTGCATCCACCACCACAGTGAAGATGTTGAACAGTTCCATTACCATCCACCACCACAAGATCTCTCCTGTTGCCCTTTCTTAGCCACACCTACCCTCTACCCACTCCCATACCTCACTCCTGGCAATGTCCACACCCCACCTTTTAAAATCTTATTTCAAAAATGCTACATAAATGGAATTGTATTATATGTAACCTTTAGGGGATGAGTTTTTCACTTAGCATTATTCCTTGGAGATCCATCCAGGTTCTTACACATTATCAATCATTTCTCCCTTCTAATTGCTGAGTAGTATTCCATGCTATGTAGGTACCACATAGTATGTATCACTGTTGGTTCAACTATTCACCTGTTGAGGGAAATCTGAGCCAGTTCCAGTTTGGGGCTATTACAAATAGAGCTGCTGTGAACATTTATGCACAGGTTTTTGTGTGAGCATAAATTTCATTTCTGTGGGATAAGGCCTGGGAGTGCAATTGCTGGGTCATATGGTAGTTGCATGTTTAGTGTTTTTAGAAACTGCAGTACTATTTTCCATAGTGGCTATACCATTTTACATTCTCATCAGCAAAGCAATGTGTAAGTGGTACAGTTTCTCCACATCCTCACCAGCATTCATGTTGTATTTTTTTTAAATGTCATTCTGATAAGTCTGTAGTAATATATCATTGTGGTTTTAATTTGCATTTCCTTGTTGGTTAACCATGTCAAACATATGTTTAAGTGTTCTATGTGTTCATCTGCCTTTGTGTATCCTCTTCTGTAAAATATCTGCTTATATCTTTTACCCATTTTCCAATTTTATTGCTCATTTATTTACTGTTGAGTTTTGAAAGTTTTTTTTAACTTGTATTCGATAACTGTCTTTTGTTGGATATATAGTTTGCAAATATTTTCTCTGGGTCTGTAACTTGTCTTTCATTTTTTGCACAGGGGCTTAAAAGAACAACAGTTTATAATTTTGGAGCATTATTAAGTTTTCGTTTTATGGATTATGTTTCTGTTGTCAAGTTTAAGAATGCTTAGCTTAGCCTTTAGATCCTAGAGATTTTTCTCCTACATGTTTTTCTAAAAAAGTTTTATAGTTTTGTGTTTTACAATTAAGAATATGATCCATTTTCAGTTAATTTTTGTATAAGGTGTGAGGTTTAGATACACTTTGTTCTGCCTGAGAATGCCTAATTACTCCAGCAATGTTCATTGAAAAGGATACCCTTTTTCTACTGAATTGGTTTGGCACATTTGTCTGAAGTCACGTGGGCATATTTGTGTGAGTCTGTTTCTGTCTTGTGTTCCACTGCTCTACGTGCCTATCCCTTCATTAATACTCATTGTACTTTCTAATTAATACTAATTTACTAATTAATTCATTGTACTTTCTTCATTACTGTAGCTCTATAGTAAGCCTTCAGATCAGGTAAGTAATTCCTTTCACTTTATTCTTCTGTGCCAGGATTGTGCCAGGATTTAGATATTTTAGGATGTGTGCCTCGCCATATACATTTTAGAATAAGCTTATCTATGTCTATGAAAAACCTTGCTGGTATTTGGATATGAATTGTATTAAACATATAGATCAGTTTGGGGAGACATGTACCATTAATATTTCCAGTCTTTCTATCCATGAACACTGTATGTCTCTCCAGTTATTTAGGTTATCTTTGATTTCATTCTTCAGCATTTGTAATTTTAAGCATATAAATACTGTAGATGTTTTGTTAAGTGCATACCTAAGTATTTAGCTTTCTTTACAGCAGTGTTATATATTATAGTTTTAATGTTAGTTTCTATATGTTCAATGTTAGTATACAGAAATGTTTTTGGTTTTTTTTATGCTGACCTTGTATCCTGTGACGTTGATGAACTCACTTATTAAATGAAGTATTTTTGAGGCTATATTCTGGCTATCACATAGCTGAAATATGTAACTCTTAGGCAAAAACCTGAAGCCCTTAGTGGTCACTTCTTGTTTTTGAAACGAACCCAAAGTCATTGTGTGATTATTCCAACAAACCACTGGGAGAGCTGCCACAGAAAAGATTCTTAATGCAAACACATTGCAAGGGGGTCTGTTTCAACTAATCTGTGATCTAATTTAACTAGCCAACTTTTCACACAGAACAAGTCAAACCTAAAAATGAAGAAATGATCTGAAGCCAGCCTTTTATAGAGAACCTACTTCTAATTCTGAAAGGACTTGTCAAGAAATGCTTGGTTTACCAGCCCATGGAAAATTCAGTGGTTCGAGGCCTTTGAACCACAGTTAAGTAGTAAAGGATCTCAGAAGTTATAGAACGCACAGAAACTGCCCTTTCAAGAAAATGTGTGGCCAAAATGGTGCTAGCCAGCAACCAGCCCAAAAGAGCACAGGAAGAGAGCTGATTCTATCTTTCTTTCTTATGTTCTTTTCCTTTAAGAAATTAAACAGGACAAAATCCTCAACTTCATTTTTTTCTCCCCCGGTTCCCTAATTTTGATTCAGAACCACATCTTTGTTTAAGGGTTTATGTAGATAAACCTCAATTTTGTCAATCTCAATTTTGTCTAAGAAGTAGGATCAACTTCTAATTTTCAATGTTAAATCCTACGCTCTACTTTCTCCTGCAATATTCTCAAGATGACTGCACCAGGTTACATCCCACAATGGGCCAGACGTCATAAACCAAATAACTATCCCTGCATTACTGGCTCAGAAGTGCTACTGGCATGGTCTGAAACAGTTTATATTCAGCAAATTTAGTTGCTTCAATGATATGGTATCAAATGCTGGAAGGAACAGAAAGGAATCCGAGAAATGCTCATTGTGTGTGTCCTTTCTTAGCCAGTTTTGTGAGGCATGTGGAGGTCTGCTAGGATAGCCTAAGGCTTTTCTGGTGATCCTTTGACTCAAGGAAAATTAATCCACACGGTTGAATTTTCATCATCATTTGAAACTCCAAGTAGCAAGATCAAATACTGCCATTGTAGATAAAACTGGCAACTTTTGTCACTAACTGTAAATTAGAGGCTACGTTGTAGCCAGAGGAAAATTCAGATGTTTTAGGAGACCAGACAGAAAATGTACATGGACAAAAAGGCCTGCATAAAACAGAGAACAGTGGGGACTGAGGAGAATTAGTAATGCCCACCTTGCTTAAAGGCATTCAAATGTAAACAAATTTTAAAGTGTTGGATATGGCTGAAAAAACCATATGTCAACGAAATTTGTTTGCAAGGCCACTAGTATAAAATTCTTGAGGTGGTGGCTGAGCTTCTAGAGGAAAAGAAAAAAAAACAGTTAAGATTTCACATGTTAGTCTACAGGTCTGCAAAGATAACCAAATCTCCGATTCATGAACTGGTAACTAGCTACTAGTTAGCCTCAAGGAAGATGGCTTAATGGCTTGCTTTCCCTCAGGTAGTTCCCAAGCTCCCAGTACCGTACTAAGAAGCTGAATTCAAAGCATTGCCTTTTAATTCAAGCAAACAGACATTTATTAAAATTACTTTTCTGAGAAACATATTTATGTGCGTTATAAACAAGAACACTCTTAACATTAAAAAATTTGAACTTTAAAAAATATGTAAAATGTTCAAGAAATGTAAACAGGAATTTTCATCTCATTTTCCATATGGTTATGTAAGCACCTTAAATATCAACACAGATCACAGACAAGCCCATTTACATTCATAAGAATTTTCTAAATAAGAACAAATTAATTAAAAAATTGTTTCCAAAATTAAATATTATTTTTTCGCAGCTAAAGTAACACTTGTAATCAGGACTGAAGGATAATGTGTGCTACATAGAAGTAAAGTGTCCACTATGATTGAAGGTTTTTTTTTTTTCTTAAGACGCAGTTTTAAAATGTTTATATTTAAGAGTTCCAATAGAGAGGGGTGGAACCAAGATGGCCGAATAGGAACAGCTCCAGTCTACAGCTCCCAATGTGAGCAATGAAGAAGATGAATGATTTCCGCATTTCCAACTGAGGTACCGGGTTCATCTCACTGGGGATTGTTGGACAGTGGGTGCAGGACAGTGGCTGCAGCGCACCGAGTGTGAGCCGAAGCAGAGCGAGGCATCGCCTCACCCAGGAAGTTCAAGGGGTCAGGGAATTCCCTTTCCTAGCAAAGGAAAGGGGTGACAGACAGCACCTGGAAAACTGGGTCACTCCCACCCTAATACTGCGCTTTTCCAACAGTCTTAGCAAACGGCACATCAGGAGACTGTATCCCGTGCCTGGCTTGGAGGGTCCTATGCCCACGGAGCCTTGCTCATTGCTAGCACAGCAGTCTGAGATCAAACTGCAAGGTGGCAGCGAGGCTGGGGGAGGGACGCCTGCCATTGCCGAGGCTTGAGTAGGTAAACAAACTGGCCAGGAAGCTCAAACTGGGTGGAGCCCACCACAGCTCAAGGAGGCCTGCCTGCCTCTGTAGACTCCACCTCTGGGGGCAGGGCATAGCCAAACAAAAGGCAGCAGAAACCTCTGCAGACTTAAATGTCCCTGTCTGACAGCTTTGAAGAGAATAGCGGTTCTCCCGCACACAGTTTGAGATTTGAGAATGTACAGACTGCCTCCTCAAGTGGGTCCCTGACCCCCAAGTAGCCTAACTGGGAGGCACCCCCCAGTAGGGCAGACTGACACCTCACATGGGCGGGTACTCCTCTGAGACCAAACTTCCAGAGGAATGATCTGACAGCAACATCTGCTGTTCATCAATATCCACTGTTCTGCAGCCTCCACTGCTGATACCCAGGCAAACAGGGTCTGGAGTGGACCTCCAGCAAACTCCAACAGACCTGCAGCTGAGGGTCCTGACTGTTAGAAGGAAAACTAACAAACAGAAAGGACACCAACACCAAAACCCCATCTGTACATCACCATCATCAAAGACCAAAGGTAGATAAAACCACAAAGATGGGGAAAAAACAGAGCAGAAAAACTGAAAATGCTAAAACTCAGAGCCCCTCTTCTCATCCAAAGGAACACAGCTCCTCACCAGCAAGGGAACAAAGCCGGATGGAGAATGACTTTGATGCGTTGAGAGAAGAAGGCTTCAGACGATCAAACTACTCCAAGCTAAAAGAGAAAGTTCAAACCCATGGCAAAGAAGTTAAACACATTGAAAAAAGATTAGACAAATGGATAACTAGAATAACCAATGCAGAGAAGTCGTTAAAGGACCTGATGGAGCTGAAAACCACAGCATGAGAACTACTTGATAAATGCACAAGCCTCAGTAGCTGATTTGATGAACTGCAAGAAAGGGTATCAGTGACGGAAGATCAAATGAGCAAAATGAAGCGAGAAGAGAAGTTTAAAGAAAAAAGAATAAAAAGAAATGAACAAAGCCTCCAAGAAATATGGGACTATGTGAAAAGGCCAAATCTACGTCTGACTGGTGCACCTGAAACTGACTGGGAGAATGGAACCAAGTTGGAAAACACTCTACAGGATATTATTATCCAGGAGAACTTTCCCAATCTAGCACGGCAGGCCAACATTCAGATTCAGGAAATACAGAGAACATCACAAAGATACTCCTCGAGAAGAGCAACTCCAAGACACATAATTGTCAGAGTCACCAAAGTTGAAATGAAGGAAAAAATGTCAAGCTCAGCCAGAGAGAAAGGTCGAGTTACCCACAAAGGGAAGCCCATCAGACTAACAGCTGATCTCTCAGCAGAAACTCTATAAGCCAGAAGAGAGTTGGGGCCAATATTCAACATTCTTAAAGAAAAGAATTTTCAACCTAGAATTTCATATCCAGCCAAACTAAGCTTCATAAGTGAAGGAGAAATAAAATCCTTTACAAACAAGCAAATGCTGAGAGATTTTGTCACCACCAGGCCTGCCCTAAAAGAGCTCCTGAAGGAAGCACTAAACATGGAAAGGAACAACCGGTACCAGCCACTGCAAAAACATGCCAAATTGTAAAGACCATCGAGGCTAGGAAGAAACTGCATCAACTAATGAGCAAAATAACCAGCTAACATCATAATGACAGGATCAAATACACTCATAACAATATTAACCTTAAATGTAAATGGGCTAAATGCTCCAATTAAAAGACACAGACTGGCTAACTGGATAAAGAGTCAAGACCCATCAGTGTGCTGTATTCAGGAAAGCCATCTCATGTGCAGAGACACACATAGGCTCAAAATAAAGGGATGGAGGAAGATCTACCAAGCAAATGGAAAACAAAAAAAGGCAGGGGTTGCAATCCTAGTCTCTGATAAAACAGACTTTAAACCAACAAAGATCAAAACAGACAAAGAAGGCCATTATATAATGGTAAAGGGATCAATTCAACAAGAAGAGCTAACTATCCTAAATATACATGCACCCAATACAAGAGCACCCAGATTCATAAAGCAAGTCCTTAGAGACCTAGAAAGAGACTTACACTCCCACACAATAATAATGGGAGGCTTTAACATCCCACTATCAACATGAGACAGATCCACGAGACAGAAAGTTAACAAGGATATCCAGGAATTGAACTCAGCTCTGCACCAAGCGGACCTAATAGACATCTACAGAACTCTCCACCCCAAATCAACAGAATATACATTCTTTTCAGCACCACACCACACCTATTCCAAAATTGACCACATACTTGGAAGTAAAGCACTTCTCAGCAAATGTAAAAGAACAGAAATTATAACAAACTGTCTCTCAGACCACAGTGCAATCAAACTAGAACTGAGTATTAAGAAACTCACTCAAAACCACTCAACTACATGGAAACTGAACAACCTGCTGCTGAATGACTACTGGGTACATAACAAAATGAAGGCAGAAATAAAGATGTTCTCTGAAACCAATGAGAACAAAACACAACATACCAGAATCTCTGGGACACATTTAAAGCAGTGTGGAGAGGGAAATTTATAGCACTACATGCCCACAAGAGAAAGCAGGAAAGATCTAAAATTGACACCCTAACCTCACAATTAAAAGAACTAGAGAAGCAAGAGCAAACACATTCAAAAGCTAGCAGAAGGCAAGAAATAACTAAGATCAGAGCAGAACTGAAGGAAATAGACACACAAAAAACCCTTCAAAAAATGAATGAATCCAGGATCTGGTTTTTTGAAAAGAACAACAAAATTGATACACCACTAGCAAGACTAATAAAGAAGAAAAAAGAGAAGAATCAAATAAATGCAATAAAACATGATAAAGGGGATATCACCACCAATCCCACAGAAATACAAACTACCATCAGAGAATACTGTAAACACCTCTACGCCAATAAACTAGAAAATCTAGAAGAAATGGATAAATTCCTGGACACATACACCCTCCCAAGACTAAACCAGGAAGAAGTTGAATCTCTGAATAGACCAATAACAGGCTCTGAAATTGAGGCAATAATTAATAGCTTACCAACCAAAAAAGTCCAGGACCAGATGAATTCACAGCCAAATTCTACCAGAGGTACAAGGAGGAGCTGGTACCATTCCTTCTGAAACTATTCCAATCAATAGAAAAAAAGGGAATCCTCCCTAACTCATTTTATGAGGCCTGCATCATCCTGATACCAAAGCCTGGCAGAGACACAACAAAAAAAGAGAATTTTAGACCAATATCCCTGATGAACATCGATGCAAAAATCCTCAATAAAATACTGGCAAACCAAATCCAGCAGCACATCAAAAAGCTTATTCACCATGATCAAGTGGGCCTCATCCCTGGGATGCAAGGCTGGTTCAACATATGCAAATCAATAAATGTAATCCATCATATAAACAGAACCAAAGACAAAAACCACATGATTATCTCAATAGATGCAGAAAAGGCCTTTGACAAAATTCAACAACGCTTCATGCTAAAAACTCTCAATAAATTAGGTATTGATGGGACGTATCTCAAAATAATAAAAGCTATCTATGACAAACCCACAGCCAATATCATACTGAATGGGCAAAAACTGGAAGCATTCCCTTTGAAAACTGGCACAAGTGGTGACCTCTCTCACCACTCCTATTCAACATAGTGTTGGAAGTTCTGGCCAGGGCAATCAGGTAGGAGAAAGAAATAAAGGGTATTCAATTAGGAAAAGAGGAAGTCAAATTGTCCCTGTTTGCAGATGACGTGATTGTGTATCTAGAAAACCCCATCGTCTCAGCCCAAAATCTCCTTAAGCTGATAGGCAACTTCAGCAAAGTCTCAGGATACAAAATCAATGTGCAAAAATCACAAGCATTCTTATACACCAATAACAGACAAACAGAGAGGCAAATCGTGAGTGAACTCCCATTCACAATTGCTACAAAGAGCATAAAATACCCAGGAATCCAACTTCCAAGGGACGTGAGGGACCTTTTTGAGGAGAACTACAATTAGCCAATCGGAATTAGTTTAGCCTGTGTGGTCTAACCCTAGCCAATAGGGGAAGGACACATTAGGGGCCACGTGCGTCAGGGATAAGAACCCCTTCCCCTCCCTTGTCCAAGTGTGCACTCACCATTGTTTCATCTGTAAGGGCGCAACTTTCTATATAGAAGTAACTTGCCTTGCTGAGAATTAAAAAGAAAATTTTATATTCGAGTGCTCTTTCTTTTGTGGCACCGAAACTTTATATATAACATTTTCTGAACAATGTTGTAGCAATGCTATTGGTACCCACCCCCCTCATATTCCCTGGAGCTTTACTATTGTAGTGCCCACAGGCCAACTGCTCAACGAAATAAAAGAGGATACAAACAAATGGATGAACATTCCATGCTCATGGGTAGGAAGAATCAATATCGTGAAAATGGCCATACTGCCCAAGGTAATTTACAGATTCAATGCCATCCCCATCAAGCTACCAATGGCTTTCTTCACAGAATTGGAAAAAACTACTCTAAAGTTCATACAAAACCAAAAAAGAGCCCGCGTTGCCAAGTCAATCCGAAGCCAAAAGAACAAAGCTGGAGGCATCACACTACCTGACTTCAAACTATACTACAAGGCTACATTAACCAAAACAGCATGGTACTGGTACCAAAACAGAGATATAGACCAATGGAACAGAACAGAGCCCTCAGAAATAATGCCTCATATCTACCACTATCTGATTTTTGACAAACCTGAGAAAAACAAGCAATGGGGAAAGGATTCCCTATTTAATAAATGGTGCTGGGAAAACTGGCTAGCCATATGGAGAAAGCTGAAACTGGATCCCTTCCTTACACTTTATACAAAAATTAATTCAAGATGGATTAAAGACTTACATGTTAGACCTAAAACCATAAAAACCCTAGAAGAAAACCTAGGCAATACCATTCAGGACATAGGCATGGGCAAGGACTTCATGTCTAAAACACCAAAAGCAATGGCAACAAAAGCCAAAGTTGACAAATGGGATCTAATTAAACTAAAGAGCTTCTGCACAGCAAAAGAAACTACCATCAGAGTGAACAGGCAACCTACAGAATGGGAGAAAATTTTTGCAATCTACTCATCTGACAAAGGGCTAATATCCAGAATCTACAAAGAACTCAAACACATTTACAAGAAAAAAACAAACAACCCCATCAAACAGTGGGCAAAGGATACGAACAGACATTTCTCTAAAGAAGACATTTATGCAGCCAAAAGACACATGAAAAAATGCTCGTCATCACTGATCATCAGAGAAATGCAAAACAAAACCACAATGAGACACCATCTCACACCAGTTAGAATGGCAATCATTAAAAAGTCAGGAAACAACAGGTGCTGGAGAGGATGTGGAGAAACAGGAACACTTTTACACTGTTGGTGGGACTGTAAACTAGTTCAACCATTGTGGAAGGCAGTGTGGCAATTCCTCAGGGATCTAGAACTAGAAATGCCATTTGACCCAGCCATCCCATTACTGGGTATATACCCAAAGGATTATAAATCATGCTGCTATAACGACACATGCACACGTATGTTTATTGTGGCACTATTCTCAATAGCAAAGACTTGGAACCAACCCAAATGTCCATCAATGATAGACTGGATTAAGAAAATGTGGCACATATACACCATGGAATACTATGCAGCCCTAAAAAATGATGAGTTCATGTCCTTTGTAGGGACATAGATGAAGCTGGAAACCATCATTCTCAGCAAACTATTTTAAGGACAAAAAACCAAACACCATATGTTCTCACTCATAGGTGGGAATTGAACAATGAGAACACATGGACACAGGAAGGGGAACATCACACACTGGGGTCTGTTGTGGGGTGGGGGGGGGGAGGGATAGCGTTAGGAGATATATCTACTCTTAAATTACGAGTTAATGAGTACAGCACACCAACATGGCACATGTATACATATGTAACAAACCTGCACGTTGTGTACCCTAAAACTTAAAAAAAAAAATGAGTTCCGATAGACCCTTTCCTACAAGTTTCTCTGATGTCTTGTATCTGAAGATGCAGAACATGAAATTAGATTTTCTTGATGACCATTATTAGGATTATAAACATCTATAATTGTTCAGCTTTTTCTTCCAAACTTTTCTTTCTTAATGGTTGATTAGAGAAAATTTTGCATTTATTATATATGCCTTGGGTGCCTCCAGCCCCCTGCAGTATTTATCACCTGAAATGGGCAAATAATCTGTTAGAAATATTTGTTAAATAAGAGTCAACAATTATTGAATGAAGTTGCAAAAACTAAGTTCAGAGGACAGAGCTGTGACACCTACATGACAATTATTTTAGGCAATCAGAGCTCTTTTAGATTTTTGGTTTGTGTTTTTTTTTAATTAGTTTTTTGGTAGGGATCATGTTCCAGGTTTCCAGAAGACTTTTAGAACAACAGCTTTCAAAAGGAAAATGATATTATTTGGTTTTTAATTAAAGAAACCATCTTTCGTACACTAAGATTGAATGAAATGTCTACTTTTTAGTCTCAAATAGATTTTATAAAACATTTAAGTATGTAAAAAGTTTAGTTTTCAATCAAAAATGTGTTTATTTTGAACACAAATATACGTAATAAGAATAGAACCAAAAAATTATGTATGTTTTATTAGTTTCCCAGGGTTGCTGTAATGAATTACTGCAAACTACATGGCTTAAAACAACAAAATGTATTCTCCTGCAGTTCAGGAGGCCAGGCATCTGAAATCAAGACGTCAGCGGGGTCGATTTCTTCTGGAAACTCTGAGGAAGAATCTGTCCCATGCCTCTCTCCTAGCTTCTTGTGGTTGCTGGCAACTCTTGGCTTTCTCTGGCTTGTAGCTGCACACTCCAGTGTTTCCTGTCATCTTCATATAGCTTTGTGTCTCCTTTCAAGGACAGCAATCATTAAATTCAGGGCCCACCCTAATCCAGTATGATTTCACTTTAACTTGATTACATCTTCAAAGTCCCTATTTCCAAATAAGGTCACATTCACAGGTATTGGAGGTTAGGACTTGCAGGTATCTTTTTGGTGGGGATAAATTCAACCCCCTAAATATGTGTACATATTAGATATGTGACCATGTGCTATAGAATATACAGTGTAAAATCATACAAAGTATATACTTTCTCTTGATAGATGATTTTACAGATATGGAGGAGAGAATCAACTTCAGACTGATTTTTAAATGGCACCATCTTAAAAATAAAGATTTTAATGTCCTACTTGGAAAACGCATGTAACCTTTCAAGTCAAAGAATGAAGTTCCAACACCAGGAAACTCACTATTCTGGCCATTCTATCTTGATTCTAAGTGAACATTCTAATTAGAACCAACCCTCATAATTACTTTTATATTAATAGCATTATAAGGTAAATGTTCTTCTATCTGGGTTTTATCTCTCTGCTATAAATTGCATTGTTAGCTCATATCATGCCCCTTGCATTATCAATTATTGGAGGCACTTCTTAAACGGAATTGGGGCCATGAGTAATTGGAGAAGCATCTGATAGATGGGGAAATTTTTTACTTTCCCTTGCAAGGCTGGATCTCCATAATTTGGCCGTGAAAACATTGATATAAGACATCGCTTCAATTCATTCTGGGATTTTTTTTGCAATGTCGGTGTAAAAAGCTATTGAGCAGGCAGGGGAATTCCTAACAGATGAACCTCTGACTTATTTTTTAGCTTTTTACTGATGTCTTACAAAGAAGAAAGTACATTTATGTTTGTCAACATAAAAATGCTTTTATCTCTTGGTAAAAACCTACAATACTCTCTGTTGTTCACCAATAGCCACCCTCCCACTAAAACAGAGGAAAAGTTTCTCATTTGGGGAACAAATTTCTCTTTATACACTTTTGAGTTCAACACAAATTGGTGACCCTGAGGAGGAAGACGTTATAGACCCTTAAATCCCTAGATCCACCCAGAAATCCAGCTTGATTCATTTTCGCTTGTTCTAGTAGTCTGATTTATGTCAGGAGACTGTGTTTATGGAGATCAGGTGGCCTTTCTCACAAGCCTTTTTAATTTGCACCATTATCTGCTGATAACAGCGTAATGAGCCTGCATCTTCTGAAAAATAGAAAAAGTGTGCTTTTCCACAAAACACTTGTAAGACTGCATGGATTGCGGGGAAGTGGTATTGGATGCTATTAATGGGATGGTAGCTGACAAAAATGTCAAAGATGTAAGTTATTGTTCCAGGCCACTTGAAACCTTAGAATATGTTCCCCCAGTCACCCTATTAATGGAGATATATTATCTCTCTGAGAATTTCCTGTCAAACTCTGTTAAGTAAATAAAGAATAGGTGAAATATCAGAAACAGAGCTAACAAATGGAGCTAAGGCCTCCACTGGAAAGAAAAGAGCCAGCTGTTTACCGTGCTAATTCGAAACAAAATGAAAATGTATGTTTTTCATCTTTGTGGAATATAATTTTCAAACATAGACTGGAAGTTGGCTTTAGAAAAGACTTTTTTCTTTTTTTGAAAGAGATATTTAGTGGTCTGGTTTGTGTGTGACAAATGTGACTCTGGCCTTGACTTAAGACACATGTCTGGCTGAGCCCTGCATGTTGCCTCGAAATTGAACTCAAACCATGAAGTAATATTTGAGTCATTCAGCCGTGTTACTCTCAATGTGTCAAGATCAGAATGTACTAGAACTTTTTATAGTCAGAGACACAGCTAATTGTAGATACCGACTATCAGGCAGGACCCAGGGAATTTGGTGTAGGTGAGCAGAGCCACCCAGCTCTGTGGTTCCGGTGGTCCTGTGCAGATCTCAACCAAAGCCCATGTCATCCTAGGAATCTAACATAGAATCCATATTGTTCAGCCAGTGCTTCTCAATTAGGGGTGAGCATCCACACCCCCATACCCCCACTCCTGCTCTCCTGCCAGGGACACTGGGCAACGTGTGGAGGCATTTTTGGTTTGCATATTTGGGAAGGTTGCTACTGGCATCTGGTGGGTAGGGACCAGGAAAGCTGCTAAGAATTCTACGGTGCCCAGGACAGGGACCCACAGCAAAGGATTATTCAGCCCCAAATGTTGACAGTGCTGAGGCTGAGAAACCTAGCTCTTTTATTTTTGAGACAGAGTCTTACTCTGTACACCCAGGCTGGAATGCAGTGGTGCAATCTCAGCTCACTGCAACCTCCCAGGTTCAAGTGATTCTTCTGCCTCAGCCTGCTGAGTAGCTGGGATTACAGGCACATGCCACCACACCCAGCTAATTTTTTTGTATTTTTAGTAGAGATGGGGTTTCGCCATGTTGGCCAGGCTGGTCTCGAACTCCTGGCCTCAAGCAATCCATGTGCCTTGGCCTCCCAAAGTGATGGATTACAGGCAAGAAGCCTAGCTCTTGAACAGTGATTCTTAAACATGGATGTGTGTCAAAACCATCTGGACAGCTAAGAAGGCAAAGGCCCAGGCTCATTGAGGTGACTGTGGGGTAAACACACCTGAGAGCAATAACATAAGTACACCCTGAGAATGACCCCGTATGGCAGATGCACCTGCATGTGTTTTCTGAGCTAGGGAATCCAGGAGTGGCCAACCCGGAGATTTCATTCCTTATCTATGATAAATGTTTGAGCCCCCAGCCTGTCCCATCTAACACGGCGCATATAGGGGATTGAGGCCCTGAGTTCTTGGGTTAAATGAAGGTTTCCAGGAGGGGGTTGTTAGTGGGAGGGTGTTAAGTGAAAACGCTATATAATATTTGATTCATGATGTTTGCAGGCGGTTGGGGTTCTACTGCCCCGTCAGTCAGCACTGTAGGAAAGTGGATGTGTTGTCTAGCCAGTTGCCACTGGATCATTTTGGTAATTAAGTTGGTTCTCCTGTCCAGCCCACTGCCACTGGACTCTCCCCCCTGTATGGAACCCCTAATAAAACCCCAGGTCTCCTTTGCTGGCTCTGGGTCTCTTCTTGAACCTGGTGCCTTCACTATTGGAATTAATAGGGGTTTGGCAAAACAGGGAGGGCCTGAGCCTTTGTAGTTTTATCAAGTTTTTACGTGATTCTCACTCAAGTTCAAAAGCCACTGGTATAGGCTATTAATTAGATTCGGAAGTTGGACATGAACCATTTACCAATTTTTTTGGTCACACATTTATTATTTTTTGGTCACCCCTGTAATCTCAGCTACTTGGGAGGCTGGGGCTGGAGAATCTCATGAGCCCAGGAGTTCAAGGCTGCAGTGAGCTACGGTCACGCCACTGTGGTCCAGCCTGGCAGACAGAGTGAGACCCTGTATCTAAAAGAAAACATACAGAAACAACTTTGTGTGATTGTTTTTGTATGTTTTGTCTTCTTCAACTGCTCTAGATTTTTTTGCACAGGAAAATGTATGCTATAATGGTAATTTATTAATCATTATTTTTCTAGGCCAGTATTTCCCACTCAATCTGTGGGTTGTGAAGTTGCTACGAGGACTTTGAGAATCCGTATGTGTGCAAGCATTGCTCATAGAACTGAAAAAAAATCTTACACATATAAATATATGAATATTTTCCAAATTATATAGATGATCTGATTAATCATGTACACACTCATTTAAAAGTATTACTCATTGAATGTTTTAGAAAGAGATGAACACAAATATATCTCTACTGTCAGGTGGGTTCATAAAATATTTAAATATTTATTTTGCAAAGGGATCCTCCAAACTTAAAGGCACCTGCAGACTACATTTTCGAGATTTTTCCACAGTTTTTTTTTGAGACAGATTATTTGCCCATTTCAGGTGATAAATACTGCAGGGGGCTGGAGGCACCCAAGGCATATATAATAAATGCAAAATTTTCTCTAATCAACCATTAAGAAAGAAAAGTTTGGAAGAAAAAGCTGAACAATTATAGATGTTTACAATCCTAATAATGGTCATCAAGAAAATCTAATTTCATGTTCTGCATCTTCAGATACAAGACATCAGAGAAACTTGTAGGAAAGTGTTTTTTTTAATCACTGTATCAGTTTCTACTGAGATCCATGTACAGTTCTATATCTAATACTTGGTTTAGAGCACTGTTGCTCTAAGCTTGATTTCTCAAATAAGTCACCTGGGGATCTTGTTGTCCTACAGATTTTGATTGAGTTTGCCTGGACTTGTAATTCAGCAATCACCACAGGCTCCCAGGAAATGGAATGGCCCTGACCCTCAGACCACGGTTTGAATAGTGGGAATTCAAAGATGTTAGTTTCTGGAAGTTTATGCACTTTTGGCACCACGTATCTTAAAATACACTGTTGAAATGACTGGATCGTAGTAAAGCGGGGAGAGAAAACCAACTAAACACAATAATGCAACTCACATTTCACTTATGTAAATGTTATAGAAAGTCCTTGTACTTGAACTGATTAATTTTTTTTAACGGAGTGTTACTAGACAATAAGAACATGGGAAGAAAATTCAGATGAGAACAAAATTCCATATAGAAGGTGGCTTAGTATGTTAGCGCTGTTATAACAAAATATCTTAGACTAATTTGTACACAGCAAAAATGTATCACTCACAGTTTTGGAGGCTAGGAAATCCAAGATTGAGACCCAACAGATTCAGTGTCTGATGGGGATCGCCCTCTTCTTGAAAGAAGGCACCTCGTTGCTGCTTCCTCATGTGGTGGAAGAGATGAAGAGGTTCCTCCAGCCCTTTTATAAGGGCACTAATCATGAGCTAATCACCTCACAAAGGGGCCACCTCTCAATACCACCACATTGGAGATTAGGATTTCAACATATGACTTTTTTGGAAAGACACAAACATATCAGAAAGCTTTGACAGCAGGTGACTCTATCGGCTGGATGCTCCAGATAGCCCTGAACATGAATCACATTTTATTCCCAGCCAACCCCCTATCATTACTTCTGCAAGCACCACCACGGAGAAAATCAGCAACCTCATGGCTTGCAGGTGGGATCGCTCGGGTCACTTTAGAGGCTGTCACATCTCTTTGTAAATGTTTCTAGATATCCCTCCCTGACTCCCCAGGACCATTAATTGGTTTGTTTATCTGTGGTAGAAACAGGATACTAGTGGAAGAAAGCAGGCATATAATAGGTTCTCAGTGTGGGTTTGTAGATTAGTACCAATGAATATAGGACATGTTGGCCCAATTGGCATTTTCTCCTCTGGCCTAGATTCTGGTACTAAACTCTGGCTAATAAACTAAAGCTTCTATTAAAGCACACAGCAGTGAATTAAAATATAGATGTAAAATATGCCTTGACAGCTGACCTTGGAAACACAAAACTCAGAGGTACAAATCATGTATCCCCACCAACAGCCAGACAGAGAACAGACTCCACCTAACTGGGGGCAACATCTACTCACTCCAGCCAATGGGTGTGCTGCAGGAATAGGGGTTTCAAAATTCTCTCAATTTTCCAAGGTGAAAATCTGAATTTTTTATGTGTGAAACCTCCTGATTTTAAGTATGGAAAAAATAACTTAAAAAATTCAAACCTAGGTGTAGAAAAAAAAAATGACACTGGAAGTTGACTTTGGTTTTCACGGCACCAGTTTACAACCTTTGGTCTACAGCAGTGGTTCTCGAAGTGTGATTCTCTGACCAGCAATATCTGTATCACCTGGGAACTTGTTGGAAATGTAAACTCTCGGGCGCCACCTGGGATCTACTGAGTCAGAGACCCTCAGGGAAGGTCCCAGCAGTCTGTGTTTCAATAAGGCCGCTGTGAGACTCAGCTGCAAGCTCAAGGTTGTCAAGCACTCGTCTAGAGCTTTCCTGATGTGCCCTGTGCCCAGGTCAGTTCTTTTTTTTTTTTTTTTCTTTTTGAGGCAGAGTCTTGCTCTGTCACCACCCAGCCTGGAGTGCAGTGGCACAATCTCTGCTCACTGCAACCTGCACCTCCTGGGTTCAAGCGATTCTCCTGCCTCAGCCTCCAGAGTAGCTGGGATTATAGGCGTGCACCACCACGCCTGGCTAATTTTTTGTACTTTTAGTAGAGATGGGGTTGCACCATGTTGGCCAGGCTGGTCTCAAACTCCTGACCTCAGGTGATCCACCAGCCTCACCTCCCAAAGTGCTGGGATTATAGGCATGAGCCACCGCGCCCGGCCCTGGATCAGTTCTTTCTTGCTGCGAGGCTCCTGCCTCAGTTTACTATTTAGTGCGAGAATTCCAAGTTTCCTTTCAAATCGGAGATCTGAAATAAGGCTATTCTCCCTTTTTAGCTATTGCACTGAGGGGCTGTACCTCACCCTCACCTGCCTGTCACTGGCTTGGGTTGGTTTTACTTTAATCTGTTCCCAACCTGCCTAAATCTCTAGTCTGGAAACCGTTCAGCCCCTTTCTTTCAATACCCAGATGAAAGATATGAAATGGCTGTTTCTGTAGGTAAAAAAATGGTTGCATCTGATGCAACATATTGGTAATATTGTTACTTGTGGTATACTTGCTTTCTACAATGTATATTGTCTCACAGAATTGTTGTCAGGAGTACATAAAATCATATATATCACATGCCTGGCCCACTGCTTGGCACACAGTAAGCTTTTAGTAACTGTTAGCTATTACAGTTACCATGTCTAATACAATGATCCAGCAAGACAATCATTCCCTTGTTTAGGTGAACATGTGGAAGCTCAAGGAGTTAAATTCTGAGAAATTGCATAGGTCAGAAGAGGCAAGTACAGGGCTTGAACTCTGGGATTTTATTCCCAAATTTGTGCTCTGTTCCCCATGGTGCATGGTCTCTCCACCTGTGTTGGTGAGCAGGGCTGCAGGGGTTGACATTTTTTTCCAGACACTGCATTTTGACCTGCTGGGTCCCCTCGTCTAAGGCAGAGTTTCTGCTTTAAGACAGTGGGAACGCCAGGGTCATGGCTAGCTCCGAATGATCCCCTAGCACTGACTCATCCGCGATTCTGTGCACAGTGAGACGTCAAGGGGGAGATACAATTGGGAGGAAGCAGTTCCGGATTCAGTACCTTCTGGCTGGGTTGAAATTGCTGGAGGAAATTTCATTCCTGGCCACTAGCGGAACATTTAGGTTCCCCTGGCCCATAACCAGGAGCCCAGGAACGGCTCTTCAATGTGTGCCAAGGGCATTGGTAGGGAAAGCCCCAGGTCAGACAAGAGGGCCAGCAGAGGCAGCACGGGTAACGGTGCTCTATCGGTGAAGTATTACCCAAAAGAATGGGGTGACAGAGCCACTGGAAGGTTTGTGTCTGCCACTGATGGTGGTCCTCACCAAGGAGGCAAGAGCCGGCTGGATTCTTGACCAAGCTCTGCCTGCAGAACCAAGCTCCCACAGGGCTGCACCACCTGGAGGAGTCATCTTTTTCTGATTCTCTCAAAGGTAGAGCTGGGGTTCATGCTGGTCCCCAGTAAAGGTCAGCAGGGCTAGGGAAGAGGCTGAGATGTGGATGATCCCATATAAGACAGAGCAAGAATTCTATAGGGCCTTTGAAATCAGGTGTCATTGAGGGACGATAAAATGCTGTCTCTTGCGAAAATCATGTATTCCTTCACTTATTCAGCACGTAGTAGACTTTAGTTTTTAGAGCAGTTTGAGGTTTAGCAGAAAGGGCAGAGAGTTCCATACCCCTCCCTCTCTCCTCCTCCTACCTCCCAGTTTCCACTATTATTACCATCTTGCCGTAGTATGGTATATTTGTAACAACTGATAAACCAATACTGATATATTATTATTAGCTCAACTCCATAATTTACATTAGGTCTCATGCTTTGTATGGTACATTCTGTGGGTTTCCGCAAATGCATGATGACATATATCCACCATTATAGTATCCTCCAGAATAGTCTCACTGCCCTAAAGATCCCCTGTGCACCCTTTACTCATTTCTCCCTTCCTCCCCTCAACCACTGGCGACCACTTATCTGTTTATTGTCTCTGCTGTTTTACCTTTCTCAGAACGTCATACAGTTGAAATCATAGAGTATGTGGTCTTTTCAAACTGGCTTCATTTACTTGGCAATGTGCATTTAAAGTTCCTTCCTGCTTTTTCTTGGCTTGATAGCTCATTTCTTCTTAAGGCTCAGTAATGTTCCATTGTATGGATGTCCCTTGCAGCTTCTGATTTGCAGAATACTGTGTTCAGTCCCTGGGGACGTACAATAAACAATGCCTTGTATTTAAGCACCTACCTGATGTCCAGAGTTTTGTATTGTCATTTTAATGCATTATCTCATCTAATTCTCATAAAGTCCCTCTGAGAGATAGGTACTAATGTCCCTTTTTGTTTTTGTTTTGTTTTTTGAGATGAAGTCTCGTTCCGTTGCCCAGGCAGGAGTGCAGCGGTGGATCTCGACTCACTGCAACCTCTGCCTCCTGGGTTCAAGCGATTTCCTTCCTCAGCTTCCTGAGTGGCTGAGATTATAGGCATTTGCCGCGATGCCCAGCTAATTTTTGTATTTTTAGTAGAGACGGGCTTTCATCATGTTGGCCAGGCTGGTCTCGAACTTCTGACCTCAAGTGATCCGCCCACTTTGGCCTTCCAAAGTGCTGGGATTACAGGCATGAGCCACTGTGCCCAGCCTAATTTCCCTATTTTACATGTGGAAACTGAGGCTCAGCCAAGTTAGTTAATTTGTCCCAAGGCAGTATGTGGTAGGGCCTGTATTTGAGCCCAGGCCTTTTTTTTTTTTTTTTTTTTTGAGACAGAGTTTCACTCTTGTCGTGCAGGCTGGAGTGCAGTGGTGTGATCTCAGCTTTCACTCTTGTTGCCCAGGCTGGAGTGCCGTGGCACCATCTCGGCTCACTGCAACCTCAGCCTTCCAGTTTCAAGCGATTCTCCTGCCTCAGCCTCCTGAATAGCTGGGATTACAGGCGCCTGCCACCACGCCCAGCTAAGTTTTGTATTTTTAGTAGAGATGGGGGTTTCACCATGTTGGCCAGGCTGGTCTTGAACTCCTGACCTTGTGATCAACCCTTCTGGGCCTCCCAAAGTGCTGAGATTACAGTTGTGAGCCACAGCGCCCGGCCGAGGCCAGGACTTTTACCCCATTATATCTCACTCCTTGGAGAGATTTCAATTCAGTCTGAAACAAGGGCAGAAGGATATGCATTGCATGCGTCAGCTTTTCCACTCTATGTGTTTACTTAAGGTTCTCTCCTCCTGCCTGGGACTCTTGCCTCCTATTGCAAACATCCTCTAAAAATTGCCAAGCAATTCAGATCTTGCCCTCAACTTGAATTCCCTGCCAGAAAAACAAACTCCTGGTAGTTAATTAAATGGGGATTTCCCACCATATGATACTCTGTCTGACTCCGAAGTCCATCCTTTGCTCATGGCATCACAGCTCATGCCTAGGAAAGACAAAGGTACAGCTGGTAAACCAACTCAATCTTCTTTAATTTCTCATACTTGGCACTTCCTCTGACATCTTGGCCATATGGTTTGCTGTTGGGAAACTCAGAAGTTATGAGGGGTAAGGCTTATGGACTAGGGTTCAAGATCAAAAGAGCAGGACAATGTATTCCTTCTGCCCCAGAAGCTAACATGCTCCAAGGGCCTTGCTTTGGGTTGGCCACTCAAAAATCCCCCTCAAATCTGTTTGGCTGAGGTAAGAGAATCCATAATTTTCCCTAATTGTCAAGTTGAATTTTTTACTTCTCTGCTCAAAGTTTGCCAGTAAAAGTAAAGAAGGTAACTCTATAGTGGACAAACCTGAAAGACATCCCTTTAATCCACTGATCAGAGTTAATATCACCAGGAATGGGATAATTAAAATTCCAAGCCACAGACAGAATGCTCTGAGAAGAACACAGCATCACTCCTGTGATATTGTTGGCAAAGGCAAATTACCTGACTCTAATCATGAGAGGTCATTAGACGAACCCAAATTGAGGGACATTCTATAAAAGTACTGGCCTGTATCTTCAAAAGCCTTCACATCACAAAAGTCCAGGAAACAGTTGCAGGCAAGAAGGAAGGCAAAAGAGAAATTGACAACATATGCAACTCATGACTCTGACAATGTTGATTTCCTGATTTCCATATTTGTATGGTAGTTACGTAGAAAAACAAACATTCTTGTTTGTAGGAAACACACTCTGAAGTATTGGAGGTGAAAGAGGGTCATGCCACAACTTAACCTTTGTAATGTTCTTACACCTTTCTTCTAAGTTTGAGATTGTTTCAAAATTAAAAATTCTAAGATAGCTCCCAGTGGCTGCATTATTTCCATAATGCCTTGGCTGATGTGTTGGGACCTCTGTAATGAGATACCACCCTCCCAGTGTTGTCTCATTCCCATGGTGCCCCTGGCACGCTTTACTGATCCAGGAGAGGATCTCTCCATTCATGTTTCTGGCTTCTTTCTGCAGTCAAAAATACCCCATCACCCCTCTGCCCATCACCGGCTGATTTTTAGCCCAAATCCAAGATCAATTTCACCTTCTTGTTCAGGCAGCCCTCCCATCACAACAGCCCTCTTGGCTTCTCTTTTCTGGTTAGTTGGACTTAGCTTCCAACACCTAATTTAGCATTTCACTGTACAGTCTTTTGCCTGCCAATGCAAATGTACACGTTGGGAAGCAGAGCTCATTCCAGATACCTTAGCGAACACCTTCCTCATACTACGTGATCAATAAACACCTACTCACTGACTGATCACTGCTTGATTGGATCCTCACTGTTAGGAAATAAAAACCTATTTACAATTCATTTCTGTGTGAAAAACTCAGCACTTTATTAATACAAAGGACTTCTCCTCCCAGCCTTGCCTGACAATTTAAAACATGTGGCAATGAAGGCTAAAGAGCCAACTTTCTCAAGCCTAAGAAAACCTCAGTTGTAGCTGCTGAAATGTTCTCAAACTATTAGCTCTGTGTCCATCTGAGACATTTTGCATCTTTCAATTCTCCTTTCTCATTGGCTGAATCCTCGTTACTATTTGCATGGTAAAGTGTGTTCAGCAAATAATCTGAGAAGTAGTAGAACTAGAGAATTCAGTCCACATGCTGGATTCCTCCAGGAATATTAGACCCAGCTGTTTGCCACGCAACAGACAAACACACACACTCACACCTGCTTCCTTGTAAAGACTGTGGTCTTTTTTAAGATACCTTGTCTCTAGGATAAAAATCATCTTTTGGAAAACAAATCGAGAGAATACAGGTGGGGTGGTCTATGAGGGGTAGAAGTGTCTCTAAAGTCTGAAACACCTGTGCCTTCTTTCTATGGGGCAATAATTGTGTAATTCTATGTCTGGATGCATTTCTGCAGATGTGATTTTGCATTTTGTGCCTTGAAACTATGATATGAAGACAGGGAAAGTCTGGCACTTAGTGTGTGTCTCTGTTTTTTGTGGATGTACTTGCTCAACTCAATTTTGGAAATATGGCCTTTGGTGTCTCATTTTTGTATGATTGGTACATAATGATACTCATCAGTAGCTTATTGCTATGTAATCAAAACTACTCAAGATTTCAATGCTGCACTAATATTAACTTCAACCATTTACTATTTTAATGAAGTGAGTGTTGATATAGACATTTGCATACTTATTTGTCAATACAAACAGATTTGATGTCGAGTAATAAGGTCATTAAAAGTAATCACATATTTACATTTTTAATCCCCATCTCCCTCCACCCCTTGCTCCAATTCCTCTCCCCTTTACCACTGCACTAAATAAATTAACGAGGTAGCATCGAAACCACAGCATAGGACCACTGTGGTCTTTTCCATTATAGAATCTGTCACTGTCACTGGAGAACCTGCTGGTAGGTGCCAACCATACAGAGGAAGGTCACTTTCTGTAGTAAGATTACTGCAAGATGCTGGGAGGCCACAGGGCTGAGCTGTGATTTGTTTCAAGAGAACTTGAGGTGGGTTTACTGCATTTGGTAATCCCAGATGAGACCAAACCCAAAATGAAACTGACAACGGCCTTTACTTGGGTTAAGGCTAAATCTCAAGCTACATGTATGCATGCCACAGCCAGCTCCTGGACAGTCATGTTGCATTCCTTCTCCTTCTCACTATCTAGACAGCCCAAATCTAGGGAATGGAGGTATGGTTTTGGGAGATAGAACAAACTGTGGCATGTAGAGAGGAGGAAGGAAGAAGCTGGAACCACTTTCTCGAAGCTGAGTGTATTGGTCCATTTTCACAGTGCTATAAGGAAATAACTGAGACTGGGTAATTTATAAAGAAAAGAGGTTTAATTGGCTCACAGTTCCACATGGCTGGGGAGGCCTCAGGAAACTTATAATCATGGTGAAAGGCAAAGGGGAAGCAGGGACCTCTTCACAAGGTGGCAGGAGAGAGAAGTGAGAGTGAAGAGGGAAGAGCCCCTTATAAAACCATCAGATCTTGTGAGAACTTACCCACTATCAGGAGAACAGCATGGGGGGAACCGCCCCCATGATCCAATCACTTCCCACCAGGTATCTCCCTTGACACGTGGGGATTACAATTCCAGATGGGATTTGGGTGGGTACAGGAAGTGAAACCATATCACTGAGATGCAGCATGTGAGAGCATAAAGAGATCTTGGAGATTCATTGCCTGAAACTCTAATTTTACACATAAACATCTAGAGGTTCAAAGGGCAACTGATTTTCCTGGGGTTGCATAGACATTCTGGATTCTTCCTCAAAAGCCCTTTTCAGAATAGTCTTTTCTCAAACTAACACAAGGGACTCAGCCATTTGTCAGAAATAGGATCAGTTGTCCAAAGTCATTGCATGATATTAGGTTGGTGCAAAAGTAATTGTGGTTTTTGCCATTAAAAGTAATGGCAAAATGGCAATTACTTTTGAACTGATCTAATATATTCTACTCTGACAAGCATCCATTCCCCCTGCTCTCCCTATCCTATCACTCTTAAATAATAGCTATAGGGAGCTATCCCTTCTACAATGGATCCAGTCTTGGTAGGACAATCAGTGTACCTGCCCTTCCTTCGCCAAAGATGGCTTGTAACCCAAGGCCAATAAATTCTTGGAATGCTTGTCCTAAGCCCTAACAGACTGAAAAGGTTTGGAACTAATTTATCCCAAGGTAACTGCTTTGGTAGAGACTGTCTCTTAGGTCCTGCTACCTGGAACCCAGGAACTGATCTGTCTATTTCTGAAGCCTGGATCTTTTTCTGTCTTTGATTCTTGGAGTTACCCTATAATCTATGGCAGATGCTGTGAGTGGGGTAACACAGTGGTTCTGACCTGAGGCAATTTCCCCCTCCCCACCCAGGAGACATTTGGCAATATCTGGAGACATTTTTGGTTGTTACCACCAGGGGAGGGATGCTACTGGCATCTATTTCGTGGAGGCCAGGAATGCTACTAAATATCCTACATTATACTGAACAGCCTCCCCCCACCCTCCATTAAAGAATTACCTGGCCCAAAATATCCCTAGTGCTAAGATTGAGAAACTCTGAGTGAACCCAATGCCCATCTCCAATCCCCTCTTTTTTATGTTCTTCCCTATAGAGACTAAAAAATATTCACTTTCCCAGCCTCTCTTGCACTAAGGATCAGGTGTCCAGATGATACCATTCTGATCAGAGAGACTAAAGGAGAAATTTGCTTGCCTGATAAAAGAGACAGAAACAGCTATTCCTTCCCCTTCCTCCTGACTTGCAGGTTGATGTAGCTTGGTGCTCTGGCAGCCATTTTGTGGCCATGAGACAAAAGCCAATAGAATCACAGGCACTCAGTTCTTACACTGTTCAGCCATTAAAGCAAACCCAGTGACAATCTCCTTTCAGGATCCTTGCTGTTGAAGAAAATTAAACCCTCATTTGTTTAAGTCACTTATAGTGAAATACTCCTTCCCTTGCATCTGAGAGCATTCCAACATGTTCTCCTCCCAATAAACTCTTTCTCTGCTTATGTTAGCTAGAGTTCATTTCTGTATTTTTGCAAGAAAAGAACTCTACCTGATAAAGCACACTAAATGTGAGTTTTGTGAACTATGTATTGCAGCCAGAATTGAGGATTTCTCTCTCTGATTATTCCTGATGCTGACTGGAATTTTGGCTACATATAGCAAGCCACTGTGGCCAACTCTTTGCTACTGTTCAGCAATATTCTTGGATCTGTGCTTTGTGATAAGATTGGTGATAAAAATTACTTTCCGCATGTTTTCTGCCTCTTCACAGTAGGTCAGAAAAGTCCTTCGAGCTAGAGTCAACTAGACATGTGTTCAGGAAAGGCCTTTTCAAGTTGGGAGCAGGACAGGGAGCTGAAGAACTGCTATTTTACGCTCCTCTATAACGTGACCACAAGGACTCAAAGCAGCTATTGCAGTAGGAAGAGGCCTGCGTACTTGGGTAAAGTAGACAAAGCAGGGAAAGAAAGATCTACCCTCCTCCGTGGGCCCATCCCACTCCTCACACAGCTGGGGGCTGTGGATGAAGGCAATGCCAGTGATCATTCTCTGACCATGGCTTAATTGCTGCTGGACCCGAGTCGTTATTGCTGGTTTGTGTGCAGAAATCAGAGAGGTGGAAGCAGCTCTCAAATCTGATTCAGACATGAACTGTCGCTGTCCCCTCCTGCCCCATGGAAGCTTAGCCCTGCCATAGTGCAGGGGGCCTCCTGCTACAGGCCCCCCACCCGCAGATCTGCCCATCAGAGCAGGGTTGGCTCTGCCCTTGTGCCTCACTCTCAGCATTGCTTCTTTTAGTTTATTTTCTCTGAAAACTTGCTCAGGGGGTCTGGGGGCTTAACCATGATTGGTTCCGTGTTTTCTCTTGGTCAGGGTGAAAAAGTGTGGTAATTCCTTGGAGTGGAATTTTTTTATGTGTGTGGGGGGCAGTATATGTGTAGTGTTTAAGAACACAGATTCTAAAATTTCATTGCCTGAGTTCAAATGGTGATTTGTCCTTTAATAATAATGATGATGAAAATGATAGCACCAATAGTAGCAGCAGAAGCAGCAGGTAATATTAATGAGGGTTGACTACATCCAATATTATTCTAAATGTGTTACATATATTATCATACTTCGTAGCTGTTTGACTTCTGCCAAGCTCCTTAACATCTTTAAGCTTCAAGTTACTCAGACATAAAATGAGGATAATAACAGGACCCAATTTATTAGATTGTCGTGAGGACTAAAATAAATAACACAGCAGAATGGTTGACATCCAGTGAGTAGTTACGCAATGTTAGCTTCTAAGATTCCAGGTGATAGGTCAGTTGAACACTACCTGATACTTATATTTTAAAAATACATTTTAAAGCAAACTATTGGCTTATTTTGACCATTTATTTTGAAGAGATCATCATAAACTAAACTCTGGAGCATCTTTTCAGCACATGAATCACCAACTAGCACAGCATGGATGCAAAACCAAGACTCAAATATTGGAGTTCAGTGAAGACTTCTAGCTTCCTTCTTGTTTTGGGAAGACAAGGCCAGTAAAGCTTGTCTTTGAGGCTGGATGGCTGGATTTATAGGGTTGATCTGAGTGTTTGAGGGTTCATGGTTGAATATTTTCTTCCTTTGCTTGCTAGAGCATGCTTATAATTAATTATTTAAAAACTATGTGGCATGGTGGCTCATGCCTGTAATCCCAGCACTTTGGGTGGCTGATGCTGGTGGATCACCTGAGGTCAGGAGTTTGAGACCAGTCTGGCGAACATGGCGAAACCCCGTCTCTACTAAACATACAGAAAATTAGCCAGGCATGGTGGCGGATGCCTGTAATCCCAGCTACTCAGGAGGCTGAGGCAGAAAAATCGCTTGAACCTGGGAGGCAGGGGTTGCAGTGAGCCGAGATTGCACCACTGCACTCTAGCCTGGGCAACAAGAGTGAAACTCTGTCTCAAAAAAACAAAAACAAAAACAAAAACAAAACAAAAACAAACTACTCAGCAAAAGCCCCCATTCCAAGGATTTGCTGTAGTTAAAATGGGAGGGAAAGTGGGCTGTTATGCTAAGATGAGGTGACATAAATGATAATGATGACAATGAAAAATTATAATAAAAGATACAAACGCTGGGTTATTACGGAGTGTCAAGCACCACCCTCTGCATCTCATGAAGTCATACTTCCCTGTGAGAAAGACATTGTCTCAGTCCATTTGTTTTGCTATAATGGAGTATGTGAGGCTGGGTACTTTATAAAGAAAAGGGGTTTATTTGGCTCACCGTTCTGCAGGCTGTACAAGATTCATGGTGTTGGTACCTGCTCAACCTCTGGTAAGGGCCTCAGGCTGCTTCTACTCATGGCAGAAGGTGGAGAGGAGCTGGTGTGTGCACAGACAACATGGAAAGAGAGGCAAGAGAGAGAGGGGAGGGGGCAGGCTCTTTTTAACAAGCAGCTCTAGTAGGAACTAATAAAGTGAGAGCTCACTCATTACTGCAAGGACATCACCAAGCCATTCATGAGGGATCCGCCCCCATGGCCCAAACACCTCCCATTAGGTCCTGCCTACAGCACTGGGGATCAGGTTTCAACATGAGATTTGGAGGGGACAAGCAAAGCAAATGATAGCAGAGCAAATGAGTATCCTCATTATACTCAGGAGGAGTAAATGACTTAAGCAAGGACTCAGCTAGAAATTGGCAGAGCTGGGATTTGGACCTAAGTCACCTCCAAGTCTAGTTTGCATAAGCACCTTGCTGTAGTGACTGCCATAAGGCAGGCACAGTATCCTGCAGCTACTCCTTGCAACCCACTTGTCCAAGATGGATGAGGCTCCGTGGACCTCTGGAATGCTGGCTTGGGTGGAACAGAGAGCTCCCTGTCTGACCTCCTTTGGGCAGGAACTGACCTCTGAGAAGCCCCAATCAAGGATTTGCCAATGCAGAAGGGGGGCACACTCATCTCCGAAAACCAGGGGGTGATTCTCATCTGATGCTAGCACAGAATAGCAACCTGGGAAAACTCTGTCCTGTTTTCCTACAACTTTGTAGAAAAAGCTTCCAGGGTCCCCCCTGTACTGGTTATCTCCAAGTATTTCCCTTGAGATACTTAGCATAAAATGTATCCAATATATCTCAATGACCTGTGCAGTGTGGTGATATTTACCAAATTCAGACAAACAGTGTTCTAATAAGGGATTGACTACAGCTGTTTGGCCTCTTTGGCAGATGCTTTCCAGGATCTGTGCGCATTCATAAACAACATGTCACTGAGGTTCCGGCCAACTGTACCGCACTCAGAGCTGAACCTGTAAACCTCTCACTTCATCCTCCATACCTTTCTAGCCCCTGTTTATTTTTCCCTGAGAAAAATGAAAGTTTTCTATTTCTTGCCAAGGCTCTTACAGAGAAAGCTGGCTTAAAAAAAATTGTCCTTCTTCAGGCTCAAGCATAAAATCAGTTAGAACTCACATAAGGAAATTTAAAAGCAAGTCTAATTTACTAAATGTGCCTTAGACTATTAATTAAGTGAACCATTTTTTAATGAAGGGCTTATGAAGGAGATTCAAATAGGAAAAGGTGTATTTTTAGTCAGTAGTGATAAGAAGAATCTTTAGGAGTGTCATCAAGAATCTTAGATAATTCATCAAGGTCTAGCGGCGAACCCACAGATCTCTTTCTGTCTCTCTTCCTTTCTCCCCCACTCACCCAGGACGCACCCATGTTTAGCAAGTTACACACCTACATGTGGATATGCAGGCTATGCATTGCACAATCTGACCATGTCTGCAAGACTGACAAAGCCAGAAAATCAAATTTTTAGTTTACTAGGAGACGTAATTCACATGAGGTCTACATTGTAAGGGGCCAGTGGGTTCTTAATCTTTGGGGTTCGTGGAAAGTTTTGAGATCAAGAAGATAGCTGTAAGTCTTCTCTCCAGAAAAATGTACAAGCTCTCAATCACTTCAATATAATTTAAAGGGGTTCATGGGTCCCCACATCCCACCCACAGACCCCAGTACTTGGGATAAGAATGTCAGTTTCTGGCACAACCAGTAGGGAAGCCAAATCATGAGAAGCTTACTTATTGAGCAGAAATTCAAATATTTAATAGTGTCATGTCAGTTTTACCTGTAGGAGCTTAAGGTTTAATGGACGTTTTGATGTCAATGGATATTAGAATAGACTAAGGCCAGGTAGTTCTGGAAATGTAACCGAACCTTGATTTGCTATACCATTTTTCTCCTTAAAACTAACTTTTCCCAATCTCTGACAGATTATTCCTGAAAAGCTGACAGTTTCTACCCATGTTTGCTAAGTGTCTCATTAAAAAGTTAAAAAAAAAAATCTGGTTTCTAAGAAACCCCCTTTGAATGAATGCAGTCTATGTTTTTCATTTTATTTTAAAAAACAAATGCTTTCTAATGGCCAAAATATTTAAGTTTGAAAGCCAGATAATGAGAATACACAATAATCACTTCTCTCAACTTTTTTTATTTTAGCAATAATTTCCTTGTCACTTGAATGTGACTTCCGATTGTCAAAATGACTCTGAGACAATGGTTCGGTGCTGCCTGATGGCACAAAGTAGAATTGTGAAGCTGATGCCAAAAGTATGTCAACTTAAGTCAGGAGAATGACAAAAGCTCCAAGGAATCTCAATCGTTGAGAAGGCAGGCCAGGCTACTAAACTGGCACACAGGTGAGTTCTAGCATATCTTCAGTATCTTATAAGTTGCCTCTCCTATTTCCTGGTATGGACGATCACTATTTGGCTATATATGCTGTCTGTGACTCCAAAATCTATAACTATGGAAGGCAAGTAAACCTGAAACAATCCCCATGGGAATTTCTCCAGGGTGGGTGGGTGGGGGGAAGGTATCCCAAGTGTTTTTAATAAGGGAATAAAATGATTGTTTTAGATACTAAAGGATAAATCAAAAGGCAACTAAGCCTTTGTTTTTTCATAGATGGTAGGTAATTCATGGCCCAGAGACTGACTTGCTCCACCACAGAAGGCCAAGGAGTTCTCTTGTAATAAGTCTGAGTGTAACCTCAAAGTCTTTCCCAACATAGCACCAACACCAAGGGGTTCAAAGTGGCAAGAGATGGAAACTGCTCTGCCTATATCTACAATTCAAATTCTGGCGCCCTTAGATCTATTGTAGATAGCATCCATTCTTTCATTCAGAAAGTATTTGTTAAGCTCATGCTCTGGATGTCGTAAAGCAGACAGGAAGAGCAGGCTGATTTACTCCCTTATGGAATTGATGGTCTAGTGAGGGAGCTGTGCACTGAACAAATAGTCACACTAAAGGATGCTGTATTTTGTAATGTGTAAAGGAATGATCACTGAAATGAGATCTGAGAGAGGAAAAGTGTCAACAGGGCCAAGGACTGGAAGTGAGGAAGGAAGAGATCAGGAAAAGAGTGCAGTAAGTGCAAAAGCTATGAAATCCACAGAAAGCAAGTGTGGCTAGAATGCCTACAGCAGAAATTACGCAAGACAAGAGGCTGCAAGGTCAGGAGCAAGGAATGAAGCAGGATCTTTCCCAATATCACCCCCTGCTGAGATCCTAGTCATCTATCCTTCAAGGCCCAGCTAAAGTGACCCTTTTCTCTTTCCTTTTCTGGGCTATTGTATCAAGAGCAATGTTGCTGGAACACCACAGACTTTATCACGTTCAAATAGAGTTTGTTTCTAAAGTCAGTAATTAGGGAGAAAATTATGTACAATAAAAATAAAACCTGCCCATGAATATGAATTTAAAATCATCAAGAGCTGGATTCTTGCAAGCCCCAAACCCAAATATTAGCTTCTTGTGTTTCTCTTGCTTTTTGCCTTTGTCTTAGTCCATTTTCTGTTGCTGTAACAGAATACTACAGACTGGGTAATTTATAAAGAAAAGAAGTTTATTTGGCTTACAGTTCTGAAGGTGGGGAAGTCCAAGAGCATGGTGCCAATGTCAGGCAAGGGTCATCCCATGGTGAATAGGCCGATGGGCAAGAGAGCACGTGCAAGACAGAGTTCAATTTTATGGCAAAGCTACTTCTGCAATAATGAACTGTATTAGTCTATTTTCATACGGCTATGAAGAAATACCTAATACTGGGTCATTTATAAAGAAAAAGAAGTTTAATGGACTCAGAGTCCCACATGGCTGGGGAGTCCTCACAATCATGGTGAAACTCAAAGAAGGAGCAAAGGCACTTCTTACATGGCAGCAGGCAAGAGAGAGCTTGTTCAGGGAAACTCCCATTTATAAAACCATCAGATCTCGTGAGACTTGTTCACTACCACAAGAACAGTATGAGGAAACTGCCTGCATGATTCAATTATCTCCACCTCGCCCTGTCCTTGACATGTGGAGATTATCATAATTCAAGGTGAGATTTGGGTTGGAAAACAGCCAAACCATATCATGAGTCCACTCCTGTGATAACAGCATTAATTAGTCCATAATGCAGAGCCCTCAAGACCCCATTGCCTCACACAGGCCATACCTCCCAACACTGTTGCATTGGGCATTAAGTTTCCAAAACATGAATTTGGGGGACACATTCAAACCATAGCAGACATTTTTCCCCTAAGGCATTGGAGAGCAAGGTCTATTTGAAACAGGAAAGGGTCCAGGATAGTATTTTTCTCCTTTTCTTTTTTGCTAAGCCTCTGCATCCTATTGCTTTTGGTTTGCTGAGTAAGATATGCTACCTAAGGGCACAGAGCTCTGGTCAGGGAAAGTAAAGATTTTTTACAGGATATCTGGAGGAAGGAGGTTGGAATACAGAGAGGGGCAGTGAAGAATAAATAGGATTAAGTATTGTTAAATGGTTCAACAGATAATCCTCTCTTTTGCCTCATTAGGAAAGCTTGTATAAAAGGTGCATTGCCAAGCAATGTTTTAGGAGTTAGATCATTTGTTATGAGTGTGTTTGGTGCATTAAGAGTAGTGTATGGCCTTAAGGTAGCTATAGAGCAAAGACAAAAACTGCTTGGAGTGAGGCTATTGCATCTAGGTTACATTTGTTCTCAAAAAGCTTTGTGTCAATGGAGGGATTTATGGGAAAGAGGAGCCTCATTGATCCTCACAGTCATAAACAGTTCACTAGAAAATCTAAACATGAAATTAAAACAACCAACCAATGTGGGTCATCAACAGAGATCAATGAAAAGAAATACTTTCCTCCTGAACTTCAGCCAAAAGTAGTGGCCCTGTGAAGTTACACAAATTTCTGCCAGTTTGAATAACACTTCTTTTAGGAAAATTTAACCTGACCCCTTTTGTTTTGTTAAATAGTTCAACAGGTAATCCTCCCTTTTGCCTCATTTAGGAAAGTTTGTGTAAAAGTTGCATTGCTGAGCACTGTTGTAGAAGTTGGATTTTTTGTTGTGAGGGTATTTGATGCATTAAAGAAAGTGTATGTCCTTAAGGTAGTCATATATCTACCTTTTCTCTAGTATATATCCCCATAGTTTCTGGGATTTCTTTTTTGAAATCTCAGCATATTGATGATTAATTGTATATGTCTGAGTTAATTAATGAGACAATGAAATTAAGATTTCTGGGTCTATCTTGTTTCCTAATGAATCCTTATCTATTACTTATATCTTTAGTCATTCCATAAATATTTCATAAGCACCTGTGTATTAATTTCCAATTGCTGTGGTAAGAAATCACCCCGAATTTAGTGACTTAAAACAATATAAATTTATTGTTTCACAGTTTTGGAGGTCAGAAGTCTAAAACTTGTCTCACTGGGCTAGAGTCAAGGAGATGACAGGGCTGTATTCCTTCTGGGTGCTCTGAAAGAGAACCTGTTTTTTCACCATTCCCAGCTTGTAGAGGCTGCCCAAATTACTTGGCTCCTGGCCTCACATCACTTCAACCTCTGCTTCTGTTGTCATATCTCAGTCTCTGTCACTGACCCTCCTGTGTTCCTCTTTTAAGGACCCCTGTGATTACATTGCGCCCACTCAGGTATTCCAGGATAATCTCTTCAACTCAACATGCTTCACTTAGTCACATCTGCAAAGCTTCTTTGCCATGTAAAGTAACATATTCACAGGTTTCGAGGATAAAATGTGGACATCTTTGGAGAGGGCAGCATTATTCCCCTATAACCTACCATGTGTCAGGTATGATGGTAATGCTATAGAGAGCAAAATCAGAGTTTATGTCCTCAGGGCACTGCAGCCTAGTAGGGATACTTCCTGACAGAGAGGGATGAAAATGAACAAAAACTCTAGAGCAGGACTCAGAAAGGAACACAGTAAGCTTGGGGGACTGAGAGTAGATCTGGAGCACACAGTGGAGTGGGGTAGGACATTTGCTGCAGGAAGAGGCAGCAGAAATTGGCAGGGGTATAACCAGCAGAGGGGTGATGATAGTTGAACATCGATCAAACTAATATAGATTTTTATGAAGATTGAATCTCCAGCAACAATTGCTTATCCATTCATTCATTCAACAAATATTTACAGAGTTTCTACCATAACGTATGCACTATTCTAGGTATATGGGAACATAGAGAACAAAAATACAAAAATCTCTACTCTCAGGTAGCTTCTATTCTAGTGGGAATACATAGACAATAAACAAAAAAGAAATAAACTCTAGACTGCATTATATGTCATTCAGTACAATGGTGAACAACAAAGCAGAGGGCTTCATATCCTTCTTTCTTTCTGTCTGTCTAGGAAGGGAAAGGACAGAGCATGCATGATTTAGAGATGGTATTCACAAAGCAGCTGCAAATCTCAGAGCAGGTTTTCACTTGTGCTCATGTCGGGGGGGCCAGATACCAAGAACATTACAGTGAAAATGTTTGATCAGTTATATATGTTAATTTTAGAACCAAGAGAGAAGTTGATTGCTGACCATGCATATAATGAAGTATAGAAATCTTGCAAATGAAGAAAGTAAAACAATTGGTTCATCCTCCAAATTTTGCTTGCTGAGTAGCCTTCTCATCCTGCCCATGAAAAGCAATCTCAAAGAGAATTCACATCTTGAGCATTTAACCGAGTGGGGAGCAGGGTGAGGGGGGTTCATATCTTATTCTGTTTGTGCTGCTATAACAGAATAACCATGACTGGGTAATTTATAAACAACGTAAACTTATTCTCTCACAGTTCTGGAGGCTGGGAAGTCCAAGATCAGGGCACTGGCAGGTTAGGGCCAGTTTCTCTGCTTCAAGGATGGCACCTTAACCATTGCATCCTCCTGAGTGGAGGAACACCATATCATCACATGACAGAACAGCAGAAGAGAGAGACAGCAAGAGAGGAAGACAATGTCCACTCACTTTCACAAGCCCTTTTCATAGCAGCAACAATCCATCCATGTAGATGAAGGCTTCATGACCTAAACACTTCCCATTAGGCCCCATTTCCCGACACTATTGCATGTGGGGATTAAGTTCCCAAAACATGAATTTTGGGAGGCATGTTTAGACCACAGCAGGGGGGAAATGTCACTGCCATTTGCTTGTTGCTTTGGCAATTGCTTGCATAAAATATCAGTTTTACTGATGCTCATTTATAATACATTAATATTGAATCTTATAAAAAACAGATCTCATAGTTTTCAAACTTGAGAAAAGGTAAAAATATGAATTTGCAACTCCTTTGGCTATGAAGCTTAGGTTATGACCAAGAATCAAAGCAAGCTGCATTAAAATGATAATGTTGGCCAGGCACGGTGGCTCACACCTGTAATCCCAGCACTTTGGGATGCTGAGGTGGGCAGATCACCTGAGGTTGGGAGTTCGAGACCAGCCTGGCTAACATGGTGAAACCCCATCTCTTATAATAAAACCAAGAACAGTGCATGAGTTATCATAGAAACTCAGTAAATATTTGTTGAATGGGTGAATGGATAAGCAATGGTTGTTGGAGATTCAATCATCATAAAAATCTATATCAGTTTGATTAATGTTCAACTATCATCGTCTCTCTCTCTCTCAACTGGGTAGGTTTTTTTAAAAAACAAGATTCTGGCACATTGCCACTTGGTATGGAATATAGTTGGAAATAAACTGCAGTGTTGATGAGATGGTTTGCAAATCATCTTAAGCCTAGTACTACTTTATTGAGCTGCAAGATTGTTGACCTTCATTTATCATTCTGGTAAAGAGCTAACTATTTAGCTGTTTACTTCCTGTTTTTTCTGATCTGCATCATGTCCCCACCTCTGACCCTACAAATCTAGAAAGTGGCTCAAAATAAACTCAGAAGCTTATGAGCCAATATACAAATTGTTATTTCTAAACTAAGCTGGTAAACTGGTAGCAAGTTGGTTTATAGATTAAACCCAGGCATCTCTTCTCTAAATAACAGAGTTGGGCAAGGAGAGAGCACTTTTTTCTTCTACCTGGGTCTGAAATCACAGAAGAAAGGAGTTTTTTAATTCCATTCTTTAATCACATAGATGTACTCTGAGCTATTTTGGGAAGGTGTTAGGGAGGAAGAGTGGTAGACAGGAGTTTGTATACGATGGTCAACAATTGAGTGTGCACCCTGCCCATGTGAACCCTGCTCTAAGACATGCCTCCACCACTACTTCCCAAGGGATAGGCCCTCTGAACCTTGTGGAGTCACCAGACCCAAGCTGGGCTGTACACATTCTCTTTCCTGGGAATTTCTCTTTGGGATTCATTCATGTTGGTCCCTGCTGGATGTTTTCAGAAAGGACCATCTTTGTCAAATGATACAAAAGCTGAGAGAGCTGTTCTGCAGGGAAAGAGATGAAGGAATCCGAATGCAGAGAAGCAAGAATGAGAGAATATATAGTCTCGGAGATAAGGAGAGAAGGTGTATCCATGTCTAGTTCCCATTCCTTTTGAGACCCATATTAGCCAGGATGCTTTTGGTTGCAAGTGACAGCAACACAACTGACACTTACATAAGCAAAAAAAGGAAATCCATTTGTGTCATGCAGCCAGAGAGCCCAAGAGTGATGCTTCAGACATGACTTGATACGGGAACACAAACTGTTGTCAGGATTTGTTCTTTTCTTCCCAGGCTCCATCTTATTCTTTGAGCAGGCTTCATTCTGTCTCTCAGCAGAGAAGTTCTCTTCATATGGCAGCAGAGACAGCTGCTTGTAGCCCCTGATTTTCATGCTTTCAAGTCTATAAGCCAGGAGATAAGACCAGTTTTTATTCCAGTTCCAAACTCAACAATTCAAGATGAAAAATTCACTTGGAGGCACATGCACATTCCTGGACCAGCCATCTTGGCCGGGTGAATGAACTATGATGATTGGCTGGGCTTGAGGCCTGTATTCATTTTCACCAGGGGACCCAAAGCCCTGGGAGTTCTTTCAAGCTCATAACTGATGTGGTGGTGAGTAGTTTTCTCAAGGGAGAGTAGGTGAGGTACTAGACAGACAAAACCTAGCATTTTTCCATGATGCGTTCACCCACTGTCATCTGGGTTTGTGTGGAACAACCTCTTTTCCTATTTTCTTATTTCTTTATGGGTAGGACATTCTGTACCTAATAGTTAGTGTTATTTTTCTAAAGAATATATGAAATCATGCTCCTTCTCCTGTGTTAAAACCCTCTTCGAAAGGATAAATAATGCCCCCTCCCAAAGATACTGATGGGGCTCAAGACATGCTACCCTCAAATACGGTCTTGGCATATTGAATATTTTAAACTGAAGGAATTTGAGAAATGGCAGGTGCAGGAAGGACTCTCTGAACTTCCCCTGAAGCAGATCATGTGAGAAATGCTCTCCCTGTACTTGGAGGAAAAGAGCATCTTTATCTCCAAAGACAAAAGGCTGCTGAGAAGAATCTGAATGAACAAGCCTTGTTAAGTTCCCCCTGTTTGTTGCAGGTAGCTTATACCCCTTTTGTCCTATCATTTTTTTTCCATGACTCTCCCCTCTTCATCAAAACTGGTATAAAAACACTCAGGTTTAACTCTGTCTTTGGCTTCATTTTTTTATGAAGTCTTCCATGTCACATGAAACTTACATTAAATAAATTTGTAAGCTTTTCTGTTGTTAATCTGTCTTTTGTTTCAGAGACCCAGCCAAGAACCTAGAAGGATAGAAGGTAAAAGATATTTTTCCTCTCCTACAATGTCCACATATTCTCCAATGCCTGTGAATACATTACCTCACATGGCAAAAGAGACTTTGCAGATGAAGTTAAGAATCTTGAGATGGGGGTATTATTGTGGAATATTTAAGTGGAACCACTGTAATCACAAGGGTTCTTGCAAGAAGAAGGCAGAAGGGTCAGGTAGACAGGGGAAGATGTGATGTGACAACAGAAGCAAAGTTGGAGTGATGCAGCCACAAGCCAAGGAATGCCAGCAACCTCCGTAATGTGAAAGAAGCCAGGAATGGATTCTCCCTTGGGACTTTCAGAAAAAAAAACAGCTTAATAGACACCTTGATTTTAGTTCCATATAAGTCATTTCAGACTTCTAACCTCCAGAGTTGTAAGATAGTACATTTGTGTTGAGTCTCTGCATTTGTGATAATTTGTTACATGAGAAATAAGAAAGTAATATACCTTGTAATAGCCGTTTATTACACTTAGAATAAAACCCAAATTTCTAATTATTTGCCGAGGCTTACATGGCTGGCTCTTTCTTCTCAACTGCATCTACCTTCATTCTACCTCACTCTGTGTCCTCCAGTCCTGTCCTGTCCTGTCTAAAATGGTAGCCGTGAGCTAAACATAGCTCCTGAACACTTGAAATATGATAAGGGCAACTGCGGAGCTGAGATTTTAAATTAAATTACATTTTAATTAATTTACATTTTAACTTAGGAACTGAAGGAGCATAAAACATTTTCCCATTAAACATGACTTTATTGTTTTGGTAGAATTACATTTCACTTTAACTGTCGGAACTTCAGCATTCACATTGAGATGTGTTTTTAGGATAAAGTACATACTAGATTTTGAAGACAGTATAAAAAAATGTAAAACATCTCATTCATGGCTTTTAAATTAATTATATGTTGAAATGAAATGACAATATACTGGTTATGTTAGGTTAAATGAAATATGTTAAAAATAATTTCATCTGTTCCTTTTTTGCTTTTTTTAAATGTGGCAACTAGAAAATTGAAAAATTACTTGAGTAAAATTTAAAAATCACATCATATTTTTATTGGACAGTGCTGCTCTAGTCTCTCAGCTTTTGACTGGTTCCTTCTGCTTGCAAAGTGGTGCCCCTAGATTTTGTATGACTCAGAGCTCCAGCCACTTTCAATTTATTCAGGTCTCAATAGAAGTGCCATCTATTAAAGGAACATCTTCCCAATGCAACAAGCCCTCCCACTTCCCACCTCCCTCAAATTCCAGGGCTCATTTCATCTGATTTTGTGTAATACATACTTACTTTATCCTCTTCATAGCAACCATTGATTGGCACTTGACGTACTTATTTACTTCACTGTGTTTTCATGGTCTGTTTCCTCCCACTAGAATGCAAGCCCACCTGGGACTGGGAACTCTGATGGTCTCCTTCATCCTTGGTCTCCAGCATGGAGAAATTTCAGGTACCTGATCATTATTTCTTGACAAGACCCAGTTGTACTTCCCTCTGTTGAGTTACCAGTGATTTTTCCCTGGAAGCTTTTTAATAAAAGTCCCTTGTTTTGCTTGAGCAACTTTGAAAGCGTTTCTATCACCAGCAACCAAAGGGGCTTCGACTAAGATAGTACAGTTGCTGCTCTGAAGGGAGTGAGGTTTCTTCACTCAATTTTTGAAACTGGAGCAACTTTGCAGTCCTAGTCAAATATAAATGTGAAGACAAATGATTAGGGAAAAGAATAATAACTGGCTCTCTTTTCCTTTCTCTCTCTACAGTAAGTATAAAACATTTTCACTTGATTCTTATTTCTTATTTAATAATCTAAGAGTTTTTTTCTTTTCTTTTCTTTTCTTTTCTTTTCTTTTCTTTTTTTTTTTTAGATAGTCTTGCTCTGTCACCCAGGCTGGAGTGCAATGGTGTGGTCATGTCTCATCACAGCCTGGATCTCCTGGGCTCAAGTGATCCTCCCACCTCAGCCTCCCGAGTAGCTGGGACTACAAGCGTGCATCACTGTGCCTGGCTAGTTTTTGTATTTTTTGTAGAGACAGGGTCTCACCATGTTGCCCAGGCTGGTCTAGAACTCCTGGGCTCAAGTGATCTGCCTGGCCACCTTGGCCTCCCAAAGCTTTGGGATTACAGGCGTGAGCCACCGTGCCCGGCCTAAGACTTTGCTGTGAAAGGTTTTCCTCCAGACTCCTTGATACAGTTAACTTGGAAAGACAAACTAAATTTTGGAAGGAAACAAACAGCAGTCAATCCTTCTAAATCTACTTGTAGCAACTTGAATTCCTTCTTGGGTTCTTACTGAGATTGCTGGTTTCCTTTTATTAGTTAATGTTGCCGCTGTTATTTACACAGCTGTTAATAGCACATTTTTTCTTCATGTTATTTTTGTTTTTTCCAATTCGTTTGTCTGGGCAAATTTGGATGCTGACAGTTTATGTACAGCCAGGGATTTAAATGTGGAGTTGTCAGTTATTAAAAGCTACAGAAATAACAGTTCATCCTCTTAAGATAGAGTGTTCTGGATGCAATTTTTTGAAAACAGGACTTGAATGACACAAGCCATATAAGCAACTTAGACTTTTTATTATTAGTCAAAAGGTAGATCTATTCTCTGTACTTTTAATTGGAAGATAAAGTAGATTGCAGAGATAGGCCTTCTTGATGATCATATCTTCAATTATGGAGGAAAATTCTTTAGTTTTCCAATTTACATATTTTACTCTAATTTTACCTTTTCTCCCCTATTCTTTCATCTTCCTATCTTTTCTCACTCTCTGTGCTTATAAAATACAGAAGATGGAAGGGGAAAGAAAATCTATTTGACATGAGAGCATCAGGAACTGACCTATACAAGAGATTTAGATTGACATCTTCTTAGTGATAAGCAGGAGAAAGTGAGCAACTATTTTTTTTTTTTTAAGTTTGACAAGTGGTTCAATTTCATCTACAGAAAATAAATAGCCAGCCAGTCAGAAAATGTTCAGGTCCCATTTTTCTCTGGGCATGAATAATTGGGTTTTGTGGGAAGAGATAAAATTAATGAGGATCAGAGTTTTTAAGGAGGTGTCTACACAGCCCCAGCTGAGATATTGACAATTGTTTTATTAGTTTAAACTATTATGGAGAATGACTGTGTGTCCTGAACAACCACGAATAAAACTTTTAGAAATGTGGCCATCCCCGTTACTTTGAACACTCCTCCCCCAACCTCTGTGTAGGTGTATCCTAAAGGACACATGCAGTCACATTTGTTTTTTAATAAAATCTTCCACTGTGAAAGACAATATGCTTAAATAACTAAGGAGATTATTTTATTCAGCCTATTGCAATAAGGAAGATGTTGTTAATGAGGAACATCTCAAAAAAAATAAAAAAGAAAAGAGGGTGGGTTTTTATAGAAGCAAGTAAACAAGGGAGTCATCCCAAGTCTTATGGGAATCATTAGGAAGATGAAAAAAATGGGTCTTATCTTTGACTTCTTATGAGTCATTGGGGAAAGTGAGGCTTAGCTCAGAGTGTGTGGGAGCAGCATTGTCCTTCGGGGTTAGATCTTTCTCAGAATACAAGAGGGTAGGGAGAATTTCTCAACTGTTGCTCCTTTCTGGGAGCATAGGGCTCAGACCAAGTCCAACAGTCCAGTCCCTTCTTTCGTTCAAGATGAATGAATATACTTTGTTGCTGGACTTGTCAGAGGTGATCAATAACCTGAGCTGGGCCAAGCAAGGTATAAGAAACTGTCTCTCAGGGATTCTTGTTTGCATTCCTCCAAAATCAGTTGAACCATCTGTTGAGAGGTTGTGGGAAAGCTTTCTGTTTTAGAGTCCTAGAGATCAGGCATTTTAAAAGAGGAATCTCTAAGATGAAAAAGAAAAAGACTAATATAAAAGGCTGTATTCCAGAAAACAGCCAGAAGGTGACCCTAAGGGTAGCAGTCCATGGATTCCAAGAGATCTGTGGAGGAAAATCTTTTGATTATGCCATTGTAATTTCTGGATACTCTTGAACTAGGATGTTGATGCTCTGAATGATGTTGTTCACAGTATTCATTTCCTCTTATATAAATGCATACCAGACTTCCTTAGTGGTCCAGACAGTGACTTGTACAGGGAGAATTCTGGCCCATGCATGGTCTGCTGCAGTGATGAGTCCTTTGAGGTGTGTAAGTCCTTAGGCTTCAGCTTGCAAGCTTCCTCGGATTTTCAGGAAATATGCCAGCTGCAAGGCAACTTAGACTCTGACAGGGATCTGGGCCTTCAGTTTTCAGTTCTTGGTGATGTTGAGTCAGGCAGGATGGGAAAAATTGGAAACATCAGTTTGGAGGACTGTAGCCGGATATTGAAGGAAACTGTAAGAACTGAAAATTTGGTAAGGACTAATAATTTGAGCAAGATAGGAGGCTCTAGTCCAATTTGCAGGTTGGTTCCAACAGAGACCATATTTTTATGAGCCAATTATCTGTTTACAGAAATCACCAAATGATCAGACCGTGAATCCAAAAGTCAGCACCTGAAATCAAGGGAGTACTCAGAAAGAAAAAAAGTCACATCCTTACCTTGCTACCAAGGGACAAAAATCCAAAGCACAGGAGTGGGAGTTAGACTCATTGTTTGGTCCCTGGATTGCCAACCAGGAACATAGCAGGAGGCGCTCCATGAGACCTTGTTACCCAGGTGGAGTAAGGAGGGACTTGAAGGTGAGGTCCTATACTACCTAAGTCACACCACCAAAACTGTGAAAGAAGATACACAGGACAAATATGAGATGATTTTATTCAGGGTATTGCAATAGGGAGAACACACATTAATGCAGATCATCTCAAAGAAAAAGAAATGAACTGAGGGATTTATAGAGGGGAGTAAATTAGAGAGATATTGGAGAGTCAAGGAGTCAGGCAGAAGGTTGGAGATGGGTTGTAGCCCAGTCATGGAGGACAGGCAGAGGTGGGTGTTGTCTCAGAGTCTTTGAGAGCAGAGTGGTTGTTTGTGCTTTGCCATTTCCCAGAAGGCAAAAGAGTGGCAGTGCCAAGAGGGGCCTGCAGGGTGGGTGGTTCTCATTCATCATCTCTGCTTCGGAGAGCTCTGACTCAAATCAAGTGCAACATCATCTCCATTTTCCAAATGGTTGCTTCCACGTTATATTTACAGGAACTTAAACATGAATGCCTAGTTATCCAGCAACTGATGTATGGCTGACTAGGGTTACCTTTTGCTTGGTAAGTCTAACTGCTAGTCTAGTACTTGGCTTTCTCTGTCACCTAGCTTTTCATTGGATTCTTTATTGACAAACTTTAGTCTTGAACTTCACTTACTTGAGGAGGCAACCGATTCTAATTTGAGTCACCTTAGTTGGAAAGTTTTACTTCACTCTATATTTTTCTTAGTAACTTTTACCTGCACGTCGGCTCTAAACACTGGGAAATACAGTCATTTCTTGGTATCCAAAGAGGATTGATTCTAGACCCTTCAGGATTCCAAACTCCATGGATAATCAAGTCCATGATATGTATGACATAAAATGGTATAGTATTTGCATATAACCAAAGCACATCCTTCTGTTTACTTTAAATCATCTCCAGATTGCTTATAATGTAGCAGGACGAGCCGCAGACAAAACTCCTCAGACACCGAGTTAAAGAAGGAAGGGGTTTATTCGGCCGGGGGCATCGGCAAGACTCCTGTCTCAATAGCCGAGCTCCCTGAGTGAGCAATTTCTGTCCCTTTTAAGGGCTCACAACTCTTAAGAGGGTGCGAGTGAGAGGGTTGTGATCGATTGAGCAAGCAGAGGGTACGTGACTGGGGGCTGCATGCACCGGTAATTAGATCGGAACAAAACAGGATAGGGACTTTCACAGAGCTTCTCTATACAATGTCTGTAATCTATAGTTAACATAACCGATTAGGTCAGGGGTCGATCTTTAACTACCAGGCCCAGGGTGTGGCACCGGGCTGTCTGCTTGTGGATTTCATTTCTGCCTTTTAGTTTTTACTTTTTCTTTCTTTGGAGGCAGAAATTGGGCATAAGACAATACGAAGGGTGGTCTCCTCCCTTAATAATACCTAACACAATGCAAATGCTATGTAAATAGTTATACTGTATTGTTTTAAAATTTGTATTTTTTTGTTGTATTGTTAATTTTTGTTATTTTTTCCCCCACATATTTTCTGTCTGCGGTTGGTTGAATCTGCAGTTGTGGAGCCCACAGATATGGAGAGCTGACTGTACACAATGTTAGACCATAATAGCGGCACCAGTGTGATGTTGGGAAATACAAAATTTAGTTAGAAAGCTACGATTTAATCCTATTTTTAAAACCTTACTTGAACTTTCTAGAAAGACAGTTAGGAACTGAATTGACATTGCTAGCAAAATGTTAGCAATTTGGATTAATTAGCAAGAAGATAATTTACAATTAATGAAAATTCTGAATTAGCGAGTACAGTATTTAAAAGAAACTCTGGTTTATTACTTCCTACCACATTCTGTAACTCAAATTCACTAAGGGAACTTGCCTAGAAGATCATCTTAGGAGACCTACTTTAATAAGAATTACTTATAATTAGCATAACAATTTCATATGCAAATGGTACTTCTAAAGTACTTTAAATTTACTCTTAAGTACTTTATACATTCCCATTTGCAGTCTTATTTACACCTTTAATTTGAGCTTTCTATGAAGAATGACTTCCCTAATGAAGAGTCAACTTCAAGCCGGCTCCACCAACTCTGAATTAGTAAACCCAAATCAATGAGATTTTACTTCACTTATGTTAAACAGTACTATATATAACAAAAATACTGGTTCTTAGTGATATACTATTATACTAAAACTCTGCTCATATTTAAATTCTGTAGCATTTATATATACATGATTTATTATAGGCTGGGAAAGAGACTAAGTTATTGCAAGTAATTGTATGTGAAAGGCTTTAAAATTCATACTGTAACTGCCTGTGCTGTATAGCAAATATCTTCATCTGGGACTTTTAAAGGGATAGCACTTTTGAAGACTATTTTCAGAAAATAGTTCTTTCAATGCCCCAAATCTTAGTTCATATGTAGAATCAGTAGGAGAAAACTGTAACCAACAGCACATTAATAGGCCTTTAAAACAAATATAAACTAAAATGTAAAAAATACATATTTCTCCAAACTTTACATCTAAAGGGTGAAAGAATATGCAAAATAGCTTCTAATTTTAGCTACCTGGGATGCTATATCTTTAATTTAACTATGAGAGAAAATGCTCTGGACTGCTTTGAATTTTTAGAATTTTTTCCCACTTGGCAAGCAGCACGGGACGCAGTTTTAAAATCTGATTTTGTCTCTATCTACCTTTTGCAGTTTCCAACTCTCCCATTTATCTCTAGGGACTTGCAGGCTGTGTTTACGTTATGCCGAAGAGCTGAAGCAAAAGTGAAATTCCAATTCATCACCCAGATGTTTCCAAACTACACGTAACCATATTTGGAATTGTATATATAAAATATCCCTATAATTTATTATTTTTTCCCCCACCTGGATGTTTTGGCATCAAATCACTTTATGTCTGGCAACTCCCAGGGATTTCATTTTAAGGCCCGGAATAGGGATTCCTTGCTAATCAGTCTGCTTTAATCTTGAAGTCCAGCCAGGTTGGCGGGGGTAAGAGGTGGCTAGACATTCCCCAAATGCCCAATGACTATAACTCGGGCACTTTTTCAGAAGAGTTGTGATCGAAACACCAGAATCAATGATAGTGACATTACTGCTCCTGAATGGTTGGTGACTAATGAGAAAGAAATCTAATTTGCCTTTCATTACTTTAAAAATAAACCCCTAAAATATGCATATATATGTATATGTATATATATGTGGGTGTACGTACGTATACATATGATGTTGCTTTTGTCATCAGAATAAAAGTTTAAGTAATAAACAAAAATTATAATGATAACAAGGTAGGCACAGAGTCTTCGAGCTGGAAGCTCTCCTTAGATGAAATTTTAGTATGTTTCCTTCCTCTCACAGATGAGTAAACTGTAGCAGAGACAGGTGACATGACCTATCCAATGCTGCAGAGTGAACCAAAAAAAGAACTGAGACCAGAACCAAGGTCTAAATAGGCTGTGTGCTGATTAGCTATGCCAGAATTTGATTTCTTTATTTTGCCACTGGGAAAACCTATTAAGAGGAATGAGGCTTTTATTACTTTACATGTCAAATTACGTTAGGATAATTCTTATATTGAAATAGGATCAGAAAATTTTCATTTTGTTTAAGGTATACAAACACTGGCATTTCTAACCCTGAATCAAATCATTCCTTCAAATCGCCACATGTAATTTACACAGGTGTTATATAGAAGGTAATATAAACATAGCCTCTAAGCCTCAGTTTCTTATTCTGGTAAATAAGAGGACAAATACCAGCCTCACAAAAGCGTGGATGAACCAAATGTGTATGAAGTACCCGCACTGTGCCTGGCACATTGTAAGAAGTAGTCAATAAATGGTTTCAATGATGTCATGACTTGAAAATTCCATCCAGGAAGGGAAGGTGATGCTTCCATGAATATCTAGACTGAGGACAAGCATTGTCTAGCGATCTTCCACGACAGCAAACTATGTGGTTACTTATGATGATGGAATCATATCACGTAGGTTTGCTGAATCATGTGTTACATATAGAGGAATTCAGCTTATGAATCATAGGAGAAACTACTGTGGTTTAAAAAATACAGAAACATAAGCTCAACCAAGATGAAGAAATTGATTTTATAATGCTGGGGTTAGGGGTGAGGAGAAAAGAGGTAAGGGGGTTTTTACATACAAAATCAATATTCACAAGATCTTTAACAGACCTTGAGAGTTAAAAAAAAATCAAAAATACAAACAAAAAACAAAAACCCCTACCAACCCCGTCCCCCTGCAAAAAAAAAAAAAAAAATCCCCACAAAACCCCAAAAGCTTAATGCAATGAGTGATCTAATCTAACCAACCCACCCACACTCTTTTGTTCTGGAATGGTAATATATTAGAGATCATTAACAATGACTTCAGTTTGAACACTGAGTTAGCTTCCCCTATAACAATATGTCTAATCATTGAACCCCGGTTTTGCAGTCTTTCAGTGTGCCTTCCTGAGCAACAGTCCTACAGGTTGTCTTACATGAGAAAGTTAAAAAAAAAATCTCTCTTCTAGGTGAAGTGATAAATCTCTACTCAGGGCTGAGGAGACTTTTTGTTAAAAGGTCTCATCTCTCCTGTGAGCTTATGTAGCAGACACTTGACATTTGGGAGGGATATGTCTTGAGACCATTGCAAATATAATTTTGGCCAAAAATGGTAGTTAAGCACCACAGAAAAAATTTAAGGGACTCTCTTGCATCTGTAGTAAGAATTTTGGCATTTGCAAAAGACAAAGTATAGAGGCAAGAAAGTGATGTTGAGGTACTCGTTCATGAATCAAGGGATGAGCTCTTAAAATCTAAACTTACCATACATGAATCCAAATTAGCACCCGTGTTAGTTACCTATTGCTGTATAACAAGTCATTGCAAACTTAGACATTTTTTTTTTTTTTTTGAGACAGGGTCTCACTCTGATGCCCAGGCTGGAGTGCAATCTTGGCTCATTGCAGCCTTGACCTCCCGGGCTCAAGTGATCCTCCCACCTCAGCCTCTCGAGTAGCTGGGACTCTAGGCATGCACTATCATGCCCAGCTAATTTTTGTATTTTTTGTAGAGATGGGGTTTTGTCATGTTGCTCAGGCTGATCTTGAATGCCTGGGCTCAAGTGATCTGACTGCCTCGGCCTCCCAAAGTGCTGGGATTATAAGCATGTACCACTGCACCTGGCCAATACACTTTTATTATCTCAGTTTGTATGAGATGGTCTAGTGTTGGCTTAGTTGGGTTATCTGCTTCGGGCCTCAGAAGACTACAACTGAAGTGTCAGCCAGGGGTAGGGTCTCAAGTGGAGGCTTGGCCAGGGAAGGCCTGTTTTCCTGCTCATAAGTTGTAGGTAGATTCAGTTCCTTGCGGTTATAGGATTGAGAGCACTTTTTTTTCTTTTCTTTTTTTTTTTTTTTTTTTTTTTTTTTGGCTAGCTGTCAGCTTTTGGTCACTCTCAGCATCTGGAGGCTATCTACAGCTCCTTGCCACATGGGTTTCGCCAACATGTCACTTACTTGAAGGCAGTGTGCCTCTTAGACAGCAAAAGAGGAGGGAGACATTCCAGCAAGACAGCACTACAGTCTTATGTAATCATTACTTGTAAATACACACTATATCCTAGTGATTAGAAGCCCCGTGTGCTATAACCCAGTGGTTAGAAGCAAGTCACATGTCTGTCTGCACTCAAGGAGAAGGGATTACACAAAGGTGTGAATACCAGGGTGTGGGGATGATGGAGGCCAAGCCTCTGCCCACCACAGTACATCTGCACAATTATAAGTGCAAAAGACCATAGTACTTTGGGTTGTCTCTTGAATAATCAAAATTGCCAATATTAATTCTGTAAAAACAAAAGCCTTTCTGTCTTTGCCTTGTTCTATGAGTTAAGTTCCTACCTTAGAGAGCCAATCAACACAGTTTTATTGAACACCGACTCAATGGGAGCCCACCCCTGCTGGCACATGTGTAGCTGTGGCCTGGGTGTTCAGTTACCCTTGCTCCTTCTGCCTCAAGATGCCGTGACAAAAGAGGACTTCCTGTCTGCTCCCTTAATGTAACTTTCATATATCTGCTATTCCCTCCCCCAACTCCAAGGTGAGGAAAAGGTCCAAAAGTCCAGGATTTTCTTAGCTGAAGAGTGCATTGAACTAATGCTACGAGAGGTCAACATTAGTATAAGAAAGTATAAGCTTTGAAATTCTGTTTCTTCACAATCTATGAGAGTCCCTGGGAGGGCTGAGGGATGCAAAATGCTAATGGATGGTGAGTTATAGCAGATGAAAGGAGATCAAAGAGAGGAGGATAACTTACAGAGACCTGTGGGAGATGAAAGTAGGCTGATCTGATATGTGGCTTGATAAAGAAAGCAACAGACTACTTTGCACCATCTTTGGGACCTGCTAATAGTAAGATGAACTTGGCCTGTGTGGCCTTTAGGTACTTGGGCATGACTGAACATGTCTGATTCTAATTTTCCCAAGCGAGTAAGTGGCTAAAGACTCTTTTACCCCCGAGGGAATAAAGACGATTTCAATGACATCATTATAGGTTCACCCTTGATGGTTCTGGGACATACTTCAGGATAAGAGAAAACGCAAACTTGGTGTGAAGTATTTTAATGTCCTCTCTGGATAGAAAAGATTTCTTAGGAGAAACTCTCACAGAAGAGGAAACGATGCATTGTTGACATTTCCTCCTTGCCCTGCTAGCTTTGAGCCACTGAAAGAACTATCTTGTTAGCATGCTGCAAGTTCTCAGGCAGTTCAGCTAAAACAAATGAGAGGGGTGTCTTCTTGTCTCCGTATGTGGGGATTTATGCAGGCAACCTGTGGTAGTGTTAATGGGTGTTAGCCACGTAAAACCCAGCCCTTCAACATGATAATACATAATACACCCCTTAATTTTTAATTCACTTGGGTCTCAATTTTAAAGCATTTTCTTGTAGTTTGTCCTAATTATAATCATTTTTAATGACAGCTTAAAAATTTCATCCAACTGTCTTATCACATACGGTACTTAATTTCTCAAGTGAACAGTTTTACTGTACACCATTCTGGGTATTTTAAGAACTAAAACATAAAAGGAGAGAAAGTCCTTTGTATGGTGAAACTAGATGTTAATTGTCCTAATATACATAAAGAGACCAAAGCAGTTTCTTGAAGCTAGGGCTGGCCTTCCTGCAGAGGCTTCTCCAATCCCCTTCAAGGGAGATTTGCAAAACCCCCAGGGGAAAGAAAAGGATTTTTCTTTTTTCATTTTGCTGGGTTCTGCCAAAAATCAGAACCAGGATTGAATATTCATTGTTGTATTCTAAATGTTGAATAGATGAGTCTTGTTTGCTTAGACCAAAGTGGAAACTACACAGCTAGAAATAATAACAAGCTGACTACCTTGGCCATCCCATCCTCCAACCCGTTTATTTATTAGATTGTTTCAGTCACAGTGAATTTTCCAACATCTGCTCACAACTTCTGATCAGCCATCCAGGGCATGGCCAGACTGCCATTAGGACACACGGTCATTTAATGTGCTAAATTAACTGCTGAGCTGGGAAAAGGCTTTGCCTCTTTCACTTAAAAAAAATGTCCTGGGAATCCTGAATTTTGTCATGTCTCAGTCATTTATTATTTTTGGAGAAGATAGCTGTCTCCAAAGAATGCATACTGAGCAAGCGGAAGCTTTCCTTTGTCTGGTAGAAGTTCCATCTACAGTTCTTCCCCTTCAGTTCACTCGGATCACCCCACAGATGGGCACCAATTCAAGTGGGAAAGCTCACCTTTGCTTGTGATTAGCACTGAGGACATATTGAAAAGAACAAAGGAGAAACTTGAAAGTTGAGACCTTTACATTATTTAAAGTGAGCTATATAACAAGCCACACCATGAAATCTGTAAGGCAGGAGCTCATAAACTTTAGTGTATATTGGAGTCACCTGGGCGTGCTGGGGTGGGGGTGGGATGCACATTCTTACGGATCATTTCCAAAGATCCAGATTCAGTTATTCTTACAGGGCCATTTTTAATAAGAACCCGGTATGATTCTAAAATAAAATGGAAAGAGTGACGTGGGGGGCCGGTAACCTGGTCTCTTTGGTAGGATTTGGACTGGTTAATGTAAACCAAACCAAGCCAAATAGAACGTCAAAGAAGCAAACAAAACCCCAATATCAGAACATTTTATCCTCTAGTAAATGCTTACAACTCTTCATGAACAATTTCTTTTTTCTGTAAGAAAAACAACCCTAATAATAGAGTTTCTACATACTCACACACACACGTTTTCTACACACATACAAACATCTTGAAACTGTCATATAAACCACTTGCCAGTGGGTAATGACATGAGTTTCTTCAGGAGCCTGAGATGGAAGGTGACATTTTACAGGAAAATCTGGCTGTAGTTTGACCCTCTATAGTTTGGGTACATCCAGATCTAACGTAACTACGTATTGGGAAAAAGCAGCATTTTACTCCCCCCGTCAGTTTACTCCTGCCGGGCTCCTGTTCCAGATGGCAGGAAGGCACAAACGCTATTTCCGTGAGCGTGCGGTCTGTCTTCACTTCCTTTTGGGAAAAGCCCAGGTTTTTCTGGGTGGCGTGTGTAGGGTTCACATTTGGCTCTGTGGTACATGCACCGTCCACCCATACACCGACACCGATGGCCTCGCTGACATTCTCCAAAAGGGCCCTAGGGTTTTCAGGGTAATGATCGGAGCCCGACATTTGCCCAGATAAGTTTACTCCAATCGTGTGCCAGATGGAATGAAGAATGCGGGCACAAACATTTCTCTCTCTCTCTCTCTCTCTTTTTTTTTTTGGATGCATCTCTCCCATCTATGTGCATGTGCAGTCTGTTTTGACTTCTTTTTGAGAAAGGAACAGGTTTTCCCATGTGTTTTGTGTAGGGCCAATGCTAAGACCAAGAGTGATGCTCTCCCAGTGGCACAGACTGGCCTCGTGCTAGTACGAGCCCCTCCCCAAGTGGCCTATGGCACGGTTCTAGGGATGAGGGTGGTGACAGAGTGGGAGTTGTTTCTTTTTTGGCTGAGCATGCCTTGGGAGGAGAATCCGAAAGCCACTGCCCATCCCTGCAGCTGAGCTCACGACCACCAAGGCAGCGGGTGAGAAAGCAGATCTCTTTTCTCCAGCTTGGCTGGGCCAAGGTGTTCCGTGGTCCTCCAAGCACGTTAAGTTGCATCCACCTTCAATGCCAGAGGGTAAAAATCACCGCCAAATTAGTAGCTTCCAAATATCATTTTCAATAAAAACTTCATGATAAAAAGTATGTTAATACCCAATGGTTAGTGGTTTTTACGATGGTGTTAAACCATTTGTGCTGAGGCTCTACCGGCGATGCTGTTTCCTCACTGAAGAAAGAAATTGGCTGCTAGTGCAACGTTTGTGCGCTTTCACTGTTGCTATAAAATCAGCCCCCAGGAGAATTTTAAGTCTTCTTGAATTGCTTTTTAGCACAGACTAAGGAAGTAAAAGTTCTAAAACTGCCTGGTTACAGACAAATCACTTAAAAAGCCAGCTTTGTACTGGCAAAGTCATGCTACAGGAAATGTTTCAAAAGGCAGAATATAACAATATGAAAGCTAAGTATTGTTATTTATTTAACAGATGAAACAGGCTGTCATTGAAAACTAAGCCTCCAGGAGCTCTTTAAGGTCATGTGAAATGCCAGATCCTTGTGGTAACAGACATCCTGCTATAATGTGTGATGATGTTTACACATGTATGTCTTGGCTGGTGGACTTGTTTACAAACACACACCAAGGCACATCTCCATTCAGTACAAGTTCATTAAACCATTGGAAGGTGATTCAAAATAGTACCTAACACGAAGCCATACTCCAAATGGTCAGTACTGTTGCTTTCTTTTTTGAGACACGGTCCCACTCAAAAAGGACTTAAGCCATCCTCCCACCTCAGCCTCCCGAGTAGCTGTAACTACAGGAGTGCACTACCACACCCGGCTAGTTTTAAAATTTTTTTGTAGAGAAGCGGTATCACCATGTTATATAGGCTTGTCTTGAACTCCTGAGCTCAAGCAATCCGCCCTCCTCGGCCTCCCAAAATGCTGGGATTACAGGTGTGAGCCACTATCCCCTGACACATTTTCTAATGAAAAATATATAACGATTTAGAATATAAAAATTATAGAATCTAGATTTAGTTTAATTCCAGTATATATTGAGAGTTTAACTAACTAGTCCTAGTTGTATGTTAAATGAACAAGTGTAGAATCTTTTTATAAAATAGAGTGAGGCCAGACCAAAAGAGTCACCATAAAAGGTAGGTTGCATTCTAGAGGTGGTACTTACTTGACTTGATTGAATTGGTCAGTGTGAATCTTTTCCTTCCACTGCCCATCTGAGCCCCTGCAGGACTGACACTGTGTGAATTCAACTTTCTCTTCCCTGTTCCCTGGCTCCTATGGTGGCGTCTTGCACCTAAACGTATTCAATGTCATAGCACTGATGTGGTTGTACATTTTCAACTTCTATGGAAAGATACTATTACGTTTTATTCATTGGCCAAGAAGACAAAGATCATAATTAAACAAAAATAATCACATCAAATAAAAGGAAACATTTGGGCTGATTTTAATGGATTGAATGTGCATCCTTCGAGCCAGGAATCTAGGTAAAATTGGTTCAGTGTAAGCCTCCTGGCATGTTGCCACATGCTGGAATGCTCCCTGGCCTATGTGAACGACCTTTGGGTTGGCCATCCTGGAGTATTCCAAACAACCTATCCTCCCCAAATGTAACAAAGAGCTAGGATTGTAAAAACTGGGGAAGACATTTGAGAAATGATAAACAACCCTGAAGATCTGAGTATTTATTCTAGGCTGCTTATGATGACATATTTTTATAACACTTGTCTGGGTGCCAGGAAATGGCAGGATGGAAAATCACATTCCCCAAATAAGTGAAGGGTGTGTCACCCTGAGCTGCTTCCATCTCTAGCGAACTCTATGGATAGCTGAGAAAGAGAGTTTAAAAGGTGCAAGAGATTTAATTCCTCTCAAAATGTCTTTTAAGAACCTTATGTTCAGAGGAGGCTTCTTTTTCTTTTTTTCTTTATTTTTTTTTGACAGCTCGCTTTCAGTGTTTGCTAATTTGTGATCTTTAGAAATGTCTAATGTGTTTTTGGGCCTTCTGTGTACCTTTCGTAAGAAAGGTTCTTCTGCTTAATTAATTTGCATGCTTTTTTGTTTGCCAGATAGGGTTTTCTGTAAAAAAAAAAATATATATATATATATATATAATATATAAAATAAATAAATATTTCCTCTAGGAAGCAAGCAAAGAAGGAATTGGAATACTTTTGAATTTCAGTTTTGGAACATTTTGTTTGGGTAATTTGAGGGTCAAGCTGATGAGAGATGAAGAAAGGTATGTCGGATTCCTCTCATTTTCTTTCATACTGTGTTTCGTAGAGTTTTTCACTGGAAGGTCACCTTGGTCTTTTTTTAATTAAAGTACAACTTGAAATCCCAATTAAGGGATTTCAGTTTCTCTATACTTTCTAAGCATATCACCACTTCCTCTTGTAAAATAAAGTGTTTTTTTGTTTGTTTTATTTTGTTTTTTTGAGATGGAGTTTTGCTCTGTGGCCCAGGCTGGTGTGCAGTGGTGTGATCTCGGCTCACTGCAACTTCCACCCCCCGGATTCAAGCAATTCTCCTGCCTCAGGTTCCCAAGTAGCTGGGATTACAGGTGCCCGCCACCATGCTGTTTTTTTGAAAAGATTAACAAAATAGATAGACTACTAGTCAGACTAACAAAGAAGAAAAGAGAGAAGAATCAAATAGACACAATAAAGAATGATAAAGGGGATATCACCACTGATCCCACAGAAATACAAACTACCATCAGAGAATACCATAAACACCTCTTTGGAAATAAACTAGAAAATCTAGAATAAATGGATAAATTCCTGGACACATACACCCTCCCAACACTAAACCAGGAAGAAGTCAAATCCCTGAATAGACCAACTACAAGTCTGACATTGAGGCAGTAATTAATAGCCTACCAACCAAAAAAAGCCCAGGACCAGACAGATTCACAGCTGAATTCTACCAGAGGTACAAAGAGGAGCTGGTACCATTCCTTCTGAAACTATCCCAAACAACTGAAAAAGAAGGTCTCCTCCCTAAGTTATTTTATGAGTCCAGCACATCCTGATACCAAAACCTGGCAGAGACACAACAAAAGAAAATTTCAGGCCAATATCCCTAATGGACATCAATGGAAAAATCCTCAATAAAATACTGGCAAACCAAATCCAGCAGCACATCAAAAAGCTTATCCACCACGATCAAGTTGGCTTTATCCCTGGGATGCAAGGCTGGTTCAACATATGCAAATCAATAAATGTAATCCATTACATAAACAGAACCAATGACAGAAACCATGTGATTATCTCAATACATGCAGAAAAGGCCTTTGATAAAATTCAATATCCCTTCATGCTAAAAACTCTCAATAAACTAAGTATTGATGGAATGTATCTCAAAATAATAAGAGCTATTTATGCCAAACCCACAGCCAATATCATAGTGAATGGGCAAAAGCTGGAAGCATTCCCTTTTAAAACTGGCACAAAACAAGGATGCCCTCTGTCACCACTCCTGTTCAATATAGAATTGGAAGTTCTGGCCAGGACAATCAGGCAAAAGAAAGGAATAAGGGGTATTCAAATAGGAAGAGAGGAAGTCAAATTGTCTCTGTTTGCAGATGACATGATTCTATATTTAGAAAACTCCAGCGTCGCAACCCCAAAACTCCTTAAGCTGATAAGCAACTTCAGCAAAGTCTCAGGATACAAAATCAATTTGCAAATATCACAAGCATTCCTATGCACTGATAATAGACAAGCAGAGAGCCAAATCATGAGTGAACTCCCATTCACAATTGCTACAAAGAGAATAAAATACCTAGGAATACAATTTACAAGGCATGTGAAGGACCTCTTCAAGGAGAACTACAAACCACTGCTCAAGGAAATAAGAGAGAACATAAACAAATGCAGAAACATTCCATGCTCGTGGATAGGAAGAATCAATATTGAGAAAACGGCCATACTGCGCAAAGTAATTTTTAGATTAAATACTATTTCCATCAAACCATCATTGACTTTCTTCACAGAATTAGAAAAAACTACTTTAAATTTCATATGGAATCAAAAAAGAGCCAGTATAGCCAAGACAATGCTAAGGAAGAAGAACACAGCTGGCAGCATCATGCTTCTTGACTTCAAACTATACTACAAGGCTACAGTAACCAAAACAGCATGCTACTGGTACCAAAACTGATATATAGACCAATGGAACAGAACAGGGACCTCAGAATTAATGCCACACATCTACAACCATCTGATCTTTGACAAACCTGACAAAAACAAGAAATGGGGAAATGATTCTCTATTTAACAAATGGTACTGGGAAAACTGGATAGCCATATGCAGAAAACAGAAACTGGACCCCTTCCTTACACCTTATACAAAAATTAACTTGAGTTGGATTAAAGACTTGAATGTAAAACCTAAAACCATAAAAATCCTAGAAGAAAACCTAGGCAATACCATTCAGGACATAGGCATGGGCAAAGACTTCATGACTAAAACACAAAAAGCAATGGCAACAAAAGCCAAAATTGAGAAATGAGATCTAATAAAACTAAAGAGCTTCTGCACAGCAAAAGAAACTATCATCAGAGTGAACAGGCAACCTACAGAATGGGAGAAAACTTTTGCAATCTACTCATCTGACAAAGGGCTAATATCCAGAATCTTCAAGAAACTTAAACAAATTTACAAGAAAAAAACAAACTACCCCATCAAAAAGTGGGCAAAGGAGATGAACAGACACTTCTCAAAAGAAGACATTTATGTGGCCAACAAACATATGAAAAAAAGCTCATCATTACTGGTCATTAGAGAAACAAAAATCAAAACCACAATGAGATACCATCTCTCGCCAGTTAGAATGGTGATCATTAAAAAATCAGGAAACAACAGATGCTGGAGAGGATGTGGAGAAATAAGAAAGCTTTTACACTGTTGGTGGGAGTGTAAATTAGTTCAACCATTGTGGAAAACAGTGTGGCAATTCCTCAAGGATCTAGAACCATACATAACATTTGACCCAGCAATCCCATTACTGGGTATATACCTAAAGGATTATAAGTCATTCTACCATAAAGACACATGCACACGTATGTTTATTGCAGCACTATTTACAATAGCAAAGATTTGGAACCAACGCAAATGCCCATCAATGATAGGCTGGATAAAGAAAATGTGGCACATACACACCATGGAATACTATGCAGCCATAAAAATGGATGAATTCATGTCCTTTGGAGGGACATAGACGAAGCTGGAAACCATCATTCTCAACAATTACACAGAAACAGAAAACCAAACACTGCATGTTCTCACTCATAAGTAGGAGTTAAACAATGAGAACACATGGACACAGGGAGGGGCCGGTTGGGGGGTGGGGAGCAAAAGGAGGGATAGCATTAGGACAAGTGCCTAATGCATGCAGGGCTTGAAACCTAGATGACAGGTTGGTAGGTACAGCAAACCACCGTGGCACATGTATACTTATGTAACAAACCTGCACATTCTGCACATGTATCCCAGAACTTAAAGTAAAAAAATTAAATAACATTTTTTTAAAAAGAAAAAATTAGCTGGGCTTGGTGGCACGTGCCTATAGTCCCCAGCTACTCTGGAGGCTAAGGTGGGAGGATCGTTTGAGCCAAGGAAGTCGAGGCTGCAGTGAGCTATAACTGCACCACTGCACTGCAGCCTGGTTGACAGAGTGGGACCCTGTCTTGAAAAAAAAAAAAAAAAAGAAAAGAAAAAAAGGAAGGGAGAAAGAAAACCATTTTTCCAATCTGCATGAAAACTGGGGCTTAGAAAGTAGTCCCTTCTCACTGAAAATTAGAATTCTCATAGCATGTGGAACTTTAATGTTGGCTTCATACTGGTCAAGTAAGAGACATTATTAGTGACAAGTAAAACCAGGAGATTTGCAATTATGACTTTGTTCAGTTACCTGTTGAAAAGTGCACACAATTCGTCTGAATTCCTGCATTTTTTGATATTATTTGTAGACATAGCTTTTGTATTTGCTGAAATTTGCATGAGGTATGCATTAGCTTTAGGAAAGAGAGTGGAAATTTTGTGTCTCAGTGACCAGGTCTAAGTCCATAACCTCCAAAACATAAAAAAGTCTAAACATGTGGTTCATTTAGGCTCATCAGTTTCCAGCCATGGTAACTTTCATCTCCTCCGTGACCATGTCAAGCCCATTCCCACCCTAGAGCATTCCTCAATATGGAGAACTCTTCTCCTAGATATTCCCATGGCTAGCTTCTCACTATTTAAGTCTCAGCCCAAATGTTTCCTCTCAGAAAGGCCTTTGGTGATCACAAATAGCAACATTTCCTCCCACCTTGAAGCACCCTCTACCTCATTATTCTCATTTGTCTTGGCAATTATCAACATCTGAAAGTGTCTGCTTGCTTGTTAAATGTCTCCCCATACCAGAGGGTCTGCACCATGGGAAGAGAGACATCTATCCTGCTCAGTGCCTAGAAGATGCCTGGCACAAGCTATGTCCTAAATGAAATGCTTGTTTTCAACTCCAAGTAGGAAAGAATCCTATTGCAAATATTTTCCATCATTAATATTATTATGTGAAACTGTAGGGTATGGCTAGGAATACAGTGCTTTGCTAAAGTGGTACTTATCAATTTTCTGACCATAGTAAACTCTCTACTATTTTTTAAAGAATGTAATTCAGGATTAATCACTCTCACTTTATGGAAACTTTCTACTTAAGAGGTTCCCAACTGTAATTAGGCCATTCTTACATTGCTATGAATACCTGAAACTGGGTAATTTGTAAAGGAAAAAGATTTAATTGGCTTACAGCTCTACAGGCTGTACTAAAGCATGGTGCTCTGTATCTGCTTGGCTTCTGATAAAGGCTCAAGAAGCTTACAATCATGGCAGAAGGCAAAGGCGGAGTTGGCATGTCACATGGCGAAAGCAGGAGCAAGAGAAAGTGGGTTAGGGGGAGATGCCACACACTTTTAAATGGCCAGATCTCACAAGGACTCGCTATTATGAAGACAGCACCAAGCCACTCATGGCTTGATCCACTCCTATGACCCAAGTACCTTCCACCAGGTCCCACCTCCAGTACTGGGAATTACAATTCAACATGAGATTTGGGCAGGGACAAATACCCAAACTATATCACCAATGTTTGTGTATGTCCAGGTACACTTTTGAGTTCTAGAGTTTTTGGTGACACAAAGAGGTTAAAAGACTCGAAAATGTTTTCTGAACAATCCAGATGTCCATCAACTATGAATAAGCAAAACGTAGTATATCATGATGGAATATTATTTGGCCACAAAAAGGAAGTATGGATACACATGCTGCAATATGGATGAACCTTGAAAACATTATACTGAATGAAAGAAGCCAGTCACAGAAGACCACATATATTTATATGAAACGTCCAGAATAGGTAAATCTATGGAGACAGAAGGGAGATCCTTGTTGCTAAGGGCTGGTGGAAGCTGGGGGTGGGGATAGAGGAGTGGAAGATAAAGAGTACAGGGTTTCTTTTTGAGGTGATGAAAATGTTATAAAATTGACTGCACACATCCTTGAGTATATTAGAAACCATAGAACTGTACACTTTTACTGCGTGAATTTTGTGGTACATAAATGATAACTCAAAGAAAAGCGTTATGAAAAATATGTGTTTTCTGGTTCAAGATGGTGGATCACAATACACATTTATATTTTCTCTCACTCTATACCAGGCATGAAGAAACGGTGGCCTATAGACCAGATCAGGCCCATTGCCTCGGAGCCTGTTATGTGTAAGTAAAGTTATATTGGGATGCAGTCATACTCATTTGTTTTTGTGTTGTCTTATGAAGACTTTCTCACTAAAACACCAAAGTTGAGTAGTTTTGACAGAGACTTCATGGCCCACAAAGCATAAAATATTTATTATCGAGTGCTTTAACAGAAAGTGTTTGCCCATCCCTGTTTTAGAAGAAAAAGACAGGCAGACAAACAATTGCAATATTATTCGAAGAGTGACTACTTGTTATTCTAAGTGCTATGCAGCATATTAAAACAGAATATGTTGGAAACAGCCACCTGGAAAATTTCCTAAGAAAATGCAACCCCGTTATAAGTATTTCGTTCTTCTCTCATTACACTATTCCTTGAATCACTAAATTTCACTGGCTCTAAGACTCCACCAATTATAAGGGGCATCATTATTGTTATACTACTAAAGAAGAAAAAAAATGCTTTAGTTAAAATGTAGCACAAGCCTTTCTCACTGCATAGAACTTCTACTTTACCCTTATTGAAAGAGCTCTTTCAAAGTCATTTAAATGGATTTTTATCTTACATTGTTATTGTACACACACAGAAAAGTAGTGAGCTTAGGAGCAAATAAGGAGAGAAACCTCACTGTGGGTGAGCCCAGAAAGAAGTCCCATGTGTGACATTTGATTTCCTGCCCCTTTTCCATGGCTTCTTTTATTCTCTCCTTTGTTTCTCACCCCCTTTCCCAGTTTCTGATCTGCAAGTCTTTGCTCTGATGCCCCATATTTCCCTTCCTCTAACCATACCCCCAGCACGACTTCTTCCCCTCTCTCCCTGTCTATTCCTCTCTGCTACTTCTCACAATCACCCACCATCACCCTTCTCCCACCCCAAGACTCATCACCACTGCCTGAGGATAGTGATTATAAGATGCATCCTGATTTCAGGGAAGGTAAAATATGGAAAGGTATGTGACTTAGACTTAGTGAAGAATGGTATTGGAGGAGTGTGCACTCTAAGTTATAAACCAGATGTAGAGAGATATGGGGCAGTAGTGCTAGTGCAACAGATACTGCTTGTGTGATACATTTGGTGGATTTCTGTATGCATGTGACTAGTTCATAATGCCTTATTATGAGGAGCATCCCGGTTTCCTGATGGGGCAGCCTGTTGTAATTAGGACATTCACAGTTCATGCTGGAGTTCCCGGGGCTGGAGTTGCCTTTCTGAATTGCAGTTCCTTCTCCGACTGATGGGGGTCTTGTGGCAACTTGCAGTCAAGCTAGATGACACCCACTTTCCTCTACCCTCATTATGCTCTCTATGAGTGATTCTCAAAGTATAGGCCCCAGACTAGCAGTATCAGCATCACCTGGGTACTTGTTAGAATTACAAATTCTTGGACCACTCCGTAGACCCAGCTGAATCAGAAACTCTGGGAATGGTGTCCAGCATTCTGTGTTTTATCAAGTTCTCCGTGTGCAAGCTGAAGTTTGAGGACCACTTCTTTATAACCTACCTAGAGTGGAGATCTCTATGATTTATCACCCTTCCTGGCCTATAGGCCTCCATCTTGTGCTCCATAGGGATTAAGCGTAGCCGGAGGTGAAAAGAAAGCTAGGTTTTACAAAACTCATGTCAGGTAAGACTTCGTTCTCCATAGATGGGACTGCTCAGTTAGGGGAAAGGAACATATTCTTTTTACATTGTTGGAAGTAGAAAGCTTGTCTTCCCTGGGTGATGTGATAGAACATGATTGATTAGCAACTGTCAACTGGGAATCAGAGAAGCTCTCAATGAAGAGGTGATGATTAAGTGGAGTGTGAAGGCCAAGAAGACATCAGCTTTTCAAAGACCAGGAGCAGCGGTTTTCTGCCTCCCTATCCACTTCTCCATTTCAAACTATCCTTCACACAGGTGACAAGTTATTATACCTAAAGCATTCATTCATTCATGTATTCTTGAACACTGGTGTTCCAGAAATGAATATGGCTCCTGCCACAGAGTCTATATCACCGTGAGATTTAGTCTACATTCCTCCATGGGCCATCCTTTCTATCCAAATAGTATTTTTACTTCCATCTCACGGCTTTGCTTATGCATCCATCCTGCCTGTGTGTGCTTCTTTTCCTCATGCCCAGTTTGAAGGTACCTATCTATTACTTACTGTGTCACTGTATTAATCACATTAATTATGCTTCTTTCACAAAGCCTTCATACATTTCCACAATTTTTCCTAATCTAAAATATATTAGCACATCTATATATTGTCCTCATTATACGTGTTATACATTGCTTTAAAATTATTCCCTTAGGTGGTAAGAAATGTGGGCCGGGTGCAGTGGCTCACACCTGTAATCCCAGCACTTTGGGAGGTCGAGGAAGTGCATCCTTGAGGTCAGGAGTTTGAGACCAGCCTGGCCAACATGGGGAAATCCCATCTCTATTGAAAATGCAAAAAAAAAAAAAAAAAAAAAAAAAAAAAAAATTAGCTGGGTGTGGTGGTGTGTACCTGTAATCCCAGCTACTCAGGAGGCTGATGCAGGAGAATCACTTGAACCCGGAAGGTGGAGGTTGCAGTGAGCGGAGATCGCACCACTGCACTCTAGTCTAGGCACCAGAGCGAAACTCAGTCTCAAAAAAACAGGAATGTTTACCCATATATCCTTTTCCTTCGCAGGTACTTTTAAGATTCGGATCAGGTTCAGGTTTTAATTTTTTTCCCCTGAGTCCACATAGTAGGTATTTAATAAATGCATGTCAAACTCAAATAGGAAAATATGCTTTTAAGTGAGTACCCTAAGGAAATTGTTTGCAGCAGATTTAGCATCTAATTCATTTTTCCTTGTGGGCCACACTTCCTGTTTTGTGTATCTAAACAAACAACAGAGGTAGGGTTCAGAGGAATCTCAGAACAGGAAGAAACCTATTTGGGATTAAAGGGTTTGCAAAAGGCATCAGCAGAGTAGATTTCTCAGTACTAGTAATTTCATAAATGGGAAGAAAGAAGAAGGGGAAAAGAAGGAAGAAAACCAAGAAAGGTAGAAGAAGAGATTGCAAATTGAATGGATTAAAAAAAACTGTTAGAGGATTCAGTATTTTTTAAAAGTGCAATAGTCATAGTTGAAAACATTATTTAAAGTTAAAATATTTCTAATCTACCTGTTTGAAAGTTTACATAATTCTCTGAGAACTAGGAAGATTTCCAAATCACAAAGTAAATAGCCAAACTCAGAGTCATCTCAGACACCTGTTAGCACACACATGCATGATCGGAAGCTTTCCCAGGGACACTGTGCACATTTTAGAGCAGTGTCAATTCAAGCAGCAAGAAAGCCCTGGTGCCTTAGCAAGTGAAACAAAGGCAAGAAGGTTGAAGCCTTTTGCTTTTGTGGTTAAACCTTTTGGGTAAGGAATCAGACCACTACTGAGTCAGACACCTGGGTGTCAAATATCGGCTCCATCCAGTACCAGCTGTTTGCCTTAGGCAAATTAGGAGACTGCTCCTGGGCAGTGGGTTTAATAGTATCTGTAAGTTGTTGGGAAGATTAAATGAGATACTGCATGGGAAGCTCTTAGCATAGGGTTTGGCACCTAATAAACACTCAATAAATGCTAACTATCATACAAAAAAGAGCTCTTTTTGTCTAACCACCAGATGAGATTTCCTTCCTTTTGGGTTTGCAGATTCCACTGTGAAATGATTACAAAGCTATTTGCTATCTCACAGCAGAGGCCCGCTTTCACGTTTTTAGCTTTATGAGTTTCCTGGCTGAGTGCTAGGAAATGCTTCATTTGACCAATGTGCCAAACCCATTTCCCTGCTGCAAAACAAGCAACAAAAAAACACAACAGTATCCTACTGAAAACCAAAACAAAAGCCAGACAATGGAGGCATTTCTACAGCAAAGAATAATGAGCACATCAAGAAGGTAATTTCTGCCCCTGTCCAGGTGGCCTTCGATGCAGGGGACAGACAGCAGGAGCCATGTTGGTATTAACTTCATAAGAGTAGATAAGTCAGCGGGAGCTACTCAATCACTTGACAGAAGCCAATTCAGAAGGCATCTGAAATGCCTGACTTTAAAGATAATCATGTTAGGAATCAAAAAGGGGTCTAATGTTAGAGTCATGCCTTTCAAATGCAACAAATCATTATACCTGTCAAGATTTATGGACAGATGTATTTATGTTGACACTGGACCACTAACACTTTGACAAATGAGAGGCTTTGACATATACAACAGATATGTCCAAGTCTGTTTCTCGATTAAAAAAAAAAGGGATGAAGTAGTGAATTATGACAAGGTGGTGAAATGGGCTGGTGTGGCTCCAGGGGTCTCTGCTGTCCTGGCCCCACCACTGCTCATTGCTCGTTGCAGCAAGACCAAACAACAGGAAGCACAAAGGGCTGTTCTCACCAATGAATAAGATTGGAAATGGCTGATCTGAAAGTCTAATAAAGAATGGACTCCCCATGGAGGTTACCCATGCACAGAAATGAGTCTGATTCTTTAGCCCCCAAAGGATTCCTGGCCCTCTGTGAAGGAAGTGAGGAGAATTTGATTAGCAGCTAAGTATCTGAGTGTGGTGATGCCGCAGTGGCCTCGGCTTCTGACTAAGTTTATTAAGGAGGCTAATTCCTATCAGTGAATTAAAGTCAGGGCTTGATTCATACTCAAGCACCTGGAAGAAATTTGCTTTGGAAAAAAAAAAAGGTCTGTAAAGAGACAATTAGATTTATGATCTATCATCAGGAATTTGATAAACTCAAAACAGTCGAAAGGGACCTTTGATGAGATTCATTAATGTAACAGAATCCGTAGCATTAATAGGAGGAAACTTTCCAGATGGAATTTTTTTTTCTACCTGCTTGTTTTTGGATATTGTCCCCTGCATTTTTGCACTAACTCATTCATACCCCTTGTCTTACGAAAATTCACTCTATAATAATGTAGGCCCTGGATTAAAAGAAGGGATTTCTTTATCACAGGACAACTCAACATGAACCAAAGCTTTGCCAGGAGGAAACAAGAGACTTGAATGCAGGCAGCAAGGCTCTCTGTAGGAACGGAGATTGGATATTGGGTATTACTTGCAGAGAGGGAGAACTTGGCATTACTGAGTGAGAGGTTTCCATAAGGTACAGCAGACAGCCTGGGTGGAAAATAAAGGCTCAGCCAGTATGTGTCCACACTTGTGCACAAATGCACACACATTTTGAATTTAGATGTGACTATGGAAAACGAGAATAAGAGGAGTGCTGCAGGATACAGACAGCAACTATGTCAACATTCGTTTATTCATTTAAAAAATATTTATGAACACTTACTGTGCTCCAGGCACCATGCTAAGCCATGGAGATGCACCAGTGGAATATCTCAGGTAACTTGCCTGCTCTCAGGAGCTTAGTCTCAGGCTGTGGCTGGTTCAAGGGCAAGGAGCATCAGGCAATAAATATGGGCAAATAAGCAAAAGAATTGTGGACTAAGGAAAATAAATGCTATAAAGAAAATAGATATGTGTAGGATGGAGAGTAACTTGGGGGAGGGAACTACTCTAAGCTAAGGGAGAACTTATGCTAAGGTGGCTAAGAGATAAAAGCTGGAAGAAGACAGTGAACCAGTGATGTTAAAACCTGAGTTTGCTCAAGAGCAGGTCAGGAAGTTTAAAGGCCCTGAGACAGCCAAGCACTAGGCTTATAGGAGGAACAGAAAGGAAGTCAAGCATGATGAAGTAGCTAGAGTGAGTAAGAAGAGAGAGTGGTGAGGATCCACTCAAATGGTTTTAGCTTAAGAGTGATATCTGATTTTAATTTAAAAAATACATCCTGAGGGCTCCGTGAGGGACTGATTAAAGAGAGGTAAGAATGAGTGCAGGGAGATTTGTGAAGGCTATCTAGTATTTCAGGCAAGATGATGGCAGCTTGGACCACGTGGATGCCATGCAGATGGAGAGAAGTGGATTGATTTGGGATTGATTTTAGAGTCAAAACAGACTATAATTTCATAGTCAGTTTATTCTAAGGTTTAAAACACTTTTTTCCATCATGCACCTAAGATTTATATGGAGATTTATGAAATGGTACCCACACAGTGCTTTGAATTCCTTGGAGGGAAGCAAAGCATTATTATTATTTTCTTTACTCATATTGTGAATTTATTAACTTTTAACTCCTATATTGGGGTAGGTATTTCACTGACAGCTGGGGTCTCATTTAGCTAACCAGGTGCCCATGTTAAACAAAGATTATATTATTATTGAAGTTATTATTAGAGAAATATAATAGCTCATGTTGAATACCAATAACAAAACCTAATTTCGTATAACTCCAGCAGGCAGCCTTAGTTATGGGGCACAGGTAGGTGTACTCAGTGAGTGTGTTTCTGATGCTCAACATCTTCTTTTCTTACCAGTTTTAAGGGGGTTTAAAATCTTGAGTGATTCCAGACCAGTTCATTCCAAAGGATAGCTTTGCACAGTTGTCAAAACCAAAACCTTCTCCAGAATTTTAAATTAATCTCTTGAGGGATAGAGGGTTAGGATGTTGACAGGGCAAAAGAAAAAAACATCCAAATTAATTGGTCCTTAAGAAGTAATTAAACCCAGGAAATTTGGTTATAGAAGGAAGGGTAATTTTGGAATAGGCTTATGATTAAATTTAAGAAAACATAATAAATGCAGTAAGAATATACACGCATATATTTTTCATAGATTGGAGGACAAAATCAGAGCTAATATATGACCTGAGAGCATTCACATCTTCCTCCTCAAGACCCTCCTTCTCCAAAATCAGATTGTACCAGGCATGAAATTCATACAATTGTGAACACCATTACTTACAGTTGTTTCAGAAAACATGTTAGAGCCAGCAAACAGGATAATATGACTTAATGAGGCAATTGTATGTAGAAACTCTGGATAATATCTGAATGAATTATCAATGAAAAATATCCCATAATATAAACTGGGCACTGGTTGAGGACACGACCACTGCTGTTGGTGTTGATGAGCATCAGTGGAGTGCAGCATAAAAACCTGGAGATGAGTGCTCTCTGGGAGTCAGAAAATCAACAAATAGTTGGAAGATGAGCATTTTCAACAGCATTAACCCAAATAACAAGTCAAATGGGCAGAGGAAGCATTTCCTCCAACTGAGTGATAAGTTGTGAATTCTGGAAAGAGTGAAGCATGCTTATCTTTCTCCAGACCCTTTGCTCTCATCGTCCATGCTCCCCTCTATCATGACAGACATTGCTATTGCCTTAGTTGCCTACCCAATTTTTGCTCTTCTTTTCTGTTCCTAGAACCCTGATTTTGTTTGGGATGATCACGTGCCTAGATGAGCCCAGCTTTCAGGTTCTCTTGCCGCTAGGTTTGGCCATGTGACACATTTCTGGTTAATAAGAAATAAGCGGAAATCCTTTGGATTGGGCTTCCTGGAAAGCTTTTGCTTTCTTAATTGAAAAAGGCTGGATTGGCATATCTTTAAACTATTTTTTTAAGCCTATCGCCCTTTGTTTTACTGCTCTTCTTTGTGCCAGAAACATGGATGTGAAGCCTGGAGATGGAGCAGGCATATTAACAACATGAGACATACAGGACAAGGACAAAATCTCACTAATGATGGTGTATTAGTCCGTTTTCATGCTGCTGATAAAGATGTACCCAACACTGGGTAATTTATAAAGTAAAATAGGTTTAATGGACTCACAGTTCCATGTGGCTGGGGAGACCTCACAATCACAGGGGAAGGCAAAAGGCACTTCTTACATGGCAGCGGCAAGAGAGAATCAGCATCAAGTGAAAGGGGTTTCCTCTTATAAAATCATCAGATCTTGTGAGGTGAGATGTATTCACTACCATAAGAACAGTATAGGCGAAACCACACTAAATTATCTCCCATTGGGTCCCTCTCACAACATGAGCAAATTATGGGAGGTACAATTCAAGATGAGATTTGGGTGGGGACACAGCCAAACCATACCAGATGGTGTGGAAGCCAGAAAGAGCCTGGCAGTGTTGAGCAGCAGTAACAATTCTGGGTTGCCTATTTCCAGATTTCTTCATAGGTTTAGAAGCCATGGTTGGCTGAGCTTTCTGTTGCTTGTACTGTACGCTACCTTGAAACACTCAGCTTCACATTCAGCTTTCACCTCATTTGCACAGTAATCATCTGTAAGTTTCCCAAGGGCAGGAACAAAACTTTCTTCACCTACAATCTCTCTATGGTGCCAAAGTAAAGGCTGAAGACCTAGGAAATACCAAAGTACTTTTAGGTGGTGAAAGGGATGCAAGAAATCAAAGGTTTCTTTTATACCAATGATTCTTAACCAAGATTGCATAACAGATCCACCATGTGTAAATATGTATAGAAATAAACTCACAGATGAGCGTAGTGGCTCACGACTGTAATCCCAGTACTTTGAGAGGCTGAGGTGGGCAGATTGCTTGAGCTCGGGAGTTCGGGACCAACCTGGCCAACATAGCGAAACTCCGTCTCTACCAGAAAATACAAAAATTAGCTGGGCATGGTGGTGTGTGACTGGAGTCCTGGCTATTCGGGAGGCTGAGTTAGAAGGATTGCTCGAGCCTGGGAGGTGGAGGTTGCAGTGAGCCGAGATTACACCACTGCACTCTAGCCTGGGTGACACAGTGAGATCCCCATCTCAAAAATAAATAAATACATAAAAAGAAAGAAAGAAACTCACATACACACCTAGGCCCTATCTTCAAATATTCAGATTAAGAAGGTCTGAGATGGGACCCTGCCATCTGTGCTTAAAAAAAATGAAAATCCCTGTAGATGAGATTGAAATCCTTTCTTTGTACAATTGCCAGGAAACTTGGCTTTAATTTTAGGTCCTACTATACGTACCTATCTGTCTCTGTTCTCCAAATTCTCCCTTCCAGGAAAGTCTGCCATTCATGGGTTTCCTCAATGTTTCTGTCATATTTGGAAACTTAATGGCAAGAACCTTTTCCCAACTCCCACATTAAAGCAACCTGTTATTTTATGGTAAAACCCAAAGGTTTTTCTACATTAGCCATTTAGGAGGAACATAAATTGGAACAAGTAAGGGTTAAATCGTGAGCTATGCGCAGTGACTCCTGCCTGTAATCTAAGCGCTTTGGGAAGGTAAGGCGGGTAGATCGCTTGAGCCCAGGAGTTTAAAACCAGCCTGGGCAACATAGTGAAATCCCATCTCTACCAAACAAAACAAAACAAAACAAAATTAGCTGGGTGTGGTGGTGCATGCCTATAATCCCAGCTACCCGAGAGGCTGAGGTGGGAGGATCACTTGAGCCTGGTAAGTTGAGGCTGCAGTGAGCTGTGACTGTGCCACTGCACTCCAGCCTGGGTGACAGATCCTGTCTCAAAAAAAATCGATTAATCAATCAATCATGGCTAGCCAGTCTGGAGCATTTTCAATGAAAAGGCTTCAAGTATATACCTAGTAAGGAGTTAGTAAGATCACTTCCCTTAAGTAATGAAATATTTTCAAGGTGGTTAAATATTGGTTGTCTCTGGAAGGGTCAGGTAGAGAGACAGGGGCATCCAATCAGGTAGGGGCACTCGGGGGCTCTAGTGCTATGGGGCTTATTTCTAAAAGTGGGTGGCAGTTCCATGGATAATTGTTATCTTTATACCTTGTATATGTGTTAGAGATATGTTGTGGGTATAACATTTTGTATAATAAAAATTAAAAATATTGGGCAATTTAGGCAATAGGCATTGCAACTATTCTTTGATCAAAGAACATAAAAACAAACAAAACAAAAAACCAAAATTTTTTTAAAAAGCTGTGTTTCATACAAATTTTCTCTAACAGTGAATGATTCCAATTTCCAGCTTCATCATTTTCTTTTCCACCACCTTAGTACACAAATTTCCTTGATTAAGGAAGTCAGCTATAATAAAACAAATGCCCTGGCCACATTAGAGAGCTCATCTCTAAAGTAAGTGGCATTTTATTTAGAGCAGTAAGGGTGTAATTACTTTCTACTGATCCTCAACTTACGAAAGGGAGAACAGGTCATGGAAGGTTGTAGATCTATCTTGTTTTATTTCCAAACAAATTCTATTTTTATTTTGCTCTCTTGGGTCAGGCTTTCCCGGGATCTACACTACAGGAGAGAGATGCAAAAGTGTATAGATTCCCACAGAGTGGGCAAACTTGCAATTGTATGATTTCAAAAGCTACTTACTTCCCGTCCAACTTTGCATCCTCTTCAGAATGAGAACAGAGAGTTGGACATTTACACGCATGCCTTTGTTTCCTTCTCGAAAGTGATAGAGGATGAGGTAAGGCAGTGACAGGCAAAATTGTAAGGGGTTTGCTCTTCCCCTATCAAAAGTCTGTGGTTTGGCTCCATAGGAAAGAGTTTTGTAGTCAATTAGCCAAACTATGAACTCAAAATCCACAACACAGTGCCTCAAAGAGTCCATTCCAATCTACCGTGACAAGCTACATGAACCTATTTACCACCACTGGTGAATGTTGAAGGCCAGTTCCACGAGTGAGTGGGAAATAACGAATTGCTCAGGCACATTCTGAGACTTCTGCTTTTTATGATTCTCCATTTGGGGATGTCAGCTTCCTGGAAGGCAGGTCTTTGAGATGTTAAAGACCAAATCCCCCACACTGAATGAGATGATTTCCTCCCAGCTTCCTTAAATTGCCCAGAACAATAGTTCTCAAAATTAGTATGCATTAGAAACACCTGGGGCTCCAGCCCCATAACCTCAGGTAGGTCTCAGGTGGGGCTCAGGTAATTCTGACACAGGTAGCCCACATCTGTACTTTTAAGAACACTACCTCTGGGATGCTCCAGTTCCTCTTTGGAGGGAGACTTTCATTTTTGGTGGCTCTGGGGATGACATACATGGTACAGAGGCATCTCTTTCCAGTCCCCACTGTTCCTACACATTTGGCTCAGACCTGAAACCTGGCACCAGATGAAAGGTTTGTCCTAATTTTCCTGCCACTGATTTACTCATTGACCTCTCTACTGCCAAAAACAACAAAAACCAAAAAACAAAAACCCCAAACTTAATAAATTCCTGACACATAACAGGCTCTCAAAACCCTGTGGAATGGCTGACCACAAGAATCCAGTTTTACTTCAGGAAAGAGGTCCAAGAGGCCTCCTGGGATATATCTGAGGGTCTTTGAGGTCTTTCATCTGTATCAGGTCTTTAAATAACTGTTGGAAAAAAAATTTATAAAGATCTCAGGAGCCCACTCCAAAGTCAAATACTGTCAGTTGGAATGTGCTTGGAGTGACTCGATCAGGGGGCTTTTCTGCTATGGAAAACTGGGAAGAGCTCAGCTGTCCACTGACTCAGGGGCCCAGCCACTGTCTGACAACTTCCTTTCTTGCACAAGCTGCCCACTATGCATAAAAGGAAAAAGCTGGCAGCAGATGTTTGCATGAGAGTTGTCCAGTCAAAAAACTGGCTCCAAGTCAAGTTAAAAATAGGGCTTTATAAAATAGATCACACTTGTTCAGTGACAGTTATTCACTGGTCTTTGCATCACCAAGGTCAGTGTTGCCAGCTGCTTTTGATATAGGGAAAGAATTGGCTACTGTTTCCCATGATATCTTTTAAAATGTTAATGCCATATTCTCAGCAAGTTCTCATCCCATTTTACTGTACAGGACATCAGCCTGACATACGTCAGATTGGGACATAAACCATTCATTACCGCTGGGTCCACCATCTCCCTCAGGGACAAGTGAATTGTCTGGATTCGTGGAGAGCTTACTACTACATAATGCCTGATTAAAATAAGCTTTCATCAGTTCAACACATATTTACTGAGACGTGCACTCTGACAGACCTTGTGCAAGGCCCTGCAGAAATAGCAGTGAAACAGCCCCATGTGGCCTGGCCTCATGGAGCTTTTACCCAAGTGCTGGAGTTCTTACCTCTTCTGTGCTATAGAGCTCTTTTGAAGTTTGGTGAAGCCCATGAGCCCCTTCTCAGAATACTATTTTTAAATATATTAAATACATAGGTTTATAAAGTAAACTAATGATAATGAAATTGTTAAATATATAAATACTGTGTTATAATGTATATGTGCTTCTTTACTAATGCACATTGGTTTGTTTTGTTTTGTTTTGTTTTGTTTTTTTTTTTTTTTTTTTTTTTTGAGACTAAGTCTCACTTCACTGCCCAGTCTGGAGTGCAGTGGTGTGATCTTGGCTCACTGCAACCTCTGCCTCCTGGGTTCAAGTGATTCTCCTGCCTCAGCCTCCCTAGTAGCTGGGATTATAGGTGCCTACCACCACGCCCGGCTTATTTTTGTATTTTAGTAGAGATGAGGTTTCACCATGTTGACCAGGCTAGTTTCAAACTCCTGACCTGAAGCAATCTACCTGCCTCAGCCTCCCAAAGTGCTGAGATTACAGGCGTGAACCACCGCACCCAGCCTACTAATGCACGTTGAATAAATTTTTGCAGCATGTCTAGAAAGTACCATAATTTAGAAATGATGAGCATAAATGGTATTTCAAGAAATCAGCAATATCTGTAATGTGATATAAAATGTCTATGATGTATTGTTGACAAAATCACAGCTACTGTTAATGCTACTGTGTTTTGTTGCCTCTATTCATACTAGAAAGAATAAATTTCAGTTTGAGGTTAGTGAAAAAAATGATGCAATCTTTTTCCCAATTAAGTTTATAGCCCACCTCCTGAATATCTATCTGTGGGGGTTTGTCAAGCCAGGTTAATCATTCCTGGCATTGGAATAGACACTGAATTTGATAATTCTACTACACTATGTCTATATCTACATATTTATATAGAAATAAAATATGTGGTAGGTTTTGTCACAGAAAGGTACAGATGCTATTATAATCCCTACTTCAGGTGTTGGTAAGGGAAGGCTGAGATATTTGGAAGAAATAACAGGTAGGTTAGGACATAAAAAATAAGATCAAATGAAGCGAGAGGTGTAAGGAGAGAGAAGTAAGTACTCTTTCAGGAAAAAGAAACTATATATGCAAACTCCATGAAACAAAATAGAGCAGGTATAGGAGGGATGAGAGAAGTTTCTAGGGCTGGACCATGGGGTGGTGAGGTGGGTGTGGTTTGGAAGGGTTATGAGCCCAGACTGCAGCAGTGAAGACACTGGAACATGAAGAAAGGTAGTCCATGCTAAGGAGTTTGTCTTTATCCTAAGGCCAGTGATAAACCATTGTTGGTTTTCAGGAAGTGTGCGAATTGAGGAGATCAGTTGACTCCTGTGCAGAATGCAGACCAGGGGATAAAAGGATAGAGGCAGAGAGACCAGTTAGAAGGCTGGTGGGCTACTGTGGCCACTGATTTAATGTGGGGAGTGAGGGCGTGTGGGAGTGAGCTGGGATTCTGGTGCATGATGGTACCATTTACTGAAACGGAGATTGCAGAAACAGACGTGGGTTTGGGGTCAGAGAGAAATACTAAATTTGGTTTTGGACATGGTGGAGTCCATGTGCCTGTGAGAAATTCTAGTGGCTATAACCAGTATGCAGTTGTACATCTGCATGGAGCCTGATGCATAGAAATAAAACTGGGCTGGAGATACAAATTAAAATAGCCTTTTTTGTGTGTTGGATACCAAACCAAAAATTCTAAAATTGGTGAAGAACTATACTGAATCATGTATTAAGTATTTTCTTTTAAAAACCACCACTTAATGCTATGTATCTGGCATAATATATAATTTGTATGTATTTTCTCAATCTTCAAAAAATTATTTGACCCAGGTATATTTGTACTAACTTTGTAGACAGGAAAATGAATACTAAGAGAAGTGAAGTAACTTGTAGATCATGTAGTAGGAGACAGAAACAGGCTTAAACCAGGTTGTCTGATGTAAAACCCCTGCTCCTTTAGCTGGGCATGGTGACGCACACCTGTCCTTCCAGCTACCTGGGAGGCTGAGCGGGGAGGATCACTTGAGCCTGAGAAAGTAGAGGCTGCAGTGAACCATGATAGTGCCACTGCACTCCAGCCTGGGCAACAGAGACCCTGTCTCAAACAAACAAACAAGCAAACAAACAACAACAAAACACAAAAAAACCACCTACGCTCCTAAATACTGTGTCCTAGGGATTTCTTAACTAATTGCCTTCCTTAAAAAAAAAAAATCATAATACATCATTTATAGAAAAGAAAACAGAAATTTCACTTTCTCTCTGTCTCTAAAAGGTCAATTAATTTCTACAGATTTTTCTTCACATTTTCCTTTGAGGGTACAAATTATATCTAATGAATCTTTTTATCCCTTTCATTGCATTGTACAATATTCACTGAGTACATATATATTAAATGAATGGAAATACAAGTTTCACCTGACTTAGATTCATGAAGTAAGAAGAATATGCATGGAAATTTTATGAATTACTTAAAATTATGTTAGTTGCAAGAGACATAAACCTATAAACCTGATTCAAACAAGTTTAAGGGGGAAAAAAATGAACATTATTTCTCGAATAGTTGAAGTTCTCATCTTCAGGGTGGCTGGATCCAGGTACTGTTCAAATACATCACTAGCTTCGGTCGATATCTTTCTTTAGTTGGTGGGGTTTGTCATAAGAATGCCCCCAGTAGCTCCAGACTGACATCCTCTTAGATTCATTTCCAGGAAAAAAGAGCTTCTTTATTCCAGTCATTCCAGTATGATTCTTTGAATTGCATCTCTCTGGTCTGCCTGGAATCGCATGCTCATTTGGAGCCAAACTCTGGCCAACAGGAAAGGCTGTGATGTCTGGCTGGGTCTGAGTCATAGGTCCACCCTTCAAGAGAGAGGTTGGAAGTTTGCGGGTGAGGATGAGGGTCCTCCCGAAACCATTCGAACTGAGAGGAGGAGAGGGGTGGATTCCCCTGCAGCCACCCCTCCCACCCCCATGGCCAAATCCAGCCTCTTCTAATGGTAAAGGGAGGAATATGTGCTGGGCAGGCAAAAACAACAGATGTCCATTGCATTTGGCCTCAGCAAAATAAGATTCTGGTTTGTCACAAAGAATGCAGTTTTCATATAAATATCTTTGTGTCTGGAGATAAGAATATTTCCACAACAGTAAGTTCTATAGTTAACTATTCAATCACCAGGTGTTATTTTACAAGAGTTGCTTTGTGATTTTAACTGAAATTGAGTAACCTACCCAAGACATAACATTTTAAGGGCATCTAACTTCACAAAATGAAAACAAAGATTAGCAATGTCATCTGGCCTACTGTGAGGAATTTCTAAAGCTATATACTCTGTGATTAAAAAAAAAAAAAGATCATCTCTAACTCCAGTGTAACTTCTGTGCAAAGAATAAGTGACTTATCTTAGAGCAGAGTAAGAAAACTAGCCCTCATTATCTAAAATCTATTTGGTTCCTGAATTCAGAGTGTGAGTTATCACAGAGTGGGACACCTGTATTGGTTTTAGAGTAATCATCCTCTATACTCTGATAGGAAAACTTTTACTTTTTTGGTGTATCCTCATAAACACCAATGACATACACAATTATGTAAATGTAACATTTAACAAAATAAGAACAAAATTCTATCTGTTGAAGATGAACTATAGCATTCTCAAGATGTCTGACAGAGTTAGTTTTGTCTATAAGTAAAGTGAAAGCAGAGAAAAAGAATAACTAGCTGTCTAATGGTAACTGTTAGGCAAATACGTTGTCATTGTTAGCACTGAGTCTGTGGAGCCAATGTTAGGATGCCCCTGGGTGAAACATGTCTAGACATTTCTTAAAGAATAACTGCATCTCATAACGAAACAGAGCAAAATTATATTGGGGTTTTTCTTTAATTTTGTTTTCTCCCTCTCCCCGTTTTGTTTTTGGCTTCTAGAGAGAGATTAATGAAGGAAGGAATGATAAGAAATTGTCCGAGGAAACTGATGAACATAAATATTTCAAGATCAAGAGAGGGCAAAGTAAGATGCAATTAACTAATTGAACACCTACTATGTGCATGGCGTTTTGCAATAAAAACTTCTTATCTTGAAATAATTTTAGACTTATGAAAGAGTTGCACAGATAGTCTAGGATTCCTATATGTTCTTTATCCAGCTTCTCGTTATGTTAACATTTTACATAACTATGGAATATTTGTTAAAATTAAGATATAGACCTTGGAACAGTATTACTAATGAAAGTACAGGCTTTATTTGGATTGTATTGATTTTCACTGTTGTTTCTTTTATTCTAGTCCAGGATGCAATAGAAGATCTATAATGCATTTAGTACAATTCTTTTGAATACACACATATATATATACTTTAGGCTACATTGCCTTCATACAAATTAAACACCAGTTATTGAAAAGTAATTAAGATTCTCAGTGGCAGAATCTCTGATATCAACTGCTGTAATTTTCTTATTTCTACTTTTTACTTATGAATGCGCAAATTTAAAAATTATATTGGGGATATTTTTGCCTAAATATCTTTACTAATTAAAGCACTTTACATTCAGACATTAAAAAGTGACCCCTTTAAAGAGTGCAATATAGCTAGCTTCAAAACCTATGTAGATCCAGTCAGGAAGTTCAATATAATACTATAAGCAAACTACATATGTATATGTATATATGTGTGTGTGTGTGTGTGTGTGTGTGTATACATATATTTTTGAGACGGGAGTCTCACTGTGTTGCTCAGGCTGGAGTGCAGTAGTGCAATTTTGGCTCACTGCAACCTCCATCTCTCAGGCTCAAGCAATCCTCCCACTTCAGTCTCAGTCTCCCAAGTAGCTGGGACCACAGGTGTGTGCCACCACATGAGGCAAATTTTTCGTATTTTCAGTAGAGACAAGGTTCCACCACGTTGCCCAGGCTGGTCTCGAACTTCTGAGTTCAGGCAGTCTGTGTGCCTCGGCCTCCCAAAGTGCTGGGATTACAAGCGTAAGCCACCGCGCCCAGCTGAAACTACTAATATTTGATTAATTAAAAAAACAGACATTTCTTTTCCAAGATTCTGAACTAATAAATGAGAAGTGGTTAAGCAAATTTTGTGGTGATTTGTTGCCTTGCATCTATTATTCGTTTTTGATTATCTCAATTTTCTTTTGAGGAATTAGCTCTTCACCTGGCAAATATTCTTGGTGGAAGTACAATTCCTTGTATTGGCTTTACGCTGCAGCAAGTGAGGATTCACCTTCTCCTTCCCCCAACCTCAAGAGAGCCCACGAATAGGTGCAAGACCTAAGCTCAACCAGCAAAAAATCATTTCCCAGAACTTTGGGTCCTGAGCAGATACTATGAGAATGAAAAGACCGGCCAGAAATCAGCAGCCAGCTCACTAGACCACTCCTACTATTACACTCTAGTTCCTACTGCCCAGTCCTCTCTTCCTGCCCAATTTTAAGCCCAGGTTTTTTTGCAGCCCATACATTCTGTGAGTTATCGATTTCAGTTTCCTTCCAGTGAATTCTCTTTAACTTAAAGTAACAGAATTGGTTTCTGTTGCTTGCAACCATGTGCTCTAAATGGAAAAAACAAACAAACAAACAAAAAACAAACAAAAAAAAAACCCCACCCCAAACCAAGGTATCCTCCCTAAGCATTGCCAATTCCTTAAATGTTTATAATCCTTTAGGAGTCTTCAAAACAATTTCTTATCCAATCTTTCTTTTTCTGCTTAAAACTCTGAATATCAGCTTCTAGCTCTATGGTCCTGGAACCCAGAACCACCCATTTGGTCATATTAATTGCACTTAGTTTTTGCTGTCTGACTTCTTCCCTGGATGATACCCTTTATGTAGGTAGGGCCTCTGCCAGAAGCATCTGGTGCTATTTTGGACACATACCAGGCACCCAAGAGATGAAAGGGAGAGAAATGCATGATTATGAAAAACATTTTTTCGCTCTTAGTCTCAGTTTATTCCAGCTGCTGTAAGAAAATACTATAAACCAGGTGGCTTATAAATAGGAAATATTTGTTTTTCACAGTTCTGGAGGCTGGGAAGTCCAAGACCAAGGCCCCAGCAGATTTGGTGTCTGGTGAGGGCCCACTACCTTGTTTACAGATCACTGTCTTTTCATTGAACCCTTGCATGGCAGAAGGGGCAAGGCATCTCTCTGTTGTCTCTTTTATAAGAGCACTAATCTCATTTATGAGGGATGTACCTTTATGAGCTAATCACCTTCCAAAGGCCCCACCTCCTAATACTATCACTTGGGGGTCATGATTTTGACATATAAATTTTGGAGAAACACAAATATTCAGTCTGTAGCATCTAAAACATATAAATTTTGGAGAAACACAAATATTCAGTTTTCACCACCATTCAGCAGAAGTCACATTTTTACCTTTGTGATAGTTATGTTAACTTCTAGTGCAGAGCCCACATTAACAAAAATAGATGCAACTTCACCAGATATTGAAGAAAATCCCTTTCAAGGTATCCAAAACATTGTCAACACATTGTTGTCAATGTAGATTGGAAAGGGGGCTACTTCACCAAATAGCCCTATCTTATTACTTGGCCTAGGATGCTTTTGAAAGAAACTATTTCCATATGCTATGCTGAATCTTGTGATAGAGCGTTACAACCCTTAAAGGAGACATTATTTTTCTTCATTGTTAAGATATATTCAGAATCGTAGGCTTAGAAGTAAGGGAAAAATTACGGTGGACCAAATACACAACAACACTGTTTAGCAAATGAGGGTGATGTTTACAACAGGACTAAATGTGACAGCTTTCAAAGCATTATGTATATTTCTAGGCATATACATGTATAGCTCTGACAGCATGTCAGTTATAATTTTTGTAATAATGTGGATATAATTTATTAGAATTCAAATACAGAATAAACGGAGCACATGCTTTGGCCCAAAGTACTAATTTGTCTATTGCTGACAGTTTTGTATGTGTTTTAAGCAGAAATAAAGACATTATAATTGAATAAACGTTTTCCTCTTGCTAACCATGCCCTCTCAGGGTTAAGAACAAGCAAATGGAATAGTGTGGAATCCTTGCAAAAGTAACCACAAATAAGACAACCATGAAGGAGAGGTGGGTTTCAGCTTTCCTGGTTGCCTGCCACAGAGGTTTGCTCATGTGTGATTGATTGCCCTGGTGAGTAATACCAGTTGGCAGACATTAGTAACACTTTGTCTTACTTTTGGTACAGTTGTTAGCTTTTCTATGTTTAGCATGTTTTCATATTTTAATAAGAATTCTGAAGCTGTGGGTATATATATATATATATATTCAGCATTAGCCTGAAACTTGACACTTTTGATTCTGGGGTAATTTATAGCTTCATCTGTATTTGACATAACTACAAGATGCTTTCAACATATGGAATTATGCTTGTAAAATTTAACCTTATTACATTCCTTTTCCAGCCCCTGTGCATTTTTTATACACACTTACTTTGCATTTTAAACATTTTGATTATATTGTTACTGAGGCTGGCATGGCTTTGCAGGAGGCAAGGAAGTTGGGGAAAAACCAGGGGATATGTGGAGTTTTGTGTGTGTGTGTGTGTGTGTGGTTTTTTTTTTTTTTTTTTGACAATTGACCAGGAGTCTCCATTTCATTTTTTAACTGAGATGGATGAGGTACCAGCCTGAAATCCTTTGTGATTTCTCCAACAACATGAGTACCAGGAATGTTTTTACCCCTGCACTGAAGCATCCGATGAGGTGTTGGAAACATGTGAGCCCTTCCAGTGTTTTTGTGGTGCACTTGCTCCCTTCTGGGAGTTGGAACACATCCACCAGGCTAACCATGTGAAAGGCATGAGACTCTGACAATGGTGTGATGGAAATTTAAATAGGCAAGGACCTGCGCCAAGTTTGCAGAGTATTGTTTTAGGCTGACTTTAGTTCAAGCCAATGAGTGGCTTGGCTTTCATACTTGAAGGCAGAAGTTGAAAATGGTTCAGGGTTGTCCTTAAAGTTCTAGGAGTTTCCAGGTATTCAATAAGCATCCCAATCTTCATTAGAAGGTAGTTCTAAGGACTGGTTTGACCTAGGAAATGGCAAAAATACCCCTCCAGAGGGAAATAGATCCTCCAGATGGTTTTAATTTATAATGACAAACTACAACCAAAATTGAGTGGATGATAACCCATTCTGTATTTGCTTATTTCCATTTATTGCAACAGAAAAGTACATTTTAAATGCTTGATTATGTTCTTTCTATGGAGTTCAGTTAACATTGCCTCGGGCCCATGAGTAGAGGAAACTTAGAGGTTTTTCTTAAACAAAAGAGAGGAGAGCTTGCTCCTGAAGCAGGTTTCCCAAGGTCACGGCCACTTCTAATTACAATTCTAATGAAACATAAGGAGATCTTCCCAGGAGATCATTACTTGGTAATTTTTCAACAATAGCTATACCATCTACTTCCCTATTTGGAAAATATAGAAAAATGGCCCATCAACGTCTCTACCATAGATTTCATTTTCATACTCGGTATTTCTGAATCCCTGATTAGTTCTCTGACAAGCAGCACATGTATATACAGTATGAAATATGAGCGTTATCTGTGCCTTGGTCTTAATTTAAAATTTGCATTATACAGTATTTATGTAGACCTTCCCTGCAACCTTTCAAGTGCTCAAACAAATGATTCTCCATTAAAAGAGTTTATCTCGAAATATCTGTCTGAGCATTGTAAATAGTATGTTATGGATCACGCGTTTATTTAGACAAGTGAAATACAACATCAAAAGCTATCACTGAAAAACTAGGCCAATATGGGCATTAAAAATATAGCACCATATATCTTGGGCAAGAAAGTTCTCTGGATCCCACGTGCAATGATTGGGGAATATTTAGACTCTCTAGCAAAGATTACATGTTTCTTGATTCATCTCACAATGCAAGTCTACTTCATTTGCAAAGTGATAACCTATTACCATAACTAAACCGCCTATTGCATGGAGGCTCAGAAATAAAATAAAAAGATTAGCCAGTTATCTTATTTACATATATTGAATTGCAGTAATACAGCCCGATCTCTGCCTCTCATTTGATTCTAATTAAAGCGTAGCAGAGAAACTGCAATCCACACAAGAGCTTATTTTAATAGTCAGAGCTGGCAAAGTCCCAATATCACAATGTAGCAATTAACAGCACGGCTGTATTTGCTATTCATGGTTTGATGTAAAAACTTGTTTATTAAGATGGGCTGGAGGCGCTGGTGTGCAATAGACCTGCATGTAATTAGATTCCAATTATTTGTCTGTTTCTGATATTGTAAACTGGCACTTAGCACATCAGTTAAATTGACACACGGCGCTGCATGGTTTACTCGGTAATTAAAACATGTTCTGTTAATTAGATGATGACCACTTTATTTCAGGGCTCTTGTGTTTGGGTTTTCTAGTGTGCTCTGTTTGTATCATGAGCCACCAGACGCTCCTCTAATGAGTCCTTGTTTTGTTTCAATTACCACCTGCTGTTCAAAAGCAAAGCTTGTTTTAACTAAACAAAATTAATGCTTGTCTCTTCCTTTGTAAGAACTTAAACGTTAGACAAATTAATACGCTTATTATTGAAGTGCTAAGCTCTGGTTTTAAAGACTGCTAAGGCAATTAGAAGAAAGTTATAAAATGTTGTACAGTGCAGCATAAATATTGTTTAGCATATTAAGAGGCATTACAAACAATGAAATATTTGCTGGAGTTGAAAGGGAGCATGGGGATTTAGCCTGCCCACCCCCAAATTAAATTAGCTCTTGCAACTTGCAAAGGGATCCAGAAACGAAAGATACAGGGGACTTTCTAGGAAAAGGGATTGGATGAAGTTGAACACAAAGGTGTGTGGCTTGGCCATAAATAAATCTGTGAATGATACTGAACCTTCCTGAATGGTTTTAAAAACTATGCCTATGCTGCATGTTCCCTTCCATGATATATGTTGTTTCCATGCTAAAGAACCAATGGCCACTGTTTCTTAAACTTTTAACCACAAACACCAGCAGGATAGCCACTTTGCATCTTGCAAGGTTTAGGGCCCATCCAATTAACTAAGCTTTTTATTCCACAGCCATCTCCACATCAGTAATTCTCCCCTGGAGCCATGAGAGAGCTGTCCATCTTTACATTTCCGCAGCCCTCCCCATCCCAACACTTCTCATTGCACACCATGACATCGAAACCACTCCTCTTGTCCAACACTGAGAATTGTGATCATGCAATTGTAGGGAGTAAAGGATGACTACTTATTTCCCAGAATATCTTCCTCACCACATTTGAAGAAGTCATTAATGAGGCAAATAAGGTGACGTCAGGCAAGTAAGCCACTGGAATATGTCTAACTAGCTCCTCTAAATAGAGTCAGGCATTTTAGAATAGCACAAAAAACTCCCAGTTCATTCCCTTTCATGGGTGCCAAACCAGCCAAGTCCACTACTGAGGAGTTGTCCTATACAAGACAGCTCTATGCAAGATAACTTCAGGGTTGTTCAGCGGTACTCTTTTGTAAGTTTCAATTCAGAATTATTCAGGGTTCATTTCAATGCATATTAAAACTGACATCTGGCATCTTTAGGAAAATGCATTAATAAATCTGACTGGTGTATACACAATACACAGTTTCTTAGAAAAGTATTTTAATTCCAAGGCAAATCATGTTCTCCTGTGTGATAATTGGCTTTATTCTTACAGGTGTTCTTCTAGAATCTGAAATATCATTCACTCCAGAAATTCAACACCAGTGATGTCACAACATGGAATGCAAATCTGAGTTCGTGGACATCAGCCCCCACCAAGACCATGGCCCTATCAATGCAGGTGATATACCTATGTAGAAAAACGAAATGCCACACTAACTCCTGGAACTTTAATTGAAAACAAAATTTACAGTAGCTGATTTCTATACCTTAGGGGTACACTTCCAAAGCAATGGGCAGCAAGCAAGCTGTAAGACTTCTATTGATATTAACGGCAGTCATGGAGCTAAATCACTGAGCACCGCTTGGCAAACTTATTCCTTAATGCTGCAGTTGCCTTAAATTAATATTTTACAAAGACCCAAAGTAATTAGACTGTGTCTTACTAAATGCCCCATTTACTCATTAGATATTTCAAAATGCATCTTTTGCTGCAGGCCCAGTGGGGCACATTAACTACTCTAAAATATATAAATGACTTCAGTGGGACCTTTTTAAAATGCTGGTGCAAGGGAAGGCCACAGGCTTCTCACTGGTGACCAATTAACATTGGCCCATTAAGGTACACACTGTTAGGACTCAAGGGACATGACTTGATTATGGCTATCCAGATCCAGGAAGCAATGAGTAATTTTTTCAACCACATCTCATGTATACATTTTAAATGGAAACCTTAATTTCTATCCTGTGGTAGATATTTGCTGTTTTTGGCCTCTCAGGGTCTATTATTCTTTGTCTGATTTCCTATTTGGGTTGTTCTTCTTGCCCATTTACTCTGGAGGAAGCTGACTACTCTCCCAGCTCAGGAGTGAGAAGGCCAAATTGAACCCACACTTCTTGGCTACAGTGATTGGTTTAAAGATGGGCATCTTAACCATTAGATGCTCCAATTCCTGATGCCAAGAATATTTATTCACAGTTGAAGAAAGAGATGTTTTCTTTTCTGCTGAATGGGTAACGAGGGAAAAAGCTCCAGGGATTGCTGGCAGACATTTTTGACTTTTTTTTTTTTTTTTTTTTTGAGACGGAGTCTCTGTCACCCAGGCTGGAGGGCAATGGCATGATCTCTGCTCACTGCACCCTCCACCTCCCAGGTTCAAGCGATTCTCCTGCCTGAGCCTCCCTAGTAGATGGGATTACAGGCACTCGCCAGCACGCCCAGCTGATTTTTGTATTTTTAGTAGAGACGGGGTTTCACAATGTTGGCCAAGCTGGTCTTGAACTCCTGACCTCAAGTGATCTGCCCGCCTCAGCCTCCCAAAGTGCTGGGATTACAGACATGAGCCACCGCACCCGGCCTTGACTTCATCTTTTAAGCAAAGAGCTAACCCAGAGGAAGGAGAGGATCTTGGTCAAATCATCTGTGATCTGTGACTTCATGCCTGAAGTCAGCACTACACCAGGATTTATGCAAACCATTCTCTCCTTCGTTTACCTTCGCTACCCTTTTTTTTTTCTCTTCCCATCTAAGCCAGGGTTTTTTCACTTGCAAGTGAAAAAATCCTGTGATACAACCTTACTTTGTATATCCCATAGTCCTGTTATTTTACCCATTTGGATCCTGAAGCTCAATAGAAGAATCCTTAAGGTGGATTCTTCATTTGGAGATCCAGGATTAACCAAGCCCTGAAATCTCAAACAACATTTGTGTTGTATATGTTATGTGCATTTTTCAGGGGAGTCCAGTGTTCCCCATCTCAAGAAAGTTTCAGAACCTTTCTAACTACTGTCAGGAATTCTAGAAGATCAACCGAAAGGGGTCACTAAAAGAAGAGTTTTTGTATGAAATCACTTTCCTAATAAGTGTCGATTTTACAGTTCATGCTTGAGCTCAAATATTCAAGAGAACACATAGCGGTTCACTGAAGAAACCTGCAAAGCAGTTTCACATGTTTGGTTTCTATAATCTTTAAACTGGATTTGGTTGTCTTGGGAGATAAAGAAGGTAAATTGGGGCTGTATAGGAATGCATTAAGTGGTGTTTTTTTTTTCTTAAAGCCTAAATATTTGTTTCAGAGTTTGCTGCTTCTATGTGTGTATATTACACGATATGTAATTTTTCCCCTGACACAAGGCCACACCAAAGGATCTGCAGAAAGAAACAGGAATTTATGGCCCATGTTGTACCTGGAGGAATGTATAGTCTCAGCTTCAAATGCACTTAGAAAAGGGGCTTGGCCCAAGGTTCTGTATGCAGAGAATAAAACCGGAACAAGACCCCAAATTGTTGTAATGCCATAGACATGGAGGCCGAGTCTATCACATCATCTTCCCATCTTTTCTCAGATGTCCAGCAACATCTGTTTCATTTGGTCTAGGTGAAAATAAGTCCCGGCTACTAAATGATCTTATTACAAGAAAAAGCAAAGCGGAGCTAAACTAATTACTCACTTATACATTGGGTTCTGCACCATTTGTTGTGTGAAGTAATCAAAAGCATAGGTCTGGACCCAAATTTTGAATTAAAATCCCGGCTTTACTACTTTCTAGGCATGTGACCTTGGGTATGTGAATGTACATTTCTGTAACTTAGCTTATCATCTAAAAAGTAATAAGCTGAATTGTATGAAATGGCTTGACATTCATCCAGATGGAGAAAAAGAGCAATGTTTTATGGTTTGAACAGATATGTATATGTATTTGATTCCTATGGCTGCTGTTACAAAGTGGCTTAAGTTAGCAATTCATTCTCTCATTTCTGGAGACTAGCAGTCCAAAAATCAAGATGTCTGCAAGGGCAGTGGTTGGTCCCCAACCGTTTTGGCACCAGCGATGGGTTTTACGGAAGACAATTTTTCCACAGACTTGGGCCGCTGGATGTGGGGAGTGGTTTCAGAATGAAACTGTTCCATCTCGGGTCATCAGGCATTGGATAATCCTAAGGAGTGGGCAACCTAGTTCCCTCGCATGTGCAGTTCACAATAGGGTTCACATTCCTGTGAGAATTTAATGCAGGTGCTGATCTGATGGGGGGTGGAGCTCAGGTGGTAATGCTCACTCACTTGCAGCTCACCTCCTGCTGGGCATGTGGCCAGGTTCCTAACAGGCTGTGGACTGGTAGCAGTCTGTGGCCCTGGGGCTGGGGACCTCTGTACAAGGCCATGATCCCTCTGAAGGCTCCAGGGACGAACACTTCCTTGCCTCCTCCTAGGTTCTGGTGGTTGCCAGCAATCCTTGGTGTTTCTTGGTTTGTAGCTGCATCACTCCAATCCCTGCTTCCATCTTTAACATAGTGTTTCTCTGTGTGTTTCCATGTGCCTATCTCTCTCCTTATAAGGACACCAGTCATTGGATTTAGTGCCCTCCTTAATCCACATGACTTCATCTTAACTTGATTACATTTGCAAAGACCCTAATACCAAATAAGGTCAGATTACCAGGTACCAGGGTTAGCACAGGTACATATCATTTTGGTATTTTACTTTTACGGGAGCCTTTTAATTCACCTAGAATACTCTTATCCTTTTACTCACCTGCATATTTGTTCTAATCTCAGGTAAAGCTACTTTTTCTACTAGTTGTATTTATAAAACATGTTCTCCATATTACTGTAATGAAATTCCCAGGTTTTAGCCTATTTGTATATCTCTCTCTACCACTATCCCAGAAATTCTCAAAACATGTGCCTGAGAATAGCAGCCCTAGAAAGTCTCTCTTAAAAGGTTAATGAAGAAAATTGTGAAATATGTCTATTATATATTCCCTTGTAGGAATTTTGTAATGCATATATTAAAGACTCTAGAAAGTGCCCCAAAAAAGAAACCTATCGAACTTGGGTCTAGCCTAATATTCACCTAATATTTTGCTATTTTATCCCAAGTATTTATTTTGTATTTATACTAGCTGAGGTTTGTTGAGCTTCTTGGATGTATGGGTCAAACTTTTTTCTTTTCTTTTTTTTTTTTTTTAACTACATTTGGAAAAAAATTTAACATCATTTCTTCAAATGTTTTTCTGCCCCATTCTCTATTTTCCTTACAGGTCTCAATTGTACAATTAGATCTTTTCAGATTATCTCACAGTTCACTGATGCTCTATGTATTTAAGTCTTTCATCCTCTCCTTCTTCTGCGTTTCAGTTTGAATACCTTTCATTAAACTGCCTGTATTAATTCTTTATTCTTTGGTGTCCAATCTGCAACCAAGCCTCTCTTGTGAATTAAAAAAAATAACAGATATTGTATATTTTGGTGCTAGAATTTCCATTTGGTTCTTTGGAAAGTTTTCATATCTTGCCTGAAATATCTCCATTACATCTATCTTTTCCTATAAAACATTAAATGTATTTATAATTTATATAATTATAATTATTTAAAACCTTTGCTAAGTTCAATAATTGGGTCGTCTATGGTCTGTTTTTATTGGCTATGTTTTCTATTGATTATGTATCACATTTTCTTGCTTCTCGTATCTTGTAATTTTTTATTTCCTACTTGACTACATGAAATGTAAGGAGTCTAAAAGATGAAAGATTCTGAGAAAAAAGCTGTGGCTTTTCTCCATTCCACCTTGTGGAGAATGAGAATAGAACAGTCCATTCCTCTAACCAAGTGTAGGGCTTCAAGACATCCGCTTGTAGAGACAGTGGGTATCTGCAGGAAGGAAGACTGAAATTCTACTCCCTAGTTGGGCGCTTGATGTACAACACCCTTGAAGATCAGTCTGTGTGCCCTTTCAAACACGAGAAAAAGAACTGAGAAGAGACAACTAGGTGAAGAGAGGGCAACAGTGAACCAGCCTATATTGCCTTACTCTTTGCAACAAGAACATACGAATTCTGTGAGGATTAAGTGGACTAGGCTTGTACTGTATTGCCAGCTCTCCACTCTAAAGGGCGGCCTGCCAAGAGACTTGGGTTGGAGACTGGGAATGGCATCTGGAGGGAGACTGGGGTATCAGAAGAGCTTAAGCCACACTGGAAAATTCTGAGTGAAGAGGAAGCCTGCAGGGCTTTCTGGAGAACTCAGACATGAGCCTCATTGTATCATTAAGGGATAGGAAAGGAAACATGGATAGGAAAGGAAACACTTGAAAGTAATGGTTGTGCTGCTTCAGGATAGTACAACCTCATCAGGGTTTGGAATGCTTAATACACTGGTTAAAAATGAAGTTTCTTCTTTTGTTATCAGGTATAATAAGCCAGGGCTTGGGTATATCTTTCCTTCTACTTCATTCTAGCCTGGCACAGTGCCTAACACATAAGTTCATTGTGTTTAATATGTATATTTGTAATAAATGAACAAATGAATTAGAGTGTCCCCACTTCACCCTATACCTTCACTTCACTTTTTTTTCTCCCTAGCATTAATCAAATATGACACATTGTATATTTACTTATACATTTGGTTACTTCCTGTCTTCCCGATAGAAGCATTATAAAAGGTGGGTGGGGCGTACATTTTTCTGTATACTGTGTGTCCCGGGGCTTAGTGCAGTGACTGGCATCCAGTACATACTCAAACATTTTTTGCATGAATAATTTTGTTGTATGCCACACACACAACATAGAATATAAAAAGGTTGGGGGCACCTAAAAAGACAGAGTCATGGCAAACGTGATGTGTATTTTAGTAGCCCAGATAAAACTGAGGCAGAGGAGAATTTTTGTGGTAAAGTAATTTTTGAAAATAAATTGTGAAGCTACTGCACAGAATCTTTCTTCAAAAAAAATTCCCATAAGTTTTAACATATGTCTCTAAACCAGTACCTTTGCTCAAATCTTTTAACAATTGTGACATTTCAATAATTCACTCTATGCCAAGTATAAAGGAAGAAACAATTCCTGATTGAAAGGATTACAATCTAAGGAGTTAGTTGAACACCAAATATTTTAAAAACCAGTTGAAAAGACATTTGAGTACTGGCTGAGGCTTCATATAGTAATTACTGAGTCTGCTTAAGCAGATATAGTGAATATTAGCTTTGGAGAGATGGATTTCTTTTTTTTTTTTAAAGGTTTAATATGCAAAAGAAACATAATATTGAAACTAGAGAATTGTTTAATTTAATAATATTGTTGTGATATATATTTGCTCAGAATATTTCTTGACTTATAGTCCTTCTTCCATCTTGTTCCTATGGACACTGAGACGCAAGCCAGGTAAGGAATGGCGCCTTCAGTATCTCATGACTGTCAGACTGATCTGGCTTCAGAGTGTTTGTAAACAGGGTGGTGGCTGGCCTCTATCAGGGTCACTGTCAGTTGCAACATGGACAATGAAACCTGTCTGTGAATGTCTGTCTGCTGGAGAGAAAATAATAATAATAAAAAAGAGGTGTTAGTCTCTTGCCTTATGACCCTGAACTTTATGTAGCAAGTATTTCTACATTCATGTAAGCAACAGGCAGTGGGACAATTGGGAATCTAGCTCTGCTTCTCTTTGTCATCGTCTAATTAAGCTGCAGCCAAGCTGAACATACCAACCTTCATCCCTGCTAGATAAAAAGTGGGACCAGGCAGGAGCACAAGTCACAACACTATATTCCTTTTAGTCAAAGTTAGTGGATAGTGGAAGAAACTTCTTTGAGATTTTGCTTGATATTCCTTGGATGCTTAATGATAAGCCTGAAGGTAATGCTGGGACTTGAGGAACACCTATTTTAATAACCACACTTCCTAAAAACATGCGCTCTGACGTCAACAAGGTGTTGTTTCACCACGCAGGAAATTAACCAGAAAAAGAATTTGCAAGTGGCAATTTCTACAGTAATAGATTTTGATGAATATTTTTTCCAAAATGTTCTGCTGATGCTTGACATCGTAATGAATCATGCCAGATTACATCAATCATGTTGTGTCGCTTAAAAAACAACAATCCCCAAACCACAGTGTGACTGTTAAAGATGGAGTTGTAATGGGCCATAGTTAAGAAGTGTCTATTTTTAAAAAGAAAAAGATACTGCAAATACTTAATATTTTGTGCCCATTTGCCAAATTAAGAAAGGCTTTTAAACTTTATCTGAAAGGCAGGTTTAGAGAACAGTTTCATATTTATTTTTTTAACATGTGATATATTTGTTTCACCTACAAATATTTTAAACCATATATGCGACAAATTTACAAACTCGAATTGATTGGAGCCATTTTGAAAACACGATTCACTTCTTTCTAACTTGAACACAGTTCTTAGTTTATGGGACAAGTAGAAACATTCCCATGTAGAAACTAGGTTGTATTAAATAATGGTCTGCTTGGAGTAAGATATAGATGAAAAATGGGAATATAAAATTATTCTGAAGGTTTTGATACTGCCCATAATGTTTCTAAGGAAGATCTGTTACTTTGACCCACTTAAGTAAATTTCTATAAGATGTCAATGCTCTCAGAAACGAGGAGCATTTCCTCCTGTCTTTCCTTCCATTGTTATTTATCACTGTTTTCTCTTTTCTTGCCCCTAGAAGAAACGGAATAGCATCTACCATATTACATATTTTTTGAGATATAAAAATTGCTCCTTTGTTTTTGCTTCTCTAAAACAATTGTTCTCAAACTGTTTTAGCCCAAGAACTCTCTCTTCAATTACAATTTTAATATATAAAACAGATCAAAACTGCTCAGGTTGAAGGGGGTATAGGTGGTCCTCAAATCCTTGTTAAAGGGAATATGTTATTGACCCAGTTCGGTCTACAAAGAATACCTAAAGTGTGGTGTGATACATATTGCTTTATCTGCCTTTGTTTATTCAGATTTGATTCCTAATATTAGTAATTTTTGTTACTCTTTTCTGTTCCCCTCCCACATATTTATACGTGGAGCCTCAACCTGAAAATCTTTCAAAAAATTCTGCTGAAATTCTGCTGCAAGAAAATGAATGCTGTAGATGAACCATCTGATTAAGTTTACCGTGACTGGTCAACTTTTTGTATTGCAACAATATTTCTTAATACTTTGGGGACATGAATATCTCCACTGGTATTTTCTGGTTTCCAAAATTTGTGGTTAGATGAAAACTTGTGGAAATTTATTACAAATTCTTTTTCTATGTTTTTAAAACTCTAAGCTGATACATCAAATTCTTGGATTTTATACATGGTGCAATCATGCTAATATATGCAGGAGGGAGAATAGGAAAAAAGGACAGCGATCAATGTGTGTTAATTTGACACATAAGAAAGTCTGCACACATAAAGAAGGAGAACTTTTGGGTAGTGGGGTTGGATATGAAATCTGTAGTCAGCTGGCCTGGAGTTCAAATCCTTACACTAATTCCTAGTTGTAGAAATTTGACAAACAATTATCTTTCCCAAAGTCTCAGTTTTTTTGTGTGTAAAATGAGAATAGTAGAAGTAGCCAGCCAGATTTATTGTGAGGAGAAAATGACATAGTGCACATAAGACATTCATTCATTCATTCATTCATTCATTCATTCATTTAGAGACAGAGTCTCTCTCTGCCACCCAGGATGGAGTGCAGTGGCATGACCTTGGCTCACTGCAACCTCTGCCTCCCAGGTTCCAGCAATTCTTCTGCCTCAGCCTCCCGAGTAGCTAGAATTACAGGCGCCCATCACACTCCCGGCTAATTTTCATATTTTTAGTAAAGATGGGGTTTCACCATGTTGGCCAGGCTGGTCTCAAACTTCTGACTTCAGGTGATCTGCCCATCTTGGCCTCCCAAAGTGTTGGGATTACATGCATGAACCACTGCACCCGGCCACATAAGACATTTAACACGTAGGCCTCACTTTCAGCAAATCTTCACATGCCAACTATATTGTATACTCTATTTGGGGAAAAAATAGTTCATTGTAGTTTTTGCATGTCACTTTAGATTTTTCATGGTTTGGGGATATAACTAAATTTTTTTCTAACCTTTCTTAAGATAAAAAAATCAATCTTAATCATAGACTTTACTAAGAGGATCAAAAGGTACTCTACAAATAAATATTAATATTCTCATTCATGACTTGTAGAAATATAGACAGTAGTTTGACTGCAAGTCACGGTTGAGAAAATACCTGATTCTTTATCCCTCTCTCTCGAACCACTAGGAAATATTTACTCTATAAAAGAACTCTCCCTTGTTATTGGATCTCTTGCAGCTTTGACCTTTGGGCACTGGCTGGTACATTTTTGGATCATCTTCAAATGACCGGGATAAATTCTGGCTCAAAATTGAAAGAGAGATCAGAAATCCTTCATGGTGAATTGTGGCTTGGGGCCCTTTTAAAACTTCTCAAAGAACATCACAAACAATTTACCACCCTCTCTCAATTGCTGGCTTCATGAAAATTGGTGGTGTTTTGAGTGGATAGAGGCTCATGATTTACAAAGAGCTGTTTCCACTACCCAAGTTTTGCAACATGTGAGAGCAAGTCACAAGGGAAGGAAAGAGAACGTGAACTGCTTTGATGACTGTTGGCCATTGCCAAGGAAACTGCTCCCTTGGTAACCGTGGTCAGTACATCTGTCTAGTTGCATTTCTAAGGCTTGCATAGCTACTACCATGGAAAATGCATTTTAAAACAAACACATAGGAAAAAACAATTAAAACACAAATAAAAAATAATGGAGTTGATAAAAAATTCTTTGCTTTTATGGCAAAGTTGTTAGGATGGGTTACAATGTTCAGCAGAACATGTTTAGGGGTGTTACCCCATAAATGGAAACCAAAATGTCCCCAGTGTAAGCCAGCCTGTAAAATAAAACAAATCTAAATCATTGGGTTTATTAATCGCAAGACACGTTAATTTTAAGACATCACAAGAGTATTTGTGGGGAGCTTATTTCAAACGTTGAGCACTCCCAAGTAAATTAAGCTCAAGTTTGCATAACTTTATCTTAAAGAGAGATGTGGGCAGGAGAAAAGGAGATCAAGGTAAAGGCTAGTTTCGAGAAAGGATAGAATGTTTAAGATCTAGCAGAAGCTGAAAAAAGCGAGCTCTGATATAAAAATCTAAGACAGTAGGAAAACATGATTCTATTTATGAATGTTTGATTTAATCACAGTTCTTCAGGAATGCAATAACACATTACCTGAGGAATGCCTATGTTGAACTGCCATTGTCTTTGAGTGGCTAGATGAAGTTAACATTTGAACTTGCAAAGTTTGAGTAAAAACAGAAACATAAAGATTTTAATATATGTTACCTACATGAATTTCATGGGAAGTTTGTTGTTTCCACAAAATAATTTGTGAATTACAATTAAGATGGTGAATGAAACATTTGTTGAAATCATAATTCAAAGAGTTTATACCAAGAAGGAAGGAGTGTCCTTTACAAGTAAACACCTATATTAACATAAAAGGCTAAAGACATGTAATGGTAGTTATATTTTATATTCAGAAAACACCAGACCAATTAAGGAACAGAGGTAAGCTGTTGGGTTATATTTTCAGATGCATCTTAAACCACAGATTGTATTTAACAAATTCTTGATGTACTTTTTTTTTTTTTTTAAAGCACCTTAACATTGCTGCTGACCAGGCAGTGGTTGTGACAGAGTTATCACCTGTGCTTGCTCAGGAAAGCTCACTGCAGCAGTGAGTGTCAGCAGTTTGGAAGAAAGTCTTGGAGATAATAATTTAAGGATGCTAATATTCAAATAGTGCAGAACTTAAGAATATATTGAAAAACACAAATATCAACAACTGTGTAAAAAATGAATTTGGATGGGTTAAACTATAAATATGCAGAAATTTTAGGTATTTTAACCATTTATTTTACTTACTTTTTTGTGTTTTCACAAGCGTGAAATATGATACAAATATGTGACAAAGTTTAAAACTGTTATTTTGATAAGTATAGAATAAAAATTCTAGGTGATAAGAAAGCATTACGGTGAAGTTTAAGCAGCCATGTTTTTCTTTCTTAGTGGTAAGTAAAAAAAAATAGTGTGCCTTACAATTTACAGTATCTTAGAGTCAATGAAATATGGGAGTTAGTTGAGATGTCACCTTCTGTCATCTAAGAAGTGAGGTAAAAAGAGAATGAGAGAGACAGATGGTAATAGTGACCAAGAACGATGCTACCTACTGCCCTCTCCTGCCCTGAAAATAGAAGAAAGCAATGATAATAAAAGGTATTCAATGAATTGCTGACTAGTAAAGATAAAAGCATAAAGTTGGTAAGCACTTCTCTATGGCGAGGTATGCCATGATTAAACAAATGATTCAATCAATTTCATAGACGACCTTGGTGTTTAATCTTAGTCCGCCTCTGTCACTGAATCTGAAATCCAATTTAATGTCTGCTTTGTACATCAAAGAGCAAAAATAGGTCCATGCTACATATTTTCTTGAAGGAACAACTTAAATTAAAAGAGAAAAACCTTCCCAAATATTAAGGTTGATGTTGATGCATTAAGTAGGATAACTCTAAATTTGGCACTTCTATAGAGCAAGTTGATCTTTTCTCAGATAAATTATTCTTCAAGAATATCTTCAATGTCAAACCTCAAATGGTGTCTTACAATACTGCCAGTCAGTCATTGTATATGTTCTCTTTCAACTGATTTATCTACCAGGGCCTTTTTGTGCTTGTTGATTGCAAAGTCAATCTTGCATATATTCCGTTTTCCTGATCTGTTTGACAGAATCTTAGCGAAACATTCAAGGAGAAGATCCTGCTTCCATAGTTACATCACTCCTTTTGAGATTCCATTGCAATTCAGCAGCAGATAATACCAATTCCAACTTTATAGTGTAACTTCCATTTTGTGGAAAGCTATTTTCATTTTGGCACATTAACTAGTACAATATGAAAATGAAAAATCCTAAAGTGAATATGAAAATCTGTATACCCTCCAGCTGATTCTTCAAAGTTCATTTTTAAAATGTACTTGTTTTGAGATTCTCTGCTGTAGGAAAACTGTATTTACCAAACCATGTAGCACATTCCTAGACAGACACAATACCACTAAATCAGTCCATTTAATGTTGGCACTTTCCTTACTTGAGAGTTTGGTTTTGAGTACTGTTCTCCCTTCCTTGCTGATAATATAGTTTTTGGAGTATCTAGTAACTGCTGGCAAATTTTAGTCATCTTACCTAACTGGAGCTAAACCAAAATGATGGGTAGCACTAGGAAGGCCACATTTCCCAACCTACCTTGCAACCAGATGGGATCGTACAATGATGTTTTGGCCAATAGAATGTGGACAGAGTGATATAGCCACTTCCAGGTCTCACTCTTCTCTTTCTTCGCTTGTTGGATGATAGATCTCAAGAATCTAGGGAGGATTCTGAGACTTAAGGGAGGTCTGAACAGTAGAAGTAAGGAGACTGGGTCCATGTATGACTCTGTGGAGCAGAGTGACCCCACACTCTCAACCCAAATTTGACTGTGCCAAGGGTGACACATCACCCTCTGTTATGTTAATCTGCTGAAATGCTGGGACTGTGTGTTTCAACAACTAGGGTTACTTAACCTGATTAGTAATGATAGTGTAATAGTTAGAGAAATCCCCAACTATATTCTTTAGGAGTTCCACCAGATATTATATAGTATATAATATAGAAATATGGCCTTTGTAACATATGACAACTTAATTGAAATGTGTCTGGACATTTATTCCCTCATCTCAGAATTTTTTTTTAAATTTTAATATTTTAAATTTTAATTTTCATGAATACATAGTAGTATATATTTGTGGGGTATATGCAATAATTTGATACAGGCAGAGAGTGGGTAATGATCAAATTAGGGTAATTAGAATATCCATCACCTCAAACACTTATTATTTCTTTGTGTTAGGAACATTCCAATTCTACTTCTATAGTTATTTTAAAATATACAATAAATTATTTTTAATTGTACTTGCTCTATTATGTTACTGAACATTAGATGTCATTCCTTCTATCTAACTCAAGTGTAGATCCACTGACTAACCAATCTTCATCCCCACCACCTCCTCAGTACCCTCCCTGGCCTCTCTGGTAATGATCATTCTACTCTCTATTTCCATAAGGTCAACTTTTTTTTAGCTCCTACATTTGAGAACATGTGACAGAAAAATATAGAATGTTCCACAAATTTGCGTGTCATCCTTGTGCAGAGGCCATGCTAATCTCCGTATTGTTCCAATTTTAGTATATGTGCTTTGAACTGAGTACTCTGAAATGTTTTTGAGTGTTATTTTCCAAGCATTGGATAAGTTCGGGGGATACCATAAAAAGCCAAATAGGCGTGGTTATAGTCCACAGAGCTTATAGTCCAGGAAGTAGATGTTGACCAATGGATACACATATAAATGTAAAATTATAACCATGCTCCTTTCTATGACATACAGAATCATGATCCTATCAGACATAAAAATAGAAATATTTGACTTCATTAGGGAGGCATCCATGAGGAAGGATTCCATGCTGAGAGGGGCAGATGTGTGGTTACCACATGAAAGTCAGATGGCAGGAGACAAAATGAAAGAGGGTCAGAGTGGGTGGAGCAGGCAGAGTGAAGGGAAATGGGTCAGGTGAGCCTAGATAAGAGTACAGGTTAGAGGAAGTATTTTACTCTTCACTTAGACACTAAAGAATGACATTTGCCCTTTGCCCTTTGAAAAACACTGCTCTGGCTACATTTTGGGGAATGGATTGGACATGAACATGTACCTATATTTATATGAAGGGAGTATGTGGTAATATGAGACTCACCTGTCAAGATACATGTACCTGGCTGGGTGTGGTGGCTCATGCCTGTAATACCAGTATTTTGAGAGGACAAGATGGGTGGATCACTTGAGTCCAGGAGTTCGAGACCAGCCTAAGTAACATGGTAAAACCTTGTCTCTACAAAAAAAATACAAAAAAATTGGCCAAGCCTGGCGGCATGTACCTGTAGTCCCAGCTACTTGGGAGCCTTAGGTGGGAGAATCACCTGAGCCCAGAAGGCAGAGGTTTCACTGAGCTGAGATTGTGCCACTGCACTCCAGCCTGGGTGACAGAGTGAGACACCGTCTCAAAAAAAAAAAAAAAAAAAAAAAAAGAGAGAGACATAGCTCAGGAAAAAAGGAAATATAAAAACAGTTCAGCAAAGGAAAAGTTTTTGGGATTTGGATGATTGGTGTTTTGGTAAACTTGTTACTTTCACCTTTGTGTCTTTTTTTTTTTTTTTTTTTTTTTTTTTTTTACCATTATAGATCAGTAGTTCAATATGGCAAGTTTGAGACAGGAGACATTGGTCTTAGGCCAGTGTGAACATCCAAAGCAAATGAGATTGCAGTGAACTACGAGGCTGGTGTGAGTGAGATTTTTGTTATCAGTTGCCCTAGCATCCAATCCCCTGTGGAAACCTGCAAGTCACTCATCCACAGCAACCAAGTAAGAGGACTCCCCTCAAAAGACACTGGGATGCTTTGACACTCATTATTTGGAAGATAAGGAGACACCACAGTTTGTCCACAAAATTTATGAAGGACTGTGCCCAAAACACAAAGGAGAAAGACCTGCTTGGCTTCCCTCTCTGATCTACCCAGATTTCTGACAACCATGTCCCTCTGTCTCAGATTGTTTTCCAGTTCCCAAGAGAATGAGATGTTGATATCTTGAATCTTTTATATAGACTTGTTTTCTTTCTCTCTGTATATGAGAACTGCTGCTATGGAGGCTTATGATTCAGTAATCACCTTGAGATATTCCTTTTCCTTCTCGGGGCCCCGACTGTATTTCTCACCCTTGCGATCCAGGCTGCAGAGCCTGACAAACGCACCCTCTCAACCACATCAACACCAGCGCAGGTTCAGACTGGCCTTCTCTCCTCCACACACGAGGGAAAGAGCTGGACGCTCAGCCCTTTGTTACTTTTTATTTTTAGACTCAATTCACCTCTCCAGAAGCAATACATAGAGAGAATGCTGAATAGACTGCCCTGCATTGAGACACTTCTCAAAGATATCTTTTTCCCTTTAAGAAAGAATGACTGATTGCAAGTATTTATTTTCTAAGGTACAATTGTAGACCTTCAAAGTCAGACTGTTAATTTGATGATATTAACTTTTGAGTCACTTGACTAGTCAGTTTAGGAAGCAACAATTCTCTCAAAACTCTTATAATTACATTTGGACAAGTTTGTGCGTAGGACCGCAAGTCCATCAGCTTATTATAACCATAGTGCGTTCACACACCATCTTCATTATCTTGTGCTAAAGAAGAGAGCACACACTCCTCTGTGGGTAATTTTAGATTGGCCACTGACACACTCTGCAGTGTTTATAAAGAAAACAAAACTTGGATGTTGGCCCTTTTAATTATAACTGGCAGAATTGCTACACCCAAAAATCACATAATCTCTTCACCATATTATATCTTTGAAGACATCTGCTTGCAAAGCAGTAACAAGGAACTTGAATTCTAAAAACAAACTTTGTACTAGATTGATTGGTTTGGCGAGCCACGCTTCTGAAGTACTGACGGATTCTGAAAGATATATTCCTGAACTTCAAGAAAAGTTTAAAATATGCTATAATGGAGTTACATCAAATTGTCTTTGGTCTGGACATGCAGATTAGAGACTGAGATCCTATTTCATCGTGAAGGAAGGTCCAACTGGCCCAGTGGCAAATATCATAAATGTCACCAGTCATTCTGCGTTTTTGTTTTGAGTTTCCAAATAAACATCTAGCCAGTGAAATAGCTGGATAGTCCAGTGCACTATTTCACCTGAGAAATGATCATCACATAAGGTTCTATGTTCTAGGTGCTTTATATATAATATTGTGAAGACAACTGAGAGTGCTGAACATTCCACCAGAGGGAGAAAGCTGATCTTTGACATCATCTTTACTATTTATCAAGCATATACCTCTCTTCATGTAGATTTGGGATATGATCTGAGTCCATTTTTTGAGTAATTACATTGTGATCCTAGTCACTTCCCCCGGGGCAGATCATTTCGCAGTTTGCAGAGTTCCTAAACTCATAGTACTGTAGCCTGAAAGATGAAATGGAACAATTAATCGTTATCTATGCTCTGCAGATGAGTAAGAATCTTTCCTTTCGTAGGAGATTCGTGCATGTGTATTTGAATTAACAGTCTAAGAAAAAACCCAATGCAAAAGCCTGAATTTGTTGCCAAAATAAAATTGCCTACATCTTATGTAGTCATGTAACTCATAAGGTTCCACCCTCCTTCCATAACTCTAGCCAAAGAGTCTGTTTTTCCTTCCCTAACACAGTGTTTTCTGGAGCCCAGGACTAGTTTTTAAACACTAAAATGACTTAAGAAGGCTGCTGGAAAAGTGAAAGCAATCTCATTGTACTGTATTAGTTCAACCAAAATGACTAACACATTTCAACATTTAGAATGTCCAATTGAACAAATATTTACTGCTCAGTTAGTAGTTTTAAGAATCTTTGTCCAAAATTACTTATCTTGTGGTAATGCTTTGAATATTGAGTATACATTTTAGATAAAGCAATTTTTCCTTTGATGTTAAAAATTGCCTTTATAAATAGGTACGTTGCCTAAAAATTATAAAATTGCATGTATTATTGGTAAGAGTTGAAAGTTCCCCAAAAGCTTCACAGATGTTGAAATTTGTTGTCATTCTAACGTTAATTTTATTAGTCCAAAGTATTTTTTCCCAAATGTTTTTCTGAGAAGTGCAGAGCAACTGCTGTTACCCCAGAGCACTGAACTATTAACTGTTAATGGCAGGGGAGTTTTCACATTCCAATATTTCAGCTGCATGCTTGGATATAAGTTATTTTGTTCATACATCCCCTTCTTGCAAATACGTAAGGCAGGAAAGTTAATAATTTTTGTGTTTGTTAAAAACTCCTGAATGTCTTCATATATGTAGCACAGACTCCAGAAACATTATTAGAACTAGCAAACCACTAGGATGATAGAAAGTGTGAAATTAAAACAAAAAGGTTTACAGTACTAAGAATGATTTATTTTAATGGAGCTAGTTCAGCGTTTCCATTTTGTGTATTTATGGTGCAGTTATTCAACATGTTTTCTTTTTTGGTAGGTCATGACAGGGAGACTTTGGCTGAAGAAAATCACAACAGACGAGAGATAATGCAAGAGAAAAATAAAACAATTCCATGAGGATGTCATTCTGGAACTTCCTGTTACCAGGGAGTGAGATCAGGATGCTTGGGGCAAGGTACATTTGGGTAAAGCTTTGGATTCTTAGAACTTCCACTGAGCACTGAGGGACAAAAGACTAGCAGGGGCTTCTAATTAGAAGAGTTTTGCAGCATGTGCTAAAGCTTACTTTCTTTAGAGTGCATGGCGTTATGCCCACAGATAGATGTCCCAGTTTCAAGTTGTGGGTGATTTTTATGCAAGTCTGTTTTATAGAATTAGTCTTCCAAGGTGTTTACATGGGCCAGGTAAAATCTTGATCATCAAGGGAAGATAGGTATATATGTACACACTGCAAAATAATTTGTCTCAAAGGTTGCTAACCCACAAAATTCCCCCCCAGGCTCAGAGAATCTAGAAAAGCCTCCGACTTCTACACAGCTCTCTCAAATGTGAAGGAAGGAGGCATGACTGCTCTTTGATTCTCATAGGAAATGTAAAGATGTAATTTCTGCAGTGAGTAATGGTACAAATAAAATTATGTTTATTATTATTTTATTCGTGGCATTTAATTATAGAGGGAGATGGGTAGTCAGATAGCAAAACAGCCATAAACAAGGGAAAGGCCCCTCTGTTTTTAAATGAATGCTCTAAAACAATTGGGAAGAACATTAATAGAACACCCGGCGAAAGACAGACTCGCAAGCTTATGCATTCACTTGGGGTTCATCAAATAATGGACCACTGGCCTATTTTTCAAGCCATTTCTCTGCAGTAACTTGACATTTGATAGGATTACCTTTGGATTTTGGTCTCAGTCTCTGCTATGCCTGAGATTGTCTTCTTTTGATTTAAAGATAATAGAGCCAAACATGCGAAACTGTTCTGTAAAGAGTCAACCTGTGACTCATAACCAAATATCAAAAAAGATTTTGTCTACAGTTTGCTTTCTTACCTCACTGTTATAACTGAAATGATCAAATGACTAGTTTCCATTATAAACACCATATATTTATTTTGTAAAAAAGCTTGACATTCTTCCGAGATGAAATATAATAGTATCATAAACCTCCAAGGCAATTCTGTTCCCCTTAAGACTCACAGCATTTGCTGATTATAATTTTAATTCGAAAGTTTCACCAGAAAAGGTGAATCAATTTTGCTTAAGCATAATGTTGAACAATTAAAAAAAAGCATCTGAGCAGGTCTGACATAGATAAAACCAAATTATGAGGCAGTGGAATTGTAAACAAAACACACTTTAACATTGGCAATGGACTTGACCATTCAAAATACAGTTAATAAGTTTCCAAACATGCAAGTTCTAATTTTAAAATTAAGCCTTCTAATTGCCAATTTCAAAAAAATGTAATGAGTTTAGAGTGGCCTTTTTATTATGCATGGTTTTATGTCTTTGGATTTCAAAATTACCTAGCATGCATTTTCAACTTTGCTACAATTTCCGGGCTGTTTTCATTTCTATTTAAAAAGGCTAAACAGTAAGATGTGCCTCTGCTTTGCATTCTGATTGCATGTAACTGATTTGCACAGCAGAACAAAAAACTCATTTTCAGATTAAGAATCGTGCACCAAGAAATAATTATTGTTCTACTAGAAAAAAATATTTTCCCACTTTCTCCCCTCATTTACGTGAACTGTTTGCCATGTTTCTCCCAGGTTGCTATCTTTTATAGACCACCATGCATTGCTCTTTAGGGACTCAAATAATGCAAATGGAAACAAGGAACATACAACTGTTTTGACTACATTCTTCTGCTTGCAACATAACACTTGCCTTTTATTATTTTATCTTCAACAATCAAGGGGTGACTAAATGGTTGCAGGTGGTGATGAAAATAAAAGCCATCCATCATTATTTATTAGGCATGAAAAAGATACACAATAATGTAATTTAATCTCAGAGCAGACAATTATTTCCACATATTGATAATACAATGTGAAAACTGTCATGAATTCTAATATGATATTTTGGCTTTATTGGTACGCCACAGCCAGCATGACAAATAATGAAATTGTATCAAAAAGAAAAAAAAAGGTAATTATGTGCATATGTCAATATCATGGGTGGAAAACATATCACCACATCTTTAAAGCTTCTTCATTATAACTTGACGAATTCAAAAGTTTGAAGTGGAAAAAGGTGTATTTCCAGTTTTCACTATTTAAGACAAAATCTATTACATTTGCACCACAACCTAGAATCTGAGTAAACACTGATGATGTGTTTTATCATATAAAATTTTTGAGAAACAGACAGTCTGCTAAAATATTTGCGAGAAGTATATATGCACTATAGGCTCAAATTTCTAACATGTTCTTTGGTTCACTTTAGTCTGGTAAAAATTTGCAGATGAAAACTCTGTGATCTCTAGTTTGAGCAGCATACACATGCCTATTAAATGTAGCAAAGAACGTACCTTTTAGCCAAATAAAGCAAATGGTTGAAAATAAACATCTTTGGTAGGAAAAATCCTGACTGATGAAATGTTTGGTTAAAAAAAGTGAAAGCGAATTTTTCATTATGTTAAATGATTTCTATTTCTCTTAGGTTGCTGAACTCCTTTCTTCAAATAGGCTTTGGTAGGAGAAAATAGGACAACAAAGAGACAAACTAGCATTTGATCTGTGTAGATGGGAACCAGAAACGTTTTCTGACTCCTATTTGAATAGATTTTAGTTTCTGTAAAGGAGTTATCATGATTAGAGACTTTCCAACTTAGAAATGAGATCGTTTTTAAAGTACCTTTACTTTATGCGGTATACACACACACACACACACACACACACACACACACACTCATTCTACAGCACATATACGCAGCATGCTCTGTACTTTCTTGGAGACTAATTTATTCAGGGTTCACATATAGATTACAAATATATTATTGGATAAGATAAATGATCTCCTCTTAGAAAAATGCCTTTTAGAATTATTAAGGAAGAAAAATATTTTAGACTTGGCTTTGAGTGGTGGGCAGGACCTGGAAGAAAAAGTATCTCTGAGTGATCACAACACTGTGACCATTCTGGGCTGGGAGAGAACATTTATATATCATGTGGTTACTCAATTTTATAAAAGGAACCTAAGAACAAGTGTAGGCACTGGTTAGGAAAAACAAATGAAAGGAATAATTTAAAAAGTCAATAAGCCACAGGAAATCTGGAGACTGTTTAAAAACACCTTACTGGAAGCCTAGCAAAAGTATGTGCCAGAGATCAAAGGGACACTTGGAAATGTGGCCCAAGTAAGGAAACCAGGGAGATCCGCAAACTATGGCAGGTCAGGTGTGAACAAGAATGCAGGCAAGCCAAAAGAGAATTCAAGAGTACCTTGCAAGTGACTCCAAAGCTAATAAAAATGTTCTTCAAAATATATCCATGGCAGGAAACCAAATAGAGAACTAATGGGCCGATCAAGTGACCCACTCTGGGCAGAAGAGATATTCTTCTTGGAAGACAGAAACTCTTCTGACTTGACTAAAAATGATTCATTTATTCATTTGTTTATTCAGTCCTTCCATATTTTCACACATTCAAACATCTATTCATCCATCTATTCAGTTATCTATTCACTCAACAGCAAAAAAAAAAAAAAAAAATGCAGAATGTGCTACCACAAGCCAGACTTTTGAGTTCAGTACTGGGAATATAATAGAAATATACATCATTCACTTATTCATTATTTTCACTCATTCAATCATCTATTCACTCATCCATCCATTTGATTATCTATTCATTCTACAAAAAAATTACAGAAGGTCTATCATGGAATAGACCCCGCGTTAAACACTGGGAATATATTAATATATAAGACATTCATTCATTCAATTGATATTTGTCTACTATGTCCCAAGCACTGGTTTAATTCTTTGAGATACATCAGTGAACGAAAGATACAATATCGCTGCTTAAATCTAGCTTCCTTTCCAGCAGGGAAGAGCAGTGCAGGTAGGCAACATAAACAATTAACAACTGATCATGAAATCACAATCAACCGTTTAGTATGAAAGTATTATTATGAAGGACAAGTTCAGGTAGCTATGAGTGTCTGATGGAGGCTCTGTCTGATGTAGAGAGTAGCACCCCATTCAAGGACTGGAAGAAACACGAGGGAGGAAGAGAGAAGCCAGAGATCAGTATGGTGAGATGACACAAAGACCACATTCTGTTGGGCTTGAAGGGCTATGTGAAGAATGCTAGATTTTACCTAAAGAACAATGGGAAGACACTGAAGGATTTTAAGCAAGAGTGATCTGCTTCAAAAGTTTGACACTCTTCTGTTCAAAACCCTGTGATGATTCCCTATTTCAAATAGGGTAAAAGCTGAAGTCTTTACAATCACCTCCAGGAACCTCCATGTTATTTTCTCTATAGCTCTCCAACTTAACTTTTTTTCACCCCTATCCACTGCTCATGGTGCTCTAGCTACACTGGTCTCTGTGCCCACTGGCTATTTCCCCCTGAAATCCAAATGGCTAATCCTTATCTTATTCAAGTCCTTTCTCAAATGTCATCTTGTCTATCAGGCATATCCTGAGCACCAGACTTAATACTGTAACTTCCCTACTACATCTACTTTTACCTTGCTTTGCATTTTTTCTCCCCATAGCACTCATTACCTTCTGATTTTCAGCACAATTTATTTATTATGTTTTGCACATTGTCTATACCCTGGCCCTCCTCTACAAGTCATATGTACTCTACATGAGGGAAGCAATTGTTATCCTTTGTTCACACATTTATCCTAATCCACTAAAACAGTGCCTAGGACATAAAACTCAATAATCATTTGCTAAATAAACCAATTAATAAATGCATTGGTCAACAAAATCATATTGGCATTTTAAGAAAATTACACTGGCTGAAACTTGAAGAACAAGTTGGGAAGGGTTAAATGTAGATGTAGAAAAACAAGAGGCTATTTTGAGGGTCCAGTAAAAAAACAATGAAAACACAGACTAGGGAGATGATGGCAGAAATGAAGAAAAGTAAACTGGTTTTAAGGTATTTTTTTTTTTTAGATAGAATCATCAGGCTCTAGATTGGATACTTACAGCTAAACCTGGCTCACACTGATTTGCAAGAGCTGATTTTAAATTTTCAGAAATTCTGTGAGTTGGTTGTAAGCACAGATATTAAAAATTAAATTATATAAACTTATAATAAATTACATCAAAACACGGGTAATAAGTACTCAAAAGCCATTCATTCCTAATTATTTCACTACATTTTGCTATTAGCTAACTCTTGAGATTATTTATATCTGTGGTGCTTTTTGGTGAAATACTATATGTTGGTGTATTATCACACAAATCTTTCCAATTCACATTCAGTTATGTCATATTGGTAGCTTGAAATCAGCTATGGTGGGAGGATTTGCTCCTTGGTAATTGTCAACTACTATAACTAAGGGCTTGATTTATTGCACTATTGATTTTCTAGACTTAAGCAAGTGATGGAGAAAGTGTCAATGATTCAGATTAAATTTAAGTGTGTCATGTCTGTAGATGTCTCATTGTTAAATCACATGAAATAGAGAAAATATTCTTCCAGTGTGTAAAAACAATCATTTGATCCATCAAAGAAGTCTTTCACATTATGGACAAAACAATAAAATTTCAGCATATGTTTTTATTGTTTCACCCTTGTCTTACTCTTTAATGTAAAGGAAATGATCAACCAACACACATGTCAGAAATACTCTTGTCCGTTAGTTGCAACAATAAGTTGGCTATGGATCTAAGAGTTTGGCAAAAAACAATGAAAGTATTCTGTGAGAATCAATATGCTATATGAAATTTACAATAAAGGGTATTGTATATTTTATTATTATTCATAAACTGTGTGCTATAGTTTTATATCAATATTATCTATGATAAATCTAAATATGTATGTATACACTATTATTATTTTTTAAGATAACTTGTTGTTAAACATTATACTACTGAGAATATGGGTCAAGAGAAAAGAAATAGCCAAAGATGGCTGCCAGTTTCTGTCTTGTTAACTGCCTGAATGGTGCTCCTCATTCCCGTATAGGGGAAACATTAGAGAATAACTAGGTTTGTTGGCTAGGGATAGGGAAGAGAGTGTCATTGGTTAGGCTGGGCGATAGTGAGATTGAAGAAACAGACTTCAAGTTCAGGTGGCCAGGTAGACAGACAGTGCTGGAAAACAAAAGAGAACTCTAAGCTGGAGCCATCATTTGGGTGATTTCTGTAAATCGTAATTAAAGACTTGAAAGTGGATTGAGCAATTCTGAGTGTTTTCTCCAAATTGACTTCTGAAGCAGAGTTTGGAATCATTTGGATAAAAGTGGCAAATATTGGATGTTGTAGTCTGATTAACAAATTAACAGTATGTATATAACCAGGGCTAAATAATATCCTCCAAGAATATTGGAGGTTTAATCAGGGATATAGACCAGGGATATGTTCTCTTTTATTAGAGAAGAGTATCTTAGTTAAATGGACAGTGTCAAAGATATAGACCGTTGTTGAGGGCCTGGGGTAAGTAAGTAGGAGATTATGATGGGTGCCCTGTGTGAGTAGACTTGAGTTATTTACTTATTAGTTACCGATAGTTCTGAGTACTGTTAGTAGGATTATTTAATTACTAGCTAAAATAAAACATAGGGGGTCAGATCCTCAAAAATAGGATCTTTCTCTGAGGTCTTCATCTACCTGTTAAAGATCCATGAACTTTTACTTCTGGGAAGACAGGCAGATGTGGTTTTCTCTACTCCATAGACCCCTGAAAAGTGGAGTACAGAAGATAGACCAGGTAGGGACTTTAGGATTTAAGGAAAAAGATGGAAGTGAATTTCCAGGGCTTCCTTTTTGTGTCATATATCCCAGACTTGGAGCTGAAGAAGCCAGCAATCCGGCACTGCCAATGGGCCCAGGAAAAAGAAAAGCAATCCCAAACAAAAGTCTACTATCTTGTCAAAGGATTAGGAAATGGCAGCCTACCAGAAAACTTGTAGAAAATAACCATTCTATTCCAGCCAAACACCACTGAAAAAAATGTGGTCTCACCTGACCCACACCAGCAAAGATAAAGTGGGGAGCCTAGATGCCCACTTTTGTGAGACTGTAATGAGGCTCCCCAACACTACCACTAGGCTAGTGTCAGAGAAGGCTGAGTAGAGAGCCCAGATTTTTACTGAGTAGTCATGAGACACCTCAACCCTCATCCCCACTGTGTTGCTGGGCATTGCATGGGAAGCTGAGACTTCCATCCCCACCCGGCAATAATGTGGAGCCTACCATCACCTCTAGCATCAACAAAGGCCAAGTTAAGAACATGGACTGCTATCTCATTTGGCAGTGACAAAACATTGCTTCTGCCTTCCCTGCTGAAGTGGTGATGGAAAACTTCAGCTAAGGGGCCATTCCAAGATGGCCAATTAGGAACAGCTCCAGTCTACAGCTCCCAGAGTGAGTGACGCAGAAGATGGATGATTTCTGCATTTCCAACTAAGATTGGAAGACAGTAGTGGTTCTCCCAGCATGCAGCTTGAGATCTGAGAATGGACAGAGTGCCTCCTCAAGTGCGTCCCTGACCCCCAAGTAGCCTAACTGGGAGGCATCCCCCAGTAGGGGCAGACTGACTCATCACATGGCTGGGTACCCCTCTGAGACAAAACTTCCAGAGGAACGATCAGGCAGCAATGTTTGCTGTTCACCAATATTCGCTGTTCTGCAGCCTCCGCTGCTGATTCCCAGGCAAACAGGGTCTGGAGTGGACCTCCGGTGAACTCCAACAGACCTGCAGCTGAGGGTCCTGGCCATTAGAAGGAAAACTAACAGAAAGGACATCCACACCAAAACCCCATCTGTACGTCACCATCATCAAAGACCAAAGGTGGATAAAACCATAAAGATGGGGAAAAAACAGAGCAGAAAAAGGGAAAATTCTAAAAATCAGAGTGCCTTTCCTCCTCCAAAGGAACGCAGCTCCTCACCAGCAACAGAACAAAGATGGATGGAGAATGACTTTGACGAGTTGAGAGAAAAAGGCTTCAGACGATCAAACTTCTCCGAGCTAAAGGAGGAAGTTCGAACCCATGGCAAAGAAGTTAAAAACTTTGAAAAAAGATTAGACGAATGACTAACTAGAATAACCAATGCAGAGAAGTCCTTAAAGTACCTGATGGAGCTGAAAACCATGGCACAAGAACTGCGTGACAAATGCACAAGCCTCAGTAGCCGATTCGATCAACTGGAAGAAAGGGTATCAGTGATGGAAGATCAAATGAATGAAATGAAGTGAGAAGAGAAGTTTAGAGAAAAAAGAATAAAAAGGAACGAATAAAGCATCCAAGAAATATGGGACTATGTGAAAAGACCAAATCTACGTCTGATTGGTGTATCTGAAAGTGATGGGGAGAATGGAACCCAGTTGGAAAACACTCTGAAGGATATTTTCCAGAAGAACTTCCCCAATCTAGAAAGGCAGGCCAACATTCAAATTCAGGAAATACAGAGAATGCCACAAAGATACTCCTCGAGCAGAGCAACTCCAAGACAAATAATTATCAGACTCACCAAAGTTGAAACGAGGGAAAAAATGTTAAGGGCAGCCAAAGAGAAAGGTCGGGTTACCCACAAAGGGAAGCCCATCAGACTAACAGCTGATCTCAAAGCAGAAACTCTACAAGCCAGAAGAGAGTGGGGGCCAATATTCAACATTCTTAAAGAAAAGAATTTTCAACCTAGAATTTCATATCCAGCCAAACTAAGCTTCATAAATGAGGAAGAAATAAAATCCTTTACAGACAAGCAAATGCTGATTTTGTCACCACCAGGCCTGCCCTAAAAGAGCTCCTGAAGGAAGCACTAAACATGGAAAGGAACAACCGGTACCAGCCACTGCAAAAACATGCCAAATTGTAAAGACCATTGAGGCTAGGAAGAAACTGCATCAACTAACGAGCAAAATAACCAGCTAACATCGTAATGACAGGATCAAATTCACACATAACAATATTAACCTTAAATGTAAATGGGCTAAATGCTCCAATTAAAAGACACAGACTGGCAAATTGGATAAAGAGTCAAGACCCATCAGTGTGCTGTATTCAGGAAAGCCATCTCATGTGCTGTGACACACATAGGCTCAAAATAAAGGGATGGAGGAAGATCTACCAAGCAAATGAAAAACAAAAAAAGGCAGGGGTTGCAATCCTAGTCTCTGTTAAAACAGACTTTAAACCAACAAAGATCAAAAGAGACAAAGAAGGCCATTACATAATGGTAAAGGGATCAATTCAACAAGAAGAGCTAACGATCCTAAATATATATGCACCCAATACAGGAACACCCATATTCATAAAGCAAGTCCTTAGAGACCTACAAAGAGACTTACACTCCCACCCAATAATAAGGGGAGACTTTAACACCCCACTGTCAACATCAGACAGATCCACGAGACAGAAAGTTAACAAGGATATCCAGGAATTGAACTCAGCTCTGCACCAAGCAGACCTAATAGACATCTACAGAACTCTCCACCCCAAATCAACAGAATATACATTCTTCTCAGCACCACACCGCACTTATTCCAAAATTGACCACATAGTTGGAAGTAAAGCTCTCCTCAGCAAATGTAAAAGAACAGAAATTATAACAAACTGTCTCTCAGACCACAGTGCAATCAAACTAGAACTCAGGATTAAGAAACTCACTCAAAACCGCTCAACTACATGGAAACTGAACAACCTGCTCCTGAATGACTACTGGGTACATAACGAAATGAAGGCAGAAATAAAGATGTTCTTTGAAACCAATGAGAACAAAGACACAAAATACCAGAATCTCTGGGACACATTTAAAGCAGTGTGCAGAGGGAAATTTATAGCACTAAATGCCCACAAGAGAAAGCAGGAAAAATCTAAAATTGACACCCTAACATTACAATTAAAAGAACTAGAGAAGCAAGAGCATCTACACATTCAAAAGCTAGCAGAAGGCAAGAAATAACTAAGATCAGAGCAGAACTGAAGGAAATAGAGCATAACTGAAGGAAATGGAGACACAAAAAACCCTTCAAAAAATCAATGAATCCAGGATCTGGTTTTTTGAAAAGATCAACAAAATTGATAGACTGCTAGCAAGACTAATAAAGAAGAAAAGAGAGAAGAATCAAATAGACACAATAAAAAATGACAAAGGGGATATCACCACCGATCCCACAGAAATATGAACTACCATCAGAGAATACTATAAACACCTCTATGCAAATAAATTAGAAAATCTAGAAGAAATGGATAAATTCCTGGACACATACACCCTCCCAAGACTAAACCAGGAAGAAGCTGAATCTCTGAATAGACCAATAACAGGCTCTGAAATTGAGGCAATAATTAATAGCTTACCAACCAAAAAAAGTCCAGGACCAGATGGATTCACAGCCGAATTCTACCAGAGGTACAAGGAGGAGCTGGTACCATTCCTTCTGAAAGTATTCCAATCAATAGAAAAAAAGGGAATCCTCCCTAACTCATTTTATGAGGCCAGCATCATCCTGATACCAAAGTCTGGCAGAGACACAACAAAAAAAGAGAATTTTAGACCAATATCCCTGATGAACATCGATGCAAAAATCCTCAATAAAATACTGGCAAACCAAATCCAGCAGCACATCAAAAAGCTTATCCACCATGATCAAGTGGGCTTCATCCCTGGGATGCAAGGCTGGTTCAACATATGCAAATCAATAAATGTAATCCAGCATATAAACAAAACCAATGACAAAAACCACATGATTATCTCAATAGATGCAGAAAAGGCCTTTGACAAAATTCAACAGCCCTTCATGCTAAAAACTCTCAATAAATTAGGTATTGATGGGACGTATCTCAAAATAATAAGAGCTATTTATGACAAACCCACAGCCAATATCATACTGAATGGGCAAAAACTGGAAGCATTCCCTTTGAAAACTGGCACAAGACAGGGATGCCCTCTCTCACCACTCCTATTCAACATAGTGTTGGAAGTTCTGGCCGGGGCAATCAGGCAGGAGAAGGAAATAAAGGGTAGTCAATTAGGAAAAGAGGAAATCAAATTGTCCCTGTTTGCAGATGACATGATTGTATATCTAGAAAACCCCATCGTCTCAGCCCAAAATCTCCTTAAGCTGATGAGCGACTTCAGCAAAGTCTCAGGATACAAAATCAATGTACAAAAATCACAAGCATTCTTATACACCAAAAACAGACAAACAGAGAGACAAATCATGAGTGAACTCCCATTCACAATTGCCTCAAAGAGAAGAAAATACCTAGGAATCCAACTTACAAGGGATGTGAAGGACCTCTTCAAGGAGAACTACAAACCACTGCTCAATGAAATAAAAGGATACAAACAAATGGAAGAACATTCCATGCTCATGGATAGGAAGAATCAATATCGTGAAAATGGCCATACTGCCCAAGGTAATTTAGAGATTCAATGCCATCCCCATCAAGCTACCAATGACTTTCTTCACAGAATTGGAAAAAACTACTTTAAAGTTTATATGGAAACTAAAAAGAGCCTGCATTGCCAAGTCAATCCTAAGCCAAAAGAACAAAGCTGGAGGCATCAAGCTACCCGACTTCAAACTATACTACAAGGCTATAGTAACCAAAACAGCATGGTACTGGTACCAAAACAGAGATATAGACCAGTGAAATGGAACAGAGCCCTCAGAAATAATACCACACATCTACAACTATCTGATCTTTGACAAGCCTGACAAAAACAAGAAATGGGGAAGGGATTCCCTATTTAATAAATGGTGCTGGGAAAACTGGCTAGCCATATGTAGAAAGCTGAAACTGGACCCCTTCCTTACACCTTAGACAAAAATTAATTCAAGATGGATTAAAGACCTACATGTTAGACCTAAAACCGTAAAAACCCTAGAAGAAAACCTAGGCAATAACATTCAGGACATAGGCATGGGCAAGGACTTCATGTCTAAAACACCAAAAGCAATGGCAACAAAAGCCAAAATTGACAAATGGGATCTAATTAAACTAAAGAGCTTCTGCACAGCAAAAGAAATTTCCCTCAGAGTGAACAGGCAACCTACAGAATGGGAGAAAACTTTTGCAATCTACTCATCTGACAAAGGGCTAATATCCAGAATCTACAATGAACTCAAACAAATTTATAAGAAAAAAACAACCCCATCAAAAAGTGGGCAAAGGATATGAATAGACACTCCTCAAAAGAAGACATTTATGCAGCCAAAAGACACATGAAAAAATGCTCATCATCACTGGCCATCAGAAAAATGCAAATCTAAACCACAATGAGATACCATCTCACACCAGTTAGAATGGCAATCATTAAAAAGTCAGGAAACAACAGGTGCTGGAGAGGATGTGGAGAAATAAGAACACTTTTACACTGTTGGTGGGACTGTAAACTAGTTCAACCATTGTGGAAGTCAGGGTGGTGATTCCTCAGGGATCTAGAACTAGAAATATCATTTGACCCAGCCATCCCATTACTGGGTATATACCCAAAGGATTATAAATCATCCTTCTATAAAGGCACATGCACACGTATGTTTATTGTGGCACTATTCACAATAGCAAAGACTTGGAACCAACCCAAATGTCCGACAATGATAGACTGGATTAAGAAAATGTGGCACATATGCACCATGGAATACTATGCAGCCATAAAGAAGGATGAGTTCATGTCCTTTGTAGGGACATGGATGAAGCTGGAAACCATCATTCTCAGCAAACTATCGCAAGGACAAAAAACCAAACACCGCATATTCTCACTCATAGGTGGGAATTGAACAAGGAGAACGCTTGGACACAGGAAGGGGAACATCAAAACCCGGGGCCTGTTGTGGGGTGGGGGGAGGGGGGAGGGATAGCATTAGGAGATATACCTAATGTAGATGACGAGTTAATGGGTGCAGCACCCCAGCATGGCACATGTATACATATGTAACAAACCTGCACATTGTGCACATGTACCCTAAAACTTCAAGTACAATTAAAAAAAAAAAAAAAAGAAAAAGCTGGATAAGCTACAAAATTCTAACTTTTCTGGAACCCATCAGAGAGGTTAGGTTACAGGGTAACCAGGTAAATAAATTGCAAAAGTCAAAAAGCCCCCTCTGAAGACAGATGGGACGCATGAACTGATTCACCTTGGGTAGAGCATGAGAGGAAGGAAGATAAGGTAATTCAATATTAAAGGACAAGCAAAACCAAGAAAGGGCCATTATATTAGTACATTTTCATGCTGCTGATAAAAACATACCTGATACTGGGCAATTTACAAAAGAAAGAGGTTTAATTGAACTTATAGTTTCACGTGGCTGTGGAAGCCTCACGATCATGGTGGAAGGCAAGGAGGAGCAAGTCACATCTTATGTGGATGGTGGCAGGGAAAAAGAGCTTGTGCAGAGAAATTCTCATTTTTAAAACCAATAGCCCTTGTGAGACTGTTTCACTATCAGGAGAACAGCATGGGATAGACCCACCCCCATGATTCAATCATCTCCCACCGGGTCCCTACCACAATATGTGGGAGGCTACAAGATGAGATTTGGGTGGGGACACAGAGCCAAACCATATCAGACATCTTATGACAAGGTGGAGTATAAGTGGAGGCATTTAAATACCCTTGACTGTCATTGGAAACCATGCTGCTGTGAGGTATTTAGTCAGGAGGTTACATTTTAATCAAAGTGATGTCATTGAGAGTTTATTTAAAATAACATTCATAAACACCTGTGCAACAAGTGTATTCCTCTTTATAGAACAGATGTGTTCCTGAAAAGTTGTGCATCGAATAAAGTTGTTCAATTAAGTCTGTTTTCTTCCATTGTTGTCAATGTTTCTTCCGTGTTGTATCAATTTCTCACTAATCTTCATTGACCACTAAGCTTAATGTTTCTTTGCTATCCTCCTCTACCAAATTAATTAATCATAAAAGCATCAGGGATATTTTGATGATTGAAGAGATTTTTTTTCTATAAAGAGAGAAATACTTCTAAGTCAGCAATGGTCATTTAATTTATAGTCTCAAAATAGACAACACCAATTCTCACATTTAAAAAACTCTAAGTGGAATACTGTTGTATAGCAGCATACTGATTCTAAACATAAATATACTCTACAAGGACTGTTCAAAAAGTAATTTATATGAATTTTTAAGATATTGATTTTATTGCAATGCAAAATAATTATTACAAAAATATAAACAGAACTTCCTATCACTTTTCCGTATAAATTCCTTGTAGAGTAAAACATTGATTATGATATAATGGTATTGATTATAATAGAATTATGACATAATCAATGAAATAAGTTTCACTGATGATGAAATAAAATGTAGTGTCTTTAGTTGCAAATAAAAAAAAAAGAAAAATTCAGCTAAAACAGAGGTTTAAATAAAATCTCGTAATATAAAACAAAAATGTCTAGATTTCAACTGAAAACATCTATAATACTAAGAACCAGTAAGATCTAAGTCTGACTGAAAGAAGACAATCAACAGATACCAGCACCAAGATGACAGAGACATTAGAATTATTGAAGATTTTAAAACAGCCATGCTAAATATGCTGAATAAAAAAATTACAAATCTGCTTGAAACAAAGGAAAAAGAGAATGTCTGAATGAAAAAAATCTCAATGAAGTCTCAATGAAGAAATAGGAGATATAAAACAGAACTGAGTGGAAATTTTATTTTTTGAGCCAGGGTATCACTGTGTCACCCAGGCTGGAGTACAGTGGCGTGATCTCAGCTCACTGCAGCCTCAACCTCCCAGGTTCACACCATCTTTTCCAACTCACCCCTCAAGTAGCTGAGACTGCAGGCACAAGCCATCATGCCAGGCTGATTTTTGTATTTTTTTTTGTAGAGATGGGGTTTCACCATGTTGCCCAGGCTGGTCTGAAACTCCTGAGCTCAAGCAATCTGCCCACCTCAGCCTCCCAAAGTGCTATGATTACAGGCGTAAGCAACCAGGCCTGGCCCCAGGTAGAAATTTTAGAACTAAAAAAATATGATAATCAAAATAAAAAGATTGGTGTGTGGACACAACAGCAGAATGGAGGGAAGAGAACATAATCAATGTGTTGTGAAAAAATAACAATAGAAATTATCCAATCTGAACAACAGAGAGAAAATAGACTGAAAAGATCTGAAAGCATCTCTCAGGGACCTGTAGAACAATCTTAGATAAAGGAAAACTAAGAATTTGTTTCCAGCAGATCTCATTTAAAAGAATGGCTAAAGGAAGTTCTCTAAACACACACACACACACACACACACACACACAGACACACACACACACACAAAGTTAAAAGAAGGAAACTTGGAACAAGGAGGAAGAAAGAACATGATTAGCAAAAATATGGGTAAATACAATAGGCTTTTCTTCTCTTCGATTTTCTAAGCTATTTTTGATAGTTGAAGTAAAAATCATAACATTGTCAGATTTGGTTCTAAATGCATTAGAGGAAATATTTAATACAACTACATTATAAATGAGGACAGTAATGGAATGTAAAGGTCTCTATCTAGAGCAACAACATAAAAAGCTAAACATAGAGATATCCTCAAAAACACTATATATGAACAAAAATGGGATCTAAAAAATGTTCAGGTAACCCATAGGAAGGCAGGAAAAAGAAAACAGAGGAATAAAAAGCAGAGAGAAAACAAAAATTAAAATGACAGACATAAGTCTTAACATGTCAATAATTATTTAAATGTATATGGTTTAAATATATACATTAAAAGACAAAATAGATTAAAAAACAAACTTACTTCAAGTAAAACTTACTTCAAATAAGATGTATGCAGGTGGAAAGTAAGAAGATAGAAAAAGATGTATTATGCAAACATTAATTAAAGAAAGCAGGAATGGCTATGTTAATATCAGATAAGTAGACCTCAGATCCAAGAATATCACCAGAGATAGAGACATTACATGGTGATAAAAGTCTTAGTCCACTAAGGTATATGCACCAGGCAACAGAGCTAAAAAATATGTGAAGGAAAGATTGATAGAACTAGAAGGAGAAATAGAGAAATCCCAGATTATAACTGGAGACCTCCATACCCTACTCTCAACAACTGATTAAAAACTACAGAGAAAACAGTAAGGATATATTAAAAAAACTCAATACCATCTGTCAAAAAATCCCTATGGATATTTGTAAGGCCCTCAGCCAAACAATGGTAGCATACACATCTTTTTTAAGTGCCCCTGGCATCAACAAAGGCCGAGGATATGGAAGATATGCCAAAATGGATAATATCCTGGGCCATAAAACAAGCCCCAACAAATGTAAAGAATTGAAATCATACAGAGAAGCTAAAGCAGTGTAGAAAAGGGGAATTTCTAGCACTAAATGCTAGAAAAGAGGAAAAATGTCAAATCAATAATCTAAGAAAAGAAGCATTAAAAAAGGAGACAGAAATAGTTCAAATCAAAGGAGAGAGAAATAGTTCAAATCAATAATCAAAACTCCCACTACAAGAACCTAGATAAGCAAAATAGACTGAAGGCAAAGAGAAAGAGGGAAATAATGAAGATAAGTGCAGAAATCAATTATTTTGACACAGAAAAACAACAGAAGTAATTAATAGAACAATGAGCTGGTTGATGGAAATGATCACTGGCAAACTTATAGCAAGACAGAGACAAACAAAAAGGGAGACGTCAAAAATTACTTCATTTTTTACAAAAAAAAAATGAAGCAGAGGATATCAATATAGACCTTGTAGATATCAAAAGTGCAATAAGAGAATACTGCAAACAACTCCACACACGTAAATTTGACAACTTAAAAGAAATGGACCAATTCTTTGAAAAACACAAACTACTATAACTTACCCAATATGAAATAATTAAAATGGCTCTATAATCTTTAAGGAAGATGCATTTGTAATTGAAAAACCGCCCCATAAAATGCCCTCCAATTTCAGATGGTTTCACTGAAGAATTTTACCAAATATTTAAAAAAGAATTAATCCCAGTTGTACACAATCTCTTCTAGACAGTAGAAGACTAGGGAATAATTTCCTATTCATTTTATGAAGCTGATATTATTCTGATAATAAAATCAAAGATAGCACACACATAACCCTCAAAAAATAGAAAACAAAAACTAGAAAATAACATGAATATAAATGCAAACATTTTAATCAAAATATTAGTAAACATAATTCAGCAATATATCAAAGAATTATATACTGTGACCAACTAAGGTTTATTCCAGGGCTGCAGGACTGATTTAATGTTTGAAAAATCAATGTAATCTACCAGATTAACAGGCTAAAGAAGAAAATTCACATAATCACATCAATCAATGCAGAAAAAGCATTTGACAAAATTCAATATCCATTTCTGATAAAAACCCTCAGAAAAACTGAAATAGACTAGATCTTAACTTGATAAAGAGCACCTATAAAATACCTTGAGCTAACTTCATAATAGTGAAAGACTAACCTCTTTGCCCTATGACCAGAAAGAAGACAGGGATGTCTGCTCTCCTCACTTCTGTTCAGCACAGTATTGGAGCTTCTAGTCTGGGTAATCCACCAACTGATTTTTGACAAAGGTACAAAAACAATCCACTGAAGGAAAGATAGCCTTTTCAACAAATGGTATTGGAGCAAAGGCACTTCCATAAGTGAAAAAAATAAACCTCGATCTAAGATTTACAATTTATAAAAAATTAACTCAAAATGGAGCACAGACTTAAGTATAAAACTATAAAACGTTTAGAAAAAAACAGAAAATCTTTGGGATCTAGGACAAGGCAAAAAGTGTTATACTTGATAGCAAAAGTATGATTTACAGAAAGAAAAACTTGATGAATTAATTGTACCTTATCTAACTAAAAAGTATTAACTCTGAAAAAGACCCTGTTAAGAGGAGGAAAAGACAAGCTACAGACTAGGAGAAAATATTTGCAAATCACAGATCTGACAAAGGACTGACACTTAACGTATATCAAAAACTCTTAAAACCCAACAGAAAATACCCTCAAACAATCCAATTAGAAAATGGATAAAAGATATAAGAGACATTTCACCAAAGAGTATGTAGATGGCACATAAGCACATGAAGAAATGCTCAACATCATTAGCCACTAGGAAAGTGCAATTGAAAACCATGATGAAATATCACCACACACCTATCAGAATGGCATAATTAAAGCACAGTGACACCACCACATCTTGGCGAGGATGTGAAGAAACTGGATCACTCGTACATTGCTAGTAGGATGGATATCCCAAGTATCCTGGTTTGATTACATGAATGTATCAAATTATTGCCTGTATTCTAAAAATATATACATCTATTTTATATCAATAAAATAAATAAAATCATAAAATAAATAAATAATTAAAAATGATAAAGTCACTCTGGAAAAAGCTTGGCGATTTCTTTAAAAATGAAATATTTAACTACCATATGACACAGTAATGGCACTCTTAGGCATTTAATATAGAAAAAGACATATGTTCACACAAAAACCTGTATGTAGATGTTTAAAGCAGTTTTATTCATAATAGACAAAAACTGGAAACAACCCATATATCCTTCAATGAGTGAATGGTTAAACAAATTTTGTTTCGTCCAAACCATGGAATGCCACTCAGCAATGGAAAGGGATGAACTCCTGATCCATGCAACAACCTGGATGAATCTTTAGAAAATTATGATGGGTAAGAAAAGCCAATCTTGAAAGGTCATATACAGTATAATTCTACTTACATGATAGTCTTGAAATGACAAAGATTATAGAAATGGAGAACAGATTAAGGGTTCCCTCATGGGTAAGGTTGGTAGAGATATTTATTCCTCAGCAAATACTCATGTGCTCTCCCACATTTCTAGGCCCCCTTGCCGTTATATAGGGCCATATACCTAGTAGTTCCGGCCAATAAGCTATGAGAATGAACGATGTATATCATTTGCAGTCTGGAGCATTTAAGAGTTAATGTGTAACTTTCCAGCCACTATCCTTCTGCAGTGATCCTGGTGTTATATGTTGACATGGTGGTGTCATGAGATGGAAGCTGTTGGATTTCATGAATTACTGCATGGGAGACAGATGCCCTGGAGAGCTGCTGAACTCACAGTGGACTTTTCTTAAGAAATAAGCTGTTGTTGTGTTAAGCCACTGAGATTTCAAGAATTGCTGCCATACCACAATTTAGATTAAAATGACCAATACAGAAAGCATTCCTACAAATAAGTACTACAGTATCAAACCCCTAATATATGTGGCGTTGCCTTGATATCCCTGAAAGGCAAAGTGAACTGATACTCCATTGCTCAGGAGCAGATGATATAAAATAATGGAAGAAACAATTAAATCTGATCTCATGGAAGAATGAAAAGCTGAGCTGGAACTTTAGAAGGAGGAGCCAACATGTTCTGAAATCAGCAACAGTGAGATAAGAGAATAATAAGCTATTCAGGCAGCTAGTCAATACTTGATCTCATATATGCACCACTACATTGTATAGGAAATAGGAAGTATAAATGTTGTATTAGTCCATTCTCACACTGTTATAAAGAAATACTTGAGATTGGGTAATTTATAAAGAAATAATTGGCTCATAGTTCTGTAGGCTGTATCGGAAGCAGAGGGGCTTCTGCTTCTAGGGAGGCTGCAGGAAACTTACAATCATGGTGGATGGCAAAGGGAAAGCAGGCACTTCACCTGGCCCAGAGCAGAAGGTGGAGGGAGGTGCAACACACTTTTAAACAACCAGATCTCATAACTCACTCACTCACCATCAAAGAACAGCATGAAGAGGATGGTGCTAAACCTTTAGAAACTAGCCCCATGATCCAATCATCTCCCACTAGGCCCCACCTCCAACACTGAGGATTACAATTGAATCTGAGATTTGGGTGGGGACGCAGATCTAAACCGTATCAAATGTGATCCTTTGGACACAGTCTAAGAGACTATGCTTGAAGATTTCTGAGTGTCTCCTCAGAAGTAAATCTGATTACATAAACATTAAACTGAAAGAGGAGGGAGATATTTAAACAAATCAGTGTTACCATGGAGAAAACTTATTTTGGAGTCAAGATTTTTTTTTTAAAAAATTCTATATGTCCAATAAATAAAATACTTTAGTAATATGGAAGAGTGGGTGTGGAACTAGGGTGTGGAACAAGGGACAGAGGGGCAGACCGGTCCTAGTATTTAGAAATAATATAATGAGTAGGCTTAAGAAGGTCTAGAATAAAGTCAATGTTAATTATTAGTAAAATTTTGAATGGATTGTTCCATAAAAGATATCTTAAGAGAAAAAAATAAGTCAAACATTTCCTCTTTTGAGACTTAATAGATTGGAGATCACTGATTGAGAAGACAGATGTCATCCAATTTGTGGGTGACACAAAATTAAAAGGACACAAATTAAAAAATTAAAATTAAAAGTATTTTGGACAAATGAGGCAAAATTTTACATTACTGCTAGAAAAAAAACCATTGAGATAAAATAGATTTACAAGCTAAAAATTAACAGATACAAAAATAAATTTCTTTAGATAATCTTCTCCCACAATAAATTAAGCCCAAAATAAAGGCATTTAAATTGACATTTGCTCATATAAAAAATCTGAAATTTTATCTGGCCCATATTAAACAAGCCCCAAATAATTTGTTGTGAATTCACATATATTTAAAGGTCTCTTGGGTTGAATTAATAGAATTACTGTCCACACTGAAGGATGTAATAGTCTCTTGTTATCCAGAGCACGCTTTATGATGTATGTTCAAATTTAGGTTAACGGCAAGTTGAAGGTGAATTTTGATTTCAAGCAAGGAAAAGATAACTTTCCAATAATTGTTACTACTTAAGAATATAGTTTTTAAGTGTTTTCTCAGCCAATTTTTTTTATTATACTTTAAGTTTTAGGGTACATGTGCACAATGTGCAGGTTAGTTACATATGTATACATGTGCCATGCTGGTGTGCTGAACCCATTAACTCGTCATTTAGCATTAGGTATATCTCCTAATGCTATCCCTCCCCCCTCCCCCCACCCCACAACAGTTCCCAGAGTGTGATGTTCCCCTTCCTGTGTCCATGTTTTCTCATTGTTCAATTCCCACCTATGAGTGAGAACATGCGGTGTTTGGTTTTCTGTCCTTGCAATAGTTTACTGAGAATGATGATTTCCAATTTCATCCATGTCCCTAAAAAGGACATGAACTTATCATTTTTTATGGCTGCATAGTATTCCATGGTGTATATGTGCCACATTTTCTTAATCCAGTCTATCGTTGTTGGACATTTGGGTTGGTTCCAAGTCTTTGCTATTGTGAATAGTGCCACAATAAACATACGTGTGCATGTGTCTTTATAGCAGCATGATTTATAGTCCTTTGGGTATATACCCAGTAATGGGATGGCTGGGTCAAATGGTATTTCTAGTTCTAGATCCCTGAGGAAACGCCACCCTGACTTCCACAATGGTTGAACTAGTTTACAGTCTCACCAACAGTGTAAAAGTGTTCCTGTTTCTCCACATCCTCTCCAGCACCTGTTGTTTCCTGACTTTTTAATGATTGCCATTCTAACTGGTGTGAGATGGTATCTCATTGTTCTCACCCAATCTTAAAACAATATACAAAATGGATATAAACTGAGCTGCCCTACTTAAATCAACTTACTTGCACCTGTAACCTCACTCTTTACACCCTTTCTGGATGAAACTACTCTAGGGCGTACAGTCTAAAAAAAGATAAACTCCTCCGTTTATTTGTTCTGTGGATCCCACATCCTCTCAGTGATGCTGGTCCTGCAACTATGCTCTTTCCTACACCGTTAATTTGTTCCATCTTTTTGGTTTTGATGCTTTCCCACCAACAAACAAACCTGTTCCAATGTTAATCTTCTTAATCCACAGTCCTTGTCCCCAAATTTCCCTTCATCTACAACTCTATTGTTATGATTCCTTCAAGGAAAACTTCTTAGGAATTACTCGTTACCCTTTCTCTTATTGTGTTTTTAAAAAAATATTCACAATGGGCTCTTGCCAAGGTGACCATGACCTTTGCATGGAAAAATCCAATGGTCAGTGATCTGTGCTCTTCTTACTTGACTTCTCAAGCAGCATTTGAAAGGGTGCTTCATTTTTTATTTTTTTAAAGCTGCATTCTCTGATTTTCCATACACTGTACTGACTTCTTGTCAGGGTCTTTCATTTGTTCCCCCCTTCAGTTTATTCATCCTCTGATGGTTGAAATGCCCCATGGCTCAGTCCTAGAGTTCAACTCTATTCTATCTTCACTCCCTCCTAGATGATCACATAAAGTTCCAAGGCATTAATTGTAATTAATTTATATCTCAAATTTACGTCTGTAGCCCTGACATCTCTAAACTCTCATATTCAGCTGTCTACTTGACATCTCTTTTTGGACAGTTGACAGGAAACTCAAACTTAGCATGGGTAATTAGGACTCTCTGTTCTTTTGTGAACTTCTTCCTACCCTGCTTGTTCCCATTTCAGTAAGTGGGACCTTCCTTCTACTTGATAAAGTAAAAACTGAGGAGTAATACTTGACTCCTCCCTTTGCCTCGGCCCTCACAACCAACCATTCACGAGTTGTCTGGGCTCTTCCTCCAAATACGTCCCAGTGGAATCTAGTTCTTCCCAACTCCTCGGCAAACACTTCTCATCTCAAGGCTGATTAAGAGTTTCCTCAAGACAGCCCCGCTATCTCTCCAGCCTATTTGCAATCCCCTTTCCTTTCAGTTGCTGGAGTGATATTTTTAAAAAATCTCAAAAAAGGCTTCCCACTGCATTTAGGAAAAAAAAATCCATATTTCTTACCCTGATGTAAAAGATGTTAATGGCCCAGAGTGAACTCTGACCAACACTTTCCCACTCCCACTTCTCTCGCTGTAATCCAATCCCACTGGCCATCTTTCTGACCCCACAGTGTGCCCAACTCTGTCCTAGATTAGGGCTCATGCACTTGTTCCTCTTTGCAGCCTTACTGGATCCACTTCTTCCATGTTGCAGCTCAACCTCATCTCCTCAACGAGGCTTGCTCTGGTCATCATCTAAACACATTTATTCCCCATTCATGCCCCAGGTCACATATCACACCCATATTTCAGTAATATACAATAAGGCATTGTAAAAATAGACAATGATTTTGTTGTCTTTCTAGCATTTTCAACATCTGAAATTTTCTTGTTCATTTATTTTTTCAAAAAATACAAATGTCCCAGTCACATTCTCCTTTCCAACATTGTTAATGGTTCCATGCTATCAGTAGGAAAAGCCCCAGCCATTTGGAGTATTATCTCAGACCTCCATGACCTGGCCTATCTGATTATTTTTCTCCTGCTGATATTTCTTTGTGGCTATGAGCTCAGCCTATTACATCAGACACCTTGCACCATATCCTTCCCCCTAGGTACATGGAACACTTGCTTTCCCCTTATCTGCCAAGTGACATCATTTTTTCAAGACTCAGTTCAAATGCCACTTCTTTGGAGCCTTCTGTGATCCCATCAGAAAGAGGGATTTCCTCTTCTCCCTGTCCTCACAGAGCTTTAGGGCAGATGTCTCTGGCAGATCACTCTGCCCCTTGTCCATCTGCCTCAATATACTGTAACTCCTGAAGAGTGGGAAAGTGGTTGATTTGTTTGAGTACAGCAGGTCCTCTAATAACATCCTTTTGTCCAATGATGTCTTGTTATAAAGTTCATAATAATAAAATTGATCCCTGGCTGAGTCTCCTGTCTGTGTGGAGCTTGCATGTTCTATGTCTGTGAGGGTTTTCTCCAGGTACTCTGGTTTCCTCCCACATCCCAAAGCTGTGAACTTCAGGTGAATTGGCATGTCTAAACTGTCCCAATCAGAGTAAGTGTGTGTGCTAAACTGTCCCAATCAGAGTAAGTGTATGTGTGTGTGTGTGTGTGTGTGTGTGAATGTTCCATGTGATGGGAGGATGCCATGTCCAGGGTTGGTTCCCACTTTACATCTTGAGCTGCTGGGATGGGCTCCAGTCACCAGCAACCCTGAGCTGGAATAACTGGGTTGAAAAACAAAGGAATACGAATTATTGTTAAATAAAAATTTATAAAGTATATGATAATTACATGAATGCATGACAATAGACACAGTTTCCAAGAACCTCTCTATGACATTAAGTGAGGACTTAACAGTATTCTCATCACTCACATTGATTTCTGCACAAAATAAATTTTTTTTTCTTTTTCTTCTTTTTTTAAACATGCTTTTAATTTCCTTCCCTAGCCTTGTGACTCTGATTTCTCTTCCTTGGGTAAGTTCTAGTTTGCCCATCTTCACGCTGAACTATGAGGCCCGGAAAACTGTCCTTAAACTTGCCATAAATGACTTATATTTGTATCCCCAGTCTTGGTTTCTGGCACATAGTAGCAGCTCAGCAAATGTTTGCCATTGTACCATAATAATCACAATGCTGTAGACTGTTTGGATCATTAATCACACTAGAGAAGGATTTCTGTCTCATCTCTTTTTTTTTTTTTTAATTCATGTATAAAATTAGTGAAGCCTGGTCACATATCACAAACAGATTTTAATAATGTAAAACATGACATTATGAAATGTACAATTATTAGGAAAGTTATTTATCAGCAATCAACAAATGCCTAATCAGCACCTATTATGTGCTACACACTCTACTAAGCATTCAGATGGACAAAACAGATGGCATTAGTCAGGTGAGGCTAAGCTGTGCTGTGGTAACAAATCTCCACATTTCAGTGACTTAACAAAATAAAGTTCTCTCTTGCTTGTGTCACAGCCCAGTTGGGTATATTGTGGGCAGCCCTCCCTGAGCTGATACGGTTATCCAGCCTTATTTCATCTGTTGGCTCTGACCCCATTAAGGATTCCATGGCATCTCTGGCATCCAGCCATTTTACAAGTTGACAAGAGATGAGGCTAAGAAATCTCACAGGACGCAGAAGTAGTGTACGGAATTCCGGACCACATCCTACCAGCCAAAACTAGTCAAGCAGCTCTAAACTAACTACAAAGGAGGCTTGAAAGTATGTTCCCAGGAAGAAGAAAGAAGACTGGTGAGGATAGTTTGTGCCACACAGAAATAACACATGCCCTCCCGGGCATATCAGTCTATGGTAAGATGCTTCAATCTGGCTCTTCTACTCAACTTGAGACAATTGGGGTCATTAAGTTGTTATTCTTTTTCTACTTAAGAATATTTCCAAGAGTAATTAATGATGTGGTAAGAGAAATTTCAAGAAAGATCCTTAAATTGCTCAAGGAAAATGTTCAAAGCTGTGGTGGATAAACTACTGCCTATAGTCTGAATCTAGCCTGCTGTGTTGTTAAACAGTACACAAGCTAAAGAATGGCCTTTACATTGATAAATGGTTGACAAAAATCAAAAGAATAATATTTCCTGATACATGAAAATTACATGAAATTCAAATTTTAGTGTTCATACATAAAGTTTTATTGGACTACTACGATGTCCCTTCATTGATATATTGTCTGTGGCTACTTTTGCACTATAGCAGCAGTTGAATAATTGTGACAGAGATTGTTCTACAAAGCCTAAATATTTACTACTTGGCCCTTTACAAAAAAGTTTGCCAATATCTGTGTAAAAGCATTTGAGTATGATATATTTTTATTTTTGAGACAGGGTCTCACTCTCTTGCCCAGGCTGGAGTGTAATAGTGTTTTCATGGTTCACCGCAGCCTTGACCTCAAAGGCTCAAGTGATCCTCCTGCCTCAGCCTCCTCTGCGTAGCTAGGACTATAGGCATGCTACCACCCCAAGGTAATTTTTAAATTTTTTGTAGAGGTGAGGTCTCACTATGTTGCCTAGGTTGGTGTCAAGCTCCTGGGCTCAAGCGATCTTCCTGCCTTGGCCTCCCAAAGTGCGGTATTACAGGCGTGAGCCACTGTGCCCAGTAAGTAGGATATATTTTCGTGCTCACAATTCAGTAACCTGATTACAAATTACCTTAGTGTTTGCATTCATTTTGCAAGGATGGGTCCCAGAAAACAACTGGATATGAAGATGGAAAAGCAAGAATTCACCTAATGAATAGTCAAAGGTAGGAATGGACATGTTTTCAAATCAGAAGTTTACCTTAGGTAAACAGAATTATTTACCTGTAGATTATTAGAAGAAATAAGAGATCCTTTCCTGTGGCTTCTATGAAAAGTTTATTCAGGAACTTACAACCAGGTGTTTCTGTCTAAAGCAAGGCCTCTTACATATTTGACATTCTAGCTCCTGGCTCTCGAATTTTTGACACAGAAATCTGTAACTGGAGGTCCTAAGACAGAATTCCACCATTTACTAAGACAGATGACTCATTGTCAGAGACAATAAGAGTTGGTGATCTATAACCATCCCAACTAACAAAGTAGCATTCTGAAGAACATCTGGTAGATATCTTAGTTTAATTCCATGGTGTAAGCCCTTAGATAGAGTATCTAAAGAGTATTTCTTCTAAAGATATTCTATAATTCAGAATTCATAAATTCACATTGATGATATTTAATGGATTGTATACAATATTTGCATCAGAATATGGATCAACAAGGCCATACGGACTTCTTTTTTTAAGGTAGGTTTATTTATTATTCTAAATTAATTTTGATCATACTGTTTGAAGATAAATATGCAGCTTAGACAATCTGGAAAATGCAGCAAAGTGATTCATGAAAAAAATGGCATAATTTCATCATCTAATCACAAGTACACTTAGCACTAGGCTGTGATTTCCTTCTAGTCTGTTTTTACGTTTTTTTTTTTAACTTTTAGGTTCAGGGGTACATGTGTAGGTCGGATATATAGATAAATTGCATGTCATGGTGATTCGGTGTATATACTATTTCATCACCCAAGTAATAAGCGTAGTACCCAATAGGTAGTTTTTTGATCCTCTCCCTCCTTCTACCCTCCACCCTCAAGGAGGCCCCAGTGTTTATTGATTCATTCTTTGAGTCCATGTGTACTCTATGTTTAGCTCCCACTTATGAGTGGGAACACAGGGTGTTTGGTTTTCTGTTCCTGCATTAGTTTGCTTAGGAAAATGGCCTCCTACTCTATCCATATTGCTGGAAAGGACACATTCTATTCTTTTTTATGGCTGTGTAGTATTCCATGTTGTGTATGTACCACATTTTCTTCATCCAGTCTACCATGGATGGGTATTTAGGTTGATTTCGTGTCTTTGCTATTGTGAATAATGCTGTGAAGAACATATGTGTGCATGTGTCTTTATGGTGGAATGATTTATATTATTTTGGGTACATATCTGATAATAGAATTCCTGGGTTGAATGGTAGTTCTGTTTTAAGTTCTTTGAGAAATTGTCTCACTGCTTTCCACAATGACAGAATGAGTTTACATTCCCACCAGCAGTCAATAAGCATTCCCTTTTTTTCTGCAACCTTGCCAGCATCTGTTATTTGTTGACTTTTTAATATTAGTTTTCTGACTGGTGTGAGATGGTGTCTTATTGTGGTTTTGATTTGCATTTCGTGAACGATTAGTGATGTTGAACATTTTTTCATATGCTTGCTGGCCACATATATGTCTTCTTTTGAAAAGTGCTTTTTAAGGAAGCTCCAAGCTATATTATGAAACTGATGCAACATTGCAACCCAGGGAATACTGCAACCTGATCTTTACTGAATTGTTACTTTTAAACCCTGCTTTGAAATTTCTACAAATGCTTATTGTGAGTTTGAATGCTTTTTCATTCATAGTTGTATATTTTTATTAGTTCAAATTGCCTTGTTAAACTAAACTCACCATTCTATTTTCAGTGAAAATAGTACAAATAACGGCCATTTGGCTCATTTTTATATCATTTTTTGCCTTCAAATACTGTCGCAAAGTCATTCCCAAGTTGAACCCTGATTGAATTTGCCCTGTGACAAGTTCATCTATACTAGAGAATGAGGCAAGTAACTGGGATCAGGGATCAGGGACCTTGACTTAAATTTATATTTCTGCTCCTACATTAAGTAAATCCTCAAATTTACTTTTAAATCTCACACCTCCTAGTATGGCTTTATCATGACTCAGATGGATGAATGATAGGTTTCCTCGTTTTGTTTTTGTTTTTGAATGGGGCACATTTGATGGATAAAAGATAAAACGGATGTTTGGTTCAATAGTATGCTCTAAATTTAGATATTCAGCAAAAACATGTTTGCTAAAGTTTCCATTAAGGGACCATTGTTATAGATGTTCAAGTTTTTTTCCCCCTTTTAAAATACTATATAAAGTATTTATACAACTATGAATGAAAAATATTCAAACTCACAATAAGCATTTGTAAATACTATATAAAGTATTTTAAAATGATGACAATATTGGAAGTTTTCAGGAAAAATACAGTCACATTTATTATTTGTTGCTTATAATGACCAAATCTGTCCAAAAGAAATATATTACTGAAGTTTGGGAGATTTATTGTGTTTTTAGGACTTTTATTTTGACCCCAACTGCTGATTCATTTTAAAGTTTATTTTACTTCCCAATCATCTACTTCTTCCCAATAACATACACACCATTCCAGCTGTTATTAAAGTTAAACAAAAATGGGTCATTCTGATTTGTATTAATATGTAATTATATTTGGGCCACATATTTATTTTATAAGAAAGTTGATGGATTTAACATGTCAATTTTGAGAAATGAATGGAAGACTGCAAGTTCATAAGAGCTTATGGTTTTTTAAAAGAAACAAAAAAAATAGCCTAAAATTTATTCTGGATGTGACCACAAAATATCTTGAAATTTTACAAAATTCAAAGGTAAAATACGGGAAATGCTGGCAAATTGTTCAGAGTAGCTGAAATTATGCATTACAAATATTTTTGTGTGTGTGTGTGAAATAACTGACATTTTGTGAAGATCAAAATTACCACAGAAATTTAGCCAAGTCAGCATCGAATGATTTCACACAATTATTGAACTTTTCTCTGTTGGAGATGTTCCCGGCCAAATCCTTCCTTTTTGGAAATTTCCTGGAGCTCCCTCATCTGCTGCTGAATAGTACTGAAAGTTTCTCATCCGAGGACTAAAGAAGACATTAGTGACTCCCTTTAGTCTTTAGCCAAGCCATTAACTGTTACCTCAGCATAAGCTCTTGGTCTTTTCCTCCAATCTTGATTTTCTTATGTTGTATAAGCAGCTTTCTAGAGAAGCCTCCATGGTTGATCTTTCTCACCCATCCACTTGCTATCTCAAACTCTGGAGCAGTGCTTTCCAACAAAGCCTTTGTGGTGATGGAATGTTCTAAATTTGCATGGTCCAATATGGTAGCCACCAGCGACACAAGGATTTAGGGCACGAAAAATGCTCATGGGACTGAAATTTTGTTTATTGTAATTGATTTAAATTTAAATAGTCACACAAGTCTATATTGGACATCTTAGCTCCAGGCATCTCTTTGAATGCAGTCTCTGAAACCCTTTTAAAAACTACTTGATGAATTCCATGAGCACAGGGACCAGGCCACGTCTGTTTTGTGCAATGTTGCATGAATCACACTTAGTACTGTGTTTGGCACATAGGAGGCACTCAAATGTTTTCATTCAACATGTGACTGAGTGAGTGAATGAACAGATAAACCTTGAGGATAAAGAGAGTATTCAATGGGGAAGAAAAAAGGGCTTGTATGCACCCTTTTCTTTTAGAATATATCAAATCAATTCCTTTTAAAAAAGATAATCTCTTTAAGGTAGTATCACTGGTTAACCAAACTTTTGGGACACAAAGAAGTGATGATTTTTACACTCATGGTGGTTTATCTTCTGTATTCTAGTCCCTTAATCTAAAGGCACTGTGTCAAATATGTATGAGTTGCAGAGGAACTGTATGTGGATCAGTTCTGCTCACAGGGTTGTATCAAGCAGTTACATCAGAGGCTGGCACATATTCACTGTCAATAAATGTAAATTCCTGAGAGATCAGTTACTGCACCTGTTGATTGCAGCTTTCTTGACATCTGCAGGTATCAAAGAGATAGCAGAGAAAGTGCCTCAGAGGCACGAAGGATGGTTTTCACTCATTAGCTCATTTAGTTCAATACTGCTGCTTTTGGCCTCTTGCTTCACTAATTATAGCCTACCATGACCAAATGTAAAATAATACAACAATAAATACAAAGTCAACTCTCATGTCGTAGGGTCCTATTTTGTTTTATGGTAGTAGAACATCTAATACAGTTATATTTTGGGAGATAATTCACACTCCAGATGAGAATAAAGGGATTAGTTCCTATGCAAGAAACCAAATAATTAAAAAAAAAAATTGGCTTGGGCTATCACATCAACCTTTTGGCAAGGGGTCATGTAAAATATAAGAGGATTTAAAATTAAAGCTAACCTACAAAAAGAACCAGAGGTACACTCGGATGAAAACAAATTCATCTGTTTAAAATTTCTTAATATCTAACAAATCACCTAGACAGAACAATTTGATGGATAATGATGCTAGATTATTGAAAATCTGAATTAAAGAAAATTGTAGGCAAAGATAATAAATTCTTCTGACCATGAACTCAAATGAACTATAAGCAAATAGAAATCTGAATGTCAAATTAGCAGTGAAAAAAGTTGATCATTCACATTACAAAATGCACATAATAAAACACCTACTCATTTTATGATCAATATTTTCATTTTAGATTTTAATTGAACTAATATACTATAAATTTCATGATCCCTAAAGCATACTAAAAGAAAGACCATTGCAAAACTGAATTCCAGCACTGTGTGGCATTGGCTAAGTCACTTTCCCTGATTGTCCTCTTTTCTAGAATAATTATTTTGAGTATAATAATGGCAACTATTATTTATGATTGCTTAAAAAGATCAAGGCACCATACATCTATTTCATTAGATTCTCATAACTCTGATGTATAATTGCTATTTTCATTTTCCTGATGGAGAAACTGGAGCATACAGATATTAAAAACCGAACAAGGACACATCTAGAAAGGCCACCAGCCTTGGCAATCTGAATCTACAGCACGTGTTCTCAACTACTGCCCTGACACTGCCTCTAAACCTCCATAATGGTATGAGAATATACTTCAGTTTATTTCTTGTTAAGTCATATTTTGAATTAGTCAAGGAAATAATCTATTTTTAATTATTTTTTCTTAAACTTTCATTTTGAAGAAATTTCAGATATATAAAAAGTTGCAAAAATAGAGAATTCCCATATATCTTTTATATGTGTTAACATTGACATAACCACATTGCAATGATCAAAATTTGGAAATCAAAACTGATTCAATTTCACATTTCAAAATTGTTAATTTCAAAGAATTATTATTAGATCTCATTATTTGATGTGATGAAATTAAATTAGAAACATACAACAATAAAAAAATCCTTGGCAAACCATGTGCTTATAAAACAAATAAACTCATAAATAACTTGGTGGAAAAGGAGAAAATCCCAAAGAATGAATCTAAAGTAGTGTATATTAAAACTTGTGACATGCAGCTAAATTTGTACTTACAGGTAAATGTATCGCCATAAAACTGCATTTTTAAAAAGTGGAAAGATTTTTAAAATATGGAAAGTGAAGATTGAGATTAGGAAGTGACAAAAGATGACTCATGAATAAATTCCAAGGATCTAATATACAACTATAGTTAATAATACTGTAATGTATATATCAAATTTGCTAAGAAAATACATCTTAAGCACTCTCACCAAAAAAAGAAATAAAGGTAACCACATAAGGTGATGAATATTTTAATTGACTTGTTTGTGATAATTATTTCACAAGGTATATGACATATATCAAATCATCACTTTGTATAGTTTAAATATATAGAATTTTGTCAGTTAAACTTTGATTAACCTGAAAAAATATAGAAGGTGGTACCAACCGAGGCTGAATTAGTTAAGATAAAGATGATCTGATTCACTGAAATTGTCTGAAATGTAAAAAATAATTGGCTTGGAAAGTGAAGCTTCAAGAAACTGGCTTGTTATATGCAAGTTTTACCAAAATTTTAATTTATAGATAACCCATAATATATCCTAAGTTTTTCAGAGTATAGAAAATTTCCTAATCTTTTTGTGACAATGGTGTAATTTTTAAATCAAAAGACAAGAATAGTACAAGAAAATAATATTTTAAACCAATTTGTCTTATGGGCAAAAGGCAAATATTCTAAAAAAGATGCCAAAAATTGAAATCTATATTTATATTTATATCTCTATCATGAAAACACAGGGCTCAGCCCTGGAATGAAAAGTTTGAAAGAATCTTTTGATATAATAAAGCAAAGAAAAGATTAAAGAACATGAACCAAATGATCAATTCAAAGAATACATCATAAGGATTCAGTAAAATGTTGTGCTAATGATGAAATCATGTGACAGGCTGGATTTAGGTAATTTTTACGTTTATGAAAACCTAGAGGAAACATTATGACTAATGGTGAAACTTCACATTTCCTAGTGAAGTCATTGTGGGTTCTAGTCACTGTTATATAATTAGAAATAAAAATGAGAACTATAGAATTGGAAAATCAGAGATATAATTCCCTTATTTGCAGATGAAATTGCTGTTTGAGCTTTCTCAGGCTGCTATAACAAAGTACTATAAACAAGGTGTTTATAGAAATTCATTTTCTCATAGTTCTGGAAGCTAGAAGCTTTAGATCAAGGTTTCAGCAAGGTGACACCCTGAGTTGGTTTCTTCTGAGCGCTCTCTCCTTAGCTTGTAGATGACTGTTTTCTCCGTGTCTTCACATGATCTTCCCGCTGGGTGTGTCTGTGTCCTAATCTCTTTTTATAAGGACATCAGTCATATTGCATTGACACACCCTAATGATCTCATTTAACTTAATTACCTCTTGGAAGACCCTATCTCCAAATACAGTCATATTCTAAGTTACTGGGGTTAGGACTTCAACATATGGATTTTGGGGAGAACAGAATTGAGTCCACAAAACAATTGTCTAAATACAAACAATTGTCAAATTGTTAGGGCAAAGAACAATTCTCCAGTATTGCTAGATCAAAGATTAACATAGAAAAATGGGAAAGCATTCCTATGTATGAGTCAGATTAACTAGGCAATATAAATGAACAAAATTATAATGGCAGCAAAAATAAAAGAATGAATCTACAAATCTTATAAAATGTATCTAAAAGCATTATGTGACAGACTGTTAATATCTGTTTGTACTTTTCTCCCTAATAACAAAGCTGCTGATATCATTAAGGGCAGTGCTGGGTCTAGTTAAAAGACCACAGTTCCCAGCCTCCCTTGTACCTAATTAGGGACAAAAGACTATGTTCTGGTTAGTAAGATGTAAAATTAGTTACTGGGAGGGCCATTTGGTAAGGTTTCTTAAAGGGATGACAGGCAGATTATGCCCTTTTTGCCTTCCCTCCTTTCTAACTAAATGTAGATGAGACAGTTGGAGCTACAAGAGCCATCATGGATAATTAGGTGACTTTAAAGGCAAAGGCATGTTCTAGGAGGGTGGAGCAGAAAGTTAGAAGGAGCTTGGATTTCTGGTGACAGTGAGATGTTGCTCTGAATCACCTACCTCCAGACTTCATTTACGTGAAAGAGAAGGAAACTCTTTTGTTTCAGCTTCTGTTTTACATAGTTCAGTTAATCCCAACTAATAGAATTGTTGAAAGCTGTAAAGGAAGAGCTGAACAAAAGGAGAGATATACAAGAATATGGATATAGAGTCTCAATGACATAATGCTGTCAATTCTCCCCCAATTATGAAATCACTAGAATTCAGGCAAAATCCCAACAGCTTTTCATGGAATTTAACAATATGACCCTGCAATCCATTTGGATGAACAAAGTATCGTAAATATCTAAGTAATTTTGAAGGCAATGTCAGAGGTGTGGCGGGAAGGAGCATACCATTCAGTGTGCTAGAATGATTATGAAGTTATCATAATATGGCTTTAGTAAAATGGCTTTAATACAAGGCTAAGGTTTAAAACAATGAAAATAAGTAAAGGGCATCTTTACTGATTTGAGAGGAAAGGTGGATTTTTCAAAGTGTCTGTGACAAATAATTACCCATATGTAAAATAATGAAGATCAAATCTCTACTTCATGTTACAGGCAAATTCCAGTTAGATCAAATACTTACATCTAAAAGAATAATTTGTTATGACCTCAGAGTAGAGAAGAATTTTAAATATAAAAGACTCCACAGTGTTAAAATACAGACTGGCCAGAAAAGATTTCTGCAACACATATAACACAAGATTATCCTTCAGAATCCATGAAGAATTCCTAAAATCAACATGCAATAAAGGACGTAGAAAATAGAGCACATGGGATAACTGGCTAGCCATATGCAGAAGACTGAAGCTGGACCCCTTCCTTACACCATATACAAAAATAAACTCAAGATGGATTAAAGACTTAAGTGTAAAACCTAAACTATAAAAACTCTGGAAGATAACCTAGGAAATACCATTCTGGACATAAGACCTGGCAAAGATTACATGACAAAGATGCCAAAAGCAATTGCAACAGAAACAAAAATTAACAAATGAGACCTAATTAAATTAAAGAGCTTCTGTAGAACAAAAGAAACTATCAACAGAGTAAACAGACAACCTACGGAATGGGAGAAAATATTTGCAAACTATGCATCTGACAAAGGTCAAATATCCAGAATCTATAAGGAACTTAAACAAATTAACAAGCAAAAACCAAATAACCCCATTAAGAAGTGGGCAAATGACATAGACATTTTTCAAAAGAAGATATACATGCAGGCAACAAGCATGTGAAAGAAAGCTCAATATCACTAATCATTAGAGAAATGCAAATCAAACCCACAATGGGATAATATCTCACACAAATCAGAATGGCTAGAATTAAAAAGTCAAAAAAAAAAAAAAAAACAGATGTTGGCAAGGTTGCAGAGGAAAAGGTACGCTTATACACTGTTGATGGGAATGTAAATTAGTTCAGCCATTGTGAAAGTAGTGTGATGATTTCTCAAATAACTTAAACCAGAATTACCATTTGGCCCAGCAATCCCATTATTGGCTATATACCCAAAGGAATATAAATCATTCTATCATAAAGACACATGCATGCATATGTTCATCATAGCACTATTCACAATAGGAAAGACATATAATCAACCTAAATGCCCATCAATGGTAGGTTGGATAAAGAAAATGTGGAACATACACACCATGGAATACTATGCAGCCATAAAAAGAATGAGATCATGTCATTTGCTGAAACATGGATGGAGCTGGAGGCTATTACTCTAAGTGAACTCATGCAGGAACAGAAAATCAAATACCACATGTTCTCACTTATAAGTAAGAGCTAAACAATCAATATATATGGACACAAAGAAAAGAACAACAGATACCGGGGCCTACTTGAGGGTAGAGGGTGGGAGGAGGGAGAGAATCGAAAACCTACCTATCAGGTACTATGCCTATTAACTAGGTGATGAAATAGTCTGCGTAAAACCCCCATGACACACAATTTACCTATGTAACAAACCTGCATATGTACCCTTGAGCCTAAAATAAAAGTTAAAATGTTGTTTTTATAGAAGAAAATGAAGCACAGATAAGGACATGCAGTTTTCTTAAGACAGATAATATGAATGTCCATAAGCATATTTAAGAGAACTAATCTCCCTGGTAATCAGGATCAGGCAAATTAATAAACCAATATATGCTTGCAAGATTTTTAAAAAAGTAAAAAAATCTGATGATATCATGTTTTAGGATAGATGGGGAGAATTAGGAATTTTCATACATCATTGGTGGGGATATAAATTGTCACAATCATTCTGGAGAACAACTTTGGAATATCTGGTAAAGTTGAAGGTGTGTATCCTGTTTTCCCTTCACCCCTTTTCCAGACTGCTTTTAGTTCCTTTAGATATATCTTTAGTTAAGTGAGGAGTATCATTCTACTTCTAGAAATACATCTTAGAGAAATACCTTTGCAGGTACCTGAGAAGATGTGGACACATTGTCATTGGTATAGGGAGAAACTGGCATAAATTAAGTATCAATTAATAGAAGAATGGGCCAATAAATTTCATTATACTCATGCTATAGGTTATTATACCGTGGTGAAAATAAATCATGTATCAATATGATAAATCTTAAAAATATTAAACAAAAATAACAACTGGGATCTTATGTAAAGTAAAATACAACTATAAAATTTAAAAAGAATCATGTTAAATTTGTATACAATTATATGTGTGCTATAAATATATGCATGGGAATGATCGACATAAAATTCTGAATAGTGGTTATTCTGGAGGATGCTGGAATTAGGCTTCAAATAAGTCCGTAATGTTTTATTTCTTCAAAAACTGAAAGAAATATGGTAAAATATGATTTGATAAAGAACAGCAGTATGTACATGAGTATACTTTTTCATGTTTTGCAAATAATTTATTACTACTTTAGAAGTTTTAAAAACTATTTAAACTAGAATTTTAACATTAAATACGATAGATTTCTGCCTATCCTCTTCTCACAGAGGTACCAGGAATAATTAATCTATAAAAATTGTTCCTGTGCTTGAAGATCAGGTTACGCCAACAATTTGCAAATATTTCCAAACTGATTTGAATAGTTTGACCCAGAGTTTTGGATGTATAATCTATGTAGTGAAGGGAAGAAGGTGTGACAGGTAAATTGAGATTAGGAAGTGACAAAAGATGATTTGACTCATGAATAAATTCTAAGGATCTAATGTACAACTATAGTTAATAATACTGTAATGTATATATCAAATTTGCTAAGAAAATACATCTTAAGCATTCTCACCAAAAAAAGAAATAAAGGTAACCATGTAAGGTGATATTTTAATTGTTTGTGATAATTATTTCACAAGGTATATGACATATATCAAATCATCACTTTGTATAGTTTAAATATACAGAATTTTGTCAATTAAACTTTGATAAACCTGAAAAAATATAGAAGGTGGTACCAAGTGAGGCTGAATTAGTTGAGATAAAGATGATCTGATTCACTGAAATTGTGTGAAATGTAAAATTTAATTCTGCATTCTCTACAGAATGAAGCCAGGACATTTGATAATGACACAATGATAAAAGCTGCAGTTCTGGCGTAGATGAAGAGGCTCTTGTGATTAAAAAAAAGTTTAGAAATAGTGACAGCTTCCTTTCAGAGAGTACTTATATGCTAGGCAGAGTACTAGGTAAATTATATTTTTAATTCATAAATAATATTCTAATATCTATTATGCAGAAAAGAAAATTGAGACCCATCTGTTCACTATTACCCAGATGTTGAGTGGCAGGACCAGCAATCAAACCCAGTATTGTCTGATTATAAATGGATGCTCTTGCATTATTCTACAAGACCACTAAAGCTTTCTTTATAAATAAGTAGATAGATTTTTATGTCCAGAGTGCCTAGACCTGTTTTCCTAGAATCAGTATTTCTGGATCTCATATTAAATAAAATCTTTCCATCAAATAAACATACTTTTGAGACATTTGGGATATTAGTTTACTCCTCCAATCTTAAAATAGTTCTCTTACATGGGAGAGCTTCTCTTACTAAACAAGTAGATTAACTCTTATATTGATTGACCATCTCTGTTATTACATTTTCCATTCAACTAATGAACAAGTTCCTTATTCCATTTGCTAGAACTCTCAAACTCTAAAGAAAAAACTCAAAAAAAAGAAAGGAAGGAAGAAAGAAAAAAATGAAAACTTCCAATTGGTTTCTTTCCCACTTATTGTTCTTTGGCTTGCCAGTGATTTTAGCTAATCATATGCTTTTACTCAAAATGACTTTTACAGGGAAAATCTCCAAATCTATAACCAGTTACTGAATTTATCAAACCATGGGGGTGGGGGAGAAGATGAGGGTAGAAGAGAAGCATATGCAAACACGCACACAGCGTGTATGTATTTTAAGGACTTATCCAGGACCACACCCATTTTGTCACTTAGCCATTCTACAAAAGAGCTCAATTCATTTTGCAAAAATTATATTGAAAAAATATCCATCCACAATCTTATTTCTTTACTGCTAATCACTTCAAAAGTTCTGTTGACATTATATGGTTATATTCTCAGAGGAATTCTCCTCCTCTCCAAGATTAATTTTCATTTTTCTCAGACGTATTTTTTGCATAAACCCAAGCAAAACAACATTCTAGATGCTCATGGAAAATTCTCTTTTTCCCTCTGCAAATATTATGCTGAAATCTGTCATTCACTCTATGTCCCAAATCAACAAATGGTAAATATTTCAATATAGTTGTCTGGTATATTTTGGTATCTTACTCTCTAAATTTCCTTTAAAGAAAGAGTATGCCCTTCGCTTAAAATATCTGCCAAAGAACTAAAAGCAGTCAGGAAAAATAAATTAAAAGTGTCTTTGTTCTCCTCTATTGTCTTATACAAGGACCTTTGTACTTAAAGTAATATTGTGGAAAGTGTCTTCGTGTTCTATCAATAATACATTGAGGTTCAGTTTATTTCATTTTATGTTGTTTTTACCTCTGCTTGGCAAACAAGACTCTCTCGACATTCTCATTCAAATCAAACTGTAGAATGCTAATAAAACAAATCCAAATTAATAAAGTCCATTTCCTTTATATTAATCCTCTTAAAGTTATCAGGGACTCATATTCCTACATATGAATAGTACAATCAGACACCAAGTAGGAAGATAAAAGATAGATTAAAGGGTCTATTAACATACAAGACTATTAAGACAAAAGCATAATGACAAAGGCTATACTGAACTTGATTATCTAAGACATGTGTTGGGTGGAGACTCTAGTCTCCAGGAAACATCTAATACTGTTGACCCCTTATAACCTCAGCATGGGCATTATTTCAGCATTGATAAAAAGGATTTCTTAAATTTTATTTTTACATTGATCAGCTTGGTCTGAAAAATATTTCAGCCTGCAAACCACAAATTTGATAATCGTTTGCCTAAGTGCTTAGGAAGACCGAACCATTCTAGAGACTCTTTGCTTTTCACAAAGAAGAATTTCCTCTAACATCTAGTTTAGTTTAATTATAGCAGTCAGGGTGTGATTTCTGTTTATATCCCTCCGGTTGAATCTGCTCTGGCTGGGTTTGGGTCAGAGCTATTTCTAGGAAATGCCTGCTACTTTTTCTCAAACTAAAACTTCTTTGCATTTTTCTTTCTTTTTTCCCCACTTGATATCTTTGCTACTTTAATATGGGAGTAGGTGATCCGTGTGCCCATCTATAACCAGGCATGTGGGCATGATATCCAATGCATCTAGTTCCAAAGGATGTGGTATGTGACTATAGTGAGTATTCTCTTTGAATTATTAAAGCCACTATATTAGCTAAGACTCTTCAGTTCCAAGTAACAGCAATCAAGCTTAATTTAAAGCAAAACCAACCAACCAAGCAAATGAGAAAAGGAAAAGGCATAAAAGGTGTCCCAAGGATTCCTGAGCAAAGAATCTATTAGGCCTCAGAAAGAACTAGACCCAGAGGAACCTACAGAGGAGCCTTTCCCACCTCTCATGGCTGGTTGACTCCATGACTCTACTTCAATTCCTTCCCCTGCTGAAACAACTTTATTTGTTATGCAATGCAAACAGAAGATGGTCCCCAACAACTCCCAAATTTTACAGATAAGTTATTTTCTCATGAAGTAATGATTTTTTTCTGCTTCTCAATTTCAGTCACCCAGAAAAGGAATTGATGGAAGTCAAATTTGTTACAAATTTTCACTCCTTCCAGTGTGGTTGTCTAGTCAACTGGGACTGAGAGATCAGGGCCTCATTGAAAGAGACCCACGGGGTAGATCAAGGTGGCAGGGTGAGAAACTGGCAGATGCTCTACGAAGTTTACCTGCCACTATGTTGAGGAGAGAGCAAATTTGCACATGTGCCCCAGAAGCAGGGCTGGAATGACTGAGACTCCCACTGGCACATGAGTACACACAGTCTTCTGAGGTTCTGGAATCACTGGCTGCTTTCCTAGGATGTTCAGCTAAATAAGTGGCAGTGCCTGAAGCAGTCCCTAGTTCCTCAAAGGTGGGATCCAGTCCACATGGCATCTGTGGTTTGATGCTCTGTTGTCTTGGGATTAAATTCTGCCTAGATCTGAGATGTCCACTTGGTATCCCTCCAGCTGAGAAGATGCTGTATTCTAGACATGCGATTTCTGTAAAACCTGTGAAACATGTGAATAGAGCTCTCCAGAGAACTTTATTCCAGAAACTGAAATTTAGTTTACCTCAAAGGAGATTTCATAATGAAAAGATTTCCCACATGTTACATCAATGTGTCCAAACCAAAATATCATACACATATAGAAACTTAAAAAAGAAAAAAAAATGATTTGGATGGTACAGTTCACATTATCCCGCCCACACAAGCAAGGTCTGGCTTCCAATTAAAGACATCTTTCCTTTCTCTGCTGAAAGACAAAAACAAAACAAACCTCCAAATCCCATAGACTATACCATCAAAATTTATAAATCTATGCTCAAAAAAATTAATCACAAATTCAAACTACAATTATTCCTTATACTGTGTTTTCATCCCTTTCCCACCCAAAGGGGACAATAGAAACGTATAAGGATATATGCTGGTGGGAGATATTGGCAGCTTACTGGAGAGTATCCAATAGTGATACACACTTCTGCTCAAATATGTGTTTGCCCCTTGATTCTTTTTCAAGGGAGAAATTAGTTCCTATGTCCATGCTCACGCTGATCCACATTGCCCCTCCACTGAAAGCCCAGAGGGTGTCATAGGCTTTGATCTGTAACAAGTATTAAAAGTGGTGAGGTTTTCCTTTTTGCTTTCTTTTGAACAACCTCCAGTAGATTACACCTTGATTGTATGTAATGGCCATGAGGAGGAAGACGAATGAGCTCAAGAGAGGCACCCTATCATTTCCTAAAATGCAACAACCTCATTTTTTTTGTGCATACGTGCACATGTGCACATGTGCACGTGCACACGCACATGCGTGCGCACGCACACACACACACTGTTTTCCTAAGTTTATTAAATGTCATAATTTTTGTAATCATTTATTTTGTGTGACTGTTGATGGGTCTTCCTATGAGACTGCATGTTCCCAAAGTCAGAGACTTGGTACATGCTGCTGTTTAGTAATGAGTTAAACCAAGAGGCTAGTGCAGTGCCAGGCAACATGGTGTGGGGCAGGAACCCGACTATGGAGGCTGACTGTGGGGTCTGAATCTCAACCCTGCCATTTGTTTAGCGTGGGACATCAGGTAACCTACGTAACTTCCCTGTGTCTCAGTTTTTTAATCAATAATACAGAGATGCTGTCTACATGGTGAAGATGATTCGAGGATTATTAAAATGAGTTACATATAAAGCACTTAGAAACAGTGCTGGCACATAGCAAGTGCTATATAAGTGTGTCAAATAAATAACAGACCCTAAAATATTTGTTAAACAAATGTTTAACGCATTCTACAGAGAAAGGACAGGGCTATTTATCACTTTACAAGATTGAAGGCCTGGTATATGGCTTTATGTTTTGCACCCAAACTGCAATCAGTTCTTTTCCTCTATATTATTTTTCCGTAACTTTAAATCTAGGGGATTACTGTTTATTCACCCCAAAGTGGCTCAAGGAACTAATGCTCCTATATGGTAGCCCTTGGTTTTTCTGCTAGACACCACCTATGAGTGGGGAATGGGGATCCACTCTACTGAGAAAAACACTGAATTTGTTTCAACCACCAATTCTCTCTAGACATGAGAAAAATCATGGTGTCTTACTTAATATAATTTCAGTTTCATCATATAAAGAATACATGTTCATTATAGAAAAATTAAAAAAGTTTCAGAGGGAAATAAAACAAATCATCCATAGTCATACTACATTGAGAAAAATCACTGTTTTGCCAAAAATGTTATGATATCTTATATCACAGGTTATAAATAAAAAAGCACATTCACCTAGAAATTGAAATTATAGTAAAATTTTATTCTAATATGTTCTTCACTTACAACATGAACATTCCTCCCATGTCACTAAATAGTCTTCAAAATGAGAATTTTTATAAGATTGTGCATTTTTCATCACATGGATAATTTATTTTATGATTCCAAGATTTTGGGGTATAGAGAATGCTTGTGATTTTTTTCTATTATAATGATGCTGTGATCAGCATTCTCACAAAAGGACAAAGTAACTTCACCTGAAAATACTAAGAAACAAAAAAAGAGGAAAAATAAAATCCCTGCAGAAGATAAATCCCAGCTTTGATATCAATCCAGAAGACCAAGAAAGATTTCTGGTTTTGGGTTTGCCCATCAAATTTCACTAAAATTACATTTAATCTTTTAACCTTCATATTCCTGCAAAGTATTCAAAAACTGCCAAAAATAAGTTCACAGTGCCAGGATTATGATCTTTGCTCAAGAAATACAAGCTGAATGATTGGCCCATGTTTGCTTCCTTTGTGGAAGATTTTAGACTTGAGTTCGTAAAGCAAATTCCAGAAAGAGAGGACAGTTTGAAGATCAGGATATTGAAGACAAGCTGAAGGCTTTTCAAAGAATAAAAGGGAAAAATGTATGGGTGCAAAATTTTACTTTTTGACAGATGCTTAATAATCAGGAGATGTGAGCTGTTAGTTTAATGAACACTTAGTAATTAATTCTCACTTTCTCATAGGGTCAAGAATTTTGGAGGTGAAAATTTATGTGTTCTTACTTTATTTTTTCAAAAGTGGAATGCAGAGGTAGAAAGAGTTTAAATAATTTTCTTAAGCATTCATTTGGAGTAAAATCAAAACGCTTTGCCCAGATTTAGCAAATCCTACACGCCCCGGCCTGCCCTATTCCCCTGCCACCAGCCCAGGTTGTTCTCCCAGTGAAGAGCTATGTTTCAGATACTCTGGCCTCCAGGAAACCAGGAGCCTCAGGTGGACCCTTCCTGCTGCCAGGCGAGCACACGGCACCTCCCCGTCCACCACACACTCTGCCCATCAACCCTTCACTCTTCTCTAACTTCCCAACAATCCCTCCCCATCCCCTTCTCACTCTGCTTGCCTGTTTCCCACTGAGAAAAATGGGATCAACAACGAGAGAAATTAACAGGCTATCATTAACCCATACAGTCACCTACTAGCCTCTACTCCCACATACTTTGCCTATTTGCCTGTTATCATAGTTAAATTTCCCCTGTTCTCATCTAGATCACCCCTTCACCAGTATAGGAGCAGGCATGGCTCACTAATTCTTTCTTTTTTCCTCTCCATCATCAACTTTCCCTCTCTACTGGATCAGTCTCACCTACAAACATGTGACATGCTGTTATTTCTCCCATGTTAAAAACTAAACCAAACCAAACCCCAGACACCCTTCTCCCGACCACGCTTGTCCTGCCTACTCCCTTCCTAGACCTTTGCTCCCTGGTCCAGCAGAGGTCTTTAAAGAGGTATATTTTCTATCTCTGATTCCCCTCTTTCAAGCTAGCTCCAATCCAATGTTACTTAACCCATCAGCAGCATTGGGTAGAGTTGATCACAATCTCCTCTTTGGTCCATTTCTCCATGTGGCCTCTGGGACATCAAACTTGGATTTCCTTTTACTCCACGGGTTTCTCTTTCTCAGATGCTTTATAGTTCCCCTCCTTCTCTCCAAACTCTTAATGCTGGAGTGTCCCATGGCTTGGCTCTTGGCCTTGTCATTTCCATCTCACCCACTCCTTCTGGCATGAAATAACAGATCCCTCTCCTGCACTTCAGACTTCTATATTCAACTACCTATTTGTCATCTCTACTCAGATGCCTAATAACACCTTAACATTAACATGACCAAAACTGACCTCCAAGACCACTTAACTCTTCCATCACCAAAGCTGTTTTACCCTTAATCAATAGCAGTGCCATTTGCTTACTTGCTCAGACAGTATTCCTTGACTTCTCTTTCCTGTGCAATCCATATTTAACCCAAAAAGAACTCCTAGTGGCTTGACCTGCAAAATACATCCAGAATTGGACCATGTCCCATGTCCCGTCCACCTTTATCACCTCCATAATTCCAGTCCATGCACCTTCGTCTCTTGCCTGGATTCCCAGTGAAGCCTCATCATTGTCCTTCCTGTGTCTCCACTTGCCACCTGAGTCTCTAATACCATAGCCAGAGTGGGTCTTTAGAAATGTAGTCCAGATCATGTCACTCCTGTGTTCAAAATTTGCTCTACATTTCACTCCAAGTAACATAAAAATTCTTACTTTGGCTACAAGGACCTACATAATCTTATTCCCCCACTAACTTTCTGATTTCCTCCTTGTTCACTCTGCTCCAGCCACTGTGGCTTCCTTGCTGTTCCTGAAAGACATAAGTCCCACTCCTGCCAGAGGGCAGTTGGTACTGCCTGTTCCTTACCTGCTTCTCAATTCCACTAGATGATTTTTTGGCTACCCCTTCATCATTTGTTCAAAACTTCTTTTCAATGACGTCTACCTTCACCAACCTACTTTCTGTGGGAATCTGCTCTTGGCATGCCCACCACTCCCTGTCCCTTTCTCTCTCAATTCCCTCCTGCAATGCCCTATTTGTTATAACAGTTACCAATCTTCAACATGAAACATAACTTGTATATTATGCTTATTGTTTATCATCCATTCCACTTCTAGAACATAGGTGCTGTGGTGCAGCGATCTTCATTTTGTTCACTGTTGAATTCTAATGCCTAACACAGGGCCTGGCCACTGAAGGAGACTCAATAAGTATTTGTACCATAGACCTATGAATGAATGAATTCTTGCCCCTTTTTAGAAGTTTGCATTAACTGTGTCTTTTCTCTGGAATATTCTTTGCTTCCTGCCACATGGCATTTCCTTCTGGTCATTCAGACTTCAAAGGTTTCAAAGGGTCTTTCCTAAGAACAAAATCCAAAAGAGCCACCCGTTACTTGTCATCACTCATCCTGTTTTCATAGTTTTTAATCAGTATCTATTTTCTCTTTTGTTTTTGTTTTTGTTTGTTGTTTGTTCTTAGAGATGGAGTGTCGCTATTTGCCCAGGCTGGTCTCCAACTCCTGGGCTCAATCAATCCACCCGCCTCAGCCTCCCAAAGTGCTGGGATTACAGGCGTGAGCCACCGTGACTGCCTAAATAATTTATTTGTCTATTTGTTCATATATTCCCTGTTCCTACCTCACCCATTCTTATTGACCTCAGAATCCCTAGGACCTAGCATATATCGTACATCATCAAAACATTGCCTGGCATACATCAGGCATACATTTATTGCATGGAGAAATATCACACAGCTAATATACCATCTAGAAGGCATTACACAAATTATTAATAACAGCATCCAATGCAGAACTCTTTCCCACTGTAGGTTTAAGCTCCCCAATAGATGTTCTGCCAATTTAGCAACCAGAAGAATGTTACACCAGAGGATAAAATATGTTTTTACTATTTTAGTAGACAGTAGCCATCATGACTTATCTTAGTCATGATCTAGCTTTTGGACATGTGGCTCAACAAACCCAAGGACTGTCTCAAATCTTGAACTGTGTTACCGTCTCATTTCATACTGTGTCTATTACACTGACAGGCAAACTTTTTCTTTTTGCTTGACACTTCGACTACTGTTTCTAAATGTACTTGCCTTTGTTTCGTTTTATCTGGGCAAATCTCTAGAGCATCTCAACCCATTGCTACATAATCTATGTTTCAATGCCTATATACTTAGGCAGTAAAGGAGTGGTTTTTTTTTTTTTTTTCTGTGCAGAGTTAAAGCTATGAAAGAACGGATGTTGACAATATTCTATGCTTGACCACACTCTTTTTAGAGTTGCATTAGGGAAAAAGCGCTCATATTGGAGATATGTGTGTCACTCAATGAGCACAGGAAGCTTGTTGGGTATCAGTAAACATGCAGGGCCTCTGAGCAAAGGGCTCACATCAACTGACTGAGATATTAAAAGCAGGATGTATCTTCATCCTTTGATGATAATACATACTCATGTCTTAGGGGTGGGTTTCGCCATTACTCAGTGCCTTCTAACATCACAAGGTTCTGGGCATGTTGGGCCACTTAAAACATAGTCTATCCACAGGGTAATTTTGGGGACCTGGCAAAGTCTCAGGGCCCTTTGCTGAAGCATCCAAAGGCAACATTAGGCTGATGTTGCTGACGGAAACTCCCCATGCCTCCAATTTAGATGACCAGCTAATGGAGCAGAATACAGATGTGCTCACCTAAATGGCGCTCATGGGTTTAGCTTCCCCATGGTCTCAAGCATGGTCCCCTCATGCATCTATTCTCTCTTTATAGGCTTGTCCCAGGTCTGCACTCTCATCTCTGACACTCCCATGCCAACTGCTCCAATGCCATGCTCTCATCACTTCTGCCTCCCTTTAACCTACATGAGCCTCCTGTAATTTTCTCTAGGGTTTTAGCAAGCAACACAGTGCACATGTGGATAAACTTGGAGGACTTCCCTAGGAGGAAGTTTTCTTGTTAAAATCAGTGTTTACATTGCATATCTGAAGCAGCATGGGAGGAGACTGAAGCCAAGCTCCTGAGCAGGTGAAGAAGAATAACGACGAGAATTCTCCCCAGAGGGGTAGAAGGCAGGGCTCAGAAAAATTAGGGTTGGGGTAGGCTCCCATAGGGAGTGGCCAGAGAAAAGATGTGCCCATATCTCTAAAGCAACAGCTACCTTGGTCAATGCATGGCCTCTAGGCTAAACTGCTTTCAAAAACCAGAAAGGAGGTGCAGATATTGTGTGAACAGTTGGGGTTTAGAGACGTATATGCGTATTTTAATAAAAGCCATTTAAACAAGCCAATTACATATTCCATAATAAAAAGTACTTGAAGAAAACAAGGCTTGCCCCTGTGGTGAATGCACTTTGTTACTGCTTAGTGCACCAGACAGCAATGGAGTGGGACACATCAGTTCAAGCATCTTAGTCTAGCACGCATAGCAATCATTATGATTTCTTGGCCCAGTGTCTGTCCACTATCTTTCAGTAACAGATCATTTTTATATTTAGGTGGTCACCACTCTCCTACTCTCTATCCAAGGATCCTTTGCCTCCTTGCGCCTGGGTGACGTGACATGTGATGTAGGTCTGCCTTGAGAAGCACAGAACTCACAATGAAGGTTCCAGAGATGTGCCTGTGTCTCAAGCCTGTACAATGAAACATGGTCCTGTGAGTGTTGTCAGGGCTATGGCAAAGGAGAATCTCTCTTTTCCACTGGAGATGATACTGGCAGCTGGGTTGTTGGGGGACACAGGGAGGGAACTTTCCTGAAAAGGAAGCCAACACAGAGAAAGGCTGGATGCACAGGGGAGTCAGGGAGAGAGAGGATCTGAAGAAATGAGTTGCACACCTGCATTCATTTCTGCCTTTGCATTTTTACATTGAGTGAATTTAACCCCTTGTTGCCTAAGCCAGTTTGAGTTTCTGTTGCTTGCAACCAGAAGAGTCTGATAAATATTCAGCATTAGCACATGGTACTTACCACATGTGAATCCCACGAAACCCTTGATGTACTCTCATATAGTCCTCTAAGAACACTGTAAGGCTGCTGCAGTTACATCTGCATTTTGTAGGCAGGAAAACCATATGATCCCAAGTCAATGGCAGATCCAGAATTCAAACCCAAGCAGCCTAGTTTCAGAACTGGGGACCTTCATCACTACATCTCACTAGTCTAATTGGGCATAGAATCAATTTGATGGGGAACCTTTATGGTTTCCAAAGTAACTAGTCCTAACCCAGCTCAAGGAGGGTTAGAGGGTTTCTTCAGGCTCTTACTTCAATAGAGGGTAGCCTCTGGTAGGGCAAGGGCTACCTTTCTTTCTTTCTTTTTTTTTTTTTTTGAGACAGAGTCTCGCTCTGTCACCTGAGCTGGAGTCCAGTGGCATGATCTCAGCTCACTGCAAGCTCCACCTCCTGGGTTCACGCCATTCTCCTGCTTCAGCCTCCTGAATAGCTGGGACTACAGGCACCCACCACCACGCCCGGCTAATTTTTTGTATTCTTAGTAGAGATTGGGTTTCACCGTGTTAGCCAGGATGGTCTCGATCTCCTGACCTCGTGATCCACCCACCTCGACCTCCCAAAGTGCTGGGATTACAGGCGTGAGCCACCCTGCCCGGCCGGGCTGCCTTTCATGTTTAAAATCCCTGCACCCCGTGTCTAGTATGAGCCTGGCCCGTGATTATACAGTCAAGATGGGTGTAGAACTGAGTGGAATGCAGGATTCTTTGAAAACAAAACTGTAGTTTGCTCATAGAAAATAAAGGTCTGTAAAAACTAAGAGTGCTGATGAAAGTGTGCACATGCTTATACACATGAGCATTCTTGCCAAAGGACAGAGCTATAGGAAGAATTCCATAGGAATTACAGGACTGCGTAATGGATTACAATCCACTTTCAAAAACTCAGAATATTTTTTTCTGTCTCATGAGAGCTAGGGCTGCTGCTGGAGCCATAAAGGAAATCAATTTTCTGAACTCTCCTGGGGTCCTACACAGTCCGATTATACCCTCTGTGTGCTGGCAAGTTCTAACCACTTTGCAGCCTCTGCCCCACGGGCTCTGAGCATGAGTTTTCTTCTCTTTTGCTGTCTGTGCCCCCGCCAGCCCCACCTCCTTTCAAGTGTCCGTTCTGATCAGATGGACAAGCCAGGCTTTGCCCAATTAGTTCACTTTAAGTAGCTTACCCTGTACTTTATTAAAAGCAAAATCCACATTGGGTTGACAAGATTAGAGGAAAATATAAAAATAAATTACTGTATTAAAATTAATTAAATGAAAAGCTGTATCTAATACCAGGAAATGATGGACTTCACGGGAGCAGTGAAGCCCTTAGTTCAACAAATGATTTTTAAAAATCCTAAAAACTCCCAACGTAGGGCTGAATTAAATATTCGACACTAAATGCAAAAAAGCAAAAAGATGTTAATTTTGGCTTTTTGCACAAAGTGAATAAAAAGTTCATTCTACTCTGCTCTGTGGGAAAATTTTTTTTACCGCAACACCATTCCATAGGCTGAGTATTATAAATAACAACCCCCTTGTACTTAGAGAATGATTTGATCTGAAGATCACTAAGTATTTTGGAAACACTCACGCAAGCGCACTGACAAATGTACCAAGGAACAAATAAGGAGTACAGGTTCACCTGCTCAGTTTAACTTTTATTGAGCACTTATTAGGAACCGAATTCTAAGCCGAGTGATGAGCAAAGTGAGAAGGTAAGGAAATTAGAAAAGAAGCAGTGAGATGACCAGGATTAGAATCTGACACAAAATGTCACATGCTTTGAAATTTCTATACCCTGTTCCAATTTTTTATTTATTCTAAATAAAACATTGTATTTACTTGAAGCATTAAGGATGTCAACAAAACAGCTGCATCTTTTTTTGCAATTACAGAGTGGTATTCAGGTCACAGAGTGACAATTGTTTCGTGTAAATTGCATCAGAGACAATTGAAGATGAAAAAACTGTCATCCCCGTATATAACAAATTTGTGCTGTGCACCAACGAGAACCTGTTTTAGTCTTCCTTGCCAATTTGCAACCCCATACTACACCAGGCAAGGTTAGTGGCTACTGAAAATGCCACTGGCACTGGGGCTATCTAAAGACACATTTCCTAGTGTGCCACCTCTACAAAAGACACTTTGCAATTTAAAAACAAACCTTACACAGCCTTTTATTTTAATGTTTTCCTTTAAAAAGAATGAGTAGTGTGTAGGGAGGTACAATGCTTTATAGACAAGGAAAAAAACTGCTAGGGCCAACTTATTCATCATCTTCATCTTCCTCTTCTTTTTCTTGCTTTTCTCTGCCTTGATGAGTCAATTTTTTGTTGCATCAGGCTTTCCTTTAGCTTGGTATGTAGCAATATCCTTTTCTTATTTTTCCTTCAGCTTGGCAGCCTTTATTTTCATTAAATTTTTTTTTCATAGAGATGGGGTCTTGTTATATTGTCCAGGATGGTCTTGAACTCCTAGCCTTAGCAGTCCCCCTGCCACAGCCTCCCAAAGTGCACCATTACAGGCATGTGCCACAATGCCTAGCTGCACCTTTTCATGAGGTTGCTTGCCATCTGCAGCAGTGTTACTCTACATCTCTATCAGTTTCCTTGCAGCATCACCAATGGATAGGCTGGGATGTTCTCCTTTGCTTTTGGGGCAATACTCAGAACAGAAGGAGAAAAAGGCCAAAGGAGGCTTCTGGGGTGCATTGGAATCCTTGAACTTTTTTGTTTCTCCTTTAGAAGAAATATAGTTGTTTTCTTTTTAATTAAATAATGGGCCTCGTCTGCCTTTGCTGTGTCTTCAAATTTTCCTTTCACCTTAGCAGACATGGTCTTCCACCTCTCTGAGTGTATCTTAGAAAACTGTAAGGAGGAGTTGGCTGAAGCACCTGGGTGCTGCTTCTTGAGCTCCTTTTGACAAGTTTACACAAAGAACACGTATAATGACATTCACCTCTTGGTGTCATAGGATCTCCTTTGCCCATGTTTATTTTTCCTCAGTGAGGCACACAGGAACCCAGTGCCTGTCCAGCTCACTTGCCTCAGCGCCATCTCTAATGGAAGCTAGAGGGAGCCTCCTCACTCTCTCCAATCTGTCTGTCCCAAGTGTACGAAGTAAAAGCTTAGTACATGACAACAGCAAATTCCTTTATTTGCTCATTAACAATAGAAGGAATTGGAGTAGGATTTTAATGGGTATGGAATAAATTGAAAAAAAAATCAAGCCCAAAATGTCATATAATGGAAATAACTAGAAACTTTTTTTTTTTTTTTTTTTTTTTTTTGAGACGGAGTCTCGCTGTGTCACCCAGGCTGGAGTTCAGTGGCGTGATCTTGTCTCACTGAAAGCTCTGCCTCCCGGGTTCACGCCATTCTCCTGCCTCAACCTCTCAAGTAGCTGGGACTACAGCCGCCTGCCACTATGCCCGGGTAATTTTTTGTATTTTTAGTAGAGACGGGTTTTTCACCGTGTTAGCCAGGGTGGTCTTGATCTCCTGACCTCGTGATCCGCCCGCCTCAGCCTCCCAAAGAAATAACTAGAAACTTTTATTCTTCATTTGTATTTTGTATTTATGATACTACATTCCCTTTTGAAAGCAAAATGCATTTTCTCATTTTTCTTCTGTGTATGTATGCTGATGAGGAAGGGTCTGGGTGAGAGCTCAGAGTCAAGGCTAGAGTAGTCAAGTAATGTCACAGGTTTTCTTGACTGCCTCTTCCTCTTCTAAAGCAAGCCCTGACCCACTCCACTACACCCCAGTAAGCAAATGGAAAACTAGATGGAGTTCAGAACCAAAGACTGGTTCAGGCTGCCTGAGTAGACCCCAGTGGCATTCCTCAGGAGCTCTGTGACAGAGGGCAAGGACTCAGCCTCTTCGGCCCTCTATTTCCTCATCTGTTGATGTGGTTTTGTTGTGTCCCTACCCAAATCTCATCTCAAAGTGTAATCCTTACATGTCAGGAGAGGGACCTGGTAGAGGTGATTGAATCATGGGGGCAGACTTCCCCCTGGCTGTACTGGTGACTGTGAGTTCTCATGAGATCTGGTTGTCCGAAAGTGTGTGCTTCACTTTATTTCTCTCCTGCTCCACCATGGCAAGACGTACTTGCTTCCCCTTCACCTTCCGCCATGATTGTAAGTTTACTGAGGCTTCCCAGTCATACTTCCTATATAGCCTGTGAAACTGTGAGTCAATTAAACCTCTTTTCTTCAAAAATTATCCAGTCTCAGGTAGTTCTTTATAGCAGTGTGAGAACAGACTAATACATCTGTTAAAAGGGGATGATCAAAGAACTGATCTCCTAGGGTGGCTGTGCAGATGAAATGGATTCATCCAAGCAAAGCTTACAGCACAGTGTTTGGCACATGGAAAGGATTTGGTACGTGTTAGGTTCCCATTTGACCTGGTCATACTGTGTTTTCTGTGTCTCAGTAGAGTTTTGGCGCTTTTCCTTTTCCCCTCCGCCAGAGAGACTTAGCTATTCTTTATTCCACTTTCTCTCTAGTCCTGTCACTTCCCACCCCGCTACCCTGCCTTGTATTTCCTTATAGTATGCATCACATAAGACATATTACTGTCTTCCCACCCATGCTAATTATGATGACTCTCCTGTTTTTACAAATGAAGGAGTCACTTGTCTGTGGACTGGCTACTAGGGCCCAAGTCCTGTGGAAAAAAAAGAGACTGATTTGTCTTGTTGCCTGACGTATGCCCAGATTCTAGAATGGTGCTTGGCATAAGGAGGCCCTAAGTATATATTATTGGTATGCGTGAATAAGCTAGTCACTCCCAAGGGCTCTAATACTCTCAAGGGACTCTAGCACTTTAATACATCCTGCCACAAATCAGACCTGCAATTCCTTCTTCCTTGAATATATCGTGAAAATGCAGAACACGTTTAGGGATACTGATCTGGATTTGAAGAGACTCAAATGATGAAATCTACCCGGATTCATGATGGACATCGTTTCTTATGTATATCTGGTACCTTGAAATTCCGTCAGAACATTCTCCAACTCTCCCATACCCATGGGAAATGATTATAAACCAGCTACCTGGACACGCTAATTGTGGGTGCATATTGAACAATTTCAGAAAATGTGTAAAAGCAGGGAAGTTTCAGACTAAAATGTTTAATATCAGATTTGCTCTAAACATTCAAATTCTGGCAATACTGGGCACACAGTCTTGGGTATCAATTAGCTAGCTAGCTTTAAGAGGCTGTATCCCCAGTTAGATGGAATATTTCTCTCCAGTTTACTACTGTCCCTGCCCCTTCTTACTGTCTTCCTGCAGTGTAAAGAAGTATCAGTTGCAATTTATCATTGCAATTGTGCAATCTTTCCTAAGATTGGAAATCTCTCTTTTTTTTTAATCAAGAGAAACAATTTCTTAGTTTACATAGTCATGTTTCATAGTTCAGGAACACAGGTCAGTGACAAAATTCTATGTAACTCAACCCAAAGACTTTCTTTATATTCCCAAATCACTTTGTCCTCTGAAAGATACCAGCCTTCCTCATCTCCTCAAAATCTTTCATGGAATCATAATTTCTGCAGAAATCTGTGTATGCCTTCTTTCTTGGTTCAGCCACAGCAAACTTAAAGAGAGCTACAACCCCCAGGGATACAACAAATACTCCAATAATATGAAATCGCAGATGCTTGGCCCAAAGTCCATGCATCTGAGGTTTTGTTAAAGCACTGGAAGCCATGGTAGTTATCGTCCTTGACAGGTATGTCAACCTTAACACCAACGTCTTTCCTGGCTGATGGAGAATTGGATGCAGCCAAGATCAGAAATCTCCTGCTCAAAAGTAGGAAAACAGAAGACTCGGTGCTTTAAGAAAATGGGAGACATTTTTTAAAAAAGGAAATAGGGACTGTTCTGACATGTTTGCTATGAAATTATCCAGCAGTTTTGACTCTTAGTGTTACCTGGCCCCTCTAGGAATCTGAGTTTGCTATTCTGCCTTAGGGAGGGGTCCTCTAGATTGGATCACTCAGTCATCTTAGGTTTCTGCTAAATTGATGAGTATTTTTTATCCTTGCTGATGCAAGCAAGATATGTTTGAGTGTCAATTTGTTTTATACAACCAGTGCTTTGAGGAGTAATTCTGCAGGATATTAATTCACAAAAAGTTGTGAGAAATTGCTGCTTCTCCAGGTTCAGAAATGATCATCTGATTTTAATTCATTAGAGCATTTTATTTCTGATTATATTCTTATAATATTCTGATTATATTCTTCTACTAGGGTATGTTTCAACCAGTCACCATGAGTAGTAAGTACTGTGGGGAAAATGGGTTCATGGTTAAGACTAGAAAACCTAGGTAGAAATCAAGTTCCACATGCTTCTTTACTATGAACTATCTTTGCTTAAAACAAAAACAAAAACTGCCATTGTGAATCCTCAAAGGACTAAAGGCTCAGTGGGATTGGAGGAGGTGGTATGTATTATTTTTCAAGCTTTTAAAATTTGGATATAGACCTCCCACTTTTTTAATAACAAAAGATCAGTTGGGCAAATATTATGGTTTTTGATCTTTTATTCTGCATAGAGTACATTCCCTACATTTTGTAGATCCACTTTAGCTGAATCCATGAGGCAATAACACAGAGTTATCACTCACATCCTGGATTCCCAAGGACAGCACTTATCTAAAACATGCTAGACAGACTTTAAGTAGTAACTGTTAATGTCTCACGTTCATTAAAATCTTCTTATTGCAAGGCATTATACTAGATAGTTTCTCTCTATATTGTCTCTCTTCATCTTCCCAACAACTCCTAAGGCAGGTAAATATCATCCCCATTTTACAGATTATAAACTGAGGCATTGGGACATTAAATAGTTTACCTAAGATCCTACCTAGTATGAGTGAACTGAAACCATCAGAAAATATTTCATGTATATGTGTTTTGTGGACATCTGTTCTCTTTAATGATATAATGAAGTAGCTAGCATTTATTTAAATGCTTATTATGAGTCAGGCACATATGGGTTTTATAGGTACAGTATTACCTAATTTAGTCCTCCCAGAATGACTAAGTGCTACTATAATTCTCCAGTTTACAGATTAGAAATGGAGGTCAAGAGAACGCACCATCACACCGTCAGCAACTTGTGGGACCAACTCCCTGCACATCTGGGATGCTGACATCCGTGCACTTAACTGCTATTCTTAATGCTCCAGAGATACCCGTTGAGCATCTGTTCCCAACAAAGTTTCCTGAAAAATACTGATATCTAACCAGGGTTTAAAAGCACACAAGAAAATGGAAGGATGCTTACCTCAAGCATCAGAACTGTATCTCTAAGACAAACAGAGAAAAATTTCAGTCTTTTAACAACTTCAGTGGGTTTTTCTTGTCTTTCAGTGTGTTTATGTGTCTGTTTTATTCCTTGTGCAGCTTCTGCCTACTCGATTTTCCCTATCAAAAAAAAATAATAACTTGTCTTAAAACTTGTCTCAATGAATTCTGTGTGAGAAATTGCACAACCAGCTGGCCACCACTGCTCTCTGACACGTGGCTGCAGCCACTGGGGAAAAGTTGGTGTCTCTGTTTCTGTTGATGTCTTCCTTCAACTGGAAGGGGGTGTCTCAGCTGTAAGGTGTGCCCACCTTGTGATAAAGAGGTCGACAGATTCCTCAAGACTGTAACAAAGGCCTAGAGAAAGGCATGCTTGGAGAGAAAATTGGAAGTGAACGTCAGAGCTTTACAAAAAGCTCCCAAAGTAGGCCCTTGTAAACGTGAATAATGAGCTGCATAGACTAGTTCCTTCATGCTGAGCTCAACACACATCTTTAAACATAAGATTGTCGAGGAAGCAGATACTCGGAAACCCTTTCATCTTAATTAAAGTTATGTGGGCTACCAATACTTTTCCTTTATATTAAGCTCTTATTCCTGTGGAGAAATTTCTATTTGTTTTTATCTAATTTGAGCTTCAAGGTTAATCTCGGTTTAAGACTTTCACTCACTGGGAGAGACGGTCCATCCGGTTCGCCCCTGATTCCATGTATATGCATGCCTCCACCAGGACCCTGCTGGGCTCCAAAGCCTCTTGCTGGCTGTGCATTCTTTACAGTGTTCCCTTCCACAGAAAGAATGGGCTGTGTATCTGGGAAGGATATATGGAATGGGGAGGATTTTGAAAAAGGTCACAAAGCTTTCTATTTTAGGGAACCACATGCCGCAATCCTTAAATGTGGAGTTTCTGATAAAACTTAGCTCTGTGATACAGAGTCTGAGATTTGCATGGTGGGGAAACAAGAGGAAGAGGGAGACATTGGAGACAAAGGAGGGGAATACGTTTCATTCCAAAAAAGAGTCTACGTAGACTTTGAAACAACTGGTGGATCGGCTTGCTTGGCATGCCAAGCTCCTGAATTGTCTTCAGTAAATAGGTTGGATTGAAATAGTTTGATTGAACTGATGATGGCAGTGACTTGCTCTTTTAATTTCAAAGAAAAAGTGAAAAATCATATATAAGTTGCAGAAGATCTAACTTAGGATCTAATTGGAATTTCTTAGATTTTTTTTTTGAGTGTCTGCCCTCCCTGCAAGATAGTAAGGTATCTTAAATGTAATTATGTCATCAGTGCTTGAGAAATAATACATGCTGAAAGTTGGCGAAATAAAGGTAGATTCTGATGCAGCTGGTCTCAGCCACACCCTGAGACTATGCACGTGACAGACATCATTATCTATCATGGTACTCTTTCCACCTGTAGCTAGATGCAAACTCAAAACCCTTAACAATGACCTTCAGCTACAAGAATGATGCAATCAACGTTGTCATGAGAGATGAAGACTATTTATCACAGTGTGCCCAAAATTACAGTTTTCTAAGGTATCGCAAAAATATCAGGTCTTCATGTACTATGTACAACTCACTTTCCTTCTGAGATTGACCTCATTCTCCTTCCCTCTTCTCAATTTTATACATAGCCTCCATCAGTTGGCTCAGAATTCCATTTGCACTTCTTTAGCTTGCCTCCAGGAATTTATAATGGCACAAATCCATGAAACTTCTGGTAGGCCGCTGACTCAAGAGAGAACAGAATTCCGATTAAGATATTCACAATTATATCATCACGAGTAAGAATGGTATTGAAAAGGTTTCCATAGTTAGCGCATAAAGGTGTACCTCTAGCAAATCCAGTTTTCATCTAAGGGAACTAGGATTGCTGCACATACAATGATCTACTTTGAGTCATGAAACCTGGATTCATGTTCTGGGTGCCATTGCAATTGTGTGACCTTGGGAAAGTTATCAGAGCCTCAATCTTCTCCAGGTTTGAGGAAAATGGGCTCTATGCTTACCATCATCTCTTCGTGGGTCTGTTCCACCACTAACATGACAGTGTGAAAAGGAGTTATGTCATTATATAAGCAGGAATAAAGATATTTTATAGTATCAGCTTCTCATTCATACATCCAAGGCCAGAGTGAGCCAAAGAGAAAAGAAGGGAGAACCCAGAGCAGGGAACTCAGAACTCAAGCATATTCTCGTGGCATGGAAGATGAACCCTTTGTAATAAGAAACCAGCATCTCTCCCCTTCCTGGGTTTCTGAAACAGAATCTAGATAATATGGAAAGAGGCTGGTGGGATTCCAAGGGCTTTTGACTCATGGCTCACTTCAGTGAAGGTTAAGCTGTGGGTAATAACTTTTAAAAAGTTAGTGGCTTGGGAGGCCAAGGCAGGTGGATCACCCATGGTCAGGAGTTCGAAACCAGCGTGGCCAACATGGCAAAACCCCGTCTCTAATAAAAATACAAAAATTAACTGGGTGCAGTGGTGGGTGGCTGTAATCCCAGCTACTCAGGAAGCTGAGGCAGGAGAATCACTTGAACCTGGGAGGCAGAGGTTGCAGTGAGCCGAGATCAGGCCATTTGCACTCCAGCCTGGGCTACGGAGTGAGATTCCATCTCCAAAAAAAAAAAAAAAGATAGTTTGCAATTTTTTTCCATATTGAGTAGCAATAAAAACCTTGCAATATCAATTTCACCACATTTGGAGTCAGTCTATTTTTTTTAACATTATCATTATTTTTAATTAAATTATTTTGAAAAGGAAATTTATGTAGTGGTTCAAAAATAACAAAAAAGATAGGTTACTAATAAGGTCACCTCATTTGCTTGTGTGCCCTTGAATATACGTAAATATAAATACATAATTCCCTTCCTTTAAAAACACATGTTCTAATTCTCTCTTGCTTAAACATTTTTTTTTTTAGTTCATTCAACATGCCTTGGGATTTTTCTAGTCAGTTCTTGAGAAGTTTCTTATTTAACCTTAAAAATTTTAAACATTGATATAACAGCTCATTACATAGCTGTATCATTATTTTATGAGACAGGGGTCTTGCTATGTGGCCAAGGCTGGATTTGAACTCCTGGGCTCAAGCTCCTACTCTCAGCTACCTGAGTAGCTGTGACTACAGGTGTGCACCACCATGCCCAGCTCCCTTTTTAATTTAACTGGTCCTACTAATGGCCATTTAGGTTGTTTCTTTTTCTTTTTTTGCTATCACAGACAATAACTGCAATGATTCTTATTTACATATCATTTTCCATGTGTGCAACTAGGACAAAGTCCAAAAAGGAAAATTATTTAGATCAAAGGATACATGCATTTATAATTTTGATAGATATTGCCAGATTGCTTCCATAGGGGTTATTTGAATGGACAATCTCACCAGCAATCACAAGATTGTCTATTTCTCCTGGCTTTCCAACAGGAACTTTGTAAAACTCCTTTGTACATACACAAAAGTACAACAAATTTGCAAACTTAACACATCCTTAAATCAGTACCCAGATTAAGAAACAGAACATTCTCATGATCCCAGAATCCCCCTTCCAGCTCTATTCACTATCCACCCCCAACCTCAAGGGAACTTCTATTCTGACCTCTAAGAGCACAGATTAATTTTCCAACAGTTGGGAAATTTTTAAATGATTACATTAAAACTTGTTTACCCTAAAAATATTCATTGTTTTACTAAACATACTACTTACCTTGGCTCTAAAAGTACAGACAATTCCATCAGAACACCTTTTCACCCATCACTTGCCTTTTTCCTAAACAACTCCAATAAAGAACTTCTCATTCTTTTACAAGGACATTTGAGACAATATCCAACCCTGCCTATTATATTTGGGTCAATCTATTGTAGCGAATCACTTTTGTCTTTTTCAAATTAGAAAGCTGAGAGAATATATAATAATTTTTGCTAAGTTTAACAAAGTTTTTGACATGCTTTCTGACTTCAAATATAGTGATATGGAGTAAATGGAATTTATTTTAGCAGAACTTTAGGGGAAGCCCAGAGAAATAATCAACCTTATGTCAGAGAACTTTAAATGGAAATAGAACAAAAGCAAGTACTATTTGAGGGGAAAAAACCATATGCAAGAATGTGTTGTGGGCCAACCAAACTAACAAGGGGTTTTGTGAACCTAATTCAAATATCGGAGGGCAGCTGGGTGCGGTGGCTCATGCCTGTAATCACAGTATTTTGGGGGGACGAGGTGGGAAAAACACTTGAGGTCAGGAGTTCGAGGCTGGCCTGGCCAACATGGTGAAACCCCGTCTCTACCAAAAAAAAAAAAAAAAAAAATTAGCTGGGCGTGGTGGCATGTGCCTGTAATCCCAGGTACTCAGGAGGCTGAGGCGGGAGAGTCGCTCGAACTTGGGAGGTGGAAGTTGCAGTGAGCTGAGATCACACCACGGCACTCCAGCCTGGGCGACAGAGTGAGACTCCCTCTGAAAAAGAAAAAAAAAAGTCAGAGGGCACATGCTCTATATAGCAGGTGTTGGGTTGTGATAAAGAAGCTTCATGCATAGGCAACTCTAAGATCTCCCAGAGTGACTAGCAGCAGGTATTAATTTAAGGATGTCTGGTGATTCTCCACAGCAACAAAACAGAATCTGGCTGGTAATAAATAAGATACTGCTCTGTACCGCTTCCTCCATCTGAAATTTCTACACTGCTGATATTGTATATTCTTATCTCTTATCTCCGTGCCTGCAGGCTTCCATGACATTCCTATGAATATCCTGGTCTGCTCTTTGAATTCTTACCTTCTTAATATTTCCAGTTCTCCTTTATCCTTTTTCTATTGAGACAGCCTAGCATAGTCAACAGTCGCCTGAACTAGTGGTGCAGTACCTTCTGAAGGAATCCCAAGAATTTCATGGGAAAAAACACATAGAAAATATGAGAATCTGCCTATCTGATTTCCCTGAAGACCTGCCAACTTATTAATGTGAAATAACTAGACTGTAAGTTCTGTAGACTATAGTCATTTTATTTATTGTCTCTGTTTCGTTACCAGAAAGATTTTAAATGACTTACAAAGCCATACTATACAGTAAGAGAAGATAGAAATATGAAAGATGAGAAAAAGAAACAATATGGGCAGTGACATTAGATGAAATGGAGAAGTAGAGTTGAACTACAAATGTTCATCATCACGAATGTCCACCCTTAGAAAAGGATTTTTATGATGTTTAATTTGGGGATTGCCTATGCATGAAGCTTCTTGATCACAACCCAACACCTGCAATATAGAGCACGTGCCCTCTGACTTTCTTTTTTTAATTAATTAATTTTTTTTTTTTTGAGAGAGAGAGTCTCACTCTGTTGCCTGGACTGGAGTACAGTGGTGCGATCTCGGCTCACTGCAACCTCTGCCTCCCAGGTTCAAGCAATTCTCCTACCTCAGCCTCCTGAGTAGCTGGGATTACAGGTGCATGCCACCACACCCACAAATGTACATTCTTTCACAATGTGGATGACAAATCTGATTATAAAATTCTTGGCAGTTAACATCAATAGCAGAACATGACATTCTCCATGAGATAAACACAAATCAGCTCTTTAGCAGGGGCAATGTTCTTGATACTAAGACAAGAAAGAAAAGCCTCCAAGTGTTTTCATAAAGAAGGTGCTTAGTAACATGAACAACAAGGTCTATGTAACAGGCGTAACAAAACATTTCTCAAGGCTCTAGCTTGTCCCTGTCTTCAGTACAGTAAGATGGCATTGTACCCAAGAGCAATGTGATTTAGGGTCATAGCTTTCCAATGATCAGAGGCAAATATGAGGTATTCCAGAAAAATGGATGAACCACATATGCATCATTAAAAAATGGTTCAAGGTAACTGTTGGCCCGGACGGTGGTTCATCTAGGTTTCTAGGTAGGTTTGGAGACATACATTTTAAGAGTTTGTTAAGCTGAGGAAAAATGGGTTGATATCATCTCATTAAAGAATAGGGTACTTAAGAAGGTCTCATAATTTTCCTGAAGATGATTCACCTGCTGCTCAGAGGTATTCAGAGTCCTGCATTTACCTGGGACCATGCCTAGGATTTTTCTTAGGAAATGATTTTAGATGGACCCTAACACAGTGAAAAGATGGATGATTAAAGGCCCAAAGAACTACACTCTACAGCTTGAGAACCATTTGAATTTACCTTATATTTAAAGGCAAGAAATCTCAAAATGTCCCCAGAGGATGTCTGTTGTCAGCCATGAGATTTCCTGGCGTTTTCTCCTGGATAAACTGACTGCACAACTATGTCTTACTCTAAAGACATAAATAAAATCTATACAATACATAATCTGTACAGTCATGTATTATCTTACTAGCTAAGTTCCAAATTAGACATCATAAAAATCCTTTTCTAATTGCAGAGTCTTCTCTGATGAACAGGAAACACAGTGTAGGCACTGAAACTCTAAGTATAGAAAAATATTCCTTAGCAGAATGAGATAAAATATAGATCTACTATTCTTTCTGCACTTGATCTTTTGTGTTTGATCATAAATGCACATTGTGAAGAGATGCCTTATACCTCCAAGCTAAACACTGTTTGCTACTCATTAGTGATTTATAAATGATATTTTCTCCCTGGTGACATATCTTTTGATATGATTCTCTAATAACATCCACCAATATTAAAATAAGAACATCCCCACGTATTGTGATCATCTTCAACCACATTTTCTCATGAAAATTAAATTTTAGCACACCATCTGATATTGTATGCATATATTTGTCTACCATCGTTATAAATCTCCTAAGGGTCTCTATAAAATGATAGTTTTGCCTCTTTGCAGTAATTCTACCTAATGCTCCAAAGCAAGAAACTAATTACATGCTGACTTTTCACTAACTTTGATCTTTCAAATATCATACTATGGAGGTTCTATAGGTAATCATATGATTACAATTCACTAAATGAGTTGAAATTAGCCATAAACCTTTTTATTTAAATTGTATTAACTGTTTCTTCAGTAATGTTGTCTGCACTTCTACTCTTTCCTACATAAGTTTGCCGATATAAGATTTCAAACTAAAATCTGATTATGGTCACTAATGTTTATAACAAATGCCTCATTATAACACCAGAAGCGCCAGTGAAGACGAATATGCAAAGAATTTCTTAAAATATGTTTGCGGAAAGGCCAAGGATAAACTATAGTGGTATAAAAAAAAGACTGAAATTTCTCAGGGGAATGTTTTAGTCAGCAAGAAAAAAAAAACAAAAACTCACTTGTGTTTTCCCATGGAGTTGGTGCAGTATTTCCTGGAAAAAAAAATGGAAGGCGATTGTTCCTTTCAGCATGCCATAGGAATATGCAGAGAAAGAAAGAAAAAAGAAATTCTGGATTTTTACTTGGAAAATGCCATATTGCTCACTCAAGACTGATGGGAATACTAAGGATTGCCTCTTTTTTTTAATGGCCACGTAATTCAATTTCACTTGTTTAAAACAATCAGTATTGTTCAAGATATTTAAGTTCTTGTTATAATTAATCTTTTATATGATGCTATTGTAGTGAATAATCTTATTTATCTAATAAAATTTAGTTGGCCCTGAATACTTTACCTTCATGCCATATTCAAAAAACTAGACCAGCGGTTCACAGCTCCTGGGTGACTTTGCTTCCCAGGGGATATTTGGAAATCTCTGAAGACATTTTTGGTTGTCATGCCTTAGGGGGTTTTACTGGCATCTATTAATAGTAGGTAGATGGCCGGGTGCAGGGGCTCACATCTGTAATCCCAGCACTTTGGGAGGCTGAGGTGGGCAGATCACGAGGTGAGGAGTTTGAGACCAGCCTGGCCAATATGGTGAAACCCCATCTCTACTAAAAATACAAAAGTTAGGCATGTTGGCATGCGCCTGTAGTCCCAGCTACTCGGAAGGCTGAGATAGGAGAATCGCTTGAACCCGAGAGGCGGAGGTTGCAGTAAGCTGAGATGGCGCCACTGCATTCCAGCCTGGATGACAGAGCAAGATTCCAACTCACAAAAAAAAAAAAAAAAAAAAAAAAAAAGGTAGGTAGAGGCCAGGGATGCTGCTGAACAACCTACAGTGCACAGGACAGCCCTTCAGAAGAAAGAACTACCCAGCCAGCCCAAATGTCAGTAGTGCTGAGGTTGAGAAACCCTTCCCTAGACCACATAAAATGAATCAAGTATAGATTAGTAATGACTTTGAGAAGCCTTCAATGAAGAAAGTCGAGCATTTTGAGTAGACAAAGTGGTTGTGAATTTCCTTTTTAAAAATGGACCCCAAAAAGTGTGGAAAGGAAACATTCCATTGTTTGGGAAACAAAACTCTACCTTTACCACGTTTATGGACGTTATTTATCTAATAACATTCGGAACCATACAAGATCCTGACCACCACATTCACATTAAAGCTGAGTAAACAAAGTGTGTTTTGACTTGTCATCAATCATGACATATGATCACAGGGAATATTGTGTGCAAGAGGCAGTTGTTTTATCTGGAGCCTCAGCTTTTAAAAAATTCAAAACGGTAAAGTTGTTTATTTGACACCATTCTTGACCTGACTGCAGTGTTTCTTTCTAAGGGAAAGTAAAACACACACTGCTTTCTGATTATTTGTAATCATATAGGAAGTCTATTTCTCTGGCAAACTTTGCTATGTTCCTGGGACCAGAAATAGGAAAAGCTTAAAAGAAACCCAAAACTTCCAAAGACTATGAGGTGAGCATAATTAAGCGTTAATTTCAAGCCAAGTGTACAACCAATCATGAGCTTTCATTTTATGAGTCTTCGGGAATATGAAGGATGCATTTAGCTCTGAGATTGCATCTCTTTGGAATCTTTTGGTCTCAAGAATGAAATTACATACCCAGGAATGATAACATGAGAACAGAGCTTCTGAAACACATCCACAACCTAACATACAAACCTTGGGCTTTGTGGAGGTGGTGCACCAGTCCTGTTTCAGACACATGCCTCACCTGTTTTCCAAACTTCACTTTCTTTGATCAGGTACCAATAGCAACTCCTTCCATTCTGTTTAAAGACTGTCTTTCATTACCTCTGGTGGCCTGGGAGTGTTTGTATGTTGTGGCATTAATGGGTCTTCCAGTGCAGTGCTGAGAGGCCCTGACTGGGAGGCACAAAAGTGGGTTCTAACCCTGGTTCTTCCCTTTACATACTGAGTGATTATCTGCAGCCACTTGGCTTTCTAGTCAATGATTGACGGATATAGCCCAAGGCATTCTTGGGTTGATACTTTGATTCTTTTGTACAAATGACATGCAAATTCAAAACTCATTTCTTTTTTTTGCAGGATACAATTACTTGTAACCTACTAAGACATTAAGGGCCTAGCTAAACCCTGGTTTTCATGAGCTAAAATTACCATTCATCAAGACTATCTCTAAGTGAGTTTGAGAACTCAGCATTTTGAGAAATGAAGCTACACTGCCTTTTCTCTATTCCACATGTACACACAGAGAAAATCCTAAGGGGCCCTGAGAAGTGGGTACTAGGACCATGTTTTTGGCTTATTTTTTTTTTCCTAAAATTGCTTATGTGGGACATGGAAAACAACACTACAATCACTACTCTCATGTGTTTCCTCATCCTCAAATTAAATTCAATTTAAAATCGCAGTTTTTACATTTAAAATTGCCTGTCATAACAATTGGACTACCAGACTTTAGAGATACATGGCAATGATGTTTTTTTAAAATAATAATTATTATTTTTCTTGAAAGGAAGGTGGGTACATCTACAAATTTAGGTCTACCTTACTTTCTCTAGGGTCAAGGAGACCTTGTGATGGGGTTGGAAAGAGAGGATAGTAACAAATCAGGCATTCTGCATTGTATAAGGAGGAAGTGATATTTTGGATGTAAGGATAGTCAATACATTTATTTTGATTCAACAAATTACTTTGATCCTACTTGCCTGAGGGACTTGATAGTTACTTTCTCTGCTTGGAATGTCACCATGCACCCTGCCAAATGCTACTTACCTTTTGGGACTCAGCTTCACACCCCCTCCTCTGTACTAGGAGGTCATTCTTTCCTCTGTCCAACCACTGCCCTAAGTATAAATCTACATACACAACTATTATGCTGTTCTGTGCTTTCAATAGCTTTGAAGTATGATTTCTATCATATCATAAAATCTACCAATTTAAAATATATGGTTCAATGATTTGTAGTAAATTTACAGCATGGTTCAGTCATCATCTCAATCCAATTTTAGAACATTTCCATCACACCAAAAAAGATCCCTTATGCCCATTCAGTCACTCCCCATTCTCACCCACCTCCAGTCCCAGACTACCAATAGCCTACTTTATCCTTCTATTGATTTCATGCCGTCTTACATTACTTCTTTGGGGGTATCCTTTGAGAAGACCGTAAGCTTCCTGAAGGCATGGCTCATACTTTTTAAAATAACATTTTCTTTCTAACTCTTAGCACAACTGTCAGGACACAGGTAATGAATAATTACAGTAATATTTATCAATACTTCCATTTATTTGAAGTATGCAATGAAGAACATTACAGATTCTAATTTAATCCCTGAAACAATCATTGAATAGGTACTATTTTTATCCTCATGCAGAGATAAGGCTATAGCCTTAGAGGGATTAAGTAATTTGCCCAGGGCCATGTCAGAATTTGAAGCCCAGGTTGTCTTGACTCCAAAGCTGAACACGAATGAATGAATCATAAGGATAGGAGTTCTTACTCTAGGACAGGATTTCTTAATTCTAGAGAGGATGCTAATAGAGGCCTCACTAATTTGTTTGTAATGGTTTAGGTACATATGGTATACATTCCTGTAGCACTATCAGAATTTCAAAAGTAGCCATGATGCAAAAATGATAGAGCCACCTTTCCTAGGTGCTGACCAGGGCTGCCTGAGTGGTGGGTGAGTCATGGTCCTTCAGTGTGCTTCATCCTACTAGGATAAAAAAGGTCGACAAAACTTCAGTGTTCTGTGTTATGTGGATCACTGTGTGAACAAGATTTTCTAAGAACTCACTTGTCTCAAACCTTATTCTGCGTTCAAAATAAGGAAGTTAGCCTTGCCTCGTGTGTATCAAAGGAAACACCTTCCCACTCTTTGCCCTTTCTTTGTTTCAAGCTGTCTGTCATGTCAATAAAGTTGTTGGGAAAAAAAAATTCGAATGGGAGAAAAGCTATAAATGGAGAACCCTTTAGATCCTTCCTTCTCCCTGGAGTAAACTCTTCCTTTTTCCCCAGAGCAGGGGTAAGTTAATTGTATTTGAATGAATAATTCTAATAAAGCAGTGACCTTTAATGCCAACTGGTGTTTTTAATTTTGATTCACTGTCAGTCACTCCAACGTGAACCACCTCAGGATGTGAGCAGTGGAAAGACCAGTATGTACACAGAGGAGAAAAACAAACACAGAGCTGGGTGCTGCTGGCAGGTAAACACGAATGGCAGATCTTACAATGAGATGCAGGGCAGAGACTCCTTACAAAGGAGCCAGAAAAATGCAGAAACTAATGAGAACCACACACATGCTGAACTCCATCTAAAAAAATCTCCTTCCTATCAAGAAGATAACAATTCATTGTTCATTGTGTGAAATGTAGAAAAGACAGAAAAGCAAAAATAGGAAATGGAAAAAAACCAAAATTCAAAATAAAAGCCCTCTGAGATGTCATCATGTGGAGAATCACTATGACTACTGTTAATATTCTGGAATATATCCTTCCAGTCTTTTTTCTATATTTACATACATATTTGAAGGTTTCATTTCACATTTATATATATATGTAAAATGTAAAATATGCTTCACATGTATACAAACATTAAATGTATATATATTCATATATATTTGAAAAGTTGAATTATACTGCACAAATTGCTTTGTCACTTGCTTGAAAATAATTCTTCAATTTTCTGTGCCTTAAACACACTTCAGTGATATGAATTGCAAAAATAGATGCCACTTTCTTATCGATAATAAAAAAGTTCAAATGGTACAGGGTCATCTAAGACAGATTTGAAAACTCAAATGCCTAAAGAAATTCGATATTAACCTAGGGCAGAGTTCTTTGGGGCTGTGGCAAGGAGAGTAGGTGCCCTGTCTCACTGAGGCAGCCACTATTCAGGCCCAACAAGAATGTGGATTCATTGTTACCTGTTCTTTAGGCTTTAAGCCAGAAAAGTGTATTTTGAGAAATCTTCCCATTTTTAAATAGTAGCAACTACTTTAAAACCCAAATATATTGTTGACCAAATAAAACATATCTCCAGGCTGGATTTGGCCTAGACATTGACAATTGTCAACCCTAAAGTAGAATGAATGGCTCCTCCCCTGGCCTGTCTCTCCCCTGCAGTCACCGTCACAACCAGTCTAACAATACAGGATTTATCCTTCCACAGAAGCTGGTTGGTTTTATGCAGTGTGTATTAAAATTTAAAGAGAATATAATATTCAACTTTAATTCTTTTCTCCCTTCACAACTTCAATAAATAGAAAAATAAAATAAGAAATATTTCTGGTATCTTCCTTCAGAGGGTCTCGTTCAAGGGATATTATAGTATTTGCCACGGAAGAGGCCTCCATATCAATATGTTTATGTATATTTTAATGGCATCATTAAAAGCATTGTTTTAACTCAAACATTTCTTGTGTATCTACTGTTTAGAAACAAATGAGACCACTCATTACTTTATAAGCACAAGGGTCTGTATGTATTTATCCATTCAGCATATAATTGAGTTCCTACTGTAGAGATGCTGCTCTGAGCATTAGGTGCAGAGAAGTGAAGAGACCGAAATGTGTGTGTGTGTGCGCATGTGTGTGTGCACGTGCACATGCGTGCTAGGGTGGGGTGGGCACGGAATAGATTACTAATCAGTATTCCCCATTCTCTACCACCAAAGAGACCCCATGTCATGGAGGAGAGGGCATGAGGGCCAAGGCCTCCTGTCAAAGCTACAGAAGAGTCTCAGCAAAGCAGCATCTCTTACCTTAACATTCCATGCATATGTTGGACTGTATTATATATCTTTGATTGCTTTAAAAAAATAGGGTTTTAATATACTGCTCAAATGATTTAACTACACAGAACACTTTGCCTGAGAAACATAATTATTCCTAGGTTGTGAAACTGGTGCAGAGTAGCTGTTACTTTTTGTGGGCCCATATGCCAGTCCTGCTTCTCAGATACACAAGCATTCAGCCCCAGGCCTGCCAATTCTCAACCTCTTTCCTTAGAGGGCACAGAAAGAATAGGCTAGAGGATATATACCTTATGTAAGTATTTTTCATGACAAACAAACCGACAAGTTTAGTGAGTGTTGCCTCATTTGAGTCCTACCAACTAAATAGGAATTTAAAAATATTTCTGTCTGACTCATCAGACAGTACCTTTCTTCATGTCTGTATTCCCACTGTCTACAGACATGCTTAGGCATTCAAATGTTGAATAAATGAAAAATATATTAAAATGAAGTATTTTGGGACCTAAAGACACCTTGACCTTATGGTACAATCCTTTCATCTGAAGGCCAAGGACATTATGTCCCAGAGAGGCAAAATGACTTACTCACATCACACAGATATGTCTGCTTAAATCCATCCTGAATATGTTTTACCAGAGAAAAAAGAAAATTAATGAACATTATTCTAGATAGAAAAGTCTGATGTTTTCAGTAGCCAATAGAAATGGCTGTTTTGAATTACCCTTACTACAGTTAGCTGGGTTAATATGAAACATATCTGATGTTTAAAAGAATTGGGGGTGGCAAATATTCATGATTTCTTAGGTGTAATATATAAAAGTATGGCATACTTCTATGTTTAAGATTAAAACAAAATGAAACAAAAAGACTGTGTGGTATAACATTAAATTCAAGAAGGTGTTTAACATTATCTCTATTGGCAACAATGATTAGAATATGGTTTTAGTGTCTAATTTGATTCCAAATATATGTCTTAGAATCTAAAATGATTCACCATATGTAGTTCTGACTAAAATAATATTTTGTTAGACTCTAATGGGATGTTAATACCCCTATGAGCCAGGCTGGCTCCATTCAATGTTCATCTTAATTAGCTAACATTAACCATCATTAGGGTTTTATATGGTACAATGCACATTACTTCGTAACTTCTACCCGGATCACATGGAGCTAGATCATAATACATGTTATCAATCATCAACTTCTCTGGGCTTTCTTAACACCTAGCTTTTATTTTAAAAGTTAAGGTCAATGTTAAGTGTTACACTTCAGCTGAAAAAGTTTTTTAAAAAATCAATGTTAATTAACAATGTTAATTAAAAGTTAATCATGTAAATGAAAGCATTTTTCATTCACTTGCCTAGCAAATTATATTCAGGTAATCCCCCATATATTATTTGAGATGACATAGGAAAATGGCACCCATCACCAGGGAATGGGGAGGAAAATTGGATAAAATCAAACAAAATAAAAGTTTACACATAGAAAGTAGGGAGTTTTTTTTGGCATGCAGAATCTACCTTTATTTCCAAAGTTCTCCGAGTGACACAGGGGAAAGGTATGGAGAGAATAAAGCCGTACGTGTATTTTAAGTTAGTGTGATACTTGGAAGGTATTTTTTCCAACTAAGCTAATCCTGGCCTGCCAAAAGATGCAGACCATATATACACTTGGCTTCAGTCTTCTGAGTTAATGAAAATAAGGTATTTTGAAGCAGTATTTTAATATTCAAGAGTATTACAAAGCAGCTAGGGACCCATCAACCTATAAGACCATTTGGAATGGTTAAAACATTCCTAACATGCAGGCCTGTTTTATCCTTACTCTATTGGCAATAATCATTGCTACTAACAGGGAATCTGATCAGAAAATTAAGACTTCTGTGATCTTACAAACTGTATTACGGTTCTGAGTTCTAAGGCACTGATAGCATTCTTCGGGTAATGACACTTTAGTTATTGCTGAACAAATGTGTATGTGCCTGCTATGATTCACATTCTGCGGAAAGATATGAATGGAAATTTTATGTGTGCAGTCTTATTCCAGCGGTAATTAGGGCAAATCTGAGATATATAGACATATGCACCCACACTCTTAAAATCCAGGGGTCACTTAGGCTACTAAATTAATTTTATAGACAAGAAACTGAGAGCCCAAAGATTCTAAAGGATGTAGCCAAAATCACGGCTCTGTAAGGCTGAACCCAAACGGTTGTATGTATTTTTGCCATTTATTCTTGTGTGTCATCTGAAAGGAGGCTTGCACGTATTTGCTTGAGTGGCAGGACAGGCGCATTTATCCAGGATGCTCTTCAACCTTTCCATTCTAACTGACAGGATAGATGATGATGGTGAATATTTGTTACTTTTTGGTCTTTCTCTTTGGTACCAGCATCCCATTTCCTTTGTGGAATGCTATCTCCTTTCATCGTGTGTGGTCTTGACGGTAGCTGGTCATGGTGTGCCGTCTTCCATGGGAAATTGCTGACATATGACTCCATGTTAGGCCAATCAGATCTTTTCTCTTGGCAGGTTGAAATTTAGCAGGAATGATTCAAGAAGGAAACAAAACAATAAAAGAAACAGGACTCCTTAATCCAGAAGTGGGTCAATGTTGAGTGAACAGTTCTACAGTCCCATAGTTGACTATATGCAGCCTCTCCTGAGCCTGCATTTCCTTCAATTCCATGAGAGACATAATCACCTTCCCTCCATTCCTTTCTTAAGTGTGTTTCACTGAAACACACTGTTGCTTGCAATTCAAGAATCTTTGACTCCTCACATGTCTGGCATTTTAGCAGAGAGATCAGCTGAGGTTTATGAGCAGTTTGAGGGCAACAGCTATAACTTCATCCCTACCCATCCATACTGGAAGAGCTTGAGATGTTTAAGATATAGGGAAGACTTCTCTGCTCTACTTAAAATAGTTAACTTGTTCATGAACTTGTATTTTGATCATTATCAAATGATCACTTATGTTGTGCCTTACCTGAGACACAAGGTATGCCTCAAATTTATATATTGTGTCACATCCCTAGCCGTTGTGTGATTTGATGCTTTTGGTGGTCAGAGAAATGGGAAAGATGACTCTTACTGAAATGGCCAAGATGAATGACTTCCAGGGGAAAATGCTTTAAGGGGAACATCTTTTTTCTTCTATCAAAATGGGATATGAAGTCATTTAAGAAAAATGGAAATGTCCAAGTCATTCTAGAGGCTTTCTCCATTTGAGGCTCTAATTCTATAGCAAAGAAGGGAGCAGGAGAAACTACGTTTATTTAAAAACTTCTGAATTCCTTCTCTCTACTTTTATACCTAGAAAATGCACACACAGATTCCAAGGGGAAATTATTTTTACTCAGAGATCCAACTCTTGCCTTTTCAACTTCATTACCTTCTTTGATCACAAGTTTCCTCTTGAAACATCTGGGCATATCTGTACTCATTATTAGAAAAGCCATTTGAGAGAACTTTCTAGGCTTAGGGTATCTTTCAGTGCCTTTCATTTAATAGTCAGAAGCCAACACCACTTAACTTGCAAGACTACCCTTACAAATCAAACGAAAGTCACAATGTTTGGTGATCAGGGATGTCTACTAAGTTTATGAGTCTTTCCCCAGCCTTTCCCCAAGGGATAAATACCAGTTCTAGAACATAACTTGAAATCTGTATTTGTTGTTGAAAAGGCAACCCTGAAAATATTTTAGGGTGATTTTTGTTTCCAGAGCACTACACTAGATTGGCAGGATTCTCAGGTCAGTTAACTAAAGGGACAAGTTGATGGGGTTCAGATGGAGGGCTTGTCCACTGGGCATCCACAGGAGTTGTCAAGAACTTGGCAGAGGAGCACCAGCTGGCAAAGATGAGGGCCCTGAGACATGGGGCTAGCTCTGTGATTATTGATTGATAGCACATGCCTCCGGCAGAAATTAGAATCCTCTGTTGGGCTGGGACCAGAGAAGGAAGCAAGTGGCATTTTGTTGTTGTTGTTGTTGTTGTTGTTCTGGAAATTAGAAACCCTACCTAATACCCTACATAATAGACCCCGTTACTCTCAGTAGTACAGGGAACAGAAGAGCCAAAAATGTTACATTTTTCGAGTTAGTAAGATAATGAAACCAGGGGAAGGGACATCTAGAAATTCTTAGTTGTATTAATTTAAAGTGCTTGGGTAATGTAGGATTACCAATCAGAGATACAGTAATTATAAACAGTAATTTTGAAAATGTGATTTACTACTTGTGATTGGACTTTTAGGCTGGAATTCAAGGAGGCAAATTTACTTTTAAAAAGCACACTCATAATTTGTCTTTGGAATTTTCTTCATTCAAGAACAAGGTATGAGGAGTTACTCCTGGGAAATTTGCATTTGAATTTCTCAAATTGTTTATCCTCTGATCCTGTAGCCCTACGATATTGATGCACTGCACCTTAAGAAATGTAACTTTATTTTGGATGCATTTTTACTTCAATAAACAAAAGAAATAATCACTTAGAAAATAAGAAAATGATAGAATAGGTCACAGAGGAATTATAACCTGACAGCATTTTGAAAAAAATTTTTGCAAAATTATACAACAGTAAACATCTTAATTTTATATTAAATAAGTGTGGAATAAACATATTAGAATTTTCTTGATAACTAGTAAAATTCTTTGGTCAAGAGATTTTATGATTACAAATAAACCATTCCCATAAAGAGATCAGAATCTCTCCTCACCTCCGTCCTTTCCCCATTTAGTCATTTACAGATTTTTTAAAGGAAACTTTAAAAACTTCATTTTTTAAAGTGTGGTTTTTTAAAAAGGAAGTTTTTTAAAAATGAAGTTTTTAAAGTTAGGAGCATCTGGTAGTGTCTATTTTATAATAACAAAATAAATGGAATAGCATATGCAAATATCTCAAGCATCTTTTTTGGTTAAAAATAGGTAAGGGATTTCTCTCCTGTCATTCATTCACTTAAAAAAATCTGAATGAGATATTTGTTTTTCCTTCAAAGACCTACATTTTAAAATATAAGATTCCCCAACCCCAGCTTTGGTATCACAAGCCCATCATGCACAAAGCAAAAATTCAGTAAAGTGATTTCTTCCCCCCTTCCTGATTATTATTACTTTCCTATTTAATGCAACTGGCAGTGTAAATTTATTATATACATTTGGCCTACAATGTATGAAATATTGGCTGTGAAATGATATTCAGTTTGATGCCATACTTTTTAAGGAAACAAACCTAATCACGTGTTGAGTTGCTGGTATAGAACACCCAAAGTTTTGTAATCCTAGGGACAAGCTGTGGCATGGCTAGAGCCTGAGGAGATATTGTTCTATTTTCCTTTAAGGATGTATACAGTTCTTTGCAAATAGATTGAACTTAGCAACACTTTGATTTGTTGTGCTTTTCTCATTTGCTTTATTACATTACCAAACCCGTAATATTAAAGTATTAAACAAAAGACTTGGAGAGTTGAGTTCTGAAAGGCCACAAATTGCTGCATCTGAGAAAATGCTTTTTCTTATTTCCCTATCCACATTTTCTCCAGTGCCATCAATTTACATATAAACACATACTTATATACATGTGTTTAAATGCCGCATAACAGTAAACAATGGAGGTAACATGAAGTGAAGTTGATTCGCCATGTATTAGGTCATTGCTAGATGCTATTTCTATTTTCATAGGGATGTTCTTTGGGGAAAAAAAATGGATTTCTTGGCTTGGCATGGTGGCTTACGCCTATAATCCCAGCACTTTGGGAGGCCAAGGTGGGCAGATCACCTGAGGTCGGGAGTTTGAGACCAGCCTGACCAACATGCAGAGACCCCATCTCTATTAAAAATACAAAATTAGCCAGGTGTGGTGGCGCATGCCTGTAATCTCAGCTACTGGGGAGGCTGAGGCAGGAGAATCACTTGAATCTGGGAGGCAGAGGTTGTGGTGAGCCAAGATCACACCAGTGCACTCCAGCCTGGGCAATAAGAGCGAAACTCTGTCTCAAAAAAAAAAAAAAAAAAAAAAGAGTTCTCACTGGAAGACAAAACCAGCAACAAGCAGGCAGTTTTAAGAGAAAAAAAGGATTCTCTAAAATTACAGGACAATCTTCTCTAGTTACTCAAGGAAACAGTCTTCCTCAAGAAAACAGTCTTTGGAAACACTGGCCTTAACAGGAAGGAGAATGGAGAGCTGAGGGAGGCATTAAGAAAACACAATTCTTAGAAGAATTACTCTGGCCTGTCTCCTTGATACAGAATCATGGTGTGGTGGTGCCTGGATTCCAGAACAGAATGGAACCAAAGAGGATGATATAAAACCTGCCAATCCACAAACAGATTCATGTAAAACTCTTCCCTGAGCATTATTTTTCCTTTGCAGCATCTTAATAGCATTTCTCTCTGCCTCCCTAGGCATCGTGAACTTTATTTTTTAAGTGGCAGCAACTTAAACACATGACTCAGTACTGCCACAAATAAATCCTGCTCCAAAGCATGATACTTTACCCCAAACATAAAAACGGGACTGTTTGTTTTGATAACTTAAACATTTTCTCTTGATTTTTGCCTTAAGTCTGAGAACTTCGGCATTTGACTAATTTGCCATGCATTTAAGGCTGGTAGCAATATTGGGAAAGAAATATGATAATCACTTGCTGCCACAAAGTATTCTATATACTGTTCTCTTTCAGCTCTTGTTTCACATGTGTTGGTTCAATGGAATATTCAATAGACATTTATAGGAAATAAATTGAGAGATGAATGTAAACCATATGGCATCTGGAGGTTTATTTGCAAAGTCCCTGCATCAAAGCTTTCTCCAGATCACACCATATTAGCTATGTTTTTCCAGTCCAGCAGAATCAGGAAGGTAACCACAGACTTCCCTGATGGAAAACACATGAAAAACAGAGCAAATCTTAATATGTAGCTTGAGTTGCTGGTCAAGGAGCATCCCTTAAAATAATTTTATTACTAGTGGGTACAGCACATTGCTTAGAACTGCATTAAAAACATAGAACAAGTTGATTTTGCTCAGGATTTCCTTCAAAATTATAGGACACACTTCTTTCATTTATTCTAACAACAATAGTATCAGTTTGGTAGAATTGTATTAAAATTTTAGGACTATTTTTCAGCTCAGTTAAAAAATCAATCTCAACCAAAGAAACACAGCATTTAAATATAGCATACATAAAAATGCACATTAGAATTGTTGCAGATGGGAATGAACCACATGCCTACACGAGTCCACTTGCACATACGAAAGCCACCATATTAAACTTTGGAGAATCCCATTAATATAAGTAATATTTAAAAAACATTGATTGGACAGAATGAGAAATGGTTTTCAAACTTAATTTATATATATAAAAACGTTCTCAACCTTGAATGCACTCTGCTTTGTGCAGTTGGTTATGGCTAGCATTATATCTGATATCAAATTAATTCTCATGCAGCCTGTTATATAAATCATTATGAAATGTCAAAAGCTTGTACATATTTTTTTTTTGAGTTTTCACTTACTTTCCAAATAGTTTCCATTTTTCAGTGTCAGGCTTTTCAGCCACTCAATTTTAATGATTTTTTTTATCACTGTAAATTTCCCCTCTCATTTACAGGATATTTGTGCATCCCCACGTGCATACATGCACATGTTATGCCATGGAACACAGGTGACATGCACAATGGTTAGGCTGAAAAATTCTTTATCTTTGGTTTACATTGAATGGTCAGATAACTGGCATAGAGAAAGAATAAAATGTTTTTACTATTAAAATCTGCAACATCTAAAGATTGTCCTTTATAAATAAATATTAAAGACTAGTACAATAGCAAATTGACTCACTGACCTCTGCTCCCCATAGTTTCCATTTTAGAACAGTTGCTGAGCACAATGGGGACTTGCACTTTTTGGCAATTACTCACTTACACATCTCAGGGATGGTCTTCTTTCTTTACAGGTTATGCTTCTAAATTTAGGGCAGCAAGTTAATGCCACTCACAACTAAAAATAAAAAAAAAGAGTATGTGAGCAACATCACTTAAAAAATATGTGGCTAACTGCTGGAAGCTATTAAAAACCAAATAAACAAAAGAGATTACACTTCAAAGAAATGTCAACAGTTTTTCCTCTCTCAGAACAGACGAGTTTTTTTTTAACTTATATCCACATCCACATCTGGAAAAGGCTTATGGCTTTATACATCTTTTATGGTAAAATGAATTTATTGAGTTTTAAAATTTTCGTGATGGATTAATGCAATCTTCATAAAAGGTAAATCCACATACTAGTAAAAATCTGTCTTAACACCGAAGAGTGATTTCAATAACAAATAGTCCAATGTTAATTTCAAGGAGCAGGAGAATTTTGAGAAAGCATTTGGTTAAGTAGATTTTTTAAAAATACAACTACATGGAAATGAAAATGCAATATCTTTTTCCTTATGACCTATCTTTATGTTAGCACAATTAATTCTTAAGTTAAGGGAAAAATAAAAGAAATAGTTTGTGAAGCCAACCCAAAGTTTAAATCAATATACCTGCTCCAATTAACTAACAATAGACATAAAGCAAGCAGTAAATTTACTGATAGCAAGATCTCCAAGGGAATATTTCAAAACAATTAATGGATTTCTACAATTCTTCTCAAAAGTAGACAGCATGCCTTTGTGTATTTAAAAGGTGAGATTTAATTTCTCAAAAATATGTGCCTGTTCAGAAGGTTCAAACAATTGACTTCATATTCTACACAATGTTCTCCCACGGCCCGAAACTGACAGTGTTCATTTGATGTTGCTTTACAATTAACTGGGTAGTAGCAACTTGTTTTCTATATAAGCTTGCCAAAAAAAAAAAATCACCTTTGGTATTCAACCAAACATCCAAATGTGGACGACTGACTACAGTTTAGTAATTTACAGATTTGCTGTGAGAGCAGGGAAGACTTGAAATATGGGAGAAGGTGTCATCTTTATAAGTCAGGCCAAGAATTAAAGAAGGGGAGACTCTAAAACCAGAAGAATGTTTAAAATGGAACAACATAATTTGGACATAAAGTAAGTGGTCTGTAGTCAATAAAAAAGAGAAAGAAAAAGAAAAATAAACTCCAAAAGGCCGGCTGCAAAATAGGAAAGTAGGTCTATTTTGTTTATTTATAAGTGAGTAGCAAGTAGATTCTTTCGCACTAACTAAACCAGACAGTAATTATAAACACAGGTTGGTTAAATTCCCTGCACCCTATCAAAGGAAACAAGCTTCTTTCTTTTCCAAACATTGTCATTTGTTTATTGAGCCTCTTTGGGGCTTGGTTTCATTTAAAACTATGTAAGCACACATCTGTTACCCCCAAACAATGTCAACCTTGTTAAGCTGAACCTGAATACTCATTATACAAAAATTTGCAAGTAACCTAACAGCAATTTTTAGAGTAGCCAGTTAGCATACTGAGCAAAGAATTTGGATTGTTTTTGTTCCATTACAGAAAAACCTCACATTATAGTGTAATCATACAGGAAGCAAACAGTCACCGCCTCAGTAGTTTCAGATAATTAGTTACCTAAATTTTCTGAGGTGAATTCAACGTACTTAGGCTGAGGAACATTATTGCTTATATTCTGAAATACCACAATACAATCTTGGTTAACAATGAAATTATAAATATTGGAGTAAAACGTCATTTTAGAAATCATTAGGTTTTATCAGTACAGTACAACTGAGTTCCTCATTTAAGGAACTGTTTTATTAAAAAAAATGGGGGGCTGTGATATTGCTTATATTAGCTCATGTCAGATATCAGATTTCAAGAAACTTTTACACAGTAGACACTATTAAAACATCATTATTGGAGTTGTCATGCTTGGGTGGTTTGAACTAAAGTGAATTTCATGTATTTGCTAGGAGACAGCAATAATAAATCCTGGAGTCTGCATTGCTAAGTGATGACCTAGAGTCTGGGGGAATTGACCTCACGAACCACCAGGACAATTGGATGAGTTCAGTAGGTGGGAGCACTATGGGGAGGGGCAGAGTCTAATAAAACTCCACAAGGACATATAGACATGCCACCCAAACTCCCCTGGGCAACCATTCTGAACAAGACCATCTCTGCCTATTTTGTTTTCTGTGTCAGTCACGGTATCCACCTAAGCCATTAGGAAGTCAGCAAGTCTTATACTACCTCCCTCCCTCAGTCATGGCACACGTATCTAAAGGATCACCCAACTCTGAGTCAAAGTCTCTCAACTCAACATACCAGTCAGCCACTTCCAATCAATCCATTTGCTAGCCCAGGCATTAAACTATGAGAAAACTCTCACAGAGCAAGGCCTGAGGCCCTAGCATGTAAGACTGCCTGGCATGTGGCAGGAGATTAATGAAAGTTAACTTGCCTCAAATGGAATACTGGAATAGTTGGAAGTATAGACGGGTGCCAAACTGTCCAGGTTCAAATCCTAGCTGTGCCATTTAATAACTCTGTGACTTTGGGCAAGTCACTTAATGTCTCAGTTTCTCAGTTTTCTCATCTGTAAAATGTGAGGAAGTAACCAATATGAGGACATAAGGAATTAACATATGCGGAGTGCTTTAGAAGAGTGCCTGATACATAATAATCAATAAATACTAGCTGTTACTATTTTCCTCATTGTTTATTAAAATGCCTTGTCAACCTGAGAAAGTTACATGTAGCTTGTTCTGTTAATGTAACCATCTCCTGCTCTCTAAATCTTCTCTTTGATGAGAGAGATACCTTTCTGAAACACAAATCTCAAGATAATCATTTTTGTACCTATCAGCTTTTTTATTTTATAAAATTTTTGTGGATACATAGTACATGTATATATATATCACATTGCATGCCTTTATCAAAACATACCATGTACCCCATAAATATATGATGTTTTGATAAGGCATGCAACGTGAAATAAGCATGTCATGGAGAATGGGCTATCCATCCCCTCAAGCATTTATCCTTTGCATCACAAACAATACAATTACACTCTATTTTTAAAAGTACAATTAAGTTATTATTGACTATAGTCACCCTATTGTGCTATCAGAAACTAGGTCTTATTCATTCTATTTATTTGGTACCCATTAACCATCCCCACCTTGTCCCCAGCCTCCCACTACCCTTCTCAACCTCTGGTAACCATCCTTTTACTCTGAGTTCAAATTGTTTTGATTTTTAGATCCCACAGATAAGTGAGAACATATGATGTTTGCCTTTCTGTGCCTGGCTTATTTAACTTAATGTAATGATCTCCAGTTCCATTTATATTGTTACAAATGACTGATCTCATTCTTTTTTATGGCTGAATAGTACTCCATTGTATGTATGTACCACATTTTCCTTATCCATTCATCTGTTGATAGACACTTAGGTTGCTTCCAAATCTTAGCTATTGTAAACAGTGCTGCAACAAAAAAGGAACAACAACAGCAAAAAAGGAATGCAGATATCTCTTCAATATACTGATTTCCTTACTTTGGGTATATACCCAGCACTGGGATTGCTGGCTCATATGGTAAGCCAATGGAACAGAACAGAGAACCCAAAACCAAACCCACACACCTATAGTGAACTTATTTTTTGACAAAGGTGTCGAAGACACACACTGAGGAAAAGACAGTCTCTTCAATAAATGGTGCTGGGAAAACTGAGTATCCACATGCATTAGAGTGAAACAAGACCTGTATCTCTCACCATATACAGAAATCAAATCAAAATGGATTAAAGACTTAACTCTAAGACCTCAAACTATGAAACTACTACAAGAGAACACTGAGGAGAATCTCCAGGACATTGGTCTGGGCAAACATTTCTTGAGCAATACCCCACAAGCACAAGCAACCAAAGCAAAAATGAAGAAATGGGATCACATCAAGTTCAAAAGCTTCTGTGCAGTAAAGGATATAGTCAACAAAGTGAAGAGACAAGCCACAGAATGGGAGAAAACATTTGCAAATTACCCATCTGACAAGTGATTAATAACCAGAATAGATAAAGAGCTCACACTATTCTATAGGAAAAAAATCCAATCATCTGATTAAAAAAATGGGCAAAACATTGGAATAGGCATTTCTCAAAATAAGACATACAAATGGCAAATGGGTACATGAAAAAGTGCTCAACATCACTGATCAGAGAACTGTAAATCAAAACTACAATGAGCTATCATCTCACTCCAGTTAAAATGGCTTATCTCCAAAAGACGGGCAATAACAAATGCTGGCGAGGATGCAGAGAAAGGAGAACACTTGCACACTGTTGGTGGGAATGTAAATTAGCACAGCCACTATGGAGAACAGTTTGGAGGTTTTCTCAAGATAATAACTTCTTTAAAAACCTGAAGTGACTCTCTATTGTTGATACAACAAAGTCCAAGACAACCTACATTACCTTCCAAAAGGTAAGGACAACCTATAGTTTAAAACCTATCTTTGACTCCCAAACCTCCTCCACCATCTTCCTATAAGCCCTGCAACTTTGTTTTTGAGCTATGCTTTAGCTTTTTCTTGCTCTGTGAATTATGAGCTCTCATTCATGTCTTTGATTGACCCATTCTATTCTCTGTTCAGTTCTGCCTGGACAATTCCTTTCTGTACCTAAGAAACACTGATTTACCTTTTGAGATATAACTCAAATGTTACCTGCTATGTGAAGCATTTCCCAAATCTCTCAATGAACTAGTTTGCTCCTCAGCACATTTATCTTCATTATGGCATTTTTTAAAAACACTGATTACATTGGCTTCTTGCAGAGCCTGTAAGTTCCTACTCTCCTGCTTATATATGTCTCTAATACTTAACACATGGACTCACTCAAATATTTGTTTATGAATGAATAATCCCAATCCTCCCATCCCAAATTATATGTTTTCTAAGGTGATTGTTCTTTTTGAAATTGTTAAACTTTTAGTACTCTTTACTGGATACCAAATTATGAAAATAATACATGCATGTAGTAACAATCGTGACAAAAGCTAATTATTATTCCTTATGCCCATCCAATCCTGATTCCTGACATAGCCAATAGTAACAGTCTGGTGTGCACCCTCACCTTTCTGTTTGCTTATGTGAATATACAATCATGTATGCTAGGGGCTGACAAACTTTCTGTAAAGGGCTACATAGTAAATATTTTAGTCTGTGCTGGTAATATGGTCTTTGTAGAAACTGCTCAACCCTGCCCTTATAGGAAGAAAACAGTGGTAGACAGCACAAAAATAGATGTGATTGTGTTCCCATAAAACTTTACAAGAATAGGTAGCCAGCTGGAATGTGGCCTACTGGCCAAAATTTGCTGTCCTGTTTTATTTATATATATATATATATATATATATATATGTGTGTGTGTGTGTGTGTGTGTGTGTGTGCGCGCACGTTTGTGTGTATGTGTGTATATATATACACACACACACATATATACATATATATACACACACATACACACACAGGTTTTATCTGTTCATTTGCTTTTAAACAACATGGCATGATGCTAACCAAGTTGCTTGAAATTTGCTTTATTATATACTCCATTATATACTCCATTTATTATATACTCCATTAACTTCCAATAAGTTAATACATTCAAACAATTCTTTAATTTCTACATACTTATATATAAGACATATATACACTATATATGTATTATAGTTTAAATGGGACGTGTCTTATATACAGGTGTGCATATATTTTTGGTGCACTTAAAACTTTTGTCTCCTGCATGCTATAAGTTTAACACTCTTCTATGCATTCCACTTTACTTTCCTCAATGCTCATATAAGCATACACACACACATCATGTATATATTGTTTGCTTTATTAAAATGTGACCATTTGGCAAACCTTTGTTTGCATCTTACTGTTTTTGCTCCATAACACTCTTGGAAATCCTCTCAAGTAAACTGGAAGAGCACTAATCTGTTCTTTTTAATGGACATATTACATGGTGTAGATGTACCATACATATCATTAGCCAGTCACTGGTTCTAGATTTTATTCCTATGAACAATCTTATAATATGCTTTGTATATGTGGACTTGCCTACTGGTGGTTTTATATCCAAGGACTATATTTCCAGAAATGGATTTGAACCCTTTACACAATTTATTTTTCATGGCTGTCATTAGAATCATATTTCTACTTCATTTCTGTCATTAGAATATATGAGATTACTTTTTCTGTGCATCCCTACAAGTAATTAGTATTATCACTTTAAATAATTTTCTTTGACAATTTGTTAGGTGATATATCTCACTGTTACTTTAACTTGCACTTCTGAATACTCATGACCTGGAGCATTTCATATTTGCTGATCATTCAGATTTGTTCTCCTTAAATTATCTATTCATCCTTTTGAAACTACAGCTTTTCATTACCAATAATCTTGAATCCCATCATATTCAGTAATCTCGATATTTTATCCATTGCTCTTTACCTCCAGAAAAGACCCAATAGCCTATATTTTATTTTGATCTTGCTTTCTGGTGTTCTGGTGGATGTATCTAGGTACATTACAGTGACCAAGGTATATCTAGTTTAAGTAGTTTTCATGTGCTCTAACTTCTTATTTTTTTTTTAGGTAAAATTTTCGATTTTTTTATAGCCATTTCAACGTTTAAGGTACACTGGCTGAGGTTTAATTTAATGTAAATGTAGTAGTGTCACCAGTAATAACTACAGTATTTAGTGAGTAGTATTTGAGCTTTTACTCTGTAGCAGACATAGTGTTAAGAACTTCAAGTACATTACCTTATTTAATATTCACAACTCTGTGAGCAGGTGCTTCTATTACCTACACTATGGTATGAGAGGGTAAAAACACTTATTCAGGGTCACTCTGATAATCTGACTTACCCCCAGAATCTCAGCTGTTAACATTATGTTATCCTACTAAAAGTAAGAAATTCAAGATAGAAAACATGAACATATTTTAAGTTACTGGCCAATTTGGACACATTTTAAGTTTTACCTTGGATAATTTGTCTGATTAATTCAGTGCTTCTATTTGATAGTAAAGTTGTCAATCCAGATTTTAGAAGGTTAGGTCCAAAACTAATGTTGTGGACACAACTAATGTTAGATCCACAATCAACTAATGTGGACCAACCTGAATGTTCAGTTGTAACTATAATTGTTAGGGAGCAACCTACTATGGTTAAAAAGAAGGAAAATGAAAGCGCTGGATTTGGAATTAGAAAACCTGCATCCTGATCCTGATGAAAGCAGTTGTTAGCCATGTGATCTTAAGCAGTCTACTTCTCTTAGCCACATGATCCTCGTCTATAAAACAGGGATGAAACTTTTTGTTGTAACAAATTCACTGGGCTTTAATGAGGTACCAATGAGAAGAATTATAAAGAAACACTTTTTGTTGTTTCTTTTGAGATTGAATGATTATATTTTGCTGTATTTGTATTACTTTTGATAAATTTTTAAAAATAACTACAGATATTAGTATGTATTTATTTTAGATACTTCAGAATCCATCTCAAAAAAAAAAAAGCAGGAAGCACTTTTTAAAACCAAAAGCTAATTTAGAAAGGTATTATTATTACTACATATAACCCACTTTGAGGACTCAACTTCCTTGTTCGATTGAATTCTACCTGTATCGTAAAGGCACCATGAAGAGTAATGTCATGTTCTCAGGCTGCTGAAGAGCTTCAGAAAAAAAAAAAAATAATAACAGCACTTATTTAATCACCATCTATTCTTTCCATCTAATGCCTGCAAAAAGAGAATCCCTCTCAATAATACTTTTGAAGCAGAGTACCACATTAAAAGCAGGACGCTATTCAATAATTGAAGTTAGTACGCTTTGGTCTGTCTGTCCTTGCCAACAGAGCTGAGGGAATTTTAGGTAAGCAGAATTAAACTTTCTGCCACTTACAACATCTGAAGAAATGAAATAAAATTCTGTGCTCCTGGGTCTTAGGGAAAAAAAAAGTACTTCCACATCTTTGAATCTGCCCTGTGTAAGCCCACGGCACCTAGGGACAGCCCCATGCTCCCTGGAGAAGCTCAACAAACATTTCTTGATGAAGATAAACACCTGCTGTATTTAAATACGAGATGAAGAAGTCAGAGCGTAAATGAATCTAAGAATAAGCTGGGTGTGTATGTGCACACAGCTACTATTAGCATTATGGGAAATTACATTCCTGCTATTATTATGATTATCATTCTAATAACAAAGGGCTACACACTGAGAAAGGGAAAATTATAAAGAAGAAAGGAATAAATCAGTTGAAGAGAAGAGTGAGTTTAAAACACACGTATACTCCAAGGGCCCCCAAATAAAGCAAAAGGACTCAGTTTTTGTAATAGAAATAATTGCAGGGGTGGAAACAACAGTAAATGCTATGAGATCACAGGAGGAAATAGCTTGAAACTGCGGGAAGAAGAAGTATACCATCTCTTCCATTCATCCTCATTCCTTCTCTCTCCCACCCCAAATGCCATTGTTCAACACAGTCCATTTCACAGATGCTTCCAGTGCCTGAGTTTCTTTGAGGTTTGTTTACATCAATAATAACTAGAATCAGATTGATCAAATATTAGCTGATGTAGAGAAGCACAGGGTTTCCCTGCGCAGACAAGAAAGAAGGAAAAGCAGGGAGTGAAAAGTTGTGGCTAATAAAGAAGGAACAGGGTATTAAAAATTGTACAAGCTTTTCCAGAATTAAGATAGACTTTATCTACTTAAGCAGCCCACTGTAAGCAGGACTTTGACTGTTTTGTCATGCCAAACAGTCATTGTTTTAGCAAATAATTTCTTTTCCCAATAATACATTCCAAGGTGATGCCATGATTTGAGAATGTAACATTACGGAAGACATTATGAAGTTGCCATTCCCTTGGTGCTTTTATTATATGCACATAGGGCAAACTTCTAAAGTTCAGTCCAGTGATGAGTCTCCTTAGAATATAATGCAATTTGGCCTTTCCTGGAGAAGACTGATCTGTCTCAGAACGACAATCACTTATAAACGGTACTTGAGGAAAAAACAAAAAATACCTACTTTCTTCAACTGAAATGACTCCCCACATCGAGGAAGACAAAGTTTGCAGACATTAACATCACAGGGCTGGAGTCTGACAGGAGTTATTGGGCAGGCACTTCTCCAAGTCCGTTCTGACCCTCCTGTATTAGGACACCAGCAGATGAAACCAAACCTTCAGCTCAGCACAAAGAACTTAGTAGTGCCCAATGCTCTGGGTAAGGAAAACAGACAGGGATGTTGGGAAATCTCGGGCCTCTTAGTTTTTAAATGCCCAAATGTTTACCAGCTGACCTTCCCCTTTACTGCAGTTCTGGGAAGCAAGGTGCATCCAATAAAGTTCAAACCAATCAACTGCTTTCAGCTGTTCTTGTGCAATGAATTTTTAAACATTTGGTCATTAAGCCCAATATATATTCAGGTCAGTTTTTGAACAGGATGGGAACAGTTTGGGAGCAGATGCCATGGCACTGCCTGGTGGAGAGGGGATAGTAAAGAAGCACAGAGGATATTTACATGGCTCCACCTATCAGATTCAATTTCTCCCAGTTCTCTTACCTCCCAGCCTCTTCTGTAGATTGCTTCAATGATCAGGAATAGTTATTAACTTCTGTTGCCACTTCTTTCCATTAATTGAACGGCAGCCTAAAGACCATGAAGAGAAGACTCTGGCTGACTTCTCTCTTAAACTGGACCCTCTGTGAATAGTTTGAAGGGGAGGGTAGCTGAAAATTGGCTTTATATGTTTGATTGGCAATTGGCACATTGATTTGTTAGTTTCTGAGCAGCCTGTGCTAGATTCTTCAACTTATTTTTGAACATCAATGAGTTGAAAGCTTTCAGGGGTGAAGAATTTAAATCACTTAACCATTTCCCTTTGCTACATTCTGGCGGCCATATGTATGGGGGTAGATTTAATCCTGATATCGTAGGGGTCAAACAGAAGATTGTATTGAAGATGTGAAAATAATAAGACACAGTATCCTACAAACTGGTTTAAAAGGTTATCTCTGTGAGCTCAGACCAGCAACCTAGTTCAAATTATTACATTCCTCATAAGGAACTTCTAATAGCAACATTCACCAAATTTTATTGTGTGCATTGCCCCTCTATGCCCTCAAACAAGACAGGAGGGGAAGCTGCTGGAATTCATGTTTTAGATTAGGACCGACATAAAATCTCATCTAGAAGTTACCCCAACAAATAAAACTCTAATGTGGCCAAATATGTTTGGATGGTGGAAAAACAACCAACCACAGCTTGCTGATAAAATAAAGAAAACTGGTGGTAGGGGAAAGAGAACAACCAGCTTTATAAGACACAGCTGGTTACGTAGAGGGCCTTTTGTATGACTACAGCAACTGGCAGTTGGGTTTAAATAATATTTGAATGGCCAGTAATCTCCATTCTATCACAGTTGTGACAAAGTAGTAAAGCCAGAGTGTTAAACATTTGTGTGTGTGTGTGTGTGTGTGTGTGTGTGGTAGCAAAATTCTGGACTCCCCATAAACTATCAGAGACATGGAGAACTAACTATTCATATATAAGTATTTAATCAACAAATATCATTTCTAGTATTTGATCTTAAAAGTATTCTACCCTTAAGGCTTTCACCAAGCAAAATGAACACATGTCACTAGGGGAAAAGTCATTATTGATAGATAACTTTGTAGAATCACTGCAAGAAAGGCAGTGTGGAGAAAATTGTCCATATTTTGGATAACCATAAATCTAAAAATTGTTAATGTGTTGATAGTTGGTGTATAGACTTTTGTGTATGTTCCAAAATTAAAGTTTTCACTGAAAAATCAAAGAGGACTGGTAAACCCGCAGCGTTATGAAAACTCTGCTTTAAATACAAGAGTTAGGAATTTTCTCTTGAGAAGCCAAATAATATTGAAAGTCCATAGGCAAAAACATTGAGGGGGGCTCTGTATTTTTCATAGATCAGAAATCTGTATGTATGAGAAAAGTAAGATTCCTTTGATTGAGAAGGAGAAATTTCAGATTTAAGACCTAAACTTGTAAGGAATGAGCTTGTACAATTGCCCTCGCCAGCCCCTCCACATGTGGAATATGCTGCAGTTCATTACCGATAGAAAGGAGGGAATGATCATGAAAAGGCAACGGAACGAGTAAGAAGAATTTTAAGAGACTTTGCTAGAGCTTCATAAATATAAGGAGATAAGCCCAGAAAAGCCATCAGGCCAGCTCTCTTCTCCCATAATAAAAATGTTTCCTAAATCATTCCTCTGTTTCTGGCAGAATTTTAAATAAGAAAATATGACCCATTTTAGTAGTTATTACCTGATGAATGTCTTCAAAATCTAGATACATGAATATAATTTTGTAAAATCTTATGCTATGCCACCAGGAAAGTTTATTTTTAATAGCTGTGTATTTTTTTAACGTGTCACAAAAAACAATGGTTTGTGCTCCCTCTGTTGGCTTTTCAGCAGCAGTTAATTCATAAATTTTGTTCCTGGAGGTACTCTGCCATAGCTGTGTGCTTCCGCAGCTGCAGCGAGGGACAGGATGTTTCATTCATTGAACTTTATGTTCCTGTTAAACATGAAGTCATTCTAATTCCATTTCTTGCAAATAGCGCAAAAAGCAGAAGATATTTGGGAAAAGTGCAGAACCATTTCACAACTAAGATATAAATGCCCTTAAGATATCAGGTCAGATTTTAAAAAATATATGAAAAAGAATTTTCTAACCATTAGAGTCAGTGAGAAAACATATTAATAGAATAATGGATCTTCTGTTTAATCCCTTGATTGTTTTTGTCTCTGTAAAAGTCGCATACTTAACACAAAAGGGACAGATTACCAAAATGAGAAACAATTCTTTCTCACACACCTGTTGGGGTAAACTGAGGGTAAAAAAACCCTAGAACTTTACTTGGTTTAACTTATTTTCCTATTTAAACAAGGAAGTTTGAGACCAAAATTATTCTATGTTCTTGACTGCTCTTCACCTTCATTCAGCCTGGCAAGGCCTCCTAAGCCTCTTGATTTACTGAGAAAATTCTGTTCATAATGAGCTTGTCATTCTCCAAGACTTTTTTGGCAGTTATTATCTAATTATTGTGTGTTAGACCCTAAATGCTAAAATATTTATTCTGAGATTTTCAGAACTCAAGTTACTGTACAGCAATATTTCAGGCTCACTGATTTGATCTAATTTATACATCTTGATAATTTAACTGATCTTATTTATATATCTTAACAATCTTGTTTGCCCTTATTTGTAGATATCTTCTCAACGTTAGATAAGTGGGTTCTTTTAAAAAGATGATCAGAAATTAACTGTAGCCACTACTAATTGAGCATTTGCTATGTGCCAGGCATCACGCTAAGCACTGCAGATACCTTAACTCATTTCATCTTCAGAACAATCCTTTGAAGATTATCAGAGGTATTATTATCCTGCTCAGGTTGCAGGAGAGGTAACTGAGGATGAGAGAGATCAAATAACTTGCCTAAGTTCACAAGCCTGATGAGATGTGAAGTTGAGTTTCAAACCCAGGAAATGTGATGTCAAATCCTTGTTCATAGTACAATGGTTCTCAAACTTTAGTGATCAAACTAATCACCTGGGGACGTTAAAAATGCAGATTCTGATTCCATAGGGCTGGGACCTCAGATTTTGCATTTCTGTTGCCCTCCTGGCTGATACTGAGGCTGAGGATCCTCCCAGTATAGTTTGATTAACCAGGCTCTAGGCCAGTGGGTCTTGAAGTTTAGCAATCTTAGGATCACCTGGAGGCCTTACAGATTGCTGAGCTCTACCTGCCAGAGTTTCTGATTCAATACATCTGGGGTGAAATGTGTTAATTTGCATTTCTCACAGTTCTTAGGTGATGCTGGCCTGGGTACCACACACAGATAACCACTGTTATAGAAGAAAAACTCCTACCCTTGAGATTCTAATTCTGCAGGCACTGGGGAGAACCTGGAAAAATAGTTTATGCAATAGCCCTAGGGGGGTTTTATTGTCAGGCAAATTTGCAAAGCATAGTTCTATTGTAGAATATTCATGTAGCATGTTATATTAGATTGTAGTGTTCTATAGTAAGGCTATGGAATAATAAATTATACTTTACACTCAACAAATACAATACAATTTCATGTTATTAAAAGAATACACTACAGTATCATAGAGAAAACCGCTCTTTTTTATTTTTAAAATGATGTTTTTCTTTTAGTTGGCTTTTGGTGGGTGTTTCTTTGAAGCTGTACAAATTCTCAAGAGAAGTGCCTCATACAGCAGTTTGACATTAACTATGTGGTGTTTTTTTTTTTTTTGGTGTTGATGTGGTATTTGTTTCCCAAAATGCTGGCTATGGAGCAAATATCCACTTAACCTTGACTTTTTGTGGATTTCAATGTGGTAGCTGGACACTGCATTTACAGTGATGGGGTGAGTGAGAGCTGGGTATGTGTTTGACACTGTGTAAAGCTAAAAGAATCCTGATAGAATCCAAGTCAGAAAAGCTTTTGTGAATTCTCACCTGACTTCTCTGCCAACAAGCTCTGTCTACATATGTACCCAGGGCGACGCAGGTGCTGTTCTTTCTGCTGGCTGGAATCTTCCAGTGTTTGCATGTTCCTTGTCCTCTTCCTTGCACCTAGCTTTGGGCCAAGTGTTGCTGCTATTAAGTGACTACACCTCTCATCGAAACATACATGAACCAAACTTGACTGCCCAAGGGGCACTGCAGGAAAAGTGGTGACAGATCTAACACTTCTTTCAAAAACAAATTAAATGACTATGTTTATTTAAAAGAAAACAGGAAAAAAATCCATGCATGTGAATCTTGTTCTCATTGACTAGAGAATTGACACCTTGGAATGTTCTATCTACTACTGACTTTTTGCAAACACTCTAAAACATTTTACATATATGATAAGTTTATATTGTAATATGACAAGTAAAAATATATGAACCACCTAGGTTAGGAAATAGAACATCGTGAATATAGATGAAATTTTCTGTCTCACTCCTAAATTATTCCCCTCTCTCTTCTTGGTAGCTACTATATGAAATTTGATATTTATCATTTTCTTATATACCTTTAACCTGTGAGATATGCATATTCATATCAGATAAATGAAGAATTAAGGAATAAATAGTATTATTTATTTTTGAGATTTACTTAAATGATATCATACTTTATGTATTCCTCTGCAATTTTCTTTTATCACACAGTATACTTTTATCTTAAGTATAACTCTAATTCATTTATTTTCATGCTTCATCATATCATATGATGTGAATATGCCACAATTCTTAAACTCATTCTCTTGTTGATGAACATGTTCATTTTGTGTCTTGTAACATGATTGTAATGAATATTCTTCAAATTTCTGGTGTAAACTTGCAGTGGTTTTCTTGGGGACAGTGGTCTCCCCTTATCCATGGGGAATATATTTCGAGATCCCCAGTAGATGTCTTAAACAGCAGGTATTACCAAACCCTATACAGTTGACTATTGAACAACACGGTTTTGAGGTGTGTGGATTCATTTATAGGTGGTGATATGCTTTGGCTCTGTGTCCCCACCCAAATCTCATCTCAAATTGTAATCCCCATCTGTCAGGGGAGAGGCCTGGTGGGAAGTGATTGAATTATAGGCACAGACTTCCCCCTGGCTGTTCTGATAATAGTGGGTTCTTATGAGATTTGGTTGTTTAAAAGTGTGTGGCACTTCCCTCTTTGCTCTGTCTCTCTCTCTCCTGGTCTACCATGGTAAGATGTACTTTCTTCCCCTTTGCCTTCTGCCATGATTGTAAGTTTCCTGAAGCCTCCTGATCATGTTTCCTGTTAAGCCTGTGGAACTGTGAGTCAATTAAACCTCTTTTCTTCATAAATTACCCAGTCTGAGATAGTTCTTTATAGCAGTGTGAAAGCAGATTAATACAGAAAATTGGTACCAGGAGTAGGGTACTGGTATAAAGTAAACAGAAAATGCAGAAGCAACTTTGGATGGGGTAATGGGCAGAGGTTGGAACAGTTGCAGGGCTCAGAAGAAAACAGGAAGATGAAGGAAAGTTTTGAACTTCCTAGAAACTTGTTGAGTGGTTTTGACCAACATGCTGATAGTGATATGGACAATTAAGTCCAGGCTGAGATGGTTTCAGATGGAGATGAGGAATTTATTGGGAACAGGAGCAACAGTCACTCCTGCTATGTTTTAGCAAGAGACTGGTGGCATTGTGCCCCTGCTCTAGGGATCTGTGGAACTTTGAAGTTGAGAGAGATAAATATGTAGTAGAAGACATTTCTAAGCAGGAATGTGTTCAACATGTGTCCTGGCTGCTCCTGACAGCATACAGTCATATGTGTTCATGAAAACATAGCCTGAAATTGGAACATGTTTAAAAGAGAGGCACAGCATAAAAGTTTGGGAAATTTGCAGCCTACCCGTATGGTAGAAAAGAAAATTTCTGGGAGGAAATTTAAGCCAGCTGCAGAAATCTGCATAAGTAAAGCAGAGACAAATGTTAGTGGCAAAGAGAATGGGGAAAATGTCTCCAGGCCATGTCAGAGACCTTCATGACAGCCCCTTCTATCACAGGCCTGGGGGCCTAGAAGGGATAAATGGTTTTGTGGGCAAGGCCCAGTGTCTCACTGCTCTGTGCAGCCTCAGGACATGGTGCCCTGCATCAAAGCCACTCTAGCTCCAGCAATGGCTAAAAGGGGCCAATGTACAGGTTGCATCTTTGTTTCAGAGGGGGCAAGCCCCAAGCCTTGGCAGCTTCCATATGGTGATGGTCCTAAGGGTGTGCAGAAGGCAAGAGTTGAGGTTTGGGAACCTCCACCTAAATTTCAGAGGATGTGTGGAAATGCCTGGATATCCAGGCAGAAGTCTGCTGCAGGGGCGGAGCCCTCACAGAGAACCTCTACTAGGGCAATGCAGAGGGGAAATATGGGGTTTGGACCCTCACACAGAGCCCCCACTGGAGCACTGACTAGTGGAGTTATGAGAAGACAGCCACCATCCTCCAGACCCCAGAATGGTTAATCCATGGACAGCCTGTATGTATGCCTGGAAAAGCCACAGGCACTCAACACCAGCCCATGAAAGCAGCTGTGGGGCTGTACCCTGCACAGCCACAGGGACAGAGCTTCCCAAGGCATTGGGAGCCCACCCTTGCATCAGTGTGCCCTTGATGTGATATATGGAGTCAGAGAAGATTTTTTTGGAGCTTTAAGATTTAATTACTGCCCTGATGGGTTTTGGGCTTGCATGGGGCCTCTAGCTCCTTGGTTTGGGCCAATTTCTCCCTTTTGGAATGGGAGCATTTACCCAATGCCTGTACCCCTATTGGATCTTGGAAGTAACTAACTTGGTTTTTATTTTACAGGCTCATAGGCAGAAGGAACTTGTCTTGTATCAGAGGAGACTTTGGACTTGGACTTTTGAGTTAATGCTGGAATGAGTTAAGACTTTGGGGTACTATTGAGAAGGCATGATTGGTTTTGCAATGTGAAAAGAACATGAGAGGCCAGGTGTGGTGGCTCATGCCTGTAATCTCAGCACTTTGGGAAGCTGAGGTGGGAGGATCTCGATGTCAGGAGATTGAGACCATCCTGGCTAACACGGTGAAACCCCGTCTCTACTAAAAAAAAAAAAAAATTAGCCAGGTGTGGTGGTGGGCACCTGTAGTCCCAGCTACTCAGGAGGCTGAGGGAGGAGAATGGTGTGAACCCAGGAGTTGGAACTTGCAGTGAGCCGAGATTGCGCCACTGCACTCCAGCCTGGGTGACAGAGCAAGACTCCATCAAAAAAAAAAAAAAAAAAGAAAATAACATGAGATCTGAGTGGGGCCAGCAGCAGAATGATACAGTTTGCTCTGGGTCCCCACCCAAATCTGATCTTGAATTGTTACCACCATGTGTTGGGGGAGGGGCCTGGTGAAAGGTGACTGAGTCATGGGGGCAGACATCCCTCTTGCTGTTTTCATGATAGTGAGTGACTTCTTATGAGATATGGTTGTTTGAAAGCGTGTGTGGCACTTCCCCCTTTTCTCTTTCTCTCTCTCTCTCAATCCCCTGCTCCATCATTGTAAGATGTGCTTGCTTCTCCTTCACCTTCTGCCATGATTACAAGTTTCTTGAGGCCTCCCAGTCATGCTTCCTGTTAAGCCTGTGGAACTGTGAGTCAATTCAACCTCTTTCCTTCATAAATTACCCAGTCTCAGGTAGTTTTTTAATAGTAGTGTGAAAACAGACTAATACATGTGGATTTTTAAAATAAAAATACTTGAAAAATTTTTGGAGGTTTGTGACAATTTGAAAAAACTTGCAGGTGAACTGCATAGCCTAGAAATATTGAAAAATTAAGAAAAGGTTAGTTATGTCATGAATGCATAAAATATAGATACTAGTCTATTTTATCATTTATTACCATAAAATATACACAAATCTATTATAAAAATTAAGATTTATTAAAATGTACACAGAAACTTATAGACCACACATGGCAACATTCACAGTGAGAGAAATGTAAACAAATGTAAAGATGCACTATTAAATCATAATTGTATAAAATTAACTATAGTGTATAGTTAATAATTTCACAGCCACCTTCTGTTGCTATTGTGGTGAGTTCAAGTGTTCCAAGTATCCACTTGGATACTGATCATCTCTGTGTGAGCCATTTGTCTGTTCAGTAAGTTGTATTTTGCAGAAAAAAAGGAGCTCTCATGATTCTCATGTATTTTTCATCATGCCTAGTGCAATACTGTAAACCTTGAATAACACCATGGGACACATATGAAGTGCACTAGTGATGCTGGAAGTACTTCCAAGAATCAGAGAAAAGTCATGACATTACAAGAAAAAGTTGAATTGCTTGATATGTCCCATAAATTGAGGTCTGCAGCTACAGTTCTACAGTTTTCTGCCATTTCAAGATAAATGAATGCAGTGCAATGACCATTGTAAAAACAAGAAAAGGAATTCTGTGAAGCTTTCACTGCAGCTATGCCAGCAGGTGTGAAGACCTTGCACTTTTTTCAAAATACCTTTTCATCTTTTATTGAAAGTGCAACTTTTATGTGGATGCAGGATTCCTATGAGAAAGGTATATATAGAATCATACATGGTTTGAGAAAAAATGAAGTTGCTATATGGCAACTTAAAGCAAAGGGATGGTGAAGGATCTAAAAACTGTAGAATTTAATAACAGGCAAGGATGGTTTAATAATTTTAGAAAGAAGTTTGGCTTAAAAATTGTCAAGATAATAGGGAAAGTAGCTTCTGCCAACTGAGAGGCAGCAGTTGAGTTCCCAGATACGATTATGAAAATCATTTATGAGAAAGGATGTTTGCTTGAACAGGTTTTTAATGCAGATAAAAGTGCCCTATTCTGAAAAAAAAAAAAAAAAGCACTACAAAGCATATTTACTAGTAAGGAAGAGAAGCAAGCACCAAGATTAAAAGCAGAAAGGGATAGGCTAACTCTGTTGTTCTACTGCTTTGTGCAAAAGCAATTGAATTTGTGATCAGGACTATCTATAAAGCTGTAACCCCCAAGCCATGAAGAAAGAAAAATAAATCAGTTGTCAGTCTTTTGTCAGTCTTTTGGCTGTATAACAAGAAGGCCTGGACATGAGAACAATTTTTCTGAATTGGGTCCATTGACAGTTTCTCCTTGAAGTCAGGCAGTACCTTACCAGTAAGGGACTGCCTTTTAAAGTTCTTTTGATATTGGACAATGGCCCTGGCCACCCAGAACTGTATAAGTTCAACAACAAAGGTGTGAAAGTGGTCTACTTGCCCCTAAACACAAAATCTCTAATTAACCTCTGGATCAGGATCATAAGGACCCTTAAGGCTTCTTACATATGGTACTATATGGAAAGGATTGTCAATGCTATGGAAGAGAACCCTAAAAAAGAGAACATCATGAAAGCCTGGAAAGAGTACACCATTGAAGATGCCACCATTGTTGTAGAAAATGCTATGAAAGCCATCAAGCCCAAAATAAGAAATTCCTGCTAGAGAAAACCATGTCCATATGCTGTGCATGGCTTCATAGAATTGGCAATAGAGCCAATAAAGGAAATCATGAAAAAGATTGTGGATGTGGCAAAAAAGGTGGGGGGTGAGTGGTTTCAAGGTATAGATCTTGGAAAACTCAAGAGCTAATAGACACCAGAGGAATTAGCAGAAGACAACTTGGTGGAGATGAGTACTTCAGACTTAGTACCAAAACATGAGGGAAAAGATGTAGAAGAAGCAGTGCCAGGAAATAAATTGACAACAGACAATCTGGCAGAAGGGTTTCAGTTATTTAAGATTGCTTTTGATTTCTTTTACAACCTAGACCCTTCTATGATGTGGGCACTGAAACTAAAGCAAATGATGGGAGAAGGATTGGTGCCATATAGAAATATTTTTTAGAGAAATGAAAAAGCAAAAAAGTCAGACATAAATTACACTGTATTTCCATAAAAGTTATCCTGAGTGTGTCTGCCTGTCCTGCTTCCCCTCCCACCTCCTCCCCCTCTTCCACTTCTGCTCCTCTGAGACAGCAAGACCAACCCCTTCTTATCCTCTTCTTCCTCAGCCTGCTCAAGGTGAAGATTGTGAGGATGAAGATCTTTATGATGATCCACTTCCACTTAATGAATAGTAAATATATTTTCTCTTCCTTATAATGTTCTTAATAAAATGTTCTTTTCTCTAACTCACTTTGTTATAAGAATATGACACACAATGCATATAACATACAAAATATGTATTAATCAACAACTTGTTATTGGTAAGGCTTTCGGTCAACCGTAGGGTATTAGTAATTATGTTTTAGAGAAGTCAAAAGTTATACACAAATTTTCAACTATGCAGGAAGTCAGTGTCCCTAACCACTCAGTTGTCCAAGGGTCAACTATACATAGGATGTTTTTTTAAATCTGATAACAAAGACAGCTACAAAGTGACTAAGGGGTAGGTAGTGTGTACAGTGGGATATGCTGGACAAAGGAATGATTTACTCCACAAGTGGGATGGAGCAGGATGTCATGAGAGTTCATTAAGCTATTCAGAATGGCATGAGATTTAAAACTTATAAATTGTTTATTTCTGGAAATTTACATTTAATATTTTCAGACCATAGTTGACCACAGGTAACTGAAACTGCTAAAGTGCACCTGTGGATAAGGGAGGATTACTGTACAGTATCAACTTTACTAGACATTGACTAGTGCAGTACTGTCCAATATGGCAGCCACTTCCTACATGTGGTTACTGAGCCCTTAAAATGTGGCTGGACTGAATTGAGATTTACTGTAAGTATAAAATACATACTTCAAAGATTTCAAAGACTTAGTATGAAATAAAGAATGTAAAATATTTAATAAGTTTTTAGATAAATTACTTGTTGAAATGATAAGGGTATACTGGGTTAAATAAAATATATTATTAAAATTAACTTTACCTGTTTATATTTACTTTAAAAAACAAGGCTACTGGAAAGTACAGCATGCATTTGTGGCTCTTGTTATATTTATATTGGGCAGTGCTGGTCTAAGTGTTCTCCAAAGAAGTTAACCCAATTTAGTCTCTTACCAGTGATGTATAGGAACTCCCCCATATTCTTGTTAACACGTTGTATTATTACATTTTTATTTTTGCTATAGTATCTGTTAACCGTATCTTTCTGTGGTATGATTTCGCATTTAGTTCATTTCTTATGAGGTTGAGAATCATACATGTTTACTGTCTGTTTTGGTTTCTTCCTTTGTGGATGTCTCTTGACCTTTTTTTATTGAGTTATTTGTTATTTTCTCAAATTTTCTTGATTTGTAGGAGTTCTTTGTATTCTTTCAGTCTATGTCTTAAAAACTATTTTTCCAAAGGTACCTTTTGATATATTAAACATTTTAATTTAATATATTCATTTACTGAGTTTCAGAACGTGAGCTTTTCAGTAAATCGTATTTTGAAATATTTAAAAAGGAATAGGAGTTTTTTATTCATTTTGACAACTGCTTTATCCGCAGAGCCTAGAACAGGGCCTGTTGCAAATAGGCACTCAATAAATATTAGTTGAGTAAAGTACATTACCTTTCAATAGCTCTCTGGCGTCCATATTATGCCTTTGTTATCAACTTTCTTCCTCAGGATCTAGAATCTCTGTCCTGTTTAGCTTAATGTAGCCTGCTTTTATTCCCTTTGAAGCTCATTGGTTTCATATATTTCACTCTACTGACAATCTATACTTTTACAAGGCTTCTCAAGGTCTGTTGCCTGCAACAGTGCTTCCAGAGAGTGTAAAAATTGTTATGTTAAAAATAGGTTGTCATAGACAAATAGGGTTTGGGAACTAAGCTGGACAATCTTTGGTATTACAAACCTTCTGGAGCCTTTGATATGCTAACACGATTGTGACTGTCTGAATATCTGAGAGTGGGATGCATACCGATTATAGCGTTTCCCAAACCTAGTTTACCATGGACATTTTGTTTTCAGAAGTTATTTTGCATCTCCTATTTCAAGGCATATTTTTTTAAAAGCCATGGATGAACCTATTGGAAAACTGAACTAAAAACTCCAAGACTGTGATTATACACAAAGCAAAATGTAGAATTTGTAAATAATTTAGCATAATAAACTTTACGAGTTCACACATATTTAACCCAAATAGCTGAATTATTTTCTTAACATTTTTAAGTCATTCTCCATTACAACGTTTGCGTGGACATGCAACCCACATCAGCGGCTTACTTTAAATTAATATAATTAATAAAACATATTAAAAGTTAGCCTTTTTAAAGTAGAGGACATTTTTGGAGTAAATACTTTCTTTTCTTTTTTTTGAGACGGAGTCTCACTCTGTCACCCAAGCTGGAGTGCAGTGGCGCGATCTCGGCTCACTGCAAGCTCCACCTCCCGGGTTCATGCCATTCTCCTGCCTCAGCCTCCCGAGTAGCTGGGACTACAGGCGCCCGCCACCACGCCCAGCTAATTTTTTGTATTTTTAGTAGAGATGGGGTTTCACCGTGTTAGCCAGGATGGTCTTGATCTCCTGACCTTGTGATCCACCCGCCTCGGCCTCCTAAAGTTTTGGGATTACAGGCTTGAGCCACCGTGCCCGGCTGGAGTAAATACTTTCTAATATGAATGACGTTTCTGTACCCTTCAAAATATCTCTGTTTCAATGACTTGAAATAGAAAAATATATTCCTAGTTGATATGGTTTGGCTGTGTCCCCCCACAATCTCATCTTGCATTGTAGTTCCCATAATCCTGACATGTTGTGGGAGGGACCTGGTGGGAGGTAACTGAAAAGAGGAGAAGTTACCCCCATGCTGCTGTTCTTGTGATAGTGAGTGAGTTCTCACAAGATATGATGGTTTTATAAGCTTTTCCCCCTTTTGCTCTGAACTTATTCCTGCCATCATGTGAAGAAGGAGGATGTGTCTGCTTCCCTTTCCACCATGATTGTAAGTTTCTTGAGGCCTCCCCAGCCATGTGGGACTGTGACTCAATTAAACTTCTTTTCTTTATAAACTACCCAGTTTTGGGCAGTCCTTTATAGCAGTGTGAGAATGAACTAATGCACTAGTCCTCCATGTTTGGACTTTTCGCTTCTCTTTTCTTCTAAAGTGAGCTTTTGTATTGAGAAAACATGTTCTCCTTTCACATTATAGATATCAGCTTTGGGAGTATTGGGACCTGGTGTGGAATGGAGAAAAGAATACATTGTATCCAGTAAGAAGAAAGCATTATGTTTATAAAATTCCCTTTCATTTGTTCTATGGTCTGAATATCTGTGTCCTCTCAAAATTCATATGTTAAAATCCTAACCCCCAAAGTGATGGTATTAAGAGGTGGGGACTTTTGGGAGATTAGGCCATGGGAGTGGAGCCCTCAAGAATGGCACTAGTATCCTTATAAAAGAGGCCCAAGAGAGCTTGTTTGCCCTTCCCCCATGTGAGGATGCAGTGAATAGACAGACACCTTCTCTGAAGCAGAGAGTAGTCCCCACCGGACCCCAGTCTGCCAGTGCCTTGATCTTAGACTTCTCAGCCTCCAGAACTAAAAGAAATAAATTTCTGTAGTTTATAAGCCACTCAATTTTTGGTGTTTTTTCTTAGTCTCAACAGACTAAGAAAATTGGTTTTTGCTTTTAGGCTTGTAAGTCATTCCATTTAGAGGGAGTTAAAGATGACATGATAAAAATGCTGATTCGCAGGAAGACATAACCACATTGGCAAAACTAATTTGGAAGGCAAGTTGACATTTATGAAAATTAAAAATGGACATTTTTTTGTCCACCAGTTTCATTTCTTTGTATCAACGCTGGAGAAAAAAGAAATCACTGATATATATTAGGGTGCATATTCAGAAATACTCATTGAAATATCATTTGTAAATGAAAGACAGAAAAATTATAGACTATCTAAATGTTCCTAGGAAATACTTTTAAAAACTTGATATAGATACGGATAGACGAAATAATACATAGCAGTTAAAAAAGAATTACAACTATAATAATATGGTAAGATCTCCAAGGTATATTTTGAGTGGAAAAAGCAAGTTGTAGAACAAGGCATCCAAAATAATACCATTTTGTTTTAAAAACACAAACGTTACATATTTTTATAGACATATATGGTCTGAATACAGAAAAAAAATGTAATTTAAAAAATAGTAGTTATATCTGGTGAAGGTACTTGATTTGGAAAACATGGCCAAGGGAGATGAGAAAAATAATTTCTCTTTGTATTGTTTGTGTAATTACACATTAATTAAAAAAACCCTCAAATTATTTATTTAAATTTACCTTTAACCTTTTACACATACTCAAATTTTTAAAAAAGAACTCCTGGTACCTGTGTTTGCTAGCTTAAAAAAAACAAATAAAAAGGCATAGCTGATCATTTTTTCTTCCCAATGGTGTATGCACACTCATGTTACTTTAAGGACCATTTCCTGAAGATAAGGAACAGAAATGAGGGAGAAAATGGAAGAGAATAGCCTTTCTTTTGGTGAGACAGCAAGAGCACAGTTTGACGATTCTCCACTTGACAATTTTTCCCCAGGACAGGACATGTAGAAACATATTTGCCAACAACAAAGCCAGTGCTGGCTTTTAGACACAGAGAAATCAAAGCGGCCCTGAGTGAAATTCCTTTGAAGACTACCTGTGTTGTCTATGGCCGACACTCTTCCTCTGGAAAAGAATCAGCAGATATATATGTGGTGTCTGCATCCCCAAGCTGGGCACACGATTAAAAGCATGCCAAAGCGAAGGCACTAGACGCATGCCAAGATCTGAATATCTTGGGCTATAAAAACAGGTAGAGAGGCCTGCTCAGTTGAAACCTGCAATTGGGCATTAGGGAGCAGAGATGCATTATAGGGGAATTTATGAACCTATTTGAACATCATAAGTTTGAAATTTCCAGACCAAATTGAGGCTTGTACGGTTCCATTTATCACACTTTCCATTTCAGGCTGGCTGAGATGGAAGGAGTTTAAGTGACAGCTGGCTTACCCTTACCCCCAGGCCACCAGATGAAATTGTGGAGCAGAGCCTGCCTGGCACGTAGAAAGATGAGGAGAAGGGGACAAGCTGCAGGGGGGTGCAGAATGCGTGAGCTCGTCCTGGTGGCACTGAGCAGGTAGAGTGCTCCGACAAGAGGGGACAAAGGAGGCGGGGGAGGAGTCTGATGGAAAGACCTGAGAATGAGAATGAGAAGAAGACTTGCAATCGAGACCTCTTGCCAAGAGAAGAATGAAAGGGGATAGAGTGGGAGGGCAGGGAGAAAAAAAAAATTAGTCCAGCTGCTCAAGGAGAGCAGGTTGAAATAGAGGGGATGTTGATTTAGAACAGTCATCACTCAGAAAAGCCAGAACAACAAAAGAAACACAGGAAGGTACTGCCTAGAGGAAGATAGTCTCCGTAGCGTTTTTTTTTTTTTTTTATTACTGCGTTTAAAACGGGAAAGAACTGTAAAGGTTGGTGGAATGATTTCAGCCCGTCTAAGCGTGTGTCTACCTGCCTGGCTGTGGCCGGGAGGTTTGTTTGGCTGCCTATCAGCTCTTATTTCCTTAGAAGGTTGGAGAATTAGCTTCCTCATTCCCATCAAATGTGTGAAAACCATTCCTTGATGTAGGTGAAGCTTTCTGTGGTTTACTGCGAAGGAAAAAGCGACAAAGAGTGAGAAAGTTCTACTTTAGCAATTTATAATTTCACCACCACCCCCCCGCCCCCACTGACTTCTGTTTTATTTCAGACGTTATTTTCTCTCTTCCTTTTGAGTTTCTGTTAAACACACTAGATATCTTTGGTGTGTTGTTGTTATTGTTTTCAAGATCCCCTCTCCCCGAAAAGCTACCTTTGGAGTGAAAGGATCATGGACTCCTAGAAATTCACAACTGGCTTGGTTTAATCCAAGGCACTTTTTTACTTGTTTTTTTTTTTTTTTTTTTTTTTTTTCCTGAGGGAGTCTCTTGAGACACATCACTAGTACCAGTTTGTTTTGGAATCACATTTAGGAGAATTTTTTTTAAAACCATGAATAAGTCTGTGTTTTTTGTGGAAACAAAGAGCAGATTTTGCAAGCGAAGGAGGTCATTTACCCCCACAATGAAAGTATTTTGCATGTAAACAATATGACTGCTTTACCTGAGAAAATTAGTGATGGATTATTGATAGAGTGGATTCTGTCTATATCCATGCTCACTCTTTACTTGTGGTTAAAAAAAATTGCCCTTGAAATAAAGTGTAGTGCTTTCTCCTCACAGACTCACAGAGATATCAGTCATTTTGTGAAATAAAAGTTGATAGTTTGATAAGCAATTAACTTGTGCTTCTTTCAGATAGAGCCAAATGTTTCGTTAGATTTTTAGATAACGACATTTCAATGCTTTCATTCAAATGCACGTGTAGTGTATTTGAAATGGTCCCATTTGAGGCTATTGCTCAGACTACAAAGGAAGAACATCTCTCTCTCTCCAGCAAAGCCCAACAATGAGTTTGTGTCACATAAGCTTTTGCCCTAAAACTACATGCCACAGCCAACAATGATCAATGTCTCCCAGGACTGCTCAATTTGAAGGGATATCTGTTGGTTCAGGTGGTCACATGGAGCTATTAAGATGTTTTTGAGTGCATCAGAGAGAAGTGGGATGGCATGTTACCAGGAAAGTGGAAAGGGAAACTAATTCAAGGGTGTTGTTGATTTGAAAATAACTGAACAATCTGAGTCACACTATAGACTCGTGGCTAACCCCATTGTTCTCTGAAATTAGAGGGAGAGACAATAAAATGAGATGCTCCTTTGGAATTGAGTGTGCTGAACCAGCACTTTCCTTGGCTCCGTCCCAGGAGCATAAAATCTGTGCTCTGAAAATGAAAAAGGGAATATTGTGATTGAACTGGATGCCATAAGATACCCCGATGGCTTACACTTCACTTGGGATTGACTGGAAAATGTGTGTTGGAAATCTCTTTCACAATTACAAAATTTCACTTCCAATGCAAAAATATCTTGCAGGCTAAATGAGAAGTAACACCACTCCAGAGAAAAGCGTTGGCCGTCTCCCAGATTAATATGGGGTTATGGTCCATGATAGGGTTAGATGAGGTAAAAATTTCCCACTTCTCTTCCAGATAGACCGGAAATTGTTGTGCCTGAAATAGATTTGGGCTAAGTAACCAATTAAAATAATTTGGATCAAGAAATGTGACATGGAATGTGATGTAGATATTTCCAGTTCTTATTCAGGAAACCTTATTGCAAAAAGGTTGAAAGATAATTGAGAAAATAATTTAAATGGTGGCAAGAGTTATTTGTGTGAAGATAAAATCCAGAGTCCTTTTCATTGAGATGGAGAAGCTGCCAAATAGCTCTTGGTGATAATTCTATGCACAAAATTTTCATAGTGGGCTTCAGTACCTTGCCAGATGAAAGCTTTTGCTCAGTTTAAAGTTGGAAAAGAGATTTGAGTCTCCACCAAGGATAATGTGTTAAGCTTGGTAATTAAAGACTGTTTTTTATAAATAATGCCAAAAGCACATTGGGAACATTGGGCTCATATATTACTGTACTTTAAAGAAATCAAGAACCTAATAACATTCTAGATAAAATGACATACACACCCACATCCACACCCCCCATACACATACATACACACACACCCTGATTCATATCAGGATATAAGGGAAATTATACAATTTTTCTAATCCAGTTATCAAATGATATTAAGGGGCAGTCTATCTACTGTGTCTTTGAATAATGAGAGCTTTAAAAATGTAATAAAAACTTTCGAGTTACACAGTCCAGTGCTACTCAAAGTGTGGTCTGTGACCTCCTGCTAGTTCATGACCTGTTTACCAGCACACAACAAGACGCACATAGAAATTGAGACCGAGCATTTCACAACTTGTATAGCAATAAAACGAGGACTGCAGAGTGTCATGATTTTTAAATGAGCTCATGTTTTCTATTTCTTATTTGAGTTTTCTACAGTTTCATATTTATTGTATTTTACAAATACATTGGTCTGCAGTATTAAAAAAAATTCTCCTACTTCACAGACAATTTGAGAAACACTGAAATTAACTCTACTTTTAAGAATCTAAGTGCTACTCTTTGAATTTATATTATCTTTGTGTTTTAAGATGGTGCATGATTTAACCTCAGTTTAGTCAGGAAAACCAGGCACATAAATTGAATATGGCTGCTGAACCAATCTCATGCCAGTCTCTTGCTCTTGTACTCTATTGAAACCCCATGGTCCTTTCTTTCTGTCAGACACAAAAAGATCCTCCCAGAATTTGAGGCTTTGCATGTGCTCTTCCCTTCACCTGGAATGCTTTTCCTTCTTCTCCTCCAAAGGTTTGATTTTGTCTTTTTTACATCTCAGCTTAAATGCCACCTCTGTGGGCTGACTTTCCTGACTCAAATTGAAAAATAACTCCCCTCCAAATTCTTACATTATTCTCTCCCTGTCGCTACTGTGACTACTATGAATAGTTTAATTACTTATTGTCTATTTCTCTATACTAGATTGTTAACAAGAGAAGGAAACTTGCCTATTTTTTCACTGCTGTGTACTCAAAGTCTAGAGCAATGTATGACACATTGACATATTAGTTCATTGAAGGACTAATAAAATATCTGAATCCCTATTTTCCCCTAATAGAGTGTAAGCCCCTCAAGGATAAGTTTTGTTTTATTCATTTACGTATCCCTAGCACTTTAGCACAATGCCTGACTCAGAGAAACTACATGAAAAAATGCCTTTTGAAGAAATAAATGAATAAATTACCTCCTGAGAACATCCACCTGGGTGTCCCATAGGCAATTGGACTTGTATATTTGGGTCTAAGCTCATCATACATTGCTGTAGTCTTCAATTAGCATCACCATTCACTTAGGCTCCCAAGCAAGGAACAAGCATCATACTCGATTCTGTCCTTATCTTCCCTTCTTATTCTCAAATTCACCTCAGGAAAATGAAACTGATTTAAAATTGATTATATCTCTTACCTTTGCTTATATTCCTCACTTTTGCATTAAACCTTTATTTTGATGTAGGCATATATGTGTTTTTTTTTTTCTTTATGACCTATACTTTTTGAGTATTATTTGGAAAAGCCTATGCATTTGTTGTGGTGAACACTGGGGTAGTTGGCCTAGTTGCCTCAATCTTTCTTACCAGTTCTACATCCTACCTCCCAGCTCCTGTGTGTTTTCTTTACAAAGGCTTTGAAGAACAAAATAAAGATCTGTAAGTAAAAGCTTCCTGTGTTCTGTGTTGCACAGGCAACTCATAAAAGCCCATGCAAGCATGAGAAAAAGGGTCACCTTCCATTAGTAATGCAGATAGAGTTGCAGGAGAGAGTAAAAAGGACCACAGGACACAATTTGTCTTGTGTCTAATGGGGAAACTGAAGCTAAAGGAAAAGACCCAATAATATGGTAGGGAGATAAAGAAAAGCTAATGAACACATACACACACACACACACACACACACACACACACACACACACCTTTCTCCAAAGCATTTTGACTTTGCATCCAGAGCTGTATCTCACGTAAGAATTAGCATCTAAAGTCAGTGTATATGGTGCACGTTTATGTATCATAAAACATGAAATGACACTCATTGTGGGGAGATGATGATCTTATATAAAGCACACAGTAACCCACACCTGCAAATGAAGCAACAGATTGGTGTTTCTCATCTTATTCACACAATCCAAGGGTACAAGGCTCTTCATGGACCAGCTAGAAGGACTTTTCCTGAGATGGTGATTAAGACAACCATGAAGGAAACAGAAGTTTTACAGTTTTCAGTGGTTGCAAGGTCTACAGTAGCCTCTTAATTAAAAGAACCCATTTAATTAATTTTTTAATTAAGAAATTTTAGCAATGGAAAAAACGCACACATACAGGAAATGGATAATTTTAACATTTGGTGGCCTTTTATTAAATATTCTCAAAAATATAAACTCCGGAGATGCCAAATTTTGCAACATGATTTCCCCAGTCTGTTACTGTACAGAAGTAAGCTGCTGAGTGGAAAGAAAAGCAAAAGTTTCTGTGCTCAGAAGAAAAATGGCTTTTATTTATCTGGCCTCCCATGCTTTTCCACTCATTGCTATTTTAGAAAGATTACCCTAGTGAAAGGTTTACTCGTGGTGTAATCTTAGACCAGACTTATTAATAGATACCCTTTTTAAAAAAACGGATAAAAATAAACAACATAAAAATAAAAATACAATGGAATTAGGCTAATGTATATTTGTCTTTATCAGAAATTAATGCCTTCTGTACTACAGATTAAAATTTCGTTAGCTATGTTTCTGTATTGAAACCCAATGGTTATTTTTTCTAACAGAGGATAAAAATGCACAACTCTTCATGGACAGGAAACCAAATAAAAAGCTCCATGATTGGAAAAAAAAGCAGGATTCTGCATTCACTTTTAGTCAAACCCAGAAGTAAGAAAAGATGAAGGCTCTAGGTATCAAATATAAAGAGGCTGGTTGCTGACTTTAGAGGCTCAGGTTGTTCATTGCTGTGTGTCAACTCAGGCCAGAAATTTGATGTGTCTGAGCCTTGTCTATAGAACGGAGATGCTATGCTGCAGAGCTGTTGTACGGGTTTAAAGCTGTGGTACGTGCAAAGTGCATGGTAGTGTCTGGCACGGTATACATTTAGTACAGGTTAGTTACTGTTAGCAGTATAACTTGGGAAAGTGCTTTCCTTCTCAGGTATTTGTCTCCCCATCATTAAAATAAGAAGACTGAATAAGATCTATGTCACCTGAAGAGTAGGATGCAAACCACTGGTGTTAAAAACAAGACAATGTAAAGCATTACATGGAAACAGTACTCGATAAACTTGAATCTCTACATAAAAATACGTTCCCATTGCAAATCTCATCCCTATCTTCTTCTTAAATCAAAGAGAACATCTTTGTTTAGTGCTAGAATGGCTTAACAACTCATTATTTAAGAAAGCAAGCCTTAATCCTTTAATAGGCAATAATAAGAATTTGATATCTTGCCTTATTTTTTATTATATTTATTTTTAAAGTTTGTCATTATGACAATGGACATCAGATTTATATTTACAATAATACTATAAAATTTTCTTTCTGAAGCTATATTTCAGTAAAAATAATGAGCTGATTTAAAGTAAAACAGTATGGGCAGTGTATGTAGCAAAGATCTTGACCTTGACTTGCTAAAGACTAAAGTTTGGCAAATGCTGGACTTGATCTAACATTCTATGTTTCTATGGGGAAGAACTGGTTCTCTCTAGTCACTGTCTCAGCAAGATTACTTTTAGAGTAAAGTGTATTCTGATGCCTTTCTTTACTTACTGTCCTGAGCTTGGTTGAAAGTAGAGTGGAGATGTTGCTTTGTTGCAATCTGGTATCTGGAGAGCAACTCAGAGATAGAGGAAAAGGAGACAAATCTATTATAGTTCTTAAAAAAAAAAACAAAGCAAATCACCATGCAGATGTACATACTTGCAGAGATAAATACAATCAGCTCACTTGACTGTACCACTCCATGTATTATCAATGTAAAGTAGATAAGATGGCCTCATTCTTTCTATTTATTATTTATTTGTTTTTATTGTGGCAAAATATGCATAAAATAAAATTATCATTTTAACCATTTTAAAGTACAAAATTCAGTGGCATCAAATACATCCACAGTGTTGTGCAACCATCACTGCCATGCATCTCCTCATCTTAAACAGAAAGTCTGTACCTATTAAAGAGTAACACCCCATTGCTCACTTCCCCACCTCCTTGTAACCCTTGTTCTACTATGACTTTACCTATTCCAAGTACCTTATAAAAGTGGCATCATATGTTTGTCTTTTGTGTCTGGTTTATTTCACTTAGCATATTGTTCCTAAATTTCATCTATGTTTGTAGCCTGTATCAGAATTTCATTCATTTTCATGGTCAAGTAATATTCCATGATAAACATATTCTACATTTTGTTTATCCATTCCTCTGTTGATTGACATTTGGGTTGCTTCTACCAAGCCTGCGTGGTTGCTGTGGCAGAGAGAAAAGTCTTAAGATGCACACAGCATCACCACCAGGACTTCAGGGAATGGGGAAATTCATAACCTAATGAGAAAGTGGGGTGCTGCTATAGGGAACAAAGGAAGAAATGCTAGGCAGACTAACTGAATAAATAAATATCATTACTTAATTTTACCATATTATGTCTGTAAGGGTTTACTTTGACACCAAATACGGGATTACTAAAACAAATAACTCTATTTTAAAAAATCGTTTGTTTAAAAAGTGGGAATTTTGTATCTTCCTCTCAACTCATAATGACCAACTTTACCATATCTGTATTATGTACCTTTAGATACATGATCTAAGGTGGATGAATTTGAATCTTTCTGTTAACATTTGGGATAAGATGGAGAGGGAACTGAGCATCTAGGCTAGCCTCTTGGATGGAGAATGTATTCTCAGGGGCTAGCTGTGTGCACATGTGGTGGGGTGGGGAGGGGAGTCTTCCTACCTGCATATGCACAGAGAAGTTGAGAAAGTTGATGTTCAAAGAAAAATTTCAAGTAGAAGAGAAGAGAAAAGCAAAGACAAGAGAAAAAGAGAATGCTGGCTGGGCCCTTGTTGAGATGTTTGTGGAGTTGCAAGAAAAAACAGGATTTCAGCACTAGAAGAAGCATCTCATGTTAAAAGTGGAGCAAAGATTTTGGGCTCAGCTAACCTGAGTTCATGGTCTGAGTACATGAGTATTCAGTTCCTTATTCTGGTCCCTTCCAGAGACTCAGCTTTTCCCACTCTTGAAATTTGTGAAGACATCTGGGTTCTTAAAACAATCCCCGTTATTGATTAAACAAGTTTGGTTGCAGTGGGTTTCTTTTTCTTGTAATCAAATAATCTGAATTAAACTAATTTATTTCAGATTCTTAGATCTAAAACATTCTGAGAATAAAAATGCTAGAGGTACCATATATATCCAAATACAAGTCAACTCCTAACACCAAGTATCTATTGGCATAATATGAGGGTGTGTGCTTTAATTACCATCTCATTCATTGTAAAGTAATTGGGAGTTCACCATAATACAAGGCATTTAAAAGGCTTCCTTCTAATTTTGAGGAATGATTTTAAGAAAAAAAAATCTTGCCTTCTGCCTTCTAGTCAGACATATACAGTTGCCGACTAACAAGAGGGTGTTCATATTAGTCCTCATAAGCTGACCACGTCACAACTTATCACAGAAACAGAACATGCAGAAAGTAATAACACATTTTACTACTCAGTAAACTGCACGCAGAATCTCTGATGCAGCTGCGTGTGATCTTCCTGGCCAAAGCTTGGGGCTGGTAGAAACACTCAATATAATAATGAAAGAGAAAAGCTCTCCTTAAGGTAATAGAGCCCCATGGGGCAAAATTATTATCAACTTACCCATATAGCTATAGCAAAAGGTAGATACTGGGAGAAAAAAATCAAGTTTAAAATGAAACCACGAGCTTACAGAGAGCTTTTTTATTCATGTGACATGATTTTGTGATAAATTACTTTAATGCTTTCAAAACCTTGATAAATGGATTGATAGATAACAAATTTTGTCTTGTGGCTTATTTACTCCCTAGAATTAAATTACGAAGTGGGAAGGGCATTAACTCTTCTAGACCACTAGAAAACCACTTAGGGCACTGGACTGGAGAAAGTACTAGAAATAATGACTCAAGAGAGGATTTCTCCAGCCTCTTGGTGTAACTGGGAACTTTATCAGAAGACAAAAATCACAAAAACAAGGGATTAGGAAACAGACATCCAAGTAAACACCAGGTAACACTTCCATTTATGAAGAGTGATGTTGAAATTATTAGATCATTATGTATGCACAATAACTCTGAAAATGCTGTATAGACCAGTGGATCTCAGTGTGTGGTCCTCAGACCAACAGCATCAGAATTACTAGAGAACTTGTTAGAAATGCAAATTCTCAAGCTACACCAAGACCTACTGAATATGTAATTCTGGAGGTAAGGCTCAAAAGACGGTTTTAACAAGCCCTCCTGGTGATTCCGATATGCACCACAATTTCTGATTCACTTGTGCCGGAGTGAGGAGAAGAGGAAGAGCTTTGCTGTTAGACAGATGCGGGTCCAAATCAGCCTGTTCTCTTACTGGCTGTGTTATTTTTGCCATTTACTTAATCTTTGAGGGCCTGAATTTCCTCATCTGCAATGTAAAAAAGGATTCTTACCTCACACTAACATAAAGATTAAATTTATATTATTTGTGAACAGACTTTTCAAAGTGCCTGATTTTATCATGTACGTGGTAGTACCATGCTAGTAGCCCCATTTTGTAGAGGAAGTATGTGGTGAAGCCAGGCCATGAACCCAGGTTAGGCGAGCCCAAAATCTATACTCCACTTTTAACATGAATTGCTTCTTTTAGTGCTGAAATACTGTTTTTTTCTTGCAACTCCACAAACATTATCTTAATGGATTTATTTATTCTCTTCAATTACATGAGAAATACCTGCCTAATGCAGAAAAAGAAAGAAAAAAAATTCCTGAAAAACTCATCACAATTTTATGACTCAGAAATAACCTCTATTACATTTTGGTATAAAGATTTCCACTCAAACTTTTGTTATAAAATATTGTAAATGCTATTTTTTCATTCAAAATATTGAGAATTTTCTTTCATTTTGATAAATGCATCTAAGAATTAGAAAGCAATCTGCAATATAGGAAACATTTTAGCATATGTCCTATAAACAAAAAGTAGAATATTTCCAAATTTTTTAGTGTAATGAGAATGGGCATTACAGTTGTCATACCAACATTTGTTGTACCCTTCCTCCACTATGTCGAAGCTACATGATTAGAATTTACCAGCGTCAGGCTCAGTTCCAGGGAAGAGCCAACGAAAGTTACTTTTCCCTAGTCACATGATTGGTTTAGAAAGTACACTAATCAGGCTTTCCCTCTTCCATAGCTAAGCAGTTGGCTCAGGAGTGAACATTATGATATTCAAGTTGGTTCAGTCAGAGGGAAGCTAAGGACATTTGTTTGAGATAGAAATGCTCCCCTTTTGGACTTAAGTGAACAAATGTGTAGCCAGGAGATGTTGACAGCCATCATATAACAAGGAGGAGAATCAAACTTCTATTAAAACTGACCTCATGGAGGATTGACTGGAAAGATAGATGAATCTCATGGAGTTCCAGGATCAGATCAATCCTGAAGCCTGTAACGCTACCAATTAGTTTATCTATAGTTGCATTTCTCCCATTAGCTGTAGCCCTACAACAGGCTGTGGGACCAGCCTTTTCTTCATATAGCTGAATCATTGGTTATACCGCATCTTTAAACATCAAGAGATTTCTGTTTCTATTAATGGCAGAGTCACTGTACCAGACTATACCTCCCTTTTTATACAATGACAAAACTGTATAAAAATATGCAATAATTACTTTCGGATGTTGGGAAAAAGGCAACAGTAGAAGAAAACTGTGATCCCTGAAGGGAAGTAAGTTTGATTTCCCAAACAAGGTGGGAATCATTTTGACTTTTTACCTAGAAAGTTTTTTTTTGTTTGTCATTATTTGGCAATATAAGCAATATCAGTGAATGTTCTTAAGTCGGAAGGGAAATTACACACACACACACACACACACACACACACAGAAAGAGCTCTGGAAATGATAAATATTTTGTTGGTATATATAAAGGACTATTTCTCTTTTGTTAATCTATTTAAAATACATATGCCTCTTTAAAGCAAAAATGATAACAATGTATTAAATGGGTTTGTAATGTTTGTAGATGTAACATGAATGATGACAACAGTTCTAAGAATAAGAGGCTGCATAATAAATTATCCCAACTTAGTAGCTTAAAACAACATCCGTTTATTAATTAACAGTTCTATAGGTCCTAAGTCTGAACTGGGATCTCTGTTCAAGATTTCAAAAAGTTGAAATCAAGGTATCAGCTGGGTTGTGTTTCTTTATAAACAACAGGGTCTTCTTTCAAGCTTACGTGGTTGTTGGAAGAAATCAAGTCCTTGCAGTTGTAGGACTGAAGCCCCTATTCTCATTATGGCAGTTGACCAGGGGCAATTCCCAGCTTCTAGAGGCCATCCATATTTTCTTGCCATGTGGCCATCTCCATAGGCCCTGTCATGTTTTCAATCTCTCTGACTTCAGAAAGGGCCCAGTGCCTTATAAAGGTACATCTAATTATGTTAGACCTGCTAAATACCTCTCTTTTGAGGAATCCAAAGTCAGCTGATTAATAATCTAATCACGAGTGATATTCCATCATTTTCACAGGTTCTACCCTCATCCAAGGAGAGGGGAATGGTGTCCTCATGCACACTAGTGAACAGTAATCTTAAGGACCATCTTAGACTTCTGTGTGCTCTAGGATAAAAATGAAAATTAAAACCATTTTACAGTTTTTATATTTTACCTTAAATAATAATATATTATCTCTAAGTAGATTGGAATAAATTTTAGAGGCATAATATAGTCTGTAGAGCAACCAGTTAAAAAATTCAAAGAGATACCGCTAAGAAGCAAATAAAAAAACTAAAATGGAAAACTAAAAAATTTCTGAATAACTCAAAAGATGGCAAAGGACAAATAAGAGGAGCAAAACAGAAATGAGACAAATACAAAACTACAAAATGCAACCATATCAATAATAACATTAAATGTCAGTGGAATAAACATTTCAAGCAAAAGGCAGAGATTGTTAGACTTGGACAGAGTATGTGGAGAAAAACAAAACCAACAGAGGATGTGGACAGGGGATGTGGAGAAAAACAAAAACCAACTCTATACTGTCTACAGGCGATATATTTTAAATAAAAAGGTACAAACCAATGGAAAGTGAATGAGAACGAAAGATACACAACGCAAATAGCAAGTATGAGAAACCTAGAGAAAATCGGACAAAACGTACTTAAAAAAAGAAGTTTCTTTTGCTCTGCGGAAGCTATTTAGTTTGATTAGATCCCATTTCTCAATTTTGGCCTTTGTTGCAATTGCTTTTGGTGTTTTAGTCGTGAAGTCTTTGCCTATGCCCATGTCCTGAATGGTATTGCCTAGGTTTTCTTCTCGCGTTTTTATGATTCTAGGGCTTACATTTAAATCTTTAATCCATCTTGATTTAATTTTTGTATAAGGTGTAAGGAAGGGGTCCAGTTTCAGTTTTCTGCACATGGCTAGCCAGTTTTCCCAACACCGTTTATTAAATAGGGAACGCTTTCCCCATTGCTTGTTGTTGTCAGGCTTGTTAAAGATCAGATGGCTGTAGATGTGTGATGTTATTTAATTTTTGCAGTCTATCCACCTGACAAAGGGCTAATATCCAGAATCTATAAGGAACTTAAACAAATTTAGAAGAAACAAACAAACAACTCCATCAAAAAGTGGGCAAAGGATATGAACAGACACTTTTCAAAAGAAGACATTTATGAGGCCAAAAAACATATGAAAAAATGCTCATTGTCGCTGGTCATCAGAGAAATGCAAATCAAAACCACAATGAGATACCATCTCATGCCAGTTAGAATGGTGATCATTAAAAAGCCAGGAAACAACAGATGTTGGAGAGGATGTGGAGAAGTAGGAAGGCTTTTACACTGTTGGTGGGAGTGTAAATTAGTTCAACTATTTGTGGAAGACAGTGTGGAGATTCCTCAAGGATCTAGAACTAGAAATACCATTTGACCCAGCATTCCCATTATGGGGTATATACCCAAAGGATTATAAGTCATTCCACTATAAAGATACATTCACATGTATGTTTATTGCAACATTATTCACAATAGCAAAGACTTGGACCCAACCCAAATGCCCATCAATGATAGACTGGATAAAGAAAATGTGGCATATATACACTATGGAATACTACGCAGCCATAAAAAAGGATGAGTTCATGTCCTTTGCAGGGACATGGATGAAGCTGGAAACCATCATTCTCAGCAAGCTAACACAGGAACAGAAAACCAAACACTGCATGTTCTCACTCCTAAGAGGGAGTTGAACAATGAGAACACATGGACACAGGGAGGGGAATATCACACACTGGGGCTTGCTGGTGGGTGAGGGGCAAGGGGAGGGATAGCATTAGGAGAAATACCTAATGTAGATGACAGGTTGATGGGTACATCAAACCACCATGGCATGTGTATACCTATGTAACAAACCTGCATGTTCTGCACATGTATCCCAGAACCTAAGTACAATAACGGAAAAAAAAAAGAAGTATCACTAGATCGCATGTTCTTACTCATAAGTGGGGTCTAAGCTTTGAAGATGCAAAGGCATAAGAATGACACAATGAACACTGGGGACTCAGGGGAAAGGGTGGGAAGGGGTGAAGGCTAAGAGACTGCAAACTGGGTGCACTGTATACTGCTCGGGTGATGGGTGCACCAAAATCTCACAAATCACCACTAAAGAACTTACTCATGTAACCAAACACCACCTGTTCCCCAATAACATATGGATATTAAAAAATTTAAAAAATTTATGCTGCAAAAAGAGAGACGTATCACTAGAGATAAAGTGGATTGCTTCATAATGATCAAAAGGACAACACACCAGAAAGATTATACAGTCAAAATAGAATAAAAACACACACAGGCACACTGATTTCACCCTCCACCTCTAACCCAATCTCCACTGAGCAGCCAAAGTGATCTATTTAAGATCCAAATCAGATTATGGGAGCCAATAGACTGAGATTCTGACTAATATAATAGATTTTATCCCTATAGTACAATGATGGTTTGAAATAATAAAATTCATATTTATAATTAAGCACATCAGTAGTGTGAAGGAGAAAAATGATGTGATGAATTTGATGAATGCAGAAAAAACATATGCCAAAGACCCCAACTAGAAGCCAAAAAGAATTTTCTTTATAGCTCGTGCTTATAGCAAAAATTTTCATGAAACCTCATACATAATGAGAAACCATTAACCATATTTTTCCTTCTGGATTGAGAACAATACAAACATGCTTAATTTTTTGAGATGGAGTCTCATTCTGTCACCCAGGCTGGGGTGCAGTGGTGCAATCTTGGTTCACTGCAACCTCCACCTCCCGGGTTCAAGCAATTCTCCTGCTTCAGCCTCCCGAATAGCTGGGATTATAGGTGCCCACCACAATGCCTGGCTAATTTTTGTAGTTTTAGTAGAGACATGGTTTCACCATGTTGGCCAGGCTGGTCATGAACTCCTGACCTCAAGTAATCTGCTCACCTTGGCCTCCCAATGTGCTTGGATTACAGGTGTGCTACTGCTCCTGGCCTTAATTTCTCTTAACATTGTACTCAATGTGTCAGCCAGTACTCTGGGGAAAGAGAAAATATATATATATGTAAGAATTATTATAAGGAAGAGATAATTCTGACTTTATGGTGTTATAATAATCTATATCAATGCTGTCCAATAGAAATGCAATGTACATCAGAAATGTAATTTAAAATTTTCTAACTTTGATTAAAAAGAACAGGTGAAATTAATTTTAATAATATAATTTATTGCCTGGGGGCAGGGGCTCACACCTGTAATCCGAACACTTTAGGAGCCCGAGGTGGGCGGATCACAATGTCAAGAGATCGAGACCATCCTGGCCAACATGGTGAAACCCCGTCTCTACTAAAAATGCAAAAATTAGCGGGGCATGGTGGCGCATGCCTGTAGTCCCAGTTTCGGTTTGCCAGTATTTTATTGAGGATTTTTACATTGATGTTCATCAGGGATATTGGTCTAAAATTCTTTTTTATTGTTGTGTCTCTGCCAGGCTTTGGTATCAGGATGATGCTGGCCTCATAAAGTGAATCAGGGAGGATGCCCTCTTTTTCTATTGATTGGAATAGTTTCAGAAGGAATGGTACCAGCTCCTCTTTGTACCTCTGGTAGAATTCAGCTATTAATCCGTCTTGTCCCGGACTTTTTTTGGTTTGTAGGCTAATAATTATTGTCTGAATTTCCGAGCTTGTTATTGGTCTATTCAAGGATTCAACTTCTTCCTGGTTTAGTCTTGGGACAGTGTACATGATTATCTCAATAGACGCAGAAAAGGCCTTTGACAAAATTGAACAGCCTTCATGCTAAAAACTATCAATAAATTAGGTATTGATGGGACGTATCTCAAAATAATAAAAGCTATTTACAACAAACCCACAGCCAATATCATACTGAATGGGCAAAAACTGGAAGCATTCCTTTTGAAAACTGGCACAAGACACGGATGCCCTCTCTCACCACTCCTATTCAACATAGTATTGGAAGTTCTGGCCAGGGCAATCAGGGAGAAGAAAGAAATAAAGGGTATTCAATTAGGAAAAGAGGAGTTCAAATGGTCCCTGTTTGCAGATGACATGATTGTATATTTAGAAAACCCCATCGTCTCAGCCCAAAATCTTCTTAAGCTCATAAGCAACTTCTGCAAAGTCTCAGGATACAAAATCAATGTGCAAAAATCACAAGCATTCCTATACACCAATAACAGACAAACAGAGAGCCAAATCATGAGTGAACTCCCATTCACAATTGCTTCAAAGAGAAGAAAATACCTAGGAATCCAACTTACAAGGGATGTGAAGGACCTCTTCAAGGGAATTACAAACCACTGCTCAACGAAATAAGAGAGGACACGAACAAATGGAAGAACATTCCATGCTCATGGATAGGAAGAATCAATATTGTGAAAATGGCCATACTGCCCAAGGTAATTTATAGATTCAGTGCCATCCCCATGAAGCTACCAATGACTTTCTTCACAGAACTGGAAAAAACTATATAAAGTTCACATGGAACCAAACAAGAGCCTGCATTGCCAAGTCAATCCTAAGCCAAAAGAACAAAGCTGGAGGCATCACGCTACCTGACTTCAAACTATACTACAAGGCTACAGTAACCAAAACAGCATGGTACTGGTACCAAAACAGAGATATAGACCAATGGAACAGAACAGAGCCCTCAGAAATAATACCACACATCTACAACCATCTGATCTTTGACAAACCTGACAAAAACAAGCAATGGGGAAAGGATTCCCTATTTAATAAATGGTGCTGGGAAAACTGGCTAGCCATATGTAGAAAGCTGAAACTGGATCCCTTCCTTACACCTTATACAAAAATTAATTCAAGATGGATTAAAGATTTAAATGTTAGACATAAAACCATAAAAACCCTAGAAGTAAACCTAGGCAATACCATTCAGGACATAGGCATGGGCAAGGACTTCATGTCTAAAACACCAAAAGCAATGGCAACAAAAGCTAAAATTGACAAATGGGATCTAATTAAACTAAAGAGCTTCTGCACAGCAAAAGAAACTACCATCAGAGTGAACAGGCAACCTACAGAATGGGAGAAAATTTTTACAATTTACTCATCTGACAAAGGGCTAATATCCAGAATCTACAAAGAACTTAAACAAATTTACAAGAAAAAATCAAACAACCCCATCAAAAAGTGGGCGAAGGATATGAACAGACACTTCTCCAAAGAAGACATTTATGCAGCCAAAAGACACATGAAGAAATGCTCATCATCACTGGCCATCAGGAAAATGCAAATCAAAACCACAATGAAATACCATCTCACACCAGTTAGAATGGCGATCATTAAAAAGTCAGGAAACAACAGGTGCTGGAGAGGATGTGGAGAAGTAGGAACACTTTTACACTGTTCGTGGGACTGTAAACTAGTTCAACCATTGTGGAAGACAGTGTGGCGATTCCTCAAGGATCTAGAACTAGAAACACCATTTGACCCAGCCATTCCATTACTGGGATAAAGACACATGCACACATATGTTTATTGTGGTGCTATTCACAATAACAAAGACTTGGAACCAACCCAAATGTGCATCAATGATAGACTGGATTAAGAAAATGTGGCACATATACACCATGGAATACTATGCAGCCATAAAAAAGGATGAGATCATGTCCTTTGTAGGGACATGGATGAAGCTGGAAACCATCATCCTCAGCAAAGTATCGCAAGGACAGAAAACCAAACACTGCATGCTCTCACTCATAGTTGGGAATTGAACAATGAGAACAGTTGAACCCAGGAAGGGGAACATCACACACTGGGGCCTGTTGTGGGGTGGGGGGAGGGGGGAGGAATTGCATTAGGAGATATACCTAATGTAAATGACGAGTTAATGGGTGCATCACAGCAACATGGCACATGTATACATATGTAACAAACCTGCACGTTGTACACCTGTACCCTAGAACTTAAAGTATAATAATAATAAAAAAACATGAAATGATTAGAAAAAATATATGAGAATAATTTTAGGGCCTAGAATGAGGAAGGATTTCTAAAATAAATACCCCAAAGCACAGCCATAAACAAAAAATTGACAAATTTTATTATAACAAAATCAAAACCTTTGTTCAAATGGAAAGTACAATGGAAAAAGTTAACAGAGAAGCCACAGACTGAGAAAAGGCATTTTTAATGTGAAAAACTAATAAGAGACTAATATCTAGATATATAAGTGGAATTTTTGCAAGTTAAGAAACAGGAATAGCAATGGAAACAGAGGCAAAGGATATGAATGAATAGAACAAAATACTAGAAACTCATAAACCTAACAAACATACATGAAGATTCATCAATATTCAGAAAAATGCTAATTAAGACAATAATGAGATGTCAATTTATACCCATCATATTGACAAAATCACACAGCAGGATAATGCAAACTATTAGCAGGAATCTGGAATGTAGGAGCCTTCATATATTCTTCTGGAATTCTTAGTTAAATTAATCATGTTTATTCTCCATCACTGGACAATTGCTTTCCTAGGTGTATACACAAAAGTATTCTCACTCAGATTAATAAAGAATCATGTATGAGAATGTTTCCCTTAACTTTATGATAGTGGGGAGTTGGAAGCAATCTAGTTGTTACATGATTGGTTACCAAAGGTTCATGCAAACTGGCAAATGCTAAGAAAATAGTGCTGAGTGAAAAGAAAGTCTAAAGGAGTTATGTAGCATAGCACTCTATGTGCATCAAAAGTGTAAATAAAATTGACAATGCATGCTTTACAGGAACACATACAAATGAAAGAAGGGCATCAAATGAGTTAGCACAATGACCTGGGGTAGGATGGAAGTGAGTTCTGCAGGTAAAGGGAAGGTAAATATAAATGAAGAGAAAGGGGCCTTATACAGGCCATGATGATGGTGTGATGGTCTGGGACATATGATTAATTCAATCTTCTGCACCTTGGGTCTAACCTACTTCACTTGCAGAAATTAAATCAACTTTTGACCATTAAAACTGTCTAGTGGTTTTCCATGATACTTCTAATCAAATCTAGACTAACTTGGTTTATAAAGCCCATGATTTGCATTCCAGTGCCTAGAACAGTGACTGGAATATTGTAAAAACTCTGTAACTGTGTATTGTATATAAAGAGGGAGGGAGCAACTAACTCCCCCTGGGCTCTTAGCATATTTATATGCCTTATTTCACTAGCTGGTGTGTTAGCTGGGGAAAAGCTAGGAGCTGCTTGCTTGCCTTTTTGTGTCCCCAGAAAGTACAGCTGCTCACATCAAGTCTATGAAGAACTTTTTAGGCACTGCAATAATGTAAGTAAAATTATGCAGGATGACAATAGGTTCATTTAAAATGTCTCAAACTTAAAAAATATAATTTATCTTGAAAAACGTTATATAATGATAATCATTATTATGTATTCATTTAAAGGTGTTTTCTAAAGCTTCTCTACTTGGCAGCATTTTTTGCGCTCTGTTCCGTTAAAGCTTGAGAAGTACTTTGAATTACCAAATATGTTGGAAAGTTATGATATACAATTTCTTTAAAAATATCCTATAATTCTTACTTTTTTTTTTAACCAGATAAGTCTGGCTTTCCACCAGTCAGTCTAAATTAGATTTTACTTTATTTGGCAGTTCCTTAGTATTATACAAATCACTCTCTTATTAACATCCTCTCACCACTAATTAGTTAAGGGACTGTAACCAGTGCACACATGTAACTCCCACTACCTTCATGAGGATTAAACATTCATACCTTAGGGCAAAATTGGCATTTAACAAGAGAAATTGTTTCATGTGAATTAACCTTGAGGACGGGAGATAAATAATCCAGGAGGTACATGAGGATTCCCAAGTGTCATCACTGGGGATTCCATAATCATGGAGTGGCCCAAATAGTAATGGCATATTGAGAAATTTAAACTACCTTGATTGATGCAGAATGGTGTAGAGTCTGTGCTATTTATGTTAAATTCTTTATATGCCAAATATTTAAAGAATTTCTGGTAATTAGAGTACATAGTTTGGAACCAGTGTTGCAACTGTAAGTGCAAAGCACATTCATACAAGACAGAAACTATTTAGTTTCATGCATTTTAAATTATTTCAATCATATGGTGGAGACTTGCATACCTGGTTAATATTGAAGAATCTCTGAGACTATTTAAAAAAAAGGTTAATTTTGTCAAAAGTTAGAAAGTGTTTTGGAAAGTCATACATATTTTCAGTAGTACTATGGCATCATGTTAGGAATTGTATAAAAGTAGTCCCTAATCACAAAATGATATTAGGATATATGCAACTAGAAATAAAAGGAGATGTATCAAACTACTGGTTTGAATAGGGAAATTCTGCCTGTGAGGGAGAGGGTAGGGAAACAGCTCAGAAAGATTTCAAAACAGGTAATGCTTAAGATAGATTAAATGGGAGAAGTGAGGGATGGAGGCAGGGTGCAAATTCTAATCAGAAGAACAGGAAAAACAAACTCATGGGGGTATAAAAGATGAGAATATTGGAAGCGGAGTAGTGTGTGTTGGTGAGGCTGGAGCACAGAGAGGAAGGATACAGGCTATGTATAAAATTATGATTTTGTTCTATGGGGAATAAAAAATCGTTTTAAAAATCACACTAATGTTTTTAGTTTTGAGGAGTGTGTGACCAAAGAAGTAACAAATATTCATGTTAGAAAATCTAGAAATGAGTGTAAGCTATGCAAAAATCTAACCACCCTTTGTACCAATATTTAATAATAAAAACATTACAGTGGATATTTTCTGTTTTGAGTGACCTAAGATCCATTTTCTATTGTTTGCAAAGGTATTTATCCTCTCCGTGTGGCCCATGTATTTCAGGGAAAGCTGAATTCTCCTGTGCCTCTATGGATCGGGCAGGTGTTCAAGACTTCAGTTTAGTTCCATATACATGATTACAATGATTGGTTCAGAGATAGGCATATGATCTAAGTTGGTCCAATTAGATTAATGCTCAGAATTTTTGCTTAATGATTGGGAAGAACATTTCCCTTTCTCCTTGGACATGAATAAGGAAGCATGCAGTCCTAGAAACCACTGGCAACCACCTTGGTACTATGACAGGAGATAGATAAGGAGATAACAAAACAAAACAAACAAACACACAAAAAACAGCCAAGGAATAGAGAAAAGTGGACAAAAAGTGGTCCTAGTCTTTACATTTGGATGCTCAGTGAAACCCCGTTTGAAACAAACCTCACCTCTAGAGGTTTTTTTATTATGAGCGTGAATAAAGTCCTTTTATGGTTTAAGCCACTTTGAATTATAATATCTGTTACTTGTCATTGAAACATCCTACCTGATAACGCAGTTAACATCATGGAGTCCTTATGCCAGAGACACTTACTGAAGTATCTCCTCAGTTCATATTGGCTTCTGTTTTCCTCTGGTAAGGGCTCCTCTGCATGGTCACAGGGGTAAGACCTTGGCATTCATCGTATGTGTCTGCATTTGCATTGTCCCAAGACAATGCAACTTACACAAATTAGAACAATTTTGAATTATGACCAAGAGAAAGACTGAATATGTTTTCAGTGCCTGAAAGTCTAATAGATTAAAATTGGGAGCTGTCTGTATCCTTATTTCCTGCCATGTAGATAGAAGTAGAAAACTTGATCTAAAGGGAGAGAGAAGGAACCAGAATATATGTGCAGAGCAAAACAATGAGAATTAAACAAAATAAGGAGAGAATGAACTTGTAGATCCCTGGTTCCATCATTCTGCTGTCAAAGTTCACTTTAACCTTGCTCCTACATTCTGTGCAATCCCCATTTTTGGTAAACCAATAAAAATATAAAGGAACACAATTTTCTCTATTTTTATAGGCTTGTCCAGGGAAAATATTCAGTCTGATAATAAGTACGGTTATATTGGTTATTTAAAGCCAATATTTATTCTGATGTTACTAGTTGTAACTAGGACATATTAAAATATATGTTTTCAAAATGAGGATTATACTTTATAAAAAGATTTTTTACAATATTGCCTTACCCTTAACATTATACTTGGAGATATTTTCCTATACTATTAAATAGTCTTTGAAATTATGATTTATAATGGTTGTATTGCAAACACTACCTAGTTTGTTATGAATTGTTTAACTATTGTTCTGTTGTTAGGCATTTAAGTTGGTCCTTATCTTTAACTATTATAAGATTCTGAAAGGAATATTTCTGAGCAAAAAAATCTTTGTCCATATTTATAAACATTTCCTTAATTTTTTTTTTTTGAGACTGGCTCTTGCTCTGTCACCAAGGCTGAAGTGCAGTGATGTGATCTTGGCTCACTGCAACCTCTGTCTCCTGGGCTCAAGATCTTCTCACCTCAACCTCCTGAGTAGCTGGTACTACAGGTGCACATGACTGTAACTGGGTTTCGCCATGTTGCCCAGGCTCCTTATGATAACTTTTTAAAAAATGATTGTGATATAAGGCAGGAATATTTTTAAGATTCATCATAAATATGGATAATAATTTTTAGAAACTTTTTGCCAATTCTCATAGAAATTTATGAGTGTCTGCCTTGATGTATCATATCATGTATTGTATTTTTTCATTTAAAAACTTTTTACTAATTCCAGTACAAATTCTTAATTAAGGAAGGGCTATGTTTAAAACTGTGTGCTTCAGTGTCCTAGAGTATGCATATATGTTGATGTAACTGCAAGTACTCTGTTCTTGGAAAGTATCTTTTAAGTTTTCTTCTAACTCCTCTTACACGACTATGCTTTGCTCCATCTTTCTAGTCTCTTCCTTTACTTGGTTCCGGTTTTCCAAATGGACTCGTCTCCAGTCTTTCTTGTTAATTCAGTGGAATGAGACAATATTGCCTCTTAAGAATTACATGACAGACAGGGGGTTCCAAGATGGCCAAATAGGAACAGCTCCAGTCTACAGCTCCCAGAGTGAGCGACGCAGAAGATGGGTGATTTCTGCATTTCCAACTGAGGTACTGGGTTATCTCACTGGGGCTTGTCACACAGTGGGTACAGGACAATGGGTGCAGCGCATCGAGCATGAGCGAAAGCAGGGTGAGGCATTGCCTCACCTGGGAAGCGCAAGGGGTCAGGGAATTCCCTTTCCTAGCCAAGCAAATCTGCGACAGACAGCACCTGGAAAATTGGATCACTCTCACCCTAATGCTGCGCTTTTCCAATGGTCTTAGCAAATGGCACACCAGGGGATTGTATCCTGTGCCTGGCTCAGAGGGTCCCACGCCCACAGAGTCTCGCTCATTGCTAGCACAGCAGCTGGAGATCGAACTGCAAGGCGGGGCGCTCGCAATTGCTGAGGCTTCAGTAGGTAAACAAAGCCGCCGGAAGCTTGAACTGGGTGGAGCCTACTGCAGCTCAAGGAGGCCTGCCTGCCTCTGTAGACTCCACCTCTGGGGGCAGGGCATAGCCAAACAAAAGGCAGCAGAAACCTCTGCAGACTTAAATGTCCCTGTCTGACAGCTTTGAAGAGAGTAGTGGTTCTCCCAGCATGGAGTTTGAGATCTGAGAACGGACAGACTGCCTCCTCAAGTGGGTCCCTGACCCCCGAGTAGCCTATCTGGGAGGCACCCCCTAGTAGGGGCAGACTGACACCTCACATGGCTGGGTACCCCTCTGAGATGAAACTTCCAGAGGAAAGATCAGGCAGCAACATTTGCTGTTCAGCAATATTCGCTATTCTGCAGCTTCTGCTGCTGATACTCAGGCAAACAGGGTCTGGTGTGGACCTCCAGCAAACTCTAACAGACCTGCAGCTGAGGGTCCTGGCCGTTAGAAGGAAAACTAACAAACAGAAAGGACATCCACACCAAAACCCCATCTGTACATCACCATCATCAAAGACCAAAGGTAGATAAAACCACAAAGATGGGGAAAAAACAGAGCAGAAAAACTGAAAATTCTAAAAATCAGAAGGTCTATCCTCCTCCAAAGGAATGCAGTGCCTCACCAGCAATGGAACAAAGCTGGATGGAGAATGACTTTGAGGAGTTGAGAGAAGAAGTCTTCAGATGATCAAACTACTCCGAGCTAAAGGAGGAAGTTGGAACCCATTGCAAAGAAGATAAAAACCTTGAAAAAAGATTAAAAAAATGGCTAACTGGAATAACCAATGTAGAGAAGTCCTTAAATGACCTGATGGAGCTGAACACCATGGCATGAGAACTACGTGACGAATGCACAGCTTCAGTAGCTGATTCGATCAACTGGAAGAAGGGGTATCAGTGATTGAAGATCAAATGAATGAAATGAAGTGAGAAGAGAAGTTTAGAGAAAAAAGAATAAAAATAAATGAACAAAGCCTCCAAGAAATATGGGACTATGTGAAAAGGCCAAATCTACATCTAACTGGTGTACCTGAAAGTGACGGGGAGAAGAGAATCAAGTTGGAAAACACTCTGCAGGATATTACCCAGGAGAACTTCCCCAATCCAGCAAGGCAGGCCAACATTCAGATTCCGGAAATACAGAGAACACCACAAAGATACTCCTCGAGAAGAGCAACTCCAAGACGCATAACTGTCAGAGTCACCAAAGTTGAAATGAAGGAAAAAATGTTAAGCACAGCCAGAAAGAAAGGTCGCGTTACCCACAAAGGGAAGCCCGTCAGACTAATAGCTGATCTCTCAGCAGAAACTCTACAAGCCAGAAGAGAGTGGGGTCCAATATTCAAAAACGTTAAAGAAAAGAATTTCCAACCTAGAATTTCATATCCAGCCAAACTAAGCTTCATAAGTGAAGGAGAAATAAAATCCTTTACAGACAAGCAAATGCTGAGAGATTTTGTCACCACCAGGCCTGCCCTACAAGAGCTCCTGAAGGAAGCACTAAACATGGAAAGGAAAAACTGGTACCAGCCACTGCAAAAACATGCCAAATTGTAAAGACCATCGAGGCTAGGAAGGAACTGCATCAACTAACGAGCAAAATAACCAGCTAACATCATAATGACAGGATCAAATACACTCATAACAATATTAACCTTAAATGTAAATGGGCTAAATGCTCCAATTAAAAGACACAGACTGGCAAATTGGATAAACAGTCAAGACCCATCAGTGTGCTGTATTCAGGAAAGCCATCTCATGTGCAGAGACACACATAGGCTCAAAATAAAGGGGTGGAGGAAGATCTACCAAGCAAATGGAAAACAAAAAAAGGCAGGGGTTGCAATCCTAGTCTCTGATAAAACAGACTTTAAACCAACAAAGATCAAAACAGACAAAGAAGGCCATTACATAATGGTAAAGGGATCAATTCAACAAGAAGAGCTAACTATCCTAAATATATATGCACCCAATACAGGAGCACCCAGATTCATAAAGCAAGTCCTCAGAGACCTACAAAGAGACTTAGACTCCCACACAATAATAATGGGAGACTTTAACACCCCACTGTCAACATTAGACAGATCAAGGAGACAGAAAGTTAACAAGGATATCCAGGAATTGAACTCAGCTCTGCACCAAGCAGACCTAATAGACATCTACAGAACTCTCCACCCCAAATCAGCAGAATATACATTCTTCTTATCACCACATCCCACTTATTCCAAAATTGACCACATAGTTGGAAGTAAAGCACTCTTCAGCACATGTAAAAGAACAGAAATTATAACAAACCATCTCTCAGACCACAGTGCAATCAAATTAGAACTCAGGATTAACAAACTCACTCAGAACCACTCAACTACATGGAAAATGAACAACCGGCTCCTGAATGACTACAGGGTACATAACGAAATGAAGGCAGAAATGAAGATGTTCTTTGAAACCAGCGAGAACAAAGACACAACATACCAGGATCTCCGGGACATATTTAAAGCAGTGTGTAGAGGGAAATTTATAGAACTAAATGCCCACAAGAGAAAGCAGGAAAGATCTAAAATTGACACCCTAACATCACAATTAAAAGAACTAGAGAAGAAGAGCAAACACATTCAAAAGCTAGCAGAAGGCAAGAACTAGCGAAGATCAGAGCAGAACTGAAGGAGTTAGAGACACAAAAAACCCTTCAAAAAATCAATGAATCCAGGAGCCGGTTTTTTGAAAAGATCAACAAAATTGACAGACTGCTAGCAAGACTAATAAAGAAGAAAAGAGAGAAGAAATCAAAGAGACAGAATAAAAAATGATAAAGTAGATATCACCACTGATCCCACAGAAATACAAACTACCATCAGAGAATACTATAAACACCTCTACACAAATAAACTAGAAGATCCAGAAGAAATGGATAAATTCCTCGACACATACACCCTTCCAAGACTAAACCAGGAAGAAGTTGAATCTCTGAAAAGACCAATAACAGGCTCCGAAATTGAGGCAATAATTAATAGCTTTCCAAGCAAAAAAAGTCCAGGACCAGATGGATTCACAGCCGAATTCTACCAGAGGTACAAGGAGGAGCTGATACCATTCCTTCTGAAACTATTACAATCAATAGAAAAAGAGGGAATCCTCCTTAACTCATTTTATGAGGCCAGCATCATCCTGATACCAAAGCCTGGCAGAGACACAACAAAAAAAGATAATTTCAGACCAATATCCCTGATGAACATCAATGCAAAAATCCTCAGTAAAATACTGGCAAACCAAATCCAGCAGAACATCAAAAAGCTTATCCATCATGATCAAATGGGCTTCATCCCTGGGATGCAAGGCTGGTTCAACACATGCAAATCAATAACATAATCCATCATATAAACAGAACCAAGACAAAAACCACATGATTATCTCGAAAGATGAAGAAAAGGCCTTTGACAAAATTCAACAGCCCTTCATGATAAAAACTCTCAATAAATTAGGTATTGATGGGACATATCTCAAAATAATAAGAGCTACTTAAGACAAACCCACAGCCAATATCATACTGAATGGGCAAAAACTGGAAGCATTCCCTTTGAAAACTGGCACAAGACAGGGATACCCTCTCTCACCATTCCTATTCAACATAGTGTTGAAAGTTCTGGCCAGGGCAATCAGGCAGGAGAACGAAATAAAGGGTAGTCAATTAGGAAAAGAGGAGGACAAATTGTCCCTGTTTGCAGATGACATGATTGTATATCTAGAAAACCCCATCATCTCAGCCATAAATTTCCTTAAGCTCATAAGCAACTTCAGCAAAGTCTCAGGATACAAAATCAATGTGAAAAATCACAAGCATTCTTATACACCAATAACAGACTAACAGAGAGCCAAATCATGAGTGAACTCCCTTTCACAATTGCTTCAAAGAGAATAAAATACCTAGGAATCCAACTTACAAGGGACGTGAAGGACCTCTTCAAGGAGAATTACAAACCACTGTTCAACGAAATAAAAGAGGACACAAACAAATGGAAGAACATTCCATACTCATGGATAGGAAGAATCAATATTGTGATAATGGCCATACTGCCCAAGGTAATTTAGAGTTTCAATGCCATCCCCATCAAGCTACCAATGACTTTCTTCACAGAATTGGAAAAAACTACTTTAAAGTTCACATGGAACCAAAAAAGAGCCCGCATTGCCAAGACAATCCTAAGCCAAAAGAACAAAGCTGGAGGCATCACGCTACCTGACTTCAAACTATACTACAAGGCTACAGTAACCAAAACAGCATGGTACTGGTACCAAAACAGAGATATAGACAAATGGAACAGAACAGAACATAGCCCTCAGAAATAATACCACACATCTACAAACATCTGATCTTTGACAAACCTGACAAAACCAAGAAATGGGGAAAGGATTCCCTATTTAATAAATGGTGCTGGGAACGCTGGCTAGCCATATGTAGAAAGCTGAAACTGGATCCCTTCCTTACACCTTATACAAAAATTAATTCAAGATGGATTAAAGGCTTACATGTTAGACCTAAAACCATTAAAACCCTAGAAGAAAACCTAGGCAATACCATTCAGGACGTAGGCATGGGCAAGGACTTCATGTCTAAAACACCAAAAGCAATGGCTACAAAATGTAAAATTGACAAATGGGATCTAATTAAACTAAAGAGCTTCTGCACAGCAAAAGAAACTCCCATCAGAGTGATCAGGCAACCTGCAGAATGGGAGAAAATTGTTGCAATCTACTCATCTAACAAAGGGCTAATATCCAGAATCTACAAGGAATGCAAACAAACTTACAAGAAAAAAACAAACAACTCCATCAAAAAGTGGGCAAAGGATATGAACAGACACTTCTCAAAAGAAGACATTTATGCAGACAACAGACACATGAAAAAATGCTCATCATCACTGGCCGTCAGAAAAATGCAAATCAAAACCACAATGAAATACCATCTCACACCAGTTAGAATGGCCATCATTAAAAAGTCAGGAAACAACAGGTGCTGGAGAGGATGTGGAGAAATGGGAACACTTTTACACTGTTGGTGGGATTGTAAACTAGTTCAACCATTGTGGAAGACAGTGTGGCAATTCCTCAGGGATCTAGAACTAGAAATACCATTTGACCCAGCCATCCCATTACGGGGTATATACCCAATGGATTATAAATCATGCTGCTATAAGGACACATGCACACACATGTTTATTGTGGCACTATTCACAATAGCAAAGACTTGGAACCAACCCAAATATCCATCAATGATAGACTGGATTAAGAAAATGTGGCACATATACACCACGGAATACTATGCAGCCATGAAAAATGATGAGCTCATGTTCTTTGTAGGGACATGGATGAAGCTGGAAACCATCATTCTCAGCAAACTATCGCAAGGACAAAAAACCAAACACCATATGATCTCACTCATAGGTGGAAATTGAACAATGAGAACACCTGGACACAGGAAGGGGAACATCACACACTGGGGCCTGTTTTGGGGTGAGGGAGGGGGAGGGGATTGCATTAGGAGATACACCTAATGTAAATGACGAGTTAATGGGTGCAGCACACCAGCATGGCACATGTATACATATGCAACACACCTGCACATTGTGCACATGTACCCTAGAACTTAAAGTATAATAATAATAAAAAAAGAATTATATGACGGAAATGATCTTCTGAGCCTGCATCTCATTGACTTGGAGTCAATAAGAGTCTATACCCGCGATTCAAAACATGGTGCAGGAAAGGAGATTTGTGTGTTGCTTTTGTATAGGTCAACAAATTTCTACAGAAGGAAACTCAATAAGACATAACAGGCTGCGTTCATATTCTCAGGTAATGATTTTTCAATGTATGGAAAATTATACAAGGGAACAAAGTGAGAAAGTGTTCTTTGATTTGACAATGTGTTTATGTGTGGGCCTTACTATAGCTTCTTTGTGAATGTTTGTGCATAAATATGTTTTGAATATACTGTTTAAATATTTCCTTAATTCTTTGAAGCCCAAGGTCAAAACTCATATCTTTTAATAAAACTTAAGCCCATTCCACCTTCAGCATGTCTCTCTTATCACTTTGTTTATTCAAAAAATGTTTACTAAAGCCCCAAAATGGGCCAGCCACTTTTCTAAGTGCTGAGATATATAATAAACAAGATCAGACTTTCTCCATATACTCATGGAGCTTATGATTTAAAAGAAGAGACAGATTTTAATTAAATCATCACCTGAATCAATTACAGTTATAAGCAATGATAAATGCTTGAATGAAGGAAAGGTACATAGAACCCTGAAAAAATGTGTAATTGAGAGAGATGCTGACCTACTTTGGAGAGTGGGAACGGTTGAGGTGGGGGAGACCTCTCCGAGGAAATGTTTGAGCTGACATCTGAAGAATAAGTAGAAGAAACAGGGGGAAAAAAAGTGGGACACAAGATGGGAGCATAGATTAGAGTCAGAGGAACCAGCTTTTACCAGCTGCTGTAGCGGAAAATAATATTTCTTCTTTGATTCTTTGCAGTAAATATTTTTGTTTGTTTGTTTGTTTGAGACAGAGTTTCACTCTGTCACCCGGGCTGGAGTGCAGTAGTGCCATCTTGGCTCACTGCAACTTCTGCCTCCCGGGTTCAAGTGATCCTCATGCCTCAGCCTCCTGAGTAGCTGGGATTACAGGCGTGTGTCAGCACACCTGGCTAATTTTTGTATTTTTAATAGAGACGAGGTTTTGCCATGTTAGCCAGGCTGGTCTTGAACTCCTATCCTCAAGTGATCTGCCTGCCTTGATCTCCCAAAGTGCTGAGATTACACATGTGAGCCAGGGCAGCCAGCCCATGCAGTAAATCTTAATTGACTATCTCCATGTGCCCATACTGGGATGCTGTGAATATAGCATTGGATGAGATAGATAAAGTCTATGTCCTCATGAAAATTATACTTTGGTGGAGGAGAAAAAACAAAGAAAAAGGTGGGTAAATATCATAATTTCAGCTAACAAGTACTATGAAGAAAATAAAGCAAGAGAAGTACTAGGGTATCTGTGTGTGAGGAGGATGTTTTAGAGACAGCATTTAGAAAATGCCTCTCTGAAGAGTTACTATTGAAACAGATATGAATAATGACAAGGAGGCATCTATGCAAAAATCTGAAGAGAGAGAAGCATCAAATATAAAGTGCTTATGGGAAAAAGGGGCTTAGTGTGTTCAAAGGGTAGCCAGGTGGCCGACATGGCTTGAACATATCAAGTGTGAGAAAAAGAGGTAGGCAGTGAAGTCTGGGAGACAGGGCCACATAGGACTTAATATGCCATAGTAGAGTTCAAATTTTACTCTAAGTGTGATGGGAATCTGGAAAACACTGGAGGATTTCAACAATGGGAAGGACATGTCTGACTTACATTTAAAAAATAAATGTGTATTTCAAAATGCGGATTTAAAAAAATACACTCTTGGTATAAAATTAAAGAGAGAGACGAGTTAGAAAAGGCTATGTAACAGTGATCCAAATGAAAGACGATATGGATTGAGCTAAGGTGGTACCTGTAGAGGTGTTTGGGAGTGGTCAAAGAGAGAAGAGTAACTCAGAACAGAGTTGCCCAAACCTGACAGATGGATTTGGATGTGGATGGTAAAGAGAAGAGGAATCTTATATGGTTTGACTGTGTCCCCACTCAAATCTCATTTTGAATTTTAGCTCCCAGAATCCCCATGTGTCATGGGAGGGAGCTGATCAGAGGTAATTGAATCATGGGGCAGGTTTTTCCTGTGCTATTCTTGTGATAGTGAATGAGTCTCATGAGAACTGATGGTTTTTTAAAAGGGCAATTCCCCTGCACATGCTGTCTTGCCTGCCACCATGTAAGACGTGCCTTTGCTTCTCCTTTGCCTTCCTCCATGATTGCATGGCCTCCTCAGCCATTTGGAACTGTGAGTCCACTAAACCTCCTTTTCCTTATTATCCAGCCTCGGGTATTTCTTCATAGCAGTATGAGAACAGACTAATACAGAATCAAATATGATAATATGTTTTTACCCGAGCAACTTGATGAATGGGGGTGACATTTTAACTGAAAGGGAGAAGTCCCAAGAAAGGATTCTACCTTGGACAGTGTAGAAGATGTAGTTGGTATCACACCCATATACCCCTCGCATTCACAGACCCTGACTATACCAATGGCGTCTAAAGGCAGTGCCTTGGTCAGCTCAAGCCATTGTAACAAAAATACCATTTTCTAGGTGGCTGGAAGAACAGCAACTTAATTCCTTCAATTCTGGAAGCTGACAAATCTGAGACCATGGTGCCAGCATGGTTGGGTTCTAGTGAGAGCTCTCTTGCTGCTTTGCAGATGGCCATTGTCTTGCTGTATCCTCACATGGCGGAGAGCAATGAGAGGAAGCAAGCTCGCTCATGTCTCTTTTTATAAGAACACTTGTCTTATTCTAGAAGGCTCCACTGCCCTGACATAATTACCTCCTAAAGATGCTACCTCCTAATACTATCACAGTGGGGGTTAGAATTTCAACATATGAAACATTCAGTACACAACAGGCAAGCACCTGCAACTCTCCTTCCAAAAGCTCTCTCTCAAGCCTGTGGTGTAGGGAGGCTGGAAGTGCCATGGGGTTATATCTTCCAGAGTGTCCCAGAGCTAATGAAGTTGGGGTTGCTGAATAAATCCACCAGCTTCCTCAGCTTTTGAGTGGAGTAATTAAGAAGCATGTTCTACACAGTCTCCTGGAGTTTCCCAGGAGGGTTGTGCCCCAGTTGTCCACAGTAGAAACCTGCTCAAAAATGCATCTTTAATTGGCTTTCTACCTTTTTCTATCTTACTCCCCACTCTCTTCCCAGTGCTCCGTGGTATCATCTTCTAAATAAATAATTTGAACATACATATTTATCTCAGAGTCTGCTTCTAAGGGCTGAACAAGTTAGATAAATTAGATCTAAGATAGCTTCTGGCTATTAAAGTGAGGATGTCAAGTGGACTGTTGAGTACATGGGTTTCGAACTCAGGAGAGAGCTCATGTTTTTTATCACCATGGCTGGTGATAAAAATTTTGGAGTCATTAGTGTAAAGACAGTATTTAAATTTATGGCAATGGATGGGATCATGATTTATTAGAGGAACAAAAAGGAAGGCCACTGTGCCTAGAGTACAGATAGAATAAGAGAAGCGAGAGAAGAAAAAAGGGGCTGGGTCATGTGGTACCTTATATGTTATGCAGGGCTTGAGTGTTTATTCTAAGGGTAAAATCCAAAGGGGTCTAAGTCTTATGTGGTCTGGGACTCATTCACGGTTGCTATGCAAGTTAATATCGACCTATTGCAATTGCATGTTTTGTTCTCTGAACTTCACAGTAAATAGCATGGGGATAGGAGAATTAAGCTTGCACCCTCTTTCCATGGTATACCATATTCAGTTCTCATTTGACATTCAAAATCCTTCTGATTAAAACATGCTTCTTTTCAGATATGCTCATGATCTCACACACCTAAAACTGTGTTTCCATCTTTCTGGCTATCTAGGTGGGGAGATGAAATGAACCTTTTTGGATTATTCAAAACAAAGTTTTCAGGCTTGCTTCATTTTTATTACATAAGTGGCAAATATATTCTTCATAAGTCTGGCCTGGTTCTTACTCTTTAAAGCATCTCAAGATCCTTGCCTTGTTGAGAGTAATCAGAATTACATGATAGTCATGACCAATAGGCTCCCAAAGAAAGGCAGGAAAGTTTCTTGGAATTCAAAGATACATATACTATAATGCAATAATTTCTTTTAATTAACAAAGACATTCATTTCGGTAATAGTTCAATTGAAGAATTAAGATATTTTAAGAGACTGCTGTATATAGCTATATTCTTCATTACATACAAGATGTAATGACCCTGGGAAAAGTCAGTCAAATAGGAACTTTTCAATATGGGAAATAGTAGAGGAAATCTGCCATCTGTTGAAGACAAAGCATTTGAGTTATGACTGACATGGACATAGTACTCCCTCCCATAGTACTCCCTCCCATCTCCAGTTTATTTGTTTTTTTTTTTTTTTAAAGCTTGTTCATTACAAATGGAGAATTTAAACCTGCCCAGGGGAATATTTAAGGTCACTCTAATTTATTAGACCGTATGTTGGAATAATTAGCAGAATCCACACTTCGGGCACGTAAGAGCTAGTACTGCAACATTTCTCAGTAAATTGTCAAAATCTTGATTATCTTATTAGCCTATTGATTTATTGTACTTCTCAACATTTCAGTTAACAGGAAGCCCTTGGACTTTTTGACCTCAAGAGATCCTGAGGTCATTGATTTCAAATCCCTTGAATCATCTCATCTTTGTTAAATTTACATAATAAATCCTCATTCTATGGGCAAGGCAGTTTTTCAAGTAATTCAAATATATTTTCCCATTTTAATTTTCAAAACAATATTTGTGGTAGGCTCTACCATATTCACCAATTTACACATGGACAAATTTCATCATAGAGAAGTTAAGAGCTAAATGTACGTGACCAATCATTCCAATTTGCCCAGGACTCTCCTAGTTTTAGCACAGAAAGTCTCATGTTCTGGGAACCCTTCAGTTCAAGCTCATTTATGTCTCCACTTCACCAAATTCAGATTCTAACCCTCAGTACTTCAGAATATGACCATAATTGAAGATAGAGTTTGTATTAATATCTATTTATCTATTTATTATTTTAGAGATAGGGACTTGCTCCGTCACCCAGGCTGGAGTGCGGTGGTGTGATGATAGCTCCTTTACTCTTGGGTTTAAGCAATCCTTCCACTTCAGTGTCCTGAGTAGCTGGGACTAAAGTGCATAACACCATGCCTGGTTACTTTTTTTAAAAAATGTAGAGACAGGGTCTCACTACGTTGCCCTGGCTTGTCTCCAACTCCTAATCTCATGTAATCCTACTGCCTTGGTCTCCCAAAGCACTGGGATTACAGGCATGAGCCACCACACCCAGCTGAGTTAGAGTTTTTAAATGGAGAACTAAGTTAAAATGAGATCATTAAGGTGGGCTCTAGTCCAATAGGACTGGAAATCCTTATAAGAAGAGGAAATATGGACAGACATGTACATAGAAAAGCCCATGTAAAGACATACGGAGAAGGCAGCTATCTACAAGTCAAGGAGAAAGGACACAGAAGAAACAACCCTGCTGGCCCTCTTGACCTTGGACTTTAGCTTCTGTAACTGTGGGAAAATACATGTATGTTCTTTAAGCCGCTAGTCTGTGATATTGTGTTATGGCAGCCTGTGATGGTTAATACTGAGTGTCAACTTGATTGGATTGAAGGATGCAAAGTATTGTTCCTGGATGTATCTGTGAGGGTGTTGCCAAAGGAGATTAACATTTGAGTCAGTGGACTCGGAGAGGAAGACCCACCCTCAGTCTAAGCGGGCACCATCTAATCAGCTGCTAGTGTGGCTAGAATAAAGCAGGCAGGAGAAGATGGAAGAGCAGAATTGCTGAGTCTTCCAGTCTTCATCTTTCTCCTGTGCTGGATGTTTCCTGCTCTTGAACATCAGGCTTCAAGTTCTTCAGCTTTTGGACTCTTGGACTTACAACAGTGGTTGTGGAGACTGAAGGCTGCACTGTCAGCTTCCCTGCTTTTGAGGTTTTGGGACTCAGACTGATTCACCACTGGATTCTGTGCTCCTCAACTTGCAGACAGTTTATTGTGGGACTTTACCTTGTGATCCTGAGTCAATTCTCGTTAATAAACTCCCTTTCATATATACATGTTTCCTATTAGTTCTGTCCCTCTAGAGAACCCTGACTAACACACAGCCCTAGCAAACTAATATGCCAGTCAAGCTGGGAATGTTGGTCATTCAAAGCAACTTGCCTACACCAAAATGTGTAGAGCCAGGATTTACACCCTACATTTGTGCTCTTAACAATAATATTTGCTAACCATAATAACAAATACTTGCTTAAGTGCCAGGCAGTTTTCTAAGCACTGTTCTTATATTGATATGTTAACTTCTCATTAATATTTTCATCTTACAGATCAGGAAACACCACACAGAAAGGTAAAGTAAATTGTCTAAGATCAGACAGCTATTAAGTAGTGGAGCCAGGCTGTAAACTTCTTGTCAAACAGTCTGACTTCAGCTTCTGTGTTGTACCTTATTAATACATTAATTCAAAGTGTTGTAACATTTTGTATAAGCACAGTGGTTTACAAACAATCTGTTCCATGACAATTTAGAGTCCAAAAAGTTTAGTAACTTGCAAATGGCCTGCAGGAACAGAACAGGAACTCATGCTTCAAAGTCCTGCCTCCTGGTCTGGCATTATTTGTTTGTTTAAACTTGATTGAGGTATAATTTATGTGCAACAAATTGTATCTACTCAATATATATAATTTTTTGACTTTTGAAAGATGTATACAGTCATGAAACACAGCCATACTCAAGAAAAAGAACATTTCTGTCACCGCCAAGAGATTCCTTTGATCTCTTTGGAGTCCATCTTTCCTTCCAACCTCAGCGTTCACTATCATGATGAGCCTGTTATCAACAATTGTGCTGCAAGTTTTTGTGTCTGCCTGTTTTTATTTCTCTTGGGTAAATAGCAAAGAGTTGAATTGATAAGTAATATGGTAGGTGTTACATTTGACTTTCTAAGCAACTGAGAAATGGTTTTCTTCAGTAGTTGTACCATTTTGCTTTCCCATCAGCGATATATGAGAATTGCAGTTGCTCCACATCCTCTCCAAAGCTTGCTGTAGTGGGTCTTTATGGCATCAGTCATTTTGGTGGGTGTGAAGTAGATTCTTAATGTAATTTTAATTTTAATTTCCCTGATGACTAATGATGTTAAGTATCTTTCATTTGTTTATTTGCCATTCATATGCCTTCTTTGATGAAAGATATGTTCAAATATTTTGCCTTTTAAAAAACTCAATAAAAATATTTTTTATTGAGTTGTAAGAATTCCTCGTATATTCTGATACAAGTCCTTTAACAGACATGCATTTTGCAAATATTTTCTTGCATTCTGCGGCTTGCTTTTTCATTTAATGGTGTCCTTTGGAGAGCAGAAGTTTTTAATTTTGAGGAAGACCAATTTTTTTCTTTCATGGATTGTACTTTCTGTGTATGATCTAAAAACCTTTGTATAACCCTAAGCCACACAGATTTCCTTTTATGTTTTTTTTCTAGAAGTTTTATAGTTTTAGGTTTTCTTATGCCTATAATCAATTTTGGGTTAATTTTGTATATTTTGCAGATTTTAAAATATTTGTATATTTTTGTATATCAGATATTTACTTTGGGCACACACACACACACACACACACACACACATATATATATATATATAACTTTATTTAATCCTCACAATAACCCTCTGTTATGGAGATTACTATTATCCTCACACTATTGAAGAAGGTGTTGAAACTTAGAGAGGATGAGAAACTCACCCAAGGTCACTACTCTAATTAGTGGAGTAACAGAGATTAAAATTTAGATGTTTTAATTTTGAAGTCTTGCATTTAGCCAACTAAACTAATTATACCTGAAGCATAATCTCATTTGTGATATGATGGGGCCCCTTCTAGATGGGATTCCATACTTAGTTTTGAGTCTTACTAATTACAATGACTTATTCTGAGCTATAAATGGAAAAGGACTCATACTAAAACATCTTAGTATTATAGATATTTATTTAAGAGTTGGGATTGGGGAGACTCACCATTTACAAAGAATATTTACAACATTTTCATTGTAAACAAATATATTTAAATTTTTTCTAACGAACCAGAGCATAACTTCTTTTCCCTAATTTTACAAGTGTTCAGAAGATTTGACAAAGGGCATTTAAAAATTTTAATTCGATAAATGAATAATATTACAGACTTAGTGGGAGAAAAGTAATCTTGGAATATCAATGTATCTGTTTCATTACTTTCCATTCAAAGACATACAACACTTGAAAGAGAATTGGATTAGACAGAAGTCTGATACCGTTTCTGGTTCTACCATTAGATAGTTAAATAACTTGGATTTATTACCTGTATTAGCTTGCTAAGGTTACTGTAACAAGGTACCACAGCCTGGGCGGCTTTAATAATATAATTTTTTTTCTCAGTTCTGGAGGCTGGAAGTCTGAGATCAAGAGGTTGGCAGGGTTGTCTCTTCTGAAGCCTCTTTTTTGGCTTGTAGTTGGCTTATCTTCCAGTATCTTCACATGGTCCTCCCTCTGTATGTGTCTGTGTCCAAATTTCTGATTCATATGAGGACACCAGTCTTACTGTATTAATGACCACACTAATGACCTTGTTTTAACACAATTACCTCCTTAAAGACCCTAACTTCAAATACAGTCACCTTTTGAGGGTTAGGACTTCAAGATATGAAGTTTTGGGAGACATAATTCAGTGCATAATATTCATTACCTAACCTCTGGGCTTTAGTTTATTCACCTGTACAATGGGACTACCGAACCACTGAGCTTTAGTTTATTTATCTGTACAAGAGGAATATTGAATAGATAAAGAGTTCATAACCTTGAGTTATAGTTGAGGTTAAGGGGGCATGCATAAACCCTCTGAAATATTATACCACATTTTGTATGTGTTTTTTTTAGGGGGAGGAAAGTCTATGGTTTTAATTGGATTCTAAAAGGGGTACATGACCCCTCAAAAGATTAAGAGGCAATGAATTAGATAATTTTTATAGTGCTTCTCAGCTCTTAAATTGTAAGAATCTACTCTTCAAAAAGGGAAGGCAATGTTCCATTCTTTCACAAGACTTCTAGCCAGGAAAGTCTTCCTAATGCCATTAATAAGTACTTTCCTTTGTAAATGCAATTTTACTCCATTTTGGACTGGCACTAAAAATAGTGTTGTCCAGAGAGGTCATATGGCATATTTCTATTTTTTTCTGGTTTTATAAACAATTTTTCTGTTTGGTCATCACTGGAATATTGAAATCTTATTCCTTTAGCATTTCCCCTGGAGCTGAACTCACTAGTCTATGGATAATTTTTCTTGTTCTTCTGTGGTCATTATTCTTGCCTTTTAGAAGGTTAACATCTAGATGAATTGTCAGGTATGCACGCTTACACACACACACACCCCTACACACACAAATGGCACAAATGGAACAGAGGTAAAGTGAATGGAATGCTACTTTGACCAAAAATGTTTATTAACATTTGTTGAATGAAAAATAAATGAATGAGTTGAACCCAAGGGAAAATAGTTAAATTCAGTTAATAATTGAGTAACTATTTCCATAGCCCATAAGTAACCCAACTGTGTTAGTTATACTTCTGATTATGAACAATTACTCCTTTGATTATTTCAGGTAGAAAACATAAACCCAGAAAGATAATGAAATAGAGAATGTACGTGTGAGTATGCATGTATTAGGTCGGTGTGTGTATTTACACATCACCTATTTACATATTACACATGTATTTAACATCACTTGTGTGTGTGTGTGAGTGTGTAATACAATGAAAAGAAGGTCCCTACAAACTGCATGGCTTTCCTTGGTGAAATTTGTGAAGTGAGACTGACTTATTTATTTTTCACCCCAGGTCTCCAGCAAGCTGGCTGGGTTTCTTCCCTTACTGTAATCACGTGCTTACCGAATAATGTGTTAGAAAACAATGTCTTCCACTGACATTTTTATGCCTCATGAGCATGCATTAGCTCACTGTGTTTGCCTGCGTATATCTGTGTGTCGTGGTGAAGAGAGAGATCATAGGGAAACACAATGAAGAGAGAATGTAGGGACTGGTTCACAATTTTCACTTGCACCATTTCCACGGGGCCTAAATTTCCATAACACACTTCTGTCTTTATACTTTCTAAGCATATTTTACTATCTGTTTCAGAAGGAATATTTAATGTCAAAAGGCATTGGATTCCACTACTGCGGGTGAGAAGGTTGGATTTGTGTATGCTGTTGAGGCTTCCAGTAGATTTGTCTTCCATTACACCTGTTTGGGATCTTCTAGTGTTTGGCATAGTTGGTCTTTTTCAACACGATTAACCTCCCCCCTCTATCATAAACATTCTTTCATGCATTTGGGGTTAGAGGACTAATGAGAAATATGCTTTGGACACTGTGGTCTATTTTATTTGAGGATCATTAATGTCTAGAGAAAACTTAAGCTTTCAAGAGTACTGCTGAAAGATCGCCTCTCTGTCAGGACTACATCATAAGGCACTCAATTTATCAGCCTTCTGCTGGGGTGACCCCGCTCGGATTTGAACCTCTGGCTCCAGGGAGTCTAGGTTGAACAACGGTGATGTGGAGGCCACTCAGCCACTGCCTCCAGCCAAAAAAGATTAGTGTCATCAAAAATAGATTAGCGAGTCAGTTAAAAAAATTAAAGTAACCCCTTTGTTCTAAAATATTTGTCAAAGTAAGCAAAGAAATTAGCTTTCATTTCAGATTAATTACTGAGTAAATTAGGATTGGAGACAAGAACATTTTCATTTTTTTTTCCTTTAACTACGGAAATGGAGAAATGTATAATATGTATAATAATATTTCTAAGACTCAAGAATTTATACAAATGCCTGACAGAGATCACTAGCTCTCCTGCCTGTAAACTTTTTGTCATTGAAGTATTTCTTAAATGTGGACTCTGCCTTTACCCTGTGGAAAGAAAACTGTCTCAAAGGGAAAAAATGAAAAGGAGATCCTTGATTGCTTCAGATTCTGACTTCCAGAGCCATGTGACCTCATCTCAGCTACCCCATATTTTCACAAAAGAATTGGGACCCCATCCCCACAACAGATAATGATCAATCTGTGCGTTTAGTAAGTACAGCCTTGATGTCATACGAGGGGAGAAATGCAGCACCTATTTGCTCTTTTCAGGGAAAATCTTGGAAATTACAACCACTGCTTCCAACACGGGCTGTGCCAAGCTTGGACAAACAGAAAGGCAGTGCATTGCTCAGCTGCACTCCTTTGAGGAGAAAAATTTAGTCAGTGAGCATTCGTTCATTTATGAGTAAATGTTTACTAATTAATTATTATTGCCAGGCATTGTGCAGAGTTGAAGACACAATGGTGATCAAAAATAGGCTAGTAACTTTATAGTAAAGAAACCTAGCAGACTATTGTAATCAAGTGATCAAAGTTAATATCACCAATAATCAGACACAGTGACAGTATGTGCCCCCTGGGAGATGAACTAGTAAGGTATAATAGGATTTCTATAGTATTCTTGCCAAAAATGCAGCTACATTCTAATATGAGAAATCACCAGACAAATCCAAGTGGAGGGTTTATTGAAGACTAGTACCCTTCAAAGGTGTTAAAGTCTAAAAAGACAAAGGAGGAAATAATAACCATCATAGATTGAAGGAGACTAGGGGGACAAGTCCACCGAGTGCAATGTAGGATCCTGGACTAGAAGAAAGACATACTGGAGGGAAACTGGCAATTCAAGTAAACTATATGGTTCAGTCAAGAGCATTGTTTATCAGTTTTAACTTCTTGGTTTCAATAATTGCACTGTGGTTATATAAGATTTTAACATTAGGGGATACTAAAGGAAGAATGTACAAGAATTCTCTGTACTATTTTTGGGAATTTTCTGGAAGTCTGAAAGTATTTCAAAATAAAAATAATTAAAAACAAACAAAAGCAAATTAAAACAGATTCAGTCCCTGCCCTCATGGAGTTTGTTCCCTCTTAGGAAGGATATTCAACCAAATAATCATGGAGATGAATACGTAATCACAGATCTACATAAGTGCTTTTAAGAAATGAAACTTCATTAGAGAGTATAATTATAGTAATCATTAAGAACAGACATTTATTTAGTGCATGCAGTAGTCCCTTGGTATCCACAGGGCATTGCTTCTAGGACACCTCCCCCCATACCAAAATTCACAAAGGCTCAAGTCCCCAATATAAAATGACAAGAGGATTTACATATAATCCACTAACATCTTCCCATAAGTTTAAATCATCTCTAGATTATTTATAATACCTCAAACAATGTAAATGCTATATAAATACTTCTTACACTGTATTGTTTTTTATTTTATTTTTTATCATTATATTGTTATGCTTTTTATTATTATTTTTATATATTTTCAATCCAAAGTTGATTGAATCTGAGAATGTGGAACCCATAGAGATAGAGGGCCAATTGTACAATGTGCCATGTGCCAGAAATGGTTTTAAGTACCCCTTTTTATCTTTATGTAGATATAATTTCAAGTAAAAATTGTATACCCTATGGTCTGCAATGTGATGTTTTGAAATATGTATACATTGTGAAATGATTACCACAATCAAGCTAACTAATATGTCCATCACCTCATAGAGTTATTTTTGTGTGTGTGGTGGGAGCATTTAAGATCTCCTCTCTTGGAAATAGTAATACAATGCATTACTATTAACTATAGTTTTCATGCTGTTACAGTTGGTCTCCAGAACTTATTCATCCTGTAACAGATACTGTACCCTTTGACCAAATCTCCCCACAGTTTTGTTTAAATTATTATTATACTTTAAGTTCTAGGGTACACGTGCACAACGTGCAGGTTCGTTACATATGTATACATGTGCCATGTTGGTGTGCTGCACCCATTAACTCGTCTTTACATTAGGTATATCTCCTAACGCTATCCCTCCCCCCTGCCCCCACCCCAGGACAGGCCCCAGTGTGTGATGTTCCCCTTCCTGTGTCCAAGTGTTCTCATTGTTTAATTCCCACCTATGAGTGAGAACATGTGGTGTTTGGTTTTTTGTCCTTGCGATAATTTGCTGAGAATGATGGTTTCCAGCTTCATCCCTGTCCCTACAAAGGACATGAACTCATCATTTTTTATGGCTGCATAGTATCCCATGGTGTATATGTGCCACATTTTCTTAATCCAGTCTAGCATTGATAGACATCTGGGTTGGTTCCAAGTCTTTGCTATTGTGAATAGTGCCACAGTAAACATACGTGTGCATGTGTCTTTATAGCAGCATGATTTATAATCCATTGAGTATATACGCAGTAATGGGATTGCTGGGTCAAATGGTATTTCCACTTCTAGATCCCTGAGGAATTGCCACACTGTCTTCCACAACGGGTGAACTAGTTTACACTCCCACCAACAGTGTAAAAGTGTTCCTATTTCTTCACATCCTCTCCAGCACCTGTTGTTTCCTGACTTTTTAATGATTGCCATTCTAACTGGTGTGAGATGGTATTTCATTGTGGTTTTGATTTGCATTTTTCTGACGGCCAGTGATGTTGAGCATTTTTTCATGTGTCTGTTGTCTGCATAAATGTCTTCTTTTGAGAAGTGTCTGTTCATGTCCTTCACCCACTTTTTGATGGGTTTTTTTTTTTTTTCTTGTAAGTTTGTTTGAGTTCTTTGTAGATTCTGGATATTAACCCTTTGTTAGATGAATAGATGGCAAAAATTTTCTCACATTCTGTAGGTTGCCTGATCACTCTGATGGTAGTTTCTTTTGCTGTGCAGAAGCTCTTTAGTTTAATTAGATCTCATTTGTCAATTTTAGCTTTTGTAGCCATTGCTTTTGGTGTTTTAGACATGAAGTCCTTGCCCATGCCTATGTCCTGAATGGTATTGCCTAGGTTTTCTTCTAGAGTTTTTATGGTTTTAGGTCTAACATTTAAGTCTTTAATCCATATTGAATTAATTTTTGTATAAGGTGTAAGGAAGGGATCCAGTTTCAGCTTTCTACATATGGCTAGCCAGTTTTCCCTGCACCATTTATTAAATAGGGAATCCTTTCCCCATTGCTTGTTTTTGTCAGGTTTGTCAAAGATCAGATAGTTGTAGATATGTGGTGTTATTTCTGAGGGCTCTGTTCTGTTCCATTGGTCTATATCTCTGTTTTGGTACCAGTACCATGCTGTTTTGGTTACTGTAGCCTTGTAGTATAGTTTGAAGTCAGGTAGCTTGATGCCTCCAGCTTTGTTCTTTTGGCTTAGGATTGTCTTGGCAATGTGGGCTCTTTTTTGGTTCCATGTGAACTTTAAAGTAGTTTTTTCCAATTCTGTGAAGAAAGTCATTGGTAGCTTGATGGGGATGGCATTGAATCTCTAAATTACCTTGGGCAGTATGGCCATTATCACAATATTGATTCTTCCTATCCCTGAGCATGGAATGTTCTTTCATTTGTTTGTGTCCTCTTTCATTTTGTTGAGCAGTGGTTTGTAGTTCTCCTTGAAGAGGTCCTTCGTGTCCCTTGTAAGTTGTATTCCTAGGTATTTTATTCTCTTTGAAGCAATTGTGAATAGGAATTCACTCATGATTTGGCTCTCTGTCTGTTGTTGTGTAAGAATGCTTGTGCTTTTTGCACATTGATTTTGTATCTTGAGACTTTGCTGAAGTTGCCTATCAGCTTAAGGAGATTTTGGGCTGAGACGATGGGGTTTTCTAAATATACAATCATGTCATCTGCAAACAGGGACAATTTGACTTCCTCTTTTCCTAATTGACTACCCTTTATTTCTTTCTCCTGCCTGATTGCCCTGGCCAGAACTTCCAACACTATGTTGAATAGGAGTGGTGAGAGAGGGCATCCCTGTCTTGTGCCAGTTTTCAAAGGGAATGCTTCCAGTTTTTGCCCATTCAGTATGATATTGGCTGTGGGTTTGTCATAAATAGCTCTTATTATTTTGAGATACGTCCCATCAATACCTAATTTATTGAGAGCTTTTAGCATGAAGGGCTGTTGAATTTTGTCAAAGGCCTTTTCTGCATCTATTGAGATAATCATGTGGTTTTTGTCTTTGGTCTGTTTATATGATGGATTACGTTTATTGATTTGCATATGTTGAACCAGCCTTGCATCCCAGGGATGAAGCCCACTTGATCATGATGGATAAGCTTTTTGATGTGCTGCTGGATTTGATTTGCCGGTATTTTATTGAGGATTTTTGCATCAATGTTCATCAGGAATATTGGTCTGAAATTCTCTTTTTTTTGTTGTGTCTCTGCCAGGCTTTGGTATCAGGATGATGCTGGCCTCATAAAACGAGTTAGGGAGGATTCTCTCTTTTTCTATTGATTGGAATAGTTTCAGAAAGAATGGTACCAGCTCCTCCTTGTACCTCTGGTAGAATTCGGCTGTGAATCCATCTGGTCCTGGACTTTTTTTGTTGGTAGGCTATTAGTTATTGCCTCTCCACAGTTTTAAGTATTCTACATATATTGATCAATTAGTTCTTATGTTTATGTTTACCTACTATTAATGTTTACCTACTATTCTCTCTGTTCTGATAAGTCCCCAATCAATGTTTCAAATATTTTTATAGTATTGTTTTTACTTGTTCAGTCAATCATTTACATCTCTACGTGAATACGCTAAGGACACATCAAACTTACCACACTCAGGGTGAAATATTACGTTCTCTCTAAAACCTGCTTCTCCTACCTAAGTCCTCAAATGACATCACTGCTTTCCCAATCACTTGAGTTAGAAACAGCTTCCTAATTTATTTTCTTTCTCTTAATTATATCCTTGAGAAAGTTATCCTGCATATGCAGAACTCTTTCTAAGAGGCAAACCTGATGATACTTTTTATTTGTTTGTTTCACTTCTTCAGTAAATTTCCATTACTTGTGGGATAAATCTTAAGCTCCCTGAAAGGTGGATAATGTTTTCCATTACCTGGACTTTATATACACCACCCAGCCCACCCACTCTCTCCCTCTTCAATCCTACTACCTACTGTTCTCAGAAGCAGGCGTCTAGGGCAGAGAGTAATGCCCCGCAGACCCCCACATCCTAGGCTTAGCTCCAGCCTCCCAGTGCTTTGAAGGTAATTTTCCTAGGCTTCAGATGAGTCCTTTAATTTTGTGTGCATCAAAGTCATTTTTAGTACAGTATATGAATGTGCAAAAATTACCCTCTAAATAATTTACTTGCTTTGTTTACTGGTAGACATTTCCACATTTGTATCTCTGCTGTAACTTTTTCGAAGTGTGTGGCCACCACTGCTCATGGTCTGGGCACTCCTCAAGAGTTGTGTGTGTGTGTGTTTAAAATTTGTGTATGTCTGATTGGCCCCATTACTCTAAAAGATTCTGGTTTCTATATATGCACCATAAATAGCTGAATAGAAAATGAAAAGCAACCACCACAACGGAGTTACCCCAACAACATAGTCAGGTTAATAAAACCACATCTCATTTTTGAGATTCCCACCTGCTTGAGTCTGAATTGCAATCTGACCTTAAAATATTCAGACGAGAGATGGGGACAATGGTGCTTCTGTGAGCCACAGCCCCAAGAATCCAGACCTGTTTCATCATTGATAGCCAAGCCATGTTTAGTAAGAATTTCGTGACTTTCATCTTGGTAGGAAACTTTCGCAGCTGCCTGCTTTCCTATACTGCCTGCTGTCGCTAAATAAAGCAGCGGCAGTGAAGGGGGTGACTCTGAGTCATAAACACTCTATCATTGTAACATGAAAAATGTGTCCAAAAGAAGCATTTTTATGTCTCTGATTGTATTATCATTAGTTTAAGAAGCTTGGATGGGCACCCAGGAAAGCCGTGAGGAGGATGCACTTACACACTGGCTTGATGGGTAATGCCTCCAAGACATTGAACGTGCTGAAACAAACAAGGGATCCCCAGAGTGCTCATCTGCTACAGGACTTACTTCATACTGGATCAATTATGCAAATGGAGATGTGAAGATAGCTCCCTCTTTTAGGAAGGAGCGTGATTACTCCTGCACTCACAATTCCAACACAGCGCTCACCGGCAATACCAGTCACATTCTGAACCACCTGGTTCCATCTGGAAAATGTGTTTTCTTAATTGGGAAGGGGATAAGGATTTGAAAAAAATTTCCACCGCCTTACTATTCATTTACATTTGACATGATAAAATGTTTGCCATTACGTGATCCAAGTAGAGACATTTACATATGTGTGAGTTTGATTTCACAATAAAAACTATCAAGGATAATGTGTATTTTTTTTTTAAGTTTAACAATCTTAACACTTATCTGATCATTTTAGAGACTTGAAAGCTAGGACAACGTAACAGGTTCAACCTTTGAGATAGTCTTTAAAAAACTCTTTTAAGAAACCACTACATAGAAAAAGTTTAAAATTCCAAACAGTAATTTTCATGAGCTAAGAAAATTAACAAGGATGGTCGATCAGAGATAACGAGATCAAAGGCAGAGAATAACTGGAAAAGTGATAGCTGTTTAGAAAATTATCAGCCAATAATTATTAAGGCCAAAATTAAAATCATTCCCCTCTGCTTCGCTCTCCTTGTCCATTGCTCATGCTTCTCACATGAGCTTGTCTCACAGGCAAGCTACCTTGTCTGCCTGTATCCACACGCTCCTTTCATGGAATGATTATCTTGGTGGAGAAAACCATTTATTTTCATTGTACTACCCAGCTGGTGACTTCTATGCCACCTTCTGGGCAACCGTCTAAAACCAAGAAGAAGTTAGTTTAAGAAAATCAGCCAGACGCAATCCTGTATTGGGAAATGGCAGAGCAATACATAAAACTCCAAGGTACTGGTTTGACAGAATTCTTGAGGTTTGTCATAGATTAGACATAGTCATTTTAAAATGGCAATCACGGCTCATGATAGAGACCCACAGTGGAATGGCTCAAATGGCTCTCTGTTAGCCTGCTTTGGTGTAAGCCAGTAGCTCAGAGAAAGCAGGAGCATTTTGCACACTTGAATAACTGCATACTTACTTCAATTTAAAAATGACACACCCATATGCAAAATTGACAAGTCACAAATATAAATCTAAACTAGTTGAAAGTACTTTTATTCCAAGGCACATAAATCTTTCTAAGTCCATCAATTAATGTTACATAGTTTTAATTACAGTTTCTAACCTCTACAATTATTACAAGTCGAATGTTTCTCCTTATGTCAACAGATGATGAGACAGGTACAAGATGTAGCAACTTTTGCTCAGCCGAACGGTGTTCTCTGTTCAGCTTTAAGACCTTTACTTTCAATAATTTTCCATAATTTTAATTCAATTTCAGTTCTATTCCATGCCTCAGTTTTCTTTTATAAAAGCTGGGAATTCTGGAACTTCTTACTTCCCTCACAGGGACGTGAAAATTATTTTAGGTTTACAAGCTTTCTGGAGATTAAAAGAAAAAAAAAAAACTCTTCAAGTAAGTGCTAACTGTTGCCTTCAGAACTAACCTATATTTTATCAAATATAATGGAGTCAATTATTTAAAAATGTTGACTAAAACTTGTCTACAGCTGACTAAAATGAAAGGAATTCAAATATAAACCTTTTAGGTGTGTGTGTTTTATAGAGCTCCTAAAACACATGCCATCTAAAATCACAATAGTAAAATTTTCCTGAAAGTTACCGCTAAACGTGAAAGTCACTTATACGGGAAGAATTTGTATTGCATTTGTGAAAGCAAAATTACAATAGCTGACAAAACATGAAAGTTTTATCATGGTGGATTAGAACGTTGCAAGGAACTCAAAGGAAGTTATCGTTATTCAACATTTCAGCTAACATTCTTGTAACGTCTCTTCTGGGAGTAGATTTGTCTCCTCACTCTGTAGGAAGCCCATACACATAAAAAGGTGAGATTAGAGACACTTAGTAAATAATGTAACAAACAGTTCCTATCAAGTTAGACTCCACTCCACATAGAGCAGGCAGGCAAGCAAATAGGTGATGCTCAGATCCCTGCTCTGCTGGCTGGTTTGTCACCCGCGCGGCGGGCAGCTCCCCAGTGTCTCACAAAACTCAGCCTTGGATGAGGCACTACCTGTCGCTATTGCAGAGGACTGATGACACTTTCTCCCTCATCGAACATAAATAATGTTTGCAAATATCCTCTGTCCTCTGAGCTGAGGGTTTGACTTTAGGAAATGACATGAGGTAGACAGAAAAGATTAAAAATGTTAAAAATATTTGGATAAGTGCTTTCCTTTGTTTCTACCTGGTGAAGTCCTTTCTCTTTCCTAATTCCTTTTCCTCCCCTAGGGGTCTTCCTATTACCCCCATGTTCATCTCTTTAAGAACACTTATCCTGTTAGGGGAGAACTGAAATTTCTGGTTTTGTTTGTCTGCCACCAGACTAGAGATTTTTAATCTCTTTGGCTCAAGGATCCTCTCTCAGTTTGGGTTCCCCCGGAAATGGACCTTGAGACAAGGATTTTAGTGGGAGCAGTTTATTTGAGAAGTGGTCCCTGGAAACATGGGTAGGATGGAGTAAGGAAGGAAGGCAAAGAAGTGAAGGGAGGTAGCAGAATACACTTCATCAAGCAGTTTCTACTGTGAGTAACTGGAACTTAATCCCAGTGGGGAACTCTTGGAGTCTGGGAGTTGTCTCATCAGCTGTGCAGAGAGAGGCAGCGTGTACCCTAACTCCATCTGTTATTGATTGATGGCTGCTCAAGAGAGGGATGTGAATTCTCACTTCCTGCCTGCCACGTGCAGGGGCAGAGAGGTAAGATCATAGCGGGTGCAAGGGAGAGAAAGAACTGAGATCCATTTGAGTAACAAATTGGAAAGTGTAGAATTTCTACCCACTCTTCCCATTCCCAGTGTATATTTATAGAAAGAAAGATAGGTGAGAATAGCAATAGTTTGTAAGTAATTTCAGAGGTTACAAAACTCTTGAAATGCATTTATGGATCCCAGGTTAAGAACACTTACAATAGACTGAAAGCTTCTGGAGGGTAAGATATACTTAAACACTGTTGTATACTTAGTACTTGGTATCATTTCTGGCCCCAAATAGGTTCTCAAGAAACATTTCTTCAATAAGTAAATAAATAGAGAATGTGCAGAAGATGTTTTATTCAAATTATTTCTGTACAGAGTATTTAAAATTAAGTCGAGTTATCAATTGTGATGGGGATGACCTTGGTTTTTTAAAACATAAATGATTGAGATAGGGTTTGATTTATTTCTAAAGCATACACAGATTTCAGAGCTGGGAAGTAGTTTGTCTTTCCAACGTTAGAGAGATTATAGGGTTAGCAGCTTAGTAAAGGACTGAAAAGAAAATAAAAGCATAGAGTATCAGTTTCCCATCCCAAATTTTTGGGAGTTGGCTTCTATTTTTGTAATCAAGAATCTTGACTGATAAGATATTGTTGAGAGATTATTCCCTGAGAAAGGGTTTTAAGAGGTTGTTGAAGAAGAGGACATAAGAACAATGGGGTCCTTGGGTTTGGAAATAAGAATTACTACCAAAAAGATGAAATGCACAGGAAGACAGTTTTGGGGACACACCTGCCCTTTCTAGAAACCAAGAAGATAAGGTACCACTGAGAGCCCCAAATAAGACACATTATGCTTCCTCTTTTTCTTTTTTTAGCTTTATTTAAATTACATCTGAAGTGGATTAGTACAGTGGTTTTCAAACTTTACAGTGAATCAGAATTTCCTGGAGAGTATGTTGAAAAAAGATTGCTGAGTCCCATCTCAGAGATTCTGATTCACAAGGTTAGGGTGGAACCTGAGCATTTGCTTTTCCTACAAGTTCCCAGGTGATGCACATTGACAACCACTGGGTTAGTAGATATAGAAACCTAGTGTCAAGCCAAACTAGGATCCAATAAGCTATAAAGAGCAGAAGAACCCTGGAAGAATCTGGCTGGAGTTGATCTGCGTAGTACCAGCTCTTTTACGTACTACTTATCAGATGACCTTGGGCAAGTTATCTAACCTCTACGTGCCACGGTTTCTTCATCTATGACATTAGATAGTATGCATGTATAGTCACTCCCAAACATCATGCTGTAGATAAGCTAAATCTGAATTCACTCATGTTAAAATGCATGTTCTTGGGCACATGTTTCAGAGCCCTGAATCAGAATATTTCAAGGTCATTCTGATATTCAATGAGATTTGAAGACTTCTGGTATGCTATCCTTCTTTCATAAATGAAGTATTAAAGCACAATTTAGCTTTCCCTGATGGCTTAGGCTCATCTTAATGACCACCAATTACTGTACAGTAGTTTCATTGCCTCATCTTGTTGTTGTCTCTCACATTGGCAGCCACATCGGCAGCTTTGTCCTTGCCCCTGTGGCATCCCCATCCCCCAATTCTAATTCACACTGACTAATGTCCTGCTCTGTGTTGAATTGGACTGCTGGCATTGTCAGGGTTACGGTTAAAAACCTGAGTCAGAAAACTCTTGCCTGCTACCTGAGAACAGCTTCTGGAACCCACTGGCTAAGGCATAGGGCTGAGGCTTTCTATTTCATACCTGTGTTGTTGGATAGGTGATGTTGTCAGAAGCCCGATCTTCAGAAAGATAGGATGTTACTACACTGATTTTGCCTTTACGCAAAGCTCAGCAACATCGTCACCTCATCAGAGCTCATACTCTTCAAAATCTGGTTAAAAAATAATCAAGCCTCTCCTTGGGTGTACAGCATACAGTCAACATTTTAATCCCAGTACAAATACTATCATCACAAATTGATTTTCACCTTCTTATTCTTGTTCCTATTAAAGATGTATTACATTTAAAGATCACTTTAATAATAATATATTTAAAATATTCTCATATTAAAGTCAAATGATGATAGCATATTTGTTTTTCAATGTAGATTGACCTGGATGTCAAAGTTCATTTGAGGGGGGAATATCTTCATTATTTTAGATGTTTTAAATTCAAGTGCTTTGATACCCTGTTTAGAAAAGCTTGTGCTAAAGCTTTCCTTGCTGTCACCAAGTGACAACTTTTACCTTAGCCACAGTCAATTGAGTGAAGGAAAGTGCAGAAAGAATCAATTTTAAACTCCATTTCCTGTGGTTTTCTCTAATATTCGAATATAAAAATTTCTTCTCGAAAGTCTAAAATCTGTAACAATATTTACTTTACATATGTTCTTTGTTCCCACAGTAAAATTATATTCTCGGTAATTGTACAAGAGCAACTACAGACCCCACGAAGCAATGACGATGGTGTTTTGTCTTTTGCAATGTGCTGCTAATTATTACTCTTAGACGAAATGGTTCAGAAATAGACTTAGGTTCCTAGGCTGGGGGGAAAAAAAGAAATGCATTATGAAAATTATGTATTTGCCCTCTGGGGACCCCACCTCCTTTATGAAAACTCTTGCCAATCAATCCACAGAACAGAATCTGACTCAATTCTGGGGCAAACATTTGCCTGCTGTTGAAGCTCAAGGAAAGAAAGATGCTTCATATTCTGGTGCCAAAAAGGGAGGTGGAAGAAAATGGGGAGTAAAATCTAGGGGGCAAATAAAAAATATGTACATGTATATTTATGCATTCTGTATTTTGGCTCTAATTGCTTCCAAGATTATTTATTTTTCTTTTTTCCTTTCATTTTTAAAAAATACCTTCCAGCTTCTTAACATGTTTTTCAAAGTAGAAGCTGGAAGGCATAATAAAAAGCAAGCAGGGATATGCTTTTTGAATAGAGTGAAATAATTAATGTAAGAATGCTTCCGTTTGGGCATTTTTTATGAAGTGAAATATATTATTTTTGCATTTAAAATGGAGGTAATTTGTTACACAAAAGTGGTGTTTTCTTTAATCTGAAAATAATACTAATTATAACACTATTTGGGAGCTGGAGTTTTGAAGCCTAAAATTCCTTTTGTAGTTTGAAATTATTTAGCTGCTATAACTAAACTGGCTCTGCTCCCTGGATATTGTCATTTCTTTCAGCATTGTCCCTTTCCTTTTACTCTGGCCACTCTCCGCCCTAGGTTTTCTATGGAATGCCTCCTAGCTCCCCAGGCTTCAGGCTGCTGGTATTTATTCTCTTTAATTTAATTTATTCCCTTTCAGTTAGGTACTGCTTTTTAAGCTATCCATGCTATTTCATTGTTCAGCAGAAAAGGGTTTTATGGTGGGGTATAGCAAATGATATATTCTTTGGAGAACCTCTGGTCAGAGGGTTGGTGGCTGTTTATCCTAGAGAGAGGGGAGACGGGAACATTTCTCTCTTCTTTCTGGAGATCTCTAGGCCTTCTAGGCTGACATTCCCTCCCTCTTTCTTAGGGACAAAAGGCTTTAACTTTTGGTTCTATGGTTTGGTTGTGTCCCCACCCAAATCTCATCTTGAATTGTAGTTCCCGTAATTCCCACATGTCGTGGGAGGGGCCCGGTGGGAACAGGTTTTTCCCAATCTGTTCTCTTGATAATGAATAGATCTCATGAGCTCTGATGGTTTCATAAAGGGGAGTTCCCCTGCACATGCTCTCTTGCCTACCACTCTTGCCTGCCACTATGTAAGACTTGACTTTGATCCTCCTTTGTCTTCCACCATGATTGTGAGACCTCCCCAGCCATCTGGAACTGTGAGTCAATTAAACCTGTTTCCTTTATAAATTACCCAGTCTCGGGAAAGTCTTTATTAGAAGTGTGAGAAAGTTCTAATACACTAGGTAATCTCCTGGGGGCATAACGTGGTCCCTATTTCGTTTAGAAATTGCTTTCCGACATATCTTTTAGAATCACAAGAAGGCAGGGGCTTTGACATCAGGCAAATGGCTGCTTTCAGGACCTGGAATTTACCCAGATCTTATAAAATCCCTAAAATAGGGCTGTGCTTCCATATCAACTTAAGGCATACTTTGAGAGGAGCAGTAAAAATCCTCAGCTGGACACAGATTTCTACAACTCTGTGCAAACAATAGGTTTCTGATTATTAATCCTCACCTTCATTTGGGGCCATTTTTGAGGATCAGGTGAAAAGTATACCCATGGACACATGCACAAAAGTGTGTAGATTTTCCAAGGGATCCATGGACATCTCCACCACCCAGGACCCAAGTGCAAATGTGTGTTGTTTAAGAAGTCCTGTTCGCTGTTTCAAGAGGTTCTACCTAGTCTGGGTCTCTGCAGTCTTCTCTATCGTTCTTTTTTAATTCTTATGTGTATATTGTAGGGTACATATTTATGGAGTACATGATATGTTTTGATACAGGCATACAATGCATAACAATTACATCAGGGTAAATGCAGTATCAGTCACCTCAAGTATTTCTGATTTCTTTTTGGTACAAACATTCCAATTATACTCTTTTAGTTATTTTAAAATGCACAATAAATTATTGTTGACTGTAATTACTCTGCTGTGCTAGTAAATACTAATCTTATTCATTCTATCTAACTATATTTTTGTTTAACCATCACCACTCACTACCGTTCCCAGCCTCTGGTAACCATTATTCTATTATTTATGTCCATGAATTCCATTGTTGTAATTTTTGGTTCCCACAAATGAGTGAGAACATACAAAGTTTGTCTTTCTGTGCCCGACTTATTTCACTTAACATAATGGCCTCCAGTTCCATCCATGTTGTTGCAAATGACAGGATCTCATTATTTATTATGACTGAATAGTATTTCATTGTGTGTACATGTACCACATTTTCTTTATTTATTCAGCTGTTGATGAACACTTAGGTTGCTTCCAAACCCTGGCCATTGTGAATACTGCTGCGATAATCATGGCAGAGCAGATATCTCTCTGATATACTAATTTCCTTTCTTTTGGGTATAGTCCCAGCAGTGGGATTGCTGGATCATATGGAAGTAATATTTTTAGTTTTTTGAGACACCTGCATACTGTTCTCTATAGTGGTTGTACTAATCTACATTCCCACCAACAGTGTATGAGGATTCTTTTCTCCACATCCTTGCCAGCATTTGTTATTGCCTGTCTTTTGGATAAAAGGCATTCTCACTGGAGTGAGATGATATCTCATTGGAGCTTTGATTTTCATTTCTGTGATAATGATGTTGAGCACCTTTTCATACACCTGTTTGCCATATGCATGTCTTCTTCTGAGAAATGTCTACTCAGATCTTGTGCCCATTTTATAATCAGCTCTATCCTCCTTTTGTTCCATGCTCTTCCTCACTCATGATACCTCGTCATGTCACTGTAGCATCCCAAGTTTTTACTGGTCCTCTCAAAGTATTCCTTACGTCGATATGGAAGCACAGCCCTATTTTAGGGATTTTATAAGATCTGGGTAAATTCCAGGTCCTGGAAGCAGCAATTTACCTGACGTCAAAGCCCCTGCCTTCTTGTGATTCTAAAAGATATGTCGGAAAGCAACTTCTAAACGAAGTAGGGACCACAGTTATGCCCCCAGGGGATTACCTAGTGTATTAGTCCTTTCTCATACTTGCACTAGCCATTTGTATTTTCTAGAATGCTTTTCCCCCGAATGTCCCCATATTATCCTTTGGCTGTTGGTCCAGTTACCACTTCTTCAGATAGGCCTTCCTTGACTACTCTGATACAAAGTGATGACACCCCTTTCCAATCTCTTTGTCATATTGTCTGATTTATTGTCTTTAGAGCACTATTTCTATATTGTTATATTGTTGATGTATTTGCTCACTTGTTGTTGTTTACTGTCTTAGTGTGTTACCCATTACTGTGTAAACTCCATGAGAACTCCTGTATCCTCAGCCCTCTTAACAGTGCCCAATACTTAGTAGGCACTTAATATTTATGGCTACTGAATTGATTAATATAAAGAGTTGAGGAAGAGTCCCAAATATTATTATAGTTCTATTCCACTTACAAATTAAGAAAAAAATTAAAATAATTTTTTTACTGGACAGGGTTTCTCAATTTTAGCACTATTGTCCTTTTGGGCTGAATAATTCTTTGTTGTGGGGCCTGTCCTTTGCACTGTAGGATATGGACTAGCCACCCTGGCCTCTACCCACTAGAGATGTCAGTAGCACTTTTCTAGTTGTTTCAACCAAAAGTGTCTCCAGACATTGCAAAATGTCCCCCAGGAGGCAAATTAACTTTGGTTGAGAACCACTGGATTAGAATAATGAGTGGTCACTTGTGCCTTGCAGGTGTCCTGATTCCTGTGTTTAGAATTGCATGACTTGAACAACACAGAAGACGGATGTCTAAAACGCACTGGAGAAATATGAAAATTAAGAGTCTGGGCAAAGGAGGCTGTGATATTAGAGATTTGTGGTTTGAGAAGTGACTATACTACTGGATGTCTTCAGAGCAAAAGATATATGAATGTTTCCTGTGGAGCTGATTTGAACTGTATGCAAGACGGAGCTGCTGTGAGGGTCGTCAGACAGGCAAAGTTGCTTCAGTGGAAGGAAGTTGGTAGACGACCTTGGAAAGTCTAAGGCCTGGAGAAGGTATCAAAAGTGACCAAATGGAATGGAGACCCATTCACCCACGTCAAGTGAACTTCAGGGGAGACATGCCTACTGACTGGGGCTTCTGCAAAGAACTGACGAAAATGTTCTTAAACGAAAAGGTCAGCTTTCAACTTCTGCCAAGCCTAGAGAGCATGCATGCTGGGTCCTCACAACAGTACTCATAATGTGAGAATATTCTTGCATCCCTTTCCTCTCCTTCCATGCCCTGCTCCAATTCTGCCACAGTCTGAATCTGAGGTTTGCCAACTGGGTTAGGAGGGGTAGAAGTTCAAGGCAGGGAAACAAAGAAGTGGAGCATAAAATGCTTGCCCCACCTGCACGCTTACCTTCTACAGCAAAAATAAACTGGAGAAGCGGCAGCTTCAACTTTAAATCAACTATTATGTGACTATCACATGGAAACAGACATTTATATTCTTAGATTTAATAATTTGCATGGCCTAATACTCATCAGAAAAGGCTTCAAACTGTCTGAGCTTTCATCTAAGGGAAGCACTTGCCCATGCTTAAATTTAAGAGGGCAATAAATTTAAGAGAGTGGTAGGACGTAAAAATAAAGTCATCTTATGAATAAATCCCATGAATTGTGCTTGTTTGATCTTATGCAGCTCTGGGTTTGTCCCTAGGTTCCCAATACCTACACATAATAGACAATTGATGTTTATGTAATTATATACTTTAAAAGTAATCCATCCAAACTTCTTTCTACTTGTGGGCATTATCTGCCCTCTGACCTCAGAAATGAATTTTCTGTTACATTCAAGTCACCAAAGGGTGGAATGACCTGCAGTCTCAAAGTTTTTTAAAACCCTTACTAATCCTTTTCCTTTGGATTCATTAGATTATAAGCTTTTCTACTCATGGTTAGGGTATAATACTGATCTTGAAAACACTTTTCACTTTCTTTTCTTCCATATGGCTGGTCATACCCTCTATCAATCACTTCCAGTTGGCAACTGTGACACTGGGCAGCAATTTACTGAGTTAAAGTCAGCTTTGGTTTCCCACCATGGCTTATAAGGTAAAATACTGTAATCATTAGGTCCTGCTCTAAACTGGCAGGATGTGACAGAGAATCTACAATCCAGGATAAGGCCAGTGTCAACTAACTGTGACATTCCATCAAATATAGCATCCTTAATGTCATGGAGAGTTACTCTCTGCATGGGTGATAAAGTATGGGCACGCTGACAGGCTCTTGCTTAACTGTACTCATTGGCCTTGGTATGTTCATGCCAATTCATTGTTTTATAACAGATTGGCTCACATTGAGAATGAGGATTCAATTTGAGATTTTATTGTTAACCTTTAAGGTCCTTGGAGGCATTGTTGGGCTCTTCTGCCGACAGGAGCTAACTAAAGTTTATGCTCCCATTTGTAGGTGTCTATCAACCATGATTTTACATTGACACATCCACATCAGTCTCCCTCTCCTCCCAACAAGGCTTAACATAAAAAGTACTTACTTTCAGATTTGAATAAAATTTGGCCACTGGTATCTCATAGTTGCTGTGCTTTCTAGCAGAATTCATTTTCGAATATCAACCTATTTGACTTTCTTTTTATTCTTGATGACATTTTTCCTACTTCTTATCGTGACTTGAATCTGAACAGAAGCAGAGCAAGGGCTTATGAAGGGTGACTTAGAATACCACTCCCAAGCTAATCATGGAAATAGCTGCCAAATTCTTTTTTAGCATTAAAACCTACCAGCTCTGAGATTCTTCGACAGTTAAAATAAATGATTTCTACAAGTTTGAAATGAATCTCAAGAAAGAAGCAAAACAAGAAATAGGATATACTTGTTGAGGGAACATTATGAGCTATTGAGTACTGAATTTGACCAGGCTGTACCGAGAACTGAAGTATTTATTTTTAGTTCCAGAATTGTTTTGCAATTTACTAGGCAACAATGGCATCAAGGCACCCCAGGAATGATGACAACTATTCTAGCCATATCCCAGAAACTGTAAAAGTAAATTGGATGATATATGCAAAGCACTCTCAGCTTTCTGATGGAAAGTTTTCTTTTTCTTTTTTAAGTACTATAATGGGTACAGGGGGTTCATTGGATTATTGCATTTTGCTTTATTTATACTCTTTTTAAGGGCAAGTGAGTGGGCAAGAAAAGAGTACATTTTTCAACAAATGAGTGAACTTATAAATAATGGTCTTGGTTGTGTAAAAACCTCTTCTAGTCAGAGATTTTTAAAAAATAAATGCAAATATTTCTAGTTTTTTTATGTGTCCAGCCTAGATTTCTTAAAGCTTGGGCTGCTATCCAGAATAACATCAAGTATGCAAAGAAGCCTATTGTATTCCATATTGGCAAAAAGCTTACTAAAGCATAGATTAAAAAGTGTTGGCATATAGCCAATTCCACTGTCAATTCCCCAGCTCATTTCTCTGTTCTTCCCTTGGAATCCAAACCATTCCCCTGTTTTCATTTGTATAAAGAACAAAGCAATCTACCTCTATTAGGAGTTATATATATATATATATATATATGTGTGTGTGTGTGTGTGTGTGTGTGTGTGTATGTGTGTGTGCGTGTGTGTATATATATATGTGTGTGTGTGTGTGTGCATATATATATATATGTATTGTTTGCTATAACAGGCAGTATCAATGACCATGTTAGCCCGCCATGCTCAGACTCTAAAATGCCACTTTTCAGAAGGCTAAATTTCATTATGGACAACTAATAGGTTTAAGTATGTGAAATGTCAAAAATATCATAACCATACACACACAAATTTGGCATCATGATTACTTTGGGATGGGAGAGGCTTTCTATATACCTAGGTTTATAATAAGTGGCAAAAAGAAACAAAAGTGTTTGTTGCTTAGCAGAAAGTATGCAATGTAAATCTCTTAGAGCAACATAACTAGTCGAAAGATTCTGATCACCTTATAGCAGAGCAGAAGATTCTATTTTTTGGGATATCTCTAACAATATTATGAAATATATCAGATATCTTCCATTTCTTTCTGCATATCCTCTCTTCATACCTTCTAACTGCTCTCGGAGGCTGATCTTTTGGCTTCTGGTTGGGTTCAGTCAATGCAGACAGCCTTCCAGAGCTTGTTGGAAGTGAAAAGAGTGAGGTTATGCATTTATTTCCTGGTTTTCTCCCTGTGAATAACCTTGAGCTGGCAACGTACCTTCTCAGAAGGTAACTGATTTTGTACAATTCTCTCCTTCCACTGGTAACCACTTTTTCTTCCTGTATCTTCAGGTCCCAGGTGGTACTGTCTATATGTTTGAAGATACATGGGGAAATAGCAAGTTGGAAAGATGTTAAACATATGTCAGAGAAATCAGGCATAACGTATTTGAAAGTGAACCTCATCCAAGGGTGATTAATTGAACATGGTGAGAAATAAGGTCCAGTACAATTCTATCAATAAACCAAAGAAAATAAAATTTGTAGAAAAGATAATGATTATCTTCAAATATCTCAGGAGTTACATGGAGACTGGATGAGGAAATGAGTATTTTACTGTAAATCCTATTCAAGCGGTAGTTAGGGGGATTACACATTTTGAGATGGAAAAAGAATAAATTTTTGCATTTGGAAAGATATTAGACTACATATCTTTACGATTCCTTCTAACTCTTAGATTCTGAGTTGCCGTGATCTCAATGTAACCAAAATAAAACACAGGGCTTCTCATTACTGGGTATATACCCAAAGGGATTATAAATTATTCTACTATAAAGACACATGCATGTGTATGTTTATCGCAGCACTGCTCACAATAGCAAAGACTCGGAACCAACCCAAATGCCCATCAATTATAGACTGGATAAAGAGAACATGGCACATATACACCATGGAATACTATGCAGCCATAAAAAAGGATGAGTTCATGTCCCTTGCAGGGACATGGATGAAGCTGGAAATCATCATTCTCAGCAAACTAACACAGAAACAGAAAACCAAACACTGCATATTCTCATTCATAAGTGGGAGTTGAACAATGAGAACACAGGGACACAGGGAGGGAAATATCACAGGTCAAGCGGTGGGGGGCTAGAGGAGGGATAGCATTAGGAGAAATACCTAATGTAGATGATGGGCTGATGGGTGCAGCAAACCACCATGGCACATGTATACCTATGTAACAAACCTGCACGTTCCACACATGTATCTCACAACTTAAAGTTTAATTAAAAAAGAAAGAAAGAAAGAAAGAAAGAAAAAATTAAAAAAATAATAAACCACAGGGCTTCTAATGGCCCAATTTGGGGCCACTTAAAAAGAAGTGGATACCATAAGTTTCAATGCAAGTTAAAAGTAATTACAATCTTTTAAAAAAATTGCTTGGGACGGGCACGGTGGCTCAGGCCTGTAATCCCAGCACTTTGGGAGACTGAGGTGGGCAGATCACGAGGTCAAGAGATCGAGACCATCCTGGCCAACATGGTGAAACCCCGTCTCTACTAAAAATACAAAAATTAGCTGGGTGTGGTGGCATGCGCCTGTAGTCCCAGCTACTTGGGAGGCTGAGGCAGGAGAATTGCTTGAACCCAATAGGCAGAGGCCGCAGTGAGCCGAGATCACGCCACTGCACTCCAGCCTGGTGATAGAGCAAGACTCTGTCTCAAAAAACAAAAACAAACAAACAAACAAACAAAAATTGCTTGGACATGATTAAAAGAGTTTTAATCATTTATCTACAGCAAAGACTTCTTAAATATTTTTGCCTCTGTTTCCTTGGTTTTATCTCTCTTTTTGTCTCAGTGTGGCTATTAACTCTCTTCTGGTCTATTCGCAACTCTTTCCATCAATTTTTTTCTACTCACCACATCTACTGAGGTGTTGTCTTCCTAATCTCCCACACAACTTTTGTTCTGCTTTTTTTTTCTCTCTACCAAAAGCTAATTCCCTATACCTTCTTCTTGAGTTTTCTTTCTACTGACTACCCCTAGATACAGAAGAAGGATGAACATAGTAGTGAAAACTGCTGTGTTGGCAATGTCCAGGTGGCGAGGAAGAGGATGGTGGTATTGGATAAACGGGAAGGAAAGGAAATTTGATTCATTAATAATTTTTGCCCTCATCACATTATCTCAAGCAGGTAAGCTACCTGGAATATAAAAATGGTACTTTTAATACACCATGCTTCTGTAAGAATTTGTCTAGAAGATTTTTGAACACAAGAAAACGATTGCTATAACTGGAATTTGTAGCTGATAATTACAAAGCTTTATGTTGACCATCTTTTGGTTGAATTGCAATGGCAAATTTTCCTGCATTCATATCCTACTATTTCACACATTCAAGTCCTACTATTTCATGCATTCAAGTCTTACTATTTATTTTATTTACAGCCCATCACCCACCACATTGGGCAAGTTGGCTGATTCGTTTTTGTTTTTGTTTTGAGACGGAGTCTCATGCTGTTGCCCAGGCTGGAGTGCAGTGGTGTGATCTCAGCTCACTGCAGCCTCTGCCTCCCGGGTTCAAGCGATTTTCCTGTCTCAGTCTCCTGAGTAGCTGGGATTACAGGTGACCACCACCACACCCGGCTAATTTTTGTAGTTTTAGTAGATACAGGGTTTCTCCGTGTTGACCAGGCTGGTCTCGAACTCTTGACCTCAAGTGATCCACCCACCTCGGCCTCCCAAAATGCTGGGATTACAGACATGAACCACCATGCCAGGCTGTTAGGTGAATTTTCTTATGCTTCAGTTTCCCCTTCTAAGTTATGGTGACAATAACGATAGCACCTATTTCATGAAAGATTCTGTGAAGTTTAGGTGATAAATCTGTATACCGCACTTAGCATAATAGGTGGAATATAGCAATAACTCCTCAAGAGTTACCATTATTATTATTGCTATTCCTATTAAAAGTTTTATTATACTAAGTATTCCTATAGCTATAAAGATCTATATTATATAAATATAAATTAATTTTATGTAAATATTAAATTTTAGCTTGAAATTTTTTAGATAAACAAGGTTAATGTAAACGTTTTAATTATATATGTGGTAAAGAAGGCTAAGTGGCCAGGTGGACATCCAACTAATTTATTCTGTTTCTTTCAGGACTGACCTATAAAAATCCTCTCATGCCCATCCCTCCCTGATTATTACCCTTCTGTGACATGATGAACCTCAGATCGTCACTTGGAAGCCACATCTTAAAGATGACACAGCCACAAGGTGGAGGGAGCCCCGGGTCCTTGAGTCATTGACTGGAAAAATATCACTCACCAATCAGAGATACTTTGGACTTTATGTGAGCATGAGAGCGTTCTATCATTTTCAAGCCAGCCATTTTTTAGTTTGTTTGCTGTAACAAGTAGGGTTATCTAGCTAATACGTTCTGAGCAGACTGATCATTCTGTCTGGTGTAAGTACCTTGCAAAACCTCTCACCAAAATAATCTTATTTAAGTAAAAAGTCTTTGACTGGAGTAAATTAAAATGTCAATTTTTTTTGTTTTCATTCCTATATCTTTCATATACCTGAAATAATTTTTAACAAATTCTTCAACACTTCTCCTCATTTGTTTCAAAGTGTTTTAACCCTTTGCTTGATTATTATGTCAGTTTTACTTCTGCCAGGCTTTTATTTTTTTCTTTTTCTGTGTACTTACAGATGGTGGCTGGGCCACACAATATCTTAGAAGTTGGCATAAAATCACAAAGTCCATGAACTAAGTGGGAAGCACAATTGGAAACTATTTTGGTATTACGTAGACGAAGAAACCATGTCTGGATAAAATTTGTTTTCATTTGGTTTTGATGGTGTTTTACATATTTCGTTCCTCTGTTCCAAGCCCTGTGTGTCAGATCCCTGGAAGATTATCTAATCAAATTAGCATAATAATAATCGATCTATGAAAGCAGACCTGCTATAGATTAATAGAAATTATGGCAATAATAACATTTTCTGGGCTGCTTTCAGAATGCAGAAGGAACACTTCTTATGTGGATAAGGTGCCCTTGAGTAGTTGTGTGTAGATGCAAGGAGGGTGGGGTGGTAATGGACTAGTGAACATATAATTTTGGTTGTAAATGCAGATTTCCATGTTAAGTGACAATCATAACAACATCATCATTATCAACAATAACAACAATATTTCCACAACATTAGAGTTAGGAAAATAAATTTGCATGAACTTATTTAATAATGTAGCTCTTTACACAATTTTATGATCATGGTGGACATGGTTGGTTGTCCTGGCTTCTTGCTTGTTAATATAACTCTAATTTTGCTCAGTTAGTGGGTGATGACACCTTGAACTCAGGGAAGGATGGTCTCTACTCCAGCTTCACTGGAGGAATAATGAATGGCTTAGTTGCATTATAGCAATTTCATTTTGCTGTTATTGGTCTAGGGATAGCCTTAAGTATCAGCTTTGACTAATGAAATCAAATGAGAAATCTGTTGACCTGCTTCTAGAAAAGAACTATGATGCAAATGCCAGTCAAATTAGAGAGGACCAGAACCTTGAACTATCCCAGGAACCACTGAAGAACACTAGAACAAAGTGACTTCCAGTAAGGTAAGAAAAATAAATTCCATTTTGGTCACTAGTGCCTGAGAATTCTAACTAACACAGCGATATGGGCAGCTATAATTATTCATATTTTAAATGTGAGGAATCTAAGACTCAGAAAGGCTAAATAACTTGTTAATTCAAACCAAGTCTTATACATTAAAGTATAGTAATCCTGCCCTCATCAACTTATAAATCAATCAATGGTAAAAAGGATGTTTTTATAATTCTTTTATTCTTCATCCACAGGTGTGAATACAATGCTGAGCCTATAATTGATTACATGACTTAATCCATTAAATAAATGGGATTCTCATTCTTATTCTAAAAAAATATCCAATTTGACACCAAAATCACAGGCAACAAAAGCAAAATAAACGGACTACATCAAATGAAAGAGTCTTTCTGCACAGCAAAGGAAACAATTAAAATAAGGCAACTTACTGAATGGGAGAAAATATTTGCAAATTCTCTCTCCGATCAGGGATGTGATAAATGTGATACCATGTGACCTGAGCTGCCCGTTAGGAACTGGGTTTTATTTAACCCAAGAAGCCATATAGTTGGGCTTACACAGCAACACTCCATCAAATGAAAGTAGTATACATGTGATTCACCCTTAGCAGGTCCTGAAAGCACAAGTAAGTTACAAGAAGAAGTGGCCCAAAAGTCCATGGTCGACACTCCTGCTACACTGCCTTTTCTCTCCTAGTCTGTACCTATGTCCTCATGGGGAGTTCTCTATGATCAATTAATAGAGGAAGAAAAGACATGGGCATGATTTATAGGTGGTTCTACTGGACATGCAGGCACAACTTGAAAGTGGACAGCTGCAGCACTTCAGCTCCTCCCTGGGACATCCCTAAAGGACAGTGGTAAAGAAAAATCTTTCCAGTGGATGGAATGTTAGGGAGTGCATCTGGTTGTGCACTTTGCTTGGAAGGAGAAACAGCCATATGTACAATTATTTAATAATTCATGGACTGTAGCCAATGGTTTGGCTGGATGTCAGGGACTTGGAAGGAATATGATTGAAAAATTGTTGACAAAGAAATCTGGAAATGAGGTGTGTGGATAGCTCTCTCTGAATGGGCAAAAAACATGAAGATATTTGTGTCTCATGTAAATGCTCACTATAGGGTGACATCAGTAGAGGAGGATTTTAATAATCAAGTGGATACAATGGCCCTTTTTGTGGATAACAGTCAGCCTCCTTCCCTAGCCACTCCTGTTATCACTCAATGGGCTCATGAAAAAAGTAGCCATAGTAGCAGGGATGGGGGTTGTGCATGAACTCAGCAACATGGACTTCCATTTCACTCACTGAAGTCAACATGGCTACAGTCACCACTCAGTGTCCATCAGCCCACAGCAGAGACCAACACTGAGCCCCCTATATGGCACCATTTCACAGTACCATCAGCCAGTTAGCTGGTAGAAAGCTGATTACATTGGACCACTTCCATCATGGAAGGGGTAGCATTTTGTTCTTCCTGAAATAGAAACTTACTCTGGATATGGGTTTGCTTTCCCTACATGGAATGCTTATGCTACAACTACAATCTGTGGATTTACAGAATGCCTTAATCACCATCATGGTATTTCACACAGCATTGCTTCTGACCAAGGAACTCACTTCACAACCAAAGAAGTGAGGCAATGGACACATCCTCATTAAATTTACTGGTCTTATCATGTTCCCCACCATCCCGGGGCAGGTTGCCTGAAATGGCCTTTTGAAGATGCAGTTACAGTGCCAGCTAGGTGTAAATACCTTGCAGGGCTGGGACAAGGTTCTCTAGGAGGCTGTATATTCTCTGAATCAGTGTCCAATACATGGTACTGTATTTCCAGGAATCAAGGGGTGGAAATGGGAGTGGTACTGTTCACAATTACCTTACTGACTTAATGGCAACATTTTTCCTTCCTGTTCCCACGACTTTGTGCTCTGTTTTTGCTTCCTTTTCCCATGGCTTTGTGCACTGATGACCTAGAGGTCTTAGTTCAAGAGGGAGGCTTGCTACTAGCAGGAGACACAATAATGATTCCAGGCCAGGTGTGGTGGCTCACACCTGTAATTCCAGTCTCTTGGAGGCCGAGGCAGGAGGATTGCTTGAGCCCAGCAGTTCAAGGTTCAAAACCAGCCTGGGCACAATGGCAAAACCCTGTCTCTATAAGAAAAAAAAAAAAAAAAAAAAAGCCAGGCACGGTGGTGCGTGTGCCTGTAGTCCCAGTCCCAGCTACTCAGGATTCTGAGATAGATTCCTTGAGCTCAGGAGTTTGAGGCTATAGTGATTGTGCCACTGCATTCCAGCTTGGGTGAGAGAGTGAGATCCCATCTCTAAAACAAAAACAAGAACAAAAACAAAACACTACAAACAAATGATTCCACTGCACTAGAAGTTAAGACTGTCATCAGCCACACTGGTATTTTCATGCCTCTGAGTCAACTGGCCAACAGCTATGGTGTTGGCTGGAGTGATTGATCCAAACTACCAAGGGGAAACTGGATGACTACTCCATAATGGAGGTAAGAAGAATATGTCTGGAATACAGGAGATCCCCTTAGTGAGTCTTTTAATATTACCATGCCCTGATTAATAGAACACTACAACAACCCAATCCAGGCAGTACCACAAATGGTCCAGACCTTTCAAGAATAAAAATTTGGGTCACCCAGCCAGGTGACTGTTGTGACCAGCTGACATTCTTTCTGAAGGCAAAGGGAATATAGAATGGACAGTAGAGGAATGTAGTTATAAATACCATCTATGACCACCTGAATATCTGCAGAAATGATGACTGTAATTGTAATGCATATTTCCTTCTTAGTTTATTATAAACGTTTGTGTGGCTATATACATATATTAAGCAGATATCCTTGTTTTCATTCCTCTCTTATTCTGGTATCATGTAACATAAGATGTATTGAGTTTATATCAGTATTTAAATATTGTTAATTTTACATCATTGTATATAAGTTATGGGATATCAAGAGAAGAGTAAACATCATTCACAGACTTTACCTCATCTTTTGGAGAAGGGATTAATGTGTTTCCAATTATATCTAGGATAGTTGTATCATGATACATGGTATTGTGAACTTGTTATTGCCTTTATTTAGACATCAAGTGTGGTTTGAGGAGATGTGTATGGGTGCCAAGTTGACAAGGGGTAGGCTTGTGATCATTAATTTTATGTGTCAACTTGACTGGGCTATGGGATGCCCAGATAGCTGGTAAAACATTATGTCCTGATCTGTCTGTGAGCATGCTTTGGGTAGAGATTAGCAGTTGAATCAATAAACTGAGTAAAGATCCGTCCTCGTCAATGTTGGGCGGAGGGGCAGCATCCAATCCATTGAGGGTCAGAATAGAATAAAAAGGCAGAGGAAGGATGAAATCTCTTCTTCAACTGGGATATGCATCTCCTGCCTTCAGATATCAGAGCTCCTGGTTCTCAGGTCTTTGACTCCAGTGTTTGCACTAGCACCACTTTTTCCTCACTACCCCCATCCCTATTTCTCAGGCCTTTGGAGTGGAACTGAATTATACCATTTGCTCTCCTGGTTCTCAAGTTTGCAGATGGTGTATTTTGGGACCTCTCAGCCTCCATAATCACATGAGTGAATTCTCATAATAAATCTTCTCTTATATACTTACATATATCCTATAGGTTGTGCTTCGCTGCAATCCTGACTAATACAAAGGGTTAATCTTGAAAATATATAAGGAACTCAACAACTCAACAGCAAAAATACAAATAATCCAAGTTAAAAATGGGCAAAGGACCTGAGTAGATATTTTTCCTAAGAAGACAAACATATGGCCAAGTGTTGTATAAAAAGATGTCCAACATCCCTAATCATCAGGGAAATATAAATCAAAACCATAATGAGATATTACCTCACTCTTGTTAGGATGGCTATTAACAAAAAGTCAAAAGATAACAAGCATTGGAGAGGATGTGGAGAAAAGGGACTGTCGTACATGGTTTGTGGGAATGTAAATTGGTACAGCCATTATGGAAAACCGTATGGTGGTTCCTCAAAAAGTTAAAAATAAAACTACCATATGATCCAGCAATTCCACTACTCAGTATATATCTAAAAGATGTGAAATCTGTATGTTGAGGAGATCTCTTCACCCCCATGTTTATCACACCACTATTCAAAATACCCAAGGTAGAGAATCAACTTGTGAAAGGATGAATGGATCAATAAAATGTGGTATATGTACACAATAGAATCCTGTTTGCCTTAAAAAGGAAGAAAGTTCTGCCATTTGCAAAAACATGGATGAACCTAGAAGACAATATACTAAGTGAAATAAACCAAATACAGAAAGACACATACTGCATAATCTCACTTACATGTCAAATCTAAAAATGTAAGCTGAGCTTATAGAAATAGAGAGTAGAATGGTGGTTACCATGGGCTGAAGTTGGAAGAAATGAGATGTTGGTCAAAGGGTACAAACTTTCAGTTATAAGATGAGTAAGTTCTGCAGACCTATTGCACAGTATGGCGACTCCAGTTAATAATGTATTGGACACTTGAAATTTGTGGAAGGAGTAAATCTCAAGCATTCTTCACACACACACACACACACACACACACACACACAGACGGTAAGTAGGTGAGTTGATGGATATGCTAGCTTGATTGTGGTAGTCATTTCACATTGTATATGTATATCAAAACAGCATGTTGTACATTTTAAATATATACAAGTTTCATTTGCTGATCATACCTCAATAAAGTTAGAGGTGGGAGAAAGAAAATATATCCAAGAAGAGAAAGTAACTAATATGTTTTCCTAAGAACAAACCATCTTTTACATAAAAAATATTTATATCAGTGGAATTTTGTTTTCATGTATTTAACATTTTTTCTCAGTTGAGAAGTTAAACATGCCTAATGTTTCTATGTCTTTTTTTAGTGTTTTCTTTAAAATGTCCTTTAAATGGATACACTCCAAGTCATAGGAATCCTTCATGAAGTCACATGAATTAGAAAAGAGAAGTTTGATGTTGAATTTTAAAAAATAGAGATATACTCTATTATGCTGTGAATAAGGTATAATAGTAGAACTTATCTGACTTAAATCAGATAATTTTATCCTAAACAAGATAATTGTCTTCGTGTCATATTTTATAGTAAAAGTCTGATGGTTTCAATTTCCTGCAACTCAGAACATTTCTTAGCTTTTAATATATTTCAAACTGCCTGTCAGATGGGAAAGAATAAGAGAACTTGGGGCAGAGGAAGGGAAAGGATTTGTTTTTGTTTTGTAGTTGGGGAAAGCAAGAAAGACAAAAGTTAATCAACATGACTCAGGTACAGGTAGAAAATCATAAGGCAAAGCTCTGAAGGAATTGTGCCACACTTTTCCGCTAAACAACGACTTTCTAAAGCTGCCACAGAAATGCCCGTATTTTCAGAGAGAAGAGATGCTCTTGTTTGAGACTTTTAAAATAAACATTAGCTTTAATATAAAGTCATTAACATTTTCAAAGATTCAACAGTCTAGATAAATCTCAGTGGAACTTATATATATTATATATACACACATTTATATATAAAGTCATACATATATCTATACATATTTTTAGTTTAGTTTACTTAGCTAAATCTGTAGCATTTATTGTTGCTTCAGCACTAATATACCATAATTACTTTTCTTCTGTTCTACCTCCAGCATAAATAAATCCCCATTATTTTCACTTACATAGTTTTCTACTAATTCATCCTTCTTTTTTTTCAACTTTTCCATCAAATCTCTCATATCTATTAGATTATCTTATAACTGAGTCTACCGATTGAACTATGATTTCCACTACCTCCTCCACCCTCAGCCCTTACTGAAATTGTTACTCCCAAAGTGCTCTCCCTCTTGCTCCAAACAGGATTCCTATTTTCTGGGCTTTCAGACTCTATTGTGTAATTTCATATAAAAATTATCCTGTAAAAGCAGATTATTTCTGTGAAGCATAAGAAGGAAAAAAAGGGTGTTACCCTAACAGCTGTAAAACTTAACACTTTGTCTTTTGTTGGGCTACACAATGCTAAAACATCCAGATGCAACATGAACATTTCAGACAATCATCTGGATGCCTCCAAACCCAAGGAGTTTGGTAGCTGCTAAGCAAAGCAGCCTGGTTGCATGGCTTGTTTCATTTGCATATGGATATTTTGACAGTATCCAGACTTAGCCTTTATCATAACGTGACCAAAAATGAATGCGAGATACTTGGTTTAATGATGGAAGATAGCTGCACAGTGCAAAAGTATTCTCCATTTACTGTGATTCCTCAACATGGCTTATCCTGATTTTTGATAAAATCTATACCACTTTAAAAAATTAAAAAGTGCTTGCATATTCAAAAAATTTTTTATTTCTTTTATTTTTTATTTCACAAGTAAAAACTATAGATATTCATGACATACAACATAATGTTTTGATATATATACACATTGTGGAATGGCTAAATTAACCTATTTAATGTGTGAATTATCTCGCATACTTTTTTTTGTGGTGAGAACAATTAAAATAAAAATAGACTCTCTTAGTAATTTTCATGTATATGATATGTTATTATTAACTATAGTCACCATGATATGCCATAGATTGCTTGAATTTATTCCTCCTAAGTGAAATTTTGTGTCCTTTGACCAATATCTCCCCAAATTCCCCAACCCCCATGCCTCTGGTGACCACCATTTTACTCTGTGTCTTTGAGTCTGGCTTTTTAACACTTCACATATATATGAGTCAGATCATCCTGTATTTGTCTTTCTTGTGGCTGGGTGATTTCACATAACATAATGTCTTTCCAGTTCATCCATGCTGTCAATTAGGTCCTACAAATGACAGCCTCTTTAAGAAGGCTGAATATTATTCCATTATGTATATATACCACATTTTCTTTATCCGTTGATCCACTGATGGACACTTCTGTTGCCATATATTGGTTATTGTGAATAGTGCTGCAATGAACATAGGAGTGTACATGTCTCCTCAACATGATTTCATATCCTTTGGATATATAGGCAGTAGTGGGATTGCTAGATTATATGGTAGCTTTATTTTTATCTTTTGGAGGAACCTCTATACTGTTCTCTATAATGGCCTTTTCTCCACATCCTCTCCTACACCTATCTTCTGACTTTTTTATAATAGCCATCCTAACAGGGGTCAGGTGATAGCTCATTATGTTTTTCACTTGTTTTTCTCTGATGATTATTGATGTTGGGCAGTTTTTTATACACCTGTTGGCCATATGTATATATTCCTTGGGAAATTGTCTATTCAGATCCTTTGCCCATTTTTAACTTGGGTTATTTGCATTTTTGCTGTTGTGATGTTTGAGTTCCTTATGTATTTCTGATATTAACCCTTTATCAGATGTATGATTTGTAAATAAGTTCTTCCATTTCACAGGTTATCTCTTCACTTTGTTGTTTGGTTTCTATGTGGTGCAGAAGCTTTTCACAGTTTGATAAAAACTAACTTTAACTTTATAAAAATATTCCCTGTAAAGTGTTTTTTTTTTTTTTAACAAAAAAAGGCACTTCTGAAAAATTTTAAAACACTCATCTTGCATTTAAAAAAATTAGGTGTCACATTTTGTTGGGAAAATCTAGTTCTACTGTTAGGAAACTCAAAACATGTCTTTTTCTTATTTATTCCTACCCCAAAGTTTTGTTTGTCAGCATGTAGACACAGGCTGAATAAAATATATTATATTTGCAATCATAATAGATTTAGAACTCACTCTTAGCCAAAGCTTTCAACAGTAAAAAATGCAATTTACAAAACAAATCAGCTTTGTCAAAAGACTGTTCTCTTTCCTTGATGAAACCTCACAGCAGTGATACCCTGGCATTGCGCTTCTCTTACAGTGGCAAAAGGAGGACTGTGACTGGGGTGACAGAGAAACAAGAGCCAGACAAGGATTAATGAAGCAGATGTTCAAACAATATTTTCTAGCGTCAAAATTCTGGTTTTGACACCAGAGTATATTCTGGTCCCAATCTGGGGGGCCATCTTCTTTTAAGCAACTACTCTGATCTACTTTTGCTCAGCAAATTGAAGACTCAGGAGAAGCCAATTTTATTGTCTCTGTAGCCAGTGATGTGCCTAGATGATGGTCAAAGAGGACTTTAGTTTCCAGTAATCTTAACCCTTTTATGAGTGCAAATTGATCACTTAACATTTTTTAAAAAGTCCATTTGGTATCTGACCTGTTAACCTTCATATGACGCCATGACATCTTAAAATCAGAGAAACTATTAGAAAAATTATGTCTTAAATATGGGCCTTTGTATCTTTTACCACATTCTCTCCTCTGGTGGTTATTACCTAATAATTTTTGACACTGGTGATTAAACATAAAGTTTTACATTTTATGATTCTCTTTCAAACACACAATTGCTAACGTATATATCAAGGCAAAAATTAAGCATTCTTAAAGAGTCTGTAATTATATTTATACATTAAAATGTCAACTGGGTAAAAGGAGTAACTTCAAACAATATTTTAATCTAATTGTTTTAAAACAAAACAATTAATCAGTGTTTTATCATTACTCTTAAATCTTGTGTTTTAAAAAATAGAAAAGAAAACTGATATCCTTTTTTATTAATTTAAGAGGTGATTACAATTAGGAAAATATAGTTAATTACTTGGTATTTTCATAACCACACCACATCTTTCTGATTAAGAGTAATCTCTAATCCTTTACAACTTGATTAAGAAAACATTTCTTACGCTACTATTTAGTCTTGAATATTTGGTATTTGAGGCCCCTTTTAGAGGTTAACTCATTGTTAAAGACTATGTTTAAAAACAAAAACTTTATTTTGGATGGTTTCAAGTGCCGGCAGTGCTCAGTTCTGAAACATAAGGTAAGGTCCCTGTGTAGGTAAAGTCTTGTTTTAATCAGAGTAGGAGTTCTTTGACAAACTTTATCTTCCAAAATCCCCAGCCATCACTTTCTGTGATTTCTTCAATTCTTGAGGATTAATAACATCCACATGTTCCGTGCATTTTCATGATTTCTTTCTAATCCATAAATTGTTTGCTGTGCACATCTTCCCACTCCAAGGAAAATATCGAATTAATCCATACTGAGATGCAAATGGCTAATATTAAAAAGTTACAATTTGCCCTTTGGACAAACCAACAAAATCATCTGCACTTAAGGATGTTCTAGCATCAGCATCAGCAAGTCTGAATAGTTTCATTTATTCAACAAGCAAACGTATACCTGTAACTCTCTTGGCAGAATAGAAGATTAAAAAAAAAAAAAAAAAAAAGATAACCTGTAATCCCAGCGGGTGGATCACCTGAGGTCAGGAGTGAAACCAGGCTGGCCAACATGTCAAAACCCCATCTCTACTAAAAACTACCTGGATCTGGTGGCACGCCTGTAATCCCAGCTATTCAGGAGAATAGCTGGAAAATCACTTGAGCCCAGGAGGCGGAGGTTGCAGTGAGCTGAGATCAATCCACTGCTCTCCAGCCTGGCAGGCTAGGCAACAGAGAGAGACTCCATCTCCAAAACAAAAGAAAAACAAACAAACAAACAAAAAGACATTTATCTGAACTTCAAGGATCTTACAATCTAGTTAGGCTGATGCAACAAAAAATACATGGGATTAGATGTTTCATCCTTCTTCAAAAGCCCTTTGTTCCATGAGTAGCTCAGAAACTCTGCCTGTAGGATAAAGCTTGCATGATAGCCTGGGTTTATCAGTGATGCCAAGTGTCTGTTGGCTGCAAAATCGTAGGCTCCTTGAGTATACTGACTGTCTTTTATTTGTGACTACCTAGTATTTGCAGTACATTTTTAATAAGTACTTTTTGTGTGTTCTTAAATGAATGGATATATAAATATATTATTTAGCTTTCCAAAGACTTGATTTTCTGGACGTTACCCATAGCAGGCAGTGACTGAAGCTCTCTAAGGCAAAAAGAAAAGAAGCAGCTTAAAAAAAAAAAAGACAAGAAGACAAGAGGATACCCTGTGAGTAAGGGAAACGAAGAAGAGGAGAAACCTGGATAATTGATGAAGAAGGTTGAAAGCACCGCAGCCCCTTCAGAGATCCCAAACACATGTTTACACAGCTTGAAACACCCTCACATAGGCTGATTTTGAAAGAGACATTAACCCGACCGTTTACCCGATTACCAAAAGGGCTGACCATTACCAAAGGGGTTGAAAGCATGCAATTCTTTCTTTCTTTCCTTCTCTTTCTTTCTTTCTTCTTTCTTTCCTTCCTTCCTTCCTTCCTTCCTTCCTTCCTTCCTTCCTTCCTTTCCTTTCTTTCTTTCTCTCTCTCTCTTTCTTTCTTTCTTTCTTTCTTTCTTTCTCTTTCTTTCTTTCTTTCCCTCCTTCTTTCCTTCCTTCCTTCCTTCCTTCCTCTCTTTCTTCTTTCTCTCTCTCTCTCTTTCTTTCAAAACAGAGTGTCTCTTGGTCACATAGTGGGGTGATCATAGCTTAATACAGCCTCAAACTCCTGGGCTCAAGTGATCCTCCTACCTCAGTCTCCCGAGTAGTTGGGACTACAGGCACACACCACCATATCCAGCAACTTAAAAAAAGAATATGTGTAGAAATGGGGCCTTGCCATGTTGCTAAGGCTGGTCTTGAACTCCTGGCCTCAAGTGATCCTCCAGCCTAGGCCTTCCAAAGCACTGGGATTACAGGTGTGAGCCACTGCACCTGGCGAAAAGTATTTGTTTAGAAAAAGTAAATTCACAAATACGTAATATATAGTGGTGATGGATTTGATGAGTGGTGATGAAGAGACCACAATCCTTCAAGTCAGGTAAATAAGAAAAGATTGAGAAACTCTCTCTGGTTTGGATTTATATAGAAAAAGCAAATTTCTTAAAAGTATTAGACCTTATATTTGGGAAATGATCATTGATAATGTACTATTTAAGACTAGACTCCAAAGTTTTCTGCTTCTTCATTCTGATGCTGGTAATTTAGAAAATTTGGTTTCCAAAAAATAAAATTTGATAGGATTATTTAATTATACCACATTCCTAAATTAAAAACAAGTTATTCATATTTTGGAACCATTCTTAGGTTAGATAATATTTAATTTCTGTTGTTTTGAGAACTATTTATTATTAGCTATAGGAAACAAATATTTTTATTTTTTCCTGAATGCATTATCTGATGAACCACATTTTCCCCAGGTACGAGTATTTATCTTTTTTGTAAACTCTATGTATACTACCACATTATTCAGGGATATCTTGCCCTTAGAATCATTCTGTTTTAAAAAAAGCAATCTCTGATTAGTCTTTAGTACTTTGCGCAGAAGATCTTGAAAAAAGATTTTTATGAACACTTACCAAATTCTATATATTTTATGTATTATTTCATTTAACCCTCACTATAGCCTTTTAAGTTAAATATTTTGGGGGTTTTTATTGTCCCTGTGTTATAATTGAGGAGATTGAGCTTAGAGAGTGAATCACTGAAGGTGAAAGCTCACATATAGCTCTTCAGTGATAGGGCCCAAGTTTAGACTCAACCTCGTTTCATCTTTTCAAACACAAGCTGTACCAACTAACTTAGCCTTTAAAAGGCTATTTAAATCCCATTAGTTACAGTATAAATGTTCACCAATTATTTGAAGTTTAATAAACTATAAATACTTAGTAGGAAACTCAGAAAAGCATTTAGAATAAAAGTATATGTTTATTCAAATAGAAGTTTAGTTTCATTATAAAAAGATAATTATTTTTACATATTTTTGGGAATACATATTGAGTGACAAAAAGCCTACTATTAGTTCTACTGCTTTTAATATTACTGCTGCTGCTACTACTACTCCCCAAATGCCATCATCAATGTTTTATTGTGTTACCACATCACTCAGCTAATTTTCCAAATTATCATAAAGTCAAATTTTCAAGTATTATTTATGGAAATCTTGAAGGACTGTTAGAAATTAATCCCTGGGGTAATAAAGAATTTGATCTGGTAGCTTTTATTCTTGCCTCTCTTCTCACCTCTCTCATTCTCTCCTTTCTTGTAGCAAAGTCTGCCACCTGCCTACCCCACACCTACTTAGTGGGTGGGCTTACTCTACCCACTGAGTGGGTGGGTACCACTTTACCTTAGTGGGTTTATTTCCATCCAGTTAAAATAGCACGTTTCCATACTGCTCTTGCAACCAGGGTAGTCAAATATTTAAGATTTAATTAACAAGATACAAGGAGAAATATTGTATAAGATATTTCAGAAGTCTCTTTATACAGGAGAGGGCTTGCCTCTCTTCTGTCTTCTTCTCTTCCTCCCTTCTATGGCTTGGAGCTCTGATGTGATAGCTGGGAATCAAGCAGTCATGTCTTGGAATGAAGATAAAGGCTCTGTATTGGAATAACATAGCAGGATTTGGAGGAACAGCTGTTCTAGCCCAGGACTGTTAAGAAAAATAAACTTCTATCTTGTTTATGTCTAGATTTTTGTTTTGTTTTGTTATATACAATCTGAAGCTGATCTTAACTGATGGCTCTTAACTATATTTTAGGGTTTAAAAATGAGCATGTATTAAGTATGCATATAGAAATAGTGCCCTACTTCCTTTAGATCTAGGTGCAATTTTAGAAACATTGCCAAACTTCCTTATGCCTTAATTTGGGTTTTTTTTTCAAGAGTTTCCTCTCTCCCCATTTTTATAAGAAGGTGGGATATGCATTATGCTTTCTTTGATATGAGATATGAGATAATATATGTGAAATTGCTGTGTAAATTATGTGGTGTTACACAGAGTTCCTGGATTATTATTTTTAAATTTCTTTCCCACACATTGAAATTTGATACCATCTGACTGCATCCCTAAGTCTTTTCAACCTCCAGAGGAAGATGAGTTAGATGCCCAGTGTAGCGGCCAAGTCTCTTTTTTGTACTTCATGTAAAGTTGAGGCAAAAGCAGAAGAGTTCTAGTTACATTATACTCAAGTTGTAATGAAAACCAGAAATCTTTTATTCCTATCAATTTATGATTCTGCTTGCTTATGGTCTGTGTGCCCAAAGGCTATACAAGGAAAACATTGTATTAATCTACAAAATGAACAAGTGCAATAAAGCTTTGGGTAACATTTTACAATGTATTAAACAATAACATAAACAAAATTGTGGCTACTTTGAAGACTATAGGAACTATCCAGTGTTAAATTGTGAATGGAAAAATAATGGCCTAATACCACCAACAAGAAAACGAATAAATTGTTCGTGTCAAAATGAGAATTATTGTGACCAGTTGTCAAGGACTTTTACATTAAGATGCTTTTAAATTTTTAGATTTAAATTTGGAAATATGTGAGTAAACGATGTATTGTGAAAAAACTACATCAAGGCTATAATTACCACAAAGAGAATAAAGTACATTTCAGTAGGCCATTTTATGGTGGTGACATGAAATTTTTTTTTGCAAATTGTAGAGATAATTCTATTTTAAAATTTTCTTTATTAAGTCTTTTAGATTTTCACAGGAAATCCTAAATGATTTTAGAAAATAAGAGAGACAGAGGGAAAGGAAGAAAGGTAAGAAAGAAGCAAACAGGTAGTGAGAGGATAAGAAAGAGAAGAAGAGCATAGAATATAATTTCTAAGAGGACATAAAAAATTACAAAAAGTGAGGGGAGAATAAAGAGTAATGTGATGTATATTCTATAGGAGAACGTATAACAAATTTCATCATTTCTAACAGATTACCATTAATTCACTTTTTTTTTTGGTTATTTCTGTCACTTTTAGAAGCAAAAACACAGGAGCAAGGACATTTTTACATATTATTTTCATCAACCAGCAAGTGCTTAAACACATAATGTCAAAGGAAAAAGAAAAAAAAGACTCTACCAGATGTCAGTTAAGTATAGGTGGAAGAGAATGGAGAATGAGAAAATGTCTGCAAGAACAAACGTAAGATTTTTCTCCTTAGTTATCATTACTGGACTTGTAATCTTTATGGAGCTAATGCTTTCATTACTTATTGATTTACTGTACTAGTAATTACACTAACATCGACCTGCATTTGCTTTCCTGCATACATGTTGAATTTGTTTGAGAGCTAATTGTGATTAAGTAACTGTAATTCTCCAAAATAATGCAGTGGATATATTGAAGTCCTACTGTGTGCAAGGCTCAGCGTTGGCAGTGGGATTACAAAAAAACAAAACAAAACAAAACATTTTGCCTTCCTTCTTAATTTTAAGAAGCTCTCAGACTACTCTGGGGATTTGTCATGATGCTAGAAAACTATAATACAGAATAAAATAAAGAGAATCTCATAACATTGTAAACATTTGCTGTGGGGATTCAAAGAAAAGAGAGAGGACTTATTATTGGACTTATTATTTAGCAGAATTAAAAAAAAACTTATGAACAGGTGGCATCTGAGTTGTATAACCTGGACCATTCTACCTATGTTCAGTGTATTAGGCCATTCTTGTGTTGCTGTAAATAAATACCTGAGGCTGGGCAATTTATAAGAAAAGAGATTTACTTGGCTCACTGCAGGCTGTACAGGAAACTTAGTGCCATCTGCTTCTGGGGAGGCCTCAGGAAGCTTTTACTCATGGCAGAATGTGAAGGGGGAGCAGGTGTCTCACATGGTGAAAGCAGGAGCAAGAAAGAGAGAGGGTGCAGGGTTGAGGAAGGGATGGGGAGGTGTTGCACACTTTTAAATGACCAGATCTCGTGAGAACTCACTATCATGAAGTCAGCATCAAGCTGTGAGGGATCTGCCCTCATAATCCAAACACCTCCCCCAAGGCCCCACCTCCAACATTGGGGATTAGATTTCACCATGAGATTTGGGCAGGGACAAATATCTACACTATATCACTCAGTAAACCTCAGTTTCTTTCTTTATAATAGTGAAATAATAGCATCTACTCCATGGGACTGTTGTTGAAGGATTAAATAAAATATTAAGTACTCAGAACAGTGCCTGCATGTCATAGGCACTGTTTAAGAAGTGTTAGTTATTAAAAATTTGTAATAATAATTATTGTTAAACTTAAACATGTATTCTTAAAATTCCAGAAAGACCTAAGTCTTTTTTTCATTTTTTTGAGGCACCTAGCATATTAATAAATAAATGACAAGTAGGAAATTATAAGAAATTATAATTAAGAAATTAATAACATATAAGAAATTAATACTTTTAACACCAAGAATTATAATATCTGTCAATCAATGTAACCACTTTTGAAGTAAATGTGAGGTCTTTTGTATATATAACATTTAAAGCAAATGGCCCTCCCCATCCCATAATAGGCCCTGAGATTAAGAAATGGACCCATGTAAGAAGGTAGAGTTGGAAGGGAGGCATTTCGTGTGGAAGAAACAAAAGTGCCAGAACTATCGAGGAAAGAAGATACAGGGGGAGCTTGGGGAATAATGAATTGTTGATTTTAGTTGGTGTCTTTGTTTATGCTGCTGTAACAAAATATCACAGACTGTATAATTTATAAACAGTAGAGATTTATTTCTCACAGTTCTGGAGGTGAGGAAGACCAAGATCAAGGTGCTGGCAGGTTCCATGTCTGGTGAGGGCTCTCTGTATCCAAGACGACACATTGTTGCTGCATCCTCCAGAGTGGGGGAATGCTGTGTCCTCACATGGTAGAAGGGAAGAAAGGGGTGACCTTGTCCCTCAAGTCTTTTCATAAGGCACTAATCAATTTATGAGGGTAGAGCCTTTAATGGCCTATCAGCTCCTAAAAGCCTCGCCTCTCAATACTATTGCATTAGGAATTAAGTTTCAACATGAATTTTGGAGGGGCACAAACGTTCACACCATAGCAGTAGGGGCATAGGAAATCTTTAAGAAGAAAATACAGATACTTGGAGGCACATGATGGTACATTCTAAAACACTGAATTCAGTAGGGAATAAGAGATCAGTTCCTTGAGTCTCTATATGTGTGTACATGTATACGTGTGTACATGTATATGTGTATAGTGGTCATATAATTGGAATTGTATCTTAAAGGGATCACTTGACAAAAGTATGAGTGTAGATCTGATAGAGGCAGGTGTCAGAGAGATCCTCAGGGAGAGCATTAGAATGAGGGCATCAACATGACATTGGGAAGGAAAATGGAGGAAGACAGAAAAGATGATGCTGGGGATAGAGATGTACAATATCAGTTCCTGCCTCACATTGATTTCAACAGATAGCCTTGCGTATCCCCTTTATACTGGTATTATAAATAGCAGCCATTAGATTGAAAAACAAAACAAAACAACAAAACAACCGAGCTCCTTCAGCAAATTGTGTCCTTCCTAATTTACAGATTCATCTTTCCCCACAACTATCTTTCCCCAATCTCTTCCTGCCCCAGAAGAAGGAGAATGACTCTCCAGATGACCTCATTTCTCCATCTTGGAATCATGAAAGTATCCTTCTGTGAAAATGTTTCCATTCTAGTCTGGAACCCATCTGCTTCTATCCCCACAGAAAACCCGTGAATCCATTGCCTTCTATTGTATCTTCGACTCTCCCCCTCTCCTGATTCTTTCCCCCAGATTTAAACCATTCATAATTTCTACCTCTGGCCCATTTATTTCCTCTTTCATTTCTGCTTTACCAACAGTTCATTCTTTGGCTTAATTCTCTTTTCATTCTACACACCTCACCTATGCCATTGGCTTCAGTTATCACCAATGTGTTTATGATTTTTAAATCTCTGTCACAATTACCACCCATATAGCCAACAGGTTGTTGAAATGACTGTTTTATCAAAAGTGGAACTCATGATCTGATTCTCAACCCTCTTGCTTCTGTACTTTATATATCTTAGAGTGGCAGCACAGTCATTTTAATCTACCAAACTATAAGCCTGTGAGGAATCCTAGATGCCTGTTTCCCTCATGATTTTTCACTAACCAGTTTCTAACTCTTGGGCAGCATCAGTTGGGCTTCTTTGGATGAAAACAACATACAGAGACAAGAACTTACTGGCAGCCCATGAGGACTACACCAGGGTTTGGAAGGCTGAAAAATTAGTCTTAAATCTGGCAGTTCTGGAAAGCTAGGGAGGAGGAATTGAAGCAATATTGGTTTTCTCAGTGTATATAAGGCACGTCAAAGAGGGCTGCAAATTCCATGACATTCCTTCAATTCAGAGATTGAGACCACTTCCCCTCCCCTTGTATCTGGATTATCCTGTGACTGTTATGACTGATAGAGTACAGAAGAAAAATGCCATGACAGTTGCAGACGTCACCTTCAAAAGGACTAACTTGGGTTCCTGGAACTTCCATGTAGGAAGTCTAACTACTCTACAGCAGTGGTGTCATGGGGAGAACCTGAGAATACAGAAGGGTAGAGAAACCCAGTTAAGCTCAGCTTCCTAGTCATCCTCACCCAGACAACAGGCATGTGAGGGAATTGATTTTCAGCCGATGGTTCCTAGGGCAGAAATATTTAGCCCTGGCCAAGCCTAAACCACTAAATTATGAGATATAATTAAATGGTTATTTCCACCCCCTACATTTTAGAGTGGTTTGATGACCAGAACCAAAGGAATAGTCTGGTGAGGGCCATGTGTCTAAATGAAGCAACTTTAACATTTTATTCCACGTTCATGTTTTTTTTTATACAAGAATCCAAGCTAGGACACAACTTCTGATAGCGTAAGTGTAAGTTCTGTGCCTTCCCTCTCTATGTAGACAGATAATTAGAGAAAGTAGCAGGCTCACTTGGTTTCCATTAAAAAAAGAAGTAATTTGAATTTATCATCCACTGAGGCAGCATGTAATAGAGAAAATATAATTTCCCCAAAAGGAAGTTGGGTGCTGTTTGAAATGGGGAGTGAATGCTGAACAATGCTGTCAAATTACAAATGTCCACCAAATGTGGCTTCTTCCTCTAAATATCTTCTGAATAATTCTTCATGTCAACAAATTAGTTCAGGCTTCATCTGCTCTCAGGATTATTGTAATAACCTCCTAATTGGTGTTTGCTTCCACATTTATATATTTATTTATTAGCTACCACATATAACTTTTTAAAACAAAAATGGCATGAATAACTTGACATTCACATACAAAAGAATACATTTGGACCTTTCCCTCAAACCATAGACAAAAATGAACACAAAATGGATCACAGATCTAGATGTAAGAGCAAAAACTATAAAACTCCTAGGAGAAAATAGAGGAGTAACTTTCCAGGGCCCTGGGCTATACAATGTTTTCTTGGACGTGGCACCAAAAAGCACAAGCGAAAAAATAAAATATAGCTAAATTGGACATTATAAAAATTACAATTTTTCATGCATCAAAGGATGCCACCAATAAAATGGAAAGACAATAGAATGAGAGAAGATAATAGCAAATCATATATTTAATAAGGAACTTGTATCCAGAATATATAAAGAACTCTTGCAATACAATAGCCCAATTTAAAAATTGGCAAAGGATCTGAATTGACATTTCTCCTATGAAGATGTGCAAATGACCAATAAATGTATCCCATCAGTAATGTATGAGAACTCTAAATTCTCTACATACTTGCCAACACTTGTTACTATGTATCTTTTTATTTTATTCATTCTAGGAGGTTTAAAGGGGTCTCATTGAGGTTTTATCTGCATTTCCCTAATGGCTAATAATGTTGGCAAGGATGCGGAGAATTTAGAACTCTCATACATTACTGATGGGATACAAAATAGTACAGCCACTTTGAATAATAGTTTGACACTTTAAAAACTTATTAAGCATACGTATGACCCAGAAATTCCACTCCTAGGTATATATACAAGAGATAAATGGAAGATATGTTCATGCAAAAACTTGTACATGAATGTTCATAGTACCATTATTTATAATAGGTAAAATGTGGAAACAACCTAAATTTCCATCAATGGATGCATTAACAAAATGTAGTATATCCATGCAAGTGAATATAATTCAGCCATAAAAAAGAATGAAATGCTGATACATGTTATAACATGGAAGAATCTTCAAAACGTTACGCTAAGTGAAAGAAGCCAGTAAAAAAGACTACATACTGTACGATTCCATTTGTGCGAAATGTCCAGAATAGGCAAATCTCTAGAGAAAGAAAGTAGATTAATGGTTGTTAGGGGCTAGGCAAATAGGTAGTGACTACTAATGGGTATGAGTTTTCTTTGGGAGTGATAACAATATTTTAAAATTAGATAGTAGTGATGATTTCATGACTCGGTGAACATATCGAAAACCACTGAATTGTGCACTTTAAATTGGTAAATTTTATATTATGTGAAATTTATCTAGATAAGACCAAAGGAAAAAAACATGGTGAAGTCACAGTTACTTAAAAGCCTTCTATGGCTCTTCACTGTCTGCAGTCTGCAGGCACACTTCTCTGGCTGGGACATGTATATTCTCTTCAGGGTCAAATCTAAACTTCATTAGGATGATGTAGAAATCTTTGTTGCTATTTCTCAGCCTTTAGTATCTTTCCCATTTCTTGACATGCGTTAATCCACCCATTCTTTCTTCTAGCCATGCAGAACTACTTATACCTGGCTCTACGTGCTTCTCTGACTTTGATCATTTGTTGCCCTCGATGTCATCCTCATCCCACCACACCAACTCTTATCCCATATCATATCAAACTGCTACTCATTCTCTAAGACTTACTTTGCATGTTTTTTTCCAGGTTATCAGTAATCATTGTTGGCTCACATAAATGACTCTGACTAACTCGGACAATAAAATGAGTGTTTTGAAAAGATACAAGATGGATACAGGTAGGTATAGGTAGCTCAAAGAACAAAAACAACCCAACAACTAAACATTCAAGGCACAGAAAAAAACCTTTATGAATCTAGACTGTAGGAACTAATGACTCATCTTTTCATAGAAAAGGTCCTTGGAATGGGTCAGTTCTGGTTTTGCATTCTGTGATATTCAGTTCAAGGTTCATGACTCAAAGGAAGAAATTATCTCATTGCCTTTGCTTGGGTAACATGTCCATGTCTCAACCATGGGCTGGTTGGGTATTTTGGTGGACATGTCACCAAGATTGCATATAATAGGTTGTCCTACATTTCTAAGCCTCCAGGAAGTGAAATGAGACCACACGACTATTTGAACCACAGGAGGACATGATATGTCTAAGCTAAAGCAAAGAGGAGCCAGTGCAAGGTGGTCTAGTTGTTTCTGCCATGTATTCTACATGGTGTAGCTAAATGAGATAGAATATTTGTCAGTCTTGGTCCCTGAGTGCCTGTGGTCAAATGAACTCCTCTCTACCTTGTATAGGAAATGTAGCATGAATAAAACTGTGTAGTGTGAGCAAGAAATAAAATGATAAAATGTTGCCTTTGCTTTTACTAACCTATTGAGACTAAAATATTTCTCAAATTAAAATTGAGTCAATGTCACCAGAAAAAAAAAAAAAAAAAAAAGGAAATGGATGCTGAGCAAGCAAAACTAACAGCTACCTACTAAATCCAGTGCGGCTCTCTGACCTCCCTGGGGAGAGTTAACGCTTCCTATTCTTGCTTTCACAGTACTTTGGTATATATCTTTACCAGCACATGTTAAATAGCTGTAATTATTTGATTGCATTCCTTTTTCTTCCACCAGCTGCTGAGCTTGATACCAAAAAGACAATGAGCAAATATTTGTTAAATAAGAGAACAAATAAATGAGTAAAGAAGGAAAAAGTGAAAGAAAGACAAATCTGGTAATTAGGTGATCATCTCTGTTATATATAAAAGAGACCCATGGTGTTCTCTTAATAGTTTTTCCTTTTGTGTATATTCATGCTTTGTTTCACTCTTTGGTAAATGACAGATGCTCCAGAGCAAAATGGGTAAGTTGCAGCCCGCTCGTCACCTAGCCTGCAAATTTGTTTAAGTGGTTTTAGTCTGCTCAGTGTCTTAAACATTTTCACTTAGTGGCCATTTAAAAATTTACCGAAATATTTGGAGTTGCAGTTTCTCTTGAAAAATTGGAATAGCTGATAACAGTAAGCCCCTATTCCCTTATGGCAACACTTAGCTGGCACTCTGGTGCTTTGCTTCTCACATACAGAGGAAGTTCCTCCACTTTGCATAGAGTCTGTCTAACCTGTTTCCCCCGTTAAAGTTACCTGCCAGACTGCTTTGATGGGCATTTTTTCCTAAGATCCCTGCAAACCCTTTTGGAAATGACAACTTGTTTAAAAGGTCTTTTCTGGGACACCAAGACTATTGACTGCTCTGTGGATGTGAGAATTCCCCTTTCCAGTTAAAACTAGAACTCTGACTTCACATATCATGAATAAACTGTTAAAGTTTGAAAAACCACTTGGGTAAAGCGTTTGTTATATATTATTCTGTAATGGTCACTGTCTACTAAAGGTGCAGGTGATTAACTTTTACTTGGTGATTTCTTCAATTTTAGGAAAACATTTTTGATTTGGTCTTGATGTAGTTTAAATGCATTGTATGAACTTCTTTTTTTCTGAAAGAGTATAATTTGGTTCATAAATTGCAGATGGTGGAATCATGGTAAATGAATATCCTCATTGCTCAGAAAATTAATTCTTTTGACAGAATCATTCACTTAAAATGGAGTGAATATTTAAATTTATATATTAAGAGATTTGAATGGAGTATCTATGCCTTCATTTTCATATACTGCTTCCTTCAATAATTTCATAGTTCATTTCCCTTTTATTGAAGTTAGGGGCATTTGAGTCATAATTGTAGGTTCCCATTGCCAAACATTTTTCTTTCATTCATTCTCTCTTCATTTTTTTTTTCTTCTTTGTGTGGTATTTATGGTTCCCTTGCATTTGCTGTCAGGTGGAAATGGTCATACCAATACATGTAACTTTAACAATTGGTCTCAGGCTGCACAGGATGGTGGTTAGAGTTGGTCTGGCTGGGATAAAATCCAAGAGTCTCCATCTTTTGCTATGTGACCTTGAACAATCTGCTGAACCTATCTGATGAACTCTGTTTTCTTGTGTATATAATGACGATAATAATGAGTTGTTCTAAAGAATGTATCTGCCCACTGATTTTTGTTTTGGCTTCTGATCACTACATGCCCCTTCCTGCCTTTATTCTCTGCTTTTGCCATTATCCTTGACTATAATAATTTTCCAGTGCCTCGTACTTATCGGAATTCCTCTTGTGCTTGAAGGTCTAGCTCAAATAACATCCTTTCTCATCCTTTTTTTGAATGCAGAACTCTTCATTTTGGAACTGTAAATTTGGCACTTGTATGTCATTTATCTTCAGAATTTCTGTTAATGGAAGCAAATGAGGAGGAGATTATGGGGCTAGAAATAGATGACCTACAATTTTGTTAAAAGAAAACAAATACATTTGAATTATACAGGGTCAGAATAACCATGGTTTAGCACATCCCTGGGAGTTATGTATCTTCAAGCAATTCTTGGTATCATATAGCAGTAGGAGTCAAGCCTTAAGGCAGGGAGAGTGACAGAGAGAAGGGGAGTTAGACGCAGGGAAAGTTGAAAGAAACAGCAAAGTAGATGAGTTTTCAGCAGAGAAGCTGGAGGAAATCAAGGCCACCTGGGATTGTGCTGACTTTTAATCTCAGTTCATCGTGTAGTCAACCCCTGAATGACAAACAGGGCTCAGCAAACATTTTTTGTAAAGGCCCAGAAAGTAAATATTTTAAGCTGTATGTTCTATGTTATTAATTCAACTATTCAATGCTGCCATTTTAGCACAAAAGCACCCATAGACAATATGAAACAAATAGGCATGGCTATGTTCCAATAAAACTTTATTTATGTATTAGAAGGCAGACTGGATTTGAGCTGTTGCTTGTTGACTAGTTGAACTAGAATCTTTATAAACAAAATATAGACCTTTGAGAAAAGGGCTGTGTCTCCCTCTTACATCTTTAACTGTCAATATAGTTCGATTTTAAAGATTCATTAAGGATGAAGATTATTTGCAGCATAACACATCTCATTTATAATATATGTCTATTAATCCACTCTGATACCTGGAATGTTTTCCTCCTATGCCATATTTGTATTGACATTTACTCTTTTGGAGGCAACAGTTTTAATTCCTAAATATGCTCTCTGTAGTACATTTTATGAATGTTTCATTAGTTAAAAATAATGTAATACTTTCTATATGAGTTTCATAAATTGCTTCTACCAAATTTAATTTATACACACTCTGAAAAATAAATGAGCATTATGTATTAAGTTTAAAAAAAGGAAGAAAAGACCTTACATACCAACTAACTCCAACTGATTGGTAGTTGTTTTCTGTAATTTTTTGATGATATAAATTTGATGACATGACATAAAGCTACCAGTCCCAAGAGTCGGAAAGCAGTAATTGACTGATGTTGTTTGCCATGGATGGGGTGAGGGTGAAGAAGGTAGTAGTCTTGACATTCAGATCATGTATCTGGCAAATAGTACAAAAAATTCTATATACATATGTGTGTGTGTATGTGTGTATGTATTCTGTGAGTGTGTGTTTATGTTTGAAAGATACTCACCAAATTATTTACTTGGATTTTCTGGATAGCTCAGTGATGGGAGAATTTATTTTTCTTTTTGATTTGGGATTATGTGGAATTTCGAAATTTTTTACAGTGAAAAATGTTACTTTTGGGATTTTTGCTTCTGGTAGTATGAAAGGACTAGATACCCTAAAAAATCGTTCTGCTGCAAGACAACCTAGCTGCCAGATAATGTGCATGAAGTATATTTTTTATGCATTTCTGTACTTTCAGTAGAGTTAGGAAAATAATTAATAAACCATTTGATACCACTGTTACGAGGGGGTCCTTGCTCCCGAGCTCCCAAGATGGTGGCAGGCCACTTCCAAGATGGTGGCAAGCCTCGTGTTCTCTGACCTGGGGTTCTTGGCCTCACAGATTCCAAGGAATAGAATCTTGGGCCATGCAGTCAGTGTTATAGCTCTATTAGAACCTGCGGGTCACAGAAGAGAACCATGGAACCCAGTGACTAGTGTTCAGCTCTATTAGGACGAACCCAGGCACTTAGCCATGCAGGAACAATGGCAAGCCTTTAGCCCGATCGGGAGTGGCAATGGGCGCCTCGATGGATCAGGAGCACAGCGGACACCCTGCCAGATCTGGAGGGATGGAAGTCAGCGGTGGGTCTGCGAAAGCGCAAACAGGAGTGGTGGACAGCAAGTGAAAGCTCACCTCGAGCCGTAAGGAACACGGAACAAAAGAGAGTGCAGTTGCAAGATTTAATAGAGTGAAGACAGAGCTCCCATACAAAAAGAGAGGACCCAAAGAGGTAGCTATTGCCGGCTCAAATCCCTGGGTTTATATCCCGATCATTGTCCGTCTGCTGTGCTCTCAGGCGAAAGATGATTGGCTATTTCTTTACCCCCTGTTTTTGCCTAATTAGCATTTTAGTGAGCTCTCTGACTGGTCAGGTGTGAGCTAAGTTGCAAGCCCCGTGTTTAAAGATGGACGCGGTCACCTTCCCAGCTAGGCTTAGGGATTTTTAGTTGGCCTAGGAAATCCAGCTAGTCCTGTCTCTCACCACTAGGATCAGTGAAGTCCTAAAAGTAAATGTCAATGCCAGTGCTGATACCAAAAGGCTAAACTGTGGCTGCTACACATTGAAGGGGATGAATCTCTCACTCCTTCATTAAGCTGGAAACTTAAAAGTGCTAAAGTGGTCCTACGATAATCCTACAACTCTCCTCCAGAATAAAAAATTCCAAATGTGTAACAGTGATAGTCCTACAGGTCCAGTTCAACAAAATTTGAGCTCACAATAAAAAAGGAAATCATCAAACACAAAATGAAATAAGGAACCATGAGTGAGAATCAGCAAAATCAATGATGGTTTAAGATCCCAACTGAAGAGGTTAGTTACTAGAATGATCAGACATAGAACACAAATATAAGCATAGTATAGTATACATTTAAATAAGTAGGAAGTTGAATAAAAATTGAGCAAAGAACAAAAGGCTATCAAGAATGACCAATCAAATTGACTTTTTAGAAATATGAAATGTAACTGCTGAAAATTAGACTCTAGATGGGTTATACAAGGCATTACACACTGTTGAAGGGAGCATGAGGGAACTAAAAGATAGATTCAAATAAACTACTTGATATGGTTTGGATATTTGTTTCCTCCAAATCTCATGTTGAAATGTGATCCTCAGTGCTGGAGATGGTACCTAGTGGGAGGTGTTTGGGTCATGGGGCCTCATGAATGGCTTAGTGCCATCTTCACAGTAATGAATGAGTTCTCACTTTGTGAGTTTATGTGAGATCAAGTTGTTTAAAAGAGACTGGCACCTCCTCCCTCTCTTGCTTCCTCTCTTGCCATGTTATATGCCTGATCCCTTTTCATCTTCTGCCATCACTGTAAGCTTACTGAGGCACTCACCAGAAGCAGATGCTGGCACCATGCTTCCTGTACAGCCTGAAGAACTGTGAGCCAATTAAATCTTTTTTCTTTATAAATTATCCCATCTCAGATATTCTTTTCTAGTAATGGAAAATGAACTAAAACACAAAATTGGTGCTGAGGAGTGTAGCATTGCTATATAGATACTTGAAAATGCAGAAGCAATGGGAAGAGATTGAAGATTTTGGAGGATCAGAAGAAGACAAGAAGATAAGGGAATGTTTGGAACTTCTTAGTGACTAGTTAAATAATTGTGACCAAAATGTTATTACATGTATGGGCAGTGATGGCCAGGCTGACAAGGTCTCAGATGGAAATGAGGACTTTATTGGGAACTGGAGTAAAAGTCACTTGTGTTACACCCTAGCAAAGGGCTTGGCTACGTTATGTCTGCATCGTAGGGATCTGTAGAAGGTTGAACTTATCTGTGATGACTTATGGTATCTGGTGGAAGAAATTTCTAAGCAGCAAAGCTGGCTGCTCCTCACAACTTAGGATCAAATAGGAGCAAAGGAATGACTTAAAGTTGGAACTTACATTTAAAAGAAAAGCAGGGCATAAAAATTTGGAAAAATTGCAGACTAGTCGTGTGGCAGAGAAAGGAAACACTTTTTCAGGAGAGAAATGCAAGCACCCTTTGGAGCAAGGAATGCTAGAGAGATTTGCCTAACAAAAAGGGAGCCAGGTGGTAATATCCAAGACAATGGGAAAAAAGCCTCCAAGATATTTCAGAAGTCTTTGGGACAGCCCTTCCCATCACAGGCCCAGAGGCCTAAAAGCAAAGAATGGTTTCAGGGGCCAGGCCTGGAACACCACTGTCCTGTGCAGCCTTGGGATGCTGCTCCCTGCATCCAAACTGCTACAGCTCCAGCCTTGGCTCAAAGGGCCTCAGATACAGCTTGGGCCACTGCTTCAAAAGGTGCAAGCTGTAAGCCTTGGTGGTTTCCATGTGGTGTTAAGCCTAAAGGTGCACAGAATGAAAGCATGAAGGAGGCTTGGCAGCTTCCCCCTAGATTTCAGAGGCTGTATCGGAAAACTTGCTTGCTTAGGCAGAAGCCCGCTGCAGGGGTGGTGCCCCTGTAGAGAGCCCTTGTTAGGGCAGTGCCAAGGGGAAATGTGGGGTTGGAGCCTCCACACAGAGTTCCCATTGGGGCACTGATTATTGGAGCTATGGGAATGGGGCCACTCCAGCCCCCAATGGTAGACTCGTTGACAGCATGCACTCTGAGCCTGGAAAAGCCACAGGCACTCAATTCCAACATGTGAGAGCAGCTGCGGGGCTGTATCCTGCAAAGCCATAGGATTGGAGCAGCCCAAGGCCTTGGGAGTTCACCTCTTGTACCAGTGTGTCCTGGATGTGGGAAATGTATTCAAAGGAGACCATTTTAGAGTGTTAAGATTTGATTAATGCCTCACTGGGTTTCAGACTTGTGTGGGGCTTGTTTCTCCTTTCTTTTGATCAATTTCTCTCTTTTGGAGTAGGAATATTTACCCAATGTCTATACCATCATTGTATTTTGGAAGTAAGTAACTTGATTTTAATTTTACAGGCTCACAGTTGGCAGGAACATTCCTTGAGTCTGAGATGAGACTTTGGACTTTTTGAGTTGATGCTGAAATGAGTTGAGACTTTTGGGGACCATTGGGAAGGAATGATTGTATTTTGTAATGTGAGAAGGATGTGAGATCTGAGGGGCCAGGGAGGGAATAATGGCTTGGATGTTAGTCCCCTGAAAATCTCACGTTGAAATGTGTTTCCCAATGTTGGAATTGTGGCTAGTGGAAGGTGTTGGCGTCATGGGGGTAGATCCCTCATCAGTGGCTTAGTACCATCTTCCCAATAATGAATGAGTTTTCACCCTGAGTTCACGTGAGATCTGGTTGTTTAAAAGAGCCTAGCACCTCCTTCCTCTCTCTGGCTCCCTCTCTCGTCATGTGAGAGGTCTGCTCCCACTTCACCTTCGGTCATGATTGTGAGCTTCATGAGCCCTTACCAGAAACAGATGCTGGTGCCATGCTTCCTGTATAGTCTACAGAACTGTGAGTCAATTAAACCTCTTTTCTTTATGAATTACCCAGCTGCAGGTATTATTTTATAGCAACGCAAAATGGACTAACATAGTACCCACATATGGTATAGGGAGACAAGGATGCATGTGAGAAGTTAATACGTATGCAGAATAGAATAAGAAAGGCTGGTATACTCCCAGTCGAAGTCGCAGGAAAACACACTAGAAATAATGGTGTAGACAAGAAAATGTCTTAGACTTTTCTACAACTTATGAAAAACACGAGTTCACAAATATGAAAAGCAAAGTATATAAAATTCAGAGGTTAAAAAATTTAGACAACTCTAGTGAACCCGCAGAATACCAAAGTCAAAAGAAAAGTCTTAAAAGGACTTGAAGAGAAAAGCCAGATTAATCTCAAATTGAATGGAAAGCAGACGTTCAGCAGCAACAATGGAAGCAAGAAGGTAACTAACATCTGGTTCTCAGAGAAAATGACTGTTAAACTGAAGTTGTGAACAAAGAAAAACTATCTTTTAAGAAAAAGGGTAAAATAGGAGAAAGGTTATTCACTGGGGGATTTTGTTTAAAATTGTATTTCTTCTTTAAATAAAATTAGTGGCTTTAAATAAAATTTTGGCATGGGGTTTTCTTTGCTGGAAATTTTTATTTACATACTTAATCTTTAAAACAGATATAGGATTTTCTTTCTGTGCAACAACAAAGTAGCTGTATTTTCCAGAAAAATTTAAAATTTAATCTAAAGTTTCAAATTTATTAGCATACAGTCATTCAAAATGTTTAGTTATTATCCTTTGGGATACATTGTGAAAGCACTTTTTCAGTTCTGATATTATTTGTGTCTTTTCTCTCTTCCTTGCTTATATACTCATCAAGATTTTATCAGCTTTTAAAAATAATTTCATCCTTGGGCCTCATTGCTACTATTTTATATGTCTTTTCTATGTTATTAATTTCTGTTCTTTCACAACTTTCTTTTGTTTTAACGTGCTGTTATTGTGTTCGGAATTGGTGGGTTCTTGATCTCACTGACTTCAACAATGAAGCCACGGAGCCTGGCGGTGAGTGTTACAGTTCTTAAAGGCAGTGTGTCTGGAGTTTGCTCCTTCTGGTGTTCGGATGTGTTCGGAGTTTTTTCCTTCTGGTGGGTTCATGGTCTCGCTGGCTCAGAAATGAAGCTACAGACTTTCCTGATGAGTCTTACAGCTCTTAAGGCCGTGCGTCTGGAGTTGTTCGTTCCTCCCCATAGGTTTGTGGTCTCGCTGGCTTCAGGAGTGAAGCTGCAGACGTTCACCGCCAGTGTTACAGCTCATAAAAGCAGTGTAGACCCAAAGACTGAGCAGCAATAAGATTTATTATTGCAAAGAGCAAAAGTACAAAGCTTCCATCACATGGAAGAGGACCCCAGCAGATTGTCACCGCTGGTTGAGGCAGCCTGCTTTTATTCTCTTATCTGGCCCCACCCACATCCCGCTGATTGGTCCATTTTACAGAGAGCCGATTGGTCTGTTTTACAGAGAGCTGATTGGTCTGTTTTGACAGGGTGCTGATTGGTGCGTTTACAATCCCTGAGCTAGACAGAAAAGTTCTCCATGTCCCCACTAGATTAGCTAGATACAGAGTGTTGATTGGTGTATTTACAAACCCTGAGCTAGACACAGAGTGATGATTGGTGCATTTACAAACCTTGAGCTAGATACAGAGTGCCGATTGGTGCATTCACAATCCCTTAGCTAGACATAAAGATTCTCCAAGTCCCCACCAGATTAGCTAGACACAGAACGCTGATTGGTGCATTTGCAAACCTTGAGCTAGACACAGAGTGCTGATTGGTGCATTTACAAACCTTGAGCTAGATACAGAGTGCCGATTGGTGCATTCACAATCCCTTAGCTAGACATAAAGATTCCCCAGGTCCCCACCAGACCCAGGAGCCCAGCTGGCTTCACCCAGTGGATCTTGCACCAGGGCTGCAGGTGGAGCTGCCCACCAGTCCCGTGCCATGTGCCTGCACTCCTCAGCCCTTGGGTGGTCGATGGGACCCGGTGCTGTGGAGCAGGGGGCTGCCCTCGTCTGGGATGCTTGGGCCGCGCAGGAGCCCAGGGCAGGCGGGAGGAGGCTCAGGCATGGTGGGCTGCAGGTCCCGAGCCCTGCCCCATGGGGAGGCAGCTAAGGCCCGGTGAGAAATTGAGCACAGCAGCTGCTGGCCCAGGTGCTAAGCCCCTCACTGCCCGGGGCCGGCAGGCCAGCCAGCCACTCCGAGTGCAGGGCCCACCAAGCCCACGCCCACCCGGAACTCGCGCTGGCCCACAAGTGCCCTGCGCGGCCCCGGTTCCCGCCTGAGCCTCTCACTCCACACCTCCCTGCAAGCTGAGGGAGCTGGCTCCGGCCTTGGCCAGCCCAGAAAGGGGCTCCCACAGTGCAGCGGCAGGCTGAAGGGCTCCTCAAGCGTGGCCAGAGTGGGTGCCAAGGCCGAGGAGGTGCCAAGAGCCTGCGAGGGCTGCCAGCATGCTGTCACCTCTCATTATTTTCCTAAAATTCTTGGCATGAGAGCTCAGGGTGGCTTCTCCACCTTTCTGCTTGTCTTTTTCTTTTTGAGACTGAGTCTTGCTCCATCACCCAGGCTTGAGTGCAGTGGCACGATTTCCCCTTGTTGCAATCTCTGCCTCCCGGGTTCAAGCAATTCTCCTGCCTCAGCCTCCTGAGTAGCTGGGATTACAGGCGCCTGCCACCACACCTGGCTAATTTTTGTATTTTTAATAGAGACGGGGTTTCCCCATGTTGGCCAGGCTGGTCTCGAACTCCTGACCTCAGGTGATCTGCCTGCCTCAGCCTCCCAAAGTGCAGGGATTACAGGCATGAGCCACTGCCATCTTTCCGTTTTTCTAAAATCTATTTTTAAATTCAGTAGTTCTCAAAGTTGACCCCCAGACCAGCAACATTGGCATCACTCAGGAGTTCGCAGTTTCTGGAGCTCACTCAAATTTATTAAAACCAAAATTCTGAGGAGTCGTCCAGCAATTTGTGTTCTCTCAGAATTAATAACCAAAAATTGTTCATAACAGTTAATGAGATTAAAAAGTAGGTTAAAACTAGGCTAAAAGCCATATATGCAGGTGAAATTATTCATTTTCTGTAAGAGACAAATATTGTCCCTGAATATATTCTAAACTACATTTGATTAAGAATATTCTGGCAACATCAATACCAAAAATAAAGCAAAATCACATACAACACAAAATTCTTACTGAAGTAGAAAGACTGATCACTGTATTATTAAAAACAAAGATTCATAATTCAATCATAAGGTTTTCTAGAATTTTAATCTACTAGTTTTCTTATATCAAATGATCTTCTTAGACAACGGAAAAGATGTTTTCTTAGCCACTGTTGTGTATTTCAAGGGATACCGAAAGAATTTTCTTTCTAATAGTCAGGAACTAAGTTTCTTAAGGGTAATTCTCAAGGAAACAAGATATTTTAGCCATTTTATAAAATTATTAAAGAAACAATTTTGAGTAAACATTAACAAAAGAAAAAAATATTCCAGTAACATCATCTCAAACAGATGGTTTCAAATACTTGGAATGCTAGTCCCTGCATGGTTCAGTAGCTCCTGAAATAACATATTAGTCCATAAATGATTTTTTTAAAAAAGGAAACAGACAAATCAGATATAGTATCAGACTTCACTTATAGTTGGTATGGATATTGCTGTATTTTCAAAATGCCCACAATCAACAGTATGTTATATATAATTGTAGATCTAATTTTTAATTTTTGTGCAATACCAGGAGATACAGGCAAAAAATGTTGCCATTTAAATTTGAGAAAAGAGGGCATCAGTGAGATAAAATTATAGATAAAATTCCAATGTCCAATTAAAATTCAGACCAAAAAACTCACAAAATACTTGTGACTGTGTAATTCAAGAAAAAACTACTTTTTTTAAAAAATCAAGTTTTATGTTGCTTATCAGTAATTCTACCAAAACTACTTTATCAATGTGTCTAAATTCACAGCTTGATTTTTTTGAACTTTTCACCAGGAAGCCAAGTGAGCTTATACTTTCATATGAAAAAACAAACAAAAAAGAGAAACTGATCAAAACTTTAAATATAACAAATACTATTTAACCTTTTTAAACTAAAGTAAGGCTAAAGACGTATTACAAATCTGCAAATTGTTCCTAGTTTGACTACAGTTGTTGGAATTTGTCAATCAGTTCAGAAATAGATCTGTCTCTTTTTAAAATAAAATCACTGAAGATTGAGTCATATTTCCCTTTTTTATTTCTCCCTTTTTAAAAGCTTCCCTTAAAATAGTTTTGAGACATTTAGAGGAATAAATAATGAAAGAATAGCAAAAAGCAAAATTATCAGGACATGCTAACAAGAAAATGGTAACAAGTTTTGAATTCATGCAGAAAAGTTTAAACTCCATAAATATCATATGTCAGTGATAACTAAAGAGATTAATAAAATTACAATCCTATGTGTAGAATTTACATAATATAGGTAAACCAATATAATTCCCACATACTAATATTTGACTTTGTATGTGGCTGTGTAGGACAATGACAATTTTTTTTACTAGAGATTCCAGGGATGTTTATTTCAATTACTTGTAGAGCAAAATATAAATATTTTATAAATTTTACTGGTTTTTAAATGTTGTTTTGTGGCCAGAGCATATTTTAAAATAAAAAAGAATTTCTGAAATGTCTTTGTTCATTTGTGCATGCACAACAAATAAAATAAATAAAGAAATAAAAAAGGGAGCTATGACTCAATCTTCAGTGATTTGATTTAAAAAAGAGACAAAAAGATCTGTTTCTGAACTGATTGACAAATTCCAACAACTCTAGTCAAACTAGGAACTATTTGCAGATTTGTAATATGTCTTTAGCCTTATTTTAGTTTAACACAAATGTTATTGAGTATGCTCAAAATAGATCTAAGTAAAAACTTTAATTTTTTTCATTCATGTAAATATTAATGGCATATAAGTTTATACTCTACATACTGAAATTTATTTCTCAATGTCCTGCATAATGAAGAGAATCCTTGAATCATAACAGCTAATGTAACAACTGTCCTTCACTACCACATACATTCATTCTATCTAAAAAACACCTACATGTGGGAATATAGTATGGAGATGGAATTAAATTATTGCACCAACAATCATTTTTTCTTTGATAAAACGTTTTGGATATTAAAAATACCAGAGAGTAATGTGAGTGTAAACCATGTCAAATGTTCAAGTATTCGCTTTTAAAGGAGCTAATAATCTGCTTCCCAGATTGCATATCAAGTTTGACAATGGAAGAGAATGAATAAAACAGAAAGTAAACTGCACATTTTAAATGGACAGAAACTAAGGAAAATAATGTGTGATATCAAGAGAAATAAACAAATGCAAGCAATAACTATGGTGGATTGGAGTGTCTCACTGATACTTTCTGCCTTGTTTTTCTCCTAGGTCATCAGTTAGATGAATATGTATTTGAAAGCTGTTCATTCATTGTGGAGATGTGGGTAGACAGCAGTAAATATGCCCCATGGCACTGATTAACTCAAAGTGGCTCCAGGCCAAAGATTTTATGCTTCAGTGGAGATATTTTTGCCAGGTACATGTTTTTGGTGATATCACACCCTAAATGTTACTTTGAAAGTCTATCATAGCCTGTGGCATTAATTTTTTCCAAGATGGACCACTGTGTTGGTTATTATTAATCTGCTACAAAAAAAGAGCTTTAGACTTGGGATATTTTAAAATTCCTTAAAATGTAAAACACTAGCATGCTACTAAACCTGCCAGACCTATTTTCTTTTAATCCAGACTTGTTATTTGTAATAAATAGAGATATGTAAGATATGGAATTTTTAAAACATATATTTTTGATAGTAGAAAGATGATTAGATTTGGCATCAGAATAACTTTCTTCTATTTTTGGACAAGTTCTTCAAAATTTCTGTCCTTTAGGTTCCTTATCTATAAAATTGGAGTAAGGAATTGAGGAATTATATGTAAAAAATGACTTAGGAACTGTAAATTAATATAAAAATAAAAGTTATTGTTTCTATACTCTGCGAAGCCTCTCTTGCCATTCAGGTATTATTTTTAAAATACTATTTATAATGGTATTAAAAAGTTCATCATCAGTGATGTATGACATTATTTTAAAACTATCTTTCCGGCTACCTCTTGACATTTTTTCTCATTTTCATGAATTTATTTTTTACACTTATGAAATAGAGATAGGATAATTTTTATTTGAATCCTTAAATATGTTGGAATTAAAGAAAATTTAACCGAGAAAAAAACCCAATAAGTCATACATTTAAAATTTTTACTAATAAATTCTGTTTCTAAAATAAACAACAAAGTTTATTTTTTTTACAGTTCTTGGGGCTGGAAAGTCCACAATCAAAGCGCCAACAGATTCAGTGTCTCGTGAAGGCTTGTGTTCTGGTTCATAGATGGCATCTTCTTGCTGCAGCCTCACGTGATAAGAAAGCAATAAATCTAAGAGAGCAGTTTAACCTCTATTCACTCAAACACTTTTGAGAACTGATTGTGTGCCAAGCCTTGTTCAAAGTGCCAAAGACACAGTGATGAATATGATTCCCACCCTTGTGGATCTTATAGTCAGAGGACACACACATATAAGCATAATAACCACAACAAAATTACAATAGAAACCCAGTCCAATGGGGGAAGGATCGACTTTTTATTTAGTCTAATGGGCAGTAGGTAAAGAAAGTTTGGTGCATTTGCTTGCAAAGTATTATCTTACTATGTGCTTACTCTATGCAAGATTCAGCTTCTGCAATGGATTTGTGCAGTAGCAGATGGGAAAATTAGGATAGGGGACTTGTAGAAGGAATTTTGTTTTCAGCACTAACTATCATATAAGCAACACTACCTGCCCATTCTTCAATGGATATATTTTATGTCAACTAACTATATGCAATTTATTCATACTCTCTAAATATTCAGAATTTGTAATGAGTATAAGAAATTAAATCACTCTTTACCAGAGGATATATAGTAAGCCTTTCTGTTCTGGATTGATTAGGACATAAAAGTCACCTATTTTATCATAATCCTAATAATGTGTTTTCAGATAACAATTTATTCTGGTAAAAGAAAACACATAACTTAGAAGATCTCATATTTTACCACAATTTTGTTTTACTAAAAATTGGTAAAATAGCATTGGCGCTATGGGCATTACTCTGCATAGCTCTTTGTATATTAAGTGAAACGTTGATCACCTATTTTGGTGTGTATGTGAATAAGAATAGGTACTCATAAAAATATCTTAGTTTATTGCAAATATAAACAAAAGAAAACAGCATGTGCAAAAGATTAAACAATATTCTATGTAAGCCAAAATTACTCTAATTCTTATCATGTTATGACATTAAGAGAAAAAAATGTTTTGATTTAAAAGTCTGTCAGCTATCATGTAATTTAATATGTAGTGACATATACTGCTAAAAGGTATATATTAACATTAAAGACCCAAACTCCAATGATTAATATTATAGTGATGACAGAATGAAAGTGCCTAATTTTAATCCACTGTTTATCTATGTGGGGTAATTTATAGATCACTCAACATGTTTTAATAGTAGACATAAAAAGATATCCTCTAATACCCACTTGCTTTCAAGATCTGACATTTGCAATTGCAAAGACAAAGACATACCAGGGGTTGGCTTCGTTGGGTATGTACACAAATAGCTAGTCATCCCATACACAGTTTATAAAAGTGATCGATTAATAACAAAACTGCTCCAAAGACCCAGGGTCTCTTAATATTCTAGTTGAATCACAAGGGGGTGACATAAAATGAGGGCAGAAACACAAACAGTGGTCAACACATTGATTTGCCTGCCAAATATAGTTTTACCATCATAAATCTCAGGCTGACAACTGCACAAAGCTTTCTTCACCCAAACACTGCCAAATAAGGGCATTTATTCACTGATTGGCTGATAGTCTCCATGACAACTGATGCCACAATTAGACAAGTACAATTCTACTTTCTAACATCCACACAATTCATTAATTCAGCAGGACTTTGTTGACCATACATTATGAGGGAAATATTTAATACTATTTGGAGACTGATATATTTTCCTCTTATCTAGAGTAAAATAAATTATAAGAAGTGATGAAAACAACCATTTAATTAGACTTAAGTAAGTTTGAAAAGCAACTCTGTGAATTTAAGTGTTTTTAATAATTTCATAGGTGTCTCATTCTATAAACTCAATGGCTATTGAGTTAATCTTCAAGTTATTTTCCTACGGGCCCTTTTAAGAGAAGGTTGGAAAGAATGTGAGTCCAATTTTCTATACACTAAATAAGATAACAACAAATATTTCTTTGGCTCTTGAAAGGAGATAATTTTAGTCAATGTTGAGTGATTATTGAATTTAATAGATATTCATCTGTAGAGACCCCAATGAAAATTGCAAAGGGAGTCATTTGCTTATCCTTTGTCTCCATAGGAACCATGTTTACCAGAGATGTTTCCCAAGATGGACAACAGACTGACCATGTTGATTCAGAACTAAGTACTAATAAAAAGGAGTTTAATAAGAAGTCTAATAGAAATCAAATTGTATTTATCAACTTTAATTCTATTTTAATGCACGAGTCCTAACAGCCAAACGACTAATATGCTGACATTTCTTAATTCATTTTTTCTGACTGTGCTCCCAAAAGGTGTGTGAAAATGCAGTTTATAAATTAAAACCTTATACATGTTTATATGTTTCTGTTTATTTATATTTGTAGAAACACAGAGCAAAAGACATAGAAGGCTAGACACCAAACTGTTAATAATGCTTACTTCAGAGATGTGGGTTAGGGGAAGGTGGGGCAATACTTTTTCATTATATGTTCCTATACTAATTGATTTAATTACAGGGAGGTTTAATTTTTTAATTTTAAATATAAAATCTAATAAAGTAATGAAAAAATGACTGCGATAAAATCAGGATAGTAAAGTAGTATGTTTAGTAGGACCTCATATATGTACATATATAGGTGTCATTTAAATTAGTGCATATCTGTGTATGTGTTTAAAATAGGAAAGAAAAACAAGAAGAACACACACCAAATATTGGTTACTGCTCACCCCTCAGCAGAGATAGTGGGATTGTGAATAATTTTTTATTTACTTCTTCTCTCCTTATTTGTATTGTTTATAATAAGGGTAATTTAATTCTTTAATAAAAATAGTTATTATATTATTGAAATCAGTGAATGAAACATTTGTTTCTCACCTTCTGCATTTAATGCTCATTGTTAGGAACCAACGAAGGTGCAGAGAAGTTTCAGAGTCTCTGTCTGTCTTCAAGGTCATTGCAATTTAATGGGGAAATACAATATATAAATATGAAAAGTTATAATACAAAGTATGGGGAATATAGATGGTTTTGCATAGATGTTTAAAATAATCATCACATACCTTTTTAAATATATACATTGCCATATTTACCCTACCATCTTTGGTAAAGTTTAAAGAATAAATTTTTTGATCAATGTATAGCTTCAATATGTGTTTTATGAATAACAACCAAAATTTAATTTGTTTAATCAATAAAATAAGTCATTTGAAAAGCATTTTGAAGTAGCACAACAATAAAGAAATTAAACCATTCCTCTTAAAGAAATGATAGTTTAAATGGGCCAAGTTTAGAAACATTCCTCAGAACACAAAATATTTTATCTTTTTTACTTTGTGTGTGTGTGTGTGTGTGTGTGTGTGTGTGAGAGAGAGAGAGAGAGACAAGGTCTAGCTCTGTTACCCAGACAATGGTGTGATCACGGCTCACTGCAGCCCTGACCTCCCAGGCTCAAGCAATCCTCCCAACTCAGCTTCCCGAGTAGCTGGGACTGCAGGCATGCACCACAATGCCTGGCTAACTTTTATTTTTTGTAGAGACTAGATCTCATTATGTTGCTCAGTCTGGTCCCTTACTACTGGGCTCAGGCTTCTCAAAGTTCTGGGATTGCAGGGATGAGCCACCATGCCTAGCTGTATTCTTTAACGTTGAATATAGTAACCCAAAACCTTGTTTAAAACATTGGTTCAGGCTTTAATTAGGTTGTATAAATTAACAACCACATTTACTATCACTTTAACATGCTCCTTTCGTAAGACTATCTCACATCAATTGCCCAATAGCTGGAGAGCTCCCATCACACTACAAGTCATTTCTGTTGCTTTACAGTATATACAGAAGTGATTTTCATATATGTTTGTCCAATTTGTCCTCGTCCTAATAGTTGGCCTTCTATTTAACCAGGATTTATTGGGAGAATCAGTCCATATGAAAATAAATTATTGTGAGGCTAAACTCAAATTTTACATCTTCTGAAATGACAAGTTCAAGTTATTCGCAAGCCACTGATGAAGTGCCTGAGATCATTGGCTTATGGTATCTAAGATAGATATGTTATTTTTTGTCTAACAAGTTATCTGTATTCCTTTGAGAAAACTCATGGCTTAGTGTGGATTCTCCCCAGAAAGAAATACCTGAGATAAGAGCCTGAATGAAGAAAGTGATTTTAGGGAAGAAGAGTTGAGAGTTAAGTGGAAGAAGCATAGGCGGAAAGTCAATGTAAGGGTGTGTCCTTGAGTCACTATCAAAGGCAGCTGGTGCTAATCTCACTGCGATCTTCTGAGGGGCCATGGAAATGGCATCTCAGAAGTTTTGCCTGAGTGACAGAAGAGAACACCATTTATTCACTGACTCCCATGTCTCATTGATCAAGAGTTACCCCATGGCGTGTTAAGTCTCTTAACTCTTAAAAACTTCTGGGTTTTGCAGCAGGGGTTTCCCCAAAGATATTTCCATGCCAAGGTGTGAAAGCCTCAGAGCAGAAGGAAGGAGATCAGCTGAAGCAACATTGTCACAGGTTATAACTGCATGAAACTAGTCATTCTAGCCATGGTTGTCATAAAAGTTGAGATGAGAAGATGTGAGGTGGGGGAGAAGGAAAGACAGTCAATCATAACGCTATGCCGTGCACCTTTGCCAAATCTGGCCAATGGGATGGGCATCTGATTCAGGCCCGGCCATTCTTAGAGCTCTGTTTAGGTTAGACCCAATTATCTTACCCAATCAAATGTAAGAATACTGGGATAAAGAAGAACTCATTCCACTTAGATTGCTAAAGTTGGAAAAATATAAATGTGGGCTTCTAGTGGCCTTCTGAAATGCTTTATGAGGAATGCTTCTCTTTGCAAATGCAGCCAAGCAAAAATAGAGGCAAGCAAAATTATGAAGTCTCAGTTCTTGTAGCTCTGGCTTTGATAGTCTAAGCTGCCCCAGCATGCTTCTATCTATGAGAGTCACCAAAGTCCATCTCCAATTTTGTTATGTTACTTTGAGTTGGTTTTCAGACACTTTCAGATAGTATGTCACCAACTCATTTTCTGGTGTAGAGAATATGCATCTGTACATATACTAAATAAACTAGTTATTCTTTCTTTCTTTTCTTTCTTTCTTTCTTTCTTTCTTTCTTTCTTTCTTTCTTTCTTTCTTTCTTTCTTTCTTTCTTTCTTTCTTTCCTATCTCTTTCTGCTTATTGGAGAGCTATCAATTTGTTCCTAACCTTTATTCATTTGAAGTTATATATATGCTTATAGTCCGAAAAGTAAATGGTTTATGTAAATTTTATTATTTAAAAAAAACCTGCCATCCACACTCCCATAGCTTTTTCAATCTCCCTGATGCAACAACTTTCAGCTCTTTTACTTTTTTGAATTTATCTCCATGTCTCTAAAATATAGACATGTATTTTAATTCTTGATTTATCATTTCACACTATCTCTTAGTTACTCTTGATATATTCACTGGTATTCAGATTCTTGATCTTTTGCTGCGACCTGATTTTTTTTCTCTCCGTTAGTTTTTAAGATTTCTCCTCTTGTCCCAGGATTCTGAGATTTTGTAATAATGTACTTTGGTGTGGTTCAATTTCATCCATTGTGCTGAGTGGATGGTTGTCCTTTGGCATCTTTAATTTGGAATCTAATGACTTTTCTTTCTGCAAAGGGCATCTGGATGTTGAAGTGCTTGGAAAGATCTTCCGATTATCTTATCCTTTCCCTCCCACAGTCCAGCTCTATGTCTTTTTGCACCGATTTCTGAGAGATTTTCTCAATCCTGTAACCCCATCCTTCTATGAGATTTGTATTTATTTGATTCTATTTTTAATTGCTAAGACCTTTATTTTTGTTATCTAAATGTCTCTTCTTGTGTCACTGATGTAATATTATCGCTTATCTCTGAGGACACTAAAATATATATATATATATATATATATATATATATATATAAAATTTATATCCACGCTCCCAGCAGTTTGCTTTTTTCTATTTATATGTTGAGGCAATTGCCTTTCATGTTGGAGGCTTTGCTAAGATATCTGGCAGTCTCTGCTTGTCTGCTTATATTCTTAAGAGTGGGAGGCTAAAAAGCTGATGAAAAGCTCTATGTGCATGAGTGGTTGTCTATGGACATTGCATCTCACCGCAAGGTGATATAGCTAGGCTGGTTCATCGGGAAAACCCCAGTGTCAGTGTTTTTAAGGTTGGTGCTTTTGGGCTGGTTGGATTCACTATAGAAAAATCCTCCCATACCCAGCATGTAAGATATACAACCGCCTGCCCACTTTGTGCTGGTTAAGTGTAGGAAGAGGGCTTGAGGAGATGGCTGGTAGTCTCAACGTTCCTAGTTACATAGACTCTCATTTAATTTCCATATTTTTAATATTGAATTTCGTCTTGCCCTATGAAGAAATTCCTTTGTCCCCTTTTTGGGTAATTCCAAATTATGTACAGTTTTTGTAAACTAATAGCTGCTGCTGACCACAAAATTGAACAGGTCTCTCTTCCTACTTTGAGGTAATAGGCACATACAATCTTAACTAACTAGAAGCCTCTCCTTCTAGATTTTGAGTTCAAAATTAGTGACACAGGATGTGGGGATGCTTGGGATCATATTTGTAACTGTGTTGGGCAGGTCTGATTAGTTTTTTGATGTGAATATTTTTCTGTAGTTCTTGCTATAGTGTCATTTAGAACGTTGCAGATTTATGCCTGTATTCAAAGAATGGCCTCCCAGGATTTGATTAATTTTGTGAGCCCCTTAGAGCCTGCCAATAAATTCTGTTTGCCAAAGATTACCAGCATCAGCTTCTATTGCTTGAAATGAAGGATCCTAACTGATACAACTGCTACTTCTCAAGTGAGATGGCACCAAATGATAGCACATATAATACCTAAGTTCCAGTTCCACCTGGTTATTATATAGCTTATATGTGGTCACATTGTGCCAAAATACATGTACCATTGGTGTAAAAATTATACTGTGCCTATGCAAATTTTGTAATCGATAAAAATGGATGGAATTGATTAAGAACAAAAAGCTCAGAGGTTCATTTTTTAGAAAGTTGTGTGATTTCTCATCAATGGGAAGACTCAAATAAAGGATATCTAGTCCAATGTTTCTAATGAGATTACATAATCAAAACAGAGCACTTGCCCACTGCAGACATTTGTATGCCATATTTTCCCCAAAATCAGCATCTTGGAAGAAGTGGTTACTTTTTGCAATTAGCGTTTGTGCAATAAAGAAGGAGAAGCAAACCCTTTGCTGTGAACATACACTCGACACTACTTAATTGGCCATGGCCTCTTGAAAAATATTGCCTCAAAAATATTGCCAGTCCTCTGCACACCTCTTAAGTACTTCTTTTTGTCCTCTTATATTTAAGCTCATGAGTGCTAAAGATTAACATTTTCTGAGGCAACAGTCTGAAAAACAGCCCTTCAGCTCACATTTTCTTTCTCTTGCTAAATATTTATCCTGATTCAGAATTGGAGTGTCTTAGACACCATATAAAAAATGATACCTTCCTTTTCTTGATGCCTTATGTTCTATTATAGAGAGCTAAAGAAGGGAATTACATAGTTGTTCCTACTTTACTTTCTTCCATTTTGCCTTAATTGGACCTCACTTCACATAAATTCCGGTTTTTGTTGAAATCCTCTGATTCAATAGCAAAACAAAACAAAAGTCCCTCTTCTGCTTGCTAACTAGATTAACTTGGGCTAGTTCCTGATTTTCTCTGAACTTCACCTGCCTCATTTTTAAATAGGAAAATAATACCTGTTCTTTCCTATCTCAAAAGGTTGTTGTCAGAATCCAATGAGGTAATTATGTACGTGACAGCAGTTTATAAACTGAAAAGCACTTTTAAAAAAAATTAGCCTGATGTTCAAATAGGCATAGACAACATTCTCTGTGTAATGTTGTCTTGTAGCAATTCAGTGATTCTTACAAAAGCAAATACTTACATGGAAAAATATTCACCCTCACCATGAAAAAAGAAATGTACTTTCAAACAACAAAAGATAACATTTTTTAAATTTAATTTATTAAAAGGACCATTTAGAAAATAAGGTTACCCAGTGCCAATGAGACTGGTTTGAAATTGGGACTCATTCAATGCAGGTAAGATGGTAATAATAGTTTAGTCAAATAATTTGACAATATGTCTATTGAGTCTTTAAACATTTCATACCTTTTACCCACTCATTTCATTCACCAAGAATCACTACAATTGCTTTGTAATGTGGTTATTTATAACAGCAAAAAAATAAAAACAAACTAAATGACCAAAAATAGGAGAATGGTTTACAAGTGTTATTATGTTGACACAATGGACAGTTGCACAATAATGTCATTAAATTATGCTTTCAGGAATTTTCAACAAGCTAGGAAAGATGGCTCTGCTATATGTTGTACAGATGTGTGTATATACAACATACAGTATGTGTGCATTCAACAAGCTAGGGAAGATGGCTCTGGTATGTGATGCGTATATATGTGTACACATATGTATATACATATATACAGATATAGACATATATACACAGACATATATATGTGTGTGTATATATGTATAAACACATACACATATATACACACACATATACACATACACATATGTGTGTATGTATGTACATAAGCATATGTACAGATATATATATGTGTATGTATATGTATGTACACATACATATACATGAGTGTGTGTGTATGTTATAAATTGATTGAAAAGAGCAGGGTATAGTATTTATATATGGTATAATTTCAAACATTTTAAATATGTCAAAAAAAACCTCCCCTCACCTAGAATTAACACACATAAAAATATTAACAGAGACTGTCTCTGAATATTAGCATTATGGGAACTTTATTTTCTATTTTTCCATATTTTTAAGATTTTCTATATTGTATATTTTTATAATCAGAAATTTAGAAAATTTAGAAATTGTCATCAGAATTACGATATCTAATCAGAGTGAGATAATATTACTCCATGTCTTAAATTTTTGGCCCACCTAAGAAAGGCAATGATAGCTGAATGACTCTGAAATGCACGTGCATTCAATGGCTTCCACACAATTGGCTCTATTCCTGACTGCCCATTACTCAACACACTCACAGAGCACACAGAATTTTCATGCTGGCATTGAGCTTTGTGATAGTCCAAAGAATCTTGCTTTCATGGAAGTCTTGGGAAATGCCAATACTTCTTTAAGAGTAAGTCTGGAAAACTTCCTAGTTTATACATCTTTGCATCTAATTTATAATGCAGAGGACACAATCTAATGGCAACTTACCAAGGAGGCTCTCTGCTTTCTTTCTTTCCTCCCCAAGGGAAGAAGTCTACCTAAGAGACTTGGGTGTTTTCAAGAGATAACGCCATTACAGTTTAAGCCCCTTAATGTAAGTTGTCCCTTTTTAGTCCTACCATATCATTCCTCAGGGGAAACAATACTTGCTGGCTATCACAACTGACATGACATTATATACAGTCAAAGAAAAAAGAGAAAGAGACAGAGACAGAGAGAAAAGTGGCACAGAAAGAGCCTTTTATCTAGTTGTGACATATATAAACAAGTACTCTGGAATAAATTTATGATATTCATTCTTTGATATTCACACAATTTTGATAATTCAATGTTGTGCATTTTATTTTTCTACTTTAGGTTTGAAGCAGAATAGAAATATGTCAGGATGTCTTCCAGAAATATAAAGATTACATTTAAATTATTTTACGGAAATTTATTTTATTTTGTAGAATATACAAATTCAAGAAAATAGTGGCACATTGGTTTTACTAAGAATGTCTCCAAGAAATCAGTTTAAGTGGTGAAATAGTTATAAGAAGTCTATTAAGAAGAATTGAAATTTTTTGTTTAGTACTACCAACCAATATAGTTCTATACCAATTGTAACACTAGAAAATGGGCCACATCAGCAAATGAAACACCAGATCTCTCTCTATTCAGACATTTCCACAATTTTTTTTCCCAACTAAAGAAATGGTGGTGACAAAAGGATAGGCTCTAGGGAAACAATGACTAAAGAAGTGGCCAAGTTGGGCTTCAGGAACAATGTTGACATAGCTACCAATACAAAGGAAATGTTTCCATTTTGGGTGGACTATGACAGATCATCAGAAATGAGGTTTCATAAAAAACTACCAATGTGAAAATGTAATTGGGTCTCTGAGAGTCAAATGAAATGCACGTGATAGAAAAAAATCATAAAACAAATGATACCAATAAAATGGTACTGGTAACTCCTCTCACTGCAGCTTTAAGGAAGTAGGAGAATTGAACAAAGTTTGAATCAGATATGTAAATGTTGCAGGAGTAAAAACTAGATGGTGGAAGTGGTAGACAGTGAAAAATTACGTAAAATTTTAAGTGAACTTGGAATGCAACAACAAGGTCTTCCTGATTTCCTATATTAAGTTTTTTTCCAAATGTTTCACTTAGGGGTTGCAAACCTTAAAACCAGTGGGGGGCTAGGTAGAAATGTAATGAGAGCAGAAAGCTATGGGAAACATGGTGAACTGGGGGGCTAAAGGGATGTCCTCCAACTAGAGGAACAGTCATTAGTTGCCTATAGCCAACTGTCACCATATGAAAGTGTAGCCCTTGCCTGATTTTCAAGGGAAACTGGAAACCAGAAATGTATATGAAATGTATTGATATTTAAAACAGTGGGTTGTGGCCCACAGTTTAGAACTTCTGACCCAAAGACAGAAAAGACACTTCTAAATATTATTTTAGTTATTTTTTAAAATGAGATAACTGTTACGGCAGAGTGTCCCTAATATATTGTTGAATGATAAAAGTCAGTTGCAATACAAAATATATTGAATAATTTTATCTTGTAAAGAACTGTTTACACAATTATGGGGGATGCAGAACACATTATTTATAGAGCTTTCCAATGGGAGTAGATAATACTTCCATATTTGTGTGTTGTTTGCTTTTTTTCAAGATACATTGCTTTGTGATTTACAAGTTTTATTGATTCTAAGATTTTTTTTCTTCCTTTCTCAAAATTGGGATTAGTCTTAAAATTACAGTTCATAGTTGTAGATAAAATAATGGTGCATTATAAAAATCAGCGCGTCTTAGATTCAATGAAATGTGATTTTTAGAAGTTGAAAGTAAAAAACTTAAAATTTATTTAACCTCACTTCTTAAGATATCTGATGCCTGAGGAAAATAATCTGGTACTTATATTCCTTAGACTTTCTTATCTATTTATAAAAAATATAAATATATTCAGATAGAAACTGAAAATTCAGTTACTCTGTTGGTTGACTACTCATCATGATGCCAAATTTCTCTTGACTGGAAAGCATCTGAATTATTTCATGTTTCATTTTAATGATGAAGGTTTCAAGCATCAAAACCCAAAATCTTCAAGTCACCCACACACAATCTCAGGAACAGATATTGGGATACTTAAAAATTCTTGCTTCTAAAGATGTTATGGACCCAAATTAAAGACTAAAATTTCAGAACCCAAAATTGCTCCAGAAAGCAAAAAGATCTTTATTGCAGGTTTCAGATTGGAGGTATAATGTTCTCCATATGGCTAACTGCATTGCAGAGCGGAGCAATTCCAGTCGGCACCAGCTGAAGCACCCATGGGTCTAGGGTCTGTAATGTTGCTAGGTGAAATTATGAAGAATCCCTAGGAAATACGTAATGAAAAATTTCTCCTCCCCCTGATATATGCCATTATGGCCTAGACCCTAAAGAAATTTCCAATAAAAGTCTATTACATTCTCTTTTCTTCATTAGTAACTGCAATAGATATATCACTGATATCAGGAGAGTTCAGGATAAACTTGCAATCAGGTATATTGTGAAAAGTATGACAACAGCCAATATTAAAATTTAACACACCCAGATGTAGTGATGTGATGTATTTTTTTATGCTATAGACCATGAAATTATAGAATCTCCCATAGTTCTGACATATTATTTCTCCTCTTAAATCATTATAATCACCAGTCTCATCTCATGTCCCAATCTCTAAATGATAATGGAAGCAGAATCACAGTATAATCAAGGAAGCTCTCAAGATTCATTTTCAGAAGAATATGATGCTCACCCTCACTAAGTAGAATTCTTCATTAATTAATAGTGTCATTGATAGCATTATGTTACCCACCACCAAGTTTCTGAAAATTTTACTTTATGGCAGCATAAAATCAGAATCTATGGAAAGTATTGTATGAATAAATAGTCATATTATAGTCACGCAGGAACAATCGTCTCTGAAGAGGCTCTTTAAAAATCCCTCAATCTTCCTTGTTTTCAGGAAATGGTTCTTTCTCCTGGGGACTGAATGTATGGGCTGATTTTTCCCTGCAGACCTTCACCAAATGCTGCTATGGAGGGGCTTATGGGAGAGACACATACACTCCATTTCACAAGAAGCATATTAGATGGATATCATCCTCTCTTTCCCCTGCATTCCCAAAAGGACTTTGGTAGTCCAGGATCTCATCAGCTCACTCCCTGATTGTGGCTTGAGTACCAATGAAACAATCTCATATACTGCTTAATTATAGAGCAAGAATGAAACTCAAATGTCTAGAACAGTGGTGACTGGTCATAGTAGGTACACAATAAGTGTGTGTTAAATTAATAAATTGTAGGCATTGTGAACATAATATGAGCAAGAGAGAGAGAGAGAAGAAAGAAAGCAAAAATCCTGTTGACCATCACTCATGCCACTCCATAAACTCTTCTTCCTTTGTAGGCACTATTTCCAATCCTGTGTACAATTGTGACTTATCTAATACACACACACACACACACACATCTGGATATATGTATACCTCATTCTATATCCTGTCTCCATTTTCATAACAAAAATGCCATCTTTCCAAGTCAGTGCACAGACATCTGCTTTGTTAACTACAATGGTTATATGCTAGTCTATAATATTTACATGATAACCTAATGATGGTCATAAAAGTTGACTTTAATGAAGCCTTATTGTACACAATGTTCTAAAGAACAAACTTGTACAATACAAAGTATTTGAGCTTTTGACGGGAGATGAGTTTACTTTCTTTTTCATTCCATCTTCATCAGCCCTCTTTGCTCCTCACTACTGCATATAAATTCTATCCCTCATGAAGCTTTCTCCTGATTGCTCCAGGACACAGTCATTCACAGTGAAGAAGAGTTTTCATTTTGGAGAGGGAATGTATTGTTGAAAACTGGATCTGCCTCTTCCTGCTTGTGTGGCCAAATCTTTTTAAGCCTTGATATCCCAATCTCATCATTTCGCTTGAGGACTGCAGTATTAACTGCCTATGAAGTGTTTAGCACAGTGCCTGGCTTGTAGAAATTCCCTACATTGAAGAGACTGATATTGTTGATGTAACTCTTACTTCAAAATGACTTTTTAGGTGACCTGATGACACTTTCATAGAGCAATAGCCCAGAATAAAGTAATTCCTTCATCAAATAGAAATGAATCCTGCCTGCCAACCAATAGTACCAAGGGATAATATACAGCCAACTGAATCTGCGTGACAATCCTGTGCTATACTTGAAACTCTATTAGCCATTATTACAAAATGAGTATATTTTATTTTGTTTTAGAGACAGAATCTTGCTCTGTCACCCAGGCTGGAGTGCAGTGGCATGATCTCAGCTCATTGCAACCTCTGCCTCCTGGGTTCAAGAGATTCTTGTGCCTCAGCCTCCCGAGTAGCTGGGATTATAGGCATGCGCCACCATGCCCAGCTAATTTTTGTATTTTTAACAGAGACGGGGTTTCTCCATGTTGGCCAGTCTGGCCTCAAGTGATCCACTTGCCTCAGCCTCCCAAAGTGCTGGGATAACAGATGTGAGCCACCCCACCTGGCAAAATGAGTACATTTTAGTTGCGTATTTTTCCCATATTTATTTACTTTTATCCTAATTCACAGTCCTGGAAACTGACGGTCATTTAGGATTTGAATTCATGTCTCTCTGACTTCAAACCATTACTTCTTATTACAATATTCAAATGCTAAACTGTTTTCTACTTTGTCAAGGAAATAAAGAAAGTAACATATGAACATCTGTAAAAAAATCCAAATATTATATTCACAGAAAGCGAAACGGATATGATGTTTCTAATATTTTAATTGAGATATGATTCACATACCATGCAATTTGCTTATTTGATTACTGGTATTAAACAAACTTTTCTGTTGAGTAGGTTAGTAACTGTATAGTACACTCATTCTTTAAACATAATTATTGATAGCCTTCTATGTGGCAGGCTCTGTTCTGGACCCTGGGGATAAGGTTAAATGCTATAAATCAGGGTTTGTCAACTTCAGCATTATTGCCTTTTTGGGCTAAAGAGCTATTTGTTGTGGAGTGTTAGCCCGCGCATTGCAGGATGTTGAACGGGACCTCTGACTCCTATCTGCTAGATGCCAGCACTCTCTTTACCCTAGTTGTGATAACCAACAATATCTGCAGACATTTTCAAATTTCTCTGAGGGGAAAAATGGCCCCTGTTGAAAACCACTGCTCTAAACCTTGTATTCAAGCTGCATACCCACTTGAGTGGGCTTGCTTATGATTACACTTTCCATACCTTGGTTTGATTTAAAGTTACATATGTATGTATTCTTGCATTTAGCACATTACTAAATGCAGCCTTGCACCTAGTCTGCGACTACTTAAATATTTGTTGACTCAAATAGTATTTAAGCTTTATAGTCAGTTCTTTATCAAGTGGTTCAAATTACAGATTTATTGCACAACTCAAAGTATACGTGTTAGGCAGTATATTCAAAGCCCATGATAATCTCAGAAGTGAGAAAAATTAAATTTCTTAATTTGTATAGTTTGTGTTGTATCCCACACCAGTGAATTTATTTATCAACTCACATTTTAAATATATGTATGAGGATGTGTCTAGGGAGGTTCCCTACTCAGCATTCATGCAAAGGAAACAACAAACAATTCAATAATTCAAAAAATAAAAGCTACTTTGTTGGGATAAATTTTCTTGTCCATATGCTGGATGGCACTGATTAAGGTCTGCCTGCTGGCATTGTTTAGACAGCTCAAAATTTAAGGTCATTTTGTGTCCTCTGCAATGTCATTCCTAGTTTTAAATTTTTGAATGGACACCAATTCACTTACATGGTCGAGCCCCCAGTCTTCAAAGCCCTCTGCTCCCTTTATTGGCCATATTTCATGCTTGCATTTCTCTTCTGACTGCACTCAAATGAGCAGAATGTGACCAGAAATGGTTGCTACATCCCTCTTTAACTCCAGACTGAATGATAAAAGCCAAGAAAGAAAACTCCCTTTAAAGTGTGGCCAAGGAAAACTACATTATTCGTTATTGGCTAGTTGGAAACGTCCCTGGTGGTATTTTGTACAACTGTTTGAGCGGATGGATAATCGCAAACTCAGTGCACAGGATTCCCACTTGACATACTTGATAATAATTCCTATCTGGAAATTACACAAGAACCATAATGAGATACCATTACCTAACAGCTACTTTCCTAAATGATTGCATTAGCGAGGTGTAAATCAATAAATGGTGATTAATGAGCTTATATTTCATTTGTGCTAATTCAGTGGTGCTCAATAAGATAAACTTCTGTTGCTTATACTAGTTAAAATAGAAACAGCCATAAAATATGCTTCTTATTCTCCTTTAACCAAGCTTCTCTTTTATGATTTGTCTAGTTGTCTGGGCTTTTGCTGTTGCAACTGGAAGAGGCAAAGAATAATGATTATTAAAAAGTAGGTATGTGCAATATTGAGATCATCCGGTGGTTCTTCATTGCAATCCAACAGGCAAAGGAGTAAGAAGTAAGAATGCTTAACTTTGTTGAGCACTTGCTATGTGCTAGGCCCTATGCAATGAGCTTTACATTGTCTATAGTTTTTAGTTCTCATAACAGTAATATGAGTACATGTGAAGGGCACTCAACTGCATTTGTCATTAAGGAAGAGAAAATTACAACCACAAGGCAATATCTCAACCTGTCAAGATGGCTAAAATAAAAAAGATGATAGCCTTCAGTGATAATAATATAGAATAATTGGGACTCTCATATACTGTTTGTGGGAGTGTAAATTGGTACAACCACACTGGAAAGCTGTTTGGCAGATCTCCTAAAGTTGAATCTACACATACTTTATGACTTACTAATTTCTTTCTGAAGTATATACCTAATGGACATGTTTACATTTATTTACTAAAGACATACATAAGAATATATAATAAAAATACATATGGCGAAATAGTTAAAATAGCTCCAAGCTAGAAATTAAATAAATACTTATCCACATAAAACAAGTAATAAATTATATTATATTTACAAAAGGGAATACTGTGCAGCAACGATAATGGACAAATTATAAGTACATGGAATAACAAGGTGATCCTCCCAGATGTAATAGTAAGAGAAAGAAGCCAGACAGAAAAGAGACCAAATTGTATACATGTAAATATCAAGTTAAAAATAGGCAAAACTGATCTGTGATGCTAGAAGTCATGAGAGTGGCAAATATTGGTGAGATGGTATTGATCAGAAGTGAGGAGAAGGAGACCTTTTGTTTCTTGATCTGTGTGCTATGTATATGAGAGTGTGTTCACTTTGTAAAAACTCATTGAGTTGCATATTTATAAACTATGCACCTTTCTGTATGCGCTATAATTCAGTAAAAACAGTTTGCTAAGACATTTTGAGGTATCAGGGACTATTATTTTCCTCCATTTTGATGCAGATATATAGGGTTGAAGAAGTTAAGTAACTTGGCTAAGGTCATGAAAGGAGAATTTGAATCTTGGCAGTCCGACCACAAATCCCTTGCTCTTAATGAGCAGTCTGGACACAAAACAAGTGAGGTTTAGTTTTGCTCCTGTCGTCTATTATTATCTTTTGCCTCTGATTACTCAGAGTTGAAGGAATGGTGAGAACTAAGCAGGTTCATTAAGGATCTTCCATGCTCAAAACTTCCGTTGAGTTTTCCCACTTGGTGAGGCCTGGGAAAATAACTGACTCTGACTGCAAGAGAATACATAGACACCAGAAGTATCACAAGCCGCTGTGTTTTCATTTGGTAAATAACATGTCCAGTGGTAAGTAACACATTTCCCTCCAGGTTTGATCCTGAGAAGAGAAATTTAAAGGTGAAGACCTGTACACAGGTATAGTTGAATGTCTTGGAATATGGAATAAAGAAGATAGGAATTGGAAGAGCTTCTAGTGAGATCAGTGTAATAGAAAATGAGCAGATCGTGAGGAGCCCTTCGGAGGACACTAGAGGTAGATAAGAGTAGGGAAATAAGGCCAGTTCCTTACTATTGCTGATGTAGGAAGCCACTATGGGCATTGCAGTGGGAACTAAGGTAATGATCCTTCAAGTGAACAAGAAAAAAGTCAATGGTGACACTGTCCTATGCTATTTTAATGGAGTAGTCATTGGGTAATGGCGTTGGGCAACTGCATGGACAACACACATTAAAAATGCAGATTCTTGGTCCTACTGTCAGTGGTCCCTGTCTGAAGTAAAACCCAATAATCTCAACATGTTCAATAATCTAATTTCGGTAATTCATGCACCTATGATGCTTTGGAAAACACTGGTTTAGTGAAGTGTTATCTGAAAAAAAAATCTACAGTGGGTTCTATTGCTTGTAACAGGTCCTGGAGGTAAAAGGGCAAGAGAAAAATAGAATGTCAGAAGGAGTTAATTCATTTCTCACGCAACACTTTTGCAGGTTAAATTTTAATCTAGTTTTAAATTGCTTTACAAATATGACTCTGATTAAAATATAAAGAAACCAAGAACAAAAGAAAGAATAAAATAAATTCCAAGTAATCCACGGTAGGCAAACCAAATTCATTTCTTAAGTACACTCTTTCACACACATACACACAATTTCTTAAGCCCTCTAGGCTTTCTAAAAATTTTAGCATGATGGATATCCTGAAGTTAATTGAAGAAATAATTTAAAATGAGTGTTGATATATTCTGGGAGGTGAAAAAAATGATAGCAACATCAATGTCTTAGAATTTCAAAATACAACATAAGCTTATACCTCTTATATGTTATACATATAGCAGTAGAAAATACCACTTTTTCCTCCATTATACTACTTATGATTAGTGTATGGTTATTTCTATACCCTGGGAAATTAGTATCTAATTCAAAATTTAATCTAACTTGATCCTATATAATTACTCTCGTACAAAAATTAAAAAGTGTTAATGTGTTTTAAAGAGTTCTGCCTTCCTGAATAAAGTTACTAGCTAACTAGATATAGAGTTGTATGTCTACAATTAAATTTTGGCCTGATTGTTAGCATATTTGTTGATGCCATCTTATATGACATAACCAGAGAATGTGCCATGCTATTATATTATAAATGATTTAGAAACATCTGTTCATATATAGTAACATAAACGGTATGAGAGCATATGTTAAAAATTTTAAAATTTGTCTCATGTTGCTTAGATTTTAAGGTTCTCAAAAATCTGGGTTGTGAACTTCAGCTTCTGTGTAGGGTATAGTAGGTTACTGCAGATGAATATTCCCACTGACAATTAGACAATTCCAGATACATTTCAAAAGTCATATTTTCATAGGCATCAAAAAGCAACAAAAATCAGATGAACTAAAATGCAAGAGAAAGGAGAACCAGTGAAAGGTGAGTTGATAAGCTGATGAGCAGTTCTTTCCCTGGAGGTATCTGTTATACTAGTAGGGCACAAGGATGAGATCTGGGTGCAAGCAGAAAGTCACTATAAAAAAAGACAAAAAGTAAAGATTTTAGTGAGCAAATGAACCCAGAATAATCAAATTTATTAAATTTGGAGATTTGAGGGCTCTCAAACAGACAGCCCATTTCTCCATAAATTGATGAGTCTAAGAATGTATGAGATGCCAAGGAAATCAACTAAAAGATCCTGAAAAGGAGAGTGAAAAATTCCACAATCTTGCAAACTTAGGAAACAAAAAGCTTCTAGAAGAGAAGGCCTGAAACAAATTGAGCAACAGATAAGAACCCTAAAAGGAGGCTTCTTATGGAACTGCTCATCAGCTCATTAACTCACCTCTTACTGGTTCTCCCTTCTCTTGCATTTTAATCTGACTGATTTTTGTTGCTTTCTGATAACTATAAAAACATGGCTTTTGAAATGTACTAGGATTTGTCTAATTGTCTTATGGAGTAAGAAGACAATTTTGCAGCTCACGTGATCTGGGGCTATGTACTGATTCTAGATACAACTGAAGCTGAAAACTAGAAAGATAACCTTGAGGGATATTTTGATATTTGTGTGGTCTGACAAAAGAAGGTTGAAAGCTCGAGGGCCTCCAATACATGACCTTAATACATTTACTAAGTTTTGAAGCTGCATGAGGCAAAAAGTCAAAGAGCCAAGCTGAACATTTTTACAGGGCAGAACTGAATCCTCCACAGAGATAGGTGGAAAAGCTATAGCCCAGTGCTAATCTAGTTCATTCCATAACTTCATTTAGCTAATCAACCCCTCACACTACCTGCTAAACAGAGGAAAGAGGAACTTTCTTTTGTGGAAGTGAACACCATTTAAAATTTCTACAGTTTTTAAACATATACAATGTCTCAAATACAGTTAAAAATGATTACACGTGAGAAAAGGAATGGCCATAAACAACAATGAAGAGAAAAAATGGACAATAGAAACAAGCCCACAGATAATCCATATACTGATATTAGCCAACCAAGTCTTTAACATAGCTCTGACTGATATGTTCGAGGAGAAAAAGACAAAGTAAGGAAAGGAAAATTTCAAAAGATATAGTTGAATCATAAACAATGACTTAATGGACAGTTTAGCACTAAAAATACAATATTTGAACTTAGGAACTCAGTGGATGAGTTTAAAAGCAAATGGGACATAGTTGAAAACAGGATTAGAAAACTGAAGACAAGTCAATAAAAGACACTCAGAATGAGACATAAGTAAAAATAATGGAACGGAAAAGTGCAGAAGAGGCATATAAAATGGTTAAAAGTTCTAGAATACATTGAATTGCCATCTTAGGAGAGAGGAGAGACAAAAGTTCCCAACAAATAAAAGATACCAACTCATATATTTGAGAAGCCTATTAGAGAACCCTAAAAAGATTTAAAAAGAAAATCCAATACATTTAAATTGTGAGAATGAGAATGGGACAGGATCACACTTTAGCCAGCTTTGTATCTTTCAACATTGTGGGGGCCAAGTGAAAAGATGCTTAACAAATCTTTTTTAAAGTAATTGCTTCCTGCATAGCCTCCTACCACCACCACTATATTGGCAAATGTTTCTGTAGGAATTACACAACATGATTAAACCTGTGAATCAATTATCTCCTAGAATTGTGGAATGCTCTTATGAAAAGGGACCTTAGGAATCCTTTAGTAAAATAGTTTTAAATCGAACTTGGCCAGTTCCCAGGACTTTGATTTTGCTCAATTGAAGAGGGCAATGGTAGGAAATAATGACACTGTGCAGGTGGGCTCTGGGGCACCCATTCCTGCCTTATTCAAAGTTACACTGTTCCTATCAATTTTACTGTTTGCTCTCATATTTTATTTGAAAAAAAAGTATTCTTCAGATGAAAAAGGGATTGTGGAATTATGAATCTACTGCACATTCCCCCCCCCCCCCTTATATTACAGACAATATAAGTGAGGCCTGAAGACACAGTGCGACCTTCTCAAGGTTACATTGCTAATTAAAGGCAGAACAGAGACCAGATTAAGTGTCTCTTGAATTCAGGTTCATGGCCTCTTCTAATACATCATGCTACTTCTCCTCATCTAAATATTTATGCAAAAAGAGGTATTTTTGCAACATAATCATTAAGAACATGGTATTTTCCACCATGATGTTATTTGAATTTTTTTTTTTTTTTCTGAGACAGAGTCTCACTCTGTTGCCCAGGCTGGAGTGCAGTGGTATGATCTCAGCTCACAGCAACCTCCACCTCCTGGGTTCAAGAATTCTCCTGCCTCAGCCTCCCAAACCATGTTGGCCAGGCTGGTCTCGAACTCCTGACCTCAAATGATTCACCCACTTTGACCTCCCAAAGTCCTGGGATTACAGGCATGAGTCACTGCGCCCAGCCTGAATATTTGTTTTGAACTCCTATAAACCCATTATCTTGCTCTAATAAACTAGACCTAGTTGAATATCATTGTTCCTTCCACACTTTTCCTTTATTTCCATAATCTCCACCTATTTTTTCTCCTCCCTATCTTATAATTGCTTGAATGATGTGGCCATAAGCTTGCACCATCAACGTATGATTATGCCCTTCTTGGGTCATGATACTACTTCCTGATCTCACTTTTAAGTTCAAGTCTAGCTCAAGACCCATTTATTCTAAACATTTTCTGAATAGCATCACAGAGTAGTCTCTTGTTACTTAAAATTTTCCAAGTAGTTAGCATACTTTTATATATTTGCCTTTGTATTATCTTAAAATTAATACCTATTTCAAAAAATTAATTAAATAAGCTCAACAAATACTTGAACAAAATTCAAAATATATAGAAGGATACAGAATGATAGGTAAGTTGCCATCTCAGCCCTGTACTCTAGGCTACAAATTCATCTGTTCGGAGAGTAAGGATTTTCTTTGTGCACTTCTAGTGATAGTTTATATATATGACAGCACATAAAGAAATATTTTGCCTTTTATACACACAAATGGGAGTATACTTTAACACTGTTCTGCAACTTGCTGTTTTCATTTAATAATATTCTTAGACATAATTCCTTATTTATACTCACAGAGTTGCTTCTTCTAATGGCTGCATAGTATTTCATTGTGTGAATGTGTTGAAATATATTTAACTTGTCTTTTATTAATGAACATTTAGGTTGTTTCCAATGTTTTTATATAGCAAGCAGTGCTGCAATGAATAACCTGCATTTTGCCCATAGATGAGAATGTCCTAGAAATGAAATTGTTATGGGCATTTTTGGATAGGTATTGCTAGAATGTCATCCAAGGAGGTTATAAAAGTCATGAAAGCATCCTTAAAATGCTTGTAACAATTTATACTCACACTGTTGCTAACAGGTTGGTTATAAAACTTTTTTTATTTTAACCAATATGCTAGGTGGAAATAGTATCACACTAACGTGCATTTATCTTATGATGAGTGTACATGAGCATTTTTTTCCAAACATGTGCTTGTTCTGTTTCCTGTTCTTTTATTCATTTTCCTATTACATTGTAAATATTCTTCCTATTGACTTATAGGAATATTATATCTATTAAAAATTAGTCGCTGTGATATAAGCAGAAAAAATATTTCTCAATTTGTTCTTTGTCCCTTGACATTTTGATATTATTTCGTCATGTGAATTGTTTTCACGTTTATGCAACAGAATTTATCATTTTTTAAATGGCCCCTGAGTTTTGATCATATGTAGAAATTTTCCACTCTCTGACTCTAAGATTACATAAATATTTTAAAAAGTCTATGCTTTCATTTAGTATTTTAATGATTTTATTTTGTAAGTTTTAGTTTGATCAATCTGGAATTTATTTTGCTGTAAGCTACGAGGTAGTGATACAGCTTTATTTTTTTCCAGATACTAGATGTGATTTTAAGGTTCTTTTTTTTCTCTTTTCATCAAGACTTTTCTATTAAGCTATAACTTAAGTTCAGAAACTTTACTATTTTTTCTTTTTTTTTTTTTTTTTTTTACAATTGGCATGGTACTGAGCATAAGGTTGGTTCTCAATAAATGTTTATTGAACTGAAATGACACAGACCACATAGTACTATAATGATCAGCATCAATGAAATACATGGATGTTAGATCAATTTCATCTTATAACTTGCTTTTTTCAAGTTCAAATAAACAATTTAATTGATTCCATTTTTTATTTCCAGTTAAAGTTGAAATACTTATTTTCCATAAACAATTTACTTTCTCAAACATGCTTATTATTATTTGCATTTGTTATTTTCTCATCGGCAATATATATTTTTAATAGAGAACTGTCTGTAACTTGCAAAAATTAGTCAAAAAAGAGAAATTCAATCCAGGACAATGCAAATCGCCTAAGTTCCCTTAGAAAAATTTAGGGAATATTTTTTGTCTCTATGCTTATGTTACTTTCTCAGTATCCTCTCCAATATGTCTGCTACAAAACAGGGAAAACCCTGTTTTGAAAAGCAAACTTTATCTATTAGATAAAGAATAAGGAAATCATAATAAATATATGCTTTAATTAGAAAAAATGGCTTCATGAGTTAAAAAGAGACAGTAGTGACCGTAAGTTACTAAAGTCCCTGGACAGCAGCCTCAACAGCCATCAATATTTTATGCATGTTTTATTTGCCTATTTATTCCACAGTTCAATAAAAATTACAGGTTGCTATGGAAACATGAAAAATCACAGATACTTGCTCTACTCAGAGGTATAGCATTTCACTTTCTTAATGAAACACACACATCATAAGGGCTTAAGCCTTGTATTTGGTCATAACTTTTGGAAAGTAAGATTTGTTATAGAATGATCAGTTAGTTACTTTTGGTATTTGCACTGATTTAGCAAAAGTGCTAGAAGTATTACATGAAAAATAAAACATAAAAAAGCATAGATCTAGAATAAGGTGAGTAACATCTCTGTCTTCCTAACAGTATGAAGATATTCATTTATACTTTGAAGAATAGCATCTAGAATAAGACCTAGCTGTGGGTAACATAAGATTCTAATAAAAAGGGAAAAGACCGACTACTCGCTTTCTTTAGTAGAGGGGGCCAGAAGGGTTGATTTCATGAAACATAAAGCCCCACCTTCCTTGAGCAGACATGTTTGGACTCTGCTGTGTTTTTCAGAATCCGTTCCAAGGGAACAAAAAATTCCACACCAAGATTTCCTGGTGCCCGCCACTGGTGCAAACATTACCTAGTGATGTCTGCACAAGTGTCAGAGAGGTGGAGAAATCCTTCAAATCTGTTAAATGTGGAATAAAGAGGAGAATAACTTGAATTAAATTTCTGTCCCCACTTGAAATAGACTCTGACTGTGCCTCTGTACCTGGCCCTGATTTTTGCATGAAAATATTCCTTTTGTCCCTATCTGGTGCTAGCCTTCAAAAAGGAATAGGGTTTAAAAAGCAGGAAATAATGTGAGATTTTAAGCAAACAGTTCAATATTCTTTTAGAATGCTCTCTGTATTCAAAAGCACTTTGATTTATATCTTTAGGAGTCTTTGAAACTGTACCTCTTTTAAAAGACCATCCCTGATTTTGGGTCTTTGTTCCTTTATGAGCTTTGTCCCTGATTTCTAATATAGAGACCCGACAGGCATGTTGTTAAAGGAAGGAAAAATAATTTTTACAAAGCCTGGCAAACTGTGTTAAATATGCTTTTGAAAATTAAGTTTAATATAAAGTTCAGTATAACCATCACCATTGAAAGTATTGTCTGTGCTAAATAACTCTTCCAATAAAAATATCCTTTGTTTTCCTGTAATGTAATTAAAAGTGAACCCAAAAGGGCAGCAATAAATCAAGGTGCACAAAAGCAGAAAAATATTATAATTAATATTTAACATAAGTTTTGATTGCTTTTAGAGTAAGTATTAAAAATATCAATTAGAATATATATTCAAAGTTTTCTTCCTTTCCCATTACACAGTGGAAGGGGCTATTTTTAATTCTGGATACTACACACCAAATAATACATAGCCCCTAATTAAATAAAAGGCTGCAATTGAATTGAGAGTTTCTGCTGATGTCATACATAATGAGAGCACAGCTCCAGCTATGAATGAATGGCAGCCGAACCCTGAGAATGAATTACAATGTTAGCATTCAATCAGAGACTAGGTATTGTTATTTGTAATAGATGTAAAATGATTATTATTATTTTTAAATACAGACAAAGGAAAGAAAATTTGAATTCAAAAATCTGAGACTAGGAGGCAAAAAGATTAGAAAGTATGTGATTAAAGTGAATACACTGTATTGGAAAATGAAATGTACAAATTTACCAGTGAATAATTGCTTTATATATTATATGTAGATAAATAGCTAGGTATAACCATATCCATATCTATGTGGGAATAGATGTGTGTGGAAAGCCTCTAAAGAGAATTAGACTTTCAGTTTGCAGGCATTTATTTAAAAATATTAAAAAGGAACTTATGATATAATGAAAGGGTAAAATGGTATATATTTAACTTATCTAAGATCTGCACAAAGTGCTATGATTTACACCTCTATCAGAATATATCAAAGACTTTCTTTCAGAATCTTATTTTCAGAGACAGATTTTAATCTCTGCGTATGATGAATTAAGTATGTAAATCTAATATAGCTAATTATTTATTGTGGTTGAGTATTGACAATATGCTTTACTCAGTATAAGGTATGGAAAATAATATGTTTTCTGCCCTAAATGCTTTAAAGCTAAAGTAGACAACGTCTTCACTGCTTTCCTTTTTTCCCCAATTCCTACTTTCTATGTCAGATTATCACTAGAACACAGGTGTTTGAGAAGTAATTCCTAGTACTCATCTTTTCTTCCCCAAAACTTTTACTGGCCACTCCTCCTGTCTTATTGCCATGTGGGAAAAAATATCTTCAGTATAAGATATATTTAACTCTAGAACAAAAGTATGGACATTACATTTAAAGCACCAAGACAGACATAAAGTCTGGAAGTTTTGAGGGAAACTGGTTGGCAGAATAGAAGTTTTGAGACAATTTTAGAAAATAATTAATTAATTAATTAATTAAAAGATTAGGATGCTGTTTGGTCAACATGAGGAAAAGTAACACAACGAAAAGGTAATATATGGAAAAATTCCTTTAGTTCTGTAGAACTAGTGTTTCCAGATTGTGATATTCATTATTTGAAAATATTACTAGGGTAACAACTTGGCTTACTAGGATTCAGTTACTTGTCAATATCACCAGTATAGAACATACAAATTAGGACATAAGCAAAGTTTCCTGAATAGTCAATTTCTCTACTATAAGTCAGTAACATTCATGCCATATGTTCTCAAAGTTTAATATGTAAGAAATCACCTTTAGTAGCTGTTGAGAGCATACACTCAAGACTTTGGCACTCTTCTTAGTTGTGTGACCTTGGAAAATTTCCCTACCCTTCTCTGTTTCAGTGTCTGTAAAGTGGAGATTTTAATACCCACCTCTAGCATGGTAAGTTTAAATTAGTTAATATATGTGGAAGCTTAGAGCAGTGCCTAGTCTGTTCATATTAATCATTAAATAGGTGTTGTGTTAATACTGTTATGTTAATAATATAAATAGGTTAATATGTGTCAATTATGTTAATATTAAATAAGTGCTGAGGAAAGGAAGTGGTATCCCATTGATTTATCTCCAGTCCTTTTTATTAAAAAAAAAAACCTTATTTCAAAATAATTTCAGACTTACAAAATTATTGCAAAAAGTGTAGAAAATTTTCCCTCATTCTGTGTCTGTTAACAATAATATCTTATATAACCACAACACAATTATCAAATCAGGAAATTAACATCATACAATGTTATTAACCAAACTAGAGGCCCTTTTCACATTTTACCAATTGTCTCTGATTAATGTCCTTTCTTCTTACCCAGGATTCCACATTGCATTTGTTTATCATGTCTTCTTAGTGTCCTCCAATCTGGGACAATTCTCTAGGCTGTCTTTGTCTTTCATGACCGACATTTTTGAAGAGTATTGGTTAGTTATTTTGTAGAATGTCTCTGTATTAGTTTCATATCACTGCTGCAACAAATTACTATAAATTTAGTGGTTTAAAACAACATAAATTTCTTCTTTTACTGTTATAGAAGTCAGAAGTCCAAAATAAGTCTTATGGAGGTTAAAATCAAGGTGTCAGCAGGGCTGAGTTCTTTTCCAAAGCTCTAGGGGAGAATCTATTTCTCATCTTTTCCAGCATCTAGAAGGTGCCCACATTCCTCGGCTTGTGGCTCCATGTCCCTGTAACCTCTCCTTCTGTCATCACATCTCCATCTCTGACTCTGACCTGATACCTCCCTTTGATAAGGATCCTTGTGATGATATTGGGCTAAGTGCGTTAATCAAGCAAAATCTTCCCATCTCAAGATCCTTTACATAATTATACCTGAAAAGCCCCTTTGCCCTGTAAAGTAACATATTCACAGTTTTCAGGAATCAGCATGTAGGCATCTTTAGGGGACCATGATTCTACCTACCACAGTATCAATTTGAATTTGTCTGACATTTCCTCATATTTGAGTACAAGGTATACATTTTTTTTGGGTGTAACAACAGAAGTGATATTGTACCCCTCTCAGATCATTATGCTGCTTTGCTTTTTTTTTTAAGATACAAACAAGAAAGATTTACAATCCTTGAACCCACAATTCTAAAATTGGAAAAGCTCTGAAAATCCAATTTTTTCTCTCTGCAAATTCAGCACAAACTCATTTGGCAGCAAAACCTGACCTGAGCCAACACAAGTCCACTTATACTTTTTATTTATTTTACTTAGTGGGAATAGTCATATGTTTTCCGGCAGAGTTACGTGTTTGATCATGAGGTGTTGCCCGCAACTGTACTGAGGGAGGTTGGGGGGATACATTATGTAATGTACACTTCTTCCACTAAAGTACTTCTGTAAATCTGAAGAATCCTGAAACATATTAGCTCAAGGGTTTCATATGCAGGACTGTGGACCTATATATTTGAGCACAATTTAAAGAAGATCTTTGTTGAATAGAAAGTATATCACATAATTCCATTACTTAAAATGCTAACTTGTCCACTTGAAAAATGCAACAACAAATTAATACATATATGATGTTCAAATGGTATGAACTAAGTGAATTGCTAAATTAACTGTTATGGGCATTCTTTGACACTGAAAAAGTGAGTATTGCCTCAAGAAAATGTACCAAGTTCTAAGAGCTATCTTGTGTCTTTTACATATTTTTTCTAAACGAAACCACCAAGTCACTAAAATATCTTTAAAAATATTCTATTTTGGAAAAAAATATATAAATATATAAGACAACTGTGACTGATATAATATCGCTTATAGAACATGCCATAATTCAGTTTTGTAAATTTTTAATTATAATTTTTAAATTTTCATTTATTTTGTTTTCATTACTAATTGGACTCAGCAAATATGATTGACGAAAAGTAAATCATGTATTTAATCTTCTTCTAAGCTTACTTTTAAATTTATGGAGGAGTCAATAATTTCAATTTTATTAATCTCAAAATGCACCTTTGAAGATCAAAGGCAATTTTATAGAAAACATTAAAAAATTACAAGACCATGTCAGGCACATTGGCTCATGCCCGAAATGAGAGGCTGAGGCAGGAGGATCCCTTGCAGCCAGGATTTTGAGAACAGCCTCAGCAATATGGTGAGACTCTGTATCTACAAAAAATTAAAAAATTAGCTGGGTGTGGTGGCACGTGCCTATAGTCCCAGATACTCGGAGGCTGAAGCAGGAGGATCACTTGAGCCTGGGAGGTTGAAGCTGCAGTGAGCAGTGCTTGCACCACTGTACTCCAGTCTGGGTGATGAAGTGAGACTCCGTCTCAGAAATTTAAAAAAAGAAAAAAATCATAAAACCATACTGAAAAAAATACATTTTGCAGAAAATACTAATATCAGCCATGTTTCTCCAAGAAGCAGTGCCTTCTTTTCATAGAATATAGTATTTCAGGACTGTATTGCTACTCATTGTTCCTAGATCTTTCCAGTAGAGCTAAAAAATAAATTCTATTTATACACACAGCTGTACCCATATAGAATATTATATATTAAAATATTATTATGACAATATATAATATTTTATAGTATATAAAATATATTATCCTCAAATATATAATTCATTCTCTCTCTATGAGTTATTATATATTTAAATATTATACTTAAGTATTAATAAAATATTAAGTATATACTCTATATAGAGACAAAGAGAATAACTATACTCGATGTTTTTTATACATATAAAAGATAGAATGCCTCATGAGTTCATATTCATGATTTCCATTTCTAATCTAGGGCTATAGACTTTCTTAACTTTTGGTCTATTACTTCTTACATGCAGAGAATCCTGGAATCTTAATTCTGGTTCTCAAGGACACGGGAATGATAGAATTGGAATATTCCATAATTACTCATTTGCTTTACCCCACATTGCAAATGCCACTGTCACAGAAGAACAATACTAATACTACCACCACCAATTATAGTCACAGAAACAGGTAAGTAGTTTTTTGCAAAAACTCTCCCATTCTTCTTCCATTTCTTTAGAGTTGTACTATGTCTACATTGTTATAGCATGTCATTTTAGTTCTACAAGTACATATACACGTATTCAAAAGAGTCTTCTGTTGATGTCTCCCTGGTCATTCTGGTTGTCAGAAACTGGTTGTCTGGCTGCTGTACAGATGTCTGTAACAGACAGATCTGGTGGTTTTTGTTGTTTTGTCCTCATCTTCCTACATTTTGGGGCTTGTGTTGTTACATTGTCACTTAGGCTTATTGTGAATACTGTCTGTAGGGTTCTGGTTTTGCTGTCTAGTTGCTATGTTGTTTCTATATGGGAGTTGGGGAAGATTTCAAAACCACACTGCCCTTACAATGGACATCTTCAAATTCTGGCCTTGGTGTTTATGATGCATTATTTCATTTAATCTTTACAACAAACCAAGTAACCAGTCTTAATGCCCCTACTTTACAAACATGAAAATTGAGGTCTCAAATGTGATAAGTACTGATCTAAGATCAAATAGCTAATTGCTAATGGAAAAACTATTTGAGCACAGGTCTATCTTATTCTGTAGTCCATACTCTTAGCTCCTATCCTGCACTGCAATAGTTTCATACATGACATAAACATTGTCTTATTATCAGATAGTCTAGGGCCTTACAGCTTTTGAATCGGCTAAACTTTTCAAAGAAATGTTTCAATGCACTCTCCAAGTTGCAATAATCTTATAACACTATATATATAATTGTACGCATACACTATTTTCTTTCAGAACTTTTTTGTAATCACTAAAGCAATTTCCATTGGATTATTTTTTAAAACTCCTTCATGAATGTTTTATGTTACCAGAAAATAGACTGCTTTCAGAAAGCCTGTACTCGATACTAATAGAAAGTATCATTTGTGGACAGAGAACAAGATAAATGGTCAGAATTCCTAGGTTTCATTCTTGATTCTGTCATCAGCATACGGTGTGGCCTCCTGAAAGCCCATTTAGTCATATGATTATAGGCTCCTTCAACACTGACGTTAATTCACTCCCGCAAAGTTAGTCTCTGGTATCTAATGTCTTTCGACATCATCTTGAGACAATAGTTGGAGCAAATATGATAAGGGGTACATAATGGATTATGTATCGATGACATAAAGGAGGCATGCATAATAAGCAGTGGAAAATAAATTCTAAGGAAGTATGACAATAAAGGGATTGTTTCGTTCCCTTCAAGAAGAAAGAAAAAAGGCATTTTTATCTTCAAAACTCCATTCATAGACAAGAGTTTCATCAATGAACTAATTTCTCGGATAATTTTGGTTGGAATCTGAGATGGATTTTTATGCATGAGAAATTTTCATGGAAAATACCCTGTTTGCAACTTCAAATTTATGGTTTGGCAACAAGAGTGTGAAAAAAAAAACAAACCAAGGTTACAGAGGAGGAACTGATTTTAAATATATGTCTATAATATATAGATACTTTGCTCCTTAGGAGCTGAGCAGTGGACTAAATGTTAAAAGCTAAAACTGTAGAAAAGGCCAGGGAACAGTGGGGATGCTCAAGCATTTTGCCTTCAAAGTCTTGAATTTTCATGGAGCTGTTCTGTATACGTGTAATGACAATAAAAGGTAAATTCATGCTCTGAAATCTTCCTCTTCTCCCCCTCACCCACCTCAGAAACATGTTTCTTAAAGCCTGTGTTTTAGAATTACTATTCAAAATTCCTTCATTAATAACATCTGTCTGTGCCCAGTTATATAGAATAAGGAGACAAATCAATCTCTCTGGTTTAGATTCTTTCAAAGTGACCTAAAACCTTTATCACACTAAGGTTTTCCCCAGGTACACATGGGGAGCAGATGTGGAATAAGAGATAGCCAACAGGTGCAACGCCTAAGAGAAAGCAAAGGGCTCAGAGATCATTTGAACTCCGCCTTATAACGCAGCCTGTCAGATGAACTAGCCATCCTTGACTTTTTGTCTTCATTGCGAGCTCACAGTCCAGAAAACATCCCACCTAACAAGATGAAAGTTTTAAAGTGTTTTTATTCTAAGTATATGAGAGGAAAAAATAGTAATAGAATCACTTCACTTCATGAATATGGCAAGCCATGTTAATTCATTATAATTTGAGGCTAATTATGTGTGGATGACACTGAATAGCAGTAATTATTTTAGATCCAAATCACAGTGTCTTCAAGCTAGAAGACAGCTAGGGAGAACAAAGCCTATACTAAGATTTCTAACTGGCTCATACAGACAGTTCAGTGTTCCTCTGAGACAACTTTTCAGTGTCTAAAAGTTTAGATGCTCCTGGGTTGTAGTGTGGTGGGGATTAGGTGGGAGAACAAGAGAATATCTTGACCTCTTCCTCATTAAAAAAAAAAAAAAAATTGGTCCCATCCTTCTGTACCTTGACATTTCTTATCTTCATTTCTTTCCTTAATATCACGTAGAAAATGCTTGCATCTTAACCACTTGATTGTTGCAGTTTAACATTTCTAGGCAGTGTTACAAATAAGTACATCTCAACTTTAGTTATGTAATCTCATTAAATTTAGAACCAACGTGTCACATGGAAGAAAATGAGCAGAACAAGACCACAGGATACTAGAGAGGTACCTGTTGATGAAATGTGAGCTTGGGTAGAACTTTGAACATTGTATCTGCTTAGAAAGCAGCTAGATGGGTATTATGAAGTTCCCAGGAGCCAAATATTCAACAGAATGATAAAAGATGACACAAAATAAGGAGAGGAAGAGTAAAATCATTTCTTCTAGAGCTGGCTGTTGTTTGTAAAATCGAGTATTCGCCACTAAAATTCCGATGTAATATTTCCATAGGAGATATAATATTTCCATAGGAGATGCAGCTTTCTTTCCACTGGGACATTGCCCCTTATCCACATTGCTGTGTCACTGTGGGATTAATGGTTATGAATTACTGAAATAGACACACCATACTTGGTGACATCTTTAGCCATATAAAGGAGTCACAGTCATATATGAAAAAGTTCCTCCCCTTAAGAAGTTTGCAATATAATAGTAAAATAAGGCCAGTTTATTAACCTAAATTATCATGCAAACCAAACGTCAAGTGTCTTAAACGTAAGATAAAACAAAATCATATGGAAGCTGAGAGGTGAAGATTAAGTCTACTGCGAGCATTTTTCCTCTCAGTGGCCTGGAGGGATATTATTTACTCAGAACGGCACTTAATTCCATGTTATTCTATGTTGCTAATGTGAAAGAGAGGCAAAACATAATGACTCTCCCCTATTTCTCTTTCTTTGCCTTGAAAGGTATATTCTTTGTACTGTGCAGCTCCAGAGATCTTTCTGTGTTGATCTGAATTTAATGGTGGAAATGTGGAGTGAAAGACAGAAGAGATGTCTGGGGGCAAAATGCCCTACAAAAGGAAAAGCATAGAGATCCACATGGAAAGTGTTGCTAAATGGTCTATATTTTGCTCTCTAGAACTTCTCATTTCCTGTTCCAGATTGGGAACACTGGGACACACAGTTTACTATTCTAATACATATCTCTTGCTCCCAATGGTTCGGTGTCAGATTTCTGTTGCTTTTGAGACTGACAGCATGGAACACAGGGCATTTAGGTGGGTGAAAGCCTAGATTAAGTGGATTTTTAATATCTTGATGGCATTGGATGTTCAGAGTTAGAAGAGTCTTTGGAAAGTGTAACTACTGCAGCCTTTTTCAATTTTTTCTGCAGAGTCCTAGTGTCTAAGGCAGATTATGAGTAGGTGGGTGGAGACATAAGGAGGAGGTTATGTTATGTGGGTTGGACTCTGGGATCCTGCCCTCAGTTCTACCAGAGCTTATGAATTTGGTTTTATCTGTTTTATATACTAGGGTTCCAGATAAGATAATTGAAAATAAAGGCACTATGGCTAAAAAGGAAATATTTTAATACTATCAAGTTCAACCAGAGAAGTCATAGAGGTTGAGTGAGCTGAGACTCGATCTCACAGTTAGTTCCCTTTTGACTGCCCATGACTGCTCTTTCATGTGCATCCTCAAATAAGAAGGTGAGCTGCCTGAAGATATGTAGGGAATTAAACTACGTTCAAATGATCAGCTCTGGATTCATTGGTTATGTTTAATAGTAGCATCCCTGTTATCACCAAGTGCTATGTTTTCTGTGTGTTTGACTACAGCAAAGGGCTATACACATATTTGCTGAATCATATGGAGAGTGTTTGTGCATCCATACCTGACTAATTAAATGCAAAATTTTATTCTTCTCTTGCAAGGATGAACCTCCTTGCAATGGGGCTGCACCTTTAACCGTTGAATAACTGCTTCTGCCTTTTCATCAAGAGGTCTCTGAAGGACTGCCAGCCATTTCAGAGGAAAGCCACATTTGCCTTCTTTACTGGAGTACTGAGTCTTGGAACAACAAGATCCATTTTTGTCAGATACCTCATGATTCCCTATCACAGAGAAATACAGTATGATCCCTGACCTCATCAACAAGAATGCTGCACCAGCTAGAGAGAAAAAGACAGGGTAGAGAAGAGTAGTATTGGTAAAAGAGATGAAAATGGGAGCAGTGATTAGCTTGTTCCTAAGACACAATCTCAGAGATAAAACCTTAATGTTCAGTCCTTATCTACTGTTCCTTTAAACGGTATCCTTAGATATGGCCACCAAGAACACCCATTCAAAATAATCTGGTAATCTGTTTAGGTTTGGTGAATTACAATCCCAACAACACCAACAATCAGTATCCTGAGAGGCTGACAGGGTTCCTGACAGTGTTCTAAGCATTTCATTTTCATTTTCTCTTGGGTGTCATGTAGCAGAAAATAACCAGGTATCATCCATTTCTCTTCAAGCTTTCCATTTAGGTGAAGAGAATAAAATAAATACAAGGGTAGTTCTATGACAAAATAGTCCATAGATCTTGGAAAAACCATAGCCCACAGAAATGAAGAGGTTTGTGTTAGCATCCATGAAATTAACAAGTTTGAAGAAAGGACCACCGCACTGAAGAGCAGAATTCATAGTGTCACAAAATAGGTCGTGACATACCATTCCCTCTGTTCCCTTAAAAATGCCAGCTTCTCCATCAAGTCACAATTTTATCAAGCATTCATTGTACTTTAAATTTCATATATTGTATATAACTATTCAAAAAGTCCAGGTCATGTGCTAACCATAAAACATTTCCTTAGTTAAGGGCAGGTTAGGAACATCATGTATTAGAAGACACAGACCTTTAAGTACAAGAATTAAATATGAATACTTAATTTTTGATGACTTTCATAGGTGATGTTTTCTAATCTAAAAATAGGATAACATATTTTGAGAACAAAATTTATTTCATTAACAGTCATGTGTAGTTATAACATTGAAACATTCAAATTATAACTAGAAACATAAACGTTTTTAGATTTTGTGGAAAGAGAATTTTTAAATGATTTTTTTTACATAAATATTTAGTTGCTGGCATAAAGGCTAAAGTATTAGAAGCCAGGGGGAAGGAAACTGTAACAGTTTTAAAGGTAACAATAGGCTCAAAATATAAAAAAGGACCAATTCAGCTGGTTTAAAAAAAGAAAAGAAAGCACAATAGCTCAACAGTAAGTTCACCTATTATATAATTACAGGTTTTGTATACAAGTGCAGACAAGCAGACAGAATAAAAACCTCCTCTAGGAAATCCAAAAAACTTGGCAGGTCTGTCCAGGTGGGATGTGATGCTGGTACCAACAACAAAAAGAAATAGCCTGTAACTAGGGCTTGGCCTAAGTCTGAATTTGGCTTCTCTTTGCTAAACAGCAGTTTGCTGCAAAACTCGGGGAAACAAAGGGAAAATGGAAAGTGTGAGAGAATGAAGGCATAGAGCTCAGGTAACTAAAAAAAGATGTTGTCAATCACAGGCTTTGCCAGGCAATGTTTTTGCCATCACTTCTGAGGACAACTCACTTGAGATCTTTCAAGAACTTCTGAAGACGGGTATTTCATAAACAAAGCTCTTCATCAGAAGGCAAAGGAGGAGACAAATAGAACTGTTTTTAGAACATGAAATGCAGTAATTATATACAATCCATAGATGTGTCTTATACTTATAGAAGCCCAGGTTTGACTGGGGTCATGGAGATGGATGACCCCAGACTTTCGCAGAATGCTTATCTTTCACCCTGTTGTTTTGCACACTGTTACTTGTTATCTATGGAACTCAAAAGACAATCAATTCAGCAATTCCACATCTGAGTATATACCCCAAATAATTCAAAGCAGGGACTTCAAGAGATATTTGTATACACTCATGTTCACAGCGCATTGTTTACAATAGCCAAATGGTGGCAGCAACCCAAGTGTCTATCAACAGATCAAAGGATATACAAAGTATGGTATATACATACATCAGAATATTATTCAGCCCTTAAAAGGAAGGAAATTCTGACACATGCTTCAAGAATGAACCTTGGGGACATTATGCTACATGAAATAAACCAGTCACAAAAGGACAACATTTTATGATCCCACTTACATGAGGTTCATAGAGCAGTCAAACTTGTAGAGACAGAAAGTAGCATAGAGGTTGCCAGAGCTGAGAGGAGTGGGGAAAGGAGAGTTAGTGTTTAATGGGTACAGAGTTTCAGTTTTGCAAGATGAAAAGAGTTCTGTGGTTGGGTGGTGGTGGTGGTTACACAACAATATGAAGGTACTTAATGCCACTGAACTGTAAACTTTAATTAAATTAATTAATTAGTTAATTAATTATTTATTGAGACACAGTCTTCATCTGTCCCCCAGGCTGGAGTGTCATGGTGCAATCTCGGCTCACTGCAATTTCTGCCTCCTGGGTTCAAACAATTCTCATGCCACAGCCTCACAAGTAGCTGGGATTACAGGCGTGCACCACTACACCTGGCCAATTTTTTGTATTTTTAGTAGAGATGGGGTTTCACCATGTTGGCCACGCTGGTCTTGTTCGAACTACTGACCTCAAGTGATCTGCACACCTCAGCCTCCCAAAGTGCTGGGATTACAGGTGTGAGCCACTGCATGTAGCCAACGGTACACCTTAAAATGGTTAAGATGATAAATGTTACGTTATATGTATTTTACCACATTTTTTAAAAATCAAGTATTTGGGGGCATGGAGAGAGGAGGGTCTAATGCCAGACAGAGGTGGGACCAATTAGTGACTGATTTCACACAAACTATAGCACATGCTGTCAGAACCTTGCCCATAGCCCTTTGGCCAGTTACCATTTTTCCTTGTCAATCTGAATTCCAACTGCCAGCACCAGCACCTCTTTGCCTGACAGATTGCAATGAAGCTGCTGGAACCTGCTTTTCCTGAGCATGTAGCAGACCAGGCATGTCAGGGCATTAAACTCTCTAGGGAAGTCAATGGCTGATGGGAACTGGTGTACGAATATTCCAGTTCCCTCACTACTTAAATGGAGTGGATAACTGTGAAGCATGTGTTTTATACAGTGTCCCAAGTTCCATAGCAGAATTATGCTCTTATTTCCATTAGAACTTGCTTAATGATGCACCTTTATTGGCTTTTTCCTTTCCTTTTTTGTGATGGCTAATTTTTGTATCAACTTGGCTAGGCCACTGTACCCAGATATTTGGTCAAACATTATTCTTGATGTTGGTATGAAAGTATCATTTAGATGAGATTGGCATTTGAATTAGCAGACTTTGGGCAAAGCAGATTACCTTCCTGAATGTGGGTGGGCCTCATCCAATCAGTTGAAGGCCTTAATAGAAAAAGACTCTTCTGCCCTGAAGAAGAGGAAATTATGCCAGCAGGCTGCCTTCATACTTGAAATGCAATGTTAATTCTTCCCTGGGCCTCCAGCATGCCAGCCTATCCTGTAGAGTTTAGACTTGCGCCTCCACAATTGTGTGAGGCAAATCCTTAAAATAAACCTCTCTCTCTCTCTCTATATATATATATATATATAATATAAAAAATTTGTGCGTATATGTGTATATATTATACATATATACATATATATGCATATTTTCTGCTGCTTTGGAGAATGCTAATACATTTTCCTATTCCTGTGCCACTGTTCTCAGAATACTTTTCCATTTAATCTATATTTGCCCTTGAATCCTTGACTTAGAGCAGTGGTTCTCCCTCCACAGCACATTTGGCAATGTCAGGAGACATTTTTGGTTGTTATAGGAGTGGGTCTAGTGGGAAGAGGCCAGGATGCTGCTCAACACCCTATAATGTACAGGACAGCAGCCTCTTACATGAAAGACTCACCCAGCTGATATGGTTTGGCTGTGTCCCCACCCAAATCTCATCTTGAATTGTACTCCCATAATTCCCACGTGTTGTGGGAGGGACCCGGTGGGAGATAATTGAATCATGGGGGCGGTTTCCCCATACTGTTCTTGTGGTAGTGAATAAGATCTGATGGTTTTGTCAGGAGTTTCTGCTTTTGGGTCTTCCTCATTCTCTATTTACCTGATGCAATGTAAGATGGGACTTGCTCCTCCTTGCCTTCCACCATGATTGTGAGGTGTCCCCAGCCATGTAAAACTGCAAGTTGAATTAAACCTCTTTCTTTTGTAAATTGCCCAGTCTCCGGTATGTCTTTATCGGTAGCGTGAAAACGGACTAATCCACCAGCCCCAAATGTCAACGATGCTGAGGTTGAAAAATCCTGATTTAGCATTGGCTTCTGGGGAAACCCAAATTAAGGCAGGGATTAAAATGAAAAAGGTAGGCCAGGCGCGGGGGCTCATGCCTGTAATCCCAGCACTTTGGGAGGCCGAGGTGGGCGGATTACCTGAAGTCAGGAGTTTGAGACCAGCTTAACCAACATGGAGAAACCCCGTCTCTACTAACAATACAAAATTAGCTGGGCATGGTAGCACATGCCTATAATATCAGCTACTCGGGAGGCTGAGGCAGGAGAACTGCTTGAACCTGGGAGGCGGAGGTTGCGGTAAGCTGAGATCGCACCATTGCACTCCAGCCTGGGCAACAAGAGCGAAACTCCATCTCAAAAACAAACAAATAAACAAACAAAAAAGGTAAGTGTTGCTGAATTAGGAAGACGTTTTAGAATCAGGGTTACTAAAGTCTGCAAAAACAAACAAAAAAACTTAAATACATGCAGATGTTGGGTGCAAGGCTATTAAAAAACCAGGAGTGTTGTGCTAACTCAGAGGTGCTTAAGTGGTGCCTTTAATTTGGCAGTGCCACAAAATGGGAACAAAACCCTCTGGGATTTACCTCTATGTGGTCAGTTGTCACAAAAAGAAATCAGGATTAAAGAAAGGCCTAGTAAGATGGTTGATGGTAGACAGATTCTCCCTGAGTGTTATGATACTGTACTAATGTGATTTGTGCCCAAACCCCAGCATCTCAGAACACAGGATTCAAATTCATGTCTCAGCAAAAAGGCTGATTATTTAACATCATTAAGTTTTGGGAGGGTTCTCAAAAGGTCATTCCCCTCAGCCTGCCTTGCCAGGAAATCTCTCTTCAGTGTTACCTGTCAAGTCTGTTATTTCTTCTGGGAGACGCCATTTTCTTCCATCGCCTGGATGGTTTCGAGTTCTCTCGGTGTGTGAATTTAACAGGCACGGTAGGGTGTTACAATATCTGTTCCTCACTATCTGTGTGTTGTTCATTTTCAGACAATCCAATTGCAGTACTTGCCTTGGCGTCTTTGATAATGGAGTTGGATCCAGGGCAAAAAAGCAGGGCCAGCAGTTAGTGAGAAAATAAGTGAGAGTCAAGGAGAAGCCTCCAAGAAAACGTTTCTGGCTGCTTTGCTAATGCTTGGATTGATTTGATGCAGAGATATTCTTGGAGAGTTTTGATTATTAATGTGCCTAATTCTACAGTCTCCATGTAGGAGGTGGGTACTTCTCTAGCATAGGATCCTCTGAAGGTTCCCAGGGTAGGATCAATGGTAACCTAGCCTCTTGCCCCATACAATATGTTGACTAGAACATCTCTGACTCAAACTCCAATTGTGCCACTGAAAATGCCAGAAACTATTCTGGGGCTGTAACAATAGCTTCTGTGCCACCTGACTCTATTCCAACATAAGAACAGCACAGAAGCGTATCAGAACCTGTAGTTTTATAGGTAACATTTGAAAAAAAATATGAAAAGGAAACAGTCAAACATTATATTTAGCATTGAAAGCTGTGAGCTGAGACCCTTGTACTGAAAACCAATTGGTTTAAATTCTAATTTTATCTCTGTTGTGAATTATAGCCTGGAAGTGTTACTTAATTCCACTGGGCCTTAGTTTCCTCAATGTAAAAATCAGGGTGTGAGCAGGAATGGGTTCAAGCATCCTCCCAGCTCAAATATTCTGTAATATCTCAGCAAAGTAGGGGAAGTCAGACTTCCTATCAAAAATATTGTTTTCAAAATATTAGTTAATCTGTTCCACAAACCACTTGATCAATCACAAAAACACTGCTGCAAGACAGAAAACATGGGAGAGGTAACTTTGACCATGTGGGGTTGATTTATGATTAAATCAATAAGTACCTTGCAAAAAACACATTAGAGAAACAGTTTCTTTAAGCCAGCAAAATATATAATGTCTACGAAAAAATGATTGGCATGGCCCTCTGCGAGAGGGGGAGATTTATGGTTACCACCATGAGAAGCTTACAATGATGCTCTTTGAGATCCAGAAAGCAGACAGTATTGTTTATGAACATGCTGTATGTAAAAATTATAAGTTGGTCATTGTCTCAGTTTGGGTTCCCCAAAAGCAGACCCTAAGATTAGAATTCGAATGGTGGCAGTTTATTTAGGATGTGATACCAGGATACAGAAGAGGGGAAGTGAGAAGAGTGAGACAGGAAACAGAGAAAAACAGAGGAGACACCAGTAAGTGGGAGCCACAGTGGGAAGCTAGCTTCCAGTCTCCCGGGGAAGATTCTGAAGAATCGCATAAGATTAGAACTCATGATTGACTCACTGGAGGACAGGAAGCATTTGGGCATTTCTTTTCTGAACCTCGTTCTTCTTTGCTTGAAGGTTGGTCCAGGGGTCATCAACACACCTGCAATTCTATGTTGTGCCTATTTATCTGCCACCTTGCTCTCCCTGCCACTCTCTCATGGCTTCAGAGGAAGCAAAACGGAGAGAGCTTTGGCACACTCTTCTTCTGAGACATTTGCAAGAAGAAAGAACTGCCTACCACACAGTGGCCTTGAAATCAGGCGGGCCAAGCAGACCTGACTTGGTGCATAACAAGTGCCACACTTACTTGAATCAGATACAGTGCATTTACATCTTAATTCAGCTAATGGGAGATAACTATGTGTGCAAAATATTTTATAAACCTATATTGCTAGTTAAGACACTGACTAGAAAAAATGATCTATAATACCAAATAAAAATATCTATCAAGGAAGTGGGTTTGGAGAAGCGAAAGGGAAGCTGCCCATGGGGGGATGGGAATCCCCGTTCTGGGCATTGTGGCCAACAGCAGGGAACATGAAGCCAGGCCTCTGTTCTGTTTTTGTGTCATAACTACATCATCATTAAGAGCACTGGAGAAGCATGAGCCAGCACCAAATAACCAATTACTGACCTTTTCACTTCTTCCTACTAATCCATATATTTTTCCCCTCTGGATTTAAATAACTTCAAAAGAGGGAGAAACAACAAACATACTTAGAAAAGCCATAAGCCTCATTCATGATATATTTATATTAGTCTTGGGCAAATGTACCTTCTGAAGAATAAACTTGAAGAGCCCCAATTTGGACCTTGAAATTCCAACTCCCAAACCTTGAGAGGGGGATGGAGAGCGTTTTATTCAATTGGATGTAAAAGTGAAAACCTCATGACTTTATTCACTCATCAAGCCCATTTTGACACAAGAAACAGAGTCCCACTCAAGCTACAGTTAAACAAATGGGATTTAATGATACAACACAGATATGCATCCTCTCAAAGCACTTGGACTTCACAAGAAATGGAATCAGAAACTGAAAATTTAGTAATCGATGTTTCTCTATTTATTAGGGGCTGTCCCTCTTTCTCTCCTGCTCTCTGCCCCAAGATTCTTCTATTGATGCTTATTCTAGGGCCCCAGATAACCTTCATCCATAACCTTCCAGCTCTATAACTCTTTAAGAAAAACGATACATATCAGATGTACATATCTTCAGGGTCCACGTGATAATTTGATACATTTGTCTAATCAAATCAGGGTAATTCTAGTAACTCTTTTCAACCAAGAATTTCCTATGTTTCTTGATGACCAAGTTTTCAAGAGAGGAAGCCATTGGGTCCATTCCAATACACACCAGATCACGTAAGCCATAAAGTGTCAGAAACTATATAGACAGGTCAAGTTCCCACCCTTTGTTCAACCAGCTTTTGCAAGGGGCAGGGTCACAGAGACCACAACACACCAAGTATGGCTGTGGGCAGGGCGGATCCCTACAGAAGACGTGTGTGAAGTTAGTGGCAAATCTACCTTATCTAGGACTTTCAGAATAGCCTGTTAGAAACCAGATAGCACACTCTCACAAGCACCCTGCTTGTGACCAGAATTATACTACTTGTGAAGAATTATGTTACTTAATATTCTTGTGAAGAATATTAAGAATATTATTACTTAAATTCTTGTAAAGAATTATATTACTTAATTTTCTATGCTAGAATCACATGGAGGTTCCTGGAGGTGGTGCACCCAGGGAGGGCATGGAAGCCCCGTGTCCCTTCCTCCACACTTCAACCTATGTATCTCTTCATTGGTATCCTTTGTAAATCCTTTACCACAAACTGGTCATTGTAAATGGCTGACTAGAGATGCCAGATATCAGTTCTCCTCAGAAAGAAGATCCAAAGTTACAGGCGAATGATCATGGTCCAAGTGGAAAGCTGATAGAAGATGGTTTGTACCTGTGAGAGAACCCATGGGAAAAGGCTTGGACACAGAAAAAGAAGGCAGCAAGAGTCTGGCAGAGATTGACCCGGAGGAACTTGGAGTCCCGTGGAAAAGGTAGGTGGGGTGTTTCTTTGCTCCTTCACCTCTGCAACATATTACTGACTGCTGAATTGTCAGAGGACTTCTCTGCACTCAGGTGGACTGCTGTCCACAGCAATTTGGGGACTTCTGGAGGGGAGAGCACAAGATGGCCAGCTCATGGAAGTTCTTTCATTCTCCCCTCAAATCTGAACTAGGGTGATGGGTGAGATACTGGTTGTGCACCTGTCGTTGGCCACTATCCTGCCCAGGGAATCTTAGCCCTTGTGTCTCTGTATCACTAGATGCCCTGCAAACATTGATCAGAACCCACCCTGACTGTGGGACCCTGAGGAACTGTAGGATCCCTGGAGATCTAGCCCTTAGCATGGGCTGCCCCTAGAGCAAGGGGAATTACAGCTCACCAAAGCACTCCTTGGGACGAAGGAAACTGGATCACATACTCTCCCCTGCTCAAGAGCATGCTGTTTATGACCAGCAGATGACTTAGTTAACCTGGGAGCAGCATAGATGCAGGTGCATTGCTGATCTCTGAAGTGGTGAGTATCGTTTCACTTCAGTGAAGAGGTGGCACTGGCAGCCAGGAACAGACCTGTAGAGAGGGTCTTCTGCCCTCATCCACTGCTGCAGAAGCAACTGTGGCTTTTCCTGCTGCAGGTTGGCACAGGTGCCCTAGGAGACAGCCTTTCCAGCGCTATTTGGGGCAGCTGCACCCCAATTAACATGAGCTTACCAGCACAGGCTTGCATGAAGGGTGGGGCTCATCTCCCCCTCCCTATGCAGACTAGCAGTGTTCCTGCAGTACGGTAGGAACCAGCCTTAGGGCTGTCTGTTTGGGGCTTAGAAGAGGTTCCACCCCAAGGGTTTTTAGGCCGGAGACAGCCATTTTCTGTGGACTCTAGTTGCATTACAGCCTAGAGATAAAGGACAGTGTCTGTCTGAACTAAAGGTCATGATCCCTGGGACAGGGGGGTGATATGGAAGTGGAACATGTTCCTGCCTACCCAGAACAAAGGGCCACTGCAACCCCCTCCCTGGTCTCCTCGTCCTCTGTGGAGACCTCAGCACATTCTATGTTGAGCTCCTGCTGCCACCTTCATTAGGGCAGGTGCTTCCTTCGTCGTCAGATATCTAAGAATCAGTCAGCTCTTACTTGTAAATGCTATCTATTGTATTGGAGAATAAACTGCGTGACCAAATAAAAAAAAACCTACTGACAGAAGGGCATAATGCTAGGGAATGAGATAAGCTTCCTGAGACCTCCTCACTCCTAGCCTCTCAGAAGATAGTGAGTTGGCTCATATGCCTGACATATTGCTACAATAATCAGTATTTGAGAAGTCATTGCACAAAAACCATCTATAATCAAGGAAGTTATACAGAGCCTTGGACACCTGAAAGCACCCAGAATCAAAGCCAAATGATTATACACAACATACATTACAGTCATACCCTCGAGGGAAAAGGACTAAATAATTAAAAGTTCCCATTCAAACTAAGCAAACTCAAAAATAAGAAGTGACATCTCTCTCAGATGAGAAGGATACAATGTAAGAACTCTGGCAGTACAAAAAATATTTCAACACTGCAAACAGATCACTCTAGCTCTCCAGCAATGGATCCTAACCAAACTGAAAATTCTGAAATGTAGAGAATTCAAAATATGGATTGCAAGGAAGCTCAATGAGACCCAAGAGAAAGTTGAAAGCCAACACAAAGAAATCAGAAAAACAATTCAGGATATGAATGAAAACTTACTAAAAAGATTAATTAAAAAAACCAAATAGAACTCCTGGAGATGAAAAATTCATGGAAGGAATTATAAAACATAGCTGAAATTTTTATCAATAGACTAGACCAAGCAGAAGAAAGAATCTCCAAGTTGAAGACAAGTCCTTTGAATTAACCTAGTCAGGCAAAAATAAAGAAAAAGGAATTTATAAAATATGAACACAGCCTTCAAGAAATGTAGCATTATGTAAAGCAACCAAGCCTATGAGATATAGGCATTATGAGGGACAAGAAGAAAAAGTAAAAAGCTGGATTTGAGACCAAATGACCTACTAGACATTTACAAAACAGTCTACTTAGCAACTTCAGGATTTACATTTTTCTCATCTACACATGGAACATTCTGCAAAATAGACCATATGCTTGTCCATAAAGCAAGGTACAATATATTACAAAAATGAAATCATACCAGGTATCTTCTCAGACCACAGTGGAATAAAATTAGAAATCAACATCAAGAAGAATACTCAAAACTATACAAAACATGGAGACTAAACAACTTGCTCCTGAATTATTTTTGGGAAAATGCTGAAATTAAGGCAGATATAAAAAAAAATTGAAACAAATGAAAATAGAGACAAAACATATCAAAACCTCTGGGATACAGCAAAATTAGTGCTAAGTGGAATGTTTACAACATTAAATGCCTACCTAAAGAGACAGAAGGAACTCAAATTAGCAACCTACTGTCACACCTCAAGGAGCTAGAAAAACAAGAACAAATGAAAACCAAAGCTAACTGAAGAAATTTAAAAAAAGATTAGAGAAATTGAGATCAAAATTTATACAAAGTATTAAGTAAACGAAAGGTTACTTCTTTGAAAAGATAAACAAAATTGATAGAATTCAAGCTAGACTAACCAAGATAAAAGAAAGAAAATTCAAATAAACACAATCAGAAATGATAAAGATAACATTACAACTGATACCACAGAAATACGAAAGATAATTACAGACTACAATGAACATCTGTATATGCACAAACTAGAAAACCTAGAGGAAATGGATAAATTCTTGGAAATATACAATCTTCTAAGACTGAGCCAGGAAAAAATAGAAATCCTGAACATACCAATAATGAAGAATGAAATTGAATCAGTAGTAAAAACAGATACCCCCCAAAATCCATGGGCCAGATGAATTCACAGACAAATTTTACCAGACCACAAAGAAAAGCTGGTATCAATCTTACTGAAACTACTCCAAAAAATTCAGGAGGGGAATTCCTCCCTAACTCAGTCTATGAAACCAGTATTACCCTGATACCAAAATCAGGCAAGAACATAGCAAAAAAGATGATGGGTCAATATCCTTCATGAACTTAGATGCAAAAGTCCTCAAAAAAATACTACCAAACAAAGTCCAACAGCATATCAAAAGATGCTACATCATGATCAAGTGGGTTTTGTTACAGGGATGCAGGATAGTTTAACATATGCAGATCAATAAATATGATTCGCCACATAAACAGAGTTAAAACAAAAGCCATATGATCATCTCAATAGATGAAGAAAAAGCATTCGATAAAATCCAATGCCTCCTTATAATAAAACCCTTAACAAACCATGCTGCTAAGGAACATACCTCAAATTATAAAAGCCACCTATGACAAATCCACAGCCAAGATTCTACTGAATAGGGAAAACGTGAAAGCATTCTCCCTAAGAACTGGAATAAGACAAGGTTGTCTGCTTTCACCACTGTTATTCAACATAGCGTTGGAAGTCTTAGAGCAAGTTAGGCAAGAGAAAGAAATAAAAGTCAACATGCTCAACATCACTAATCATCAGAGAAGTGCAAATCAAAACCACAATGAGATACCGTTTCATACTAGTCAGAAAGGCTATTATTAAAAAGTCAAAAAAAAAAAAAAAAAAGAGAGAGAGAGAGAGAGATGCCAGTGAGGATGTGGAGGAAAGGGAATGCTTATACACTGTTGGTGGGAAGGTAAATTAGTACAACCTTTATGGAAAACTCTATGGAAATTTCTCAAAGAATTAAAAATGGAAGTACCATTCAACCCTGAAATCTCACTACTGGATATCTATCTAAAAGAGTATAAATTGTTATGTTAAAAAGACCCCTGCATTTGTATGTTTATTGCAGCACTATTCACAATAGCAAAGTATACAACTGACCTAAGTATCCATCAATGGATGATTGGATAAAAAAAATGTGGTATGTATACAACATGGGATACAATACCGCCATAAAAAAACAATAAAATAATGTCTTTTGCAGCAGCATGGATGGAGTTGGAGGCCATTATCCTAAGTGCAATAACTCAGAAACAGAAAATCAAATACCACATGTTTTCACGTGTGGGTGGGAGTGAAACAATACCACATGAACATACAGAGGGAAATAACAGACAGTGGGGACTGTAAAACTGGGGAGGGTAGGAGGGTAGTGAGAGTTGAAACATCACCCAATCAACATTGGGTATAATGTTCAGTATTTGGGTGATGGGCACGCTAGAAGCCCAAACATTACCATTATGCAATATATCCGTGTAACCAACGTGCACATGTATTCCCTAAGTCTATTTAAAAAAATACAAAAATTTGCAGATTTTTTGCCAGCTAAAATTATTGGAGTAACTGATTTAAATATTTGAATATATTTATAAATAACAAGAGAGACAATGAAATAATATCTAAATGTTATTGGAATAGATAATTATTGAATGCAAATACCTCACAAAACAATACTATTAGAGTTTATGAATCAATATATTTTCAAATAAATTTAGCTGGTACTAATTTGAATACACAACCCACTTACTTGTGAGACCCTGAGTAACTAAAATAACCCCTCTGGGTTTCCCTTCTATCATCCATAAACAGCAGTAATAATACCTATCACTAGATCAAGAGTAGGCAAATCACTACTGATAGGCCAAAAGTGGCTTGCTGCTTATTTGGGTAAATAAAGTTTTATTGGAATACAACCTTGCCCATTAATTTGTAAATTATAAGGATGCAATGGCAGAGTTAAGTAGTTTGTACAGGGACCTTAAGTCTAATAAAATCTCAAATATTTACTGTCTATCCCTCTACAGACAAAGTTTGCTGACCTGTGCCTAGATTACTATGACTAAGTGTGACGGAGCTTCCCAAAGCATGTAGTCTGGTGATCACATGTTTATCAATATATATTAAATTTATTTTGCTACACTCAGAACACATTCAGGGCTCTAAGAACACACACTTTTTGGGTAAAAAGAAATAGCCTACAAATTCAAGATCAAGGAAATGGTTTTTATGCATTTAATATACTCTTGAAATCTTCATGGGTTTTCAGTTAATCCATTAAATGTAACAGTATGTTCATAACTTAATTTGTATATTTTAGCCATTTACATTAATGCAAGTAATTGGCAGGTACCACATTAACACACAAAGATGGTTAATGCCACACATAGAAAAAAGCATATTCAGTTCTTTATTATTTATTCTAAATAATATAATGCACAAATCATAGAATTGAAGGGCCTGAAAAGACGTGTAAAGGTGGAGTCATTCATTCCTCGGTGTCAGGGCAGCACTTCAGATCAATTATCCTACAAAAATTGTTGTATTTGATTCATTAAAACCACCAGATACTGGTATTCCACTGAATCTTATGGTAATATGCACCAGGGTCTCACAATTCTTTTACAGGGGCATTTTCCCTAAATGTAGCCCTGATTTTTCCTGCTGCTAGGCCCTTTCATCCTGTTCTCAAAGGTTCAACCTGGTCCACCCGAGTGTGTGCATTGCATAAAGTCACTGAAATGCACTGGTTCTTTCCCTTCCTCCATGTGAAGGAGATCTACGGCCAAGCGGTCACCTGGGCCTTGAAGATCACGCCCCTAAGCCTGGGCCACATCTGAGCAGTGAGAAGGTTAAAGCTCTTTTTGGTAGACCGTGCTCAAGAGGTGAGGCAGTAAGGCTTCTGGGACAAAATAAAATATTTTCCTCTGCCTTGCATGCATGGGCCATTGCTGTTTTTCTAACTATAAAGCAAGAAGGTTGTCATTGTTACAGTATTATTAAATATATAAACAATGTCGCCTTCTACATTGGAAGACAGTCATCTCAGAATGTTCTGTGACCTTTGTTTTAATAATTGAAATGCATTTTCTTAATCCTATATCCTTGATAGGGAGAAAAACTCCAGTATGTCATGACAGTAAAATGTTTAAAATGTTGAAAAAAAAATTAACCACTTCAGGATGAAAGAGGGTCGTTTAACAGCTCTATCAAATAATAATTCTGCTTTTCTGAAAACACTTTCTGAGAGCATCAGCCTACCTAAAAGTATAGTCAAATGTATTTCAATGAAAATGTAGTTAACAGCAAAATAATGTATGTGAAGATATGTTTAATATTGAATTTCTCTACCTTCCCAGGAAAAAAAAAGCATAGATTTATTATTCAAGAGTTCTCTTCATTTGAACAATGACTTAAAATACAGGGCTTGGGGACTTACCTCCCATTCCTCGTTAAGCCCTTTCTCCATGCTTCTGTGATTACACAGGCTGTATCACATCCTCCTCACAGATGGACTGTTTCTGTGGCTTAGTTGCCATCGGTCAACAGACTTGGTGACAAGGGGGCTACCCAAAGAATTTACAGTTAAAGATGTACCTCTATGTATAGGCAGAAGAGGAAGTAAAGGTTTCTAGGTAGCAAGAGAGCTGTTGAAGAGAAGAACCAGTGGCATAATTTGATAAGAATGGTTTTTACAAACCCAAGATATATCCATTCACCTCTATCAAGGGACTTTAAAAATAGACAGTGGTGAAAGAAGCAAACCATTTGAGACATATTGACTGACATTAAAAACATCAGCAAAAATTGGAATGTTCCTTGGTAACTATGTCATATAAGGTAAATAACATTTTATCAGTATCTATTTGCAGATATAAGATTGCTACTACATTTCTAGAAATGTACATGAGAGTTAAAACAAATATTTCTCTGATAATTTTAAGCCATACTTGACTCCTGTTTAAAAACTGTAGTATTTGTAGGTCTAGCCAGTTGATAGCTCATACAAATGATAATGTTTAAGTCACTGATCTAATGTGTAGTTATTACCCAAAATGGGTCAGATAGTTTTTATACCTGAGCCATATGCTTTATTTACTGTCACAAGTAGCTTTGCAGAAATAGATTAAAATAGCTCCATTTTAATCCAGATAGAATTTTGAAATTTATGTATTCTCTTTAAAATTTTTTTCCAATTTTAAAATACCACCACCATTTGTGCCATTTTTTTTTAAAAAGTGTCTAGGATGACTTCTTAGGTTGGATGAATTCAAATTTCAAATTTGATTAATCAAATATGTTATATGCTTATATGCGAAAGGCTACTGATTTCTAATTTAGTTAGAAATCACATCCTCACCAAAACACCGTGAGAGGCACCTTTAATCATGCTAATTTCAGGCAGGTTCATAATGTCCTGGAGATTTGTATATTTCAAGTTGAATTAATCATCATCTCCCTCCTTCCCCAGCTCCTACCATGTGGTCCCCTCCCCCCATGTCCTTTCTATTCTGTTAATGACACCACCGTCCTCCCAGCCACCCAGGCTCAAAACCTCAGAGTCACTGTTGTGGCATATCTTTTCCTGCAAAATATGTAACAAAATGACAAGCACCCTAATGCTACTTTTGTAATATTTCTTACATCCATTCTTCCTCTTTACCTCACTAATTCATGGACATTTCCTCTTGCTCAGACCAGAGATTGATAGACCTTTATCTGCAGTTCTGAAGCCCAGAAAGATCTGGTAATCCAGTTTTTGTGTTTTAAAAATTGTTTGTGACATGAGCTGACAGGAGGATTTTATAGACACCATTGATAATATGTAGTTTGAATTTATCTGGAGAAATATAGAGGCATTTGACCATAGGGAGCTTCTCCAGAACCCTGTGTTATTCAATATCTGATATATACCTTGTAGCACCTTTCTAAACTTTGGAAAATTCTGAATCCAGAATATATCTGGGCTCAAAAGTTTCAAATGAGGAAATGTGAATATTTGTTATTATAACCTCCTGAAAGAAATTCCACTTACTATTTCTATTTTCATTAATCAATTCTAGACATTTCTATCAAATGAACATTTCTGAATAAATCTACTCAAAACTAGTCTTCAGCAGGTACTTCTACCTCCACATTCTGGCATTTAGGTCCTTTAAATCTGGTCTAGCTTTTTCTACTTGCAGCATACGGATCTAAAAGACATTTGATTTGCATACAGACTAGCTTTGAGAAACAAAGTGTCCAAAATTAAGAGTCACGTCCAAGTTACTTGTATACCCATTGGTTAGTTATTGAGTGCATGGGCACTCAATAATCATTTGTTGGATAAATAAAATAATGATGAATAAATAAAAGAATAAATAAAACTGGCTGAGAAAAGAACAAATAAATGAAAGGATAAAGAGCAAGCATTGATTTGACCAATGATGAAGAGTAATTTAAACTGACAGAAATTTTAGTTCACACTTCTATGTTGAACACTGGTTAGGCTTTGTTAAGAGTCAACTTTGTACTCAAGAGGGACATTGAAATTTTGAAAAGATCTAGAGAAGAGACAACTAAATGATTAAGGGATATTATTAGAAAAATCTAAATAAAAGGCTTTTTTGAGTGAAAGGAAAGAAATGCTGTATGATAGCTGTATGGTAGTCAGCTGTGGTGGTCTTGAAGTATTAATACCAATTGCCTCAGTAACCAGCAATTGAAAGGGAACCGGGCCAGAGGTCACATAAGGCTTGTAATTTGGCACTACCACCAAAAATGTGAAGGGACATTCAGGGTCCACGGTGGGTTTCCTCTCCCAACACTGAAGTAAGTTGGTTTAAACACAATAAGGGGGGATTTACTTTATACTAAACAAAGTAAATACACATGCACTGCAATTGAGGTATTTCTGTGATACCTATTGATAGTTTAAATTATGTTACACTATATTTAGGAAATAAATCAAGAAGAACATCATGAAATGGGTTGAAGAAATGGAAATAACTGTTACATTTGTATTTGATTTTCACTTGGACTACTAAAAGAAAAATATAGATCCCTATCTTCTCAGAATAGTTTAGAATCATTCCAGCTGGGGAGCGGGCAAAGAAATTCAAGAGCATTTTGCATAGCTTCTTCGTGATGTAGAATTCTGAAGAACTATAATCAAAGAGCATTAGAAGAAATAATAATAATAATAATAAAGCAAGCTACTGGTGATGGAAATAGAAGTAGCAGAGGGGTTTGTGATCCTTTTGACAATTCATAAGGAAAGCTTCATCTGTCATAACCTTAAGCACAGTAGAATATCTACGAATACTCCAATAACAGTGGCTTATATTTGAATCACCTAGTCAGCAGCTCTGGTAGTATCAATATGACATATATGAATGGACCTACTCAACCTGCATTCCAATCATTCACTTCACTTATAACCCAGGACTTTAATGACTGCCAAGCTTCAACATTCTCTTGCATGCACTCATCTCAGACATGCGCTTCTGACAGCTTCTTCAAACAAAAGGAATATGACTAAACTCCCAAAGCAGGACGAAGGGAGTTCTATGCTGAAAAGCAAGCCAAATTTACAATTTAAAAATAAATTCTGGCAATGTTCAATGAATTATATATTGTATACTATGAGAATTACATTATTATTGCCATAATAATATATGGCAGTTATTAGAATTACAGCAATAACACATGCAACTGTTAATGGACTTATAATGTAGCATGCCATTGGGAAATAAAAACTAACTATATTTTTTTCATTATCAAACAAATGTTGCTATAATCTATATAGTAATTTGAAACTGGGTAGTTAGAAGTAGAAGTTTATACCCACATTTGCTATGCATATATGCCCCTCTGTCACATAATTTCCCACTAAAGTTAAAGAAGAAGAAAATATCACACATGGACTGTTTGTATACACCGAACTGTTTTGATTATTTTGACTGACTAAACCCACAAAGTCAAGTTATTCAGTTAAAAAAAGTGGAACTCAACCAAAAAAAGTCAGAGAGGTCAAAACAATAATCAAGTCAGTCAAAAATCCAGTTACAAGGTTTTATTTTTCTCTAATGAGATTGATTTGACTGGTCAAGTCAGTCAACAGAGTCAAACCAGTTTCACAGATGTAGCCACATAACTCATTTGATATTTGTACAAGCCCTCTGAGAAGAGTGGGGCAAATTCCCCCCCCTATTTTTTTCGTTCCATTTTTAAGCCAAGAGCAGTGGCTTGTGCCTATAGTCCCAGCTAACTGGGAGGCTGAGGTAGGAGGATTGCTTGAGCCCAGGAGTTAAAGGCTGCAGTGAGCTATACTACTGCACTTCAACCTGGGTGACAGAGTGAGACCCTATCTTTTTAAAAAAACAATGAAAAATAAAAAGTTTTAGAGACAAGTGGTTAGAATGTGTTATCTATAACTGTGTAACAGACCATCTCAAAACATAGTGACTTAAAACAACAATGGTTTATTATTTCTCACAATTCTGTGGGTTGAATGGGTTCATATGGGCAGTACTTTTGCTCTATTTGGTAGGGACTGAGGTCACTCATGGACTTGCACTCAACTGGGAGCCCGGGAATGGAATATACAAGGTGACCTCTCATCCTCAATGTTTCTCTCCTGTGACACTCATTATTCAATAATCTAGCCTGAGTTTCTTTGCCTTACAAGTGGAAGCATTCCAAATGGACAAGCCCTAATGTGCGAGCATTTGTCAAATCTCTGCTGTATCACACTTGCTAATGTCCCATTGCCCAACAGGAGCCCAGAGACAAGGTGGGAGGGGACTACACAAGAGGGTGCATAACAAATGTGGTTCATCGGGAGTAACCAGCATGACATCCGACCATAACATGGGATGTCATATAGCTGTTATATCACAGAACAAGATTAGAACTTAGGCCTCCTTAATGTGGTTTTCTTCCCATCAGACCAAGCTGACTCTCCAATGTCACATTTATTCTTCCTTTAGTAACATTAAGATGGCTCATTATTTTAACACTGGTCAAAGTGTAGGCCATAGTAGAGGACAGTTACTACTGCATATTGCTCTTTAAAATACCAGTTAAATTTACTGCCCAGGTTTAAATTCTGGTCATTTTTACCTAAGAAGGAAATCTGAGTCAATCATCTTTGTTAGTTTTGAAAAACCTTTATTTTCAACAATATGAAACCTTACAAAGACCCAAGACTGATTTTGCTATCATCTTACATTATAGGTGCAACATTTGGAGGAAGAACTATGTTTCTTATGTTTCTACATTAAGTAGTTGAGGAAACTGTGACTCAGAAATGCTGAATTCCTTCTCAGGAGCTCATGGTGCATGATAAAGCCTGGCTTCTTACTTCAGAAGATTCTTGCTCTGGAGGAACTCATGGTCTTAGGAACATATTTGCATACAGCCTTCTACAGCAGCTTAACTTAGATCTTCTCCACCTCGTGATTGTTTATAGCACACATTGATGATGTTCTATATTTTGGCATTTGAGGAATTTCATTTTTCACAATTTAGCACAAAGGATACCCCAAATCAGCACTTCTCTAGCTTCCTGAACTCAGAATCCCTTTATGTTCCTAAAAATTATTAAGAACCCCAAAGAATTTCTGTTATATGAATTATACTAATCAATACGTACCATGCTAGAAATTAAAGCTGAGAGGTTTTTTTTTTAAATCACAAGAACGCAAAGCATACATTCCATTAGCTGTCAGAATGATGACATCAACACACGTCATATTACCATTGTACTCCACTGTACTCTCAGGAGGCAGTAAGAGTGAAAAATGCAAATCAAATCTTTTTATTATTGTGAATATAACTTTGACCTAGCAAACCCTAGAAAAGGCCTCAGAGACACTCAAAGCTGCTAGACCACATTTTAAGAGGTGTCTTCTAAACAATTTTCCCCCTGAAAAATAATACATAATGCTGGATGAAAATTTTAAAGATCTGTTTTGAATTCACGGCTAAGCTGATAAGAAATTAAGCGCTACTTTTAGAGAAAGAAACTGGAGTGAAAGCACAAACCCAGAGAGGTAAGGCAAAGTAAGGGAGGCTTGGGGACGGCTGTTCATTCTTTGCATGTGACCAACAGATTTTACTTTATCAGATGTGTAGAGAAGAGGGGTCAAGAGATTAGAGCTGGCACACAGAGGTTAATTTGATAGAAGACGACTTCACTAGGCTCTTAGCATTAGGCCGAGACCTCAAAGGATAATACTGTAACTCAGTGAAAGGGTGAATGAGGGAGAAAGCCTGGCTCATAGAAAAAGATATGAGAAAATTTCTTTCAATATTGGTTTTGAATGGAAGGGGGAAAAAATTCCTCTATAGGCTCATAACCACAGGCTTGGCCTTATGAATTTTAGCCTATTCTCCCAAGCTGGGGGCGCTTCCAGGCACCTGATAAATACAAATGCAAATCCTACCTGGGGGAATGTACCTGTAACTCAGACTTCAAAGAATTCCCACACTTAAGTGTTATTAAAAATAAGCTCATGATTTTAAAAGAAATCATGAAATAAATAAGGAAACAAATTGCTGAGTCAAATGGATGAAGACCAGAACTTTAAAGAGTATGGATAAGAATGTTTAACATGATTATAAAAATAAGAGATGGTTTGAAAATATGTCTAAGGAATAGGCAGATTTGAAAGGAATAAAACAGAATTTTCAAATAAAATAATCAAATAGATCTTTCAGAAATTGTAATACTTGAAGTTAAATAGTATAAGAGAATATGGATTTGTTGGAATTCTCACATACTGAGAGGACTGCAAATTGGTAAAACCACTTTGGAAAACTGTTTGGCAGCATTCACTAAAGCTGAAAAACATGTACCCTATGACAAAGCAAATTCTTTAGGTATAAACCCAATAAAAATGCTCAACATATGCTCACCAAAATAAATGTGCAAGAAACTTTATAGCAGCACTATTTATAATGGTTATAAATGTGTGTTCATTTTATGAAAATTCATCTAGTTATAAATTTAAGATTTCTGCATTTTACCAATCATGCCTTTCACCATGGTGGGTTCACCATGGAAACCCACCTCTTGCATCAGCATGACTGGGATGTGAGACATGGAGTCGAAGGAGATCATTTTGGAGCTTTAAGATTTGACTGTCCTGCTGGATTTCAGACTTACATGGGGCCTGTAGCCCCTTTGTTTTGGCCAATATCTCCCATTTGGAATGGCTGCATTTACCCAATGGCTGTACCCCTATTTTATCTAGGAAGTAAATAACTTGCTTTTGATTTTACAGGCTCATAGGTGGAACAGATTCATCTTGTCTCAAATGAGACATTGGACTGTGAATTTTTGAGTTAATGCTGAAATGAGTTAAGACTTTGGGGGACTGTTGGGAAGGCATGATTGGTTTTGAAATGTCTGTTTGATATGGTTTGGCTCTGTGTCCCCACCCAAATCTCATCTTGTGGCTCCCATAATTCCCATGTATTGTGGGAGGGACCCAATGGGAGATACCTGAATCATGGGGACGGGTCTTTCCTGTGCTGTTCTTGTGGTAGTGAATAAGTCTCACAAGATCTGATGGTTTTAAAAAGGGGATTTTCCCTGCACAAACGGTGCTCTTCTCTTGCCTGCCACCATGTGAGACATGCCTTTCACCTTCCGCCATGATTGTGAGGCCTCCCCAGCCACATGGAACCATAGTCTGATAAATTTCTTTCTTTTGTAAATTGCCCAGTCTTGGGTATGTCTTTATTAGCAGTGTGAAAATGGACTAATGCAGTAAATTGGTACTGGTAGAGTAGAGCGTTGCTAAAAAGACACCCAAAAATGTGGAAGTGACTTTGTAACTGTGTAACAGGCAGAGGTTGGAACAGTTTGAGGGGCTCAGAAGGAGACAGGAAAAAGTGGGAAAGTTTGGAACTTCCTAGAGACTTGTTGAATGGCTTTGACAAAAATGCTGATAGTGATATGAACAATAAGGTCCAGGCTGAGGAGGTCTCAGATGGAGATGAGGAACTTGTTGGGAACTGAAGCAAAGATAACTCTTGTTATGTTTTAGCAAAGAGACTGGTGGCATTTTGCCCCTGCCGTAGAGATTTGTGGAACTTTGAACTTGCAAGAGATAATTTAGGGCGTCTGGTAGAAGAAATTTCTAAGCAGCAAAGCATTCAATAGGTGACTTGGGTGTTTTAAAAGCTATTCAGTTTTAAAAGGGAAGCAGAGCATAAAAGTTTGGAAAATTTGCAGCCTGTCAATGCAAAAGAAAAGAAAATCCCATTTTCTGAGGAAAAATTCAAGCTGGCTGCAGAAATTTGCATAAGTAACAAGTTGAGGAATGTTAATCACCAAGACAATGGGGAAGATGTCTCCAGGGCATGTCAGAGACCTTTGCAGCAGCCCCCATCACAGGTCTGGAGGCCTAGGAGGATAAAGTGGTTTCATGGGTCGGGCCCAGGTTCCCCGGGATGTGTACAGCCTAGGGACTTGGTGCCCTGCATCCCAGCCACTCCAGCTGTGGTTGAAAGGGACCAACATAGAGCTCGGGACATGGCTTCACAGGGTGCAAGCCTCAAGTCTTGGCAGCTTTTACATGGTGTTGAGCCTGAGAGTGCACAGAAGTCAAGAATTGAAGTTTGAGAATCTCCACCTAGATTTCATAAGATGTATGGAAACATCTGGGTGCCCAGGCAGAAATTTTCTGTAGGGCTGGGGTCCTCATGGAGAACCTGTTCTAGGGCAGCGCAGAAGGGAAACGTGAGGTTGGAGCCCTGCACAAAGATCCTACTGGGGCGCCACCTAGTGGAGCTGTGGGAAGAGGGCCACCGTCCTCCAGATACCAGAATAGTAGATCCACCAAGAGCTTGCACCATGCACCTGGAAAAGCTGCTGACACTCAACGCCAGCTCATGAAGGCAGCTGGGAGGGAGGCTCTAGCCTGCAAAGCCACAGGGGCAGAGCTGCACAAGACCATGGGAACCCACTTCTTGCATCAGCATGACCGGGATGCAAGACATGAAGTCAAAGGAGATCATTTTGGAGCTTTAAGATTTGACTGCCCTGCTGGATTTCAGACTTGCGTGGGGCCTATAACCCCTTCGTTTTGGCCAATTTCTCCAATTTGGAATGGCTATATTTACCCAATGCCTGTATCCTCATTGTATCTAGGAAGTAATAACTTGCTTTTGATTTTACAGGCTCATAGGTGGAAGGGATTTGCCTTGTCTCAGATGACACATTGGACTGTGGACTTTTGAGTTAATGCTGAAATGAACTAAGACTTTGGGAAGGCATGATTTGTTTTAAAATGTGAAGATATGAGATTTGGGAGGGCCAGGGGTGGAATTATATGATTTGGCTCTGTGTCCCCACCTAAATACCATCTTGTAGCTCCCATAATTCCCACGTGTTGTGGGAGGGACCCGGTAGGAGATAATTGAATCATGGGGGTAGGTCTTTCCTGTGCTGTTCTCATGAATAAGTCTCAAAAGATCTGATGGTTTTAAAAAGGGAATTTTCCCTGCACAAGCTCTCTTCTCTTGTCTGCAGCCATGTCAGACATGCCTTTCAACTTCCACTATGATTGTGAGGCCTCCCCAGCCACGTGGAACTGTAATTCCAATAAACGTCTTTCTTTTGTAAATTGCCCAGTCTCAGGTATGTCTTTATTAGCAGGGTGAAAATGGACTAACACAATGTTGTACTTCAATAAAAAAGTCTACACACACACACACACACACACAAACACACACAGCTCACATACAAAAAATCCTTAACATCCAATGAAAAGATCAGCTGTGATAAATCAGAGCAAATACCACTTTTAAATAGTCTTATTTTACAAAATAGAAAAAAAACAGTCAACAAATGAGTTCAAGAATGGATCCAGGAATAGATGCCATTAAAAAGAAAATTAATTAACAAGAAATTAGAAAAGCGTGATCCAAAGAGACCAAGAAATGCAAGGTATGGAAAAAGAAGTTAACAGACATGGAGGACTAAGACCTAAATTATGTTTATTTTGAATCCCAGAAGGAGTTAATACACAGCATGATAAACAATATTTGAAGTTAATAATGAATAATTTTCCAGAACGAATGCGACACTTGAATCCTTAGGATCTGGAAGAAACTAGTTTGCAAGCTTGATACATACAAGAAAATAAGACCAAAACACATTATGGAAAAACTGGAGAACAGCAAGGATAAAGGGGAAATCCTAAAAGCAGCAAGAAGTGATAGGGCAGATTTCATACAAAACACAATACAAAACAAAACATTTAGTTGGGCAGCAACAAGGGAAGCCAGAACACCACAGAATGATGTGCTGAAATTTGCAGAGAGAAAGCAATGATCAATCTAAATATAGTCTAAGTTGGAAGAGAGTTAGATAGAATTAAACTTATGAATACAGGCTGTTGTCTATAAAGATATGTTACGAAGATACTGTTCTTTTCATTGTGTTCTTCAGCTGTTTGTGAGATTTAAATATGTCATTAATAAAATTATTTTGCTAATGAAACATGCCTACAATGGGTAAAATAGATGTAATCATAATCAGTCTAGTCCAAAATCTGATTCACTTCTCTAGGTGCTAGCATTAGGTCAAGTGTGTAGTAGATGCTCAGGAAATGTATAAACAGATGAATGGATAAATGAATGGATGTATGGTGGGTGACTGAATGAATAGACAGATAGATAAATGGATAGATAAATACATAGATACATACATTTTGCAGACAATTTTTGCCACCTCTGACCTTGATACTGAGTACCTTATAGCAGAGTCTGATACAATACAGCATCAAAATGCCAATATTTTTAGTTTTCAGCTCTTGGATCTGATCAGTGTTTCTTAGACTAAAGGGAACAGAGGGAAACAGCTTTATGTATCCATATTGCAGAATATTTGTCTGTAGGAACACTGTTTGGGCACCACTGGTAAGTTACCCAGTGAAATCCCCTGATGAAAGATCTCTGCCAGGGTGGAGGTCAGGGTCTTTCTCCTTTTCTGAGTGAAATGTGACATCAAATCTTGGGCCAGTGGTGAATATCTTTGCCCAAGGCCCAGAACTTATTTATCTTCTCTGGACACTGACAAAAAAACAAAACAAAACAAAACAAAACAAAACAAAAAACTGCATTGCACACTCTAAAGACTGTGTCCCCGTTTCCTGAGAGAAATGATTTCCTCTCTAGGATTTGACTAAAAATCATGGGCAATTGAAAGCCTGATTTATCCCTGTGGACTATTAGTCACCCTATAAAAGTTAATTTAAAACAAATTAATCCATAAATCTCGACATTGTCTGCAAATACTTACCACCATAAAAAAAACCTAATTTAAACCCTTTTCCCTCTACTCTAAATTAGGGTTGCACTGCATTTTAGAAAATGTCTTCCCGACTCAGAATAAATTACCAGTTATTTCCTTTCTTATTGATGTCGGTAGAAGTTCTAAGGGTGATATTAGGTGCAGTATCACAATCTCTTAGTGTTCAAAGAGAAGGAGAAAGAACATGCAATATTTTGTATAAGCTTTAATACATAAACTTTATGCATTGGAGAAGTTTAATTTTAAATGCAGCTCCACAGGCTATTCTTCCTGAACGTCACTTAATATAGTTTCTTAGTTAATGCTGTAGTCAAACTTAGAATATGAGAGAAAATGAAATCAGAGTGGTAGTTCTTTGACGGAGACAGAATTTTTACTTTTATCACAATCATCAATATTAGAGTCTCAAACGAGAACATAAAGGAGTGGCCTTCACTTGACAATCAAAAGGCTAAAAAGGACAACTTGAACCATTAGGTGGTTTAGATTTCTGTTGAAAATTCAAAATGCAAATTCTATTTACTCTAGGATCACTGCTAAAAATCATTTGAGGAGCATGGTAAATGACCAGAATAAAAGTGATTTCTTCCCTCTTTTCTAGGTAGAAGAGGCAATAACAAGAAACACAGTCATTCAAAACACCAATTTGTAGTTCTCCCATCTCGAAGAGCAGCCTGTTCCAAAGGGGGCGTTATCACCTCTGGCAGTTGGAAACTTTTAGAAATTCAGTTTTTGCATATAAAAATCCTGTTGCTTACTCGATCCTGTATATTTAAAAATAACGGTTATATTCTAAGTCAGAGAGGGACTCAGGTGTTGATTAAATCAATTAAGTCCAAATGCCTCCCCCCAAATCAGTCATCGACAGCCAATAAGATAAGCAAGAGAGAATTTAGTACATGGAGACATTTCATGGAAAGGTGTTCTGTGGCTGTCATTTCATAAGCTAAAAAAAGGCACTTATGGAGCTGCTAATTATCAAGCTCCCCCACACCACTATACTGATGTTAAATGGCACTGTTCCATTAGCTGTAATTATTCCATTTGTAATAAATAAGCATTAACCATTTTCAAATGTACACTCGCAAATCATTTTTAAAGGATGAGCTTCATGCATTTAAAACCATATATTTCAAAAACAGCCCAGGCGACAAATCTGCATGAAGGCCTAAATTCAAATTAGAAGAGCATTTAAAAAATTAAAATGAAATATATTCAGTAACAGAAATTATTACAGCCTGCAAAACCTTAAAGAGAGAAAAGGAGAGAGAGAGAAAGGGAACTACCAAAACCAAATAAAGAAGAAAAATATTTAGATGTTCAGTTGGCTGAATGTATTAATTCTTCAAAAGACCCCGGCTTTTTTTGGAGAATTCAGCACCTGGAATTTAGGTAGTTATTTGTATGAAAATAGATTCCAATGGTTGAAGACGAGATGCAGTCACATCACAACCCAAATGTCTTTGACCTTTATTCTGGAGAAGTGGGAAGTAAGTAACCCATTGTAAATGCAGAGATACAGACGTGGGTGTGAGTGAGTGACATAAGAATTTTGGAAGGAGAGAAGTAGCTAGAAGTAGGGATAGTCTTAGAGCTCTTCCACAACCGCTTCCAGGAGATTCCTTTAAGGATTTATTGCATTCACCAATCCTTAGAAATTTATTCACCTTGTTTAAACTCAGAATAAAATGATTAATTAACAATACTATAAAAAGTCCTGGACGCATACAGACATGATTTGTGCACCTTTCCTATGCATGCTATACTTCAATGAACTTTCAAAGTAATGCAAAAATTAAATTAACAAATTATTAGGTTACTGTAAAAATATTCGTAGGTCTATATGTGGGTAAGACAAAGGGCTGATGTGAATGTAAAGGATGAACCCCAAGAATAATTTTTCAAAGCAAATAAAAAAGTCCTTACTTTATTAGTGAATCTGGAGGGACAAAGTTTTGTTTCCTACCAAAATTATGGAAAGGGGATGCCTACACATTAGTCCACGGGTTCTCAATTTGTTTCAGACACGGACTCTCTGAAAGTCTTTGTACTTTCAATATTGTAATACAGCAGAAACGATTCCTACATCTCACCTAATTTTATGAACATCAAGTAATTTGATTAGCAGGAATCATGACTTATTATATATACCTAATGTAAAATCCCAACCACAGGAAATAAAAACTTGTTAACAACAACAAACAAAATTAATCTATTGGCTTTTGTGAAAGAGTGATTACTAAGCACTGTGTTTGGGTTGAAACAGCCTGGATCTGTGCTGTCTAATACAGCAGCCACTAATGTGGCTATTTAACTTTAAATTAATTATAATTCAACAAAATTAAAAATTCAGCTCCGCAGTTGCACTAGCCACATTCAAATGCATTTCATCACTTTCTGGAGGTACTTTCTAACAGTCAGCAAGGATAAAGCTAGACTCAGACAATTGATAGTTTTCTACCCAACCAAAGAAGCTGGTGAGTTGCTTTTATTGCTTAGGTGTTCTGCAACAAATAGACTCTTCAAATTTTGTGGTCAATACATGCTCTGAAGTTGAAAATTATATCCCTGAGCAATTAAATAAAGCCTCAAGTCTGAAGTTGAATGTCTTAGAGACATACTTGTGCACATTTTCTATAAACATTGGAAGAACTGTGATTTTTTCTGATGACAAGAAACAGAAACTGTACAGATTTAAACTCAACAGTTTTTCTGCCCTGTTCGCCTCATGCTGTCTGTTCATTGTGCTCCTGGGCTCACCTAAACATAAATGTATTTTCTAGACTTCTCTTTCTTATCTTTGCTCATAAGGGTAACAGCCAGTACACTGGATTTTCAAATACCTAGGACAACAAGATCATTTTATTCCACCTATTCTCATCAAATACCATGGTCAAGTCAAAGTTTTGTGGCTTGAAATTTTATTCCTCACTATGAAAATCATTTTTTTCTTTGTTTACTTAGAGCACCTGTAACATTTAGTGTGGCTGAGATAGTACTAAAATCTTGGCTGATAGTTGAATAGGAAGTTTAAACTTTTGTTTATAATTTTATGTTATAAAATTATACCTCAAACATGTTTTCTTCCAAAATTTTTTTTTTTTTTTTTTTTTTGAGAAGGAGTCTCACTCTCTTGCCCAGGCTGGAGTGCAGTGGCACGATCTCGGCTCATTGCAAGCTCCACCTCCTGGGTTCACGCCATTCTCCTGCCTCAGCCTCCCAAGTAGCTGGGACACAGGCGCCTGTACCACGCCCGGCTAATTATTTTGTATTTTTAGTGGAGATGGGGTTTCACCATGTTAGCCAGGATGGTCTCAATCTCCTGACCTTGTGATCTGCCTCTTCCATAATTTTTAAAGCAAAATAACTGAACCCATAACTGATGTAGAGAATTGGCATAGAGTATATTCTTGCAATAGATGAACACTACATGCCAAGGAATGCACAGTGACTTTGCTGTGAAGTCTATTCTGCACTCAGAGGACCTTGTGGAAAAGGTCACCCAGTATACCTTGTGTCGTGGTTGCTGCCAGGTGTGGTAGGATCCAGTTGCCCTTCTGTGGACCAAATTGTGCTGGTGCCATGTGATTATCTGATTTGTCTCAGAAAGCCTTCTTCTTACCCCAAGGCCTTTATTAGAAGATTCTACCTCTGATTATACACTTACCCAAAGTAAAATGTTTGTGTTCTGAATGATGTTCTGAATATTTAGCCAACGGATTTATTTAGAAAGCTTTATTTCCCTACATATAAAAAAAAGAAACCTGGTTATGTCAATTGCTGTAGTTCTCTCTCTAACACTTTCTTAAAATGTGATCTTACCTACTTCCAATCAATTAAATCAGAATCCACAGGGATCGAGTCCAGGTAAAAGCATTTTGGAAAAGCTCCTCAGACAATTCTAATACACATTCATAGATAAGAACCAGGTCCAATCTGAGCAGGATTCATTTCACTCCTCAGTGCAGGGGTGCACATCCTGGTCCTGTCACTCATTCATGATGTGATCTGGGGCAAAATGTACCCAACCTTCCTGTGCCTCATTGCCCTCATCTGTAAAATGGGGATAATAATAGTTTTATATAATTGTGACAGAGGCAGGAGGCAGAGAAATCCTAGGCAGGCAGGAGTGCATCCCCAGTGAAACCCCACCTTCAAGCGAAAGACAGTTTAAAGCCTGAAGACCAAGCTACAAGCCAAATCCATGAACTGGATTGAGAACATGTCTTCCTGTTTGGCACACGTTCTTTTCATTGATCCCCACCCTTCACCTATTTTATGTATACCTACCCCTCCCTAATTGTATTTACACTGTGCCTGCCTCTGATTGGTGCTTTTGTTTTAACCTTTTTTGCATACTCACAGACCAATCAGCACACACTCTTTTATCCTGTGCCTACAAAAACCCCAGACTCAGCCACACTGGGAAGATGACCTGACTTCGGGAGAGATGACCCGACCTTCCCATTCTCTCTCGACTGAGAGATGTTGCGTTGCTCAATAAAATTCTCTCCCTTCACCACCCTTCAATTGTCAGCATGACCTCATTCTTCTTGGATGCAAGACAATAGCTCAGGACCCACCAAACATGGGTACCCAGAAATGCTGTAACAGTGGCCCTCTGCCCTCACTGGCAGAGGGCAGCCGCCCCATGCAACATAAGCAGTGGTGGAGCCAAGCCAGTCTTGGAGGCATGCCAGTCCTGGAGCCATGGGCCAGAGTGGGGCAAGAGGCTGACTGAGCTACTAACAATCTGCTCTCCATTGGGCTGTGGATGGCGAAACTAAAAGAGCTAATTAGCACACTGTAACACCTCCTCTGGGGCTTTAGGGTTGTGGGAACCCCTGCCTGGGCATTGTTGTATTCCCCTTGGGAGACATGCTTAGTCTGGCTGCAGAACCTGCACAGAGCTTGCTCCTGTGTCAGCACTTGCAGTGGTCGTCCGGACCCTGCACTCACTCACTCATGTGTTCCCTCTTGACGGGCTGAGAGTGGCAGGCCAAGTAGATGAGGCCCCACCTATTGCAAGTCTGGCAAAGGGGCCAAGAAAAATTCTGTGTCATTTCTGGGGGTTCATCTGGGATCATTGGAAGGGTGAGCGAATGCGGACCTGACTCTTCACTTTTTTCCCAAGACTTCTTGTCCTCAGACTTTCTTCTGAAGGCAGATGAAGCACTGAAACTCTGATTCGTCAGTTAAGAGTAGATGGCTCAGGTACAGAGGACAGGATGTGACCCTGCCCCCCACCGCCTTTCTCTTTCAGGTGAAAGGATGTTGGCTTTGTTTCTCCTCACAGAGGTCTAGCTGCCATGTGGGATCAGAATAAGGTCCTGCAGCAACTGAAGGCATCTGGAGAAGGCCACACCTCAGTGTTGTTATAAGGCCCCCAGACCAGCTCTGGTCCCTGACCACTTGTTAGGACATTGGCCAAGACCCCCAGACTTCTCCATGGTATTTTTTCATCTTTCTTTCATGGATTAAAATGGCTCCTATCTCTCCTTTCATACTGTTAAAGGTGTGTTGCTGCAAACTATAGATATTACTGGGTAGAATGAATATTTGGCCCAGCCATCAGATATGCAATTCAGAACAATGCAGTTTCTGTCTCTTCTTAGAGGCAAGGATGATACAGGGATTAGGAGGTTTTTTTTTTTTCCTGTTGAAGGAACCCGTTTACATAGAGCAAGAGTCTTTCCCCGTCAGGCACCTTTCCCCCCGCACTTAAGTTGTTTTTTTGATTTTTCCTGTTTTCCCCCATGTCAGGAGTTCACATAGCCCTACAAATACAGGGAGCTTTTCTACATGAGAGGTTTTCTGTTTTTTTTTTTTTTTTTCCTTTTGGGAGGCATCTTACTAGGCCAGGCCCCCAATTCATGAGACTTTTATTCTCTCCCTTGTTTGATGAGGGCCTGGTTCCACAGCTTTACCTGAGCACTCTGCTTATGATAGGGAAGCAGTGGAGGAGCAGCCCACTGGCTGCTGGCTGCAAATTTGACAAGGGCCTCCTGGAACTTAATTTAAATGAATCCATGCACTCTCCTGAGGCCCTTTTTGTCTCAAACTCAATTCCAAGCTTCAGGTTGAAGCCCTATAAAGGAAAACTAGATCTGAGGGATCCAAAGGCAGATAACAATGGAAGTCAAGGGGCACAGTGTAGATGGGCAGGACTAATTCCTTTCAATTCAGCCTCCACTTCAAGGAAGGAGGCCGTGCTTGTATCCATGGCATAGATGAGGTCTAGGGAACTCAAAGGTTGCCAACAGCAGGGAGGATAGGCAGTGTGAGGTGAGTGCAAATAATTCCTACCCTCTAGACTCCCTGCTTCTTGGGGGAGGGTCACACTGGTACCCATGGGCAGCACCCACCTAGGTCTCCAGAACTCAGGGATAAAAAGATGGAAGAAAAAAACAGGGACACCCTTTTTTCCTCTCCCTTACATACCCCTGAGAAGAGGTGAAAGAGATAAAGGATCTAAGGGATGTCTTTTTCTCTCTCTTTCAGATGGGCTATCAACCATCTTCAGTCTACACTCCTCTGGAGTGTATCCTGAATCACTGGGAATGCTTTGACACTCAGACTCTGGGGAAAAAATGCCTTATAGCCCTTTGCACAAAGGGTTTGGCCAAATTATAATTTGCAGAAAGGACTGGCTTGGCCTTAGGAAGGAACCATTCATTTCAACATCATCCTGCAGTTGGACCTTTTCTGTAAATCTGAGGGCAGATGGTCTGAGGTCCCATATATGCAGGCTTTCTTTGCCTTGCAGGGAAATTCAGATCTTTACTGAGACTGTAGGATTGATCCAGCCCTCCTACCGGCCATCTCAGGAGAGGCTACAAGGGGCAATCCCAGGGAACTAGAGAAACAAACTCCAGAGGCACCTCCAGCAGGGGAGCCAGCTCCCTTTGGCCCTGCTCTTCTCTGGGTCCACCCTGTCCTCCCTATCCAGTTTCTCTCTCTTGCTTGCCCCCTCCTAGAAATCTTCACCCTATACAAGACCCAGTCTCACTCTTGCTCCTCCAACAGACGCCTGGGGAATCTGGCCCCAATAAGATCCAGGTGCCCTTCTCTCTACAGGACTTCAGGCAAATTAAGGGGGATCTTGGCAAATTTTCAGATGACCCTGACAGGTATATAGAGGCTTTCCAGAATTTAACCCAAGTATTTGAACTCTCCTGGAAAGATGTTATGTTACTTTTGAATTAAACACTGACTAACACTGAGAAGCAGCCCACTCTGCAAGTGGCAGAGAAATTTGGGGATAAGCTTTGTCTCTCATATAGTGTTAGGAAAGGGGAAGAGCCTTATCCAACTGGAAAAGTAGCAGTACCATTGGAGGACCCTAAATGGAATCCCAGTGATGAATTGGGAGAATGGAAGAAGAAACACTTTCAGGTGTGCATGCTGGAAAGCTTACAAAGGACTAGAACTAAGCCTCTCAACTACTTCCAACTATCCATGATAGACCAGGGATTAGATGAGAATCCAACTGCCTTCCCGGAAAGGCTAAGAGGGGCCTCGGTAAAGCACACCTCTCTATCTCCTGATTTAGTTGAGGGACAACTAATTCCAAAGGATAAATTTATTACTTAGGCAGCCCCTAATATCAGGATGAAGCTGCAGAAACAGGCCATAGGACCATATAGTGTTTTAGAGAGCCTCCTGAAAGTGGCCACCTTGGTCTTTTAAAACAGAGATAGGGAGGAGGCCCAAGAGAGAGAAAAAAGACAAATCCCAGAATCCCTGGGATGTACCTGTTAACTGCTACAAATGTGACAAGCCAGGCTATTTTAGGAAGGACTATCTAGACAGCATGAGGAAGCCACCTTGACCCTGTCCAATCTGCAGTGGGGACCACTGGAGGGTGGGCTGTCCCTGGAGACACAGGTCACCAGGCCCAGAGCCAATCTCCCAAATGGTCCAACAGGACTGATGGGTCTCAGGGATTCTCTCCCTGGCTCCAGTGGTCCAGACCACCATTACCATACAGGAGCCTCAGGTGATTCTGGAAGTCAAAGGGAGGAAGGCGGAGCTCCTCCTGGACACTGGAGCAAGCTTTTCAGTTCTCCTCTACAATCTGGGCTCCTCTCCTGTCTGATGACCATGAGGGGCATCTCAGGAAAGCCTTTAGCTCAATATTTTTCTCAGGCCCTTAGTTTTAGTTGGGGAGACCTCTTGTTTACCCATGTCTTTTTAATCATGCCTGTTGGGTAGGGATATTTTTGGCTCATGTGGGAACCACCATCCTTATGGCTCCAGGACAGACTCTTTGTCTCCCCCTAGAGGAGACCGATCTTAACCCAGAAGTTTGGGCAACTCAAGGGAAAATTGGCCGAGTCACAACTGCCACACAGGTCTGGATCCACCTTAACCTCCTTCCCTAACCAGAGACAATATCCCCTGAAATCAGAAGTTATTATAGGAAAGAACTGGAAGCCATCATTGATAACTTGAGGATGCAGGGCCTCCTCAAACCCTGCAACAGCTCTTGTAATACCCTAGTATTGGAGGTACAGAAACCCAATGGGGAAGAGAGACTGGTCCAAGACCTCTGCCTTGTTAATAAGGCTGTGGTTCCAATTCATCCAGTGGCTCCCAATCCCTAAGCCCAGCTACCTCCAATACCTGAAGGAACTTAGTGGTTCACAGCTCTAGACCTAAAAGAAGCCTGTTTCTGCATACTGTTACACCTCAACTCACAGTATTTGTTTGCATATTCGAGGATTCCTCCAGCCAGACCACCCAGCTAACCTGGATGGTGTTACCTCAGAGATTCTGAGAAAGCCCCCACCTGTTTGGGCAGGCATTGTCCAAAGACCTCTCTGAATTCTTTTATCCTCAGGTTAAAGTTTTACAATACATAGGTGACATTCTCCTCTGTGCCCAAACTAAGGAAATCTCTCAGGAGGGTAGTAAGGCTCTTCTTAATTTTCTGGATAACAGAGGCTATAAGGTCTCAAAATCTAAGGCTCAGCTCTGTCAGACTTCAGTGAAGTGTCTAGGTCTGGTCTTGTCATAAGGGACACGGGCATTGGGCAAAGAAAGGATTCAGCGCATCTCCTCCTTTCCCCTCCCCCAAACCCTCAAGCAACTGAGGGGATTCTTGGGCATTACAGGATTCTGCAGACTATGGACACCTGGCTACAGTGAAGTAGCTTGTCCCTTATATCACCTGATAAAGGAGACTCAGGCAGCTAAAACACACTCCCTAATTTGGGAACCAGAGGCTAAAAAGGCCTTTGACCAGTTAAAACAAGACTTGCTTGAGGCACCAGCCCTTAGTCTTCCCATAGGGAAGACATTTAATCTTTGTGTCATAAAGGAAGGGAATGGCCCTGGGAGTTCTAACTCAGGCCTGAGGTCCAGCCCAGCAGCCTGTAGGCTACTTAAGTAAGGAGCTTGATTTGATAGCTAAAAGATGGCTTACCTGCATCCAGGCAGTTGCAGCAGTAGCCCTTCTGCTACCAGAGACTACTAACCGTGGGGAATAACAATCTCTTATACTGTACATAATGTGGCTGAACTGCTGTCTTCTAAGGGGAGTTTCTGGCTGATGGATAACCACCTCCTCAAACATCAAGCTGTACTATTAGAGGGATCTGCAGTCCAATTAAGAACCTGTCTCTCCATAAACCCAGCCACCTTCCTCCCAGAGGAAGCTGGGGAGCTTGAACATAATTGCAAACATAGTAGTACAAACCTATGCAGCCAGAGAGGACCTCAAGGAAAACCCCTTAGAGAACTCAGACTGGACTCTCTTTACAGACAGAACTTCCTTTGTAGAACAAGTGATCCATAAAGCAGGGTATACAATAATTACCCTGAATGATATTGTTGAGAACACATCTGTCTCCTCAGGCACAAGAGCTCACTTACCTGGGCAAGAGGAAAGCAGTTAACATTCATACTGATTCTAAGTATGCTTTTCTAGTCCTCCGTGTCCATGCCACCATCTGGAAAGAGAGGAACTTCCTCACAGCTAATGGGTCTCCCATTAAATACCATCAGGAAACTAATAGACTATTATCCTCAGTTTTACTCCCATGGGAAGTGGCAGTAATACATTGTAAAGGCCACCCAAAGGGAACGTATGAAATAGCCGAGGGAAATAGGTTGGCTGACCAAGCAGGTAAATCAGCAGTGAGAGGGCCCTAGATTTCTGATCCACTTGAAGCCCCTCTAATGTGGGAGGGCTCCATAAGAGAAATAAAATCTCAATATTCTTCTGCAGAAATAGAATGGGCCACCTCTCAGGAATACATCTTTTGGTCCTCAGGATGGGTACAGTCGGAGGATGGCAAGCTTCATCTACCAACTGCCAGCCAATGGAAAGCATGCCAAATAGGAAGACAGGTTCTCAATCTGGTCCATGGATCTGACTTGTAGCTTGACTTTCAGGCTTTAAACTGTTTTTGGCTTGAAAGTGGGGTTTCCGTAGGGACCCTCCCTTGTCTGCCTAGGATTTATCTGTCTCTTGCCTCTATTGATTGCCAAGATAATGAAATGAGATAAAACTTGCACTCCTTTTAAGAAATTGAATTTCTTCTCATCCACCTATGATCTTTGTAAAGGGAAGATTATTCAAAGATATATTTTTGGGAAGAGGCACATTCCTACTTGAAATTCAGCATTGAAATTGGTTCTATATTGGGGCACTCCATTACATGGCACTGTTCACACATCACTTACTTGGAGAAACAATACTCTGTTTAGTCACCCTTCAATCACTTTATGCCCAGTATTGGTTGCAAACTTAGATAATTTTATAAATTGCTTATTAGCAGACAGGGGGGTTCCAGTCATTTAGGAAATCCATGGATGAGAGGAAGTTTCACTTCAGACAATTTCAACGATATGCTTAACTTAATTTGGTGAATTGTGAAAAGATTGTTATTCCGTTTTAGAGTCAGAATAACACTAACTTAGTTAACATGGGTAGAGGAATTGTTTGGGGAATCATCAGATAAAGAAGGAGTTTGGTTTGAGTAGGAGAGTATTGTTTCTCCAAGTGAGAGTGATGTGTGAACAGTGCCATGTAATGGGGTCCCCCAAAAGGGAACCAATTTCAATGCTGAACTTCAAGTAGGAATGTGCCTCTTCCCAAAAAAATGTCTTTGAAGTTGCAGCAGTCAACTACATTTTCTGAGCTAATAAGCCACATGAGAACAGAAGTCATATTTATATAGTTCATTTGGGAGTCTCTCACACTTGACAAATAGGAGATGTTCAGTAAATATTTAGAGAATTGCAATTAAGAGAAAAAGGAAGGGTTTAGATTCTAAACAGTAGATAGTCTGAAATTCTGTTTTCGTTTTTCATTTGGAATACATTAGTTTTCACCAATGTCTTACCTTCCCAGATAGAGTATGCTTCGAAAGATTCTGGCTTCATTTTGCATGCCTTAAGCCAAAACCAACTCATAATGAAGATGACCAAGAGAGGAGAAAACACACAGGGGTTGCAGTTTTCCATGAATAATCCACATGTTCTTTCCAATATTTCAGACATTAATAAAGCAAAATCTGAATGCTCTTGCAGAGCCACAGACTTTTATGACAGCCTTGACAGACAAATCAATTTGACTCCTGACAATGTGAGAGGGGTTGGTTCATTTTTAGCATAGTGATGTGTAGCTGTTCAGGTGAAAAGTGAGAATTACCCCAAATGACCTGCTATGCATCCCAGAATGGGTCTAGCCACAATCTAGTTAAATGACTGTGAGGTGCAAGTATCAAGGGGTGATACTTGTTGAGGGTTTCTTGGGGGTAGTCTCAAGATAAAGAAGAGATCTTCACTATAGAAACAAATTCTGAAACAATTGAAATTTAAGAAAATATATCTTCACCATTACTAGAAACCTAATGGCTTTCAGGCTCCATTTCCAACTAAAGTCCAAGGGTCTAACCCTTGGACAAATTTGAAAGGCACAGAATGTGTCTTCTTCACCTCTAACCTTTCTCTGCCCTCTTTCCGCACCTCTTATAGGCACTCCTTGGGTGCCAGGAGCCCCTGAATTCTTGTCAATCATTTGTGATGGCTGAGTGATTGGCATTCTCTGAATGAAACCCATTCACACTCAAATGTTACCTTGAACTCTCATTTGCATTTAAACCCTTTTCCTTCTCAGGGTGGAATTGCCAGCTTTTTTTTTTTTCCTTAAAAGATTTTCAAGCAGAAAACAGGAGAGATCTGGAATGGGGTGGGTGGAGTGAGGGGGTAGGGGGGTAGGATTTATGCTCACCCCATATCTATTTCCTCAAGTCTGAAACAAAAGCTCAGAGTGTCTTCTATGTTTCACTTGGGGAAAGCAAGAGGAATGGAAGGATGGAAGGATGGAGGAGTGGAGAGATGGGAGGAAGGAAGGAAGGAAGGGAGGGAAGAAAGAAGGGAAGGAGGGAGATGATGATTTTGGTTTTTATTCCAAAGTTGGAGATTTCTTGTCTGATGTGTCTTGGAAGTCATAGGGGATGGAGGGATGTGTCCTCTTGGCAATGATTGCTTCTGAAGGCTAAAGACTTCCCTTCCCTATACAATTGGCTAGGGACCTGAAACTCTCCAGAGTCCCACAATTTTAACATAACCCATTCCCCTGGCCCAAAACATGGACACACATGCATTGTGTTCCGCAATATTTTTGGTAGGTGTTTTTCTTATTCTTATGTACTTCAATGATGTAAAATAATCCCCGTTTATCATTTTGTTGTTCTAATCTCTGTTTCTAACAAAAGAAACAGTCTGAATCTCTTTACAGCAACACAGAGCATCACAGAACATGTCGCTGTCCCTTTCAATAAGCAAACTCCAATCCCTTCACAGCTTGTCCACTCAGCTGAGCACTGGACCAGTAACTGGCTTAAGACCAGACAACATTAGATAGAAACATACACTTCTCTAAAGCTGGATTATTAATAGTCTCACTGGCCTTGCATGTTTAGAGGCAAGATTGATTAGCGATGTCTGCTCTGGGCACAGGGGGACTGCAGGACACTTACTTGCAGTTTCTCTTGTTTAAGCTTCTTGTGTAAGCTTCTTAATCAGTCTTGGCTCTGTCCAATCACAGTTCTCAGGCATTGTGGCCCTGGTTGCATTCGCTCCTTCTCTCACACACACACTTTGTTAAGTGTTACTTGATGAGAGTTTGTCCGTTGTTAGTTAGGTGGCCTGAGTTCATGGAGATGACATGTGAGTGCTCTCAGTATAGCATCCCAACATGTTTTCCTTCCCACAGACAAACAATTTCATAAATTTTATCTAGCCTTTGGGTGGGTGAAAACATCATAGAAAGCTCATGAATGTATTTATTATGTAACTGCCACTTCTGTTCTGTGATGGTGTTAAAATTGCAAACATTGACCAGGTGCGGTGGCTCACTCCTGTAATCCCAGCACTTTGGGAGGCCGAGAGATGGGTGGATAACCTGAAGTCAGGAATTCAAGACCAGCCTGGGCAACATGGTGAAACCCCGTCTCTACTAAAAATACAAAAAATTAGCTGGATGCGGCTGTGCGTGCCTGTAATCCCAGCTACTCAGGAGGCTGAGGCAGGAGAATTGCTTGAGCCCAGGAGATGGAGGTTGCAGTGAGCCGAGATTGAGCCACTGCACTCCAGCCTGGGCAACAGAGTGAGACTCCATCTCAAAAAGAGAAAAAATTGCAAATGTTTTCTCTCAAGATACTATTAATGATGATGATGATGGCTAAATACTTATCTTTAAACAACAGACTCACAAGGCAAGTTAGCCAAGACTGGCTGAGGGAATAGCAGATTGCCAGCTCCCACCTCACTCTCACTCCACATGCAATGGCAGGTGGAATGACTGGCACTATTAAAACTAATTCCCCCATGCCTTTTGGGGGGTTGTAGTTGCCAATTGTGTAATGCTGAAGTCACCTAAGTTAGACATTCTTACCGTGAGCGTGTACTGTTTTACAAGCCGTAGTCATACCTCAAGAGCAGCCCCAGCAGCTTCTTTCATTAAGAAGGTATAGAGATGTCAATGGGCACATGCTAGTGACTTCTAGTCTCCCAACACAACCCCAATCCTGGGTGACCGCCATAAAAATGCACTTTGCTAATTAGAAGGGGAAGAGTCTACACACAGGAGTAAATGACTAGGTCAACTTTGGCCTTAAAACACAGGCATTGAAATGAGGCAGACATAAAGTAGAATCCCAGCTCTGCCACTTATTAACTGTGGCATTGGCTGCTTATTTAATATCTCTGGATTCTTTCCTCATTTGTAAAATGGGTATAATGGTAACTACTTCGTAGAGAGTATAAAGATGCATTTTAGAATAGGTGGAAAGTACTTCATTTTTTTGGTTTGCAAATGAGTCCCAAAGACAAGTAAGCCCCCTCTAGCCCAACAAATCATATACCCTCCACAAAAATCACCATTATTAACCTTGGCAACTAGCAGAGAATTGAAGGATCTCTTAACATTTACAGGACAATTGTCTGGTCATATATTAAAGTTGATGTTGGAATCTTAAAAATTAACTGGTGGACTGGGGTCCTACATGTTCAGAGCTAATTATGAGTTCATCGGTCAGTGTCTACAGAGGTGGGCTCCATCTTATCTAAGCCTAAATAGGCACAGCCTGGCTGGACTGGAAATTCAATATCACCCTATGAATATGATAACAAAATGTAGTGCATATGCCAGTGTTCAAATGCATTCTACTTGGAAAGCAGGAGAAAAATAGTAAAAGTGCCTGTTTCTATGTATAAAGTATATTCTATAAGTGCTAAATGTAGTTTTACATTACAATAGTACATGAGCAAAGTGCTTATGATATATTTTTAAACTTCTACATAGAGAGATTTGGGAGAAAAGAAGTGGTTGTGTTTAGTCACATTGAATTTTCATCATGTGAAAAGTTCAGGAGGCTTGTTAAGTGCTCAGAGGTGCATTTAGAATTCATTTTGTCAAAGCTTCTCCCTTCCCTAGCAGTGTGACGAGGGAACATGACTCAATCTCTGAGTTTCATCTGTTCAATGGGGATAAATACTAGGTCCTACCTCAGAGGTTGACTCCTCAAAGAATAAAGAAACTTAATGTAAATGTGCCTAGCACAGTGCCCAGAACACAGCAAATGCACAGAAATTATCTATGAGAACAAAATGACTAAAGTTAAACTAGTCAAATTCACATAAGAATAATTTAGCTTTTTAAATTGGTATTTTTATTGTGATATCTAGCTTGGAGCAAATTTCAAAAACAAAGGTTTTGACTTTTTCTAATGTTACACCTTTAAGATGTGACTCAGATGCCTTTATCCAGGACGAATTGTTGGAGAACAGGTATTCTAATGCAACATCTTTAGGGATGTGAACAAGGAGCTTTTGCCTTGTAAACTCATGGGGTAAAATCTCATCCCTTGATCTTCACAGTGTGACAAAGAGCTATTGATTGAGAGCATATTGTCATTTAAATTACAATTAAGGATGGGTGAAAGGTGGTTATTCAACAATTCAAACCTTTCTTTTAATACTGTCAAGGACGACTTAACCTTAACCCAAACACACTTCTAAAACTTCTGAGTTTCAATATGTCTAAAATCAATGTGCTTTTCTTAAAGTGAGAGAATCATGTCATTACTATCAGATGTTGAATTCGGTAGTTTTGAATCTGGTGGTGAAAATCTTTCAGAAAGCTTTGCTCTCAGAGGCAAAACACTTGTGTCTCAACGCAAATCCAGTACCACATTTGCACCTTAATATGAAATTAAATCATTCAGCACATTTTCCTAGAGTAGCTAGTTAGAAAAGTATATGCATTTTCAAAAATTAAGTGCTATGTGGGTGATGTATGTTTTACTTTAGAGCATTTTAAATAGGAAATCATCCTTCTGAAGGCACAAATTGCTAAGAACTTCATGTCTTTTATTACTAGGAAAACAATGTTCAATTCTAATGGCATTAGGCAGTACGCATCTTAAACGAACCAATGGACAGAACTGAAACTATTACTGACTGTCTTGCATTTTGCCATATGAATACACTTCATAAATGATTTGCTTTGATATCACAAACACACACACACAGGCACATGCACACACACTAGCACGCCACGCCTGCATTGGCAAAATGCTGGACTCAATCTCACAATCTTGCTCGGGCCAAGTTCCGTGCAGTTTTCACAGGAATGCAGACAGCATGAAGACTGCAGCTTAGATCTCCTGTGTTTCAAATTTGTTTTGCCAAAGCATCCCTTCTTTCTCTGTCTATCTCTTTCTCTAATGCATGCACACCTGCATGTTTTTCTCAGGAATGGCAGGCATTTACTGGGATGACAGATTATGCCAGAGGTGCCTTTGGCAGCTTCTCGCCCTCAGGGCAACCATTGCTCTGGCAGCAGTAAGTCAGTGAATAGTACAAGGTCATCCATCCCCCAGGTCCCCCGCCCCTTCTCCTGTGTGGGGCATGTGTTCCAAGGTACACTTCAATGGTTTGACACATGAGGTCATGGAAGGTAGTCTCCAATTTGGGTCCACACCATGTAAGCGAAAGCACCAAAGCAATTGGAGCTACCCATTTGCGGGTGAGATTCCTACTAGAGTACTGCACTGCTACTGAGCCTTCAATTTTGACTATCTTTAGATGTTTTCTCACTTGTGAAGAAAACCTATTAAAAGTGTATTTTTCTGTACTGCAGTGGTTTGTCAGGGTGTCTGCTAAACAAATGGGAACATCCGATTTTACATTTCATTTGAAAACTCTGAGTAGAAAAATCACCCGTGAAGCTGCCTTTCCATAATACAATTAGTGAGAAAAAAACAAACCAAGATGTCAAGCTTAATATTGGCATTGGTCAGAAACAAATTCTCTTATCAGAAAATTTACAGAGGCCCGCTGTAACCCGGAAAAACAGGAAAGGAGTATTGCTTGTCAATATAAATAACCAATCTATGTTAGCAAAACTTGAAGGATTTCTACTCATCTATTGTAGGAGAAAATTAAGTATCTCATCATGACTAACTCATATTTACTAATACATTCTATTGGAATGGCAAAGTAGAAATTTAAAGGCAGAATAGTTTTTAATTTTATTCAGGGAAACATAATACTAAATGTTTGGAAAATGAATACTTGGAAATTCAAGATATTGGGGGGAAGCAAGATGTTTTACTGCCGCCTTGTGGACAATTTAAAAGAACTGAGTTTTTATTTATGCTGGTGGTGAATATGTGAATCTTGGCCAATAATAGAATCAGACAAAAATGGGTACAGGATAGAGGTGGGATATAATCAAATATTAATTATTTAAATTTAGTCAGAAAAAGTATTTTTTTAACCCAAGGAGATCCATAAAGTCTTCAAGTGATTATGCCCTATAGTTCAAGAAATTCTTGACATACTCAAACAGGAGATGGGAGGAAATGCAATGAAATTGAATATTCGGTAATAGAGTTTAACCAGAATCATGTTCTAACTTTTTTTTAAATCCAAGGGGTTCCATGGGCACTACATAATTTTGCCACGATATTCCAAGAAAATTTTAAAAATCTCAGTTAATTATCATAGAATTAAATGCAGCACCGGAGAAGCAGTGATAAGAAAAACTGGACATATTCTGGGGTTCAGTCCAGCATTTTAACTTAGAATGTTTATTTAAACATAACTTGAGTTTATAAACTTGTTTTCTAGGGAGATTTATAGTGCTTTCTGATTTTGGCTGGATTGAAAAAGTCCAGCTTGACTTCCTGCTAAGAACGTGCTTGTGTAAACCACCTTCTTCTTGAATTTTGGCATGAAAAATATATTTTCATTGGACACATTTCTAATCACAAACAAACGTTCAGGTAGGTGCTTAATTTAAACCTAGCTACCAATATCACAGAAATAGCATAATAGAATGTTTCAGCATTCCAACACACCACATAAATTCTTGTTGACAAAGCACTAACAAATGTATTGTAATTTCTAATTTCCCATTGTTCTTCTGTTGGATAAATAATAGAAACGTCTGACCAATCCATTAAGAGAAAGATGGCTTAAGAATTTTGGGTGGTGATTTTAATTTAAAATCGAAAAAGCAAATTTAGATTTGTAATTAAAAACATTTTAAAGCATATCAAGTAATAAGATAAATGGCTCTAAGACTTAGAATACCATTTTCAATAATTTTATAGCCACTATTGAATCATCATATTTTTTTCACTGGCGGGAAAGCACCTTCAGTGAAACCATCTGAAACCAAACAATACATAATCTAAATTTTGCTAAATAATCTAAAATTTAAATTACTTATTTTTTATTATTAAAATACTTTGATCTGAGGGAGGAGAAGTGGATACAGAAAAATAAAAATAAAATAAATATAATGCCACATTCTTACCAAACACTAAGCAACTCTCCATAGGCTACATAGCAGGGTTTAGTGATTTTCCTGATTTTTCTCTTGGTCTGAAACATGACAAACCTTAAGTAAATGTCATTTTCCAAATTCCTATTCCATTTTTGGTGTAGTAGGGAAGGTTTTAAGATCACTGATAAATGTACTGGTCCCCTATTTTTACAACAAAAATTCAGTTCTAAGTTATTTCACAAAGATGTTATTCATGCCATCATCAGTAAGATAGTGATCTTTTATTTTTCGCATTATTGAGTGTTAATTATATGCTATGCACTTCACTTGCATTCTCATAATAGCCTCATCACAACCAATAAATAGATTGTGTTATTATCATCTCCTTTTTACAGATGAGAAAATGAAGGCTCAGAGCAGGTAAGTAAACTAGCCATGATCACACAGCCTTTCAATGGTTCTTCTAGCAGCACCAATGGCTTTGTGTGCCTCAATACTTCCTGGATATCCCACTGAGGAACCAGTATCACCTATTTTTTTCAGTGATTGGCATTGCTGTTTAGTTGTACTCTGGCACATCGCAAAAGACCATTAAAAAATGTTGGAGTGAGTATTCAACACATGCAAAATATGTTTATTATTTACTAGTTGGTTCATTCAATAAATTTTATTGAAAGCATTTTCTGTGCTGAGTATAGTACTTGGAACAGGGCTATGATAATGCTGCATCTGGAATGGTAACTGAATGTTTGAAGCTTACAGTTTAACATCAGACAATGAGTAAGTTTCAAAAATGTAAAAGTGAATAGGACCCAGTCCTTCATGATAGAAAGAAAAAAAGCAGTAGTTTTGGAATCAGGAAGGATTCAAGTGGCTCAGCTATCTTTTACTTCTGAGAAAATTTGAAGCCATTTGTTTTTCTGCCTTCGTTTCCTCTTCTGTATAAACAGGTTTATTCAGAGACTTAGCACGAAAGCATGTAATGTTCCTGGCCTAAGGTAGGTGACCATGGAGAGTGATCATTATTCCGAAAGGTCAGGAGAAGGAAGAGAAATGTAAACAATTCAGTGATTATGTGAAAAGCACCACGCTCATGATAATGACAAGGTTTTTGGTAACCTGGGGTAGGGAATCATGCTGGAGTGGTTTGATGGAAACTTCAAATGGGAAGTGATATTTGACTTGGGTCTTAAAGGATGAGAAGAAGCCTGCTGAGCACCTTCACAAACAAGGACGTAGCTGGGTGTTTCATGGAACCAGAAAATTAGGGTATATGTAGGATTGGAAAAAAGATGGCAGCCAGTTTTCCAAGTTCCTAACCCCCAAAGTTTAAGGATTGCACTCTAAATGAATTTTATGATATTCTCTTCCCATATCTTTTAGGAATCTTTCACTGCAAGTATAGGTAAATGCAACTTAAGCTGGGTTAAATTAATGGAGAATTTATTGGTTCAAATAACCAGAATTTCAAAGTTAACACTGGCGTCAGGTGAAGCTTATCCAGATATCATCCTGCCCTGTTCTGCTATTCTCTGGGCTCTACTCTCTTCCATGTGATGATGTTATTTTCGGGGGAGATTTCACTCTTAGCAGCAACAATGTCTGCAAACAGTGAAGACATGTCTCATGGACTCAATAAGGTCATATTCTTATGCTTTAACCAAACACTGAGGCCTAGGGGAAAGACATGCTGATTGGCTATTACACTTTGGTTTGTTTGACCTCTCCTAGTCTCATGTTGAGATTTGATCACAAATGTTGAAGATAGGGTTTAATGGGAGGTGTTTGGGTTATGGAGATGAATCCCTCATGAATAGAGTAATGCTCTCCCTAGGATCTGGGTAGGGGGTGAAGAAGGGAGGTGAGTGAGTTCTCATTCTATTAGCTCCTGCAAAAACTGGTTGTTAAGAAGAGCCCTGGCACCTCCTGCTTTCTTGCTCATGCTTTCTGTCTCACCATGTAATCTCTGCACATGCTGGCTCCTTTTTCACTTTCACCATGAGTGGAAACAGCCTGAAACCCTCACCAGAAGCAGATGCTGGTGCCTTGCTTTTGTACAGCCTACAGAACCATAAGCAAAATAAACCTGTTTTCTTTATAAATTTTCTATCCTCTGGTATTCCTTTATAGCAACACAAATGGACTAAGACATTGGCATAAGCATTCCCCAAGAGCAGGAGCACTTCTACTCACACCACATGGCTTTGAAAGAGAGAAGTAATATGGCAGCTATTGGCTAATGGGAGAAATGCAACCAATCCAAATCTAATACTGTCACCTTATCCGATGGAGTCTGAGTCTCCCTGCGAGTCAAAGTTGATCCCTGGAAAGGCTGGCATCCAACTTCTTGTAAAATGATTAAATTAAACAAAAATAGGTTTTTACACAAGAAATATATTCATTGACTCAGCCATGAATGATACAATAAAAAAGAATTTTCCAAAATTTATTTACCAGTTCTTGAATGTGCACCCACAAAGGTGAGATGTACTCTCAATCAAGTACATTTTGAGGCTAATTCTGAAACACACACTGAAAGAATTTCTCTTTAGTTCATATTTCTTCAGAGTCTATTTTTTTTTTTTCATGCTAACACAGGGCCTGGAATGAGTTCTAATATGATGGCATCAAGAAAATTTAAATGAAAGTATTTTTCCTTTGTCTTTCCCAAAATGTTTCCCTTGCGTAGGCTTCTAATATCTATAGCTGTAGATGTGTCATCATTACTTAGCTGGAATGTTTGCATTATTAGAACCACATTAGGCAGTAAGCAAAAACACATGCCCGGGAGTCTAGTTAGAGATTTGTGCATGTTTTCTTTGAGTTGAAACAAAAGAATAATGACCAGCAGCATTCAGCAACTTAGCCTTGTCTCTATCCTATTAGGATCATATTCCCAGGAGAGAGCTCCGGTTTAAAAAGCTATTTGCAAATGTATAGCGACTCTTTTGCGTGTAATCTTTCACAAAACAGTTACAGAATAGAGGCAGGGTGGGGTAACCACTAAACGTCGTGAATTGAGGAGGTCCTTTTTTCCTGAAATGACGAGTGAATAACAAAAATACTGAGAAAAATCATGATTTGTGTTTTTCATTTAGGAATGTATGGGGATTTTTTCCATTTGCAGCTTTTAGCTTGTAGAGAAGGGTCTTTGAAATGTTCAACTTGTTGGTGTACCTTGATTAGTGGGGATTATAGTAATGTGCTAAAAGAAAGTCTTGTCAGTTTGTTTTCATTCCTAATATAGTAACATGAACATTGTCTTATCCAAAGTCTATAAATTAAGTCCAGTGAAATACAACTTCATTTTATTCCTCTATCCAAGATGTTTCAATGTATCTCACTAGAGAAAGTTCCTGAATTGTTGACACCGTAGTCGGGACAACCATTCATTTTTTGAATATTTAGTGAGCCCTACTATGTGCTAGGCATCATTTGAGGTGCTGCAGATGTAGAAATCAGCAGCCTCTACTTTCACAGAGATAATGCCAGGAGAAGGGCAAAGAATAATTAATTCTATGTTTGAGGAACATTTGAAAAAGAAAGAGGAGGATAATTAGTAGAGAGAGCTATGAGGACATATGAAAAGTGGATCTAAGCTGGTCTATGGGGCAGGTGCTCAGAGAAGTCCCTGGGAAAGTGGCTTTTAAGTTGAGATCAGATAGATGAATAGGGTACTTAGCTGGGTAAAGCAAGAAGACAGGAAAGCTCAGGAAAGAAGTACCCAAATTGAGAGAGAGCATGATTCAATGCAAGACTCACAGACCAGTATGGGGAGGTGAGAACACAGGCAAGGGTGTTCATGGTTGGCGATTACCCCAAAGTGGCAGAAGAGAGATACTGGCAGGCCTTGAAATGATAGCCAAGTATTGGTACTTCCCTTATTGGCAGAAGGAAGCCAAAAGTTCCTTCTTTTGGCTTTAGTTTGGGGGATTTAGTTTGGGGGAGTGTGATGGTTAGTTTTACATGTCATCTTGAGTGCCACAAGGTGCCCAGATTAAACATTATTTCTGGATGGGGTTAGCATTCAAATCAGTGGACTCGGTAAAGTAGGTTGCCCTCTTCAATGTAGATGGGCTTCATCCCATCAGCTGAGGGTCTAAACAGAACCAAAAGCCAAGGAAGGAGGAAATCATCCCTTCTTTCCTGCCTCAGGGTTGTAGCTGGAGCATCTCATCTTGTCATCTCGTGCCCTCAGAATGGGATTTACACCATCTGCTTCTCCGGTTCTCAGGCCTTCAGGCTCAGGCCGAATTACAACCTTGCCTTTCCCGGGTCACCAGCTTGAAAATGGCAGATTGGGGAATTTCTCAGTCTCCGTAATCTCATGGGCCAATTCCTCAAAATAAATCTTTTTTCATACATATGTATACATATACATCCTTTTGGTTCTATTTCTCGGTAAAACTCCAACTAACATAGAGGGTAACATGGCTGGATCTGAATTTTGAATTTTACATGATCGCTCTGACTTCTGTATGGAGAAAGGGTTTCAACATGTGTATAGATTATAAATAGAATGCTTTCCTCCTTGTAAAACTTGATCTCTCTCCTCATTTGCAGTAAGATCACAACAAGGACTCCGGACATAAAGGCCTTCAGTTACTAGATTAACAAAAAGCAGATTCATTCTGACAACTGATTTCACCAAACGTTTTATGGAATTGGGCAGTTTTTGGCTTTATGTGCTTTTTTCTTCCAGAGGCTATATAAGTACTATGGTAACTTCCAAATTTAAGAATCTGTAAAAGATTTAGCTGTGGAAGTTTTTTTTTTTTTTTTTTTGGTGATAGCCAGAACTAAAGCCTATAGGTCACCAACCAATTTCCAGCCTTTAAAATTAGTTCCACTGAATTATCTTCTATTAATTATGTTTCTCCATCCTATCTTATACCCCCATAAGATTTTAGTCATATGACATACAAAGTATTTGAATGACTGACTTTCTACTTCTGCCTTTTAAGAAGTCTGCACCACTCAGTATATGTAATTATGAGAGATCTTCTATTTCCCCTAGCAAGTTTCTGTCCAAAGGAATAGAAATGCTCCTCTTAATTCAACAATTATGTTCTTCATGTCATTAATAGAAAGTCAAACTTATTGGATTTGATTAGCCTGGAAAAATAGAAGTTCCTGGTTTTCTGGAGAATTAGCTTTCAGGATGCAGCCAATTCCCTCTTTGCTTTGGCTGTTTGGCACCACAAGGCCAGAATCAGGCCCACCTCTGCTATCATAAATGACATTTAACATGTGTTCAATAGCTAATAAGCCTAGAATGAACTTATATTAGGTTTTCTTTCATCTTTTTGCCCAAGTTTTATTTACTGCAGATGAGCATATTTCTGTAAGTCATCTCAAGTAATTTTAACAAGGTGGAGGTATTAATAAATTTAAGTTTTTGCTATATTTAATTCTCACAAGAAAAACTTCTTATCAAGTATTTTTAGGTATATTAAAATATGTGTTAAGTAATATTTCAAAACCATGTTTCCTGCTTTGAAATAGCTGTGGGAGTGAAATGCTCTAAAACCCAAAGAAATTATCTGCAGTAACATGACCCCACCGAAAAAAAATTCTGTCTACATGTAGCTAAAAAGACAGCAAAAGCCAAAATTTGGCCCAAGGCTTCTCAATAATTGATCTAAATGTGCCATGCATCTGAATGGATTTCATCATAGCAAGATCAGAGTGAGGTGAATTGACCACAATGAACCATGCTGGAGAACGTGTACCGGCTGCAGCTGCCCCTTCCATGAGGGTCAACACCACCTCAAAAGGAAGGGGAAAGCCAACCTAAGATGGGCTTAGCCACCATCACTGTCATCTTACTTTTCTTTACAATCAGCAGAAGCCCTATGGGCCCGCAAATGTTTTTAACTAAAAAGGAAATGTTTTTGTCCTGTGGTCATGCCATCCACTGAGGACAAAGAGAGGCTATCCATTTTTAATCTTTTCTTCTATAATCAACAGGTCTTTAAAAGAGATAATATGCAATTAATTTTCTTTTTTCTTTCTTCTTTAAAAACATTAAACATTTTGGTGGTTTAAACGATTTAGTCAATTCCAGGACATGGATAGTTAGGGTGTCAGCAATGCCCCCAACCTAATGTCATTAAGTGCGCAACAATGACTTTAAAATAAGTAGCTTTTTGGAAGTTATGTCTTTGAAGTTTCATTAATTAGTCATATCATTGGGAATGTATGGCTAAAGTAAATTACAGTGTTTAAAATATCTACTCTTTCAATGTGAAAAATGAAAGGATCCTGCTACCTTGTCTTTATACTAATGAAGATATTATTAATTGGTTTAGCAAAAACATAGATCTAACCATAATGTGCAACAGTTATTAAAGATAATTAACTACAGATCATTGGTTTGAAACATCTAGTCCAAAATGATTTCTGAAGGGCACATTATTCTACGAGATAAAATAATTAAATTTCTAACTGCTGCATGAGACAACTGTGGCATATCTAGCGTTTTAATTTCTTTTGTTCTATTCTCAGGGTACTCTTACTGTTTTAGGTTTTGAAAAAGCTACCCATGTTTCACAGCGAGCACCCTGTTCAGCATGTTTTACCAAAATCTTTCATGTCTATGGAAAAATTATGATTGAAAGAAAAGGATTACAATGACACTAGACCTAATAAAAAGCCCACATAAATTCAGCTTCCTTTTACTGGAGAGAGGAGTATGGTAAATCAAACAAATAGAAAACGAAACAACTTACTTTAATGAAATACCTTTCAAACATATCCCTCACAGAATCTATTTTTTTTTAAATGGAAAGCCTCACATTTGCAAAATAAATATGGGAAAATATACGTATGGACAAATACCAGGTACTTGTGGATTAATGAATAATGTAATTATGTGCATACATATAAAATAAAATTAAACAATTACTGCAAAAACAATTGAGGCAATAGAACAGAAGGCTGTTTATTAAAAACTGAAATATTAGGGACAAAAAATTCTGGCTATACAGCTAAAAACAGTTTTGCTTAGTCTTTACTATTTGAAGATCAGTTGAATTAAAGGAAAACAAAATTAAGACTCAGATGTCTATAATAGTAGTTTCAGGAATTCCAAACAAAATAGGACCATAACATTGGAAGCATGTTATGATGTTCATTGGTGATCACATTTAGAATGCGTCCCGATGTCTATATTAATGTCAATGTCAGATATCTAAATTAAAAAATATATATTTTCCGACCAGGAACTTGCTTTGTATAAAAGCCAACAGTGAAAAATAATAGTGATGTGCTTTTCTTTAAGAAGCAATTCAGATTTATATTAAGTCTAAATTTGCGGGAGACCTGGAAAATGCCCCAGCTCACGGCTTATGTATAAATTATTATTTTTAGAAATATTATTAATATCTTGCTTTAATCCAGTTAGTGTGCACTTGGAAAGATAGGATTAAAAAGCCATAAAAATAAGGGCATTTCTCTCTAGGACTGAAGTTTAGAGACACGACTGAATGAGACAATTTTGAGCTGCTAAGTTTATACTGATGCTGATTTCATGTACTTGGAAAGAACAACACCAAAATGTTTAATGCATGCCTTTTTTGGCCTAACACACAATAAAACCTAGAAATCCCTGAAAAATCTAATGCATGGAGGGAAAATGGGGTTCGAAGCTAAAAGTGAGTATAGTCATCACAACCTTCTTCATATAGATCAATGTTTTTGAACATGTGTATGATGAAATGCTAGTCTCTTAAAAATAAACAAAGGTCCAATGGTCAAAGGCTTAGGTATACAACATACTATATCTTCCTTTTATAGATTCACACAGCATATAAGCAAAATTAAAGGCTCTGAAAAGTCCTGCGGTCGCAATATTCACTTAACTTGGCTCTCAGACTTTTATTTTCCTCAACACTGATTCACAGGAAATTAGTATTCCTTATAACATTTGGGAGGGGGATGGCTGCTCTAAGGTACTTTGTGAAGGTATGGTTGGTTTGATTTCAGGACCCTCAGAGACCCTTTGGTATTCCTCTGATGATGTCACATTCCCTCATCTTCAGCCACCTATTACTTTCTTCCTTCTGAAACCACTTTTAAAGGCTTTGCTACACACTTGGAACTTAGTATTGAAGTTGCCTTGTTATCTTTCCTAGGCATATTTGCTTTTAAATGGTTTGTTCTAAATGTAGAATAAAAGACCAACAAAATAATATCTGGTATTACAGAGCTTGGGGTCGGTGACAATGAGGTTTTTTTAGTCTCACTGATAATATAACACAAATAACTGCTCCTTTCAAAAATGAGGAGACAGAGGGTGGGTGTGAACAATGGGCTTGCCCAAGGGTGTGCAGCCGGTAATGCAAAGTTGAGGCCTGACCCTGTGTCCTTATATCAGCAAATTCGGGGCTTTTCTATTAATCTGGGTTCTCTTATATTTTTGCATACATGTCCAGAGGAAAGCATGCCAAATGTAACCAGAAGTCCTAAAAAGGCCTCCAAGGTGCATTAGCAAAGAGATGTACTTATTTGTCTGCTCAGTGTTTAATTTTAAAAATATAGAGAATTAATTGTCAACAGTTAATATTTAGGAGGTCCCATATAATAATCTAGATTCTGTCTTCTCCCCCAAAAAGCAAAGAGCTTTGTAGCATCAGGCCCACTGGCTGGGGCAATTATGATTATGGCCACCCAATTTAGAAAGGGCATTCTGGTGGTAATCCATTGCGCCATAGTCTCCACCACTCCTTGATGCCCCTTGACACGAATGAAGAAAGAGTCACTTATTGTCTTACTCACATTGTTGATTAAATGTTTGGGTTTGGGGGCTTCTTATATTTTCAAACCCTGGTATCAACAACCTATGTATCCCACCTTACTGTTATGGCTCTTTCCTCTCTGAAAATCTTTGTCATTTCCTAATAAGAGAAGTACTTCAAGTTGGTCACCAGAATGTTGCCTTTAGATAAGTTATTGGAACCTGACTGCACTCAACATTCCAGGAGAAATCAACCACCACCACCCACCCCCACCCCCGACTGCTTTGGGTCACCCTGATTAAAATCTTTGGCTTTTCCAATTCCAGCCACAATAAGCTGGCTGTCTATTGCCCACCAGCATTGTGGCAGGTTTTTGCAGCTTGCGCTGCATGGGACCCAAAAGGCAACTGTATATGGAACCAGTGCTCCAATCATGATTTGGTGAGAAGACTGCATTTCCCTTCATCTTTGGACATTATTCATCTTTTCATGGGAAAGACATCCCAAATGACTGAAACCATAGCTCAAGAGTTCATGGCATTTAACAAATGTTGATATTTTCTTCCCTGCTCAATTTCGATCTCTACAACCTCAGGAATGTGTGATATATATTTTCAGCTAAAATAGTAGAACTTTCCTTGGGCTACATAATCATGTTTGATGGCATACCAGCAAGAAATGGGTTTTGGTGAGGAAAGCAGCTTGCTTCTAGGCCATTCCCCAAAATCAGAAAACTGAGTGGTCAACATATGTGTTATTAATAGGCCTGTAAAATCAGCCTGAACTCTAAAAACCCGAGCCATGGCTTTGCCAGCCTCCTCCTTTGAGTGTCAGCCATTCAGTGTGCCTGTCCTCCCCTGTTGCTATGAGAGTGAGCTGAGGGGAGGTTATGGATGTGCTGTAATCAGATGGAGAGGTGGAGCCATCTGCTCTAACTTCCCAAGTTATTGTTGGCTGAGTAACTGCAGTTTTGGTTTGGGTCTTTTAACAGTTCATTTAACTGAAGAGGAGGGAGTGGATTCAGAATAGAAGGTCCTTGGTATAGGAGAATTTTCTTTATAGGTTTTCTGATTCCTCTTTCCTAACTGTCCTCTTCTAATTCCTTCTCTACTCTCAAACCCATTCTTTTGTAAATCCCCCCTTTTCTTTTTCTTTTCTTTCTTTCTTGACAAGGAATTGCTACTCCTGCATAGATAGTTACTGAGTCAGTTCTTCCCAGCACTAACTCCAAGATATTTACCACCAACTATTGCTTACTCATGATATTTAAAATGCTAGTATGTAGTGTCTTCTGGGATATTCTCGTTGCATTTCAACTGCACCCAGTGACACTGATTCTTACCAAACTATCAATACCACAGGTGTGTCCGATTAACATAGGCTTTCTAGAGGCTTTTAAAAAAGGCTGTTAAGCATTATTTGACATCTTTCTTTAATGGGTTACATTCTGGATGAGAAAAGTTTAGGTGGAATCTTTCATTTTTCAGTCCTCAAAATTTGTCTTTCCCTTAGAATTTATTCTCTATTCTTTCTCTCTCTCCTTCTCTGTTTCTCTCTGTCTCTCCCCCCCCCCTTTAAAACTATATTCTCTTTCCCCACGTAAAACCGCTTCACCTCCAGGAAAACGATGGCTATATTGAAATAAGATCACATGACTCTAACCTGCTGTAAATATTGCCTTATTTTTCAGCCATGCATCTGGATCCCTATACAAAGATATATATGTATATAACTTTATCCTGGTTTAGTGACATAACTGTACATTAATCTATCTCTCTGCTTTCCTTAATAAATTTATTTTTAAAAAATTGGCTGTTTTCACTTAAAATTTAAGTAAGCAGCAAGGGCAACAGACAAAGAAAGAGGCTTGAAATTTGAAAATGCATATTTAGATGGAAAATAAAGCTTGCTTAGCAGATATCATTCTTTGTTATTAATTTACTGTAGAAAAATGTAGGAAAAGTCAATGCTGGAAAAGAAAGTATAGTGAGAACTTCCAGGAGGAAGCGTGTATTGCCAAAAGAAAAAAAATGAGTCCTGATCCAAAAAAAAAGTCCATTATGACACAAGCCACTATTTTCTCCCTTCCAATCTTCAGCTTTTCCTCACTTAGCTAAAACACAGCCTCAAAGTCCCGCTCAGCTCTGGCACGTGGGACAGGCAAAGGCAACAGAAGGACACGAACTGGGGGGATGGAATCTCTTTGGCATTCTTGTGTTCTTTCACATCTTGACTCTCAATCATTCAATCATCTTTGGACAAAGGTCAGCACTAAATTGTCTGCTGTGTATGGTCAACAATTATTTTCTAGTAGATCTATTTATTTCATTTCTGATGAATAGTGCCTGCTGCCCCACACATGATCAAAGATAAGAATTCTGATACTTTGGCTGTATAAAGACTTACATATTAGGAATATTAGAAACACCAGACTCAAATTTGAATTCTGCCTCTGGTAGTTACCAACTGTGTGACTCAGAGGAGTTAGTAGGATTCTCTTGTCTCTAGTTTTTTGTAAAATATTAATAACAAACGGTACTCCCTTTATAAGGTTGACTGTGGGGATTAAGGGAGTTGACGACTATTAGAGTTGGAAACTCGAAGTTACTCTGAGTAAAGTGGGCTAGGTAGAAGGCAGTAAATGGCAACTGGCATGCAGTCTCTGATTTGAAGGGACTGGTGGTGTCTGTGACAAACTTGAGACTTTCTGTCCCTCTAAAGAGGCAGCTGTTCCTATTTGGCTCCAGTGAGTTTTTGCAATGGAAAAAATGTGGACCTGGTGTTGCCAGGTTTTCCGGGAAGCTGGAAATCCGGACTTTTATGTGAAACCTCACAATTTTTAGTTTTTGGCAATTAATTCAAATTTAAAGCACTGTGCAAGCCAAACAAAACACATCTGCAGGCCAAATAAGCGGAGGGAGGCACCCGTTGTGACCTCTGATGTATGTGAACATGTTTGTAACAGAACCTGCCTCAGTATAGATATTCCATAAATATTTGCCTCGTTTTTTCATTGCATGTGATATCCAACATGAGGAAAGAAAAATAATCAATTTGAGCTTCTTAGAAAATCATCAGATTTCTCACTCTTAAGGATCAGATTTATTACTTAAGTCATATATTCATATGTTTAGTCTTATCCACCGTTATGTTAAAATGCTTAACTTGGGAAAAGCTTATACTTTGGAGAATTTTATTGGGTCCTGTGACTTTGTAACAGAAGTTTTAATTTTTGTTTGAAAACATATATTGAAAATATAGTGAAGACAATTCCGAATCATCTCAACAGAAATTCACATTTATTTTTCAATTTTTTTAAAAAATAATTTTTTAACTGGCAAATAAAAATTGTTTGTATTTATGGTATACAACATGATGTTTTGAAATACTGCATTGTGGAATGGCTAAATCAAGCATATGTATTACCTTACATACTTATCTTTTTTTTTTTGTGGAGAAAACATTTAAAATCCACTCTCTTAGTAATTTTCAAGTATACAATACATTTTTATTAACTATAATCATCATGTTGTGCGATAGATCTCTTGGACTTATTCCTCCTGTCTAACTGAAATTTTCTATTTTTGGGCCAACAGCTCCCCAAACCTCCCACTCCCCAGCCTCTGATAACCACAGGAAAATTCACATTTCTGATGTTGGCCTGAGTTCCAGTAAGTGAGCAACTCTAGCCTGGATTTTTCTCTTTGTCCTCAGAGGAGCAAGACCTGGTTTTAACTGCTACATCTTCATATTGCTCACTCCTTAAGTAGTTTAACTTACTTTTTAACTGTTACATGCCAACAAAACAGGTTGCTTAATTGGTTTGACCTTTCACAGTATTTTTTAATTTTTCAATCTTAGTTTCATAGTTCCATCTGGCCCTTTAAAACGACATCTGGTTAACTGTACTTAACCAGCTGATCACTGTACAGTTATTTTTAAATGTAATGTATGCTTAAACAGATGTTATTTTTATAGATGTGGATCTAAACTGCACTTGTGTACGTGCTATGTCTGCATAAACTCTTTCTGCAATTCAAATGTTGACACCCAAAATTACAAGCCAGAATGCTTATGAACTCCACTATTATGGTACTGCACTTTTGTGCTGCTTGTAAGGTAAACATCAATTCAGTTCTTTTTTTCTTTCTTCATTGCACATAAATAAAACATTAGCATTTAGTTTATAAAGTGATGAACATTTTGCTGTGTTGGGTTTAGCTTTATAAATACAACTGCTGTCAGCAAGAAAAAAGGATTTATTGAATAAATAATAAGAAAGCTAAGGGAAAATGAAAATATATATATTATGCAAAACATGGTGTCTGTCAACAGGTCACAAAGGGGCTTCAGTGCTCTTGGTGTGGCTGTTGGAGATAATTCCATCTCTGGAGTGCTGGCCCTGAAGCATTCTGGACCTCCACCTCATGGTAAGTGTCTTAGATTTAATCTAGGAAGCATGCTATAGAGAATAAATTTATTTTGTAGATCTCTGAATGCTTAATTGTCCAGAGCATAATTAACATTTAGATCAATTACCATGTCTTTTTACATGAAAAACATCAAGAACACATGATAACAAGGAAACCTAAATGGTCATTCAATCCTACAGTTTGATTTTAAAGTCTTATCCTATCAGGAAAAGAAAAGAGAAGAAAATGACAAGCAGTTTCCACACAGATTGAAAGGTTTTGCAGTCATGAATGGATCAGAACATTGGGTGTACCTTGTGTCAGACAGAACACAATCTCACCAACTGAGAGATCTCCAAAGAACATTACAATGGGAAGTGCGCCCACGACAAGAGGTTGAATCCTCGTTGAGACAAAGAAAGTGGCCACAGTTGAAAATATTTTACCGAGAACTTTAAAAGTATTCTCAAGGTTAAAAATTGCTGTTATACATAATACCTCAGTAATTGATAGACATTTTCTCTCTCCAGAGTCCATTTTCTGTGAAAAACACCACATAACATCTGTTCATAAACAGTCCTTCTGTGAAAACACTGACACAGGTCTTGAGCTTCCACAGGCTCAATTCCCCTGCCATGTGCAGATGGCATGATGTATTTATACAGCTGAAGCCTGTGTAACATAAGCCCGGCCATATCTCCAGGTAAGACTTCAGGCAAACATGTGCTGCTGTTCTCTAGCCTCACCCCAAGTTGTTCAAGGAGTTCCTTCTGACACAAAGACAAATTGTTTCCCACGAATGTGTGGGATTCGTCAGAAAAATCACCTTCGGCAATCAACATATAACTCTACAGAGATAAGGACATTTCTACTCTTTTAAAAAGATTCCACAGAACACATTAATGAAAAACTAATTAGGGTTACAGAGGTATTTGGGAAACTAAATATGACTGTGATCATTCAGTTGCCTTTTTTTTTTTTTGCCTCTATGCTTAATGTGTGATGTTTAACTGGAATTAATTATTGCAACTAAAAGCAAAAAGTTTGGGGTTAAGGGTTTAAATAATTAATGTTCAGTTTTTCAATAACTACCATGAAAGGAAGAATGTCCTTATAATGCAAGAAATTATTTCCCACATAACTTCCTTTGGTTTCTCCTGTTACACGTGAAATGCAAGGAAAAGCTCTACAAGGATAGAACTTCTTAACTGAGCATTTGTAGAGAAACACTTAAGAGACTCTCAAACCCTAGTGAGCTTTCTTTGCTTTCCAAATCTGGTTAATCACCAAGATGTTGGTCCTCTGGCATTCTCTAAAATTGTTCTTTCTTAGAAAGAGACAGATTCTAAGGACAAGCATAGCCTGTTTCTCATGACGTGGAGAAACAGTGACTTTAAGTAAATGCAGGATGCTGGAGCTTCCGAAGGGTTTAGGGGCCCTGAGGAACACCCAAATAAACAGACCAAAGAAGCTATACACATGCATATCTTGGGTTTATTTGTACCTGTCTTTGATTACACAGCTGAAATGCATATGAAAGTCACCATCAGATGAACATATCTATGGTACCCTCATGTAATATAAACTACTTGTATTTTATTCTTCATGAACACCACAGGCAAGTTCTTGTATTTGACCAGCTGGGGTCAAAAATACTACCCAATGCTTGGAGGTTTTTTTGTTTTGTTTTGTTTTGCTTTTTTTTTTCCACCTAGCTTCAATATCTATTGACACACATGAGCTTTCTGGTTTGTGCATTTCAAAGGTGTTTTTACAGCATTGATGAACTCTCAACTTACTGAATATCCTTCATAGTGGCTTATCAGTTGAGGCTACAAAATCATCTTTGGTAAAGATTTGCAAGGGGAAAGAATTAGTCATTGGAGAGTAGGATGAACTAAGGACTCTGGAAAAATTCTAGGGAGACAGTTTGGGGAATCTGTGTCTATATCATGGGCAAAACACAGCTCCGTTTGCCCTTTCCTGGTTATCCCTCACTCACACGATAAACCTCATTTGAAACACAGGGAAAATAATCAAAATAAAAATAAAGTTGTGCCTTCAAATCACATGTCAAGACATCTCTTCACTAAATATTGAACTGTATTGTTGTTTGGATGAAGCCATGCAGTTAGGAATAACAAAAGAGGCCAAATTCAAATCATGTTTTTCATTTGACATACACTTAACATGTTATGGTAGCCACAACTTTCCTGGATTTTTTGGTTATTCATTTCTTTTTATTGATACTTCAGTTTAGTTTTTTCTGGAAAACTGAAAGTCGAAGGACATGCATTCAGTTTTACCTGATATATAAGCACATAATAATGATGGCAGCCTAAATTTGTTGGAAACACTTTTATTATACTCCAATTTTCCATGGTATATTAGGTTCACTGTGTCATATATAATGCTGAAAAAATGGAAATACTATAAATACCCAATAATACAGGACTGATTATTGGTAGGAGAAAATTATGTCATTATGTTAAGTGAAAAAAATTAAATAACAAATTGCATATATACTTCACAGTCTCAACTAAATATATGACACAGACAAGCATAGAAAAAAGACATGAAAAAAACATGCCAATGTGCTAAAAAACACCCGATTTCTTGGTGACAGGCTTATGGATTGGACTATGATTTCATCTTTTTATTTGTATATAGTTTTCAAATGTTTTACGTTGAATATACATTAATAATCAGAAAAAATATTATAAAAAGCATACAAGGTACTTTCTCCTAAGAAAAGCATTTGTTAGTCTATTAATAGTCTTGGTGGCTTTGAGCAAGAATATAAGTTGATATGAAGTATAATGAGTTATATTTTTGACAAGATTTTATGAAATTTAGAAAGAGATAGTTTAGGAAAATCTTCCTCCCCCATAAGGTACCTTTGGAGACACTGATAATTTGTTGCCTAGATACTTAAATTGTGTCCTAGATGATCTCCCTGACTTTATGAACCTCTGCCTCCCTCCCTCCTTTCCTTCCTTCCTTAATAAATATTTATTGATTTATATCTCTGTTCCAGGTGTTCAGAATGGGAATGGCAATAGAGACGTCCTGGTGGAATTTGTAGCCTAGGAAGAGAGACAGTCAGTGAACAAGCAAGGAAATGTGCAGTGAACATGCAAATAATATCGTAACTGTGAGGGTGCACCTGAGGAACCATGAACCATGGAAAGCAGGGGCAAGCAGCCCTGCCATTTGCAGAGTGAGAGAGAAGCCTTTTATTTGTCAGCGACATTTGTGATGAGACCTGAAAGTGCAGGAGGAAACTAATGGGTTCCGCCCAATGTGGGAGGATGCTCTAGGGAGTATGCTGGGAGTGTCTCCACGAGACCAACTTGCCATTCCATCCCAAGAGTGCCTCACACACAGGAAACACTTAAATATTTACTGAATTGGCTTGATTTGAAAGATACACCATCTAAGTCTTAAAAACTGTAGGACCTAGGCTGACTGAGTTAAATCTTATCAGTCTATAGTTCATCTTATTCCTGCCTCTGAAAACTGCCTGCCTGTCATGAGGTCTATCTTAGAACCAGATAAACCAACACACTGGTCTTAAATTTTGAAGGCTTTCCTCTAGAGATTGTAGAGACTTGGGATAGTTTAAAATGCATTCTCCATTTAAATGGAATGAAAGCTTATCTCTTTATTGTGCCTTGATGTCAAGTCGGCAATAAATATGGATATCAGACTATGCAAAATTATTCCTGAATTCCTGTCATTATACCCAATCAAAATTCTAAACACTTTAACTCGATGTTCAATGATCAGTTAGGATTGTTCACATACGTGGCTAGCTGTTTATAATTCTTCATGTTTTTCGTCAATGAAAATATTTGGCTTAATCTCAAAATCATCAAAAAGACTAGACGTAGGTTAGTCCAAACCACTCATTCTTTTTGTAGCAAGTACTTTCCACCAAGAGGATGCCCACCCAGCTGGAAGGAAGCTGAAAGAGTGAAAGAATTTTTGCCTTGATTGATGCCAGGAATGACTCTGAGTTATTTTTTCCCCACTGGATTGATCAAATCAAGCCTTTCTGCCCTTAAAAATATAAACAGTACTATGTCCCTCAGCATGATGAGGGCAATGACAGATCTACTATGGATGAGGAACATCAGACACTCTCAAATAACATCAAATTTAAGAACCAAGAAAAAAATATACTCTGTGATCATGAGTGATAGCGTCGATTCTGGAGAAGAAAGCCTGGATAAGGAAGGTCAGTGATGATGAATATGTGAAATGATGAACCTTCCACCTCCAATAAAAACAAGACGCTGATCATGAAACTATTTCCAGTGTCTAGTATTTAAAAATCTATCACAAATAACTATTGCCTTCCAGACACGTATAATTGATCCTACTTGTATCAACAGTAGGTTCCTTTTCAGGTTTTTTTTCCACATTAACTTCTTTTTAACATGGTATTATTTTCCTTAAATGGCATTTCTACTGACAACTACGCTGAATGCACTGTATAATTATCATGTCTTCAGTTTCTTTTTCTACAGTTCTTTTTAATTACAAAATAATACCCTTCTGAAGAGCGCATCTTTGGTATCTTAACCATCGTTGGGTCAATATAGCAGTGTGTGCTCATTATCAATATATTTTAATTATTTCATTCTGTCTAATGCCACATTTTTTGATTTCCACGAATTGCCAGGTAATTATGTTTGCATCAGGATAAATAATTAACATTCTCTGGAGCAGAAAGACCATTACATTCCTTTTTCCTTTCCTTTTTTTTTTTTTTTTTTTTTTAGCCCTGGCAATATAATAAATAGACAGGCATTTACCTGGATTAATTAAATGTGGTCTTTTGGCGGGGGCAAGAGCAACATTTGGTGATTCAAAAGCTGTCTTTTGCTAAGCTCAGAATTTTCCAGAGCCAGAGTTTGTGGCCTCCTAACTCCTCTTTAAACAGAGCAACGCTGCTTTCTTTACATTTCTAAATTATCCTCTGTCCTTCTTCAAGCCCTAATTCACCACTCTCCCCCGGCCCCCAAAGCAGAGTGTAGGTTGTGGAGACTAAGAGTGCAAAGGCTATTTATATGTGTAAAATTATTATATTATTTCCCTATATTATACATGCATAAAATTATAAAATTATTTTACTGTATAAAATTGTTATAGTAGAAAATAAATTCTACTACAGTAAATTCTACTATCTAAGGCAACAAAAACATGAACAATTTCACAAACATTTACTAGCAGAACTTATGCAAGCTCAAAAACAAACTAACAAAGTAAAATAAGGTAAGGTTCAGCGGGTGATGCTTGAGAGAAAAGCCACGAGCTGGGTGAATGGAGCCAAGTGTGTTGTGGCAAAGATTTAGAATAAGTTTCATTTCTTCATTAATGGGAAAACTGCTTCTTAAAAATTTGGGGATATACATTCCTTGAAGTTGCTCTTTCAAGCTGAGAGGAAAAGTCCTGTGGCATTAACTGTGTCACCATCAGACACGTTACTTAATCTCTCTGTGCTGCAGCTTTCTCAACTGTAAACTAGGGCTGATAAGGGTGCCCAAGTACACACTTTCATAATGCCAGGTTTGTAATCCAGTTGTTATTTGAAGAAGGCTTTTAAACTCCTACAGTTCTTCGAGCTTAACATCCCAACATCTTTGATAATTTCTCAAATTATTAATAGAAGCTTCAAAGATTCTAATGGTTTTGGTCATTCTTTCGTCTTTGCTCAATCTTAAAGGTCTCTGATGAACTACGGGACGCAGAAGAGAATGCCATGCTCCAGAAAGCCTGAATCGCACAGAACGAGACGAGAAAACTTCCCTTCCACTTTCATCCAACCATAAAACTTAAACTGTTTTACTTTTAAATTCTCAGTTTCCTGGTTTTATCTTTTTTTCTTCCTCCCTTTGTATTATTTAAAAAGTCTAATAAATGTGTTGCTAATTCTTTTCGATGTTCCTCTATCTGCTGATTACTGGCTACGTGCCAATGATACAGCATTGAAATACCTTTTCTAATTCCCGCCTTTATAACAGTGTTAAACTGGATAAAGCCAAGCGCTTGCTTTCATTTTTGATAAGTCGATATTTCTATATATAAGAAATAAATATCAAGTAAGTTGGTAAGTCTCCTATTGTGATAAAAACAGAAGAATCAGATTTTCCTTGTAGAAATGATTATGTGAGAGGAGACAGAAGAAAAACTATTTATTATATTTAAAAGATCATCATAGGGAAGTGGGGGAAATTTACTTTATGCATCTCTGAAATGCTAATCTTAGACTGACTGGTCCAAGTTACAATTATCACAAATATCGTGGAAAAACAAATGTGAACAAAAGGTTGAATGTTATGACTTATCTGGAACTACTCTGCCTAGAACTTAAATAGTAACTAATTATGGTCATCCTTAAATGGTATGACAAATGATACCGCAGTATTTTATACTCTGTACCCTAGACCTGGATAAATAATTTTAAAAGTTTCTAATCTTGATATGTATTTTACTGAATTAATGTTTATGTAGCTTCAGAATCTTACCTGTCCTAAAGCCACATTAATTGAGCCTTTCATAAATCATGTAATAAAATATATCTTTGCACCTACTGAGTGCAAAGCAGTCAGCTTTGGGAAGAGCTATTGTCATAGAATTCAGACAATATAATTTATTACTTCTATTATCATGTCATATTTTATTAGGCATATGCTACATGTTGCAGATGTAAAGAGGTGCATTGCATGGTTCAGGTCTAAACATCTGCTCTTCTTTCTATAACCCTGAAAATGATGCCACCACATCCATTCTTACTATATTGCAATATCTGAAGAAGAGGTTGAAACAAAAACAACTATGAAGTAATTTCATGCTCAGTAATATAAAAGGTGTTTCAATTTTCATAGAAACAGTTTTACACTGGGATGTAGGCAAACTCCAGTGTAATGATTTAGACATTGCTGTTCCCTGTATTTCCAGTTTATTCAAATATATTTTTTCAAATATTGATATCTGAGGCAATACATAAAAAATTTTAAATGAGTAGTTTATCACCATTTACACTTTTAAAAGATCCACCTCCCTCAAAATAAAAGCATTTAACAAGGGGGAAACACAAAGAATTACTAAGATTTCAAATATTTCAATCAGCCAACGTGATCCACTGTTTAAGACATAGCACGAACCTCAAGGGGTGTCATTTGGAAGTGACTATAATGTAAACAAACGTTATAAAACAAGATTAGGCAATATAATATTGATCCTTGCATTTTGTTAAAATCAGAAACTAAGGCAATTCAGGAAAATTAGATTTTCCATAGATTTTTCAAGTCCCGACAGTAACATTTCTATAAAAGCCTTTTTTTGTATGAAATCTGTATACAAAAAAGAGTATTTAGTAAACATGGCACCCTTTCTTAGAGATGGCTGAAATCCTGTAGCAACATAAAGATTGTCACCGTTTATTTTGTAAAATCATCTTCTGAGCAGCAAGACAGTATTACATTTTACAAGATCCATGACTAGTGATGGGTATTTATAACCAAATAAAGGATTTAGTTATGGATATCTACAGAGTCAAACTCACTGGCTGAGTAAGTTGACACAAACAAAGGGGGGACTTTACACAAATAAGTTTTAAGCTTTGCATCTTAGAAATAAGATGACTTTGCAGTACTATAAGAAGTGTCACCATGAAGTTGCATTTTAATGGACTAAACTGTTAAAAACAAATTGAATTGAGCTTTAATTTACCCTCATTTGTCTTTCACTATTCCCCACATCATTTTCTCACTTTGCTTTTGACTTCATTTGTAAACTTGAACTTTACTCCTACTTAGAAATAAAAGTTTTAGGTACTCCCCAAGAAATAACTCAAACTAAAGATATATTTTGAAACATTTTAGAAAAATCTTTGAAATGATAAAGCATAAAAATTCATTTTCTGTTTTCCAATAATATGAGATTACAAATATAATGATGTTCTTTCATCAAAACTGTTCCAAAAAACAACAAAACCCATAACCAAACCTCCTAGGGAAAAAAAGGCCGAGTTCTGCCTTTAGTGGGAAAGTAGAGAGTAAAAAAATTCTGTCTGAATAAACATTTTTAAAAACGCTTCTTTCTGAACCAGTGACTATGAGTCAAAGGGAAGCATCAACATTCAGTATTCTGTATTGCCCACTTCTTGGAATTTTTTGAAATTACAGAATACGTAGTAGCTGACAGCAAATATTAATTTTTAAATATGAAACCCTATGACAAAATTGTTTACACTCTATAGAGACTTAAAGTATTATTATATTATATTTTCAAATAATAGCATGAAAGCTGTCTGGTACAAAAAAGGCAATGTAGTCCTGTATTTTCCAGTGCTCTCTAACCTATTGAAATAGAGGAAGAACATAGAAAAATGTTTTTCAGGTAAACAGATATTCAGTGTCAAATATGGTAAAACACAGGCACATTTAAAAATTACAGTTTTATAAAAATTACACCAAGATTCTTCTTCTCTTTATGGGCATGTGTCATTCATTTTAAACCTTTGCTTTGTTCAAAGTGCAAATTCTGATGTTAGCGGTTCTGGGTTCAAATGTTGGCCCCGCTACTCACTAGCTTTAGAAACTCAGGCAAGGTATTTGCTCTCTGAGGATGAATTCTACATCTGCAAAAATGGAGATTACAATCTACAACACTGGTTCATGAAAAATGACCAATAGAGTTACTATGCTATCCTTTTATCAATATTGTGACTAATATAAAACAATTATTAATCCTAAAGTTCCCACTAAAACATTTTCCTAAAAACAACTGATGAAATATTTTTAATGGGGGAGGGCAGTGCAGAATATACAAATGATTTTCATCTGTGTCCCAGCTTTGTAACTCACCACCTTTGTGATTTTACAAACGTCATGATTCCTAAATGAACATTTGGTACCCTATCTGTGAAAAGGAGATGAGAACATCTGCCTCTAGTTTTTGAGTGAGTTCAGTTTATGTATGTAAATCATAAAACACTCTGCAACTGCTAATAATCGTGAAGAAAACTAGCAACTACAACTTTTTTAAAGAAAAGATATTACAATTAAAGGTCGATGAACATTGATGGAGTGAGGCAATTTTTTATGATTTATGTGGGTTTTATCTGTTGGCTTTCCTCATCTCACTGTGGCGTTAAACATATTATATTAAGTAGTTGAAATCAGATTGAATACAATTCATTCTGGTCCACTTGCTGAAACACGCCAATAGGATGTTTTCCAATTTTCTCACATAATATTTCTCTTGTCCTTTGGGGTCATGTGGTAATTTCTGCAGGGAAAATAATCTAACCACTGTGCAACTGATCAAAGTATTCCTACGAATACTGCCTTAGGACAAATGATTTGAACCCTTCCATTATCAAAACATCTGCAAATGTTCCTTTTATGTAAGTGTCAATGAGTGAGCATATGCTGATTGAATTCCCTTCCTCCTCTGAGCACCTGACATACACCTGACATGTACAATCGAATTCACGAAAAATTGATTAATGACATGAACTTTTAAGACTTAGCAAATTTATGTGATAGGACAATACTCAAATCCTAGAAAGCCAGAAAAAATTTTGCAAGGTTTTAAATGGTTTAAATGTAAGTGTGTCTTGGAACTTGGAGTCAATATGCTGGTTCCTAAAATATTACTTTACATAAATATTGCTTTTGTACCTTTTCCAGAATTGTGCATGGTGGTGCATAAACCTCGCCGTGATATATACCACCAAGGGTCATTTACATGCAGTTTTAAGTCATCTCAGCTTGATTTTTGTCATGTATTGGCATAATTCATGTTTTTTTAGGCACGTAATTTTATTTTAAAAGATTTGTAACTTATTTTGCTAAACGAACCCTTAGGGAAAAATAGGTAAAATATTTCCTTCGACAGTAATGAAGACACTACAAGTTTCTTCTTTATGTGTGTATGTGTATGTGCAAGTGGATGTGTGCACTGCATGTCTCTAATGGAAAATTAAGAGTTAAAAATAGAATATAGCGAAAAAATTGGATAATTGGTTAATTTCTGCCATCTTTACTTTTCAAATTGATTGTCATAAGCAAAGTCATTGTGTGGTGCTTTGCATGTACATTTTAAATATTACAAATGAATAGATCGGTCCTGGCCCATTTCATGTGTACATGTTGTATAAGTGGCATTGCATTACAGAAATCAAGAGTAAAACTGACAATTTCTTTCTGAAAATCTGAATGTGAAACTATGGTTGCTCACATAATTTTCCAAATGTCAAATAATAATGATTATAATAAAGTATTTTCAATTAGTGATAGAATAGACAAATGAAATGTATGCTTTTTCCACTGGCAGTAGGTTGATTTGGCTGAATAGCTGGTTGGGCATATGCCCTCTTCCTCTCTCTCAATTTGGATGTTTCCATCTCCCAGCCTAAGTTTTGGAACACTATGAACCTGCGGCATCATGCAATGATTTTTTTCCATTAAGAGTTTATTAAAATTTTAAAATATTCTAAAATCTAAATGGAATTTATTCCAGAACTTTAGATAATGCCATCCATATATATACTAAATATACTGAAGGCTCTTTCTCTATTGAAATATATTACAGTATGGCATCTTAACATTCTGTTTAGCCTAATGTTAATAATCACGATTCTAGGTTTTCAGCTCCTGTGGTTTTCTTTTCATCGATTTATTACTGTTTATATTTTTTTATATCAAGTTTCTTATTAAATTATAAATGAAAGTATATGTCGATGGCAGTATTCTAAACATATTACTTTGAGTAACAGAAGTGTTTATTTCTTTTAAACTCTAAATGACATACTTTGTACTAGTTAAACGTTCTCCCACAATATAACAAAATATAAATCATCTGTTGGAACCCACATTCTAAAATACAACCAGGTCTATATTCATATTAACTCATGGAAAATTCTTTTCTGCACTGTTTGAGAGAGTATGCTCAGTGTTTCACTATTGTTTATTCTTCAATAACTAATCACCCTTCTTGGTCTTCCAAAAGTTCCTGGCATTTTACTAGTTTACACATTGATTGAATGCCATTCTCAGAATTGCTTTTGGCACCAAGCCGACTGCTGTGATAATCAGCTACGAGATTTATTCCAGCGGAGAAGTGTTATAAACATAAGGATTCATAAGGCACCACACTGAAGATGAATACTGATGCTTTGAGATGGTTGAAAACTTTATGTTCTTTCCATGAGCACTAATGCCAGTCTTTACATTCTTTACATGTGATCTTTGATTTTGTGGGGAAGCAAAAGGTGAGTTCATTGGATTTGATGATTTGATATTTGTATTAATGATTATTAGCCAGTTTTAGCAAATTAAAAATGACAAAGACAAGTGTAGAAGAATCACTGAGAGCATTTTGAAAATCACCACCTTTATGGAAATTAAGGCATTAACTACTAAACATGATCTGACACATTTACTGCAATAGGATATATTATTATATTGGTTGATAGGTGAAGAAAAAGTCCAGAAAAGTACAAATGAAGCCAAAAAAATGCAAAGGGAAACTGCTGGCCGGTAAATGCACTGAGCCAGAAAATGATAATAAGGAGAAATGAAGTGAATGGAAAACAGAATGCATAAGCATTTCTTAAATAAAAGACTCAAAAGCAGAGAAAAATGTAAGTTTAGAGAATGTTGAGCAGAAAAGGTTGCCAAATATTAATCATAAGTAGGGGAAAAGAAAAATAGATGCAGCTGAAATGTTGAAAAGATACAGAAATAAATAAGCTATTCAAATAAAAGTCATTTGTGAGTGCTAAAGACAGATGTTTGGAGGAATTCTGGGGGCTTCAAAAGTGTCATGGAAGATGATCTGGGAAACAAAGTGTCAAAACTACAGGAGTCAAATGCTTCCCACGGTATTCACCCATGAGGTGGGGCCTACTGGTTCATTCAGGGTTCACCTATAACTTTTTCAGGAAAATCTCTCCAGTTTCCCCATACTAGTGCTCTAAGAGCTCCCTCTAATTTTCTTTTTTAGTACGTATCACCACTTAGAGTTATTACCTGTCCCATTAGATAATTGTCTTCTCCTCAAGGTGAAAACAAACTCCAGAAATTCTGGTAGGACAACTCATTTTTGTAGCTCTAAGCTTACTGCAGTACCTGGAGGATAGCAAGCATTCAAAAATTTTTTGAACTAAAAAAAATAAATAGAGGAATAAGTACATGATTGAAAAAATGGACTAACTACTCCATGTTTGGTAATTCCGCCTCAAGATAGGAATTGGAATAACAGAAAAAGAAAGTAAGGGTCAGGTATAACTAAAAGAAGGGACTCTTATGAAGGGCTTTTGAATATTTGAGAGAGAGAAGGCAAAGAAAAAACTTGTGGAAATAGAGCTTTAGGGGCTGTAAACAGTAAATCTAGAAAAGGTATGTGTGGAATGAAGGCAATAAACATAGAAATTATATTTGAATTACAATTAGATACAAAAAGAGGCCTCTAGTAAAACAGGTTACAATGCTTATATGTTTTCAATATTAAAGTCTTGAATGCCAACTCTAAATATTGAAATAATAAACAGTACAATCATACATTCTTATAATTTGGGATTTTCTCCAGAATACAGTGAATCTTTTTTCACTTAAACTTCAAATGAAATGATAATAGCTCTCATTTATCGAGCACATATTACGTGTCAGCTATTGTCTTATCCCTGCATGTATTTTGTTAATCCTCACAATTACCGTATGTGAGAATGACTATTGTTATATAAAATTCTGTTTCTACTTGGTCATTTCTCTCACACTCTTTAACCACCTCCATCCCAAAGCCTATCCCCTACTCCTCTAACACTCTTTTTTTGAATGTTGCTGATGTCTTCCATGTGGCCAACTCTTTTTTTTTTCTCATGAAGCTTTCTATATTTTCTTTTTATAATTGCAACTTTTATTTTAGATTCAGGGGGTGCATGTGCAGGTTTGTTACCTAGGGATATTGCATGATGCTGAGGTTTGGGCTATGATTTGTTACCTAGGGATATTGTATGATGCTGAGGTTTGGGCTATGATTGATCCCGTCATCCAGGTACTGAGCCATAGTACCCAATAGTTAGTTTTTCAATGAACCCTTCCAAACCTCCCTCTCTCCCCGCTCTGGTGGTCTCCAGTGTCTATTGTTACCATCTTTATGTCCATAAATACCGAACGTTTACCTCCAGCTTATAAGAGACAACACATGGTATTTAGTTTTCTGTTACTGCATTAATTCACTTAGGATAATGGCCTCCAGTTGCATTCATAGTGCTGCAAAGGACATGATTTCATTCTTTTTTATGGGTCTGTAGTGTTTCATGGTATATATGTACCATATTTTCTTTATCCCATTCACTGTTGATGGGCACCTAGGTTGATTCCATATCTTTGGTATTTTGAATAGTGCTGCAATGAACAGGGAAGTGCATGGGTCTTTTTGGTAGAACAATTTATTTTCTTTTGAATATATACCCAGTAATGGAACTATAAGGTCGAATGATAGTTCCGTTTTAAGCTCTTTGAGAAATCTCCAAACTGCTTTCCACAATGGATGAACTAATTTACATTCCCACCAACAGTGTGTAATTTTTCCCTTTTCTCCTCAACCTCATCAGCATTTGTTTTGTTTTGTTTTGTTTTTTGACTTTTTAATAGTAGCCATTCTGACTGGTATGGGATGGTATTGCATTGTGGGTTTGATTTGCATTTCTTTAAAGATTAGTGATGTTGAGTATTTTTTCATTTTTTTTGCCACTTGTATGTCTTCTTTTGAGATTTGTCTATTCATGCATTTTGCCCCAATTTCAATGGAGTTGTTTTTTGCTTATTTGATTGTTTTATTTCTTTACAGATTTTAGATATTAGACCTTTTTCAGATGTATAGTTTACAAATATTTTCTCCCATGCTGTACGTTTGTCTGTTTACTCCGTTCATGGTTACCTCTGCTGTGCAGAAGCTCTTTAGTTTAATTAGGTCACATTTGTCAGTTTTTGTTTTTGTCGTAATTGCTTTTGAGGCCTTAGTCATAAATTTTTCCCTAAGGCTGATGTCCAGAATGGTGTTTCCTAGGTTTTATTTTAGGATTCTTATAGTTTGAGAGCTTACATTTAAATCTTTAATCCGTTTTGAGTTAATTTTTATATGGTGAAATGTAGGGATCCAGTTTCATTTTTCTGCATATGGCTAGTCAGCTATCCCAGCACCATTTACTGAATAGGCAGTATTTTTCCCCCTTGCTTATTTTTGTCAATTTTGTCAAAGATAAGATGTCTGTGGCTATGCAGCTTTATTTCTGGCTTGTCTATTCAGTTCCATTGGTCTATGTGTCTGTTTTTGTGCCAGTACCATGCTGTGTTGGCTACTGTAGCCTTATAGTATAGTTTGAAGTTAGGTAATGTGATGCCTCCTGCTTTGTTCTTTTTGCTTAGGATTGCTTTGACTATTTGGGCTCTTTCTTGGTTCCATGTGAATTTTAGAATTGTTTTCTCTAGTTCTGTGAAAGATGATGTTGGTAGCTTGATAGGAATAGTATTGAATCTGTAAATTGTTTTGTGCAGTATGGCCATTATAATGATATTGATTTTTTCAACCCAAGAGCATGGAATGTTTTTCCATTTGTTTGTATCATCTCTGCTTTCTTTCAGCAATGTTTTGCAGTTCTCCTTGTAGAGATCTTTCACTCCTTGGTTAGATACATTCCTAGGTATTTTATTTTTTGTGGCTATTGTAAATGGGATTGCATTCTTGATTTGGCTCTCAGATGGAAAGTTGTTGGTGTATAGAAATGGTACTGATATTTGTACATGGATTTTGTATCCTGAAACTTTACTGAAGTCATTTATCAGTTCTAGGAGCTTTTGACTGAGGCTTTACGGTTTTCTAGTATAGAATCATATCATCAGTGATAGTCCTTGTCTTACCTGTCCTTAGATGTTGTTAGAGTATGTATGGGTCAGATTTAGAATGGCATTGCTGACATATTGCCACCACAAGGACACATCTATTATGCGTTTCTTTGCAGAGTTTCTTTCTCCAAAGAGAAAGTGACTTGTATGTGCACAGCTGTGCCTACCAGGTGCATCTCAAGACGAGACTACAGTTGCTAAAAGCAGAAACTGTGGCATGAAACAGGCATGTTTGATGACTTCCTTCCTGCCTATCCCTTTCAGCCACTCTCCAATCTTTACAGAGCACCACACTCACTACACCCAGCTAAGAAGGTGAGAAGTGAACACATAGCCAGATGGATTTGAGTTCCAATCTTAGCTCCAACATATGCTTGCTCTAAGAGCTTGGATAGTATGTTTAACCCCTTTGAGTTAAATTTTCACCCTCGTAAAATGGAGATACCAACATATACTCTGTGGATTTGTTGTAGAGATTACTTTAGACTTTTGTGAAGTCTAGCATGGTACCTGGCACATAGTAGGTTCTTAAGAAATGGTAACTAATGATTTTACTATAAAATAGAGAAGGATATTCAATGGTGTTTTTTGAGATTTTCTATCTATTGGGGGAAATAAAGTATTATAACAAGTAATATATGAAGCAGTATTTGGCTTAATCTACACTTTTTTATCCTCTTTCACTAAACTTGTCACCTTGTCTTGTCTCCTTGTTCTTTCACCTTCTCCCTTATGTTGGGTGAATATATTATTCTGATTTCTTTCTCTATTTTTCTCTCATTCATGAATCCACTAGCATATTAATCTTCTTCTGAATCTCAGAGTCTGCCAGCCTAATCACATGTCTACTCTCTTAAAGAAGATTTTAGGTCATCACTTTGAATACAGAATGACCACCTTATATTCATAGTTCCATATCTTATCTTATATCCACATTATCATCTGCACATACCCTATGCTCATCTTTCTTCTTTGTCATCTTTCTTCTTTGTCAAAGGAAACACTGTGATTCGAGTGTCCCAAGCTAGAAATTCTTTCCTACTACGTGTTCTGAGACATGTTTCATTTCCACTCTATCAGAACTCCAGCATCATCTCTGCAAGCACCCTTTCTGGAATTCTAGTGCCCACATTAATCCCTTTTGAACTCCAACTATGGGAAATTAGCATTTGGAAATCTTGTTACCTCAGTGAGTATTCACGTACTCATCCTTTAGAAAGCAGGAAAAAGGTATCCTTTGCACCTACATTTTGTGCGTGTAAGTTTTGAACAAAGGCTCACTGATCAAGTGTATGGGTCCACATGTCCTTAGCAGAGAGGGCCATTTAGCAAGATTATGAAGCCAGATTTTCTTAATACTTCCACTATGATAGGTAATCTGTTAAAATGAGGGAAACTGTGATTGTCATTCATAGGTGTTAGCACACAGAGGATGTGACTGTACATTCTTGCATGTATGAAAGACATATTTGTACAATTCATGTATTGTTTGAAAATAATGATCATAGTAACAGGAATACCTTTGTTTTCAGTAAAAGAATAAATAAAGGGCTAACTAATGTATTTTTTCTGTGGAATTTCCTTTCCTGGTTTAGTCTAAATAATACTTCAAAATTTTATTCCTCCTCTTCCTTGCCTTTTTTTTTCTACTGCATAGGTCTTCTTCCTTTCAGTTTCTAGACAGTCTGTATTTTATTGTGTTAAGGAAGGGATGATATATCCAAAAATAATAAGAATGAACAAAGGAGATAATTATTGGATTTGAGGTTTCAAAAACTTAATCCCTAGATCAATAGGAAAGACACATGTGCACAGCTAAAAGACTCAGGAAAATGCAAGTGAGGAAAACTAAAACTTCCCAACTCCCTCCTGAGAATAGACAAGATTTCCTCTATTGTAGGGCTTGGGGAAAACACATGTTGGGTAACAGGATAAGGGCTAGAGGTGTGATGTAGGAGCCACTCATTTAGGAGTGGAGCTGATTGATATCCCATTATCCACTCTTCATTTAAGCAAGCAACATCTATTACCAGTGTCCCAGAATCCACTGAAAGCTAATGAAATGCCCTGAGAACCATCCAGTTGCCATTCAAGTGAAAATCATTGATGGCTTATCAGAGGAGCCATACCACTCATCCTTATATTTAGCTATCATACATAAGAAGGTGAAAATATAATTTCTAAAAGAGTCTGTTTGCCACAAATAGAAAACATTGAAAGAGATTTATCAAGAATATATAGGACTTGAATGAAAAATATATGAAATACTATATAATTGTTAAATATATATTTTCCTATATGCATATGTAGTATAAAAATATCACATATGGACAGCACTTAAGTTAGAGAAAGTCTAGAAGAAACAAAAATGTCCATTTAAAATTATAGGTCTAATAAAAACAAAATTAAATGCATAATAGAAATTGGAGAAATTGACAAATCAATTCCAAAATTCAATCTTCACACTCTCAGCTTTCTTTCCTCTCCTCTTTTTTCCAATCCTAACCCACATAAGGAAGTTACAATGGACTTTTCAATGTTCCCTGAATAAATTCTGCCCCCTTTCTTCCTGGCTAGTAGTCAACTTTGACTCATTCCTTCAGATTTCTTTCAAATATAAGTGGCATAGCCCAGTGTTAAGAGCAAGAACTCCAAGAAACAGGCACACAACAGACAGACTGGAGTTTAGGCCTGGCTTTTTCCTTTAGGTGTTGTAAAAGTGGACAATTCATTAACCTACTCCAAGACTAGTTAATCCCAACTTCAATACTGGGAAAATATCCACTCTATCTATATCAAATAGGTAGATTAAAGAAACAAAAAGCATAGAGAAGTGCTTTGGGACGTACATTGATCATATCCAATCATTACACCTGTCCGTTTGTTACCAAATGCCAGGAGGTTGACCTAGGTCTCATTGCTCGCTGCACAGAAAGCCAATTACCCAGACAACTAGTATTGCCAGGGAAGAAGGCCTCTTTCCAGTTGACACCAGCCAGAGAGACAGGCTACAAGCCTCAAATCCATCTCTCTCCTCCAATGAGAGCTAGGGGTTTATATATCAGGGAAGGAAAACAGGAGGGGCAAGGAAGAGTTGGTCAACAGGCAGCAGGTGCATTTCATTGTGCAAATGTAAGTTTCTCAAGCTTCAGTTTGGTGGACATCTGGCTTGGTGGAAAATTGGACCTGTTGCACTTTCAAGCTCCATTTTGAAATGAAAAGCTGCCAGTGCCCAGACCCTGCTCACCACTACAGCTTTATGCTGTCCTGGTTCAGGCTGTCTCTGGGTGGCCTAAGATACATCATGGCCTAGGGGTAAAAGATGAACTGAGACAATGAGATTCCACTTCTCAGGAAACTGAGATGAAAGGATAGAAAGAATTTTTGTGATGGGAGTAGAGAGAGTAAAGGGAGAAAAAAATGTAGAGAAAGTCAAATCGCATGCATGAAGGAGCACCAGAACAAAGGTTATATAGATTTCAATTTCCAGTAATAAGGCTGCAAGTGATCATTTAGACCCATCCACCTGCACAAGACAGCTGAAAATACTGAAATAAATTTAAAGATCTCTAAATACTTGGACTTGCTGATTAAGCACTCATGAATTATCACAATGATATCTGAGTGGAAGCGGGAGCCCAGAGAGACAGTAGACACTAAGAGTACAGCATAGCCAGGAGAATGAAAAGGTTGATTTTGCAAGTTTCACTTGCTAAATCAGGTTCCAGGAAAGTCAGGTTCCAGGAAAGGCCCACTGAAGTGGGAAGTCTAAGAAGACAGCCTCCCTCCATATTACTCACTGGGATCTGGAAGAGCCTCACTTTCTAGGTCCGAGTAAATCAAAGGTAGACTTGCTCTGTCCCTCCCAAGCCCAAGGGCCTATGAGAAGTTGCTTTGCTGCTGAGCAGATCAAGGACATAAGAATTATCTCTGGGAAATTATAACTACAAGTTGGCTCTTGCAAGGATATTCAAGATGAAGTAGTAACACCTAGGTGGTCAAAAAACTTCTTGCTCCCAAACCCTCAGGCATTGAACTGTTTTTTATTGTCATTGTTGTCTGTTTTGAGAGTAAAATACATACAACATGAAAATTTACCATTTTAACCATTATAAAGTGATATTAAGTACATTCTCAAATTTTCAAATACTGAAATTATCAATACTGAATTCCTACAATAAATAAATTCATTAACATTTTAAAGGATTGTTAAAGTTTATGAAGTGAACTGGATTAACAAAAATATTAAGAAAACAATAACGCAGCAGGAAAGTGGATTAGGAAATAATTGGGACATTTTAATAAAAATGAATAAAGTTTGAGACACCAAAAACTAGATAATATTAAGTACCCGAATAATCATTTGATGTCTTAGATAATATATTATTTTTAATTCCCTGAGATTCTATAGTGATTATTTGCAAAATATTATTACCCCTTAATACAATGTTTTTTATGTTGAGTTCCTGACCAGTTTTAACATTGTTCTTATGTGAAAACATTAGCTGCTTTATGAGATTCAGCTTCTCAAACATATTTCTGGAATGTGCTGGGATAAAAGGCAAACACTGTATGTATATTTTATTCTGTAAACTCTAAGGTCTATGGAAGGACGTGGGAATGAAGTCAAATTCACTACCAAGGGCCTGGAAGCAGTTGTGAAATACTGAAGTCTGGGAATACCGATAGCTATTCAAGATTACCTTTATTTGTAAATATAAACATGGATGCAAAAATTGGTGAATAAAATACCACTGGTAGGCAAATAATAATAATTTGGGATATTTAAAAAATTATGACAACTGAGGCATTTTATCTGACTAACATTCAAGAATTCTTCCAAAATGTGATCTCTAACCTATTCCTGTTACCAATACACAAAATTTACATAAACAAAAAATAAAAACTTTAACCCATCACTAGTCTGTCTCCAAAATGCTGACTATCCAGATGATTGATGTCAGCATGGTATTCTTATCTATCCACCTTGAATGGGAATTTAGGTAATGATCAAAATAGATTTCAGGGGAAGATAACATACTGTTTTTCAGCATCGAATTAAGCAGCAATATTTTCCATGATATGATAAAAGTTTGGGCAAAACTGGGTTATATTTTACTTCTACCTACTTAAGGAAAGACAAATCAGTTAGTTTATCTCATCTAATCAAAAACTTCAAAATTTTATGTTTAAAACTTTAGATAGTGAACACAGAAATTCAACAAAAACATTTGAAAACAGGCACTCCTTGCTTTGCATGGCACTGTGTTAACAGAAGCTCAGGCACCATGTCCTCCTTTAAGCAAAGATTGCTTTTTCTTTTTTTTTTTCCACAAATACAAGGATATGACAAGGAGCAAAATGTAACAGTCTCACTATACAGGTAAGATATGTAACTCTTTGAGCAATTTAAAATATCCTTTATTTTCCCAAATACCATTCTGTTTTTATAAAATAAGGAGGGAGGAATGGAATTTAATTTGCACTCAGTTACACTGATTAATAAAAATGCTGTATTTATCTGAGAATATTATTCCGGGGTCTATTTAATATGACTGAAAAGTCACAGATTACCACATATAACCTTATGTGAAGCTTAAAATGCTCATTCCCGTGAGCTTTATTTTATTCTGAATTCAGATAAGTACATTCTACTATGAAATGTTCTCTTTTTAAAAGCACTATACAAGCACAAACAGATGGATTAATTACATTAAAAACTGACACGTTAAGTATAAAGTTAAAGAAGCCAAACTTATGCAAATAGAAAATTTATCATTTAATACCCAATTGAATCTAAATGAATTCTTTTTTACTGTCATCAGGTTTCAAAACATTTCAGGCATGGGATAAGAGGCAATTTATCTGGCATCATAGAAATCTGAGAAAATAATTTTTCCTTCCTTTTAGATTTTGAGAAGAATTGACTCCTATTTATAGACTAATAAAAAAAAAACTTTAGGATAGAGACTTCTATAGAGAGTAGGTCAGCATAAGGAAAACATAGACCATTCATTTCCTCCGATCAGCATTTTCTTTTTCCAAACCTTATTGTCCTTATCTCATATTGCTGGGAAAATAGCAATTACAGAGTAACAGAAGGTTCACTTTTCTCCAGAGCACTTTCATGGGCAGAGTCACCAATTAAAAGTATTGCCAGATTTCAAACGATATCATAAAAGACAAGTAATTTTTTTCTTTCTCATTTTTATAAATCAAAAGGAAGGAACATAACTATCTATTACAAGTTGTAAATGTATTAAATTTCTCTACTTATTATCACTTATTTTTTGCAAAACTATAGGCAGAACTACATACCGGAATATGGACTGTAGCGGTTAAGAGCCCAGACTCTAGAGCCAGGTGGCCTCAACTCATCTCCCGGCTCCTTGCTCACTATCTGTGTAACTTTGGGCAAGTTATTTAGACCCTCTGTGCCTTAGTTTTCTTGTCAGTAACATGGGGTAATAATAGTATGTAGCCTATAGCATTATGAGGATTAAATGAATTAACTATGAAATGCATTCAGATGAACAAAATAAATACTCAATAAATATTGCAAAAATAAAAAGGAAAATAAAATGGAACCACAAAAATCTGGTTAATGACAAAATGATTGTAGGTGGGCAGATTTCCATTTTGAAGTAGTTTTTATGTATCTTCATGTGTATTTCCCATTCTGTTTTCTAAGCCTTCTCCTCCAAACCATGCTATTAAATCAGGCTCATAATTTACCTTATCTTCAAAACTTTCTAAGTCAGTTTTTCTCTGTCATAGCAGGAGGAGAGCACAAGGATAGGCAGGGCACACATCAGAATCGATAGGCTGCAGCGCGTATTCTAAGATAGATTCTTTGAAAAGGTCCTTTGGTAGTTTTAATTCAGAGACTAGTCCTCCTACACTGACCTCAATTCTTCTCTCTTCCCAGACTCAACAAAGCAGTTCGTGTATTAGAAGACAACAGTTTAGCAATAGTCAAGGAAAATGGAGCCATTGTAAAGCCAAGTCTAGAACTGGAAATCTTATAGGAAACCAATTAAAATAAGACTGGGAGAATGATTTAAACATATTTGTCAATAACTATCTCACATTTTTCACATTTACATATACAAATCTGAAAACTCTTTCACGAACATACCAAATGTGAATATTTCTTTTTATTTGTAATAATAGCAGTAATAACAGTGGCTGCAATTTCTTATATGGTAGGCATTCTGATAAACCGTCTGTAGGGATTGTATGATTTAATTCATATAGTTCCATGAAGCAGTAAGTATTAAGCCTGATGGCATAGAGAGTTGAATTTACTCATAACATGGCCAGTGACCAGATTTGAAATCAGACTCTTCTGCCTCCAAAACCCATGTTCTTAAGCCCTATTCTAGAGTGCCTAATTTTTAAAAATTGTTTGCTTGGCCTGATTTTCCTTGTTCGTTCCTTGAAACGATCATGGCACTCTTTCTAACCTTACTCAGATATAAGAAAATCCAACTTCTTTAGGAGAGTTACATCCACCTGAGACATTTTTTCAGGGCACCTCTCAGCACTACCTGGATCCCAAATGAGAGAATTGGGTTTATTGTTACTGTAATTTTATTCTTCAGATGTCAACCATGTCTTTGGACATAAAAGAGAATGAACTTCTGAAATAATTTCCAAGGACTTCCGATCTTTTCCACTTGCTAAAACTTTCAAGTACGAAGATGTGAATATATGTCAAATTCTTAAATCAGATGTAAAAGCTATGAAAGACTTATACAGCTTTCAAGATCAAGTTGTGAGGTTAGATATATTTGAAAGGGAAATGACGTATATTCAATTTTAGTGTTAGAATTCAGTTATTTAAACTTAGCTGAGGTGGTTAGTCACAAGGTTTGTCTGTGGAAAACAGACAAAAATACTGAAGCCATTTTAATAGTGAGAACATACAAACTAGATGGAAAATTTAATGGAGGCATCTTTCTCCTGGTTTCCTTCCTTATTATTATATTTCGAGCAACAGCTCTACCCTGCCAAGTCATCATACTACACTGAATTTAGAACTCGCATGGGCACAAGCTTTCAATAAAAAGATTCCCTTACCATAATATTAGTAATTTCAAGCAGCTTATTTGAATCTTGGTGGAAATATAGGGTGCCCCAACAATATATTGATTTCCCTAGAAATGTGGTTCTAATATAACCGCTTGCAAATATTACTGTCGTCCTCTTTTGGGTTATATCTATTTTTGAAAAATGAAAATGATAGTTTTAGTTTAGCGAAAACAAAGGTTTAGGAATTTTTAATTTAAAAGACCGGTAAATCTTGTGTAATTGCTTCAGCATTGAATTTTACACTGAGTTTTCCTTGTAAACGCATACAATTCAAATGGATGGCTAGAGGATGACTTTCAGTTAAAGTTTTTAAAGATGAACCATATTGCCACCATTTATCTAGTACATACGGAGAATTTACGGTAGGCAAATGAAGGAATGTTATGTGGACATGCTTGCTTCAAAAAAAAAAAAAAAACCCACATGCTTTATTAGAACATAGGAGGGGGGAGCACTTTTGGGACAAAGGTAGAAATTCAGGAACTAAGAGTGGAAAACATTTGTCACTGAAGGAAAAAAGAGCTGCATAAAAGTGATATTTCTCTGAGCATTTGCTATATAGCTCAGCCCATACAGATACTCAATACTACCAGCAAAACTGGCAATTTGTGGAGATAAACAGTAACAGGAAAGATGGCAGCTTTGTATCCTGATGTCTCCAGGAAGTTTTATTCTGCTATGAAGTAAGGCACCTTATGAAATTGTATTAATCGTTATTTTAAAAAATCATTTTCTTTTCATTAATAAAGCAAAGATTTTTATAGTAAGAAATGTAGAAATACAGAGAAGAAAGAAAATAGAAACCACTTATAAACCTACTTTCCTAGAAAAGCAGCATTAAGCATTTTGCACAATTTCTAAAATGTCTGTGTGCAAGTGTTTGTGTGGCTACATGTTTATATAAAGCACAAATGAAAACAGAAATGTTTACAGTATTTTGTAATCTGATTTCTGCACATATGTTGAGAACAAACTTCTCTGGGATTAATTATTTTTTTCTTTAAAGCTTAATGTCTACATGTGTAGCAAGCAAGGATAATTTGAATTCTGGGCTTAATTCTGGAATAACTTTGTTCTGAAATAATAAAGTGGCTGTGGGTGTTGAAATAACCTAAGGGGGATGAATGAGGTGGTTTGTGCTTGTAATCCCAGCATGTTGGGAGGGTGAGAGAGAAGGATCTCTTTAGGCCAGGAGTTCAAGACTAGCCTGGGCAATATCTCTTAAAAAAAAAGTAAGAAAAATGTACACTTACAAATCTAAAATGATGTACATAATTTTAAAAAAAGAAGTAAACTTAAGGGGTAACAGAACTATGTATTGAATTTCTTATTATCTAAAGAAAGAAATGCTGGGCAGAGCCAGAAATATATGATTCAGACACTGGATTATGACAAAAATACAAAGATGATAATGGTAAGATGTGCCACTGAATCTAAAAAGGAGTATGACACATATTTCTGCATTTCTTTATCCATAAATTTATCCAACAAGCATTCTTTCCCTCAATATATGAGACATGAAAAGCACAAGAACAAGTCAGACTGTCTGGGCTTGAATCTCGGGTCCCAAATCTTAGTGTCCTTTTCTAGAAAATGGGTATTATAATAGGGTGCGGTAAAACCAACGAGAAAGAGCACTTAGAACAGTACCTGATGTGATCTGTGCATCCTAAACACACACTGTTATGGTACTGTTTTTGTTATACTCTAGTCACTGACCAGTCTTTTCTGCTTACTTGAAACTTGGAACTCTTCAACAAATTTTTTCAAATACTAGAAGTACCTTCCTTAAGGGTAGGGACTATACTATGCTTACAATTGGATCCATAACAGCTGTCTGACTTACAATTGGTGCAAAAACAAACGTGCCAAAAAAAAAAAAAAGAAACAAAAATATTTTCTGTCCTTTCCTATCTTGTCCTCTATCCTTAGTTCATTTTATCAGCTACCTGTAAAATCCTTTGATTAAATTTTTAAAATTTAAGTTAGCCAGAGTTGATTTCTATTGCTGGCAATTAGAGCATAGCAACTGAGAAACTGACTCAGATGCCCTAAGGCCAAAATAGGTATTAGTGTTCACTGGAGCAGAATGTTTAGAGGGAAATTATTTTATTAATTTGTCAATTCATAGGGAATATTCTCATGTAATGACAATCTTTCCTTTAAGATATGACTTTAACAGTGGGAATGTGAATAAGAAAAATGGATGTAAAGACTCAATAAATGCTAGAAATAACAACATAAATAGTGGTTAATAACAAGAAAAATATCCTAGAACAAGCTCTGTGTTGAGTTGGTTCTATGAAGGACAAAGTTAGTAAAGTCCAATGAGGGCCCTTGGTAAGTGGGCATGCTACTAGACCTAACATTAATCCAATTGAATTATCCTGCAGTGCCTCCTGACAGATGCTTAGTTTGTGAGGAAGCAAATTTAAATATAGTAGTCATTAAATTAAATGTGAGTGCCTAGATTCCCTTATTAAAGGGCAGAGATTATAAACATGAGATTTTTAAAAAACCTAGCTATGTGCTACTTATCATTTAAGATGAAAAATGTTTAAAAAAATTAAGGATGAGCAAAGGGTACCAGCCAATGCAAACAAAAAACAAAATGAAAATGGGAGTAGTAATACTAGCAGCAGACACAGTGAAATTAAAGATTAAAAGTAGTAATCAAGATAAAAAGAGACATTATGAAATGGAAAGAGGGACAATTTATATTGCAAATATAACTAACACATTTGCATGTCCAACAAGTTGACAACTGATGCATACAGCAAAAACTATTAGCTATGCAAAGTGAACTTGAAAATAAAACTAGAGAGTTTTTAATAGTTCTTATGAAATTAAACGGATCTACTAAATGAAAAACAAGTAAATGCATAGAATTGATCAATAAACTTGATTTATTAAATATATACATATATTATCATCCCTCCCATATAGAATATTTATTTTTGTATGTCCATAGACCATTTATGAAACTAACCATTAAAAAAGTTACTGGATTTTTTTAAAGCATAGTTATATTTTTCAGGCTTCTCTTTTTGAAATCATAAGCTAATGCAATTAGGAATAGATAAATATAATCAAAATAATTTTATGCATTTAGAAATAAAAAATTATACTCGTAGATAATTTCTGGAAAGTTTTCAGATAAAAAAGTGAAAATACATAAAATCCAGACAATATCGAGATGGAGACTATTTTATCCCGGACATAGTAGTACAATGAAAGCTATAATTGGAAGACTAGTTTTGGCCTTAAAAGCCCTCATTATTAAAGATGACAGATAAATAAAATTAAATTGTTAATAGCATCTTAAAAAGAAAAAAAGAAAGATAAACAAAAAGAAACAAAGATGAAGCTTAAAATTAGGGAAATAGCAAATAAACATTAAATAAAATGGAGACATAAATCCGAAAGCTGATTCTTGGAAATGGCTAGTAAAATAGATATTCCCCTTGTAGGCACAGTTAGGAGCAGAAAAAATATATATGTAATAGACTTGATTGAGAATGAGAAGTGGGACGCATAATCATAGACTCAGGAGAAATTAAACAACTTTAAAGACACTACTACCTGAAATCCTATTGCAACAAATTAGAAATCCTAGAGAAAATGGATGAGTGCCTGGCAAAACCCACATTAACGAAATTATCCCCCTAAAAAGGATAATCTGAGTACAATGTACCTCCAAAAAGATCAGAAGGTGGTTAGAAATGCACCATGAAGTTACCAGTTCCAGATGCCTTCAAAGCTAAGTTTTATCTATCCTTTGAAGGATACCTACACTGTCACACAAATGATTCAAGCCACATACAAATAAGAAAATTCTCTCCAAGTCATTTTACATCAATACTAAAACCTGGCAAAGATAGCATAAACAAAACAATATTAACTCATTTTTAAAGAAAAATGCAAGATTCTAAATGAAATGTTAAAAATAAAACCCAGCCATGTATTAAAAAATAATACATCTGATGAAACAGGTGATTTAGTATCAGCAGTAAATTAAAGGAGGAAAAAATTCTATGATCACATTTACAGACTCTGAGAGGTTTTTGATAAAATTCATTCCAAATGAAAACTCTAAATCAAATAGGAATAGAAAGAAACTACTAAAATAAAACATGATCCAATAGAAGTGCTATCTGGAAACGATTTTACCCTCAAGTTTTTTTTTTTTTTTTTTTTTTTTTGAGATGGAGTTTTGCTCTTGTTGCCCAGGCTGGAGTGCAATAGCACGATCTTGGCTCACTGCAGCCTCTGCCTCCTGGGTTCAAGCGATTCTCCTGCCTGGTCCTGTGAGTAACTGGGATTACAGGCACACACCACCATGCCTGGCTAATTTTTGTATTTTTATTACACTTTTTGTGTATTTCCCCACTCCTTTATCCTTTCCATGGACAAATATATATTGTGTGTCTATTATATACCAGGCACTGTGCTGGGCCACATTTCAAAATAAAAACATAGTCTAAAAAAAAAAAAACATGAAAAATAAAAAAAGCAGTAAGTGAAAAAAAAGTGACAAGACTCCAGAAGCAAGTTAAAAAATACCAAACTGAAGAAAGTTTTCCTATTCTGAATCCAAACAGAATTGGAATTTAGCTTTAAGCCTATTACAGGTTAAAACATTTTCTACAAATCGGGTAATTGGTCTGTTAACAATTACATGATCTCCATTTTCTCTTATACTGTGGGAACAACAACAACATAAGCCAAAAACAACTGCAACAGCATATGCCGAAGGGAGAAGTATATATTTCTATGGCATTTCCGTGTTGCCTGTGCTTGTCTGGTATTTTTACAAAGTTTGCATTTAATTAGAGCGTCCTGAAGTGACTGCAGGCAGGTGAAGCCGCTATTATGCTGCGGGGAGAGCTGACAGACAGCTTCAGGAGCGTTTAGTTAACAAATCATTACTTAGTGTTTGTAAGACTTCTACCTGAACCCAAACAGAACGTGTAACTGTCTTGGAAGAACAAAGCCATCAATTGTAAAACAAACCTTGGTAAAGGCAGCTAGGATCAGCAGGGAGGGGAAATAAAGTAATTTATTCAAATTGTATATTTGAGGAGTAAGAATGGTTCTTTTTTTCCTAAAAGTAACATAAATTTGAAATCTTTGTTTTTTAAAAAACCAAGAAAATATGAACAATGATTTCCTTGCTTTTGTTTAAGGAAAAGTTATGTGTTTGTTATTTAAGTAGAAGAAAAAAGTAAAAATGGAATGGAAAAGAATATTGAGAAATTGTTTACCTAAGAAATGATCATGTGTCCACTTTCTAACTTTAGTGTAGAGCATGCCGCACTATTGGGTTTAGTTTTGTCATTAAAAAGAGAAGGCAAAGTTTTAACACAATCCTGTAGCGTGATTTCATAACTTCTGCCATCTTCAGGACCCTTCATCTTAATCTCCAGATCACCAAGACCATAAACAGGCAGGGGAGAGAATGGCAGGGCTGAGTCAAACGCAGAACAGAAAAAATATAGGTCAAAGCAGCAGAGTTAACTATTATTTTTCAAAGACTATGGGAAGCATTGAAATTCTGATACCTCATTCTTGTGACAAAAATTGTAATGAGAACAGGAAATGGTACCACATGAATCCATTGTCCTGACAATGATTTAATGAGAATGGGAAATGGTGAGAGCATAACTAATTCGCATTATGATCCTAAAGTTGTCATCTTGTGGTTCTGCTCAGATGCCGTGGAATGAAGGATGTCGACATCAGCTGGGAGAGTGCAAAGAAAAGCATGAAGACGGTGACATTGTGTGGCCAGAAAGTAATGGCAGAACGTGTTAGCCACGGAGGGGAAGGGCTCGGGAGGGGGATACAAAACTCGGAGTTTGTCTGTTGAATGACAAAATAGGAATACATTTAAAGATGGCATGGATTCCAACTAGAAGGAAAAGACCAGAAGATAAGGCAAAGGCTGTGATGGAAAACTTGAGACAGGGAGTAATCCAGAGGTCAAATGAGAGTGCACAAACAGGTGAAATCTGGCCAACGTGGAGATTTCGTGTTTTATCTCTTCTTGGAGGTTTTCAAGTTTGCTGAGCAGCAATTAATTTAGTGATTCTAACAAGCAATTTCTTTTCCTTCCTGAGTAACGTTTTGTCTCCAATCCTGTAATTCAAATAATATATTTTGTAAGTGAAGCTAACAAAGACATTCCATTCCAGGCTACAAAAGCTCTGAAACGAAGAGTTCAATGGCAGAAGGAACATCATTCCACTCAATCATGTTGGTGGAAACCAGTAGGTGAAATTTCAAGGTCATTTAGAATTTAAAGCCCACAGATGGTAGATAGTAATTTATTTCAGGTTAAATAAGTTTTGACCTATTTCTCTAAGTAGCAACTTGGGTTCTAGGCTGCTTTGAGTACTGAATTATTTCTGAGCTTCTAGACTTCAAAAAATGTACTAAAACAATGTTAATTGTCTGCTTACATTTCAGGAAACAGGTTGTCATACATGGAAATAGTAAAAGTCAAGAAATCAGCAGAAAAATTGAGAAATACACTTTTTAAATTGTGCACTTTTCAAGTCCAATTTATGCACCAAAGTGCTGGCTAGTCATTTAAAGTGGTTGCTTTAAAAATCCCTCTGTAAGGTTGGCACAACATCTAACATACTTCTGACAGATGAATCCTTCTCAGGATAGAGAAAATAAAGGCATGACGGAAATCAAAGGATACAAACCTTTTGGAAGAGAAATTATATTTTACTAATTTCAATGCCAAAGCTGCATAGAAATCACATTCCATATTCAGTCTATAAAATAAGAACAATAATAGTAATAATAATGATACAATACTGTAGTTTTTGCATTCAGTTTGCTCTTAGTATCTTTTATTTAAATGTAATGATAAACAGAATATTTCTGAAGTTGAGAAGCAACTTTAATAAAATGAAAAGCACTGTGATTCTCTCACCACTAGTCAAAAGCCTTTCAGACGAAGATAAATGACTCTAAGCCATTAGAAAAAAATTACTTCAAACTTATGTGTGCCTAAGCCTCCTACTTTGCATTTTGATTCATATTTAAAATATTGATTCCATCAAATGGAGGCACAGTTAGTGTCAGCAAGAAGATGATGGAGAAAATGAAGTCAAAGGGGAACAATGTAAACAGTGGATTTATTTATTTACCCTTAGGTGAAGGTGCCATATTTCACTTATATTGAACATTTATTCAATTTATTTTATTAATTTAATCTTCCTAAAGTACTACTTCACACTCTGATGCAATTTCAGATCAAACAGATCACTGTGTACTTGTTGAATTCATGGTTAATGATACATGAATTTATAATCTAGAATGATTCATAATTGAGTGAGCTACCTTATTTTACTCCCTTTTAGGAGAGGTTCACTATGAAAGACGATAATGGTCAAAGAAGAAATGTGAAAGATATTCTCAAAAGTTAAAGCATACTATACTGTAATAATGTCTAGTGAAAATGAAATATTTAATGTCCATATTTAGGCTCTCACCCATTTATTATGTGGCCATGTAAGGGGTGTCAAATGCTGATGGGAATTTCTATTTGACCTGGCAAAAATGAAGTAAGCAACATACAGTATTTCATCCATTATGTCCATTTTCACAATGAAGGATTGGTTCCATAATAGTTTTTATTCAATCCAATGTCAAGGTCTTAAAAACAAATTTTGAAAGCACTTAAGAGGTTCTTTTAACAGCTGTATTTAGTAACAAATGACAGATATCTATTAATGCAAGTACATCTTATATAAAATATTTTAATATGGATTTTATGTGATAGTATGTGCTTATTAACATCAGGTGTAAATTGACACATCACAGTAGCTCTTTTAGATGAAAGATCCATTTAGTCCCATCTTCAAATTATGGATTGATACAATATTCTATGCCATAATGGTTCCAAAAGCATTGTTAGTGTGATGTTTTATTCATATTTTCAGGTACCATTGTTTCAGTTCGTAATAGAGTGCCTCACAATTGTGAGTGAAGTTTATAATGAACTAAGGAAAACTACCTATCATATTTTAATAGATTACCAAGTTGGCTCTGAGTATATCTAGGAACTATGTCCACAATAGTACTGGACACTATGCTCAAATTTGAGGACATAAAAATCTTTCTATCCTAAATGATTAACTCCCATCACATGAGTACAATATGTTTGAGATGATATTTATAAAGGTGTATATGATCATCTGGTATTGTGGCTATTGCAGTGATTCAATTTGTATATCATGGCTTTATAAATTAAAATGTCTAATTGAATTTAAATTAAATGTAGTTTAAATATGAGCCAATAATATTTCCTTTAGGGATAAAGCAAATTATACCATGTATGTAGAGTGTGAGCATGGTAAACTTGCTTTCCAAACTACGCTGTGCACACAAAATCACCCAGGGATCTTGTTCAAATGCAGATTTTGATTAAACAAATCTGTGGGAGGGCCTGAGATTCTGCATTTCTAGCAAGTCTGTTCCTTGGGTGATGCCAGCGCTGCTGGGCAATGGGTTCGTAAGCTTACAGAGGATCATTGTGGAATTGGAATAACTACCTGCTGGTTCAGGCTTTGTCATTCTGTGCCTTGGCTTTCTAATACTAACCACTTCTTGAGAATGTTATATTGAGGTAATTAAATGAGAAATTTATGTAATGGGCTGTTTAGGTTCCTGTTGCTGCATAACAAAATACTTTATCTTTTTGTTACCACTTTTGGAGGCTAACTACTTTGTTTATTACCTTGTGCTTAATATCCAATAAATATTTGTTTAAAACAGATTCTTGAATGAGCTCTATTCTCTAATAGAGTGAGACCAATGATAGGTAATTATCAAGACCTCACAAGACAGCAGATCTATTATTAGAAACTTCTTCCTATTTTCATTGATATTTGCTATCTTATAAGATATATTGCTTCTGGTTCTGTGTGTCAGAACTGAGCAAAAAATAGATCTAATCTCTTTCTGGATGTCAGTATCACTAATATTTTATGACATATGATTTTTTTATTTTTCTTTATAAATTTTATTAAGAACTTTTTGGGAATGAAACACTTTCCCTTGGTTCAAAAACCTAAAAGAATCAGAAGGGTATAATAACAGATGCTGTTGGTGCACTACCCAGCCTGTATGTCCTGGGTTTACCTCCCCCATGCCCATGGCTAAGAGCATCTGCCCCAGGGCTCCCCGGCAGTAAGCAGTCCTCACTCAATGGGAGTTTCCTCATTTACTGCTGGAGTAGCTCTGATGTGCACTTTACATTACCTGCTGGAGGTTGCCAGTGGGATACAGCTCCGTAGCAGTAACCTGGTTAATAATACATCACTTATTGCTTCCTTCCCATCCCTGCTTCCTGGGATCATCTCCTAAAGAAATCGCTTGTACAAAAATTCTCATCTCAGGGTCAGCTTCTGAGGGAACCAAATCAACTCAGGTATGAAGTAAAATGTCTGCTCCCAGTCCTTGTCTTCTTCCTCCTTTTGCCTAGCTCTCACTCTCAATAGGTAAATTATGTTCTTAGTTTCTTCCCAAGGTCTCATTTTATGAATCTCCAAGCAAATATAGATACTTACTCCTTTCTTTGTTTTATAAAAACAAATGATGCTCACACCATTCCACACCTTGCTTTCTTCACTTAACATACCTCGAAAATGTTTCAATATCAGTATACAGAGAGCCTGCTCATTCCTCTGCATGGTGTAGTATTCACTGTATGTAACTGGCCAGTTGGTCCAAATCTGTTTGCCATTTCTTCCCCAGCCTAATCCCCCGTTATTTCATTCAATTACTTACTGAATGACACAATTTAGTCATTCAGTTAAGTTAACATTTTAGTTAACTTTGCTAGCCACATACCAATTGATATCCTTCTCAAAATATTATAGCTCATATAAACAATTATCTTAAAACATAATTGTTTCTAGTACAATAGGAGTGGAATGCTACTCCACTTGCCTGGGACAAAAATAAAGTCTAAGTTAAGTTTCTCTCACTGTTATATCATAAGGTGCTACTGAATTTGAAAATGAGAAAACTCTGATGCTTTTCACATGGAATTTTTCATCCAGCATTTATGTAACTGATTTTTTAAAACCTAAGTCTGGAACTTTACTTTTTTGTGTCTGTTTATGCTACCTTGTTAGTTTTAGCTCATTTTCCTATTCCATATTGATAACACAATGATTTGATTTTATTAATGATTTAATATGTACCAGGTCTTGCAATATGCTATATTTATCATCATATAATTAATTACATCCTTATGATTTCATTATTATCCCATTTACAGGTGTGGAAACTGATGGAGAGATGGTATTTCACTTGCCAGGATAAAGTAGCCAGCAAGTGCTAAACCCCACAACTGGCATGTCCTGGTTTTTATCCTACTGTCCGCAGAGCCAGCTGTCCTTTCCAGCTTTCTGTCAACTGTATATAACAACTGTCTTTAAGTTGTTGGTAAAATTACAAATTACTTGACTAGGGATGTGGCTATGAACGGAGTCCTATAGAGAATACTCTCCCGCTTAGCACTAATCAATAATCAATATGTTTTAGGTATTGTCATTTAAACGTTAATATGCTTTTATGGGTACTATCACAACCTTTTTATTCTTGCCCACAAGAATGTCATGGCTGTCAAGAGATTTAAAAAGTTACATAAAAATAACAAAACCCAAAACTCTTTATTAGCTTTTCCTCCTGTACCAGCTAAAGAAATGGGATTCGATTGTCATGACTTATTATAACCTATACCATGGAAAATACGTCTCTATTCAAGACTACCATTTTATCATTTAAATAGTGAGTTTTTTGATTTTTCTAGGAATCAATGAAACGTCATTAGGTCATATCTACTAGAATCTGAATTTTTCTACATTTTGGAAAATTAGAACAGTATTCACACATTTTTATTAATACTTCTCCAGCCCCTTTCTCATTCTCCAGATTTGCTTCTACATGACTGAAATAGGATCTAGTGTTATAACCAAAAGTGGTACCCTCCACCAAATCTATCCAAGCTTTGTGCCATCAATTTTATTCACTACATCCCCTGGGCTTCATGCTTGCTTCTTCTGTCTTAGTTTGAAGACCATTTCTGGTGGAGGAAGAGGAGAACTGACATTCAGTAGTTTCAGTAGTTCGTTTCTCACTGTCATTAGTTAATGGGACAGCGTCAGCCTCATCTCTCTTCTTAGTGGTTCCTCTCCCTCTAAACATTTCTTTGTAAAAGTGTTTTTAGAACATTTTGAAACAGGCAGATCGTTTTAGACTTTGGCCTTTCATGCATTATTCTTACAACCCATGTCATCATGTGTTCAAGTTCTTTTTTCTTTTCTTAGTTACTAACTCATTGCAGGTGATTCTGTATAAATTCATTACTTCTATTTGAAATCTTATAAGAATTTAATTTATAGGAGTTTTCCAATCCTTGAGACACCTTCTCTTTTGCAATCACTGGCTACAGAATTTTATGAATCATTTCCAGTAAACCTCTTAAACTTTACTGTGGTTTAGGTTTACAGTTTTAAAATGTTGCCTTCGAATTTTGTGAAGATAATGTAGAACTGCTACAGGATGGAAAGCAAGACAGTGTTTTGCAAACAGTATCCTCTCTCCCTTAATTCGGTATTTATATCAAAGCGAAACGCATGCACAGTGTTAATATCTAATATTGTATAATCTAATTTTATGAGAACTTGAATGATCTAAATTTAAAATAGTACAACATAAAAGTTTTAATGAAGTCCATCTGAAATAATGTAAATTCTCCCAAATTTTAAAATTTCATCAAGGACTGCAGTTTAAAGTAGTTAGACCCAGTACATTGTAAATTGTGTTTATGATACTCTGATAATAGAATATCCACCCCTTTACTGCTACCATTTAAAACTCAGTGGGGTTTATACACACCTTTGGTGGTTATTGTACTGGACTTTAACGTTGTGATTTTTTGCTATTATTTAAAAATTTTTTATTATGTTACAATTCATGTATTTCAATTATCCTCATATCTTTATACATTTTTAATAATTTCAAAAGTCTCTGAAGCGTTTGTCTTCACACCTATTCCACTGACTAGATGGAGACTCCATGGTACTGGAGACTATCCCCCACCCTCCCTCTCTGTAGCCCTGAATCCTTTGCCCTCCTCTCTATTTGCCCTCTAGGCAAATAGAGCAAGCAACTTCACCTCTGTTTGTTCTATATGATGGCTCTGTCTTAGAATGGCATTTCAATAACTTTTTTTATGGGCAACAATGTTTTAAAACCATCTACCTGGAATCCATGCCTAACTAAACTGTGTATTCTATTCTTAGACAAGCTAAAATCACAGTGAGACATGGTTGAAATATGCAGTTTGACAAAGGAGTTAAACAAATGTGCTCCATCTAGTCAATCCCCAGTCCCTGATATGGTTTGCATCTATGTCTCTACCCAAATCTCATGTTCAGTTGTAATCCCCAGTGTTGGAGGTGGGGCCTGTTGGGAGGTGACTGGGTCGTGACGGTGGATCCTTAATGAATAGTTTAGCGTCATCCCTTTGGTGCCATTCTTGTGACAGAGTTCTCAAGAGATCAGATTGTTTAAAAGTGTGGCACCTCCCTACTCCTTCTCTTCCTCCAACTGGTGTAGTGTAATGTGATGTGTATGCTTCTCCTTCACCTTCTGCCATAATTTTAAGTTTCCTGAGACCTTCCCAGAAGGAGAAGCTGCTATGCTTCCTGTACAGCCTGCAGAACCATGGGCCAATTAAGCCTCTTTTCTTTATAAATTACCCAGTCTCAGGTATTTATTTATAGCAGTGTGAGCATGGATTAATACAGTCGCCTTAAAAAGCCAAAGAAGATAAACATGAAGACAAAGCTACCCAAAGCCCAAGTAGAATTCCCTGTAACTCTGTCTTTGATAGGGGTGAGTTGCTAAGCAATTTCTTGCATGGTCTGATAATCTGATGGAAGAACAAAGTTGCAACAAATAGCATCTTACATCAGAAACAGGAGCTATGCTGACCAGATAAATAAGAATCCATCTCTTATTTTTATTTTGTATTTTTATTTTTTTTTTGAGACGGAGTCTCGCTCTGTCACCCAGGCTGGAGTGCAGTGGTGCGATCTTGGCTCAATGCAAGCTCCGCCTCCCAGGTTCACGCCATTCTCCTGCCTCAGTCTCCCGAGTAGCTGGGACTACAGGTGCCGCCACCACGCCCAGCTAATTTTGCAGCTGGATGGTGTCCTGCCCAGGGTGGGTTCCCACTCTGCACCTTGATCTGTGGGGACAGGCTCGGGCCACCCAGACCCTCGATTGGAATAAGCGGGTAAATAATTATGTTGTCCTTATTAATCTTTGTTAAATGTATGTACAGATGTTTAAAATGAGAAATGTTTTGGTTCTTTATTTAGAAATTTAGTGATGTTTTTGTGACTGGAAATATGCTGAAGGAGCGTAACTCTTGTTTATATCAATTAGCCTAAGGGAAAATTGGTTCTCTTATCATCATATTGCTTCGAATTGCAGTCTCCAAGAACTTATCAATGTTAAGTGAGGACTTACTGTATGTTCTTGTTAAATTTAGCTGTTGTTAATATACTGTTATTTTGTATATATCTCAGCAATATCTCAAATGCATTCTGTGGAACACCATTCTAACAGGCCATTTATTAGATATTTTTAAAAGGACTAAATATGGTTAAATAACCAGAAATTAGTACATACTCTACATTACTTCTTGATGATTCACAATGCACATTAGTGTATTAAAAGATCTAGGTAGTCTAATAGCAAAAAAGTGTATATAAATATATATATATAAAATTGTATTTTAAAAACTTGAATTTACCAAACTTATTTCTGTATAGATCAATTAATGTTTCCCTGAACATTGGATGCCAACCTGTGGAACGTTATCTGGAACAACCATGGCTCTAAGATAGGGGCATTAGAATGAACTTCTTTTTGTAAAGATCTAGGTATTAAATATTTAAGGCTCTGTGGGCCAAGAGGCAAAATTGAGCAACTGTTCTCACCAAAACTTGAATAGTCATTTTTACCATTTAAACTTAAAATAAAATAGTGGGCCAGATTTGGCCTGCCAGCCATTGTTTGCCCACATCTGTTTCAGGAGATGGCATTGTTGAGAGGCATATGAAAATTTTAACAGGTGCTGACCACTAATGAGAAAAATTAAAGTGTGCAGAAGATGAGAGAGCTGTCTCTTCTGTTAATACTGTTATAGTCCCTTTACTAGCACAATCCTGAATATATATAATAATCAATAGTTTATTACCTCCTTGCCACTGACATATCTGGCACCATTTCCCAATGGGCCATTTTGAATAAGGTTACAGAATCCTTTTCAACCCATTTTTTTTTTTTCTGGGCAACCACAAGGAATCAATCAGAATTAACAAAAGACATAAAGCCCATTTGCCATTCCTGATCTTCTATACTCTTCTTAAAGTGTGTTATCTAGATTTTGACTTTGGTGTGACCACGCTGTCACAGAATAGAGAGAGGAGTATCGGGGTAACCAGCCCCCAATATTTTAACGTAGGTTCTTTTCTATTTTCCTGAAGTGTCGGCCGGTCTGAGAAATAAAGGGAAAGAGTACAAAAGAGAGAAATTGTAAAGCTGGGGGAGACATCACATGTCAGCAGGTTCTGTGATGCCCCCTGACCGCAAAACCAGCAAGTTTTTATTAGTGATTTTCAAACGGGAGGGAGTGTATGAATAGGGTGTGGGTCACAGAGATCACATGCTTCAAAGGCAACAAAATATCACAAGGCAAATGGGCAGGGCAAGGCCACAAGGCCAGGGTGAAACTGGAATTGCTGATGAAGTTTCATGTCCCACTGTGCACGCATTGTCATTGATAAATGTCTTAATAGGAAACAGGGTTCAAGAGCAGAGAACCAGTCTGACTAGAATTCCCCAGGCTGGAATTTCCTAATCCTAGCAAGCCTGGGGGTGCTGCAGGAGACCAGGGCATGTTTCATCCCTATCTACAACTGCATAAGGCAGACACTCCAAGAGTGGCCATTTCAGAGGCCTCCCCACGGGAGTGCATTCTTTTCCCAGGGCTGTTAATTATTAATATTCCTTACTGGGGAAAGAATTCAGTGATATTTCTCTTACCCATTTTCAGTAATAAGAGAAATATGACTCTGTCCTGCCCGGCTCCCAGGCAGTCAGACCTAATGGTTATCTCCCTTGTTCCCTGAACATCGCTGTTATCCTGTTCTTCTTTCAAGGTGCCCAGATTTCATATTGTTCGAACATACATGCTTTACAAACAATTTGTGCAGTTAACGCAATCATCACAAGGTCCTGAGGCGACATACACATCCTCAGTTTATGAAGATAACGGGATTAAGAGATTAAAGGAATGACAGGCATAGGAAATTATAAGGGTATTGATTGGGGAAGTGATAAATGTCCATGAAATCTTCACAATTTATGTTCTTCTGCCATGGCTTCAGCCAGTCCCTCTGTTCAGGGTCCCTGACTTCCCACAACAAAGGAGTCATTACCTTACTTGACCAAAATTGTCATAGCCTAAGATCACAAACATTTTTGCAATCTCATTATGCTATGGATGCACAGTGACCTAGCAAACAACTAGAGCCTTGAATCTTTCTTCATATGTATTGTTGTTAAGTCACACCTTGACCTTCTTATAGTTTAGATCCAAGTGCATAATATGATATTTATCTCAATTAATATCAACAATTTAGTCTACTGCTCAGTCCATCCTAATGAAAATCTTTTGGATTCTAATTATTAGGTATTTCTCTCAACATCAACTCATTTAAACCAAATTAATATGCCTTTTGATCTGTATCATAGGTCAACATGATTAGTAACAATGGTCTTAAATAGAATTCCAGAACATGCCATTAGAAACAATCTTCTCAATAATCAAACTTAGGACATTTGAATTATGCTCCCCATCAGGTGTTGAGATCTTTGGAATAACATTTATATTCACACCATGTTCAGTAACTGCAAAAAAATACATTTTTTGGAGTATATGGAGATTATTTTTACCAAAACCACATCATTGAGTTACAAAATTTAAGAAACAAAGAGGACTTCAAGATTGCTCCAGTACCTTTCAGCCTTAAGCACCTACTCCAGCCAAAAAATAAAAAAAAACAAAAACAAACAAACAAAAAACTTGGGGCAAGTATTGCATTCAAGGAAATTCTTGATTTTCAACTAAACCTCTTGGCAGAGCAGAATAACTGTCATCATGAAAGATAAAAAGAATGTACACACAATTGAGGTTCATAGTGCGAAACAATAAAAAATGTGAGTTACTGCTATAATACAGCTAGAAGACATTAAATACTATCATGAGAGAGCTCTGAAAAGTTACAGGTGTTATACAAACCTAAGTGTTACCAGCAGCGAATCTATATGGGTCTGCAGCAACCTCAATCTGGCCTCCTCAGAAGAACGAATTCAACCGAGGAGACAGAAGGCAGAAAGAGAAACTGAGGCAAACCTTAGCGCAGGAGTGAAAGTTTATTAAAAAGCTTTAGAGCAGCAATGAAAGGAAATAAAGTACACTTGGATGAAGACCAAGTGGGCGATTTGAGAGATCAAGTGCATAGTTTGACCTTTGACTTAGGGTTTTATATGGTGCCATGCTTCCAGGGTCTTGTATCCCTTCTTCCCTGATTCTTCCCTTGGCATGAGTTGTTCACATATGCAGTGGCCTGCCAGCATGTGGGAGGGTAGCATGCACGGTGTGCTTACTGGAGTTGTACAGATGCTCGCTTGAGGAGTTCTCTTACCAAATGTCCCTTGGAGGCCATATGCCAGTTAAACTTTGACATTTTGCCTCCTAGTGCACATGCTTGAGCCCACTTGCCCAGCTCTTGAGATCTTATTGGGAAGCTGTTGATTACCAGTTTCAGGTGCTTCTGTTTATTGGGAGACTGCCTTTCCCGGGTGTGAGCTGCATATCTATTATTATTTTAGAGAGACAGTTAACAACAGTCTGACCATCACCTGATGGTCGCCTGACATTCCTGGTTTTCGTGTGTGTGTGTGTGTGTGTGTGTGTGTGTGTGTGTGTCTGTGGTGGGAACTCTTTTCTGCTCTCCTCTTCTCTGTTACCTACTGTAACATAAGGAATCATTTTTAGAATATATTTTGTTGCCTTAAGGTGGGCAGTGTTTCTCCATTTTTGCATTTCTAGAACACAGATGCAAGAGGAGAGTGGTATTCTGTAGTCTTTAATTTTATTATCTTTTGATTGTATTTTCTTCATTTTCGGTTTATTTTTTTCAAAATATACTTATTTTCCTTTTATGGCTGATTTTCTTCATAATAAAATATAGCAACACATTTGGTAGATTCTAATTTCTTATGTTAACAGAATGCTTTCAACACAGAAGTCTTACTTGGATATATTCTTATGCAGGGGTCAGCAAACTTTCAGTAAAGTGCCAGATAGTAAATATTTTAGGCTTGGCAGGCAAAGAGGCAATGTCCTCAACTCTGAGCAACTGTTCTCACTTAAATAATAATAGTCTTTTTTGCATTCTACATTTAAATATGTAAAAACCATCCTTAGCTCATAGACCTTGCAAAAGCAGGTGGCGGGCCAGATTTGGCCATTGGTTCGTGGCCCCCACTATAGAGTACTGACCATTAAAAAAATAAGATCATAGTTGTCTGGATGTCCTTCAAAACATGAAACTTAGTAATTTACATTGTAACAAAGTGATTTTGATTGTATGATAAGATAGATGGCAAAGTTAAAAAAATCACTTCCATTTTGACCAGTAAAGAATTCCACATGTCAAGTTTCAAATTATTTCAATATAAAATATTTGAACCTAAAAAACCTATTCTTGCTTTTTCAAATAACAAATATTTATTGCCACTTTTCAGGCTGTGTACTGGGCACTAGAAAAAAACAGATAACAAGACTGGCACTGTGAACCTAACTAGATTTCAAGCCTCTTCCACTAAAAAACCATAACATTAATAAATATCCTCATGATTATATATAAAGATAATGTCTCATAAAGTGATATATAAAATCTTTAAACATGGCTTTTCAGGAATAACCCAATGAATCATGAAATTTACCTTTAAGTCTCTTTCTCCTCCTATGTAAATAATTTGAATACAAATATCTTTAAGAATTTTGTAATAAATAAGAAGTCAAAAGCTGAATATTCATGCAGCTCTTTAGTATAATAATAAACTGTAAATGCCCACCAAGGACTTAAAGAAGAGTAAGCAACATTGCATTCTAAATGAGAAAATATGAGTCACAACAAATTTCCCAAGTGAGAAGGTTTTATTTCTTCTTTTTCAAAAAAGAATTAAACTCATGTCTAAAAATGCAGAGAAAATTCTATATACCCTTAGGCATCTTAATGTGTCACTGAGTCCAACTCTAGGGCCCTTTTGTCATGTATTCTGGCTTGGTCACACATTTTGAGCACTCCTGCTGTATTTGAAGAATTCTTTATCTTAGGAGACCTGCATCCCCATGGTAGAAGCACAAAAACGTGCTCAAGTTGAAGTCTCCCTTTCAACTCTCCACTTGGTCTCCATGAGATTTCACTTTGAAAGAAGCAACATGAAAAGACTGATGCCATACCTACAGAGTTCGTTTTCTTATGAGGGTGAGAGTAGAGGTGTCTTGCTTTCAAGGGCAGGGGGGCAGAGGCTCTACAATTCTTTCCACAACAGCAGTATCAGCAGCAACCGAAGCCATAGGGGTGTCCTTACTAAGTAGAAGTGGCTTTTCTTGGGAATCTTTTCTTGGCATGGTTGGGTGGTATTCTTCTTTGCTTTGCAGTCTCCAAGGCTAATGCTCTGGCCTATCCTGTGAGTCCCCTAACCTCATTTGTCTTAGGTTACTGTCGTAGGTTGAATTGTGTACTCCAAAAAAATATATAGTAGTCCTAATCCCTAGTATCTGTGAATGTGACGTTATTTAGAAATAGGGTCTTTGCAGATGTAATCTGGTTAAGATGAGGTCATACTGGATTAGGATGGCCCTAATCCTATATAATCTGTGTCCTTATAAGAAAAACAGAGACACAGGGAGGAGAATACCATGTAAAGACACAGAGACACACTGAAACCTCCATGTAAGGACAGAGGAAGAGATTTCAGTGATGCAGCTGCAAGCCAAGGAATGCCAAGAAACAATGGCCACCATCAGAAGCTGGGAATGGGCAAAGAAATATTCTACAGTCTCAGAAGGAACATAGCCTTGCAGGCACCTTGATTTTGCCCTCCTAGCCTTCAGAACTGAGAGTATACATTTCTTTTGTTTTAAGCTACCCAGGTTGTAGTACTTGGTTATAGCAGTCCTAGGAAATAAACACATTTCCTTCGAAGGAGATCCTGAGATGAGGATTCAGTGCAAGTGACTTTGAAAGAAAGTCATCCCAATAGAAACCAGTAAGAAAGTAGAGAAAGCAGGAAAGAAAAGAATTTAGAAGCCAAGCAAGGATGAGCTCTTAGTCAAAACCCCTGCTTCATCTTGATCCTGCAAGGAGCTCTGGAGTTTAAATTACATCCAGAGTTTGTCCCAATTTGGGGCAAAGGAGCTGGACTCTCATACTTGCAGTCACAGGGGCCAGTCATGGGTGAGGGCTGCCCCATGGGACCCAATCTGTATAGCACTGCAGGTTCTCTGTGCATGTTGGTAAAGCAGCATTTATAGCCCTTGAATAGGCCTTAAAGAAAGTCAGAGGGGCCAACCTTAGAAAAAGATTGCTAGAGAATCTGGCTGTGAGGCACATAAACACAGTAAAAGGGATCTGGGAGTATCTGAGTGTCTTATTCTATTTGTGTTGCTATAAAGGAATACCTGAAGCTGGGTAATTTATAAAGAAAAGAGGTCTATTTGGCTTACAGTCAGCAGACTGTACAAGAAACACGACACCAACATCTGCTTCTGGTGATGGATGTGGGGTGCTTCCACTCACGATGGAAGGTGAAGGGGCAGCTGGCATGTACAGAGGTCACGTAATGAGAGAGGAAGCGAGAGAGGAGAAGGTGCCAGGCTCTTTTTCACGACCAGCTCTCTGGGGAGCTAACAGAATGGGAACTCATTACCTAAGGACAGCACTAAGCCATTCATGAGAAATCAGCTCCCATGACCCAGACACCTCCCATTAGGCCTCACCTCCAACACTGAGGATCATGTTTCAACATAAGGTTTAGAAGGTTAAATATTGCAACTGTAGCATTGGGTAAAGTGCGGATCAAGCCCACTACTCCTGATTGTAAATTACTTTTCTCCTCAAATTTCCTGGAGTGGAGTCTGTTGTTTGCAACTAAGAACAATAATTGATATGCCACCCAAAGGAAGAAAATCATCATTTTTAAACCCTAAAATAATAGTTGAAAGTCATTAATTTCTTAAAATATATACAGGTTCCTAAAATGCTGTGGAAAAGCCCAATTTTTATAAAGCACATCCTGTTTTAAATGTATTAAGGGAAACTCAATATTGAAAGAAAAACTTATAAAATACTGAGTAAAATGAAGACTATTTCCATAAATATTCAAACGTATCAGTTTTGTTAATACGTATTTTATATAAAACTACTATTATCATCAACAAGTATGTTACAAGTAGCTCATAGCTATAGAGCATTGTTCTTGGAACTATAAAAAATATAAGATATGCTTCCTGCTTTCAAAATTTCATATGCTAGTGCCTGTGAGATCTTTAGCTAAGTCACTTGTCATCTCTGAGCCTTGGTTTCCATTTCTGTGAAATACAGATGATAATGTTAATACAGAACTGCTATGGACATTATGATATAACTTATGTAAATGCTTTTAGTGAATGTAAATGATTATATAAATGTAATGATACTAAGAAACACGTAAGAACATGGCATATACAATAAATCTCACAGGAATTACAAGTAAAAAACAAATCAACTCCATGCGTTCTATGGAGGCCTAGTGGCAGGAATATTCATCTCAAAATTATAGGTGCATTGAACAGTTGTCAGGGGATTTCAGTAGACCCTTGAACTACACAACTAACTCTGCTGACTCTAATTCCAAATGCATCAAATAAAATTCTAGTTACAAATACCTTCCCACAGAGCTTGCCTACAAGGAGATACTGTTGCAAGCAGAGAATATGAATGTCTGAACCCTTTGACAATTAAATTTCTCAGTATAATTTAAGAAGTTGGTATTCTGGTAACGCTGTGTTTTATGCACTTGGTTGCTGTGAGTTTGGCCCTGAGAGGTGACTCTACTCTTAGTGTGTAAAGCCAAATTTGTGAGCCCCCAAGGTGAGAAGCAGAGCTGAAACTTCTCCAATTCACCAAGATACCTTAGGCCAGAGGTCCTCAATCTTTTGGGCACCAGGCACAGGTTTCATGGAAGACAACTTTTACATGGACTGGTGGGTAGGGGGTGGATTTGGGATGATTCAAGCGCATTACATTTTTTGTACACTTTATTGCGATTATTTTTACATTGTAATATATACGAAATAATTATACAACTCACCATAATGTGCAATCAGTGGGAACTCTGAGCTTGTTTTCCTGGAACTAAACAGCCCCATCTGGGAGTGATGAAAGACAGTGACAGATTATCAGGCATTAGATTCTCATAAGGAGCATGCAACCTGGACCCCTGGTATGCACAGTTCACAATAGGGTTCATGCTCCTATGAGAATCTAATGCCATCACTGATCTGATCAAAGGCGGAGCTCAAATGGTAATGTGAGTGATGGGGAGCGGCTGTACATACAGATGAAGCTTCACTCTCTTGACTACCATTTACCTCTTGCTGTGCAGCCTGTTTCCTAACAGGCCATGGGACCCCTCCCTTAGGTGACGGCTTAGAAAGTAGTCAGCATTCTCTTCCTTGAATCTTCTACTCTTTATTACATTTTAAATGTAATAAATGCCACAATTTTCTTTAGATTCTTGAGATTCCTTTCGATTAATTCTGTAAGAGGCCTAAGTGACTCAAACATAATAATGATCTATATTTAAATGTCCATCAATTCTGACAGCTAGTTTGAATGCAGATAATTGCTTTATGGACTGCTGGTCCTTCAAACAGAAACTATATAAACCTCTGTATTTTTTTCTCTTTGGATTTAAAACTCTGTTCACTCACATTTGAAATGTGTTTATGGTAATTGGATTCTTGTTTGTTTTTCAATCTATTCTTAGTGCAGAGGAATGGCAAGAATTTGAACACTCCTCTACTTTCACATCCAGGCAAGCATCACTGAAAAAACTTCAGTGCATGCTCAGCTAAGATATTACATTCATAATCTGGCCTGGCCCTTCCAGCCTTAGAGAGAGGTTTATGCACTCTCTTTTTTAAAAATTTTAATTGTAATTTTTGTGGGTACATAGTATGTGTATATTGCACTCTCTTTTTTAGAAGAATTTTTAAAAATATCTGGATCATATTTCTTCTCTTTTTATCATTTCTATTCCCGTTCTCTTTTAGGATTTTCAATCTCTACTAATCCTTCAAACCTCCACCTTTCCCTGTCCCTGCATGCATAGACCTTATCTTTGATAGAAAAAGGAAAAAAATAAGGCAAAGTAGTGGGGTGGGGGAAAGGAAGGAATGAAAAAAAGGATAGTTGGAGGAAAGGTAGAAACAAAGGAAGGAAACGAGAAAAGAACTGAACACATTTCTCTTTTAATCATGCATATACATATTAACACATATTTGAAAGACACATTAAATGCCTGCTATGTGTAAGATTTTGGTCTAGGTGTTGGGGAGATAAAGATAAATTCAACATTAAGTTGCCATCTAATTGAACAGACATCACATATTTATAAGTAACCTAACACAAAGCAAAAGGTGGATAAGTTGTCTAAGAGGGACAAGAAAGATGATCATGACAATGTAAGGGGGAGAAAGGACTTTCAATCAGCAAGGGGCTGGAGAAGGCAGAAAGAATCTTGTGAAGAGATGACACTTTGAGATGGGCCTTTGGGGATAGATAAGACTTGCTTTCCCTTCCAGTTTGTCCAGTAAATTTTCTACAGACTTCCTTATGCAAGTTTCCTGGAAACCTCCCCCATCACGCAGTCATTTCCCAGTGAAACTGCCTTCTACCCTGACTCCGTTTCCCAAACTGATTATTCAAAGAATACCCATGACAGTTTTACACTCAAAACCCACATGTTGGTGACTTTTTATTTTTCTAAAAACTATTCTCCAAGAATAAAACTTACTTTCTTAACTTCCCTAACATGGCATTATACTAGATTCCTTCTCACCTTTGACCCAGGCCACATACTCTAACCAGCGCTGCTTTGTGATCACTTTGGTATCATAGATCACCTTTCTATGACACCCTTAAAGACTTACGCTAAAACATAATTCAAGACCTAAGTATATGCTCTTGTAATCAGAGTGTAATGAGATCCCCTTGAAAGACCTATTTTTTGAACCATGCTTACCTTTGGCCAAGACTCAGGCATGAAGGCACCTTTACAAAGCATATTCTATTCCACATTGCATTAATAACAAATCAATATTTTACTCAAGATGCTGTAGGAAGACAGAAAATAGAATTTACTTTGCCCACTGCCATGGAGAACCATCCTATCCCTTCTGTTCCTCTTAGGAAATGTCTTCCCATGTCTGCTGCATGCCCCCACTTTCTATAGATTAAAAAAAAAGGCATTATTTTTTAGAATAGAATAAAAATTATGAAAATATTCATGTTGAAAGGTAGAAAGATAATGAAGAGTGTAAATTAGGAAGTGAAAAACTGGAAGGATACAAGGAGAGAAAAGAGAGGTGAAATACTAATATTTTCATCGTATATAGTAGGGTGTTGAGAGTAATTGATGAACATGAAATGACAGTTTAAATCTATAATATAAAGGTGTAAAGTCCTTTAGAGGGCCAAAGTTCTTTCAGATAGCTCTTTGATAGAACTATCAAAGATTGGGAGTAAGTGAGGAGTTACAAGTTGGCAGGGTAGTGGAAATGAAGTAGTGTAAACTTCTCATCTTTTATGCCTAATATGTTATATTAAATTTGATAAATGAGATGTAGTAATTAAGTATATCATTTAGCATTTGGAGGCAATCACTCCAAAAAACTACATAGGAAACCATTAAAATGATTTCCTCAGCTAGTGAGACTGAAGGTATTAAGACCATCTGGTGTTTTCATTATAAGTCCTTTGTCCTGCTTGATTTTTTTTTTTAAACTACGTGCCTGGATTATTTTATTAAAATTTCACAAGGGATAAAAATACATAGAAAAATATTTTTAACATCAATTTTTAAATTATTTGTTTTATTTATTATTAGTATGAGTAGAGATGAGGGTCTCACTTTTTCACCCACACTGGAGTGCAGTGGTGCCATCATAGCTCAATGCCACCTTGAATTTCTAGGCTCATGGCTGAGCCTCCCACCTTAGCCTCCTGAGTAGCTTGGACTACGGACACCCACCACTAAGTCCAGCTAATTTTTAAATTTTTTGTAGCCACAGGGATCTTGCCATCTTGACCAGGCTGGTCTCAAACTCCTGGCCTCAAGAGATTCTCCCATCTCGGCCTCTCAAAGTGCTGGGATTACAGCTGTTAGCCACTGTGCCTGGTCAATTCTTAAATTAGTAGCTTTTACAATTTTTTTTTGGTAGAGAAGTCCTACCCTAAAATACAAATTTTAAAATTCTTAATATAATTAAATATATATTTTCATGCTAAATCTATATGCTAGTAGAGATAAGCAGATTCAGATACAAAAGTTTAATTACAAAATAATGGGAGAGCAGTCTTCAGAGGGATATTATTTTATTTATAAGATTTTTTTAGTGTGAATTAGATCATTTAAAAATATTTAGTTTCAAATACTGAGTGCAAGGGCATCATTTGAGAATCAATGTCCTAAATATTCACTGCTGGGTATACCTCTCCTAAAAATAGAAAATGTCTATTTTTTATCAAAATACAGGTCCCTGTGGGTGGGTGGTTTTGTCAATCTGTCTTGGCTTTTTCTCTTTTTTCTCCTTTCTCTATGTGCTTTTCTAATCTGTTGGGCAGTTCTTACTCACATTGCTTGTCTTCTTTTTTAAATAAAAAAATTCAATTAAGCTCTCTCTGTTTACTATTCATATAACAGAGTCTGATATGTTTTAAATTATGTGTTATATTTAGTGAACAATTTATAATTTCTTGTGTTCAATTCCAAAAGTAGATTGATGTACTGTTTTTGTATTTCTGTTATTAAAAGAATGAACCAATGAGCAAATGAATGAATGAACAGGGAGAAAAAAGAAAGGAAGGAAAGAAGAGAGGAGGATAGGTTGAAAGAAGATAAATACCTGAGTTGTTTTTTTACTAAGTAACGTTCGTTTAATTTTTTTTCCACTCTGCTTAGTGGCTTGATAGAAAAAAGCTACCAGAACTCTGGTTGAAGAGGTCTCAAAATTCTGTTCTATATTCTAAGGGCTGAAAATGCTGACAAAGACATTGAACCATATATTCAAAGACATGCTATTTTAAGTGACCCAAATCTTCCTTTTTCAAAGTGGGGATAACTTAAAAATTCAAATTTGATAAATTATGGAGTGTATCAGCAAATCACTACCGAAATCAGGCAAGCTGAGCCTATCTTTTGACAAGTTTCTAGGGGTATAGCTGTCCTTTTGGGAAAATATATCTTTAAATATATGCTGAAATGCAGAGAACCTAAACACAGACCTAGAATCCTGGAATGGGCAGGGACTGTAGGAACAGCACAATATCTTATTACAGATGAAGGGCCCGAAGTCCAGGAACATTCGAAGACTCGTAATGTGCTACAGTTCAGTGTCAGAGAGGCAACCTATGAAAAAGTGCGATACTGAAAACTGATTGAGCCACACACTTAAAAATGGGTCCATTTTATTCTATGTAAATTACAGCTCAATGAAGTTGATTAGAAATCAATGTTCCCTTTTTGCTCACAGGTGCACCATGTCTCTGGCTTCATCAGCCTGATATTCATCATCCCTCCATTCACCATGTTATCTCTTGATTACCTAATACATATCAGGGACTGTGCTAGGCACTGGGAGTAAATGAGCAAAAGCAGATATGGCACCTGCCAGCATGGAGCCTCCAGGCTATTGGGAAGAGGCATTAATAAGAGAATCATACTAATAAATATATCACTCAGTTATGTTGACAGCTGCTATGGAAGGAGATACTGGTATTCTGGTAGCCTGCAATAGGGGGTTTTAACCTTGTAATGGAGGTCAGGGGACTTATCTTAGAAAAGGCACAATTGTGTTGAGATCTGAAAAACTACAGAAAGTTGAAAGGTACTTTTAGCTAGGGTAGGGATGGGGAAAGAGGGTGGGAAAATGTGTTCTAGACAAGGAAAGAACATGTCCCAAAGCCCTGGGTTGGTGGATATGGCACTTTCAGATGTCAGAAAGACGTGGGAAGAACCACAGAGTGACGGGGGACATGGAGGGAAAACTTGCATTAACTCAGCTGAGAAAAAATTAAGTTAAGCAAGGCTGTGTTGATATCATAGAATTACAGAGATCAAATAACCCCCAAATGTCATTATTTTCATTTGGCATATTTACCTAAAATAGTTAATCAATTGGGTTAATTCATTGAATGTCTATATCAGTGAAGTCAAAGAAAGCCAAGAACCAATTTGACAAATTTTGAATAAGTTCCTTTCAATCCATTCTGTGGTAGACAAGTAAGTACTCTATTAAGGGAAAAATTTCTCACAGCAGTTGTTTGATTGCTTTAACTACTTATTTGAAAAAAAATTCTTTCTTTGACTAGAATGATAAACTTTAATTGATTGTATTTTTTACACAAAGGAAAAACTTATACACACTATAGTAGCTGCATTTCATCATGTAATTAGTCAGGTAAATGAAGCTGACAAGACGAAACTAGCCATACTCACCTATGGGTTGTCTTTAGATTAAAATTTTGGATTAAAATGTTTCTTTTAAAGCAGTGGATTTTATGAGGCATCCCATTGGGCAGCTTAAATTCCTGAGCTCCAAAAGCCCCACATTGAGAAATCAACTAGGGCCAGGAAGGGCAAAACCTGGAGGCAGTATTGTCTAGTGGTTGAGAATTTGAGTGCTTGATGTTGAAATCTGGTGTTCCATCTTCTAGCTGTGCCACCTTCTAGCTCTGTGACCTTGGACAATACACTTAATGGTTTAGTATTCTAATCTGGATGTTAAATACAATAATTACCTCACAGGTTACTTGAAATACTGAGTGTGTTAATGTAAGTAAATTGTCTAATGCAAAGACTGACACTCAAATTTTAGTTATTATTATTAGGTATAGCTCTTATTAGTTAATAAAGTATATAACAAGGTACTATAGCATTGTCTAACAGAACTGTAGATTTCATCATTAAATGAAGGGGCAATCTGCGTGGATATAATGTCCGAAGTCAGAATGAGACATTTGTGCAATTGTTTCTAATCATCAACTATCCCAGTCAGAATTCATGAAGGCAAAAAATTCCACCTCTCCTGAGATGTGGACATCCCTTCCATAGCTCTTTAAAAGCCAGGGGGCTCTCTAGACAGGTGGCGAGCATGCCGGGTCTAATCTGTTACGAGACTGTTTTAACGAAGTTGAGTGCATATCATAGATCACTGTCTTCTATTTTTCCACACTAGAATGCCTTTCGAACAAGATGTTTTATTTTCATGGTAATTTAATCATTAAATGTTATTAAATAGGGGTTATAAAAAGGCAATTGTTCCTCAGGAGCTTGAAATTGAGGATTCTCTTTTTAGCTGCCCCTGATTCCCCTTTTTGCTGTGACCTTGGGATTAGTTATTTGGCTATTCTATGCTCTAACTTCTTATGCAAAATGAGAAAAATGCCACTTTTATGAGCAGGCTGTAAATTCCTAACTAATGCTTAAAGCATGCTTTAGTTCCTTTCATCTGAGAAAATTAAAGTAAATGAAAATATTTCATTATTAATAATCTAATTCTCTTTGAATCTTTGATTAATACCATTTTAATATATGAGATTTTCAAAATTGGGTCATATTCTATATAAATTTTTGAAGGTGGAAGCTATACACAAATAGATAAATTTTAGTTAAAACCAATTCTCCTTAAGAAGATCTAAAATGAACATAATACCTCTTGAATTAAACATAAAATAGCAGATTCAGGTATAGCCTGCCTTCAGAAACTATTAGTATATTGCTACCTTAAGCATTTTATTTTCATTAGGGTAAGATAACCATTTTCACAGTTTCAAAATTTTTGATAATGTAAAACATCAGACAATCTTTGATGCATTTTTTTAAATGTAAACTGAAGTCGTGTCACAGCGGCATTGCGCAGCTGGTGGAAATGGTACACTTAAAAACAGAGTGTCATTTGTGAGAAATGGATTCGTGAGGACTCTTTCCCCAAATCACTAACTAGAGAGAAATACTGTGAAGTATTTCTCACCCTATACTCTTCTTCCTTATGCTCTATTAAAGCATTCAAAAACACAGTGATTTAACATGAACAAATCTTTTCAGGGAATCTTCATAATCATTGACATTTCAGTTGGACCCCATTTTGTTAAACTTTCTCAACATCCTTCTATTAAATTTGTAAACTTACTAACATCTATAGCATATTCCAAAGGAAGGGTTTGAAAGTGTTAAAAGAATGCGTCAAATATGTTATAAAGTTCCACCATTGAACTTTGAATTACCCTTCCCCTTTCATATTTTCCAGTTAACATGCACACAGCTGCTCATGCCATGTAATCAACTGATTGTTACACAAGCATTTTCTAAAGCTATGACAATCTCAGATTTATGAGGTCAAGAAGTGCAGACTTAATCCATTCAATAGCTGCAATTTATCGTCTGATTATAATTGTATACACAAACACAGTAATGATTTAGATGACATAGTGTAAAGATGAAATCCGTTTATTTTAAAAGGGTTTCTAACCTTTAAAATATGTTGCCATGAACACCTTTCGATGTCCGCTTTTAACAACACAATTATTATTGTTTTATTGATCAGGGTTTTATTACGGATTTGACACTTATATTTCATGCTAATCGAAAAAGGTGTAATTTTTCTGCACAATTTTAACAAGAATATGACTGTAATTAATTATATCACTATTATGTTTTCAGTGTCTAGAAAGAAGTGCTTAATTTATCACACATGTCTTCTATAGCATATGGAAACCTCTTTTAAAAAGACAGGGTGCGTGCTCCTTCCAGAGATGATAGGATATGACATAGGCACTATATTTATAGATTTCTGCCGCCATGCTGACCTGGTTTTATAGTGACAGCTCTTCTGAAATGAGATTGCACATTAGCAACTTAGATAGCCTGGGCGGCACCCAATTTTACCATGGTTTGGTCTTATAACTCTAATTAGTGGTCATTCCCTAATGCCTTCATAGATCAAGAAAACAACCTACAGAAAGGACCAGAGTGGTGTGGGTGGAATAACACAGCAAAATATATTGCAGATCTTTTTTCTAGTTTGTAAGTTTTAACAAATAACTAAATGTCATGACTAACTTGCTTGGCTACATATGGCAGTTTAGTTTTGTTCATTTCATACTTATTTTTACACAACATCAGTGGTTGTAAACTGGATACATACCCTAAAACACATACACACACATACAGGCACACACATGTGTATGTATGCATGTAATATTTACACTGATCTTCAACTTATTGTCAATGATCTTTATACTTTTCTAAAATATTGTGGCTCTATTATCCAAGAAAATTAGAAGCCTTCCATATAGCAGTATAATTTATGTTTCAAACAGAATTTTAAAAATAATTTATATCACATGCTAATGAAGCCAAGCTTTTTCTTGTTCAATTTTTATATGTTGTTCTATAACAAGCTTATTAAATCACATAAATTTACATTTCACTTTCCATATTACCTGCATATATGAATGTCATTATATACTGCTGTACCATATTCGTATCATTACACAATTTCTATTATATTAATCCATAAATTCTAATTAATATGTATAATTTGACACATTTACTATTCAGATACATGGCTTTGTGTTTTCTAAAACTCCTTACATATTATAAGGTTTGATCTATCTCTATATCTTTTTCCTAAATTTTCAGCGTGATGCCGATTATTTCAGTCTATTACAAAACATTCGATTTAAGAACTTAAATGGGAAGGCATTAAATATTTAAAAGAATTTATAAATATAAAATTCTATATTGAACACTAGGTAGAATGTATGAAAAAGTATATAATATATTATAAGATGGGGAATGAAGTAAAATCAATAGTTGAATTGGTAGCATGTTCTACTGTAATTAAACAGTCATGCTCACTTGCTTTTCTGCCATACTGTTTTAAATAGCACAATCCCAATGGAAAAGCACAGGCTGAGTTTTTCTTCCCTCTTTGAAACAACTGAATCAATACTGTTAAAATCAATATATCTTTATCTTTAATACAATGATAAGGGAAGAACATCACAGACAAAAATGAGCATTTCATAGTAATTCAAGTGAAAAAAGACAATCTGTATGTGTTCTTGTCCTATGCCATCCTAATAACACTCATACATTTTAGATTTTTGCTCAGTTTTTTAAACGGTCCCTATTTGAGCATTTTCATCACCAAATTCAGAGTTCTAGTATTAGGTCTAGGTCTACTTGAAACTCTGGATTTTTTCATCATTATCTTTCTAGTTTTAAGCCTGCTGTGTTAATGAGCCTAGAAAACATTAGAAATACATTTATACCCCTGAAATACTAGAAGTATTTGTGAAGTGTTAATGGTCTCACTTATTCATTCCTTCATTCGACAATATTTGTTGAGCATCCGCTATATTCCTGGCACTATTCTAAGCCCTTGCAACACATCACTGAACAAGACTCATAAAGATTACTGCCCTTGTAGAATTTATATTCTAGCTGGGGAGAGATGAGCAATTAACCTATAGTAAATAAGTTAACTACATGGCAGGTCAGAAAATAAAAGTACTATTGGAAAAGAAAATAAAAGAGAAAGAGGACCAGAATGGAGAATAGTTAGAAAAGTGGGGATTGAAATTTTAAGTAGTGTAGTTTGTAGGGTTTATTAAGAATATGTCACCTGAAGGAAGATCCCAACAAGATGAGGGAGGGAACCATTTGGTATCTGTATTAGTCCATGTTCAGGCTGCTGATAAAGACATACCTGAGATAGGGAAGAAAAAGAGGTTTAATTGGACTTACAGTTCCACATGGCTGGTGAGGCCTCAGAAACATGGCAGGAGGCAAAAGGCACTTCTTACATGGTGGTGGCAAGAGAAGGTGAGCAAGATGCAAAAGTGGAAACCTGTGATAAAACCAGATCTTGTGAGACATATTCACTACCACAAGAACAGTACAGGGGAACCACCCACATGACTCAAATTATCTCCTACCAAGTCCCTCCCACAACACATGGGAATTATGGGAGTACAATTCAAGATGAGATTTGGGTGGGAACAGAGCCAAACTCTATTATTTCCCCCTTAGCCTCTCCAAATCTCATCTCCTCACATTTCAAAACCAATCATGCCTTCCCAACAGTTGCCCAAAGTCTTAATTCATTTCAGCATTAACCCAAAACTCCACAGTCCAAAGTCTCATCTGAGACAAGGCAAGTTTCTTCTGACTATGAGCCTGTAAAATTAAAAGCAAGCTAGTTACTTCTAGAGACAATGAGTGTACAGGTATTGTGTAAATACAGCTGTTCCAAATGGGAGAAATTGGCAAAAACAAAGGAGTACAGGGCTCATGCAAGTCCGAAATCCAGCAGGTTGGTCAACTTTCAAAGCTCCAAATGATCTTATTTGACTCCATGTCTCACATCCAGGTCACACTGGTGCAAGAGGTGGATTCTCATGGTCTTGGGCAGCTTCACCCTTGTGGTTTTGCAGGGTACAGCCTCCCTCCCAGCTGCTTTCACTGGCTGGCATTGAGTGTCTGCAGCTTTTCCAGGTGCACAGTGCAAGCTGTAGGTGGATCTACCATTCTGGGGTCTGGAGGATGGTGGCCCTCTTCTCACATCTCTACTAGGCAGTAGCCCAGCAGGGACTCTGTGTGGGGGCTCCAACCCACATTTACCTTCTGCACTGCCCTAGCAGAGGTTGTCCATGAGAGCCCCGCCCCTGCAGCAAACTTCTGCCTGGGCATCCAGGCATTTCCATGCGTCTTCTGAAATCTAGGCAGAGGTTGCCAAACCCCAGTTCTTGACTTCTGTACACCCACAGGCTCAACAGCATGCAGAATCTGCCAAGGCTTGGGGCTTGCACCCTCTGAAGCCATGACATGAGCTCTGCATTGGCCCCTTTCAGCCATGGCTGGAGCAGCTGGGATGCACGGCACCAAGTCCCTAGACTGCACACAGCATGGAGAAACTGGGCCCTGCCCACGAAACCATTTTTTCCTTCTAGACCTCCGGGTCTGTGATGGGAGAGGCTACTGCAAAGGTCTCTAACATGCCCTGGAGACATTGTCTTGGGGATTAACATTCAGCTCCTCGTTATCCAAGTATCTATACTTACCCAAATAGCTGCACTTCTCCAAATATCTGCAGCCAGCTTGAATTTCTCCTAAAAAAATGGGATTTTCTTTTCTATCACATTCTCAGGCTGCAAATTTTCCAAACTTTTATGCTCTGCTTCCCTGTTAAAACTGAATGCCTTTAACAGCACCCAAGCCACCTTTTGAACGTTTTGCTGTTTAAAAATTTCTTCTGCCAGATACCCTAAATCTTCTCTCTCAAGTTCAAAGTCCACAAACCTCTAGGGTGGGGGCAAAATGCTGCCAGTCTCTTTGCTAAAACATAACAAGAGTCACCTCTGCTCCAGCTCCCAACAAGTTCCTCATCTCCATCTGCGACCACCTCAACCTGGATTTCATTGTCCATATCATTATCAATATTCTTGTGAAAGCCATTCAACAAGTCTCTAGCAAGTTCCAAATTTCCCCATATTTTCCTGTCTACTTCTGTGCCTTCCAAACTGTTCCAACCTTTGCCTATTACCCAGTTCCAAAGTGCTTCCACATTTTCGGGTATCTGTTCAGCAATGCTCCACTCTACTGGTACCAATTTACTGTATTAGTCTGTTTTCACACTGCTGATAAAGACATACCCAAGACTGGGAAGAAAAAGAGGTTTAATTGGACTTACACTTCCACTTGGCTGGGGAGGTTCTCAGAATCATGGTGAGAGGTGAAAGGCACTTCTTACATGGCAGCAGCAAGAGAAAATAAGGAAGGTGCAAAAGTGGAAACCCCTGATGAAACCATGAGATCTCATGAGACTTATTCACTACCAGGAGAACAGTATTGGAGAAATCACCCCCATAATTCAAATTATCTCCTACCAGGTCCCTCCCACAACATGTGGGAATTATGGAAGTACAATTCAAGATGAGATTTGGATGGGGACACAGAACCAAACCATATCAGTATCTGAAGAGATGATGTTCCAAGCAGAGGAAATAGCCAGCGCACAGAAAATGTGGAATCAGGTTTGTCTGTAGGAGGGTCAGTAAGTGCTGGAATGAAGTGGGGAAGGAAGGGTAAGGGATATGGAGTTGCCATCAGAGAGGTAAGAAGGACGCGAAGCAATGTAAGGCTGTTGGCTTTCTACTGTGAGATGGAGGGCTATTGCAGGGTGCTGAGAAGGAGCATGAACTCATCGAACTTGTACTTTAAGAGAATCATTTTAAGAACGTGTTGTCTTGAGTATAGGCTGTCAGAAGATATGCATGGAAACAGGAGATGATGGCAGGAATCCAGTAGAGAGAGGAAGAGTCTAAGCAGCATGTAAGCAGTAGCAGTGTGACAGAAACATAACCTGGTTCTAATTTGATAGAATTCCTAATTATTTACACATATCTAAATGCTATTCTTATGTAAAGCTAAGAGGAAATCAGAAACCATTTAGTGTAACTCTCCTATTTTCAGAGTAAGATCAAATTCCAGAGAAATGATTCTCTTAAAAAGCATAATTTACACAAAAGTCTTATAGGTTCCTTTTTTTGCTCCCAGCCAAAATAATTATTATCATATTATTCTTGTTTCATTATTTGCAAAAATACCACTGTAATATATGGTATTATTTATCGAATATTCTTTTATTACTCCTGAACATCCAGGTTCTTTTGGGAAGTGAGATTAGGTAGATCTATAGGCAACCAATTGCATTCATAACCATTGTTCTTTCTTTCATCATATAGCTTGTGAGTTATTGTGAAGTGGTAGAAAAAGGGTTATGTGAAATTGAATGGAAAGTTCTAACACTGGCTCTGGGTGGCTGTAGTGCATAACACACATGGTGAACTGAATTACATGTTTGAGGTGTGCTTGTGCGTGCCTTTTGTGTCTCTCTAGGCAACTGAGTTTACTTCGGTGGCTGAATTCACCTAGTGTTTCTTGCAGACAAAATCACACATAAGCAAATGTAAAATTTGTGTTTCACCCAGATTGTTCTTTAGTATGTGATTCATGTTGAAACAATTCACATTTTCAAAACAAGTACACCGTAAGTACTGTGATCTGCATTGGTTTTGAATGTGAGATTTACAGAAGACATACCCATGCAACAGGCTTTTTTTAAAAGACTTGGATAAACTCCTTAATGGCTAATGCAATCTCACCAGAAAGTTTACATGACAGATAGCATCTTTAGTTGGTTAGAAAATAGTTTCCCCACCTCTAGGGCTGCTGCCTGCTGTGTGGAGGGCAGGCTGGGTTTCAGGTCTACTCATCTTCTCAGACAGGCTGACGTGATAAACTAAAGTGAACTGTGAAGGATCAATGAGCTAAAAATTCACTTATTACTTTGGTGGACTTTCTATAGTTTAATGTCAGTGTTCTGTTTCTTTTCAGTTATAGTTGTTTGTTGTAGTGGTTTATATGAAAATTCATTCTGCATAATTTTTAAAATTATTTTTTATATTTATGGGTACATAGTGTGTATATATATTTATGGGGTATATGAAATATTTTGATACAGGGATACAATGCATAATCACATCAGAGTAAACAGTGTATCCATCACCTCAAGTATTTACCATTTCTTTGTGTTACAAACATTCCAATTATACTCTGTCAGTTATTTTAAAATGTACAATAAACTATTGTGGACTGTAATTACCCTGTTGTGCTATCAAACACTAGATCTTACTCGTTGTGTCTAACTATATTTTGTACCCATCAACCATCTCCACTAACCCTCCTTCCCACCCTACTACATTTTCCAGCATCTAGTAACCATTATTCTATTCTCTGTCTCCATGAGTTCAATTTTTTTAGTATTAAGCTCCCACAAATAAGTGAGAACATCTGAAGTTCGTCTTTCTGTGGCTTTTTCCACTTAACATAATGTCCTCCAGTTCCATTCATGGTGTTGCAAATGGCAGGATATCATTCTTTTTTAATGGCTGAATAGTATACCACTGTGTATATATATTGCATTTTCTATATCCATTCATCTGTTGATGGACAGTTAGGTTGCTTACAAATCTTAGCTGTTGTTAACAGTGCTTCAGTAAACATAGGGATGCATATATCTCTTTGATATACTGATTTTATTTATTTGGGGTATATACCTAGCAGTCGGATTGCAGGATCACATGGTAATAAAATTTTTAAACTTTTGAGGAAACTCTATACTGTTTTCCATGGTGGCTGTACTAATTTACTTCCCACTAACAGCGTATGAGGGTTCCTTTTTCTCCATGTCCTCACCAGCATTTGTTACTGCCTGTCTTTTCGATAAAAGCCCTTTTAACTGGGGTGAGATGATAGGTCATTGAAGATTTGATTTGCATTTCTCCGATGACCAGTGATGTTGAGCACTCTTTCATATGCCTGCTTTTTTTGTCATTTGTTTATCTTCTTTTGAGAAATGTCTATTCAGATCTTTTACCAGTTTCAAAGTTAGATTATTAGATTATTTTCCCTATTGAGTTGAGTTCCTCTTACATTGTTTTGTTATTAATCCTTTGTCAGATGGGTAATTTGTAGATATTTTCTTCCATTCTATGGGTTGTCTCTTTACTTTATTGATTGTGTTCCTTGCTGTGCAGAAGCTTTTTAAATAGATGTAATCCATTTGTCCATTTTTGCTTTGGTTGCCTGTGCTTTTGGAGTATTACTCAAGAAATTTTTGTCCAGACCAGTTTTATGAAGAGTTTCCTCAATGTTTTCTTTCAACAGTTTCATAGTTTCATGTCTTACATTTAAGTCTTTAATCCATTTGGATTTGATTTTGATTTGATGGCCAGAGATAGAGTCTAGTTTCACTCTTCTGCTACTGAATGTCCAGTTTTCCCAGCACTATTCATTGAAGAGACTCTCTTTTCCCTAATGTGTTTTCCTGGCACCTTTGTTGAAAATGAGTTCACTGGAGGTGTATGGATTTACTTCTGGGTTATCCATTCTGTTCCAGTGGTCTATGTGTCTGTTTTTATGCCAGTGCCATGCTGTTTTGCTTACAATAGTTCTGTAGTATAATTTGAAGTCAGGTAATGTTACTCTGCCAGTTTTTTTTTCTTTTCTTTTCTTTTCTTTCTTTCTTTCTTTCTTTTTTTCTTTCTTTTTTTTTTTTTTTTTTTTGCATAGTATAGCTTTAGCTATTCTGGGCCTTTTGTGATTCCATATAAATTTTAGGATTTTTTTTTTCTTTCTTTGAAGAATGACATCATTATTTTCATAAGGATTGCATTAAATCCATAGATTGCTTTGGGGAGTATGGACATTTTAACAATATTCATTCTTCCAGTCCATAAACATGGAATATATTTCCATTTTTTGTGTGTTCTTTACAATTTCTTGCATCAATATTTTATAGGTTTCATTGTAGAGATCTGTCACCTCTTTGGTTTTTTATTCCCAAGTATTTTATTTTACTTGTAAGTGTTACAAATGTGATCACTGTCTTGATTTCTTTTTCAGATTGTTTGCTGTTAGCATTTAGAAATGCTACTGATTTTTGTTTGTTGATTTTGTATCCTGCAACTTTACTGTTGATTAATTCTCAGTTTTTTGATAGAGTCTTTGGATTTTTCCAAAAGTAAGATCGTATCATCTGTAAACAAGTCATATGGTTTGTCTGTGTCCTCACCCAAATCTCATCTTGAATTGTAGCTCTCATAATTCCCAGGTGCTGTGTGAGGGACCTGATGGGAGATAATTGAATCATGGGGCAGTTTTCCCCATACTGTTCTCATGGTAGTGAATAAGTCTTATTACATCTGATAGTTTTATAAGGGGAAACCCCTTTTGTTTGGTTCTCATTTTCTCTCTTTTCTGCTGCTGTGTGAGATGTACCTTTCACCTTCTGCCATGATTGTGAGGCATCCCAGCCATGTGAAACTGTGAGTCCATTAAACCTCTTTTTATTTATAAGTTACCCAGTCTTGGCTATGTCTTTATCAGCAGCATGGAAACGAACTAATACAACAAGGATACTTAGGTCTTCCTTTCCAATTTGGATGCCTTTTATTTCTTTCTTTTGTCTGATTGCTGTAGATAGGACTTTCAGTACTTTGTTGAGTAACAATGGTGAAGATGAGCATCCTTGTCTTGTTCCATATCTTAGAGGAAAGGCTTTCAGGTTTTCCTCATTCAGCATACCAGCTGTGGGTAGGTTGTGTATACTTATTATACATATTACTGGGTTGAGGTATGTTATTTTTATACCCAGTTTTTTGAAGGTTTTTATTTTAGTCATGAAAGGATGTTGAATTTTATCAAATGTTTTTTCAGCATCAATTGAAATGATTACATGGTTTTTGTTCTTCATGATGTTGATATGAAATAGCACATTGATTGAATTGCATATATTAAAACATATTTGCATCCCTGAGATAAATCCCACTTGGTCATGATGAATAATCTTTCTAATGTGTTGTTGAATTTGATTCGCTAGTGTTTTGTGGAGGATGTTTGCAGCAACATTCCTCAGGGATATTGGCCTGTAGTTTTGTTTTTTTGAGGTGTCTGGTTTTAGTACCAGGGTAATAATTGCTGTGTAGAATGAATTTGGAAGTATTCCTTCCTCCTCTATTTTTCAGACCAATTTGAGTAAGATTGGTAGTAGTTCTTCTTTAAAATGTTTGGTAAAATTCAACAGTGAAGCCGTCGGGTCCTGGGCTTTTCTTTGCTGGGAGACCTTTTATTATGGCTTCAATCATATTAGTTGTTATTGGTCTATTCAGGTTTTTTATTTCTTCATTTTTCAATCTTGGAAAACTGTATGCCTCTAGGAAATTATCCATTTCTTCTAGGTTTTCCAGTTTATTGTCATATACTTGCTCATTGTTGCCTCTAATAATCCTTGGAATTTCTACAGTATCAGTTATAACGTCTCCTTTTTAAAAAAAATCTCTGATTGAGACACACATAGGCTCAAAATAAAGGGATGGAGGAAGATCTACCAAGCAAATGGAAAACAAAAAAAGACAGGGGTTGCAACCCTAGTCTTTGATAAAACAGACTTTAAACCAAAAAAGATCAGAAGAGACAAAGAAGGCCATTACAGAATGGTAAAGGGATCAATTCAACAAGAAGAGCTAACTATCTTAAACATACATGCACCCAATACAAGCGCACCCAGATTCATAAAGCAAGTCCTTAGAGACCTACAAAGAGACTTAGACTCCCACACAATAATAATGGGAGACTTTAACACCCCACTGTCAATGTTAGACAGATCCACGAGACAGAAAGTTAACAAGGATATCCAGGAATTGAACTCAGCTCTGCACCAAGTGCACCTAATAGATATCTACAGAACTCTCCACCCCAAATCAATAGAATATACATTCTTCTCAGCATCATATCACACCTTCCAAAGTTGACCACATAGTTGGAAGTAAAGCACTCTTCAGCAAATGTAAAAGAACAGAAATTATAACAAACTATCTCTCAGACCACAGTGCAATCAAACTAAAACTCAGGATTAAGAAACTCACTCAAAACCGCTCAACTACATGGAAACTGAACAACCTGCTCCTGAATGACTACTGGGTACATAACGAAATGAAGGCAGAAATAAAGATATTCTTTGAAACCAATGAGAACAAAGACACAACATGCCAGAATCTGTGGGACACATTTAAAGCAATGTGTAGAGGGAAATTTATAACATTAAATGCCCACAAGAGAAAGCAGCAAAGATGTAAAATTGACACCCTAACATCACAATTAAAAGAACTAGAGAAGCAAGAGCAAACACATTCAAAAGCTAGCAGAAGGCAAGAAATAACTAAGATCAGAGCAGAACTGAAGGAAATAGAGGCACAAAAAACCCTTCAAAAAATCAATGAATCCAGGAGCTGGATTTTTGAAAAGATCAACAAAACTGATAGACTGCTAGCAAGAATAATAAAGAAGAAAAGAGAGATGAATCAAATAGATGCAATAAAAAATGATAAAGGGGATATCACCACCAATCCCACAGAAATACAAACTACCATCAGAGAATACTGTAAACACCTCTATGCAAATAAACTAGAAAATCTAGAAGAAATGGATAAATTCCTCAACACATACACCCTCCCAAGACTAAACCAGGAAGAAATTGAATCTCTGAATAGACCAATAACAGGATCTGAAATTGAGGCAATAATTAATAGCCTGCCAACCAAAAAAAGTCCAGGACCAGACGGATTCACAGCCGAATTCTACCAGAGGTACAAGGAGGAGATGGTACCATTCATTCTGAAAATATTCCAATCAATAGAAAAAGAGGGAATCCTCCCTAACTCATTTTATGAGGCCAGCACCATCCTAATACCAAAGCCTGACAGAGACACAACAAAAAAAGAGAATTTTAGACCAATATCCCTGATGAACAGCGATGCAAAAATCCTCAATAAAATACTGGCAAACTGAATCCAGCAGCACATCAAAAAGCTTATCCACCATGATCAAGTGGGCTTCATCCCTGGGATGCAAGGCTGGTTCAACATATGCATATCAATAAACATAATCCAGCATATAAACAGAACCAAAAACAAAAACTACATGATTATCTCAATAGATTGAAAAAAAGGCCTTTGACAAAAGTCAACAGCCCTTCATGCTAAAAACTCTCAATAAATTAGGTATTGATGGGACGTTTCTCAAAATAAGAAGAGCTATCTATGACAAACCCACAGCCAATATCATACTGAATGGGCAAAAACTGGAAGCATTCCCTTTGAAAACTGGCACAAGACAGGGATGCCCTCTCTCACCACTCCTATTCAACATAGTGTTGGAGGTTCTGGCCAGGGAAATCAGGCAGGGGAAAGAAATAAAGCATATTCAATTAGGAAAAGAGGAAGTCAAATTTTCCCTGTTTGCAGATGATGTGATTGCATATTTAGAAAACCCCATAGTCTCAGCCCAAAATCTCCTTAAGCTCATAAGCAACTTCAGCAAAGTCTCAGGATACAAAATCAACGTGCAAAAATTGCAAGCATTCTTATACACCAATAACAGACAAACAGAGAGCCAAATCATGAGTGAATTCCCATTCACAATTGCTTCAAAGAGAATAAAATACCTAGGAATCCAACTTACAAGGGATGTGAAGGACCTCTTCAAGGAGAACTATAAACCACTGCTCAACAAAATAAAAGAGGACACAAACAAATGGAAGAACATTCCATGCTCATGGATAGGAAGAATCAATATCATGAAAATGGCCATACTGCACAAGGTAATTGATAGATTCAGTGCCATCCCCTTCAAGCTACAAAGGACTCTTCACAGAATTGGAAAAAACTACTTTAAAGTTCATATGGAACCAAAAAAGGCCCCGCATTTCCAAGACAATCCTAAGCAAAAAGAACAAAGCTGGAGGCATCACGCTACGTAACTTCAAACTATACTACAAGGCTATAGTAACCAAAACAGCATGGTACTGGCACCAAAATAGGGATATAGACCAATGGAACAGAACAGAGCCCTCAGAAATAATACCACACATCTACAACCATCTGACCCTTCACAAACCTGATAAAAACAAGCAATGGGGAAAGGATTCCCTATTTAATAAATGGTGCTGGGAAAACTGGCTCGTCATACGTAGAAAGCTGAAACTGGATCCCTTCCTTACACCTTATACAAAAATCAATTCGAGATGGATTAAAGACTTACATGTTAGACCTAAAACCATAAAAACCCTAGAAGAAAACCTAGGCAATACCATTCAGGACATAGGAATGGGCAAGGACTTCATGACTAAAACACCAAAAGCAATGGCAACAAAAGCCAAAATTGACAAATGGGATCTAATTAAACTAAAGAGCTTCTGCACAGCAAAATAAACTACCATCAGAGTGAACAGGCAACCTACAGAATGGGAGAAAATTTTTGCAATGTACTCATCTGACAAAGGGCTAATATCCAGAATCTACAAAGAACTCAAACAAATTTACAAAAAAAAACAAACAAACCCATCACAAAGTGGGCGAAGGACATGAACAGACACTTCTCAAAAGAAGACATTTATGCAGCCAACAGATACATGAAAAAATATCCATCACCACTGTCCATCAGAGAAATGCAAATCAAAACCACAGTGAGATACCATCTCACACCATTTAGAATGGCGATCATTAAAAAGTCAGGAAACAACAGGTGCTGGAGAGGATGTGGAGAAATAGGAACATTTTTACACTGTTGGTGGGACTGTAAACTAGTTCAACCATCGTGGAAGAAAGTGTGGCAATTCCTCAAGGATCTAGAACTAGAAATACCATTTGACCCAGCCATCCCATTACTGGGTATATACCCAAAGGATTGTAAATCATGGTACTATAATGACACATGCACACATATGTTTATTGTGGCACTATTCACAATAGCAAAGACTTGGAACTGATCCAAAAGTCCATCAATGATAGACTGGATTAAGAAAATGTGGCATATATACACCATGGAATACTACGCAGCCATAAAAAATGATGAGTTCATGTCATTTGTATGGACATGGATGAAGCTGGAAACCATCATTCTCAGCAAACTATCGCAAGGACAAAAAACCAAAACTGCATGTTCTCACTCATAGGTGGGAATTGAACAATGAGAACACTTGGACACAGGAAGGGGAACATCACACACCGGGGCCTGTTGTGGGGTCGGGGGAGGGGGCAGGATACCATTAGGAGATATACCTAACATAAATGACTAGTTAATGGGTACAGCACACCAACATGGCACATGTATAAATATGTAACAAACCTGCACGTTTTGCACATGTACCCTAGAGCTTAAAGTATAATTTAAAAAAAAGAAAATATATATATAAAAAAAGAAAGTACTTGCAAATCATGTATCTAACAAAGGACCTGAATTTAGAACATATAAAGAACTCTTATAACTCAATATATAAGAAAACAAACAATGCAATTTAAAAATGGACTAAACAAATAAATATTTCACCAAGAAGATATAAGAATGTTTAACAAGCATATGAACAGATGTTGGATGTCGTTGCTCACTGGAGAAATGCAAAGTAAAACCACAATGAGTTACTACTCGATACACTAGGATGGCTAAAATAGAAAAGATGGACAATAAAGAGTGTTCGAGACAATATGAAGCAATTGGAAATTTGCCGATGGGGATGGAGAATGGTACACCTACTTTGGAAAATAGTTTGATGGCTTCTGAAAAAATTAAACATAAACTCACCACAGAAACCAATAATTCCACTCTGAAGTGTCTATCCAAGAGAAATAAAATCAAGTATCTATACAAATAAAAGAAAATCTCTTATTTATTTATTTTGGGTTTTTTTTTTAGTCTGGCTAAAGCTTTGTCAATTTTTTTTAATCTTTTCTAAAGCCAACTTTTAATTTCATTGATCTTTTCTCTTTTTTTATTTCAATTTTATTCATTTGCGCTCTGATCTTCATTATTTGTTTTTTTCTACTAATTTTGGATTTAGCATGTTCTTGTGCTTTTAGTTGCGTCATTAAGTTGTTTATTGGATTTTTTTACCTTTTTGATATATTATTTCGATGTATTTATTGCTATAAACTTTCCTCTTGGGACTGCTTTTGCTGTATCCCACAGGTTTTGGAATGTTGTATTTCTACTTTCATTTGTATCAAAAAATGTTTCAACTCCCTTCTTAATTTCTTCATTACCTACCGGTCATTCAAGAGCATATTATTTCATTTCCATGTGATTTTATAGTTTTCAGTTTTCCTCTTGTTATTGATTTCTAGGTAAATTCCATTGCAGTCAGAGAAGATGCTTAATATTATTTCTTCTTTTTAAAAATTTTTCTGAAGACTTGTTTTGTGGCCTAACATATGATCTATTTTTGAAAGTGATTTATGTGCTGAGAAGAAGAATGTGTATTCTGTAGCCATTGGATGAAATGTTCACTAAATATCTACTAGGTCCATTTGGTCTATAGTGCAGATTAAGTCCAATGTTTCTGTGCTGATTTTCTGTCTGTATGATCTGTCCAGTGCTGAAAGTGGGGTGCTTAAATCTCCAGCTATTGGAGATCTGAGAACGGGCAGACTGCCTCCTCAAGTGGGTCCCTGACCCCTGACCGCTGAGCAGCCTAACTGGGAGGCAACCTCCAGCAGGGGCACACTGACACCTCACACTGCAGGGTACTCCAACAGACCTGCAGCTGAGGGTCCTGTCTGTTAGAAGGAAAACTAACAAACAGAAAGGACATCCACACCAAAAACCCAACTGTACATCACCATCATCAAAGACCAAAAGTAGATAAAACCACAAAGATGGGGAAAAAACAGAACAGAAAAACTGGAAACTCTAAAAAGCAGAGCGCCTCTCCTCCTCCAAAGGAACGCAGCTCCTCACCAGCAACGGAACAAAGCTGGATGGAGAATGACTTTGCCGAGCTAAGAGAAGAAGGCTTCAGATGATCAAATTACTCTGAGCTATGGGAGGACATTCAAACCAAAGGCAAAGAAGTTGAAAACTTTGAAAAAAATTTAGAAGAATGTATAACTAGAATAACCAATAGAGAGAAGTGCTTAAAGGAGCTGATGGAGCTGAAAACCAAGGCTCGAGAACTACGTGAAGAATGCAGAAGCCTCAGGAGCTGATGCGATCAACTGGAAGAAAGGGTATCAGCCATGGAAGATGAAATGAATGAAATGAAGCAAAAAGGAAAGTTTAGAGAAAAAAGAATAAAAAGAAACGAGCAAACCCTCCAAGAAATATGGGACTATGTGAAAAGACCAAATCTAGGTCTGATTGATGTACCTGAAAGTGATGGGGAGAATGAAACCAAGTTGGAAAACACTCTGCAGGATATTCTCCAGGAGAACTTCCCCAATCTAGCAAGGCAGTCCAACGTTTAGATTCAGGAAATACAGAGAACGCCACAAAGATACTCCTCGAGAAGAGCAACTCCAAGACACATAATTGTCAGATTCACCAAAGTTGAAATGAAGGAAAAAATGTTAAGGGCAGCCAGAGAGAAAGGTTGGGTTACCCTCAAAGGGAAGCCCATCAGACTAACAGCAGATCTCTCGGCAGAAACCCTACAAGCCAGAAGAGAGTGGGGGCCAATATTCAACATTCTTAAAGAAAAGAATTTTCAACCCAGAATTTCATATCCAGCCAAACTAAGCTTCATAAGTGAAGGAGAAATAAAATACTTTTCAGACAAGCAAATGCTGAGAGATTTTGTCACCACCAGGCCTGCCCTAAAAGAGCTCCTGAAGGAAACACTAAACATGGAAAGGAACAACCGGTACCAGCCGCTGCAAAATCATGCCAAATTGTAAAGACCATCGAGATTAGGAAGAAACTGCATCAACTAATCAGCAAAATCACCAGCTAACATCATAATGACAGGATCAAATTCACACATAACACTATTAACTTTAAATGTAAATGGACTAAATGCTCCAATTAAAAGACACAGACTGGCAAATTGGATAAAGAGTCAAGACCCATTAGTGTGCTGTATTCAGGAAACCCATCTCACGTGCGGAGACACACACAGGCTCAAAATAAAAGGATGGAGGAAGATCTACCAAGCAAATGAAAAACAAAAAAAGGCAGGGGTTGCAATCCTAGTCTCTGATAAAACAGACTTTAAACCAACAAAGATCAAAACAGACAAAGAAGGCCATTACATAATGGTAAAGGGATCAATTCATCAAGAAGAGCTAACTATCCTAAATATATATGCACCCAATACAGGAGCACCCAGATTCATAAAGCAAGTCCTGAGTGACCTACAAAGAGACTTAGACTTCCACACATTAATAATGGGAGACTTTAACACCCCACTGTCAACAATGGACAGATCAACGAGACAGAAAGTCAACAAGGATATCCAGGAATTGAACTCAGCTCTGCACCAAGCGGACCTAATAGACATCTACAGAACTCTCCACCCCAAATCAACAGAATATACATTTTATTCAGCACCACACCACACCTATTCCAAAATTGACCACATACTTGGAAGTAAAGCTCTCCCCAGCAAATGTAAAAGAACAGACATTATAACAAACTATCTCTCAGACCACAGTGCAATCAAACTAGAACTCAGGATTAAGAATCTCACTCAAAACCACTCAACTACATGGAAACTGAACAACCTGCTCCTGAATGACTACTGGGTACATAACGAAATGAAGGCAGAAATAAAGATGTTCTTTGAAACCAACGAGAACAAAGACACAACATACGAGAATCTCTGGGACGCATTCAAAGCAGTGTGTAGAGGGAAATTTATAGCACTAAATGCCCACAAGAGAAAGCAGGAAAGATCCAAAATTGACACCCTAACATCACAATTAAAAGAACTAGAAAAGCAAGAGCAAACACATTCAAAAGCTAGCAGAAGGCAAGAAATAACTAAAATCAGAGCAGAACAGTAGGAAATAGAGACACAAAAAAACCCTTCAAAAAATAAATGAATCCAGGAGCTGTTTTTTTGAAAGGATCAACAAAATTGATAGACCGCTAGCAAGAATAATAAAGAAAAAAAGAGAGAAGAATCAAATAGACACAATAAAAAATGATAAAGGGGATGTCACCACTGATCCCACAGGAATACAAACTACCATCAGAGAATTCTACAAAAACCTCTATGCAAATAAACTAGAAAATCTAGAAGAAATGGATAAATTCCTTGACACATACACTCTCCCAAGACTAAACCAGGAAGAAGTTGAATCTCTGAATAGACCAATAACAGGATCTGAAATTGTGGCAATAATCAATAGCTTACCAACCAAAAAGAGTCCAGGACCAGATGAATTCACAGCCGAATTCTGCCAGAGGTACAAGGCGGAACTGGTACCATTCCTTCTGAAACTATTCCAATCAATAGAAAAAGAGGGAATCCTCTCTAACTCATTTTATGAGGCCAGCATGATTCTGATACCAACGCCAGGCAGAGACACAACCAAAAAAGAGAATTTTAGACCAATATCCTTGATGAACATTGATGCAAAAATCCTCAATAAAATACTGGCAAACTGAATCCAGCAGCACATCAAAAAGCTTATCCACCATGATCAAGTGGGCTTCATCCCTGGGATGCAAGGCTGGTTCAATATACGCAAATCAATAAATGTAATCCAGCATATAAACAGAGCCAAAGAAAAAAACCACACGATTATCTCAATAGATGCAGAAAAGGCCTTTGACAAAATTCAACAACCTTTCATGCTAAAAACTCTCAATAAATTAGGTATTGATGGGACACATTTCAAAATAATAAGAGCTATCTATGACAAACCCACAGCCAATATCATACTGAATGGGCAAAAACTGGAAGCATTCCCTTTGAAAACCGGCACAAGACAGGGATGCCCTCTCTCACCACTCCTATTCAACATAGTGTTGGAAGTTCTGGCCAGGGCAATTAGGCAGGAGAAGGAAATAAAGGGTATTCAATTAGGAAAAGAGGAAGTCAAATTGTCCCTGTTTGCAGATGACATGATTGTATATCTAGGCAACCCCACTGTCTCAGCCCAAAATCTCCTTAAGCTGATAAGCAACTTCAGCAAAGTCTCAGGATACAAAATCAATGTGCAAAAATCACAAGCATTCCTACACACCAACAACAGACAAACAGAGAGCCAAATCATGAGTGAACTCCCATTCACAATTGCTTCAAAGAGAATAAAATACCTAGGAATCCAACTTACAAGGGATGTGAAGGACCTCTTCAAGGAGAACTATAAACCGCTGCTCAAGGAAATAAAAGAGGATACAAACAAATGGAAGAACATTCCATGCTCATGGGTAGGAAGAATCAATATCGTGAAAATTGGCCATAATGCCCAAGGTAATTTACAGATTCAATGCCATCCCCATCAAGCTACCAATGCCTTTCTTCACAGAATTGGAAAAAACTACTTTAAAGTTCATATGGAACCAAAAAAGAGCCCGCATCACCAAGTCAATCCTAAGCCAAAAGAACAAAGCTGGAGGCATCACACTACCTGACTTCAAACTATACTACAAGTTTACAGTAAACAAAACAGCATGGTACTGGTACCAAAACAGAGATATAGATCAATGGAGCAGAACAGAGCCCTCAGAAATAACGCCTCATATCTACAACTATCTGATCTTTGACAAACCTGAGAAAAGCAAGCAATGGGGAAAGGATTCCCTATTTAATAAATGGTGCTGGGAAAACTGGCTAGTCATATGTAGAAAGCTGAAACTGGATCCCTTCCTTACACCTTATACAAAAAATCAATTCAAGATGGATTAAAGACTTACATGTTAGACCTAAAACCATAAAAACCCTAGAAGAAAACCTAGGCATTACCATTCAGGACATAGGCATGGGCAAGGACTTCATGTCTAAAACACCAAAAGCAATGGCAACAAAAGCCAAAATTGACAAATGGGATCTAATTAAACTAAAGAGCTTCTGCACAGCAAAAGAAACTACCATCAGAGTGAACAGGCAACCTACAGAATGGGAGAAAATTTTTGCAATGTACTCATCTGACAAAGGGCTAATATCCAGAATCTACAATGCACTCAAAAACATTTACAAGAAAAAAACAAACAACCCCATCAAAAAGTGGGCAAAGGACATGAACAGACACTTCTCAAAAGAGGGCATTTATGCAGCCAAAAAACACATGAAAAAATGCTCACCATCACTGGCCATCAGAGAAATGCAAATCAAAACCACAAGGAGATACCATCTCACACCAGTTAGAATGGCAATCATTAAAAAGTCAGGAAACAACAGGTGCTGGAGAGGATGTGGAGAAATAGGAACACTTTTACCCTGTTGGTGGGACTGTAAACTAGTTCAACCATTGTGGAAGTCAGTGTGGCGATTCCTCAGGGATCTAGAACTAGAAATACCATTTGACACAGCCATCCCATTACTGGGTATATACCCAAAGGACTAGAAATCATGCTGCTATAAAGACACATGCACATGTATGTTTATTGCGGCATTATTCACAATAGCAAAGACTTGGAACCAACCCAAATGTCCAACAATGATAGACTGGATTAAGAAAATGTGGCACATATACACCATGGAATACTATGCAGCCATAAAAAATGATGATTTCGTGTCCTTTTTAGGGACATGGATGAAATTGGAAACCATCATTCTCAGTAAACTATCGCAAGAACAAAAAACCAAACACTGCATATTCTCACTCATAGGTGGGAATTGAACAATGAGATCACATGGACACAGGAAGGGGAACATCACACTCTGGGGACTGTTGTGGGGTGGGGGGAGGGGGGAGGGATAGCACTGGGAGATATACCTAATGCTAGATGATGAGTTAGTGGGTGCAGCACACCAGCATGGCACATGTATACGTATGTAACTGTCCTGCACAATGTGCACATGTACCCTAAAACTTAAAGTATAACAATAAAAAATAAATAAATAAATAAATAAATAAATAAATAAATAAATAAATCTCCAGCTATTATTGTTTTGGGATCTATTTCTCTCTTTAGCTCTAATGATATTTGCTTTATATATCTGTCCTCCAGTGTTGTGTATGTATATATTTACAATTGTTTTATTCTTCTGCTGATAGACCCCTTTATCATTACATAATGAATTTGTCTCTTTTTATAGCTTTTGTCTTGAAATATATTTTGTCTGATATAAGTATGGCTATTCTTGCTCTTTTTTGGTTTCCATTGACATGGAATATCATATTTTTTTCCATCCTTTTTTTTTAGTCTATGTGGGTCTTTATATTTCAAGAGTGTTTCTTGTAACCAACAGATCATTGCACACATTTTTAAAATCCATTCAGCCACTTTGTTTGATTGCAGACTTTAGTCCATTTACATTCAATGTTATTATTGATAAGTAAGGATTTATTATTGCCATTTTGTTATTTGTTTTCTGGTTGTTTTGTGGTCTTCTCTTCCATCCAACCTCCCTTCCTTCCTGTCTTCCTTCTTATGAAGGTGATTTTCTCTGGTGGTATGTTTTAATTTCTTGTTTTTAATTTTCTTTATGTATCTGTTGTAGGTTTTTTGATTTGAGGTTACCACGAGGCTTGCAAACAACTAGTAACTCATTATTTTAAACTGATGACAACTTAACACTGATTGTAAAAACAAACAAACAAGCAAAGAGAAAACTGAAAAAAACTCTAACTTTATGCCTCTGCTTTCTAAATTTTTGTTGTTTTTATTTATATCTGATACTATTTATATCTTAAAAAGTTGTTATTTTTGTTAGATTCATCTTTTAGTCTTTCTGCTCAAGATATAAGTAGTTTACACAAAATTACAGTGTCAAAATTTTCTGTGTTTGTGTACTTACTATTACCAGTGAGTTTTGTCCCTTCAGATGATTTCTTATTGCTTGTTGATGTCCTTTTCTTTCAGATTGAGGAACTCGGTTTAGCATTTCTTGGATGACAGCTTTAGTATTGATGAAATCCCTCAGCTATTGTTTGTCTGGGAAAGTCTTTATTTTTCCTTCATGTTTGAAGAATATTTTTTTCTGGGATATACTATTCTTGAATAAAAGTTTTGGTTTTTTTTTTCTTCAACACTTTAAATATGTCATGCCACTCTCTCCTGGCCTGTAAGTTTTCCACAGAGAAGTCTGCTGCCAGATGTATTGGAATGTGTTTGTATGTTGTTTATTTTCTTCTGGTGCTTTTAGGATCCTTTCTTAATCCTTGACTTTTGGGAGTTCGATTACTAAATGTCTTGAGGTAGTCTTACTTAGGTTAAATCTGCTTGGTGTTCTATAACCTTCTTGTACTCTAACATGAATATCTTTCCCTAGATTTAGAAAGTTCTCTGTTATCCCTTTGGATAAACTTTCTATTCGGATTTTTCTTTCTACCTTCTCTTCAGGTCCAACAACTCTTAGATTTGCCCTTTTGAGACTATCTTCCAGATCTTGTAGGCACGTTTCATTCTTTTTTATTCTTTCTCTTTTGTATCCTTTGACTGTGTTTTCAACTCTGACTTCAAGCTCACTAATTCTTCGCTTGATCCATTCTGCTGTTGACGCTGATGCGTTCTTCAGTTTGTCTGTTGAATTCTTTATCTCCAAAATTTTTGCTTGATTTAAAAAATTATTTCAATCTCTTTGTTAGATTTATCTGATAGGATTCTGAATTCCTTCTCTATGTTATCTTGAATTTTGTTGAGCTTCCTCAAAACTATTTCAATTACCCTCTCTGAAATGTTACATATCCTTGTCACTCTGAGATTGGTCTTTAGTGCCTTATTTAATTCATTTGATGAGGTCATGTTTTCCTGAATGGTCTTGATGCTTGTAGATGTTTGTCAATGTCTGAGCATTAAAGAGTTGGGTATTTATTGTAGTCTTAGCTGTCTGGGCTTGCTTGTACCCACACAACTCAGGAAGGCTTCCCAATTATTCAAAGGGAATTGAGTGTTGTGACCTAAGTCTTTGGTCACTGTAGCTGTCTCTGCATTAGGAGGCACCCCAAGCCCAGTAATTGTCTAAATCTTGCAGTCTTGTAGAGGTATTGCCTTGGTGGTTTTGAGTAAGATCTGAGAGAACTGCCTGGATTATCGGGCAGAGACTGTTGTTCTCTTCTCTTACATTTCCCCAAATAAATGGAGTCTCTCTCTTACTGCTGAGCTGATTGGAGCTAGAGGAAGGGTGACACAAGCAACCCTGTGGCCACTACCACTGGGACAGCACTGGGTCAGACCTGAAGCCATTACAGCACTGGGTCTTACCCAAGGCCTGTGGCGACAACTGCCTTGCTACCGCCAACGTTTACTTAAGGCCCAAGTGCTTTTTAGTCAGTAGATGATGAGTCCAGCCAGGAGTGTATCCTTCCCTTCAGGGCAGCGAGCTACCCCTAGCTCAGAGTGGGTCCAGAAATGCCATCCAGGAGCCAGGGCCTGGAGTCAGGAACCTTAGGAACCTACTTGGTGCTTTTTTCTACTGCACTTGAGCTGGCACCAAAGCCACAAGAAATGTTCCTTCCACGTTTCTCTCTTCTTTCCTCAAGCAGAAGGACTCTCTCCCCATGGCCACCACCACCCTAATCCTGCAATGAGTACTGCCTGGCTACCAATAATGATCATTCAAGGCCCAAGGTTTCTTCAGTCATCTTGTGGTTAATGCTGCCAAGCCTGGGTCTTTCCCTTCAGGGAAGTAGGCTCCCCTCTAACTCAGGGAAAGTCAAGAAATGCCATCCAGGAGCTAAGGTCTGAAATTGGAAAACCTAGAAGCCCACTTAGTATTCTACCCCACTGTGGCTGAGCTGGTGTTGAAGCTGCAAGACCATGAACCTTTTACTCTTCTCTCTCCTTTCCTCAATCAGAATGGGTCTCTCCTCATAGCACCATAGCTGGGAAGGTGCTGGGTCATACCTGAAGTTAGCATGGCTTTGAGTCTCACCCAAGGCCCTGGTACCCACTGCTGATTATTTAGGGCCCAAGGGACCTTTAATCAGCAGGTCACGAATCCTGCCAGGACTAGGTCCTTCCCTTCAAGGCAGCAGGTATCCTTCTGGTCCATGGTGTGCCTAGAAATGCCATCTGGAAGCCAGGACCTGGAATAGGGGTCTCAGGAATCTTCCTGGTGCCCTATTTTACTGGCTGAGTGGGTTTCCAAGTTGCAAGACAAAGTCCTCTTTACTCTTCCCCTCCTCTTCTCAAGCAGAAGGAAGGAGTTTCTCCTGGACCTGTGAGCTGTGCTGCCTGGGATTGAGGGAGAGGTGATGCAAGGACTCCCTTTGCAGTCCCAGCTGGTGTCTCATTAGGTCATGAGTACCCAAAGTCCACTTGCTCTGAGCTAAGCCAAGCACCAGGCTTTGCCCAGGAATTGCAGTCTTTGTGACCTAGACTGTCTTTCATGTTTATTTATAACCCAGGACACTTTAGCCTATAATGGCGGGACTAGCTGGAACTCAGTTTCTGACTGCTAGGATGGATGATTCCCCTTGGGCTAGGGCTGGTCTAAATGCTTCTTCTGTGGGCGCTGGTTGAATTGTGCCCTGTGTTGCTTTCCGTTGTGACAAGGAGCACCATGTTCTACTGCAAAGTCCTACAATTACTGTGCTCTCTCTCCCCTACATGTACAGATTCTCTCTCCATATCATGTGGCTGCTGCTGGGGTTGGGGGAAGAATAGCGTCAGTAATTCAAGAATGTCTTCTCTTGTCTTTTCTACCCTCTTCAGTACCTCCTTCCTTGCTATGATGTTAAAACCAGGTACTGTGATTGCTCACATTATTTTTTTCTTATGAAGGTGCTTTCTTACGTGGATATTTGTGCAAATTGTGTTCCTATGGGGTGAGGGAAGGTGATCACTAGAGGCTTCTATTCAGCCACCTTGCTCCCCCTATTCCCTGAATAATTTTATCACTCCAAGATACTATTGTTAAAAATCCTAACCTACTTAGTATTTCATCATCTTGTGATGAAATAGAATCCCATTAAAAAGAAGGCTAGATGGAACACAAAAACCATAAGAGGAAAGAAAAAAGAAACAATGAAACTTCATCAAAAATAAAATTTCTGCTCATCAAAAGATAACTTATTTGAAAATTGATGTGTACAATCCACCAAATCAATAGGCTAAGAAAAAAAATTATATAGTATCAGTACATGTAGAAAATCTTTTTACAAAGTTCAACACCACTTCAAATAAATATGAAGAAGTGCAACCTATTGTTAGGTTGGTGCAAAAGTAATTACAGTTTTTGCCATTAAAAATAATTTTATGACAAAAATTTAATATCTTTAATGGCAAAAACCACAGTTACTTTTGCACCAACCTAAGAGGATAGAATATTTTAAAAAAAAAAACAAAACAAAACCCTGACTTTCTAGCCTCTGGTGCTGAAAAGGGTAAAAAAAAAAAATAATCTCAGCAAACTAGAAGTAGAGAGGAGCTTCCTCAACTGATGAGCATCTGTAAAAAGTCCTATATCTGACATCATACTTAGTGGTGAGAAACTAAATGCTTTTCTGCTAAAATCAGGAATAAGGCAAGGATGTCCCTTCTCTGTCAGGCCTCTGAGCCCAAGCTAAGCCATCATATCCCCTGTGACCTGCACATACACATCCATATGGCCGGTTCCTGCCTTAACTGATGACATTCCACCACAAAAGAAGTGAAAATGGCCTGTTCCTGCCTTAACTGATGACATTGTCTTGTGAAATTCCTTCTCCTGGCTCATCCTGGCTCAAGAGCTCCCCTACTGAGCACCTTGTGACCCCCACTCCTGCCCGCCAGAGAACAACCCCCCCCCTTTGACTGTAATTTTCCTTTACCTACCCAAATCTTATAAAATGGCCCCATCCCTATCTCCCTTTGCTGACTCTATTTTTGGACTCAGCGCACCTGCACCCAGGTGAAATAAACAGCTTTATTGCTAACACAAAGCCTGTTTGGTGGTCTCTTCACATGGACGTGAGTAAAATTTGGTGCCGTGATTCAGACTGGGGGACCTCCCTTGGGAGATCAATCCCCTGTCCTCCTGCTCTTTGCTCCATGAGAAAGATCCACCTACAACCTCTGGTCCTCAGACCAACCAGCCCAAGGAACATCTCACCAATTTTAAATCCGGTAAGTGGCCTCTTTTTACTCCCTTCTCCAACCTCTCTCACTATCCCTCAACCTCTTTCTCCTCTCAATCTTGGTGCCACACTTCAGTCTCTCCCTTCTCTTAATTTCAATTCCTTTTATTTTCTGGTAGAGACAAACGAGACACGTTTTATCTGTGGACCCAGAAACTCCGGCGCCAGTCACGGACTAGGGAAGGTGGCCTTCCCTTGGTGTTTAATCATTGCAGGAATGCCTCTCTGATTATTCACACAGGTTCAGAGGTGTCAGACCATGCAGGGACACCTGCCTTGGTCCTTCACCCGTAGCGGCAAGTACTGCTTTTCTGGAGGAGGGGCAAGAATGCTTCAACCCCTTCTCCTTCACCCTTAGCGGCAAGTCCCACTTTTCTGGGAGAGGGGCAGGAACCCTGACCTCTTATCTCTGCACCCTGATCCGTTATTTCTGTGCTCCAACCTCCCTTCTCCATGTCTCTACTCTCTTTTCTCTGGGCTTGCCTCCTTCACTATGGGCAAGATTCTACCTTCCATTCCTCCTTCTTCTCCCTTAGCCGGTGTTCTTAAGATCTTAAAACCTCTTCAAATCTCACCTGACCTAAAATCTAAGCATCTTATTTTCTTCTGCAACACCGCTTGACCCCAATACAAACTCGACAGTAGTTCCAAATAGCTGGAAAATGGCACTTTCAATTTTTCCATCCTACAAGATCTAAATAATTATTGTCATAAAATAGGCAAATGGTCTGAGGAGCCTGACGTCCAGGCATTCTTTTACACATTGTCCCTCCCTAGTCTCTGTTACCAATGCAACTCGTCCCAAATCTTCGTTCTTTCCCTCCCACCTGTCCCCTCAATCCCAACCCCAAGCATCCCTGAGTCTTTCTAATCTTTCTTTTCTACAGACCCATCTGACCGCTCCCCTCCTCGCCAGGCTGAGCTAGGTCCTAATTCTTCTTCAACCTCTGCTCCTCCACCCTATAATCCTTTTATCACCCCACCCTCCTCACACCCTGTCCGGCTTACAGCTTTGTTCCGTGACTAGCCCTCCCCCACATGCCCAGCAATTTACTCTTAAAAAGGTGCCTGGAGCTAAAGGCATAGTCAAGGTTAATGCTCCTTTTTCTTTATCCCAAATCAGATAGCATTTAGGCTCTGTTTCATCAAATATAAAAATCCAGCCCAGTTCATGGCTCGTTTGACAGCAACCCTGAGACACTTTACAGCCCTAGACCCTAAAAGGTCAAAAGGTCATCTTATTCTCAATATACATTTTATTACCCAATCTGCTCCGGACATTAAATGAAACTCCAAAAATTAAATTCTGGCCCTCAAACCCCACAACAGGACTTAATTAACCTCACCTTCAAGGTGTACAATAATAAAGTAGAGGCAGCCAAGTAGCAACATATTTCTGAGTTGCAATTCCTTGCCTCCACTGTGAGACAAACCCCAGCCACATCTCCAGCACACAAGAACTTCCAAACACCTGAACCGCAGCAGCCAGGCGTTCCCCCAGAACTGCCTCCCCCAGGAGCTTGCTACAAGTGCCAGAAATCTGGCCACTAGACCAAGGAATGCCCACAGCCCAGGATTCCTCCTAAGCTGTGTCCCATCTGTGCAGGACCCCACTGGAAATTGGTCTGTTCAACTCACCTGGCAGCCACTCCCAGAGCCCCTGAAACTCTGGCCCAAGGCTGACTGACTCCTTCCCAGATCTTCTTGGCTTAGCGGCTGAAGCCTGACGCTGCCCGATTGCCTCAGAAGCCCCGTAGACCATCTCAGACACTGAGCTTTAGGTAACTCTCACAGTAGAAGGTAAGTCCGTCCCCTTCTTAATCAATACAGAGGCTACCCACTCCACATTACCTTCTTTTCAAGGGCCTGTTTCCCTTGCCTCCATAACTGTTGTGAGTACTGAAAGCCAGGCTTCTAAACCTCTTAAAACTCCCCAACTCTGGTGTCAACTTAGACAATACTCTTTTTAGCAGTCCTTTTTAATTATCCCCACCTGCCCAGTTCCCTTATTAGGCTGAGACACTTTAACTAAATTATCTGCTTCCCTGACTATTCCTGGACTACAGCTACATCTCATTGCCGCCCTTCTTCCCAATCCAAAGCCTCCTTTGCATCCTCCTCTTGTATGCCCCCACCTTAACCCACAAGTATAAGATACCTCTACTCCCTCCTTGGTGACCGATCATGCACCCCTTACCATCTCATTAAAACCTAATCACCCTTACCCAACTTAATGGCAATATCCCATCCCACAGCATGCTTTGAAAGGATTAAAGCCTGTTATCACTCACCTGCTACAGCATGGCCTTTTAAAGCCTATAAACTCTCCTTACAATTCCCCCATTTTATCTGTCCTAAAACCAGACAAGCCTTACAAGTTAGTTCAGGATCTATGCCTAATCAACCAAATTGTTTTGCCTATCCACCCCATGGTGCCAAACCCATATACTCTCCTATCCTCAATACCTCCCTCCACAATCCATTATTCTGTTCTGGATCTCAAACATGCTTTCTTTACTATTCCTTTGCACCCTCCATCCCAGCCTCTCTTTGCTTTCACCTGGACTGACCTGACACCCATCAAGCTCAGCTAATTACCTAGGCTGTACTGCCGCATAGCTTCACAGACGGCCCCCATTATTTCAGTCAAGCCCAAATTACTTCCTCATCTGTTACCTATCTCCGCATAATTCTCATAAAAACACACGTGCTCTCCCTGCTGATCGTGTCTGGCTAATCTCCCAAACCCCAATCCCTTCTACAAAACAACAACTCCTTTTCTTCCTGAGCATGGTTGGATACTTTTGCCTTTGGATACCTGGTTTTGCCATCCTAACAAAACCATTATATAAACTCACAAAAGGAAACCTAGCTGACCCCATAGATCCTAAATCCTTTCCCCACTCCTGTTTCCATTCCTTGAAGACAGCTTTAGAGACTGCCCCCACCTTAGCTCTCCCTGACTCATCCCAACACTTTTCATTACACACAGCTGAAGTGCAGGGCTGTGCAGTCGGAATTCTTACACAAGGACTGGGATTGCGTCCTGTAGCCTTTTTGTCCAAACATCTTGACCTTACTGTTTTAGGATGGCCTTCAGGTCTCCGTGCAGTGGCTGCTGCTGCCCTAATACTTTTAGAGGCCCTTAAAATCACAAACTATGCTCAACTCACTCTCTACAGCTCTCATAATTTCCAAAATCTATTTTCTTCCTCACACCTGACACATATACTTTCTGCTCCCCGGCTCCTTCAGCTGTACTCACTCTTTGTTAAGTCTCCCACAATTATCATTGTTCCTGGCCCGGACTTCAATCTGGCCTCCCGCATTATTCCTGATACCACACCTGACCCCTATGACTGTATCTCTCTGATCCACCTGACATTCACCCCATTTCCCCATATTTCCTTCTTTCCTGTTCCTCACCCTGATCACGCTTGGTTTATTGATGGCAGTTCCACCAGGCTTAATGGCCACACACCAGCAAAGGCAGGCTATGCTATAGTACAAGCCACTAGCCCGCCTCTTAGAACCTCTCATTTCCTTTCCGTTGTGGAAATCTATCCTCAAGGAAATAACTTCTCAGTGTTCCATCTGCTATTCTACTACTTCTCAAGGGTTATTGAGGCCCCTTCCCTTCCCTACACATCAAGCTCAGGGATTTGCCCCCACCCAGGACTGGCAAATTAGCTTTACTCAACATGCCCTGAGTCAGGAAACTAAAATACCTCTTGGTCTAGGTAGACACTTTCACTGGATAGGTAGAGGCCTTTCCCACAGGGTCTAAGAAGGCCACCATAGTCATTTCTTCCCTTCTGTCAGACACAATTACTCGGTTTGGCCTTCCCACCTCTATGCAGTCTGATAGTAGATCGGCCTTTATTAGTCAAATCAGCCAAGCAGTTTTTCAGGCTCTTGGTATTCAGTGAAACCTTTTTATCCCTTACAGTCCTCAGTCTTCAGGAAAAGTAGAACGGACTAATGGTCTTTTAAAAACACACCTCACCAAGCTCAGCCACCAACTTGAAAAGGACTGGACAGTACTTTTACCAGTTTCCCTTCTCAGAATTCAGGCCTGTCCTTGGAATTCTACAAGGTACAGCCCATTTGAGCTCCTGTATTGATGCTCCTATTTATTAAGCCCCAGTCTCATTCCAGACACCAGACCAACTTGGACTGTGCCCAAAAAAACTTGTCATCCCTACTATCTTCTGTCTAGTCATACTCCTATTCACCGTTCTCAACTACTCATACATGCCCTGCTCTTGTTTACACTGCCGGTTTACACTGTTTATCCAAGCCATCACAGCTGATATCTCCTGGTGCTATCCCCAAACTGCCACTGTTAACTCTTAAAGTAAATAAATAATCTTTGCTGGCAGGACTATGCTGAATCTCCTTAGGCACTCTCTAATTAGATGTCCTGGGTCCTCCCAATTCTTAGTCCTTTAATACCTGTATTTCTCCTTCTCTTATTCCGTTTAGTTTTTCATTCCATACAAAACCATATCCAGGCCATCACAAATAATTCTACATGACAAATGTTTCTCTAACCACCCCACAATAATCACCCCTTACCACAAAATCTTCCTTCAGCTTAATCTCTCCCCCTCTAGGTTCCCACGCCGCCCCTAATCCTGCCCAAAGCAGCCCTGAGAAACATCGCCCATTATCTCTCCATACCATCCCCCAAAATTTTCGCCATCCCAACACTTTACCACTATTTTGTTTTATTTTTCTTATTAATATAAGAAGACAAGAATATCAGGCCACTGAGCCCAAGCTAAGCCATCATATCCCCTGTGACCTGCACATACACATCCATATGGCCGGTTCCTGCCTTAACTGATGACATTCCCCCACAAAAGAAGTGAAAATGGCCTGTTCCTGCCTTAACTGATGACATTGTCTTGTGAAATTCCTTCTCCTGGCTCATCCTGGCTCAAGAGCTCCCCTACTGAGCACCTTGTGACCCCCACTCCTGTCCGCCAGAGAACAACCCCCCTTTGACTGTAATTTTCCTTTACCTACGCAAATCTTATAAAACGGCCCCACCCCTATCTCCCTTTGCTGACTCTCTTTTTGGACTCAGCGCACCTGCACCCAGGTGGAATAAACAGCTTTATTGCTCACACAAAACTTGTTTGGTGGTCTCTTCACATGGACGCGAGTGAAATTCTCACCAATTTTATTTAACATAGTACTAGAAGTCCTGGCTGATCCAATAAGATAGGAAAGGAAATAAAACATACATAGTTTGGGAAGGAAAAAAAAATGTCTTTATTCACAGATGACACAGTTGTCTACATATAGAAAATCCCAATCAACAAAAAACTTCCTGGAACTAATAAGTGATTACAGCAAGTTTGCAGGGAATAAGATTAATGTACAAAAATCAATTGCTTTCTTATATGCCAATAATGAACACATAGAATTTGAAGTTTAAAGCATAACATTTATATTAACACAAAATTAAATACTTAGATATAAATCTAACAAGTATATTTAAGATCTCTATGAGGAAAACTATAAAACTTTGATGAAGGAAATAAAAAAGAGCTAAATATAAGAAAAAATACTCCATATATATGGATAAGAAGTCTCAATATTGCCAAAATGTCAGTCTTTCCCAATCTGATCTACAGATTCAATGTAATCCCAAACAAAATGTAAGCAAATTATTTTGTGTCTATCAACAAATGATTCTAAAGTTTACATGGAAAGGCCAATAGACCCAAATATTGAAGGACAACAAATTCAGAGGACGGTTATAACCCAGCTTCAAGAATTGCTTATAAAGCTACGTCAATCAAGAAAGTGTGGTATTAGTGAAAGAATAGATGAACAGATGAATGGAACAGAATAGGGAGCTTAGTAGCTTACCTGCATAAATATAGTCAACCGATCTTTGACAAAGGAACAAAGTATTAAATGAAGAAAGGACAGAGCTTCAACAAATGGTGCTGGAACTATCAACTATCTACATCCAAAAAAATCCCAAGAATCTAGACACAGATCTTACATCTTTCATAAAAAGTAACTCAAAATTAACTCAAGACTTACAGGCAAAACTATAAAACTATTACATAACATGGGGGGAAATCTAGGTGACCTTGGGTTTGTTGATTTTTTTTAGATACAATATGAAAAGCATAATCCATGAAAGAAAAAACTGATACATTATACTTCATTAAAATTTTAAAACTTCTCTGCAAAAGACAGCTATTAGAATGAAAGGACAAAGCACAGACTTGGAAAAATCTTTCCAAATATGTATCTGATAAAGGACAAGTATCCAAAATATAAAAAGAACTTTTAAAACTCAACAACAAGAAAGTAAACAATCTGATTAAAAAACAGGCAAAAGATCTAAACAGTCACCCCGCCAACAATGCAGATACAGATAGCAAAAAAGCATATGAAATATTACTCACCATTGAATACTATCAGGGAATTGCAAATCAAAACAAAATACCAGTGCACACCTATTAGAATGACTGAAATCCAAAACACTGTTAACATCAAATGCTAGCAAGGATGTGAGGCAACAGGAACTCTTACTCATTTCTTGTAGGAATGCAAAATGAAACAGCCACTTTGGAAGACAGCTTAGCAACTTCTTACCAAACTAAACATACCCTTATTATATAATCCAGCAAATATGCTCCTTGGTATTTGCCCAAAGGAGTTGAAAACTTATATCCACATAGAAATGTGCACACAGATGTTTATAGCAGCTTTATTCATAATTGAAAGTAGCTAAGATATCCTTCAATAGATGAATGGACAGACAAACTGTAGTATAATATATAGCTATAATGGTATATTATTCAGTAATAAAAGGAAATAAGCTATCAAGTCATTAAAAGACATAGGGGAATCTTAAATGCATATTGCTGAATGAAAAAAGTCAATCTGAAAAAACTACATACTGTATGATCCCAACTTTATGACATACTGAAAAAGGCAAAAGCTACAGAGACAGTAAAAAGATAAGTGGTTATGAGGGATTCTGGGTGAAAGAGGGAGGGATGAATAGGTGGAGCACGGGGTATTTTTAGGGCAGTGAAACCATTCTATATAATACTGTAATGGTGGGCACATGTCATTGTACATTTGTCAAAACTTACAAATGTACAGTGCAAAGAATGAACCCTAATGTAAACCATGAACTTTATTTAACAATAATGCATCAATATTGGCTCATCAGTTTTAACAAATGGACCATACTAACACAAGGTGTTAGAAATAGGAGAAACTGTGTAAGGATGTGGCAGGTGGGGGGCATCTATATGGGAACATTCTGTACTTTCTGCTCAATTTTTCTTTAAGCTTAAAACTGCTATGAAAATATAGTTTATTAATTAAGAGATAGCTTAAGAAAATGAGTAAACAGGCAACAGATTGAAAACACAATACATACATTTGATAGTATATATATATATATATTTGACAAATGAATTGCATCTAGATATATAAAGAACTCCTAAAAATTAATAAAAGATGGATGGCCTAATAAACATGGAGGAAAGGACTAACATATACCTCACAAAAGAAGAGATATTAACAGTCAATAGGTACATGAAAAAAATCCACAATGAGTTAACACTTCACATCCATAAGAAAGGCTAATATTAAAAAAAAATTGTTGAGAATATAGAGAAACTGGAACTCTCATACATTGCTGGTGGAAATGTAAAATGATACAAATTCCTCGGTTTGGCTGTTTCTTATAAACATTCTCAGCTGATGACCAAGCAATCCTACTCAGTGGTTTGGAATAAAAACATATGTTCATACAAAGACCTACATGTACATCTTTATAGCAGCATTATTATTAATAGTTAAAAAGCAGAAACAAAATATGCTCAATTTGTTAATAAATACATTGTGGTATATGTTTGAAATGTAATACTTCTCAGCAATAAAAGTTGAATGAACTGCTTGTCATGCAAAAGTCTCAAAAATATTTTGTTAAGCGAAAGAAATCAGAACCTGAAAAATACATGCTGTGTGATCCATTTATATGAAATCCAAATATATATAACTAATCCATTGTGATAGAAATTAGATAATAATTTCACAAGGGAAATTGGATGGAAAAGGTCATGAGGACACTTTCTGGGAAATATTCTATATCTTGTTTAGAGTGATCATTATATGAGCTTATACAATTGTCAAAAATCATTAAACGGAAGACTTAAGATCTGTGAATTGTGTGTTAATTATAGCTGAATAAAAATGCCCAGAGGCCAGCACAATAAAATATATTTACATAAATTCAAATGTACTCTACTGTACAATGAGGGTAATCCTTTGTTTCCAAACTAATTTTTTTAGAGACAGATTAAAATATTTTATTATATTTCTATTACTTTTAGAGATTCCTATCCTGAGAGAGTTTCATTCTATATTAATATACACAAAACTAAATATCCCAGAAGAGAACCATGCAGTGTTCTAAAGTGTCAGACATAAACACAGGTTATACCTGACAAAGGATCTCACAGATTTCTTTTTCACCCAAAACTAGAGAAATTGATGAACTTCTATAGAGAAGCTATATTTTTACCACTATTATTATCTTAAAAATGTAAAATTTGAAACAGAAAAAGAATAAACAACTTAGTGAGGGCTCCATTTTCACTGAAAAGTGATATTTCTTCAAAGTTGAAAGCATTTTGAGCTTTTCTGAGGCCTCCATATACTCTCGTAAGTTTTTATGGTCTCATGTAAGCTTTTTTGAGTGAATTTCTACTCCTTCCATCAAATAATAACTCAACAGAGTGTCCAAATAATTCTCTAAGAAACCAGGAGCTTGAAGGAAAATTCAGTGATCATCTCTCCATATCCAACCACTGAATAGTTGAAATATATTAATTTCTCAGGTGAAAAAAAGTAACTGAATGAGAGCCCAGTATTGAATTAAATAAGGTATCTTCCAAATCCTGGTGGAATTTTCTCAGAATGAAAATGTATAAAAACTAAGGCTGAGAATAAATTATAACTATATTGCAATTGAGGCACAAATGCTAAACTATATCCTATAGTATACATCAACCAAATTCTTGATTAATCTGATGGGTTGAAAAATATTTTTAAATATCTTGATCTTGTCTCAATTTATGCCCAGTGGGTAGAGACTCGATTGGTGCTGATAACAATAGTAAAAATAATGGTAAAATATTGCTTCTTCGAGTAATTTCAAAGTTAGATGCCTATAATTTAAGGTTTGTGCTTCTTCTTTGGCTTCACCAACTCAGGGATTCCAGATATGGTCTTCTGCATACTCTTTTCCTGGCTACTCCCATTCAGGCCTCAAGCTCAATGTCTCTTTTTCAAAGAAACCTTTCTAGACTGCTCCATGTTACTCCTTCTACTAGATTGATCTCAAGTCACATGCTCTCATAACAACTTGTAATTTTCCGTTGAACGTATTATAATTTTCATTACATAACTATCATTGTGATGATAGTGGCATACCGAATCCAGCAGCACATCAAAAAGCTTATTCACCACGATCAAGCCAGCTTCATCCCTGGTATGCAAGGCTGGTTGAACATCTGCAAATCAATAAACGTAATCCATCACATAAACAGAACCAGTGACAAAAACCACATGATTATCTCAATAGATGCAGAAAAGGCCTTCGATCAAATTCAACACCGCTTCATGCTAAAAACTCTCAATAAACTAGGTACTGATGGAACGTATCTCAAAATAACAAGAGATATTTATGATAAACCCACATCCAATATCATACTGAATGGGCAAAAGCTGGAAGCATTCCCCTTCAAAACTGGCACAAGACAAGGATGCCCTCTCTCACCACTCCTATTCAACATAGTATTGGAAGTTCTGGCCAGGGCAATCAGGCAAGATAAACAAATAAAGTGTATTCAAATAGGAAGAAAGGAATTCAAGTTGTCTCTGTTTGCAGATGACATGATTTTATATTTAGAAAACCCCATGGTCTCAGCCCAAAATCTCCTTAAGCTTATAAGCAACTTCAGCAAAGTCTCAGGATACAAAAATCAATGTGCAAAAAAATCACAAGCATTCCTATACACCAGTAGTAGACAGAGAGCCAAATCATGAGTGAACTCCCATTCACAATTGCTACAAAGAGAATAAAATACCTAGGAATCCAACTTCCAAGGGATGTGAAGGACCTCTTCAAAGAGAACTACAAACCACTGCTGAAGGAAATAAGAGAGGACACAAACAAATGGTAAAACATTGAATGCTCATGGATAGGAAGAATCAATATCATGAAAATGGCCATATTGCCCAAAGTAATTTATAGATTCAATGCTATCCCCATCAAGCTACCACTGACTTTCTTCATAGAATTAGAAAAAAACTACTTTAAATTTCATATGGAACCAAAAAAGAGCCTGTATAGCCAAGACAATCCTAAGCAAAAAGAACAAAGCTGGAGGCATCATGCTACCTGACTTCAAAATATACTACAAAGCTATGGTAACCAAAACCACATCGTACTGGTACCAAAACAGATATATAGACCAATGGAATAGAATAGAGGCCTCAGAAATAACACCACACATCTGCAACCATCTGATCTTTGAGAATCCTGATACAAACAAGCAATGGAGAAAGAATTCCCTATTTAATAAATGGTGTTGGGAAAACTGGCTAGCCATATGCAGAAAACTGAAACTGGACCCCTTTCTTATACCTTATACAAAAATTAACTCAAGATGGATTAAAGACTTAAATGTAAGACCTAAAACCATAAAAAAAAACCTTAGAAGAAAACCTAGGCAATACCATTCAGGCCATAGGCACGGGCAAAGACTTCATGACTAATACACCAAAAGCAATGGCAATTAAAGCCAAAATTGACTTAATTAATATGTTTCTATCACTTATTCTATCTAAAGTTCCATAAGGGCAATGATCTTTTTAACCTAGTCATCACTGTAGCTCCAGTCTTTGACATTGTATAATTACTGAGTAAGTATTTGCTGAGTGAATGAATCATCATTGGAAGAAAGATAACAAAATAGTTACAGAATTGGCTTCAAGATAGACATATAAATCAATAAAAAACAATCAAGTACACAAATAAACCCACTTTTAGATAGATCACTGTTTAGAGATACACTCCACAACTATTTCCAATGCCAGGACTTTATAATTTGCACTAATTAGAGAGATATTTTGGACATTTCAAATCCTTCACAAAATTCTATGCTAGCGTCCTATATAAGATACCAAAGTCAGAAGAAAGAAATCACATTTTTAGAATACAACACTCGCATTAGCATTAGTCATTGGATTCCAAGTTCTTTTTTATATATAGATATCCCATTGTTTCAGTATCATTTGCCAAAGCACTTTTCCCACTGCATTGTCTTTGCTCCGTTATCAGAAATCAGTAATTTATCTAAATGTGCATGTATTTGTGGACTTTATTATTTTCTATTGTTTTACATGTCTATCTTGAAGCCAATTCTATAACATTTTGATTATTGATTCTTGAAATCGGGTAGTATTAGCCTTCTAACTCTTTCTTCTTCAAAAAAATTTTTTTGGCTATTCTAGGCCGTTTGCATTTCCATGTGAATTTTATAATTAATTTTTCAATTTCTACAAAAAGTCTGTTAACATTATAAATGGATTGCATCCAATCTTTAGATCAATTTGGAGAGAATTGATTTCTTAACATTATTGAGTTTTCTGACTCATGAGCCAAAATATATATCTTCATTCCTTTAAATTTTCTTTAATTTCTTTCCGCAGTATTTTATAGTTTTCAATGTGATGGCTTCTCACATATTTTGCCAACTTTACGCTACAGTATTTTAATATATTTTGTACTATTGTAACTAACATAAAATTATTTATTTAGAATTTCATTTCCTGACTGTCCATTGTTAGTATATAGAAATACAACTGGTTCTAAATATTAATATTATATCCTTCAATCTTCCAAAAATCTAAGATTCCATGTCAGTTGATAAAGATTTCCTTGAAGTTAATTAACACTGAAAGCAAGAGACTCCGCAACTATTTCCAATGGCAGGCCATTACAATTTGCACTAATTAGAGAGATCTTTTGGACATTTTTTTTTTTTTTTTTTTGAGACGGAGTTTCGCTCTGTCGCCCAGGCTGGAGCGCAGTGGCGCGATCTCGACTCACTGCAAGCTCCGCCTCCCGGGTTCATGCCATTCTCCTGCCTCAGCCTCCCAAGTAGCTGGGACTACAGGCGCGCGCCACCATGCCCGGCTAATTTTTGTATTTTTAGTAGAGACGGGGTTTCACCGTGTCAGCCAGGATGGTCTCGATCTCCTGACCTCGTGATCCGCCCATCTCAGCCTCCCAAAGTGCTGGGATTACAGGCGTGAGCCACCGCGCCCGGCCCTTTTGGACATTTTTAAGAGGATCACCTTTTAGGTAATCCTCATGGTATTACCAGAACATTTAGTTCAGTGCTTTTGCCTAAGTGAGATAACATGGAAGAAATACACCTTATAAACCTTAAAATTCTATACAAGTATCAGTTAGTAGAAACTACTAACAAAACACAATTGAACAATTGAATGAGCAGATGACTACAACAATGAATGCCTAGAAGATCAACTCTGAATGTAGAAAATCCTGTCTACCGTTGCAGATGTTGTATGCTGTGTCACCTTAATAGAAATGTGAATGTTAGCAGGCTTTCCCAACCCATCTCTTAAATCTGATCACATTTTAAAATTAACTACATGAGTCACAATATTCATTCTTGTCTTAAACTGAGGGCAGATTGAGTGAATGATGGAGTGACTTTCTGAAGAATTTAAACTATTCACAAACTATCAATATCTTTATTGTATATGCCTTTTAAACAAAAGTAACATTTTATTCTCTAATTACCTTGGACAACCTAAGTAGAGCTTATTTAAGAAATGTTAAATGTGAAAGTGATCCAGAAATGAGCTCAGTTTTTCAACTCAGACTGAGCACGCTTCTGTATGATCCAGATGCTAGGCAGGTTCAACTTTCTCTTTCAAAGTTTAACTTTCATCCTTTCTATAGTTGAATCTTCAAAGATGTCAATAATCCTAGACAAGGGATCTATGTTGTTCAGAGCATACAAAAAACTCCACTATCTTGTGACAGTGTTGGTTTGGGAATGGCTAAAACTTGTGTCTACTGGCATGGAAATGACTCTGATATTGGAAAGGCTATTACAGGAAGAGGAATTTTCAGGCTACCTTGCTACTCTTGTTTAGGGGAAGAAGAATGAAGAAGAGAAGGAAGAAGAGGAGGAGGAAGAAGCAGGAGAAAATCCAGAACCAAATCCCCTACTTTTTCATGTTTAGTGTAAAAGTTTAAGTGCTGCAGAATCCTCAACCCGGGAATCCTTGCATACTTTGAAGTACCATTTCAATGGGAGAAACTCTTGATCAGGATAGGTTGTCTCCTCAAAATGATTTAGTGTTTATAGTTCCTCTTCCAATCTCTGCTTCAGTCATAGTGGTTGTTTGCAATATACTATTGTTTCTAATGAAATATATGCTCTGTTGAGTTTAAGGAATCTGGGGACAGGAACTTCATTCAAGCTGTCACATTTGGTTTGTTCACTGTCAGACAAATGGTCAGGATCAAAGGATGCCCTGAGAAACAGCCTATTGGATGACATAGAACAATAGGCTTGCCAAGTTTCTAATTATTTGTCATGTCATTTTATGTTTAATAAAAGAACTCAATATTACTGGATTACTGAGTGATTTATGAAGGTTTAAGGAAGCAGTTACTAAGTAGGAAAACATCACATGTGCTACCTTTTCTGGGTCTTTCCTTCCAATCAATATTGCTTCTGTTAAGTTTTCAACAGGAGCTATACATTTAGAATGACATAGGTTTCTGACACTATCACTGAGTTTTAAGAGCCTTGGCTGCAGATGGTAAAAAGATAACTTCAAAAATGTTTATCTCTGTTGCATGTGGCCCCAAGAGAATTACTAGAAATGTTTCCTTTCAAATAATGTGCAACAAAATTTTAGTGATACTCTTCCTGAGTCCTTACAGGGGTCTCAAAGAAAAGGAACTAATTTTTAGTCTTTTACCATAATTAATAAATTATTATTCCCAGGCATTTCCATCCATTGTGTAGAAAATAGACAACTTGGGCACGGTGGCTCATGCCTGTAATCCCAGCACTTTGGGAGGCGGGCGGATCATGAGGTCAGTAGATCGAGACCATCCTGGCTAACATGGTGAAACCCCGTCTCTACTAAAAAAAAGAAAAAAAATAGCTGGGCGTGGTGGCGGGCACCTGTAGTCCCAGCTACTAGGGAGGCTGAGGCAGGAGAATGGTGTGAACCTGGGAGGCGGATCTTGCAGTGAGCCAAGATCACGCCACTGCACTCCAGCCTGGGCGACAGAGTGAGACTCCGACTCAATAAATAAATAAATAAATAAATAAATAATAAAAAAATAGACAACTTGAAATAGGTTGTCAGTCTGCTGGTTAAGAGAGGATATTTGCAAAATTTGAAGGCAGATCAGGGAGTTTCTTCGTTCAATTTCTTTTGTGCTCCACCTAATAGAGAATAGCAATGCTAAAAAGTAGATTTGAGATCATTAAGTCTAATATTCTTATTCGACAAATGAAAAAGCTGAGAACCAAGGAAATTAAATGATGTGACACATTATCATTGCTTATTGGAGAAACTGGGAAACAGTGGTCAGAACACTGATCGCTTGACACATAGTATAGTGCCCTGTTAAGTCAAATTGCCTCCTATAAATGTTCCTTCTTCTCTTTCCACTTCTTCCCCTTTTCTTCTTCCTCCCTTCTTCCTCCTCTTCCTTCTCCTTCTCTTTCTCTTCCGCTTTTCCCTTCCTCTCCCTCCTTCTTTTTCTCCTCCTCCTCCTCTTTCTTCTTCATCCTTTTAGTTTCATTGTTCTCAACTGGGGGCAATTCTATCCCTCGAGGTACAATGTCTGGAGACATTTTGCAGTTGTCACAACTGGAGAGGGGGTGCTACTGGCATGTAGTGGGTAGAAGCCAGGGATTCTGCTGAACATCCTACAACGCACAAGACAGCTCCCTACAACAAAGAATTATAGATCAAAATGTCAATAGACAAAGCCTGCTTTACCTACATTGAATCTGCAGTGATTAAAGGTGAACCTAATCTAGAACAGTCCTTTTTTAAGTAGAATTTTTTATATTCTTAATGACCTTTTATGTATCACTCCATTATGCAAATAAAAGCCGTATTTTATTTGAATTGATTTATTTTATGGTCTCAAATCCATAATTTTTACATGTTATAAAGTCATTCAATGGAAACCACAGTTAATGTGTCAGTGTCATCCAGTGTGAAATTAAAAAAAAACTTGGTATTTAACATATTTTAGTACATTTGTTGTTTTTCATTATCATTTGAAAAAATGTGTAAAAATGTGTTTAAAAGTGAAATCCAAATTAAATATTTTAAAGATTCCTAAATTACCTCTATAGAACACCAGAGTTCTGTGGATCACTTTGGCTCTGATCTGCATGTTATAACCCCAATATAATATATTTCAGTTATTAAGATAATTTTTCAAAAAATTAAGCACATAGCTTTTATGTAAGTGAGAAATTAATATGAATCAAGAAGTATTTAATTAATTAATGAGATAACCAGTGGAATATTAAAACTTATTCAAAGGAGATTTTCAGTTTAAAAAAGCCACACAAACATGTACATAGAGTTTTGAATATTGACATCATTTAAGGTAATCTTTTCTACACAATGGAAATCAATTGTATCTCTACTGGACAAAATTAATTTGCTTCATTATGATAAAAAATGATTGCTACTTAACTTCTATCACTATAGAGTTATAAAATCACCTAGACAATAGACCAACAAAGGTGCACATCCCTGTAGAATCTGATAATTCCAGACCAGAAAGATCTGCTAAACGATGACCCACACTCCACTGAAGATACCTAGTAATCTCTTTTGCCCATTTCCAAATTGTTGACATTATTTTATGACACAAATCAGTCTTAGAGTTTCTGTATTATGAAGAACACTTATAAACATTTCCAGGTTTTATTTAAAGACCTCACTCCTCCATTCTGTTCTTCCTAACCCCCAAACATACAGAGTTCCAAGAAGTCCTACACAATTAGGTCAGCTGAGCCTATACTTTTTAGACCTCATGTTAGTTAAAGAGGAAAATGTTAATTACTTAATGTAAAAATAAACCAGGAGAACACGTTTTTTCTCACTGATTGCCTGACTGTTTTCTGGTACTTATAGCTGAGAGAGAAATTAAATTATCATCACTGATTGGAAGTTCAATGCTTGTTTTTATTTGGGGAGCAATCTGGAAACGCAGACGCTATTAGGTAGAAGGTAAAATGTGATCTCCATGCCTAAGTGCTTGGCATGCCTACCTGGAAGAATGCAGCAATATTTCTAGAATCAAAATTCTTACAGGTAATAAAACCACCTTGATTCTATTCCTCCAAGAAAAGGCAAAGAAAGGGACCATTCTTACAACATTTTACCTGATTTAAAAGGAAACACATTTGTTCTAGAAAATTTGTAAATTACAGAAAAGCACAAAGAATACAAAATATACTTGTAATCCCCAGCCCCACTGGTAACATTGTTAACATGTAAGTATCAGTTTATTCCCTTTCTGGCTCTTTCTTACTATTTGTCTCATCTTTCTCAGTCTGTGCTTCTCCCCTTTTTCATGTACACATATCTATTTATTAAACAAGCAATTTTTAGTAAACATTATGTATATAATTTTGGTAACTTGTTTTTTTCATGTAATGATATATCCTTTCCCTGCCCCTAATGTTTTTTACAACTTCATTATAAGTGACTCTGTGAATTTTATTATAAATATACAAAACATACATTTTATTAAAATTTTTATTATAATATGGTTTACCCAAGGATGTGTTAAAATCTGAGTATCAATGAGATAATCATATTAGATGATTTTACTATATTTTGACTCCAGGTGCATATTATTTTCAAAGATATCATTGCAGTTGCTTGCTTTTACATGTAATTTTAGAAAATGAGTATCATTTTGGTGCTTTTTTTTATTTATATGGGTGCCACCAGAAGAAAAACACTACATTCTGCACTGTATTAACTAAATTTCAAAAATTGTTTCAGTTTTAAACTTTCTTAAATTCTTGGCTTTATGATGACCCTTACTAGGGTTTTCATAGGTGAATCTAACAGAAAAAAATGAGAAAGTCTTAATTTTTTTAGATGTTTACAAAACTATACAAGGTGCACAGTACAATGTGGATACAATTTGATTTTTTTGAATTCAGGCAGTATTACACAATAAATTAGTGCCAAGTAACTCACAACGTACTATAGTAGTATTCTAGTTCAAATTTCATTATCTGAAAGATTTTTTTAAATCAGAGACAAGTAATACGTTGTTTATAATAAAATATTAATATGGTAAAAGCAAAGAAATTACCTAATGTACGTTAGTTAATAAACATAACACTCTTCTTAGATTCTAAAAACAAAATATTTGATGCTGATTTCAACTCTTTGTTAGAGGTGAAGGTGAAGTTGGTGGGGGAGTTATGGAGTAAAACAGACTTGAAGAAAATCACCTAAGAATAACAATTTTTTTCATTTTATGCCTCTGTCCTCTCTTTTAATATTCATTTTCCCATATACACCTCTTATTAAATATGTAAAGTGCCTCTGATTTTTTTTTTACCATTCTTAGTTGAACATCATACCTCATCTAACAAAATATTGAAAAATTATGGTCTTAAAATTTTTAGCACAGTAAATACAAGGTTCCTCGTAAGTAGTTCACACTATCTCTCACCTTCATGTTACTTGTGGGTTGCATTTTTTAATGGACCAGACATTAGTCAATTCCATCTACATTTTCACTGGTATAAAATACCAGCCTAATTTATTTTAATCAACGTAGCCCTCAGCCATTTCAAATATCTTAAGGGAAAGGAATGGAAATCTCTAGGGCACAAGAAAACTGAAAAGTGTGAATCACCTACATTTCTCATTTACCCATGCTAATTAAGACCAAGCATTTGAAAGTTACCATCTGAAGGAAAATTAAGCCAATTAACCCACTGATGAAGATAATTTTCAATATTCTATCAGGAGGCAAAAATCTTCACCAGCGCTTCTTATTCCTACTGTGGAGATAATTTTCATACTGTCTCTGAGCACTAAGAACTTAAACGAGTGTCATGCCAGTTCTGTGGGTTCTAATTGCAACTTTTATTTAAATTCTGATTTTCTGCCCCACAGCTCGATTTCTGATTGGCTGGACCTGATTGCTTTCAGACCTGATTAGATTTTATTTGTAGGCTCTTGGAAGCCTGCATGGATGAACATTCTCTGAATTTAGAAAGAAATCCTCCTAAGATCTAGCTTTTCTATATCAATTGGAGCATAAGAACCACTAGAGGTTCTTTAGGAAAGGGATTAATTTGAGAGCATTAATTATCAAATAATTATAGCCTATCTATAAGTTACTCATGAAATGTATTTCCAGATCTAAAGCTGTTTGTCAGATGAATACAATTTTTTAAATTTCAGCATATGCAGCTTTTTGTTTTTTATTGTTTTTCCTTATGCCGAGAGTCAGCTAGCATAGCTAGCATAAAAAAGACACTTATATTATACTAAGAAATGCCTTTACTAACTGTAACTGAGCAAGTAACTTTGCCCATTTCTTTGGAAGATCTTTTCTTGTTTAGGGGAGGAAAGACTGAAAAAATTAAATGAGATGGAATTATATGTATATAATCCTGGGGCCTTTAGACATAAATGAAAGTTGTAGTTATTATTTCTCTAAATATTTTAACACTTTTCATAATTTAGACAGCAATAAATTGGCATGCACAGAATAAAAAAAAAATAAAGCAAAACTGTTATCTTACATCTGGCTCTGTTCATGCTTTTAGGTTATCTGTAGAGCCACTCTACACTTTCGAATTTATGATCCTTGTTCTAGGTTCTCCATCACTGGCATACACCTACACTTAATCTTGTATACTTTCAGCTCAAATACATTGGGAGAAATGTTAGCATCTTTGCTCAATGAGGAAAATAAACCAACAATCTCTGTCCAACTTCCCACAATCTCCTCCTGGATTTTATCTCTGAATCTAGAGCATTCAAACTGTATCCTAAATGCAAGCAGGAATAATAATCCCATCAAAATAAAAAGCCCAAGCAAGTTAACTACAATATTACTAGGTCAGAGATGTTCAAATACCCTTTAGGAAAAGTCTGTTTTTTCTAATCATTAAGATTGCATGTAAATTGAAATAAGTGCATATTATACTCAACTGTACAGTATTTACTATTAATGGTATTTTATGATGATAGTGGTTCTCGTACATTAATTCTTGGAAAATAGACACTATGAGACAGTCACTTTCCCCATTTTATTCAGAGCAGAATCATATTATGGTACCATGAGCTACCAGCACATTTCTGAAAACAAATTTTTCTTTCTCTTGAAAATGTGAGCTCCTTTGACTTTGTGGTGAGTTTGGAAGCAACTACATGTATGATTTTCCTGGTTTGGGCTTAATGAGTTCCATGACACTCAGTGGAAAGAGCCATGAAATTATAAATACAAGAAAACCCACCAGGTACCTAAGAGGACCTGTGAGACAGCTAATAGTTCTATTACCAGTTTATTATAAGTAAATTCACCTCTACTATCCAAGGACATGGACACTGAGCCAGAAAATTCAGGGACCTTTCACCAGGAAGGCTCTTCACACAGTCCATGCCTCTCTTCAGCCTTACCTGCTTATCTCTCAAAGAGTTTTTGGGAAATTGTTAATCCTTTTCTTCAATGAAGAATATGTCAATTAACCAAGACAAAAAACTCTATGTATAAAACTATTTTGCTGGGCGTGGTGGCTCATGCCTGTAATCCCAGCACTTTGGGAGGCCAAGGCAGGAAGATCACGAGGTCAGGAGATCGAGACCATCCTGGCTAACACGGTGAAACCCCATCTCTACTGAAAATATAAAAAATTAGCCGGGTGTGGTGGCAGGCACCCGTAGTCTCAGCTACTCGGGAGGCTGAGGCAGGAGAATGGCGTGAACCCGGGAGGCGGAGCTTGCAGTGAGCCGAAATTGCACCACTACACTTCAGCCTGGGTGACAGAGCGGGACTCAGTCTCAAAAACAAACAAACCATTTTCAGATAGCATAATTGTAGTGGGGTTTCCACATGTTTGGGAGTCTGTTTTTATTTCTTAGATAACCTATGCCCTGGAATTGACTTTCTCAAGCCCTCATTCCAATCAGTGTTGTATTAGCAGATATAGAAATATCTAATCACAGAACTTACCTCAAAGACTGATCAAACATAAAGGGAACCATTTGGGAACAATAACTATGCAGGAGGATAAAATTTGGAGGTCTTAAGTGAGACCTCTTCCCCCCATGCATAACATCATTGACTTAATGGAGAAATTAAATAGTCCAAAGAAAACATCAAATCTGGCCAGGCGCAGTGGCTCATGTCTGTAATCTCAGCACTTTGGCAGGCTGAGGCGGGTGGATCGCCTGAGCCCAGGAGTTCGAGACCAGCCTGGGCCACATGGCAAAACCCTATCTCTTCAAAAGAAAAAAAAACGCAATAATTAGCCATGCGTGGTGGCAAACACCTGTAGTCCCAGTTACTCAGGAGGCTGAGGCGGGAAGGTCGTTTAACACTAGGAGGCAGAGATTGCAGTGAGCAGAGATCATGCCACTGCACTCCAGCCTGGGTGAAAGAGTGAGATCCCTGTGAAAGAAAGAAGAAAGAAAGAAAGAAGGAAAGAAAGAAAGAAAGAGAGAGAGAGAGAGAGAGAGAAGGAAGGAAGGAAAGGAAAGGAAAGGAAAGGAAAGGAAAGGAAAGGAAAGGAAAGGAAAGAAAGCAAACATCAAACCCTTGGATTTTGAGTTCCATTAGAGCCTTCTGATATTCAAAAAAGATAATATTTTTGACTTGCAATTAAGAGAAGAATGATAGCTCACTACCTCTTTCCCAGATAAGGCTTGTCTGGAACAGAGAGGAACAATTGAAAAGAAAGGAAGAGAATTATACACTGCTGGGTTTCAGAGAATGGGCTTGTACTCTGCCCTTTTTCTAGGTTAAAACCCTAAAAGGAGGAGTGGGCAGGTGGCTGGAAGAGGAGCTGAATTTCCCCATCTCCTGAGGGTGACAGAGACATTGGCTGAGAGATGACTGTTGGAATTGTAGTGTCTAATGGGAGAAGATAAAGTGGCAGACTGTCCATCAATGCCATTGGGATGTGCAGATGCCGCAGCCAATGCCAGGATGGCAGGGTATTTATACTGGAAACTCAGGATGGGCTGGATTTCAGCAAAGGCAAGAGTAAGCAAGCTGAGCCAGAAGACAGATGCCCTGACATCCACCCCATTCCGAGATAATACATAAGTACCTGACCACCCTAGGAAAAAGGAGGAAGAAGAGGAGAAATTTAAAATGAACAGAGAGTAACCTGAAGTGGTGAATACACAAAGGTGACTTTGTTTACCTGGAGTTTTCTAGATTAAGTTTTTCAATATTAGGTGGATTGGGCTTGAACAGACATTACGTTACTTATGGGAGGAAACTATCTTCATTGTACACTGCTCCTCTGAAATTTGTTCCCTGCTCCTTCTGAAAGGGAAAAGTAGAGGCTCCTTCAGAAGTCAACACTAGTCAGCATGATCAAAGACAGAAATACTTGAGATTAGTGGTCAGATTATTGATCCAATAATGTGGCCACTCTGGTGCTGAGGTCCTGGGACAGAAACTTCAGGGATGACCTAACCTGGATTCACAAAATGAGGCAAAGCTCCCACAGTGTCTCTTCCCTCTTCTTGTGGCTAGCAAAGCGTCTATTTCTTCTGAGTTTTGACCCTACCCCATCAGGATGAGGGAGCTGTTCACCACATGCCTTTCAGGACTTGCAATATAAAGAAGGGGCATAAGACCCAGCCTGGCTTTAACCCAGGTGACCTGTAACCTGGGAGTGGGTCTGTGATCAAGAAGAGCCAATCAGAATCCTTTTGTAGGAGAGAGACAGAATCTCTCTCTTTCCATGATCAAAGTGTCTATAATCATGAAGACCTTGAGTTACTGGGTCTTTGGGACCACAAAAAAAAATAAGCTTCTTTAAAAGGAAGCTAACTCAGAGAAAGTAGTAGAGAAAGACACAGAGAGGAGGAAAGATGATACTCGTAGCTGAGCTCCTGGATCCACCTATGTCTGAAGTTCTGATCATTCTTGGATTTTTTAAGTGCCTGGTGAAATACATTTCCATTTTTAATTGAGCCAATTCAAATCTGTCACTTGGAACCAAAAAGTCCTGAAGAATCTAAATCAAAGCTCTAAATTAAAGAAAAATTCCAAGTACCATTGTACAGAGAAAGTTGGATAAGATAGCCTCACATGATCATTGTCCTAGGGAAAGATAATTTAAGGAACACTTCCATACAAGGATGGTTTAACATCTTGTTCTGTCTATGGCTCTTTAAGTTAATGAATGATATCAATTTAAAATGACACCTAAGTCAATTTTACCTGACTGATGACGGTTCTAGGCAGTAGGCTGACCAAACCTAATGATGATTGACATTGGTAAAGGGGTAAAATACTCTGAGGGGTAAAATTTCTCTATTCAGGAAAGCGTGTTGGGTTTTACTCCTGTGCCAAGCTATCTGAAGGCTTTGTTCCAGTTGGCTTCTACACAATGTTCCACCTGGAACATTGCGTAGAAGATGATTCTGAGGTCCGGGCTCAACAGAAAAGCGGTCTTAGCTGATTAGTGATGTCTGTCATGGAAGTTGGAGGGGAAGAGGGTAGAGTCTATGCCAGATGTTTTTCTCTATTCCTGCCCTGGGTATAGAGTATCATTCTCAAATGCAGAGACCCTGAGCAATGGCTTACTCCAGGGACAGTGAAAAAAATCTATTAGCTCCTGTTAGCTTCTACAATCAGTGGAAATGTACATGGGTAATATCTAACATTACAACTAAAATACTTATTCTTTTTTATGGAAAATTCTTATAAATTTCACTAAATTTAAAGGGGTTCATGCTGGTGATATAGATCCCTTTAAACAGTTTAAGATGAGGGTGGGGTGAAGAGGAGAGACTACATCCCACAGAGATGAGTTGCAATTATATTTAAATCAGCCATGAAATTATGTGGCTGGTTAAAAAAACAACAGCAAAATTTCTGTCCAAAGTTTAGACAATGTATGCAGAAAATCACTCCAGATTGTATTTAGATTGATTTGGTTGACAACAGAAGGAGCAATGCAGTGTAAAATACCATAATTTTTACCACCCATCCGTGAGTAATACACTGCTAAGATATAGCATATTTACAGTAAAAAAGAGTCCGGATTTGTCCCAATTAACCTTGTAACTAGATGTACTCCAGCGCTTATTAATGACAGTAATGAGATGCAGACAAGACAATGCATTAAACATCATTGGCATATAAATTAAATTCACATACAGTTTAAAAGGAATAGATACCTTTATGTACTGGACATGAAGGGAAATTATTAAGAAGCTATTTCATAAGAAAAAGCTAATTAGAAAGAAAATTCAATACTTTCTCTAGTGCTCATCTCCATCAATGTTGGAAACAAGTTTGACCACGAACTGAGAAATTGTTCCCATTGAAATTACTGTGCAAGGTATGAAATTAATTTTATGATTGTCCCAATGGAAGCTACAGTAGCTACAAATACTTATATGCCCATTATCATTCTCCTCTATATTGGCCTACATTTTAATTTGCTTAGGTTTCTATCTAAAGCTTATGAATAATTTAAAATAGATCTTCCTCTGTCTTTACATCAAAATAGTGATAGGAGAACGAGATAGACATTTTGCTGTACACAGAATCCAAACTCAACAGCAAAAAAATGTGAAATGTAAACTAAAAGATTGTTTTAAAAGGTCATTTGTAAGATTACATAATTAAAGGGTAGCTCGGTGTCCAACATTTAACAACATGATTCTTGCTCAGAACATTTGGTAATTAGCTAGGAGAATTCCAGGCAGGATTGGAGTATTCTAATGTTACTCTTCAAAAGATTGCATCCCATATCTCAAAAGGAGCATCTAAAAATTTTTCAAGGCTAAAGAAAATTTGAAATTTGATTAGGAGATTGACCTCACCTGACAATTGTTAGAACATATTACCATATTGAAAGCCTAAAAACAAAACTGGGTCTTCCCAATTGTCACAGGCTAATAACTACTGCTTTTTCCCTCCAGCTCTGATTAAAAACCAGATCCAGTCTTATAACAATAGCAGCAACAAAAAAAGGAGGGGGAGCTCCTCCCACTCACCTATGTAATAAACATCAAACAATCAGGTTGGCACCGACATTAAGTACAACGGTGTCAGAGCCACCATCAGAAATCAATCAAAGACATTTTTCCTTTGTGATTAAATTTTTTTTTTATTCACAGCAACTCAGAGAACCAAAGAGGAAAAGCAAGCTTCTAAACAAAAACAAAATTAGTAACAGCAGACCCATTGCCAAGGGCAACATGCGCTTGACAGAAGATGCGAAGATGACAGATGAGTCCTCATCCCAGTCTAAATTTTGTCTACAAAATGAATTCATAATATCTTAAATATTACCAGCCACACTTCACTCACCTTTGTTTTACACAATGGAAGGGGGTCTTGTTGGCAGAAGTCAACAGGGGTGTTATTTCCTGTATTTTCCCCCTTGGGACCCCCCCTCATTTTACAGTTGACAGTAATTGCTATAGTTTCTCTCCCTCTTTCCAATTCTTTTCAGCTTTTCTCTATATGCATGGATCTTTTTTCCTCTCCTCTTCTCCTCTGCTATAAAGTTGCGGTTGTTTAGTTTCAGCCATTTGGACCATGAATTTTTAACTGATTTGAAAATGCTCTTAACCAAAAATTATATTTACTTTAGAAATTTCTTTGAAAAAGTAAGTATTTTCATAGACTTCAATTTAAATGATTTCATCTTTTAATACTAAAAGTTGTCAGATGAGGTAGATGAGGTTCACTTTATAAATGAATTAGATGAGGTCCATTTTATAAATGAACTATATGAGGTTCATTTTACAAATGAGAAAACAGATCCAGAAAGATTACGTGATCTAACTAAGGTCACATTAAATACCTAATGTTCATATGGTCTCTAAAATAGTTTAGCCAACTATTTCTAGTTGTATTTTGGACTCTGATTTTGATTCTCTCATAACTTCATGGGAAAACCAGTTATTAGTTACCTTCACTGTTTAGATCAGGAAGAGTATTAACTTACTGAAGATCACACAGTAAGTGACAGTCTTACTAAGTGCAGGTATAGCCACCTTTGCAGGGGATGCCTTTTATTGCGATACTGTAATAGGTTGGTTATTTATGAAAACATACATTTCATTTTTATATTTGTTACTTTTTAGTTATTTTCCTCTTACTCTAAAATTAATAAACTAATCATTTTGATAAAGTCTAGCATCTCATTATATTTTAAGCTTTATGAATATAGTAAGAAATGGGCCAGAGGTTGTTTCTCAATACCATGTCATGGGATGAGCTGAAATGACCCATGATAATGGGTTTTTACATGTTGTGAACCAGAGCAAATCAGTTTTATACTTGTCAAAATTTGTGCCTCACACAAGACTTTACAAACTGCTTAATGATCAGAAACTAGAGATTTTCAGAGGCCTCTCAATAGAACCAAGTTATCTAAGATAAATGTAGGACAGGTATCAATAATTATTCTCATATTCTATTTATTAAGCTCTTTTCTACAAAAGACTACATACTCCCTTCTCCTACTTTCTGTTTGCCTGATATGCTTCAGAACAGTTTTTAAAAGGACTAGCTAGAAAACAATATTGAGCCTTCAAGCACACTGTTTAGACAGACTGTAAAGGTAACAAAAGGTGCAATTAACAAAAGGGACTGCAAACTAATAATGGCAGAGCTATTTATTATTGAATCGTCTTCCTCTAATTTTAGAAACATGAAGAAACTTCATTTTCTATTGTCCATATTTTAATGAATGCCTATTATTTTCCCTAAATAGTGCCCTTTTTTGACATGCTATTTATACACACAATTTCTGAAAATATATAGAATATGCATAGCAAGCAGAATCTCCACAAAATGTTTTGTAAGAAGTATTTGGGTCTCTTTTGTCTCAGCAATGTCTTGAGGACAAATATGTAGTTGTGCCCTCTTGGGGGAATTCCAGCCTTCAGTTTCTTTTTATGTAATTTTAATATATTTGATGTTGTATTTTGATTACTCTGCGTACATTTTCTGCTTCTACAATTAATTTGGCTTCTGTAGGACAGGCTTACAATACAGCACTTCAGCTGGGTGCTGATTTCCTTCTCCTGGTCCTTTTCAGGGTGACTTTGCATGAATCCACTTGAGCTATTACACAAAGAGCAATTTCAGAAAATTTTTTATGTGGAACTAAACACAGAAATGTTTGTCTAGACTGAAACATAGCCTAAACGGCCATTGAGGCAATAGAGAGTTCAGCTTGACATATAGGAAAAATAAAGATTGAACACTGGAGCAGATTACTAAAGAAGGCTAAAGAATTTCTGTTTGTAGGTATCTCAAATTATAGTACCTAAAAGAGGCGTTTCAAGTTAGAAGCTTCAGAGCACACAAGATATTTGACATTTCCTTCACTTGTTTGGTATTGTGATTTCTTTATTTCTAGTTTCCTTAAGTAAGGAAATACAGGTTTTAAGACTTCTTTTAAGGTTATTTTCTTAAGAATTGCCGGTTCTGTGCTAAGAAGAAACAAAAACAAAAACAAAAAACAACAACAACAAAATAACTGTTTAGTTGAAGTTGCCGCCATTCTTAAAGTCTGCTTGCTAGGCATCATTTTTGACTTGAAATACCTTAACTTGTAGTTGGTCAAGCTGAGAATTAGAATAATTATTATTGTAATCGCTGACAGACTTGAGGCACAAGAATGTTGGCAATATCTTAAGAACAACTTTAGCCTACTAAGTTGAGTACCCGATTTTATTCAAGATGTCACCAATTCTAGTTATAGAAATGAAGCCCCTTGGGCTTCTAAGTAGACTCTAATCTACCAACTATTTCCATCTTATCCCTGCTAAGCGACAGCAGTGCATTGCTTTGACATCAAAGCAGGAAAAGGAAATATCGTGTTAAAATACCATGAATGTGCTGTTGATCTGTGCTACTGATGTCCTCATCATAACCCAGAAAGCATGACTTACTTATACTTCAACTTTTAGCAAACACTTCTGCACCATTCGATATCCTGTGAGCAAAGCAACCACTTAGTAAACTGACAACTCTTTGTTCTTTTGACTTGATCACTTTGCATACTTACACTTTTTCCAAAGTTTAAAGAAACTGTAAGCATCTAGGCATTTTAGTCTTTTATTTGTTTTGAAAACTATTTTAATAATTAAATATTTTGTTAAATGTACTATGCATTAAGAAAATATTAAGCATATAATTTCAAGAAGGTTGTTGGCCTCATGTGCTTATACTAGGATGTACATATGACATAATGTGGGGGTTTGACCCCTACACTACATCACATTTAAGGAAGTCTGTCTGATCACTTTGGTAAGACAAGTCCATAATGGTTAATATGTTTTTACATATTCAATTCATGAAGTTTAACTGCTTTTACTTTCATCAGCATTGAATTAGTCCTTTAAAAGCTTCCCCTCATTAACATGAAAGGAAATTGAAAAGTGAATAGAATGGGTTGTGAGATCATTAAAAATTAGTCTAAACCAGGAGGAAATGTCCTTCTTGGTTCTAAACAGTTGAAGTAGTTTTTGTTACATGTTTCATGTGTATATACATTTTTCATCATTATTAAAGCATAAGAAAAAATCATTCTCATCATTATACATATGCTGTGTGTATGAGCCCATTTTCATACTCCTATGAAGAAATACCCACGACTGAGTAATTTATAAAGAAAGAGAGGTTTAATGGACTCACAGTTTCACATGGCTGGGGAGACCTCACAATCATAGCAGAAGGCAAAGGAGGTGCAAAGGCACTTCTTAAATGGCGGCTGGCAAGACAGTGCATGCAGGGGAACTGCCATTTATAAAACCATCAGTTCTTGTGAGACTTACTCACTATCACGAGAACACCACAAGAAAACCTGCCCCCATGATTCAATTACCTCCCACTGGGTTCCTCCCACAACACATAGGGATCATGGGAGCTACAATTCAAGATGAGATTTGGGTGGGGACACAGCCAAACCATATCATTGTGATACCCAGTTAACATCACAAGAACCAAAAAATTTAAATGTCTAGAAATAAACAATGAAAAAATAGTTGTTGATTCTGCTATTATAAGTGGATATGCTGAATGTTTCTCACCTAACTATGTTGCTGTAGGTGGATGAAAGTTCTGTACTGAAATGTTCAAGACTCTCCTGTAAAATGAAATTTCTGTCCACAAATCAAGAACTACTTCACTTATTTAAAATCCTTACTTCCAGAAAGACTGAAATCTAAGCTATCTAAAGCTAACTGTATCTGACAAAGAGAATATAAAAACTTCATTTGAAAATGAATCCTAAATCTACCTCCCTTTTAGTCAAGATAACTTGGCAAAATTCTTGTCTCTGTTGGCTTTAAAGTGCTACTTTTAGATCTCCTTTACAGGCTGTACCTGTGCTATTTTACGTAGATCAATGATGGTCTTCAAAAGAATTGAAGTCTAATTGCGCGGGGTAGGGGTAAATAAAAGGATGGTCGGTTGTGCTAAACAATGTCAATGCACTTGGCTTCTTGGATATAATAATGAATGAGACAGTGCTCCGGCCCTCAGAAAATATACAGCCCAATAGGTGGTAACAGCACAAATAGATTGAAAGCATAAAGTAAAAGATGCCAATTTCTTATGGGTTTCAGTGAAAAGAGACAATATTTTTGGAAGGTCATTGCTGTGCATTGTCCTGCTAAAAGCAAGCCCTAGTAATAACTTCCATAATCAATTTCATGATAAATACTTTTCATTTCTATTTACGGCAGTAGGCAGAGGGTTAAATTATAATTTCTTAAGTTCATTATGCTGCTTTGTTTTAAGCTATAGCCTAATCAAATTTAAGCGATAGTAACAAATTATAAAATTGTGGAGATTGAATTTTATTGCCACTTTATAATTCTCATTGCCATAATGAAGGTTTTAAAAAAATCTTGCAGTAAAGAAATATATTTAGCCTTCATTAATCCAGTGTTTCTCTAACTTGTTTGTTTCTGAAACCCTTTTTTCCCTTCTCAAGTAAACTTATATTTAGGCCTCCTGGAAGTCATGTTCTAAATGCACATTAAAAATAGACCACGTACTTGATATCCTTAGTGTAGACTATCAATGTCTTATTATATTTGTCTTTTAAACAATGTCTTAGGGGATGAAAAGCCCAAGAGCAATGATTAGAGAGTAGAGGTGACTGACAGTCAAGGCACCAGAATCAAGGTGTCATCTTCACTTCTGCAGCTACAGAATGAACACTATACCTGGTTTTCTAAAATAGGGCATGTAGCCTAGTGGAAGACAGATTGTAGAACGGATTCACAAGCAGGGTCTGGGAAGGAAGGCAACATGGATGCCGACAGCATGAGGCAAATGGAGAGGTAACTAGATATTCAAAGTCCAGATGGAGAATAGTTTAGGGGGAAAAGATTTTTCAGTTCAGAAGCCTGAGGCTTGTGGATCAAAAGTCAAGGTTCTAAAGGACATAATAACAACAGGTTTAAATAACTCTATCTCATGGCAACAGTAGACTGGGGACTACTAAAGTGGAAAGTTGGCAGGGTGGGTGGGGCTAGGGGGTTGAAAAACTGTTGGGTATTATGCTCACTACCTGGATGATGGGATCAGTCATACCCCAAACCTCAGTATCATAAAATATACCCATGTAACAAAGCGGGACATGTACCCCTTCGATCTAAAAGTTGAAATTATTTTTAAAAAAATACATGAAAATGAATAAAAGAACAAATCTATCTATCTTGCACTCTGAGACTTTCTTTTTCTAATTTCCAACACCAACAAGGATAATAAAAGCAGGAGTACATTTTTACAATATTGGCCTTATTACTATATCAATTGTGCCTTAATTTGATCTTTGGTTCCAAAGAGCCTTGATGACGCAGACCACCTCTCATTTTACAGAAGAGGAAACCAAGCATGGGAGAGGTTAAATGACATGGATAAGGCCTTATAATTACTTGGAGCCAGTGTTGCAACCAAAATACATGTCTACACATTCCATGATCAACACTTTACACATTTAAAGTTTTTCTCTAATTCTTTTTTTTTTTTTAAGCAAAGCCTTTGTCTTCTGAGGCTTTTCTTCTCTCTCTTAAGTGACTTTTGATCTGTATGCAAAAAACGTTGTGTGATAAGTTTTTCTATTTAGTCATATTTTATGAAATTAATCTCAAAGAAAATTAAAATGTCATTTCCAAATTCTCATATCCTGATGGAATGTTATCAATTTATTAAATGAAATATATTTTTGGGGAAATGTCACAAAATAAAATAATGGTTGGTATCAATGATTATGTTGAGTCATCAGAATACAGTCCCATGGCAAATTTCTCAATTGTATGATGGTATAGTTTGGCTATGTCCCCACCCAAATCTCATCTTGAGTTGTACTCCTATAATTCCCATGTGTTACGGGAGACACCAGGTGGGAGATAATTTGAATCATGGGGGTGGTTTCCCTCATGCTGTTCTCATGGTAGTGAATAAGTCTCAGTAGATCTGATGGTTTTGTCAGGGGTTTCCGCTTTTGCACCTTCCTCATTTTCTCTTGCCACCACCATGTAAGAAGTGCTTTTGCCTCCTGCTATGATTCTGAGGCTTCCCCAGCCAGGTGGAATTGTAAGCCCAATTAAACCACCTTTTCTTCCTAGTCTCAGGTATGTCTTTTTCAGCAGCGTGAAAACAGATAAATATAGTAAATTGGTACCAGTAGAGAGGGGCATTGCTGAAAAGATACCTGAAAATGTGGAAGCGACTTTGGAACTGGGTAACAGGCAGAGTTTGGAACAGTTTGGGGGGCTCAGGAGAAGACAGGAAAATGTGGGAAAATTTGGAACTTACTAGAGACTCATTGAATGGCTTTGACCAAAACCCTGATAGTGATATGGACAATAAGGTCCAGGCTGAGGTGACCTCAGATGGAGATGAGGAACTTGTTGGGAACTGGAGAAAAGGTGACTCTTGTTATGTTTTAGCAGAGACTGGCAGCATTTTGCCCCTGCCCTAGAGATTTGTGGAACTCTGAACTTGAGAGAGATGATTTAGGATATCTGGCAGAAGAAATTTCTAAGGAGAAAAACATTAAAGAGGTGGCTTGGGTGCTGTTAAAGGTATTCGGTTTTATAAGGAAAGCAGAGCATAAAAGTTCAGAAAATGTGCAGCCTGACAATGTGATAGAAAAGAAAAATCCATTTTCTGAGGAAAAATTCAAGCTGGTTGCAGATATTTGCATAAGCAACGAGGAGCTGAATGTTAATCCCCAAGACATTGGGAAAATGTCTCCAGGGCATGTTAGAGGTCTTCATGGCAGCGCCTCCCATCGCTGGCCCACAGGCCTAGGAGAAAATGGTTTCATGGGCAGGGCCCAGGGTCCCTGTGCTGTGTGCAGCCTAGGGACTTGGTGCCATGTGTCCCAGCTGCTTCAGCCGTGGTTGAAAGAGACCAACCTAGAGCTTGGGCCGTGGCTTCAGAGGGTGCAAGCCTCAAGCGTTGGCAGCTTCCATGTGGTGGTGAGCCTGCGAGTTCACAGAAGTCAAGAACTGGGGTTTGGGAACCTCTGCCTAGACTTCAGAAGAAGTATGGACATGCTTAGATGCCCAGGCAGAAGTTTGCTGCAGGGGCAGGGCACTCATGGAGAAACTCTGCTAGGGCAGTGCAGAAGGGAAATGTGGGGTCAGAGCTCCCACTGGGGCTCTGCCCCCTGCTGGGGCACCACCTAGTGGAGCTGTGAGAAGACGGCCACCATCCTCCAGACTGCAGAATGGTAGATCCACCTACAGCTTGCACCATTCACCTGGAAAAGCTGCAAACACTCAATGCCAGCCCAAAGCACTCAAGGCAGCTGGGAGCGAAGCTGTACCCTGGAAAGCCACAGGGGCAGAGCTGCCCAAGACCATGGGAACCCACCTCTTCCATCAGCATAACCTGGATGTGAGACATGGAGTCAAAGGAGATCATTTTGAAGCTTTAAAATTTGACTGCCCCACAGGAAATTTTGGACTTGTATGGGCCCTATACTCCTTTGTTTTGGCCAATTTCTCTCATTTGGAAAGGCTGTATTTACCAATACCTGTATCCCCATTGTATCTAGGAAGTAACCAGCTTGCTTTTAATTTCACAGTCTCATAGGCGGAAGGGTCTTTCCTTGTCTCAGATGAGACTTTGGACTGTGGAATTTTGGGTTAATGCTGAAATGAGTTAAGACTTTGGGGGACTGTTGGGAAAGTATGATTGGTTTTGAAATGTGAGGACATGAGATTTGGAGGGACAAGGGGTAGAAAATTATGGCTTGGATGTGTTCTCACTCAAATCTCATCTTGAATTGTACTCCCATAATTCCCATGTGTTGTGGGAGGGACCTGGTGGGGGATAATTTGAGTCATGGGGGTGGTTCCCCCATACTGTTCTCATGGCAGTGAATAAGTCTCACAAGATCTGATGGTTATATCAGGGTTTTCCCTTTTGCATCTTCCTCATTTTCTCTTGCCAACAACATGTAAGAAGTGCCTTTCGCCTCCCACCATGATTCTGAGGCCTCCCTGGCCATGTGGAACTGTAAGTCCAATTAAACCTCTTTTTCTTCCCAGTCTTGAGTGTGTCTTTATCAGCAGCACGAAAACAGACTAATACATATGATTATTTACGTTTAATGTTTCAGTGTTACATAGCCTATCATCTCACTCATTGTTTTCTACCTGTCTCAACTATTGTCTCTCTTTTACCTCTTTTACTGCCTTTTTTAGGTGGTTGTTCCTTCTTAGAATTCCAATTAATCTCCTCCATCAGCCCATTAGCTTTTTAAGTTACATTTATTTGCTTTATATTTTAATGATTGTTCTAGGATTACCACATGCATCTTCAACTGATCATTGCCTACATTGAAATATTGCATCATGTATAATATAAAACTTTCCATTTCTCTTCTATCATCCTTTGTGCTCTTGTTGCCATAAATTTTATTTCTATATATGCTATAAGCTTCCTAATATATGGTTGCTATTTTTACTTTATGCAGTCAACTATCTTTTTAAAAAATGTTTAAAACCAAGAAATCAAATTCTTTTAAATTTTTCCATATATTACCATGTCTGGGCTCCTTTAACATTTCTTGAAGTATAGGTCTGTTAGCACAAATTCTCTCAGATTTTGTCTAAAACCTATAGTACTTTCATTTTGTAAAGAATATTTTCATAGGATATGGAATTCTAAGTTAATTGTACTTATTTTTCTTTCAGCACTTAAATGAGGTTTTTCCATTGTCTTCTGGTTAGAATTATTTCTGATGAAAAGTTAGTAGTAGTTCTTACTTTTGTTTCCTTGTATTTGTTTATTTTAAATGACAAATAAAAATTGGATGTATTTATCATGTGCAACATGATGTTTTGAAATATGTGTACACTGGGGAATGGCTGAATAAAACTAATTAACATAAGCATTAGTTTACATTTTTTTTGTGTGATGAGAACACTTAACATTTATTCTTTCAGCAATTTTCAAGAATGCAATACATTGTTACTAAATATAGTCACCATGTTTTACAATAGACTCCCTGTATTGAATATGCCTTTTTCTCAGGCATTGGTTAAGATTTTTTCTTCTTATCATTAATTTTCAAAAACTTGATTGTAATGTACCTTGATATAGTTTTATTTTTATCCTACACATTATTCATTGAACTTCCCTGCTTTGTGGGCTTATAGTCTCATAAAACGTGAACAAATTTTGGCCATTATTTCTTTAAATACTTTTTCTGTCTTCTACTCTACCCTCTCCTTCCGGAGTCCAGCTACATGCAGATTCGACTGCCTGCTGTTGTCCCACAAGTCACTGAGTCTCTGTTTATTATCTTCAAGCTTTTTGTTCTTAAAATTGGATAATTTCTATTCTATTACTATGTCTTCAAGCTTATCGATTACTTCTCTGCAGGGTCTAATCTCCTATTAAGCCCATTCTGTGAATCTGTTATTTTAGTTTTTAGATTTTCATCTCTAGAAGTTCCATTTGGTTGTCTATTTATGACTTATTTTTTGTCTATTATGCTCATAGTTTCCTTTAAGTCATTTAACATAGTCATAAAAACCTTTCCTTCTGGTCATGGGTCACATTTTCCTGCTTCTTCTACTATACTATGGGTGTGTAGTAATTTGTGATTAGATATTTCAATTTTTAGATATTGTTAAATGCCAGGATTTTTCTTTCTTTAAAAAGTGTTGATAATTTATTTTATTTTATTTTTTGGCCATCAGTGAAGCTTTAGGCTTTCAGCCTAATTTTAAAATTTTGGTAGGGAAGGTCTAGGATAAGCTTTCATGTAGGGTTTTGTTTAGCACACCTACTATTATGTGGTGACCCTTATTTGGTATCTACCAAATGCCCCATTGTTTAGAGTCATGTCACTCTAGTTGGTTCAAACTTGAGTATCTCCCAGCCTATGAGAGCTCTGGGAATTGTTCCACTTTTAGCCATCAGGTAGTTCTTCTTTCACTGATGTTTTTTGTTGTTGTTATTTGTTTTGCTTTGTTTTGGTTTTGCTGGCCTCATGGACTCTCATCCTACACATAAACAGTAGTGTGCTAAAGACTCAATATGACACTTTGCAGATTTTTGGAGATTCTTTCTCTTAAGTTCCATTCTCTCCATTATTCCATCATACTCTAGTGGCTTCCAGCTTGCCAAACTCTGGGCTCTGACTCCTCAACTCAGGGAGATTGTTGTGCTTTGCAGTGTAGAAATACAGTGCTGTCCAGAAAGTGCCTCGGATAGAAACCCAGGGCAGTCGTAGGGCTTGCTTCTTTGTTTGCCTTCTTTCAGGGATTATAGTCTTGTGCTGCATTTTATCTGATGTTATTTCTTATGATATTTTTTAAATGCTGGTTGTTTATGACAGGGATGCAAATCTGTTATCACTACTCCATCATGCTCAGAAGCAGAAGAGAGTCATACCTACTTAATATGAGGACTCTAAACTCATTCACATTATATATAATCCTTACCATAATTTTTATTCTTATGCTTGAATCCCAAGAAGATTAATTATATCAAGTCAGTGTAGCTCCTTCCCATCTGGTCTTCTGTGTCTACCGGGTATCTCTGAATCTTGACAAGATCAAAACTGCCATATGGAAAGATGTCTACATGAATCCAGGTCAATATAATGTCCATTAATGTTTTATATAGGCTAAATTTGATACACAACATTCCTTGGTCTCCAAATCGTGGATAATGAGTTTTTTCATAATTGTGTGACCTTAAATATCAACTAATCCCCCAAAAAGAATATGAGCAAACATTGTAATAATGATGCTAATGATATGCATATCATTAGCACCATTATAATGATCATAAGAAACTACATAATATCCATGACAATGTCATGCTAAATTAGCTTAAATTTAATAACAGTAAAATTTTTAATCACTAGATATTTTAAACAGAATCAAAAACCTATTCACAACACATTTTAAAGATTCCATATAATCAGTATTTTGAAAATTGATGAAAAAATATCTGAGACTACACTGAAACATGGACTTTGTATTTTGAAAATTATAACCTATTTGTCAAGACTTGTAAGTAGTATTTAGATCCTTAAAGTAAAATTTGATAGAGATAATAATATCTATTCTGGATCAAGAAGGATTTTTTATCAAACATAAGGATCATAAGTATCACACATATACATACTTATCTGTATACATTATGTATACACATATTTGTGTACATCTAACTTTATATCTATATCTGTGATCAGAAGATACAAATGAGGACATTTAGTATCCTATTATAAGATTTCTATACAGGAGGAGTCAGAAAACAATTTATATGAAGAACTCTGTTGTGAATATTTTAGACTTTGTGGCCTAGAGAGTCTCTCACAATCACTCAACTCTGTCACTCTAGTGTGAAAGGGGCCATAGAAAATAAGTAAATGAATGAGCACGTGTTCCAATCAAACTTTATTTACACAAAAGATCGCAACGCAGATTGAGACTGCGAGTCATAGTTTGCCAATCTGCGATCTACAGTATAAGATAACCCAAAGTCCTAGAACTACCTGAAGATAGGTGCATTATCTAGGGTCAGTTTTGAACCACTAAGACTCTCAAACATGAACATCCATCTCTTGTACACCTGTCATCCACTCTTTTCACGTTAATCCATTTTTGTGCCTGTTTCCAAATTTGTTTTGGCCCCTATCCCCTGGCTTTGGGTGTTTGTTTTGTCTCCTCACAGAAAATTTTGACTGGGCCTCTCCTCTTTGGCTTCCCTGCTGTAAACTGAGGCAGGACAAGTCAAATATGTTTTTGTCTGCACAGGGCAGGGTAGGAATGGGTGGGCACACAAACTCTTTAAGACCATCATTTGATTTCATTGCTCATTATGCAAAATAATAATGTTATCCACACAGTCTCTTTTTCTGCACCTCCCTAAACTAACACACTGAAGTAGCAAAAGAAATTATTTATTAAATGGGCATCTGTGACTATAAAGCATACAGACCATACAGACTATATGGAAGTCTCAGCTACTATGATATTGATTAAGAAAATATATCTATCATACACATGATATATATATAATATATATACACACATATGTGGTATATAAATGGTAGAGAGAGATATATATATACATATATATGTATTTTGTAATTTTTTGAGATGGAGTCTTGCTCTCTCACTCATGCTGGAGTGCAGTGGTACAATCTCGGCTCATTGCAACCTCCGCCTCCTGGGTTTGAGTGATACTCCTGCCTTAGCCTCTTGAGTAGCTGGGATTACAAGTGAATGCCATCACACTCAGCTAATTTTTGTATTTTTAGTAGAGGTGAGGTTTTACCATGTTGGCCAGGCTGGTCTTGAACTCCTGACCTCAGGTGGTCCGCCCACCTCAGCCTCCTAAAGTGTTGGGATTATAGGCGTAAGCCACTACACCTAGCCCATGATTTATAATTTTGAAATACATTTTCCTAAGAGACTATGTACTATATTTTACTAATTTTGTTAAAATATATTTTTAAAACCTTTAAAAAAATACACCAACTTAATCCATGAATGATGAACTTCATGAAACAATGTAGCATCCACATTAAGATGTTGTGAAAATTTAATTAAGAAAACATTTATAAGGCCCCTAAAACTGTGCATGCATATTGTAGGCATTCATATGTCAATTCCCTTATTCTCACGTATCAAACAGGAAAAAATACCAACTGAACCACTCAATTTATGGAAGGATGTGTATTTTCAGATGGTGTTTCAGTAAGAAATATATGTTTTATTATTCCACAAACCTAGTTCTATTGCTCCGGATTAAATAACAACTGAAATTCTAAAAGAACCAAGACTCTGCTAACAACCACACATTCCCCTAGAAGGCTTTCTATGTCAATATACATTTTAACTCTACAGAACAGATTTGAGACTATGGACAATACTGAAAGACAAGGACATAATAAAGCAGGATTTCCACAGAGCATACAGGGTCACACTTTTAAGTAACCTGGAAAAACAGGGCTGCTTAATTATCTGTTGAATTTTAGTAAGTCCTGAAGACATACTAAAGAAATGTGATTAGGAAGAGGACAAGCACTTCTTTAGTAAAGGTTTATAAAAATAAACTTCAGTATAAAGAAGAACCTTGTAAATGTTTGCTCATGACTTTTTCAAAAAGCAAAATAAAATATTTAATAATCTCTTTCATATGGCATAATTTCACTAGTTTTTGCCTTAGGCAAAAGGAAAATTTTTGCTAATAAAATTGCTTTGAGCTTTTCCAAAAAGGAAACCTAAGCTAAAAAGGTATATTTCTTTTAGCAAGGAATAGATCCTTAGACTAAATCTTAACCACACTTTCAATAATGTTTTTGAATTGCAAAAAGTGAAAATAAATAGAAAAAATATCCAGAAAAAAATAAAACAATATTATGGAAAAAGTAGTATTGGAAATTGGCAATGAATAATTTTTTCTTAAAAAATAAATTGATTTGTACTTATACTTCATTTTCATATTATTTCGAGAAAATAATCACTGAATTATTTCATTCAAATTACCAGGGATTGTATTTTATCCAAAGAACATTCATGTGACTTTAACCTTAAATGCTAGTAATTGCCTTATGTAAGAGTAAGGTAGAGGCCTAAATTGAAACTTGCATTCTTGGATCATGTAGAATTTCTTCATCCTTGTTAAATTCAGTATTTGCCCAAGTTATTGGCTAATCTACAAAAGGAGTTGTAGCTCTTCACTTTAACTCTTCTATCTTTATTATGTAATGATATGAAACATTATCCAGAAAACCTCTGTTAATGTGGAGTCTAATTTGTAATGAGAGATAAACCTTTGTCCATGAGAAAAAACAAAATATCTATTATATAAATTACTAGTGCAAACAAGAATGAAGGAAATGAAAAAGGAAAACAAAAGGAATAAAGACTAATAGAGCAGTATGTAATATTATATTAGTGGATAACATTGACATTAGTCTTAAACTGTACTATAAAATGATTATAAATTCCTTTTGAGATTCTGAATGACAACCACCTCTACTTTTGTATTCTTTCTTTCTTTTATTTATTATTATTTTTTGAGACAGGGTCTTGCTCTGTCACCCAGGCTGGAGTGCAGTGGTGTGATCTCGGCTCACTACAACCTCTACCTCCCAGGTTCAAGAGATTCTTTTGCCTCAGCCTCCTGAGTAGCTGGAATTACAGGTGCACACCACCACACCTGGCTAATTTTTGTGATTTTTAGTAGAGACAGTATTTCACCATGTTGGCCAGGCTGGTCTCAAACTCTTGGCCTCAAGTGATCCACCCACCTCACGCTCCAAAGTGCTGGGATTACAGGCATGAGCCACCTTGCCTAGCCAACAACCACCTCTAATTCTTGCCACATGTCTGAGTCCATTTAGTATTGCTATAACAAAATACCTGAGGCTGGGAAATTAATAAAGAAAAGATGTTTATTTGGCTCATGATTCTGGATGGTTCACAATTGGGCAGCTGCGTCTGGTGAGAGCCTTACACTGCCTCAACTCATGGCAGAAAGTGGAAGGGGAGCAGATGTGTGCAGAGATCACATGGTGAGAGAGGAAGCAAGAAAGAGGACCCAACGAAACCAGATCTTTTTAACAACCTGCTCTAGCATGAGCAAGAACTCACTCACCCTTGAGGGAGGGCATTGATCCGTTCATGAGGGATCCACCTGCATGACCCAAACACCTCCCACTAGGCCCCATCTTCTAATATCTTCAGGGTCAAAATTCAACATCAATTTTGTTGGGGACAAACCAAACCATGGCACCATATTTGTGTGCAATGTCTACTATTATTTACTGGTTGTTTTTGATTGGTCCCCTTTTTCTTGATTACATGTATTTTAACAGAAAATTCACTATCATCACAAAATCCAGAGTTTCATGTTCCAATTATATGTTGAATATATATTGAAATAAAAATAGTATTATGAAAGCAAAAATAATATGCCACTATTTTCACACAATATAATCACACACCCTTCTTACCTTACTTAAAAAAATCTACCCCATATTAGAGCTGCATGCAGTACATTAATGAGAAAAACTGATATACACAAAAGTATTTTTGTTGTTGGTGTTGTTTTGGTTTGGTGGGTTTTTTTGTTTTTTTTTTGTTTTTTTTTTTTGAGTCAGAGTCTTGCTCTGTCACGAGATTTCAGCTCACTGCAACCTCTGCCTCCCGGGTTCAAGTGATTCTCCTGCCGCTGCCTCCCGAGTAGAGTAGCTGGAACTACAGGCACACACCACCACATCCAGCTGATTTTTCTTTGTATTTTCAGTAGAGATGGGGTTTCACCATGTTGGCCAGGCTGGTCTCAAACTCCTGACCTCAGGTGATCCAACTGCCTTGGCCTCCCAAAGTGCTGGGCTTACAGGCATGAGCCACCATGTCTGGCCCATGAAAGTGTTTTTTATGTAATCATTTTATGAAAATGATATCAACAGATATATTTGTTGGGGTTTTCATTTAATTTCAAAACCTCTAGTTGGTCTACATTGCATCCTGGGGAAAATCACACTGTAAAGCATAATCAACTCTCTCTATAAAATACGGTCATGTCCACTGGCATTGTATCAGGCTCTTAAATACAGTTTATTGACATGATAACCCAATGAATTTCATACTTTTGTGACCCACCTCTTCCCAATTTCTACCCCATTTAACAGATGAGGAAATTTGGATTCAGATCATTTAAACAATTTGCTTAGGAGTATACAACTGGAATTTGCCCACTAGTGTGTCCTATTACAAAGTCTGCCTCTAAAACGGAAATAAACAACGAGGATGTTGTGGAATATGAGTAGGTGGGCTTGCCAACCAGCAAAAGGAGAAAAGAGGAGGGGAGGAAATATGGGGTGGCTGCTTACTCCCAGTAAAAACATTTCTGTCTCCATTTCCATTGTAAATTTCTCTGACTAAAAACGCAAGATTCATGTATTTGCTTTCAGATGCTTCTAGCTCTAAAACAGAATGAATCTAAGAGTTACATTTTCAAATGATTGCTAAAGGATGAATTAAGATATCCTTCTCATTAGCCCAAGTCCATTTTTTCAGTCTATTAACTTGCATATATGAAAGTTCTAGCAATATAAAACCACATTTTGTCACATGCTCATAATTTTGGAATTAGGGAATTTTGGCTCCAAAAGCCATGAGGCTGACAGATAGCTGTAGTAATTCCAACAAATCTATATTTATGTGTTTCTCAGAAGAACATCGAGCATTTACATTTTCTACCACACACTCCCTATCTGGTTGATGAAGTGAAAGTCAAATTTGGAGGGATGAAGTACAAAATTTACAGGACATCTTTAGGATTCCAAAAATTATGAAGAGCAACTTCAGGTCATATAAAAGCTATTTTATAATGAACTATTTTAATATGAAAAAGAGCTTCAGAATATCTTCTATCTACTTAAACTGGTCAAACACATAGTTTAGTTAAAGAACACAAAGATGTGTGCTGTTCAGAACAAAATTAGTAATAAGAATGTGCTATGTTTATTTGGGTTGTTAAAAAAGAATACAGTGCTTTAGAAATTTTTATGCTGATTTGTTTAAGAAACCAGTTTTTCTAAATTGTGGAGACAGCTAGAAATACATGTTAAGATATGATCCACAAAATTATTTTGAATCCATTTTGGATGAAAAGTCTTTAATTTACTTTAGTCCAAAAATATACAGGAAACCTTATTCATTCTCAAAGGAGATCAGCAAAAATAAGTCTAGAATAAAGCCAATATGAGTAAATATTGCTGTTTCTTTTCAAGTGGCAAACATATTTAAACCACCCATAGACATGTATAATTTTATATTTTTCTTTCAATATCTGCTTTATAACTCATGTAATTTTCTCCCAAGTTGCTCTGATGGAATTGCTGCATACTATAGATTTGCTTCCAGAAATTTTGCTTCTAGACACTGGCCACTGTGACCATTATTATTCAAAATTGTTTTGGAAATTCAAGATGATTCAGTGAGAAAAAATAGAATACATAACTACTATAAATGAAAAGATAACATTATTAATATTTGCTAGGATGTTAGAAAAGCTAAGACAGTCAGAATTAATAAGCACATTTAACATTTTTCATAATAAAATGTACAAATAAAGGATAGTGTTATAGTTTGTCTAATATATCAGCAAGTAATAACCAATGTTTTAGTGTGGATACTGAGATGACTTCTCTTTTCCTGATGTTGAGAGTGTAAATTGGCAGCATGTTTCTGAAGGTAATTAGATCATACATATTAAGATATTTATACCTTTTGATCTAGTAATTTTACTTTTAGGATTTTTTTCTAAGGAAATTAGATGAAATAAAAATGAAATCATACACACATACACACACACACTTATATATACACATATTGTTAATCCGAAATCACACACACATATTGTTAATCCGAAAGTGGACACAACTTCAGTCTTCAACAGAACATTGTATGTCCCCTTAGTCAAACATTCACCAAATGTTAAAAATCCTTTTTCTACAGAATATTACAAAATTAACCAGGCATAGTGACGTGTGCCTGTGGTCCCAGCTACTTGGGAGACTGAGTGGAAGGATCACCTGGGCCTGGGAGCCAGAGGTTGAAGTGAGCCAAGATGGTGCCACTGCACTTCAGCCTGGGTGATGAAGTGAGACCCCGTCCCAAAAAAACAAAAAGAAGAAGATTGAGGAACCTATGAAGAATCTTTGACATACTAGCGATCCCAGAATGGAGCTCAAAACTTAATATATAGTAATATTCAAATATTGATTAAAATGATAGCTATCACATATGAAAAGGAAGCTGAGAAAATATCTCAATTTTATAATAGTCATGATCTTTTAGTGATAGAACTTGGGGTGATTGCTGTTTCCTTCTTTATTACATTAGCTATTAAAGAGTACATATAACAATCTGAAACTGTTTTTTGTTGTTTTCTGAATTTATATAAGGATCCACAGTCCAAATAAAGGACCCACTAAGCATTTGCCAAGTTTATAAAATGTACTTTTCACTTGAAAACTAACTTACATTTTAGAAAGATAAACAAGTAGTAAAATTTTCCTTTGATTATCTTTCTGAGATCTCCTAAGTGACTTTTGCTTTCCTTCTCAAACTCTGTCTTCCCCAACACTTCCCCAACACTGTCTTCCCAACACAATAACTGGAGATGATGTCTTTGCATTCCTGCTCCTTGTAAGAAAAAAATAAATCAGCGTTTTGGAACTGGAAAAGATTAGGATTAAATTTTAAGATGGCTTATAGCTTGCCTTATGTAACATATACTCTCTGATTTCCCCTGAATTTACATTTCCAAGACAGATTTCCCTCTTTCTACACTCTAGAATCATGTATTCAGCTGCCCACATGAAACCTTAATTTGGTTGGTTATAGATATTTCACAGTTACTTTATCTAAAGTTAAAATATTTTGGCTTTTTAACTTACTGCTGTATCCCTAGAACAATGTCAGAATCATGTATGTTACATAGTGTGTGGTCCTCAAATATTTGCTGAATGGGTAAACACATGAATTATTACCAAAAGGGCTTGTGGACCCCTGCAATAATCACAGGACATTAGGCATGACTGAAGAACATTAAAGGATTTGATTTCTTGAGTGCTTTACAATTGATTACTAGTCACTGAATGATATTTGAAAATCATTGTAGAAGAATCCCTTACATTGACCTAGCCCTTTATTGTGTATGTTAATAGTATTTCATATTGTAATATTTCATATTTATAACATTGCATCAGTCTTCTAACAAACTATAATTCAGCCATGGAAGATATTCTTTTTTCTTTCATATATGGAGAAAATAAGAGTCATCATTTATTGAACACTTATTATGTGCCAGTCACTGTGCCCAGACCTTCATCCTCATGTTTAATCCTTGGTGCTAGAGATCAAATTTTAAAGGTGAAGAAAAGGGCTTGGATGAACTTAGTGTTCTCATGAGCTAGATGCCTTGTAAGCTGGGGATTATAATTATTATTGAAGTTTTAAAAAGAGAAAACTGGCTTAGAGGCATGAATTCACACCAAGTTTCTCATAGGAAGGGTTGGATGAGCTGAGGTTCAGACCCAGGTTGTCTGGTTTCCAAGCTCGTGCCTTTAAGTACCAGACAATGCAATCTCTTCATGAAGCACTTGGCCCTTCTTGGGGGTAATCACAGCTAGAACTTAGAGCATTGACTCCTAACCCAGGGTACTTTATACTTCACCATGAGCTTATTTAATCTTACCTGGTTGGATGATGATATTAGATATATTACGTGACTGTCCCTGCCACTCCACATTCCTTAAACCCATTATTCTTCCCCAACCAGTAGCTGCTTTGCCAGGGTTGGGGTTGTCACAAAAAGTTTACAACAAGCCCTCAAGTAGATTTCTGAGTAGATTTTGTAAAACTGTGGCAGGAGTAATAACCGGAAAGCCAAAGTGCTTTCAACAAAATAGTTTTGAATTTAGGCAAAAACTAGGCACTTTATGGGAAAAATAAAGGAGTTTTACTGCACAGAATCCAAAGCATAAACTGGGCTAATGCCAGTTTCTTGCCACACAGAGTAGAAGTAAACATCTCTTATGGGCAGTTTAGAGGCACAGGAGTGCACAATAGCAACAACAACAACACAAAAAAAAAAAAAAAAAAGAGAGAGAGAGAGAAGGAGAGGAGAGGAGAACTCAGATGCAGTGAGTGGGTTCTTATTCCTCCCTACCTTGACTTGCATTCTGCAGGAGGGGAGAAGAGTGGAATGGAGCGGACAATAGAGACCTTTGGCAGGATTAGAGAGGCTCAAAAGCAACAGGGACCAGGGCGTCTCATTCCCCAGGGTGGGCCTGAAAAAAGGTATGTTTCTGAGAGATGCTTGGTCCACAGCAAAGCTGCTAAGCAGTTGGGGGATGGTTCTCAAACCAGAAACAAACAGGTGATACTTGGAAATACATTTTGTGCCTTTGGCACAAAATTTAAGAGAGCACCAAACTCAGCTTTCAAGATAAAAAATATTTTAATGCATGATTTCAAAAAATAGAAAGTAATGGACAAAAACTAATTATGAACAAAATATCAAAATATTAAGTACAGACTGGCTGTTGCTGGCTGTTTGTTTTACAATGCTGCATTTTGTGCAACGAGAATCATTATTTTTCAATCAGCTCTTGGTTCCTGGACCCCAGCAGCTTTTGTGTCCCATGATGGGTGGGTTTATAAGGATTGATGTCGATGTCTGAAAAGTTTGGACGTGATTTTACGTATAGTTTTTTCTTGCATTATTTATTGTGGTGAAATATATGTAACGTACAATTTACCATTTTAATCATTGTTAAACGTACAGTTCAGTGGCAATAAGTACAGGCACACTGCTGCACAACCATTACCCATCCATGTCTAGAAATTTTTCATATTCCCAAACTGCAGCTCAGTGTATATTCAAGAGTAACTCTCCATTATTCCCTCTCTTCGGTCCCTGGTAACTGCCGTGTCATCATGATTTTTCATTGTAGAGCTTCTCTTAACTTTGTCCGCTTGGCCCAAACTGTGGGAGGAGGTGTCAGTAAGTGCATATAGGGACAAACATTTTTCCTTTTGGCTCCAATATGGCATGTCAAGGCCACGCAAAGGGAAATTGTGAGCTATTACCTAGACAATACTAGAAAAATGCCAGGATCCACCCAAATAAGATCACCAAACCACCCCCACTCTTCACACATCCAAGTTGACCCAACACACTTGACTTTCAGTCGGGCATTTCTCTCACACGATAATCAATAGCCATCTCTTCTATCGGTAGCAAAACCTGTGATCAGAAATGAGTCTTTGTGTTGATTCAGTGGCTGCTGCTCCTTCACCACTCCCAGAGCCAATCTGGCAGGGAGTCCTGTTAGTTTAACCTTGAAAGAGCTCTCAACAGTTCCTGTCCATTGTACTGCTACTGCTGGAACTCAAGGCACTACTACCCTTCACCTGGGCTCACTGGAAAGAGCCTCTTGTCTGACACTTGTGCGCATGCCTCCCTCTCATCCATTCTCTACATAGCTGCCAAAGTCGTCTTTTTAAAAATCGAATCATGCCACTTCCCAACGTAAAATGCATAAATGATCCTTCCATGTATGTAGAGTAAGAAGTCCAACTCTTCAGCAAACCCTGCTCTGGCCAGCCCCAGACCACCTGTCTGAGCTCCGCCCCTACCTCTGCCTTATGAGTTTGCTCTGCTTGGAGACAGAACAGTGAAGTTTATTTCCACCTCCAGACCTTTGCACCTGATGTTTCCTACACTTTTTGCCTGGCCAACTCCTTGCCATCCTTCAAACTTCAGCCTTAGTCTCATTTCTTCAGAGATGAACACTGAATTCTCTTTCACAGCTTGTTTTTCTAGAAGCTTTTATCACAAACCTTCTGTAGTTCTTTTATTCTATTGGTTTATTCATTTGTCTCCTCCTCCAGAAAGCAAGTGCTACCAGTGCAGGGATTATCTCCCCAAGCTGTAGCATTGCTCATGGCATGTAAGAGCACCCAAACCACTCGTTGAATGAATTCATAAACAAGTGATAGAGATTTTATGAAAAGTAGTAAAATAACCACCATTTGTTGAAATCAACTGAGGTGTTAAGCATCGTACAAAGCACTTTATATATACTGTCTCATATTAATAGCCCAATTTTATGTGAGAAAATGGAGGCTCATAGAGTTTTACGGACTTGCCCAAAGGCAAAAACATTGCAAGTTGAGTTTTGTGATGTGAATTAAACACTGGTGTACCAGCTTTTGAGAATGCAGAAAACATGTGCCAATAATAAGTGAACATAAACAGTTACACAAAATATTATAGTAAAGGCCATAAAATGGCATACTACTGAAGAAAGCATCATGATCATATTCAGACATTTAAGCTTTTAATCAAAAACATTCTAATTAGTCCATATTCCATTTCTGCTCTGATCATATTTCTTCAGAAAGAGATAGGAATTGCTTTTTCTGAACAAAATATTCATTGGAGATCCCAAAATGTGCAAAAATAGCTTTGCAATGCGAATTAAAATCTGCCTGGCTCCAAAACTTCTTTTTCTCTGCCACCCCTTACTGCCCGTGCCTTCTGCTGGTTGAACTCTCCTTGTTCAATCTTAATCTGCCTGGTATGGCAACATCATTACCTGGCCTGAGTCAAAGGTAGTACCAAGTACTAAGTGAAAATTATCACAAGTTTTATCCCATTTCATCCTTCAACAACCCTGGCGGGTCAATATTGTCATTATTTCTACTTTATAGATGGGGATGCCAGAATTAAGTCTTTTAGTCGGGGTCGCAAAGTCGATGGTAGAGGCTGAATTCGCACAGAAGCCTGACTGATGCTAGAGCCCCCATTTTAACTCTTCAGCCTTACTGCAAACATTCTTTAGAGTGACTCTGTGGGGCTAGTGGTGGAGACAGAACCACTATCTTCTAAAGCAGGCCTTGCCTAGGGTGAGCCTTATAAATAAGCAGAGCAATCAACTACGAGGCTGCAAAGTCCTGAGGTCTGTCATTACTGAATCTTTCCTTGAGAGGGGGCCACCTGCACATTGTTTACTTGCAGGGGCTTTGGAGTCAGGTAAAGCCAGGCTTGTGCCTTCTGCAACTTCCTATGTGATCCTGGTCAAGTTACATAACCTCTGTGAGCCTCAAATTCATTGAGATAAAATAGTGCTTACTTCCTGGGGGATGGGTGGTGAGATGTGAATGAAATAAATCATGTAAAAACTTTGTGCAGTGTTTGTCACAGAGTAAATATCTAAAAATCAGAATCATTATTATGATTACTATGAACAGTTATGGACTATGTTACTTAAATGGTTTTCAGACCTGTTTAAGTTTTCGAAAAGAAAAAAGAAGGTCAAAGAACAAAATTATATCAATTTCCAATTAGTCTAGGGCTAGGCGGGGTACCCATCCCCTTCTATTGTTGGACACAGGAAGGCGGCCATTTGTGAGCAGATGGGCTTGTCTCACCATAAAAACAGATAGTAGAGTTCTCGTGACATAACATGTGAGTATTTGGCATTTAATAAGGGTCAAGCAACAAATCTTGTAAATATTGTTGCATGAATCTATTCAGAAGTGAGAAGACATCTTTATTTTATACAAAATTCATCAAATTCCTACTATAGATATTGCCATGATGCGTCAGTAAGTTTGCCTTCATATAATGAAAATAAAGAGCAAGTTTAACTGTATAACTAAATTCCCATTCTTTTTCAACAGATGCATTTTGTTTAACACCAGGAGATTGAAACAAATGAGTCTGACAAAAACATGAAGCTTTATTCCCACCTCCCTTTCATAGAAGGAAATGTAATTAATTATTAAAATAGGAAGAAACCAAGACATTGCCCTCTATACTACTGACAATCAAACATTGGTTATAGTGAACACAAACAATTATGCACATATAATTGGACTACAGACTATTTCTGCCTTCCAATTACAAGAATAATTTTCCTACAAGTACCGAGAAAGAGACCATATAAAAATATTACTGGCACCTGGCTAAAACACATGTTGTACCCTTGAGAACCCAGAAAATAGGTGCCAACATGAAATGAACCTGAAATTGTATACAAAATACAACCAAATATTATGCCATAAAGGGCATGATTGTAAAGACTGCATCAAAATGATTATAAATATTTACTCCAATCATTTGAGCCTTTTAAGTCCAAAATATTCTACTCATTTATCCATTCCTGCATTACACTTCACATCTACATTTTTGTCATAAGAGCAACAGAGATTTGCTTTTCTAAACTAGTTTTCAGAGATGATCTTAAGCAAAATAGCAACAGCATAAACATATGTAATTCCTAGGGCATATAGTCTCAGCTGCGAAGGTGAAGGGATTCTGATGCCACAGTTCTTTGTCTTTTCTCTGTAAATTACCACTAGTCACTCTTCCCAACATATGGTCTGGCCATGATGAAATGTGGTAACATATTTTTCATAAATTCTAATGACACAATAGGGTCAACTTAACATGAATTTGTCAACAAAATATCTGGCTGGAATATAATAGGCAACAAACACTTACAAATTTTTGTTTATAATGTTTTAATCTCCTACACATACACCCTCTTTCACTTTTTAACTTATACATCCCTCCAATGTTTTGGAAAGTTACAAGACTAAAGATTTATTTTTAAATTTTATACCTTACTATTTTCTGTGAAAAAAATTGTATTTATTGACATAGTTTGGATATATGTCCCTGCCAAAATCTCATGTTGAATCCTAAGCCCTGATGGTGGAGGTGATGGAGGTGGGGACTGGTGGGGAGGTATGTGGGTCATGGGGATGGATCCCTCATGGCATAGTGCTGCCTTTGTGATACTGAATGAGTTCTCACAAGATCTGGTCATTTAAATGTGTGGTAATCCTCCCCCATCCTCTTTCTCTCTTGCTCCTGCTTTTGCCATGTGATGTGCCTGCTCCTCCTTTGCCTTCTGCCATGATTGGAAGCTTCTTGAGGCCTCCCCAAAACCAGATGCTGCTATGCTTCCTGGACAGCCTGCAGAACCATGAGCCAATTAAACCTCTCTTTTCATAAATTATCCAGTCTCAGGTATTTTCTTTACAGCAATGCAAGAATGGCCTAATACATTTATCAAAATCATTATTGCTTGGAATCAATTTTGATATTTTCTACCAAGTTGCAAATGAAAGAATATGGAACAATGAGAACTATCAAACTTAGAACCTTAAATAAAAAAATTTTACCAGGCCAACTCCTCTGTAAAGTGGTTATTTTAATTCATATTACAAATGATGAAATTGAAACACAAGGAAGATAATTTTTGCCAAGATATTATGTGGTAAGGATTAACCTTGCTTTTAGAAATCGTGTTTTTGCAACAAGTCTGTACTGTCTTTAAATTATAGGTTAAGGTTCAGAAGTGTATTACAGCATTTAGATAAGCTGATGTTATTTCTACCACCTTGAAAAAAAATGCTCTTGTGATTTATCAGCACCTTCCTTCAGTCATTGCTCTGTTGCTCTTGGATTTCTAGCAAGAGAAGAAAGAGTTATTTGTACTCATTGTCTCCAATTTCTTTCTTCCAATTTCTTCTTAAATCTACTTAAACCAGGATTTTGCTCCAAATGCTCCACTCGGATTACTATCTACCAAATCGCAAATGACATCCACACTGGTATTTCCAATGACCACTTCCTGGTCCTCATCCTACTTGACTTGTCAGCAGCACTTGATGAAGTTGATTACACCCTCCTCCTTGAATCACTTTCTTCTCTTAGCATCCAGAAAAAACGACCAGTCTTCTTAAGGCCTTGACCTCAGATGTCTCAAGATGTCACATCAGCTGTACAAAGCAAGTCACAAAGGCCAGCCTGTATACAAGTGGAGGGCAAATAGACAACACCCTGTGAGTAAACAGGGAGGGAAGAAATTGTTGTCAGCCATCTTTACAGACTAGAGCATAGACCTCAAAAATAAATGGATATTAAACAGATTAATGAAGATAAAGAGGTTAGGAGAAGATCAAGAGAACTATGTCCCATTTAGAGAGAATAGTCATAATTTAGCACAACATGTTTATATAGAATATTCAGACCATCTATTTTTATTTTAAACTGAGTTTTTGGCAACTCTCCCTCCCCATCTTCTTCCTTGCCAAGAAAAATTTGAGATTTATAAGATTTCAAGTTACCATTTTATACTACACAGGCGTATGTTTTAGTCCGTTTACTTTTGCTATAACAGAATACCTGAGACTGGGTAGTTTATAAAGGAAAGAGGTTCATTTTGCTAACAATTCTGGTGGCTGGAAAGTTCAAGGTTGGGCAGCTGCATCTGGTGAGGACCTCGTGCTGCTTCAACTCATGGAAGAAACAGAAAGGGAATGGGTATGTGCAAAGAGGTCCCACGGCAAGAGAGGAAGCAAGAGAGAAACTGAGGAAGCCAGATTCTTTTTAACAACCTGCTCTCTCAGGAACTAATTCACTCCCTTGAGAGTGAGAACTCCCTCACCCCAAGGGATGGCATTAACCTATTGATGAGAGATTTGCCCCCATGATCCAAACACCTCCCACTAGACCCAACCTCCCAACACTGCCACATTAGGGATCAAATTTCAACATGGGTTTTGGTGGGGACAAACCACATCCAAACCATAGAAACTTATGACTGCAATTAACAAAAATCAAAGATATTAGCACTGATATCTCTGCTATTTCCTCAGGCATTCCTACATGATTCAAGGTAGCTGTCCCCCAACTAAAGGCATCATGTTCACATTCAAGGCAAGAAAATAAGCACGGGATGATGTTACCCTGGCTGTTTCCCATAATTCCACAGCCATCTTTCATTCATATAGCAAAGGCTGGAACTGAGTCATATGGCTGTCCTTAACTAAAAAGGAAATTGAGAAGTGAGCATGTAGATTTTTGCAGACTATATTGTAGAAATAGCAATGGACAAGAGGGTTGGATTATCTTTTGGATTATAGTGAATCTATAGCATTTATCACAGTTTTTCTTAAAAAAGAAAATTCAGGAACAAAATAAAAAGAAACATACAAACAACTGTTTTTTTTAGAGAAGGGTTGGAAAACTTTTTTGTAAAGAACCAAATAGAAAATATTTTAGGCTTCAAAGCCCAAATGATCTATGTGAAAATCACTCGACTTTATTATTTTTGTGTAAAAGCAGACATAGATAATACATAGACCAAGGAGCCTATGTTCTAATTAAAAGTTATTTACAAAAACAAATGATGGGCTGGATTTGGCCTACAGGTTACAGTTTGCTCAATCCTGCTTTACCACAAAAATGTGAACAGGCAGATGCCTATATTATGCATCTTCTCAGAGTCTTAAACTTCTCCTCAAATGGTTTGCACAACCACTAAGAACGATATTTCCTGTTTGTTGACCAACGTGTCAAAAAAGCGTTCATCACATCATTGTTTCAGCAGTGCAGGGGGTGAGAGATTAACAAACAAACAAAACCAAAACAAACCAAAAAAAATAGGCTCAAAAGTAGCAATGGTTAAGCCAGGATTTTATTATAGAAATAAGGTATATTTTATAATCCATTTCAATCATGTTCTACAGTAAAATTTCATGTAGGCAATTCAAGTAACTCCTATTTGTGATGACATTAAATCATTTGAGAGGTAGGTAGAACATTTAATACAGCCCCTGTAGGAGTGTTATGATGGAACTATCCATAAGAATATATCCATAAGAATTGTGTAATCAAAAACTTAATCCTTGATAAAACAATTTCAATTGCTATTTTGAAGTTCTCTGTGTGACCTGATTGTTACATTTTGCCCTTAGGTATTCAGAATATCTTAACTCAAATTCAACAGCATTTTCCCCAAGTATGGTATAATCATAATAGCTGAAAATGAAAACGATTCCAAAAATAACTTCAAGTTAATTGTGCAGGTGAGAAAATATATCCACCCACACATCAACCAGTGCCAAATTGTCTGAGTGAAAAAATAAAAATCTGGAAAGAGAGCAACTAAGCCTAAATTTCAAAAATATGCCACAATATATTTAGAGAACTACTTACTATTACAAACACCATCATTGCAGGCATTCTACAGGACAGAGTCTCCTTCATAAAAAATGATATCAGAAGAGTTCTTTTATAAAGTATACAAAGAAGAAAATGATTTGTGCACTCTCTTCCATCCAATAGATTATTTCTAGGGTTTCCATATATGGTATGCAACATTCATGATTCTACTTTGCCTTATATCAACCTTCTACACTGTGACAATAACTGCTTAAATCCTTTTTAAAAAGAGTTTAAAACTTATGCTAAAAAGTGCTCTTTTGGTGATCTCATGAGACCAACTTCTGGCCAAGAGTTAGATATAATCTCTACTATTTCCTCTCCTTGCCATGTCCCCCTACTTGTTTCCAGAAAATCTATAATATGTAATAATTTAGAATTAATACCTCAATTCCCTAGATCTTTTAATGAATTCACTTACACTTGGGGATCTGACCAAGGCATCTGTTCATGAATAGTGGAATGATTACCAAGTCCTGATGGGGAAGGCACACTGCCATCTTTTCCTGAAATACATCCCAACAGAGAAATCAACTGCCTCATGCCTGGATTTTCTTGTGTGTCATTTTTTTTCATTAAATGTAAAACTCGTTTGGACATTTTCTTCCAAGCCACCTTCCTTTACCCTATATTATCTGTTAGAAGGTAAATAAAAAGGTCTAGCAAATAAAACTGCCCTCATGTACCTCCCCTGGAACTTTATAAGGGAAATTAGCATTTGACTCAATTAATAACCATTGCTGCTTCAAATTTCAGAAATTATTTTCTAATTACATTGGGCTTTACTGACACCTCCAAATCCTCCATCTGCCAAAAACTTAACATGAGCTGTAGCGTAGTCTAATCCCTGCAGTAACTCTAGTTAGAATTGTTGATATCAGAGGGCAATATGCAGTCTCTAATTCATTGGTTTCTTCCTCACTTATCAAATATTCTATGCATTAAAGTTCAAATGAATTTATTTTTTTTCATTTTACATACTTAAAAACTAGGTTAAATCTCTTCATAAATGAGATATAACCTGGACAGCACATTTTCTGTCTCTAGTCATCTCATTTCTGTCTCTCGTAAACCAGATGGGGAATAATAGTGGTTTCTAACCCAACTCCCCTCTTGAAATCAGAGAGCTAGGTAGAGCTGTTGACTTTGAGATGGACACTAGGGTGTGCCAGGGACCTTGATAATCAGCGGAGCTTCTGTCATTTTATGTCTGGCTTGGATTAAATTTGTTGACCTGTTAGCACAAGGCTGCGATTTTCACTCATGTTTTCCAGAAGGCTTCAAAACGCTCTTGCCAACAGTATTATGCTATACTGCTCCCAAAGCATGGAGGCAAGCAGCCAGTGTGATTCCCCACAGCGAAGAACTCTCCTAGCTCTTGCAGATTTGTGACCCTGAGTTGGGATGTTTGTTCAAAAGCCTACCTTATTTGTCCTGGGCAGTACATTGCTAGTCCAAAACTCAGGATGGAAAAACACTGTTGGAAAGAGATATTAATAGTGCTCTTCAAGCATTATCTGACACTTGTTAATCTTTACCAGCATCCACAGGAATTTTTCAAAAAACATAACAACTCTACCACTGTTTAAGTAAAGTTAAGATGACATATCTGTACTTTAGGAGCTTAAAATAAATAATGGACAAGAATGTAGAAAAAGGTGATATAGTGAGTTATTGCCACTAATCAGATAATTATGAAGGGACTCTGAGTCTGACATCCATCATCAAGTAGGTCATGCCGTTAGTCAAAATCTTCAGTATTGACAGACTATTGCTGCAACCTCCCAACTCACCCAATCACAGACTGTCCTGGGCTATACACCATGACAACTCAAGGATGGGTAATATTCTTGGTGCCCCCCATTGTCACCCCCACACAGCCTAGCAGAGTGCTGTATGTAACCCGACATTTCAATTTATATTGAATGAATAAATGGAATAAATCCAACCTTTGAATAAGTTTCCACATTTTGGCTGGTTTCCCAGGAATCCACACACACCTACAACAATGAAATGTTCTGAGGCTAATAGCTGTGCCCAATTTTGGCCTTTGTCTTCAATCTTTAACATATTTATAGTGATTATGAGGAAGTATTAATATCTGATGAGTACCTCTTACATGGTGGACCTACTGTTAGTTATCATAAGAACATTTTTCTCTGTTAATCTTCACGAAAAAATTAACAAGGTAAGTATTATTACCATTATTTTACAGAAGGAGAGAAAAGGAGGATTGGAACCCAGATGCTGAAACTACAACACCGTGCTTTTTCTTCTACACCACCTTGTCTATCAAAGTTCATGGGCCTAGACATTCCTTAGAAAGATGGACACATTCTGGCTTTCAGCTGGCTACCATTTTGTTTAATTAATTCCCCTGTTGCCTAGATTATTCTATTCCATATGTTAGCACTGGCACATGTGGCTATTAAAATTAACTGAAATAAAATAAAATTAGAAAGCTTCCCAGTCACATTAACCACATCTCAAGTGGTAATAGCCACAGCTGGCTAGTGACTACCTTACTGGACAGCACAAATATAGAACATTTCCATCATCCTAGAAAGCTCTATTGGATAACACTTGGATAGACGAAAAAAATCCTTATTTTATAGAATTCTTACCAGAAAATCTGAAGTCTACCACTTTTAGATGGCAGTGAGAAGGTAATTTCTAGTAAGCTTGTTATTTATTCTGACAGAGAAAGGTGAACTTTGCATCTGACCTATTGATGAGCATATTGTGTCTTTTGTTTATAGATGTTGCGGGGCCCCTGCTATTCAGGGGTACAAGTGCTTCTACTTGCCAATGACAGTGGAAATGGATTTACAATAATTTGCCTCAAGCCCTTTTCTTTGCCCCTTATGTCCACAGAAGTTTTATGTCCGGAGGAGAGCAAAACTATTTGATCTTCTTGAAGATCAAAATCAAAATACCTCAACTAAAGACTGGCCTCAAGTCATCGGATTGACTATATTTACCTCTCTGATTCCAAGGAAGTAAGAACTAAAGTGTTCTATATTATAATAAATGTGCAGGACTGCATACAGGCTTTGATGCCTTCCTATCATTTGATTTTCTTTTTCAGGAGGTTTTAAAATGTGCAGTGGTCACCTTCAGATCATTTTTATTTCCCATTAAAAAAATCCCTATATGTTTTATTAAAATTTTTCATCATGCATATTACACTCCAATTTATATTTTTTAACTGAAAAGGATTGATTAAATCAGCAGGTAGCAACTGAATCATGTTTGAGACTCAGTGTGACTGGTGTAGATTATTTTTTCCAAATTTGTTTTCTGCCCTGGGTAATTTTTTTTAGCCCTTGCTTTCTGCTCCTGGGTTTAGTGGCTCTCAAAGATTGCATCCTTAACCAATGGTTTTGTTGGTCATTTCACTCCCCACCAAGGACATCCAGGGTAAAAAAAATTCAAAATGCCTCAAGTTACTTTGCTTAATAAAAATTGACAGGTAGTGCTGATACAAGAAAAACAAATTGTTAGAGGTGAAAAATTCACAGCAGAAAGCATGCCTCACTGCAATACTGTAGGGCAGATGTTATAGGCTCGTTGTAACTTGTAGCAAAGTTAAAATAATAATGCGTTAGTAGCAATAATACCTTACATATCTAGAATGCTTTTCATCTACAGTTAGCCTAAGGCTTTTTACATGCTATATTTAGATACTGCTTCAACCTCCACTGAAATCTAGCTAGCTTTGCAGTGGCACCAATCATCCCCTCTCTGCCAGCAATATTACACAACAGTTTTTGGGAGGGAAAATGAAGAATAATTTCTCCTGTTGAAACTCCAGGAGGAATTTCTGAGTGGTAAGAATGTAATTTCTAAGTTAAGATTGGCACTGACACCGGGACTTAAAACCCCAATTCATACGGAAAGTGGGCGTGGAAACCTCAAAGAACATGAGCGGTCATGGCCATAGTTTTAGTCTTCAAATGACTAATTATAGCATTTACGAAAATGAAAGCTATTTTCTAATATGACTTTTTGCTTTTACCTGTTAGCTAAAAGGAGGACCATAAGGTTGTTTTTTTTTTTTATTTTTATTTTAAGGGAAAACAATTGTAAAAATATACCTACACTTTTAACCAAGTAGAAAGGTCAACAAATGTAACAAATGTATACTAGCCCTGCTAGGGACTGAAGGAGTGATATGTCTTTTTATATATAATTAATTATTTTACAAAGTTAATGACTCTCAAAGTATAATCATTAAATGCCTAAAAAGTAGATGAAAAACTATTTTAAATCATAAAGAGATTTATACTTTGGGATTCCCCATGTCCAATCTCCTAGTGGAAGGAGTTATGAAGGGAAGTTACCTATGAGAGCATGAGTGTGGGAGAGGAAGAGAAGATGAATAGAATAAGAAAAGACAGGAAGAAACCATTTTCATTTACTCAGAAGTAAAAACAAACCAATATGCAAAACAACCTTTATCTTCCAAACCTGAGAATACTCTTTGTCTCAAATTTTCCCTTAAACTAACCCTTCTCAAAGTCTGCAAAGGAAAAGGTTTCAACATTCATATAATAGAGTTCAAGAGCTATGTGTATGAACTGTTTGAATACCTGTTATGAAAAATGTTAAGATTGGCAACTACAAATTAAGAATACAAACTAAATAAAACTTTACAGCTAAGAATCCCAGCATTTCAAACAGCTTTTGACTTGTATTATAATTTTTACAACACTCTCAATCTCTCATTTTAAACTAAATTACTAAACAAGTATCAGCTTACTAGTGTACAGAATTGCTATCTGCTTGAAAAAAATACAAACATTTTGAAAGAGCCATCCAGGGAGAGCCATGATCCATTAAAGTTTTCCTGGTTCATTGGGACAAATTATTCTGGTTTTCATTCATTCATACGTTTATTTATTAATTCAACATTTACTAAATGCCAGTAGCAGCTGCCAGCTGTGGCAACCAGAAATATCTCCAGATATTGCAAAATATCCCCTAAGAGGCAAAATTGCTCCCATTTGAGAACCACTGATGTAACCTGAGTGCTTAAGAGATCAGTTTCTTGAGTTAGGAAGGGGATATATGTTTGGGTGGAATTATTAAAGAGCATCTCAAAAGATACTGTTAAGAATTAAGAGACGACACGCCAAAGAGAAAGAGAGAAGAAATATATGTATTCAAATCAAATCTCAGATAAATTTTCTTTTTTATTATATAAGTTCTGCAGACACATACTAAAGTGCTTAAATAAGAAACTGAACCTTTATATACCTATTACTGAGAATGAAGATTGTCTACATCTTCCATATGTATTTCATGTACCACTTTTAAAAAGACAAATCTTAAACACCACGCTATTTTATTTCTAAATATTCACTATGTATTCCCAAAAAGTGAAGACATTTTCCCACATAATCACAATATGAGTATTACACCTAACAAGATTAGCAATAGTTCCTAGACATCATTTAATATGGTCCATGATCATATTTCCCCAAATGACCATTGAAAAGTCCTTTTATAGTGGATTCATGTGATTTAAGACCCAAACAATATAAACAAATTGATTTAGCTGTTGATGTCTTTTAAATCTCCTTTTTTTCCTGTCTGTTCTTTTCTCCCCAAAAGCTATTGGCTTGAAGAAACTGGGTCTGTTCCCTCCAATTTCTCTTAGAATGTCCTCATTCTGGATTTGTCTGTTTTCTTCCTGGTAGTGCCATTTAACTTGTTTTTTTTTCTCCCCTTACTTCCTGCAATCTGTTCATTACACCCAGCTACTTGGTTTGACTCAGGTTTAGCTTGGTTCATGTGCAACATGTACTCTGTAGTGTCTCACATCAGGAAGCACATAAAATCTGGTTGTCTCATTTATTAATATGACAGTTTATCAGTGGGCACATGAAGGTTCATGAAGCAACAATCTAATATCTCTCTTGTAAAGTTACAAATTGGCCCTTAAATCTATCTACAGTTCTTTGGCAACCTGCAAATATGCAGTTGTCCATTTGTCTTTCACCCCATCGTTTTGGAATCTGTTGATAACCATTGCCTGGAATCAGTTCATTAAGATTGCAAAATGGCAATTTTTCTGTCACTCATTCCACATTTATTAGCTGGAATTCTTCTTTAAGAATTTTCCCTCATCAACTAGGCTTTATTTGGTTACCCTGAAATACAGCTCACAGGGGAAAGGCAGGAAATATGCTTTACTTCCCAACATTCAGAGTGAGGAATTGGTTTCTACATCTTTTTAACACAACTGCATTGGGCTATGAGAACTGCACTGCTCTACCATACAACAAATTCTCCAAGATGCTGTCAGAAAATAATGGTATTCATTTGACACAGCAGTCTCATTACTGGGTATATACCCAAAGGAGTATAAATCATGCTGCTATAAAGACACATGGACACGTATGTTTATTGCAGCACAATTCACAATAGCAAAGACTTGGAACCAACCCAAATGTCCATCAATGATAGACTGGATTAAGAAAATGTGGCACATATACACCATGGAATACTATGCAGCCATAAAAAAGGATGAGTTCATGTCCTTTGTATGGGCATGGATGAAGCTGGAAACCATCATTCTCAGCAAACTATCGCAAGGACAAAAAACCAAACACCGCATACTCTCACTCATAGGTGGGAATTGAACAATGAGAACACTTGGACAAAGGAAGGGGAACATCACACACTGGGGCCTGTTGTGGGGTAGGGGGGAGAGGGGAGGGATAGCATTAGGAGATATACCTAATGTTAAATGACGAGTTAATAGGTGCAGCACACCAACATGGCACACGTATACATATGTAACTAACCTGCACGTTGTGCACATGTACCCTAAAACTTAAAGTATAATTAAAAAATAAAAAAAGAAAAAAAAGAAAATAATGGTATTTAGAGACCACATTCTGAACACTTAGCACACATGACAACTATTTTGTCATTGTTTCTGGGGCTTTTTAGTGCACAAAACTAGAAAATAATGACTTTTTATTTTTAAAAAATGAGTCATTTTGATATTTCCAATTCAAATAGTATGTTACAGGATTTTTACTCAGATTCTTTGATTTTGTACTCGTATCTCTTTTTTCTTCTGCTGAAAATTCAGGTGTTTAACAATATTAGAAAAATATTTTTTATCCTACATAAACATACTTTAATCTCAAAACAATAATATCAGTAAGAACAAAACTTAAAATATTTTGTGGTTCTTAAATTTTTGACCTGAGGATAAATCCAGCTTAAGGTTATGCAGTGAAAACACTGCTCTAGAATGACTTGATGTAATTTTTTTTCTTTGAATTGTTTTGCCACCAGCACTTTATATAAATGTATTTATTTTCATTTAACTTTTTAGGGCTTCATTTTTCATTTTGGCTTTAACTTTTTCTTTTATTAATATGAAAAAATTACACCCCAAATCAAAAGTATTTAACAAAGTACACTGATAGATGTTTTACTTCCATTGCCTTATTCCCTTTTTTAACATTATTAATCATTTGTATTAACTTTAATATATTCTTAGCGTTTATTTTTATAAACATAGGCAACAAATACCATACACTATATTTTACACCTTGAAAATCAAAGGTAGCATGCATAACACGCTTTCCTTTTTTTTGCACTTTGCTTTTTTTCTCTATAAAGGACAAGGAAATTAGTTGCCCAGACTCGTCTTCAGTAAAGGAATTTTTTGCTAAGCTGCTGGGAAAGCTATAAGCAGATGGTCTTCAGCTGTCAGCCCCTTCAAGGGCATTTCAGCCACAGAGAGTTGTCTTGACCATATCCAATGACTGATTGAGCAGTGAAGAGGGAAGCTATCAAAGCCCAGTCATTTCAGCCCAGTAGAGGACCCTCTGATAAGCAAATGTAGCTCCAGAAGTCCTCATGGGTCATGTAAAGTTGTTGCTCAGGCTTTCATCGCAGTGCAATTCTCCCTCTGCCCAATCCTGCTTCCTTTTCCTGCCTTCACAGGTGTTGATCCCAGGAGCGCTGCTTTTCAACATTCTGCACACTAAACTCCATTTCAGAGTCTTCTCCCCAAACAAGGCTGTTAGATTTAGCAAATACAAATGCAGGATACCTACTAATTTGGATTTCAGTTAAACAATTATTTTTTTAAAAGTGTAAGTACACTTCGGGAGGCCGAGGCAGACGGATCACGAGGTCAGGCGCTTGAGACCAGCCTGGCCAACCTGGTGAAACACCTTCTCTACTAAAAATACAAAAATTAGCCAGATGTGGTGGTGCGTGCCTGTAATCCCAGCTACTCAGGAGGCTGAGGCAGAAGAATGGCTTGAACCTGGGAGGTGGAGGTTGCAGTGAGCTGAGATCGTGCCACTGCACTCCAGCCTGGGCGACAGAGTGAGACTCCGTCTTAAAATAAATAAATAAATAAATAAATAAATAAATAAATAAATAAATAAATAAAAGTGTAAGTATACCCCTGCAATGTTTGGAACATACTTATACTTATCCTAAAGAACACAACATTCACTTAATGGAATATCCTACAGAACACTCTGCGTTTATGTATATATCATTCCTTCATTTCTCTTCACTGTTCATTATAAGAATCTACAAGTGGGTTATTTACTATTTTTGTCATTGCATATGATGTCACAATAAATAATCTTATGTGTATGTCATTTCATACTTGTACCAATGTGTTTTGGGGTAGATTCTTACAAAAGAGATGGCCAGATTAAAGGTAAATGCATAAGTAATTTTGATAGATATTGCCCATTTATGTTTTCATTTATATCAGGAACCCTTCAATGGTTCTGCAAGTATATACAACTGTACTGTTATAATAAAATAGAATTCTATAGTTTATATATAACAAAACATTATACCATCAAAATATTTCCATTTTGCTACCTTTCTGGTATTTATTACCTCATGTTCATCTCACTAAAATAAGCCTATTTACCCACAGGTTTTTACCCTTCCTCATCCTTCTTCCTATAATTGATAAGTGTAAATTCCCATGCAGAGGACATTTTTATCATTGCTTATTTTTATATAAGTACAATCATTCTATAGACATTTCTCTACAGCTAGCTTTTCCCACTCAACATTACACATCATAGACATTGTTATGGGTCACCTCATAAAACCTGAAATCACTCTTTTTTATTAGTGGTGTGATATTTCCTAATATGGGTGAGACATTATTTAACTGTATTCCTATTTATTAGCATTCAGAGTGATTGCAGTTTTGTGCTATTCTATGTTAAAATAAACACTTATATATATAACTAAATTATATATAAATTATATATAACTAAATACTAGTGCTTTTACTTTGATAGAAAAGATTCTCTGAAGGGGAATTGCTGGGAAAGAAGGGATGTACTTTTTCATTTGAAATACATATTTCCATATTACCTTTTTAACGTGTATACCAATAAACAATCCCACCATCAATGTATGAGCGTATTCTCCTTCATGTACTCCACCAGTACTTATTAAATGTTTGTCAGTCTGATGGGCAAAAAGGAGTATCACATTGATATTAATGAAATAAAGAATTCCTTCATGTGTTTATTAGCCTTTTGAATTTCCTCTCCTGTCAATTGCCTATTCATATTCTTTGAACATTTTTCTATTGGCACACTTGCCTTTTGCTCACCTAATTGTAGGTATTTTTTAATATTATAGCTAGTATTCTTTTTCTGCCATATGTGTTGTAACTTTTTCTTGCAGCCTATCATTTGTCATGTGACTTCGTTTTTGGTATACTTCACCACAAAAATAATATCTTTATGAATTTAGATTTCTCTTTTCTTTTATGGCTCTGAGTTTCTGAATTGCTTAAATTACTCTCCTTTACATGGAAGTTATAAAAACATTCTTCTAAATTCTCTTATCAGGTTTTATTTAGATTAAAAAAATTTAATCTTTTACCCATCTGGAATTTATTTCTATTTATCTTGTGGAGTGGGGTGTCCAAAATTGCTGTTTATCCAGATGGACAGCCAGTTGTGAAAGCACATTTCATGAATAAATCACTCTTCCTCTACTAATTAAAGTACCATCTTCATTACATCTTAATTTTCTAAGTATACACAGTTACATTTCTTTCCACACAAATATGTGTCTCTTTCTATGTTAATACCTTATTATTTCCAGCATCAGGCTAAATTATAGCCGATCTTAATTTCTAGAAATTAACTATCTCCCATGATTTCTCTGTTTCATACAGTTTTTAGATATTTTGGACACTTATTCTTCCACATGGACATTCAGATTATTTCGCCTTTTAAATTTCACTCTTTCCAAACAACTTTTAAAGAACTTTTATACTTCTAATTGAGATTACAGTTTATTTCTATTGTTTTGAGTGATGGGCATTTTTATAAGATATCTTAAATTACTATTCAAGAATGGTATGCCTTTGCTTTATTGTAATCTAGGTTTATATACTTCAGTGGGTTTGAATAAGAATATTTCTGCAGTTATTAGAATGATATTTGTGAGGATTTTTAATGACATTCAAAAATATTTAATATTAAACCAAACAAAACAAAGAAATAAAATGATATGGGCAGCATGATGCCAGTTAAGTTAAAATGTACAGAAAAAGACCAAAAGGAAATATTTTAAAAAATTAACAATATGACATTTCTGGGTGCTAAATTTGTAGGTGGTCTTTATTTGCCATCTATAATTTTCTATACCTTTCAAATCTTTAATAGTGGGCTGAACTCAGAGCCTGGCTCTGGATGAGAAAAGTATGTAAATGCTCCTATTTTGCCTACTGAAAGAGGTCGTGAAGTTGAAATCCTAGAATCAATAGTGAAAAATAAGTGACACCTCTTGCTCTGTGCCAAAGTCCCATTTTGTCACAGAAGGACCTATAAAAAAACATTCTATGACAAGGTGTCTGATGGATTCAATCAAATTACATAGCACCAATGTATGTGTACAATGATTCTTTCCTTATAAAACAAACTCTAAAATAAGCATACCAGTTCTGCCTTACAACATAAGCATTATGTTAGAGTTCATGGGAAGTAATAGCAATTAGTGTATATGGCATTTATAACTTCATTCCAGCATATCATAAATGTCTCAAGTGGAAATTTTGAAAACACTTTACCCAAAATCACCAACTAGTTGAAGGACGAACTGGAGACAACGCTTAGTTAACTCAAAGGAAATTTTCCGTGAATTCTCTAGAACGTATTTTGATGAAGGCTAAATAGCCAATTGAAAATTGTTATTCCTGAATAAACCCTATCAACTTGTTCCTTATTGTCTCATCTTACAATATGTATCTTCTTTTGATTCTTCTGCAGTATGAAAATGAAAGATTGGAACACTAGGTATTCAATAAATGCAGGTTAAAACCTCCATATGAAAACGTCTCCCTATGTTAGCATTTTTTCACCTCCTCTTAGAAATCATACGACAGCAACAAGAAGACAGACATTTTTAAAAATGTCTGCAAACTCCATTTACAATGAAGCTAAGATATAAATGTAACCCAGAGACATGTATATGAACTACCCAAAACAGTTTAGATTGGGAAGATATGAAAAGAATAAAAACATGAAATTGTTGAGAGGGCCCAAAACAGTGAATACCGGAGAGAGTCAGCAAAAATACAGTTCCTGAAGGTGAGAGCCTCACTCTGCGATGAAAAAATTATACCATCTATGAGCAATAAGGGGCAGAAAATAAAGTAGACAGGACTGGAATAGAAACACTCTTAAACCTGGTGTGTCTCAAAGAAGCAGATGAAGTTGGCATATGCAAATAATCCTGTTGATATGCCATATTTGTAGGAATGACATATTTGCATATCTGTCCCTGTGGTAGCAGAGGAGAGAGCTTTCAGGTCATGAACCTGGAGAACTGCCCTGGCCCTTACCCCCTCCCAACTCCCACACCATCACAAATCTGCAAATAGCCAACTCACTCATGACAAGTAATAAAAGAGGGTCTAGAACAGCATCGATATAAAGATATGACACCAACACTTGTGGCAAAAAAAAAAAAAACAACAAAAAACTGTTCAACAGATGAAAAACACACATCATAAAATGTTGCCATGAAGCAGAAAAAAATTACAACCATAAACACTATTGAGCGTTTGAAAAACGTGATGAAGCTATCACCTCTAAGACCACACGGGAAATGCAAGAACATTATACAAAGCATAAATGCAATAATTTAGGGGAGACACAGAGAAATAAAGAGATAAAATGCGATGTGAATGAATTGAGTCAAGAATAGAAGTAGAATATAAAAACAAAAAATTGAGGGGCCTTCCACTTTTAGCAATATGGCATAGATGTACTTTTCACTATTCTTCTCATGCACTACAGCTAAAAACTCTGGACTTTACACGCATGCACACATATAGATATATAACATACGGGCCCTGTGAGTTCCATGGGTTTCCCTTTTAGCCTCATATGTATCAGACTCAATATTGGAGAAAATAACAACCTAGAAATGTTGAAGGGTTAAGATGAATAAGCCACAGCAAAAGCCCACTCTCTCTAGCCAAAGTACCAGCAGATTGGGGCAATTTAGCAAGACAGAAACTTTTAGATAATAGCTGCTGCACTCCAGCCAAATACCACAGGAAAAAAGTGTGGCCTTAGCTCCAGTCATGACAGCAAATGCCAACTGTGAAGCCTAGACTTCCACCATTCCCAGGCTGTGACAAACCATCGCAATGACCCCACTGTAGTGGTATTAGAGAAGGGAGCCAGGACTTTCATCCCCATAGTCAACAGTGAGGCTCTTCTCTTCCTCATGGTGTCAGTGGAGGCCACATGGAGATCAGTAACTAGACACCTTCCCAACCAAGGCAGTATTATCAGTGATTTCATGGGGAACCAAAAATGCCACTCCCACCCAGTAGCAATAATAAACTCCACCACCTCAAATGTCAATAGAATACAAAGCAAGAAACTTGGACTTCTATCCCCACCTAGCAATAACGAGCCATCCTCTTTTCTGCTGCTGGAAGGCTGTCATGAGAAAATAGCTTAAAAAGAAGGTTTAAAGACGACTCATCGTTTATAGTATTTCAAATATTTGTGTTTCAATAAAAAATCACTCATCATACCAAGAACAAGGAAAATCTCATCTTGAATGAAAAAAGGACAATCAATAGACACAAACAGTGAGACAACAACAATGTTATAATTATCTGACAAATACTTTAAAACCATCATTGGCCAGGCACGTTGGCTCACACCTGTAATCTCAGCACTTTGGGAGGCTGAGGTGGGCAAGTCCCCTGAGGTCGGGAGTTTGAGACCAGCCTGACCAACATGGAGAAACCCTGTCTCTATTAAAAATACAAAATTAGCTGGGTGTGGTGGCACATGCTTCTAATCGCAGCTACTCCAGAGGCTGATACAGGAGAATCGCTTGAACCTGGGAGGCGGAGGTTGCAGTGAGCCGAGATGGCGCCATTGCACTCCTGCCTAGGCAACAAGAGCAAAGCTCCATCTCAATAATAATAATAATAATAAAGCCATCAACATAAAAATACTTCAACAAGCAGTTATGTACATACTTAAAACAATTTTAAAAAATGAAAGATATCTTTCTACAGAGAAAGATAAGATATAAAGAAGAACCAAATGAAAAATTTTAAACTGAAAAACAGAATAACTAAAATTTAAAAACTCAGTAAATAGGCTCTATAGCAAAATGGAGGAGTCAGAGAAAATAATAATCGAACTTGAAGGTAAAACAACAGAAACTGGCCATTCTGAAAAGAAATTGAAAACAAAATGTACAGAGCTTCAAGAATGTACTGGACCATAATGAGAAATCTAACTTCTGTGTTATCAGAGTTCCAGAAGAGAAAGAGAGTGGGGCTGGAAAAAGTATCCAAAGAAATAATGATTCAACTTCTCAATGTAGCACAAGACATAAACATACAGATTGAAGAAGCTTATTATAGTAAACCCCAACAAGAAAACCTAAATAAATATACACCAAGACATATTACAGTCAAACTTCTAGAAATTAAAAACAAAGGAAAACTTGAAAACAGCAAGAAAAAACTCTTTCCTATGGGGAAAAACAAATGATAGCAGATTTATCATCAAAAATGATGAAGGACAGAAAGAAGTGGAATATTTTCTACAACTGGAAGAAGAGAACTCTGGGTCCAGAATTCTAAATCTAGTGAAAATATCTTTTGGAAATGAAAGGAAAATAATGACATTCCTAGGTAAAGGAAAACAGAATATTTAATCAGAAGACATGCTTTTAAAAAATGACTAATGGGAGGTTTATAAACAGAAAGAAAATGATAAGAGAAGAAATATTGGAATGTCAAGAAGGAAGAAAGAACAAATAAAGTAAAATGTGGGTAATACATTTTCTACTCTTGCATTTCTGAATTATGTTTGACAGTTGAAATAAAAATTACAACATTGTTTAATGAAGTTTTAAATGTAGGAATAGGAAGATTTTAAAACAATTATAAACGGATAAAAATAATAGAACTTAAAAGGAGGTAAGGTACCTAAATTTCACTTGAATAGGAAAAATGACACCAGTAGACTGTGAAAAGTTATGTACATAAAATACACAGCTAGAGCAACTGCTAGAAGAGTTATACAAAGAATTATACTTAAACATACTACACATAAGTTGAAGTAGATAAATTTAAGTTCATGAAAATTTAAAACTTTTGATTTCTACAAGACCCTGATGAGGAACTAGAAAGAAAAGATATAGGATGAGAGAAAATATTTCTGGAACACGTATGCAAAAAGTACCAGCATCTAGAATATGTAAAGAGCTGTCAAAACTCAACATTAAAAAATAGTGTGGGCATGGTGGCTCATACCTGTAATCCCAGCACCTTGGGAGGCCAAGGCAGGTGGATCATCTGCGGTCAGGAGTTTGAGACCAGCCTGGCCAGCATGGTGAAACCCCGTCTCTACTAATAATACAAAAATGAGCCAGGCGCCTGTAATCCCTGCTACTCAGGAGGCCGAGGCAGCAGAATCACTTGAACCTGTGAGATGGAGGTTGCAATGAGCCAAGATCACGCCATTGTACTTCAGCCTGGGCAACAGAATAAGACTCTGTATCAAAAATAAATAAATATATAAATAAAAATAAAATACATGAAATAAAATAAAACAAAACCATCTTAGTCCACTCATCAACAAATTAAGGAATAAAAATTATGGAATCATATCAATTGATGCAGAAAAAGCATTTGATAAAATTCAACCTATTCATGATTTAAAAACTCTCAGCAAACTAGGAAACGAGATTCTCAAAACTTGATTTAAGAAATCAATATAATGAAGAAAAAAATTTCTGATGATTCTCAATAGACACATAAAAAGCATTTTATGAAATGCAACACTGTCTTATGACAAAAACTCTCAACAGGCTAGGTGCAGAAGTGACATACCTCAACATAATAAAGGCCATAAATGACAAACTCACAGGTAACATCACATAAAATGGGGAAAAGATGAAAGCATTTCTTCAAAGAACTGGAACAAAACAAGAATGCCCACTTTCACCACTCTTATTTAACCTAGTACTGGAAGTCCTAGCCAGAGAAGTCAGGCAAGAGAGAGAAATAAAAGGCAACCAATCTGGAAAAGAAGAAGCCAAAATGTCCCTCTTTGCAGATGACATGAACTTATATGTAGAAAAACCAAAAGACTCCACGAAGAAACTCTTAGATTTGATAAATGAATTTATTAAGGTTGCAGGACACAAATAAATATGAAAAAAATCAATAGCATTTCTACACAACAATAATTAGCTGAAAAAGAAATCAAGAAGGCAATACATTTACAATAGCTATTAAAAAATAAAATGCCTAGGAATAAATTTAACCAAGGAAGTGGCAGACCTCTACAAAACAAAAACAACAAAAAAAGAAAAATAACAAAAACTACAAAACACTGATAAAATAAATTGAAGAGGATACAAACAAATGGAAAAACATTTTGTGCTCATGGATTGGAAGACTTACTATCAATAATGATCATACAACCCAAAGCAATCTACAGATTCAAGGCAATCCCTGTCAAAATACCAATGTAATTTTTCATGGAAAAAGAAAAAAAATCCTAAAATTCATATGGAACCAAAAAAGAGCCGGAATAGTCAAAGCAATCCTGAGCAAAAAGAACAAAGTTATAAGCATTGCATTACCTGAGTTCAAGATATATTACAAGTCTGTAGCAGTCCAAACAGCATGGTATTGGTATAAAAATAGACACAAAGACCAATGGAACAGAATAGAGAACCCAGAAATAAACCCATATATTTACAGCTAACTGATCTTCAAAAAAGCTGACAAGGACTTACATTGGGGAAAGGACATCCTCTTCAATAAATGACTAGGAAAATTGCATAGCAACATGCAGAAAAATAAAACTGGAATCATTTCTCTCACTGTTTACAAAAATCAACTCAAAATGGATTAAAGACTTAAACTTAAGACCCAAAACTATATGGATACTAGAAGAAAACCTAGGGAAAACTCCCCTGAGCATTGGTCTAGGCAAAAAGTTTATGACTAAGACCTCTAAATCATAGGCAAGAGAAACAAAAATAGACAAATAGGACTATATTAAACTAAAAAGTTCCTGCACAGCAAAGGAAATTATTAAGAGTGAAGACACAACCTGTTGAATGAAAGAAAGTAGTTGCAAACTATCTATCTGACAAAGGACTAATATGCAGGATATACAAGGAACTCAAACAACCCAATAAGAAAAAGCAAAACAAAACAAATAACTCTATTAAAAAGTGGGCAAAGGGCATGAATAGACATTTCTCAAAAGAAGATATACAAATGGCCAACAGATATATGAAAAAATGCTCACCATCACTAATCATCAGAGAAATGCAAATCAAAATCACAATGAGATATCATCTTACCCTAATTAGAATGGCTATTACTAAAAGACCAAAAATAACAGATGCTGACAAGGATGTAGAGAAAAGAGTAGTCTTATACACTGTTGATGGGACTGAAAATTAGAACCCACCACGGAAAACCGTATGGAGATTTCTCGAAAAATTAAAAATAGAACTACCATATGATCCAGCAATCCCACCGGGTATTCATCCAAAGGAAAGGAAATCCGTATATCAAAGGGATACCTACATCCACATGTTTATTGCAGCACTATTCACAACAGCAAAGATATGGAATCAGCCTAAATGTCCATCCATGGATGAATGGATAAAGAAAGTGCGGTGTATATATACGGTGGAATACTATTTGACCATAAGAAAGAATGACATCATGTCATTCGCAGCAACATGGATGGAACTGGAAGCCATTATGTTAAGTAAAATATGTCAGGCACAGAGAGATATGAGTTCTCACTCATACGTAGGGGCTAGAAAAGTTTATCTTACGGAGATAAAGAAAAGAATGATAGATTCTCGAGACTGGAAAGTTGTGGGAATGAAAGGGGAAGGATAAAGAGAGGTTGGTTAATGGGTACAAACTACAGTTAGATTGAAGGAATAAGTTCTAATGTTCAACAGCAGAGTATTATAAATATAGTTCATAACAATGTACTATATATTTTAAAATAGCTAGAGGAGAGGACTTGAAATGCCCCCAACACATAGAAATGATAAATACTTGAGGTGATGGATACCCTAAACACCCTGACTGGTTTGTTATACACTCTAGGAATGTAACAAAATATCACATGTACCCCATAAGTATGTACAAATATTATGTATCAATTTTTTAAAATCTACAAATACTTGTAGCTAACACAATACTTAATTACAAGAAACTGGGCTCTTTTCCCCTAAGATCAGGAACAGTGCAACATCTTCTCTCTGATTCCTCTTATTCAACATCATAGATGAAGTCCTAGGTAGTGCAACATGGCAAAAAAAAAAAGAATATAAAAGTAATACAGGTACGGAAAAAAAATTAAACTGCTTTGGTTGGCAGATGACATAATTGTCTTACAGAAAATTTCAAAGAATTATCATTAATAACAACAAGCATTTTGAGAGAATTTAAAAAATTTTTTTCCTGTCATGCTCCAGAATTTTTTGATTTTCTGATATTAAAAGTCATGAAGGGAAGAAATAAAACTGTCTTTACTCACAGATGACATGATTGTCTATCGAGAAAATCCCAAAGATTCCACCAAAACAGTTCTGGAACTAAGTGAATATAGTGAAGCTGTAGGATACAGCGTTAATATACAAAAATCAATTGCTTTCCTATATAAAAGCAATGGCTTTCAAATAATTGGAGTTAGAAAGATTACAAATAATATAATTTATATTTAAAATAGACATTTATAATAGCACCAAAAAATAAAATACTGAGGTATAAATCTAACAAAATACATACAAGTCTGTGTATAGAAAACTTTAATTTAAAAAAATCAAAGAAAATCTACATAAATGGGAAGATGTGCTGTGTTCATGGATTGGAAGACTCAATGTTAATTCTTACCAGAAGAATCAATCTACAGTTTCAACACAATTCAATCAAAATTACAGCAAGATATTTTGTAGATATTGACAATAATTCTAAAGTTCATACAGAAATGCAAATTACCTAGGGTAGCCAATATAATATTGAAGACTAAAGTTGGAGGACTCAAACTACCCAAATTTCAAACTTACTATAAAACTACAGTGATCAAGACAGTGTGGTGTTGGTGAAGGAATAAACACATAAATCAACAGAACATAACAGAGAGCCCAGAATTAGACCCACACAAATACAGGAAAGCAATATTTGACAAAGACACAAAGGCAATTCAATAGAGAGAGGATAATGTTTCAGTCAATGGCATTAGAAAATGGATGCCCATACGCAAAAAAAAGTTAGATACAGATTTTACCTTTACACAAATATCAACTCAAAATTTACCATACATCTAAATGCTCTGAGTTTGTTATTAAAAATTTGAAAGCTATAGAAAATTATAGATGGCAAATAAAGACCATCTACAAATTTTTTTCACTCAGGCAAGTCACATTGTTAATGTTTTAGAATATTTCCTAACAGTCTTTCTCTGTGCATTTTAACTTAATTGACATCATGCTGCTCATATAGTTTTATTTATTTACTATTATTTGGTTTAACATTAAATGTTTTTAATATCATTAAAAACCTTCACAAATATCATTCTAATAACTGTATAGTATTCTTATTGGATTCTGTTGAAGTAAATAAGAAAACATTGGATGAAATCTATGTTCTTTGAATTTGAGGATGAGTTTTCAGATATAATAACAAAAGCACTGCCTGAAGAAAACATTTTTAAAATAGAACTTACTATTATTAAAATTAAAAATTTCTGCTCTGCAAAAGACACTTAAGAAAATGAAAAGATAAATTCTACACTGGAAGAAATATTTGCAGAAAACATATCTGATAGAAGACTTGTATCCAAAATATAAAAAACTCTTCAAACTCAACAATAAAAAAAAAAACCCAATTTTAAAATGGGCAAAAATATTACCAAATAGACAAAAGAAGAAAAACAAAAACAAAAACAAACAAAAGACAGACACTGGCAAGGATACGGAGAAAGGGGGACTCTAGTACACTGTTAGTGGGAATTAAATTAGTACAGCCATTATGAAAAACACTATGAAATTTCCTCAAAAGTCTAAAAATAGAACTATCTTGTAAGCCAGCAATCTCACTACAAGGTATATATCCAAAAGAAAGGAAATCAGTAAGTCAAAGAAATATATGCTTTCCGATGATTAATACATCACTGTTCACAATAGTCAAGCTATGGAATCCACCTAAATGTTCATCAACAGATGAATGAATAAAGAAAATGTAGTATACATGCAAAATGGAATATAATTCAGCCATAAAAAATGATGAAATCCTGTCATTTGCAGCAACATGGATAAGCCTGGAGGACATTAGGTTAAATGAAAAAAGCCAGGCACAGAAAGACAAATATCACATGTTCTCACTCATATGTGGAAGCTAAAAAAGTTGATCTCTTTGTTTTAAGTTGATGTTTTCAATTAAAAAATTTTTAAAAAATTTAAAAATTCATCTCATGAAGGTAGAGAGTAGAATGATAGTTACCAGAGGCTAGGAAAGATGGGGGAAAAGATGGGTAAAAAAAGATTGATTAATGGGTATAAAACATTTAATTAGATAGAAAGAATAAGTTCTAGTGTTTGATACCACAATAGGGTGACTATAGTTGTCCGTAATTTATTGTATACTTCAAAGTAGTTGGAAGAAAAGATTTGTGTTCTTAACACAAATAAATGATAACTGTTTGAGGTGATGGAAAGATATCTCAATTACCCGGATTTAATCATTGCTTACTGTATGAATTTGCCAAAACACCACAGATACTCCATAAATATGTACAATTATATATCCATACAATTTTTTTGGAACTCAAAGGATAAATGAGCAAAAGTACGAACGGAAACCTCAGTAAAGAAAATATACGGATGACAAATAAGAATATAAAAATATGCTCAACCTCATTTGTCACTAAGAAAATGCAAATTAAAACAATGAAAAGAAACACTACACATATATTAGAATGGCTATAATTCAAAATATAATAGGAGCACAATTCCTGAAAAGGAAATGGAGCAACAGAGCTCCACTATATTACTCATGGGAATGAAAAATGGTACAATCACTTTTAAAAACAGTTCAGCAGCTTCCTACAAAGCTAAAAACAGTCTTACCATATGATTCAGCAATTGTGTTAACCAATTGATTTGCAAAGTTATGTCCACACAAAAGCTTGCACATAAATTTTTATGACAGATTATTTACAATTGCTAAAACATGGTAACCACCAAGATGTCCTTCATTGGAGAATTAATAAACAAACAGTGGTGTATCCATACTGTGGAATATTATTCAGTGATAAAAAGAAATAAGCTATTAGGCAAAAAAAAAAAAAAAACATAAAAACACAAACGAAACAAAACAAAAAAACAGACATGGAAGAATCACCAATATACGTTAATAAGTTTAATGAAGCCAACGCAAAAAGGCTATATACTACATAATTCCAATTACATCACACTTTGGAAAAAAGCAAAATATAAGATCAGAGTTTTCCAGGTCTTTGAAGAGAGACAAGGAGGATTGAAAAGGTAAAGCACAGGCCGGGCGCAGTGGCTCACGCCTGTAATCCCAGCACTTTGGGAGGCCGAGGCGGGTGGATCATGAGGTCAGGAGATCGAGACCATCCTGGCTAACAAGGTGAAACCCCGTCTCTACTAAAAATACAAAAAATTAGCCGGGCGCGGTGGCGGGCGCCTGTAGTCCCAGCTACTCGGGAGGCTGAGGCAGGAGAATGGCGTGAACCCGGGAAGCGGAGCTTGCAGTGAGCCGAGATTGCGCCACTGCAGTCCGCAGTCCGACCTGGGCGACAGAGCGAGACTCCGTCTCAAAAAAAAAAAAAAAAAAAAAAAAAAAAAAAGAAAAGGTAAAGCACAAACAATTTTTAAGCTGGCAAAAATATTCTGTATGATACTGTAATAATCAATATATAAGTACCCATAGAACTTTACAGCACAAGGGAGGAATTTTAATATATGTAAATTTTAAAAAATAGGAGGTCAAGAAATCTCCCAAAAAATTGAAGAAAGTGACAAAACAATCAGTGCATTACAAATGTATAAAACTACCTCACTGAAGAGGATGGGAGGAAAGATACTGCTCAGAGTAACTTTAGAACTGAGTGGGTTCTGTAAGACAAGAGGCAAAAGAAACTACACCTAACTGCAGAACTCTAGTTGATAAAAGTTGTTTCCTGCAAGGGTACAGGTTAACAATTCTGAAACATAAATGTTCACTGGACTTAACAAGTAAATGGATTCCAAATAGGAGTAGTCAGGTTTCTTACTACTGGAATAGGAGTTTACAGATAAGAAATGGGGAGGCTCTGATAATACATGTGGTCATTAGAGTTTGGTACATTAGAATAAATTCATAATTCATATTGAGTCTAATATAGGTACAGATTGTGACATATAGAAATATTTATGGATATGTGTACATTTGGGATGTTTGTGTACATATATACACATATAGATACATATATACACACATATACACACACATATATATGTGTGTGTATATACACACTCCAATGGCAATGAGAAATACTAGTACCCAGATATTGGTTTTTAATACCATTTGCCAATAAAAGCAACCAGGACTCCCTGGAGAAACAGGACTCAGGGAGGAAATGTATTAAGAAAAGCATGGAGCATTTTATGATGCCAGAAAGTAAGAAAGTGCTTTTAGGATGGCAAAAATATTCTGTATGATATTGCAGTGGTGGATATATGACACATTGTATTTTTGAAAACCCATAGAACTTTATAGCATAAAGAATGAACCTTAATAAATGTACATTTTAGAAAATATATTTGTGAGATCAAGATATCCCAGAAAAAAAAATAATGTGACAAAACAATCTGAGTGCGTTATAAATGGATAACACGATCTCATTGAAAGAGATGCGGGATTTATAGTAGAAACGAACATGAAATTAGAAGGAATATAAGGGAAAACAGGCACTGTGGAAAAAATAGTAAGAGATATGGAAGATAGAGAGAAAACAAACTACAGTAAGGGGAAATAAAGCTCAGATTAAAAACATAAAAGGTGTAGAATGTAGGAAAAGGAGATGTACCATCTGCATTTTCAGAGTCCTGCAAAAGAAGATTACAACAATAGGAAATTAAGGTAAAGATTTAATGCAAGAAAAATGTCCTGGATAAAATAAATAAGACTTGAACTTCCTTAAAAGAAGAACATGCTGTATACCACAGAACACTAGCCAGAACCAGCTTACACCAACACAAATCTTAGTGAATGTCTTGCATTTTAAAGATAGAATTTTTAAAAAGGAATCTTTGGGGTAGTAAGAGAAAAAGTTCAAGCCGCTTGTTAAAGAGGGAAGAAATAAAGTTGGCCTTGAATTTCTTCACATTGACACTTTTAACCACAAAACAAAACAAAAGAGCTTTGTTGAGCAGCATCTACAATATACTCAAGGAAGTAAAGTGTAATCCAAAGATTTTTATATCCAGCCAAACTGCCCTTCAAGGATAAGGCTGTTAAAATGCACAAATACACACACAGTTTTGAACAATCAATAACTCAGGTTTATTTTTCCCATGAACCTTTATTGATGAAACTGCCAGAGGATTAACTTCTCCTAACAGATAATTGGGGAAACTATGGCCAAAGGACAACTAGTGGGCACTGGAAAGGTTTAATTGTAGAAATAAAACTGAAATAAATGCAGGAATTATGTGCAAAGAACAAAATATAAACTATATATGCTGTACATTGTAGGAATGATAGAAATATTAAGTATTAGGAGGAAAGGGGGCAGGGAGGAATGAGAATGTCAACAGATAAGATCTCAAGAAAATTAAAAACATGTATACATTTTTTAAGAGTCCATAACTCAACTAAACAGACAAAAAAGCTAGAAATATATCTGCAGCTCATACTATATTAAATGCTCACGTAAAATAAAAAGAAAATATCAATACATGTGTGGAAAACGTCATAAACAGATAATTCACACTCTCTCTCTGTCATGCACACACACACACACACACACACACACAGACAATGCAATAACACAACTGTAAAAAACAGCTTTAAAAAAAGATAAATCACACATGCTAATGAGGGTCATGGAAACGGACATTCTCAAACAGTGCTAGTGACATTGCAAATTAAAATGACTCTTGAAAAGTACTGTATCAAATATCTAAGTTAATTTGTACTAAAACCTTAACATGTTCACCCAAAAAATGTTCATGCACATACATAGTCCTCTTCTATTTTAATAGTTATTGTAAATGGGATTACCTCCTCTATTTCTTTTTGGTGTATAGAAATGCTACTGATTCTTGACTGTAGATGTTGTACCCTGAAACATTACTGAATGCATTTACCAGTTTTAAGAGGGTTTTTTTTGTGTGTGTGAGTCTTTAGGTTTTTCTAGGTATAAGATTATGTTGTCAGCGAAGGGGACCAATTTACTTTCTCTTCTTCCATTTGGATGCCTCTTCTTTCTTTCTCTTTCCTCATTCTCTGGCTAGGATTTCCAGACTATGTTGAATAAGAGTGGTGAAAGTGGGCATCCTTGTCTTGTTCCAGTTCTTAAAGGAAAGGCTTTCAATTTTTGCCCATTCAGTATGATGTTAGCTGTGGGTTTGCTGTATATGGCCTTTGTTATTTTGAGGTATATTCCTTCTCTGCCACTAGGCAAGTTTTGTTGGCTTTCTGCAATTACCATATGCTTTCATTTCCCTGTTTTCTATTCTTCTTTACCTTTCAATCTATTATTTTATTTTTTCATTCCCCTTTGTCTTTACTATGGTCTATCTGTTAGTCCATGCCTCTTATAGACCCTTGCATCAGAATTACTTGGAGTGCAATGTCAACCATAGAGATAGATACTTGGGCTCTATCGCAGACCCCATGCTGTCAATATTACTGGACATGAGCCTGATAAACTCCATCTAACATGTTTTCTATACTCTGAGAGTCACTGTTGAAACCCATACATAACACTTGTTACTGAAGCAGCCACTGGAGAAAAAAAAAAAAAAAAAGCAGATCTTTCCTGGGTTACCAAAATTTCACAGATCAGAGTAAGCTTCTTGTATTAGTAACAGTTATTTATACAGAATATGTAGGTAAGAAGCAATTCAGGGATGTAAAAAAAAGATACACATGTGTATACATACATACACACATACACACTTTTTTACCAAGTCCAGGGATTGTCAAAAAGTACTTTGTAGGTCTTTTTTTTTCTATTCCTCACTTCTACCAGACTCAGTCTCTGCCTTTATCTGTTTCATACTTAGTATTCCATGAAATGTTTCATTTAATAAATTGTTCTGCTTCTCAAGAGAAAAGGCTTTAAAAACTATTGGTATGGTTCTACCATAAACCTACTAAACAGACTTTCTATACATGCAGAACACCAGAAACATAAGGTCAAAGACATACGTGTTCTGGGCTCCACAAGGGAAAGAAAGGCAAATTATCTACTACTTCTAGTTTTCCCAAAGACTGATCCCTGTTGAGAAATTCAAACATCTTTGACTTTACCTATTAGATCAATTAATTTCTAATGTTTAATCTTGGACTTGATCTGTTAGGTCAACTTATTTCTAACTTTTTAAATGTTTGATACAAAAGAAAATCTAAACCACCACTTATCATCCGAGAGTCAATCCAAATGTTATTTCCCCAAGTAAAGACTTTGACTTCTTCAAGTATATTTAAAGAATCCTTCCCTTTTTTCTACCACACTTTACAGGCATTTAACACAGAATTGTAAATGATGGTTTGCATATCTTTATCCCCTGTAGACAACAGCCAAGGTGTAAACATTCATCTCGGGAAATCCAAGCATAATAGGTACATTAAAATAATTACATGGATCTATTTATATAGCAAAAGATTCAGTCCTCTGCTCTAGGTAATCCTGTAGTATCCTCAGAGCATCTCAGAAAAGTGTTACCTATTTTAAATTTGTCTCCTATTTTTGGATTTATGTTCTTGCTCTTTGATCTTCACTTGCGGTGAAAATGTTAAAAGAATGATGTTGCCTGCAGCCGAGTTCATGTTGAAAAAGGCACTATATTGAGGTGCAGTTTGAAACGTGACAGCATATGTAAATGTGTTGGTGACGCTAAAAATACATGGATAAATGATGCATGACATCCACAGAGTATGCACAACTTTGTATTTATATAGTACCTACATGTAGACATTAGGATTCTATTTATGCATTTGCCAAGAAAGGGAAAAGTGTCTACATATGTCTCGTAAATATGGATCCGGGCTCATGCCCAATGCAGATGCTGCAGCGAGATGAGAGTGGGGAAGGGGCTTGTTGCTCTGGGAGCAGGCTGTCTGTCAGATCATTTCCCCAGAATAGGTTTCTGGAAACATGAACAAAGATGACGGCCCAGAGACAACAGAAATTTATCCAAAGAGGATAAAAATTCCTTTCCATAGTGGTTCAGTAGTATGTCTAATTTCTTATAATTCTTTGAAAATTGGTAATCTAGAAATGTCGGATGTGACTGCATTCAGTTAGCCAATGTATTAAAAGAACCCAAGAACTCCCATTTACCAAGTACTTAAAGAGATCAGAGTTCTGCTTATGCCTTGTCTACAACCAGGATGATGACTCACAAGGAGACTACAGGGGTTTTCAAAGAGAAAATGATGACATCACTGATGCAATACGTCTTTAAGGGTTTTGCCCTTAAAGTCAGAAAACCCAGGATTACAGTTTCCATCTTAGCACTTCGTGTCTCTCTGACCTTGGGCCTCTGAGGCTGAGTTTTCTTATCTGTAATACAGGGATGGTTAAGTACCTACCTCATATAGAGTTTTAAAAAATTAAATGGTAGAATGCTGGTAAAATAATTAGCACAGTGACGGGATAGTTCATAATGCAAAACATGATAGCTATTCATTACATGTATGCTCTGCTAATATTTCTCCCTTAATAAAATAGGGCTTCTTCATTTAGAATTATATTAGACTAAATAATATTTTAATATTCTCACTCTGAAATATAAATGCATAATTCCAAAAAGCTTAGCACATACAAACTTTTCCAAAATATGAATTTTTTTCCATTTATATTATGATGTTTTATCATAACTTACTCTGAGAAGTGTTCAATTGTTATATCTCATTCAAAAATTCAATGATTAAGCATTCAACTTATGACACTCACAATGTTAAATCAAATTCTATGTCTACCATCCTAGTCTGCCTTCAGATTTTCCTTTCAAATCAGTATGGGAAAGAAATATGATAGCTGTAGGTTTGCTGGTCTGGGAGATGGTGCTGGAATAGAGTGCGTTTAGTCTGGTGAAGTAAGGAAGTTTCTATAATCTCGTTACTTTCCCCTGGTGCCTCAGTTTAAAACATATAACAGTCATTTTTACAATAGGAAAAGTGACTTACTTGTATAGTTATCAGCTTTTACTGCAAAAGAATTAATGTCCATAACCACTTAACATTGTTTCTAAGAAGGTCCCGTCCTTATTGTATACTTAAGTTGTAACGTTCAATGATGCAGAATCCGTGTCTTGAATTAGGAAAACTTGGCACTTTACTAGTTTAATTTTACATGTTTTAATCCATATGAGGCATAAGAATGAAACAAAATGGTGGCGGGAGATCTTTTGCTCTTCTCCTTTCTATTAAATCTTTGGCTTTTCTTTATCTTCCCCCTCCCTCCCTTCTTCTCTAATCCCCTTGTTCATTTCTTACATAGACAATGACATAAAAAGGAGATGGTGAATAAAATAAAGGGTTAGACTTTGATCAGCAAATGCGCCGACGGAAGTCTGTTCCATTTACTAGCTCAAATTCCTCAGATGAAGGATTTGATCTTTATAGTAAAAAATATTCCACCGTGATACTCTTCAAGTGTGAGTCTCACAGCACCAATTCGCCACCAACTCAACCTGCTTGACAACTGCTCTGCATTCTTCTAACTCCAGAGAGCCTTACAAGTATGGAGAAAAGTATATGCTAACCTAGTACATTATAAAGGTCTGAGATATTGCAATCATTATTATCTCTAAAATAATTCTCTCTAAATAAAACAAAAAATAATCTAATTAAGTAGAAAAAAGCACTATCTCTGTATCAGCAATAAGCAATAAATTGTTATCAGCAATAAATGAAAAATCTAAATATTTTAAACAAGTAAATGAATAGTCTTAAGTGTGACGGCTTAGCTACAGAACAGAGAAAAGGCTCGCGATAGTTTAAAATAATAGTGATACAATTTTAATAAGGTGGCATTTTTTATTACAAACATTTAAGCGCTCTTTCTGATCTCTCATATTATACTCAGCAGTTAAGCAGCTTTTTTGTGGAGCTTTTCTAACCACCTCATTTAACATTAGATATAACTTTTAGTTTAATTAAAGCATTCTTCTTTTTCAGTAATAGTCAATTGTTTTCAGTTCACCCATTAGGTATAATTGTTTTCTTTGATCCATTCAAAACCTGGCTATTTTTCATGGTTAATTAAATCAACACTTGACCACAGCATTTAATGCTTAACTCAGTTTTATTTCTATTCTTGAGTACTTGGGCTTCTTCACATACTACGTCTTGAAAAGATTGCTCACATTAAGTTACATACCACCTACAACTTGTCCCTGTAAGTAGAGGCAAAGTGTGTATTTCAGGAATTCCAGCAGAGGGCAGTCAAGCAAGAATAATCATTTTTGCAAGAGGAGAAATTGATGATGATGTTTTCTGATATTTTTTCAAATCAAATTAACATCAGAGTATGTGTGTGTGAGTGTATATGTGTGTTGGGGGCTGGGGGTGGGTGGAACAAATCTATCCTTGGCGAGCCAACTCATTTCTCACTTAACCTCTCTCTCAGCTGAATAAGAGCCACTGTGTGCACAAGATAAGAGACAAGATATTTGCAAAACACTCCTAGTATTAAAACCAAAGCCATAAATTCTGTTACGACAACTGACATTTTCATCACTCTCTACTTTGGCTTCTTTTACATTATATGGATTTTAAGAATAAGTTCACATCATTGAAGAAAGTAATCAAACTTTTGAAGAATAATACTTCTTGCCAGGAAATTATTGAAATAAATACATTTTAACTACAAAGCAATGCAATAAACAAAAGTAAGTTGGCTTCAGTTTTCACAAGAAAAAAAAACAGAAGATATATTTTCTACCCCTATTTAGGAGATGACAGGTGGAGCTTCCAATCCACAGAATGCTCATTTCTAACATGACTAACAACTCCTATATGCCACTTCTGGCCAATGAGCTCTCAATTACTTGCCATCTGTTTCTTTTCAAAGAGGCCTTCCATGAGCCAACAACCAGAAGCATTGCACTAGGGATCACCTGGCCAGAGATATGGAAGTTCCATTCCTTTAACTCTTATACCGTGCCATATGCTGGTAAATATTAAATGGCCAGCTTTTCAGGAGGAAAAAGCACTAAATCATAGCTTTTGCCAATTTCTGTAGTGTAAATACTCATGCCATAGTAGATTTCAACTTACCAATATGAAGTCACTGAACATGGAGCTGGAAAGAGCTGCATGGTAGCACACCATTAGGTCATGTTCCCAACCTACAGATAGAGTGGACATAGTCACAAAAGTAAAGATAATGGCAAAAATGTAGTAAAATAATTAGGAAACAGTAAGTTTCAAATACGTATTACTTTTGTTTTTTAAGGTAATTTATGTATTATAAGTCAATATACTTTATTTTTTGATAATGGCTATGTTTAACAATTGGCTCACAAAACCACTGCAAATTTAACAGTCATTTCTTGGGAACTGTACGAACTGACTCAAGTACACCACAGATACACCAGACCTTCTGGTACTTAATCTTAAGAGAAGTAGTACAACAAAACACAACAAGAGTCAAGATGGAGAAGTTGTCCATTTTGTTTAAAGCACTTCATCATCCTTTATACTCAGTTTTCTAGGCAGGAAAAATCATATCCCATTAATAGAAAATACTCTTTACTTTTAAAATAAAAGGGATATAAATTTGACACATTTTGTCATATGAATCACTTATGTGTCACTTTCATGCTTTTTTTGCCCTGTGAACACGTTATTATTATTATTTTCATTCTTAAATGTTTCTTTTTTTAAAATTTTATTTTAAGCTCTGGGATACATGTGCAGAATGTGCAGTTTTGTTCCATAAGTATACATGTGCCATGGTGGTTTGCTACACCCATTGACCCATCTTCTAAGTTTCCTCCCCTAGCCTCCCAGCCCCCAGCAGGCCCTGGTGTGTGTTGTTCCCCACTCTGTGTCCATGTGCTCTCATTTTAACATGTAATTATTTCACTTTTTGAAAATCCACTCAACTTTTAAAATAAAAAATTTTATTTAAAAACATCACATTCATAAAGGGAAAATCATTAACATATTTTACAAATAGGCATTAACCCTAAATATAAATGATAAAAGCACTATGTTAGTAAATTCTGTCTAGAAACCACTGCTTACCAAAAGCTTTGTATCTGAGGCCTGCTCTCTTTTTGCCAAAAAGATGCTTTCCTGAGTTTAATAAAATATTAAAAACACATTAGCACTCATTGAGACTTTTTCCTTTACATAATCAGGAAAACGGAAGCTGAATTAAACAGAGATTCTCGCTATGCAGTTCAATGTTGTTTATTTTCATGTCCATGTCCTTGTACATAAAATCCATTAGAATGCATCCTAAAATCATCTCACCTACCACTGGGGGTGCACGTTCCAAGTTTGTAATAGCACCACCATCCCACCAGTTGGTTAAAACCCCCAGAATATAATTTTTCTTCTCTAGATTACAGGCTCTACTAATTCTACTTCAAAAGTAGGTGACTTACTGTATGCATTTTGGCAAATTACTTAATATTTGCTAATCCTGAGTTGCCTTCTCAGTTATTATGAAGATTAAAAGTACTTATCACAGTAATTGCCTGGGATAAAGTCAGTGCTCAAAAAAAGTGCCATCTGTAAGTACTGCTCTGGGTGGTGTCATGATTATCAATAAAGGTAGCTATGTGGTTTCCCAGCCCACAGCAAATTAGAAAGAGAGACAGCCTGGGATTGGTATTCTTAAGGCAGAAAGAAACATCAATTTAACTTCTGCTCATTCATGAAAACACAACCTACAAAAAAACAAAAAGGATAGGTATTTTAAAAGTTTAAGAGTTTTTAATACAAATATTTTGTTTAAAAAACAAAAGGACAAGTATTTTAAAAGTAAGAATAGTGAGGAACCATGGAAGACCAGAGAAAGGAGCTGACATCTCTCAGTGGATCTTGAGAATGTCATTAAATGACTGGTGGGACTTGTAACCAGAACTCAGGGTTATCAAGAAAATTTTAAAATATATTCGATTATTTATTTATTTAGGCAGGTTAGGGTATAGCACATTTTGGAAATATTTTTGTTAGTATACCTAAGTTGATTAAAGTTGGTTAAATTATATAATTTGATGGTTTTGTTTTGTAGGCACAGAAAGAAAACTAGAAAAACATATGCCAAAATCTTAATGGTTGTCATTGCTGGATTTGGGGTAATAGGTAACTTTTATATTATTTCGTGTGATAATTTCTAAGTTTTCTGAAATGAATGTATACTATTTTATAATCTATAAAAAGCCAATGATTTTGTAAAAAAGTTAATGAAGGGGAACAATTTCACTTTTTCAGAAACTGAATAAAAATTAATACCTGCTTTTATGAATGTCACTGAGTCATTACCGTTAGATCAGTAATCAAGTGTTAGGAATTCAGATTCATATAAACTTAAGGAACAAATCATTTCAGAACTAATCCTATTGATGTATATTGATTTAAACTTCATTTTAATTATTATGACAAATGTATGTCTTTTTGTCTCTCCTAGTTTGCTAGGTTGTTTTCTGATGAGCTTTTTTTTAGAATATGTGAAGAATCATAAATAAAATGTGATAAGAAAACCTGGATTACATGCTCAAAGGATTGTTGAAGGAACAAGTGAAATAGTTCCTTCGTTTGGAATTTCACAGCAATGTGCCTGAGTGTGCCGTTTACCTCTCCACTTCTCCTACTCCTTATGCTGAGTGTTCAGTGGATACTTTTAATCTGTAGAGTATGTCTATAGGTTCTGAAAAGTTACGCTTGCATTACTTATTTAATAATTTCTTGCCGTCTATTTTCTTTCTTCTCTTTTTTAAAGATACTTTTAGCTCACTCCAAAGATTTTTTTCCCCTCTCCTGTTTTCACTTTCTTTCCATTTTTGGTTCCACTTTCTGGAAAGTATCTATGACTTCATCTTCCAATTTTAAAACTGATTTCTTTGCAAGCATTTTAAAAGATTCTCCAGAGCTCTCTTTTGATCTCTGGTTATTTATTTTTAAAAATAACACCCTGTTTTTGTTTCATGGAAGTAATGTCAGGTATGAATGAGGATTCTAATTGGTTTTTTTTTTCTTATGCCTACTTTATCTGTGCATGTTTCAGTTGGCTCTTTGCATGTATTCATTTCAATATCACTCTTCCTTGTTGGAAGATTTCCTGAACAGCTGGTGGTCCTTGATTTATTTGTATGTAAGAATGTGTGATGAGAAAATTGATTGGAAACTTAGTAGAGTTTGCTGATTGGTTGCATGGGATGCTGTATTCTCAACCAGATCTCCAGCGTCAGTATGTGGGGATCTTCTCTTAGCAGCTGTTCTATGAATTCAGAAGAGACCTGAAGTCTCCTACCCGAGAGTTAGGCACCTGGTTACTGGTGTTCTTTGCACTGGCCAGGGGTAGGTAGCTTATTTCCAACTATTAAATTTCAATTTATCCCTTGTTTTTAATCTCTATCTTTAGTGTACTATTGCTGAGTCGTGGTAAATCTGAGTTAGTTTAGTCTTCCAAGAAGCAGAAACCAAGATGTGATTAAAAGTCCAAGGATTTTATTAAGAAAAATACCCAGGTGAGAGAAAACAGAGAAGGACCTAGATAAAGCTGGAAAGGCAATCAGACCACAATGCATGTCTGATGCCCAGTGAAGGACAGAGGGAAGGAACGCTGGGTGAAAGCATCCGAGAATGTATGCAGTCTAAAGAAGTTTGACAAGGCTGTTGTGGAGTCCTCAAACCAAATTTAGGAGTCTGGGCCTTCCTGCCATGCTCAGGCACTGTCCAGCTAGAGGCAGCATGTGGGAAGCATAGCCTCACATAATGCAGAACTGGGTTCCCAGCTCAGCAGCTGAAGCCCTGGGTCAGTGACACAGTTACACTCCCTGCAGCCAGAAGTCTGAAAGGTGCAGCCTCAGCACCACCACCATTTTCGTCATGCTCCTCCTCATTCCTGGTTTTACTGAATGAAGGGTTGATTCTGTTACTTATTGCTTCTTCTGATGATTCTAATTCTATAGTCACATTTTATTATCTTTAAACTATTTCCAGTCTTCGTGAATTGCTTCAGTCAGTATTCATTTTACTCTTCATTTGATCTCATCTTTCATCTTTTTTTCTAAAATAGCTGGTTTTCCTAAAGTTTGAGTATAGAACAAATACTTGCTAAATTATACTTCTGTTAATTTTTTAACTAACCTTTTTGTTTTGAGGGAACCGTAGATTCATCTGCAGTTGTAAGACATACCATAGAGAAGGGTACTTTTAATGCAGCTTCCTCTGGTGATAACATCTTGCAAAACTGTAACACAGTATCACAACCAGGATATTTACATTGATACATTAATGATGCAGAACACTTTAATCATCATAGCAAGCCACCACTTGGTCTTTTTACAGCTGCACTTCCTTACCCCTGACTCCCACTCTCTCCCTAATCCCTGGCAACCATAATCTGTTCTCCATTTCTATAATTTTGTCATTTTCAGAATATCATATCCATGGAGTCACATAGTAGATAACCTTTCAAATTGGCTTTTATCCCTTAGCATATATCCCTGGAAATTGATTAAGATTGTTACGTTTTATTGTTGAGTTGTATTCCAGGGAATAGATGTACCACAGTTTGTTTAACCATTCACCCATTGAAGGACATCTGAGTTGTCTTCAGTTTTGGGGTTATTATGAATGAAGCTGCTATAAACATTTATGCACAGGTTTTTGTGTGAACATAAGTTTTTATTTCTCTGGGATAAATGCCCAAGAATTCCAGAGTTGTATGATAATTGCATATTTTGTTTTTAAGGAAACTACCAAACTGTTTTTCAGAGTGGCTCTACTATTTTACATTCTCATCAGCAACATATGGCTGATCTGGTTTTCCAGAACTTCTACAGCATTTAGTGTTGTCACTATTTTTTTTATTTTAGCCATTCTGACATGTAGTATAGTAATATTTCATTGTGGTTTTAATTGGTATTTCACTAATGAATAATGCATCTCTTTTCTTGTGATAATTTGCCATCTGTACATCCTTCTCAGTGAAACATCTTCTTTATTTCTTTTACCCATTTTCTACTGAATTGTTTGTTTATTTAATGCAGTTTTCTGAGTTCTTTATATATTCTAGTTGCTAGTCCTTTCTCAGATAAGTGATTTGCAAACATTCTCTCTCAGTAAGTAGCTTGAATTTTTATTCTTTTATGAGAAAAGTTTTTTCTTTTATAGAGAAAAGTTTTATTATTTTACAGAGAACAGTTTTTGTTTTACACAGATGAGATCCAATGTATCAATTTTTCCTTTTATAAATCATGATTTTGATGGTAAATCTAAGGATTTTTTGCCCAGTTTTAAATGGGTATTCTACATTTAAGTCCATTGATAGGTTATAAGATAAATTTTAAATATAAAGTGAAACTTAGTAGTTCTTTTGTTTGTTTCTTAACTTATGGATGTCCAATTGCTCTAGTATCATTTGCTGAAAAAATTTATCTTTTTGTTCCATTGAATTGTTTATTTATCTTTGTCAAAAGTCAGTTACGTATATTTTTGTGGATCTATTTTTGGTTTCTATTCTGTTTCATTAATCTATGTATTCCTCAACCAATACCACACAGTTTTGATTTCTATAGCTATAAAATAGGTCTTGAAATTGGGTAAACTCATTCTTTTCAAAATTGTCTTAGTTATCCTCCTTTTTTTCCTTTGGAAAATAATTAAAATATTCTTGTCTATTTCTACAAAATTGTGTTTATACATTATTGAAATATTTATTCTATATGCATTTAAGATCACATCAGACAGTGTTGAGATTTTTGCTCAACTCTCAAGGATAATTTTTAAAACTTAAGAAGAGAAAGAAAATCTATTGGATTTACCCATACTGTTGCTTAGCATGCTTTTCATTTCTTCCTAACATTCCAAGGTTGGAATTTTCATTGTTTTCTTTCTGTTTAGAGAACTTATTTTAAGCATTTTAGGATTAGTGTTCTGGTGACAAATTCTCTTATTTTCCTTCATCTGATGATGTCATGATTTTTCCTTCATTCCTATAGGATATATTGCTGGATATAGGATTCTGGGTTGCTAGTTCTTTTCTTTCAGTATTGAAAAATGCTGTGTCATTTCCTGCTAGCTTCCATGGTCTCTCTGATGAGAAATCTGCTCTCCTTTTAATTATTACCTGCCACTAAAGTAAGGTGTCATTTCTCTTTCACTCCTTTCAAGATTTTTTTCTTTCTCCTAAGTTTTCAGAACACTAAAACTTGGCTATGAGGTCTCTTGGGATGAAGTTATTTGTGTTTAACTTTTTGAAGGTTTGCTTAGCTTCTTGAACGTATAGGTTCATCATTTTTTTTTTTTTTTTGCCAGATTGAGAAGTTGGTTCATTATTTCTTTGACTACTTTTTCAGCCCTGCTATCTTTCTTCTCTCCTATCAGGACTCCAAAGACATGAATATTATATCCTTTTCATTATACCCAAAATCCTCAGGGCTTGTTACTTTTTAAAAGTCTCTTTTTTTTCTGTTGTTCAGATGAAATCATTTATATTGTCCTACAATTCAGTTGGGGTGACTAAATACGAACCTAATCAGTGAGGAGGTCTAGAGTCCCCAAGGGGCCTTTGCTGTTATGGTGGAGTAGAGTCACAGTTGTCCATGCTGTTTGACTAGAGAAGAGTGATTATTGCCTAAAAGTTTTTGTCTTGCTAGGGTGCCTCGTTCTTGGTTATTTGGTTAGAGAGAGGAGGCTTTTGGGATTTTGTTGTTGTTTGTTTGTTTGTTTTATCTGTGCTCATTAGCATTTCTGAGTGACCAATTTCTTCAGCTGCTAGTGTGGGATATATGAGGTAAAAACAAATCCCAGGGAATTCACTACTATGTTGTTTCTCAACTCCCATAATTTCTAGCCTGTCTGTCCTCTTCTTTCCCTATTTTTGGGCATTTTAAATATATAATATTTAGAGGGTTTAGCTGTACTTAGCAAGAGGAATAGGGAAAATTACATCTCCATCTTCCTGGAAATAGAACTATTCTATTGATTTTAATACATATTTTGGAAACATATTTTTCTTCTCTGCCCCAAATACCAGGTTCTTTATCTTTTTTACTATAGAACCTTGCAAAAATCCCACACTTCTCCCCACCAATACTTATTAAAGAAAGCAGGCTCTATCCAGGTATTTATTCATAAAATTTGGAGGTTTTCCTTATCCCTTAAGTATCAACTTACTTTTTCTTAGAATCCTTCCTTTTGTTTTTGAATCGGGTAATGGTTAACATGAACTACACCTGGCCAATCTTCCTATGCTTTTCTCTTTTATGTAGGGAATATTTCTTTATCTGTGAAATTCAAATCTGTCTCAATGATATGATTTTATAAGGTGGCCTAATAAAAAGGGGTTTCACAAACTACTCATAATATCTGAAATAGGATATATTTCAGGTACATATTATGAGTACTATAGAACCACTGCTCAAGGCTTCTTTCCTACCATATAACACATTAAGCTCATTTCATATTTAGGAGTTATCTTGACTATTCCCCTTGTCTGAAGTGCTTTTTACCTAAATTTTTGCAAGATTGGCTTTTGCTCATCATTTAAGTCTCAACTCAATGTCACCTCCTTAGAAATGTTGTTACTGACTTCCCAGTCTAAATTAGGCCGTCCACAGTATGGTATTTCTGATTCCATTATCCTAAATTATTTTCTTCATAGCATGTCTTAATATTTGAAATTACCTTACTAATTTATTTGCATGCTTTATATTCATTTCATCTTCTTCCTATAGAACATAAGTTTAATAAGGAAGGAACTTAGAATTTGAATGAATGAATGAAATAGCTAGTAAGACACATACATAAAATAGTTTTATATTTACAATTAGTTTTGAAATTTTGAATATGGGTGAAGAAGTAATGAAAAATATTATATATGGAATTATCTTTCATTGAAAATCTTATCTAATTGTATCATAAAGGGTTCATGATGTTTCCAGTATAATTTATTAAATACATATCAAGAAACAAACTCAGATTTTAGATACCAATACTATACTTTAAAAAGGGGGAATTTCTGTATAATTTTAGCAATAAATTCTAAAGTAAATCATTTTACATATTTTATTCAAAATAGAAGATAATTGTTATTTGGAATTTCAATGTACCTACATGCAAAAAAAGGTTATTCTTTAGCCAGAAAACGTAGCTTTGGTATAGAATATTTGGGAGATCAAAAAATGTTAGAGCAAGTAAACAGATTATTTTCAATTAATAACTTTGAGGAACACTTTTTGCATTCTGGAGATTTTAGTCACCCACAGAATTTGTTTTTAACTTAAAATAGATAATTTTGTTTAAGTGCCTCTGGTGTCTTTTTTAGAATTTGGATCATAGTGTGTCACCAGCACTCATGTTCAAGTTAAGTATCCAAAAGGAAGAAGTTTAAGTGGAAATTTTCCTTCTTCTTTAATCAATGTATCTATAGACTTTCTAATAGAAGAGTGCTGTGCAAGAGCTCAGTGCAACAATCATGTTCAAAAAAAAACATACTTCACATTGACATTTGCCCTTAATACCTTTTTCTTTTAGTGTTTGTTGGGGTGCATAAGTGATAGAAGGATGAGTTTGCTAAGGCAATTACCCATTATTGTTGAGTGGTCTAGCAGTCCCCTGAGTAAACTCATGCATAATCTGTTTATGCATAATATACTGTCTACAGTACTGTACCTACCCCTGCCAGGGGGAAGAAATATTTGGGACTTCTTGCTCATACTGTTTCCTTGTACATTAAATGACCTCTTTTCCCAACCCGACCTTCATCTCTCTATAGCCAAATCCAAACTGTCTTTCAAGCTCAAGTGCATTTAATGACCACATAGAAAGTTATTTTTCCTCCTCTCAACAACCCCTGAGACTTTATCAATACCCCTCATTATAGTTAAGTATAATACAGGTGAGAAAATATATATGAACACATTTTATCCTATTAGATTCTAACTGTAATGAGGTGAACAAATAATGGGTTGCTGGCCGCCTTACATGCTCTGGCAAATGCTCCCCACTTTCTGAAAGCTGACCTCCCATTATTTTATTTTTTTTTTAAGACCGAGTTTCACTCTGTTGCCTAGGCTGGAGTGCAGTGGCATGATTTCGGCTCACTGCAACCTCTGCCTCCTGCGTTCAAGCAATTTTCCTGCCCCAGCCTCCCGAGTAGCTGGGATTACAGGCACCTGCCACCGTGCCCAGCTAATTTTTGTATTTTTAGTAGAGATGGGGTTTCACCATGTTGGCCAGGCTGGTCTCAAATCCCGACCTTGGGTGATCCTCCCACCTCGGCCTCCCAAAGTGCTGGGATTACAGGCATGAACCACTGTGGCCAGCCTGTTCTTCCATTCCACTCCCCCATTTCTTGTGTGCATGACCTGTGAAGAAGCAAATGTGCTCCAGCAACCAGGATCACACACCAAGCCGCAGCATCTTGGGAAAAAATGTTTGGTGATGGGTGGATGCTTGACCTGCTCCCTGGGTAACAGGGCCTGAAAAAATAAGGGAGAGAGATTGATTGTCTCTCTTCATATAGCTCAGACCGTAAGATCTAGTGTTGAAAGTGAATCACATCATTCATCTGATCAAAACCCTCGCAGAGCTCCCATGTTCCTTGGGAAAAAAAACACAGTTCTTTTAACAGCCTGCAAAGTCCTCTGTGACCTGTGTCCCCGTTACTTCTCACTTCTCACCTCTTAGTTATCACACTCTCTGCTCTAGGCATGCTGGCTTCTATGCTGTTCCAATACCCCTGGAATTGGAACCTGAGACCTACTATAGACTAAATGTTTGTGTCCCCCTAAAATTCATATGTTGAAACCTAGTCTCCAATGTGATAGTATTTGGAGAGTGAGCCTTTGGGAGGTGATTAGGTTTCGGGTGGAGCCCCTAGGATTGGATTAGGGCTCTTATAAGGGGATGGAGGGTCTAGAGCTCTCTCTCTCTCTCTCTGCCATGTAAGGATGCGGTGTGAAGACAGCCATCTGCAAACCTGAGAGCAGGCCCTTACCAAGAACCCAAACATGCTGGCACCCAGACCTTAGGCATCCAGCCTCTGCAACTGTGAAAACTTGTTTAAGCTAAGTCTGTGTAGTTTGCTATAGCAGCCTGAATGGGCTAATACAGAACCTTTGCCCTGGTTATTCCCTCTGTCCATGACCATCTTCACCGATGCACTGGCATGATCAAATCTCACATTTCTTATTCAAGCCTTTCTGCAAGTGTTATCCTATCAATGAGGCCTATTCTGACATTCTGTTTAAAATCACAACCTCCCTTCTCTCCCCTACCCTATTTATAGCATACTCAGTCCCCTTCAGTATGTTCCAATCATTTATACCTTTAGCACTTACCACTTTTTAACATTGTTCTTTTCTTTTTCCCTTTCAAGACAGAGTCTTGCTCTGTCACCCAGGCTGGAGTGTAGTGGCGCGATCTGGTCTCACTGTAACCTCCGCCTCCTGGGTTCAAGCAATTCTCATGCCTCAGTCTCCCAAGTAGCTGGGATTATAGGCATATACCACCACGCCTGGCTAATTTTTGTATTTTGGGTAGAGATGGGGCTTTGCCATGTTGGCCAAGCTGGTCTCAATTTCCTGGCCTCAAGTGATCCACCCATTTTGGCCTCCCAAAGTGCTGGGATTACAGGAGTGAGCCGCTGCTCCCGACCCTAACGTTTTCCATATGTCTTATTTCTGATGTGTATTGCTTGCTGTCTGTTTCCACACACTAGGGTATAAACTTAGTAGGGCCAGGTCTTTTTGACTTGTTTTCACTGCTGTCTGTATCCAAGTACCTAGAACAATATTTGGTATCACGAGCATTCATAAATATTTGTTGAATAAGTAAATATGCAGCCACATTCTAGTGTGTGATGAGAGGAGCAGAAAAATTAGGTCTGAAGCTACAGAGAAGCATAAAGCATAGCATATACTTCCTCGGGCCCTTCTCCATCTCTGCTGTGTTTGTTAATATAAACTCCCTTCTCTACTTAGGCCAGTTCCGAAAAATTACTATGGCTTGAACGAAGACTCTAATACATTTAAGAAGGCAAAAGCCAAGAGCCAAGTTTGTTTATTTCTATCTTTTAATTGCCCTCCCTTGATTTGTTGCAATGCCTTGCACACAATGCATATATTTAAGTTAAGTGAATGAATGCAGCTTTGCTTAAATAAAATCTAACCTACTAAGATATTTGCTCCACACTAAGGAATTTTTGTACTTGCCACTGCTTATAGTCAGGAAATCACCCTGATGATGTATTTACTTGCCTGTGTTATCTTAGTCTGGTTTGCTATTAAATTGATTTCCGTACATTGCAGGTCAGTGTTTGTGGATCTTATTTTAGCATGTTGCAATCCACCTAATGACCCAATTCATGTGTTGGGTGGTGATCTCTATTTCTCTTCTGCTAAGATCTGTAATCAATATATCATCAGTGGGTAATCAGCGCATGTCTTTGCATAATGGTTTAGAATCAGTTTCATTGCCAGATCAGCTTGTGCATATCAGAAAAGAGTCAACAGCTCGAAGCTAAAGCATAACACCTCAGAGATGGTGCTGCATCCTTGAATAAGGAATTTTCTAAGACTGGATTACAATTATATATAAAATACTAACATTACATTTGTAATGCCCAATTTTGTTCTTGAAAACAAAAACTGTAATACATCTTTTGTAAGAATTTTAGAATTAGAAATTATATTTTAAAATATAAATGTTACTTAGTCCATCAAAGATGAGGATTTGGAAGAACCTAGACCAACTCAGAAAGAGTTAGAACATCTTCCCTAAGCTTTCATTTTCTCTTTAGGTATTTCTGTTTGAGAAGATTTTTCCCCTTAAGTAAACATTTAGGATAACTCTTTCCTCTTCTTTCAAAGCACATAGTATGGAGGAAAGTTTAAAAGGAGTTGTGCTGAAACAGTTGGATATTTATATGCAAATAAGTAAACCTAAACCCAGACCTTAACCACAATTAATCAAAATGTATCATACACTTAAATGTAAAATGCAAAATTATAAAACTTCTTGGAAAGGCTATAGGAGAAAATCTGTGTGACCCTGGGTTGGGTGATGAGTTTTTATATACAACACCAAAAGTGAAAAAAAAAAAAAACAATGAGCAAAAGATCTGAATACATATTTCAGTATAGATGATATACAGATGTCAAATAAACATATGAAAAGATGCACATCAGTTATCATTAGGGAAAGGCAAATTAAAACAACAATAAGAAATGCCATACCTATCATAATGGCTAAAATCCAAAAAAATTAATGATATCAATTATTGGTGAGCGTGAAGAGCAAAAGGAATTTTTCTTCAGTCCTAGTGGGAACACAGAGTGGTTCAACCACTTTCAACCACAGTTTGGCAGTTTACTACAAAGCTAAACAAAGCCTTGTCCTATGATCCAGCAATTGTGCTCCTTGGTATTTATCAAACTGATTTGAAAACATATGTCCATGTAGAAACTTGCACACAAATATTTATTGCAACCTTATTCATAATCAACAAAACTCATATGTTCTTGAATAGATGAATGTATAATCAAACTGTGGTACAAGCATATAATGGAATATTATTCAGTGATAAAAAGGAATAAGCTATCAAGCCATGTGAAGATATGGATCAGTATTAAATGCTATCGCTAAGTTAAAAAAAACAGTCTGAAAAGGCTACATACTATATGATTCCAATTGCATGATATTCTGGAATAGGCAAAACAATGGAAATGGTAAACCGATTAATGGTTGCCGAGGTTTTGGAGGGGATGAGGGGAGGGTTCAATAACTAAAACACAAAGGATTTTTTAGTGCAGCTATTCTTTATGATACTGTACTGGTGAATAGATGACACTATGTGTTAGTTAAAAGCCATAGAAATTTACAGCACAAAGAGTGAGCTTTAATGTATGAAATTTAAAAAATTATTTAGGAGGTTAGAGAATCAAATGATAAAATGCAAAATGGGACAAAACTATCTGGCTGAATTACAAATGTATGAAGCAGTCTCACTTGAAAGTGTTGGGAGAGAAAGGTTCTGATCTAAGTAACACTGAAAATACCTGGAATCTGTAAGATTAAGGGCAAAAGGAACTGTATGTAAGAACAGACTCCACTTGATAAAGTTAGTTCCTATGGGAATATGGGCTAGCACTTCTGAAACCACTTGACATGTACACAGGAATGGAAAAATGAAAACTGGTGAGAAATATTGAGAACTAGATTACTCTGTTGGAGCAGGAGGTTAGAGATAAGCAAGGGGAGAAAATTAGTATGGTCTCTGTGGTAATGGATTAGAGATGGAGACATCGGTATAAACTCATATTTAATTTCATATAGATATAGATTGTTACATGTAGAATGCACATACATTTATATTTATATGAGTTAGTATACACACATATATTTCTTTGCTCTGCCAACTAAGAAGGTCTAGAACCGATGACATCCAAGTAATAATTAATACAATTAACATCCAGATATTTGTTTTTTATATCATTCACTAATAAAAGGAAGCAGAATACATCCTTGGAGAAATGGCTTATTCTAGGGCTGGGGCAGCAAATTTAGAAGAGTAGCCTGGAGCATCTTGTAATGAAACGGCAGAGTTCTCTGACTCCCCTTGCAGGACTTGCGACAGGGGTGTGGCTCCTCTGTTCAGCCGTTCACACTCAAACCCATTACAGGAGGGGGAGCAATCAGATGGGCAGGTGCAGGAACCAGGGAGTGTGCCCTTGGCTCTGGCCCCATGGCAGCATCCAGAGGTGGGTGTCTGTGACTCCTGAAGCCCACATGGGCACGTGTTAGAGTGCATTCTTTTAGCCTTGTTGTCTGCAGATAGCTTAAGTGTTAACCAGCTCAGTGCCCTCTTCATACCCAGGTCCTTGTCTGGTGTCCAGGAAGAATCAGGTTGCATGCAGACTTGAAGGATGGTGAATGCAGGGGTTTCATTGAGTGGTGGAGGTGGCTGTCAGTGGGATGGATGGGGAACTGGAAGGGGGATGGAGTGGGAAGATGATCTTGCCCTGGAGTTTGACCATCCAGTGGCCAATCTCCTCTCCAACCATCCCAAGCCAAACTCCTCTTGGTGTTCAGACACTCCTTCTCTTCTCTCTTTCTCTGGCCCGCAATTCTGCCATTCTTCTGCTATTCTGTTCGTCTCCTTATGGAACTGGGGGCTTGGGGTTTATACAGGTATGGGATAGGGAGGTGTGACAGGTCAAAAGGCAACTTTTCAGTGTGAAAACAGGAATGCCTGTTCTTATTTAGGGCCACAAGTTTCCAGGCTTGAGGGTGGGGTCTTTGGTGGTTAATCGCTCTCTTCTACCCAGTATTTCCCTGTCTCCTGTCCATATCATTAGTGCTACAAATTAGAAGCAGTGCTCAAAACACCCCCAGTAATGGAGGTCTGTCAAAGGAACATGGGAACCAACTGAAAAAGCTCTCAATGACCAAAGATAGAACAATTTGAGCAACAAAATAAAATAATATAAAATTATATTATATAATGTATATATATACATTATAATGTAAAATATGAAACAAAAATCTATGGTTTTATATGAATAAATAAATGAATACATAAATATATGGAGGAGAAAGAACAAATCCTATGTACAGAACAATTCCAAGTAATTTATTTAGATAATCTACCTTCAAGGAGGTAGAGCACAACTGACCATTCCTCAAGAGTAGGCTGGGCATAGTGACTTGCTTCTGCGGAGTACAGTAAGGAAAGAAGGAAAAAATAATAATTTTACAATGGAAACTTGACAAACCTCCCTTTATCAAGGTGATCAAGGCTAATGTCAACAGCAAAAAGCCATACTACAAGTATATACCCTTGATATAATGTGAGAAGAATCACACTGTGCCTCTGTGGTCTTCCTCCCAAAACTCATAACTCCAATCTACTCATGAGAAAATCTTCAGCCAAATCCCCATTGATGGACATTCTACAAAATACCTAACCAGAAGTCCTTGAAATTGTCAAAGTCATCAAAAGCAAGAAAAATTTGAAAACACTCACAGTAAAGAGGAGCCAAAGGAGGCATAATTATTAATACTAAAGGTAATGAGGTATCCTATATGACATCCTGGAACCGAAAAAGAACCTTTAGTTAATATTAAAACTAAAAAAATGAATAAAATATGAAACATGAATAAAGTATGAATTTTATTTAATAAAAATATACCATTATTGGTTCATTAATTGTGATAAATATACCATATTAATGTAAGATTTTAATAGTAGGGAAAATCGAGTGTGAGATATTTGGGAACTCTGTACTGTCTTCCCAATTTTTCTGTAAATCTAAAGCAATTCTAAAATAAAAAGCTTATTTTAAAAATGTAATGAGGAATTGGCTTCAAGTACAAAACTGTCTTCTTTAAAAGAGTAACATCTCCAATTCTATCTTCCTTGGCACTTGTAACTCTTCAGAGCATTTTACACCCACAACTAACTTTTAGTACCTACTACTCATGTTTGCCAATGCTGAATGACTTCAACTATAATATAGGAACAAGCCACCTCTTTACTCTTAACTGCCACAATATGCAAACACTGGCCAAAGAAAAAGGGCAAGGGAGAGAAATTCAAAGATGAAAGAGACCTAGACAAAAAGAAACATAATCACATTTACATTGGAAATGCCGGCATCACCAATAATGACTTCAGGCAATACTGACTGTCCCTTGGCCATTGGTTTAATGTTTCTGTCAAAAGATGATGTTTCTGGAAATAAAGGGTGTATATCTCATAAACTCCCTGTTATATGCTTCAGCAGAATTCCTAAAAGACACTTGGGATTCCATTGGAAAATGTAGCTCGCAGTTAGCCATTAATCAATCAATTTAGTGAAAAAAAAGTGGCAATTGAGTTCTTCAGAAGGTAATCAGACACTAAGACAAATACTTTGGAATGAATATAGTGTAAAGCCAACTACACTGGTGTACACCATCAATATGTCTCAACTCAAAGTTGTCATCAATTATTCATGAATTCTAAGCCAGCTAAGCAGTTATGCTAAGATACAGAAGCTTTCAAAATTTTCCACTTATTAACAAGCAGTGTCAAATATGACAGCAGGTGTTTACTGCAGCTACTGAAGATACAAGTTTGAAGTGAGTCACCTAAACTTTCTTATAATAGACACCACGTGATCTCTCCTCAGTTTTTGCAAAGAAAAAAACAGTGCATTCTGTCATCACTATTTAATTTCTGCCTCAAACAAAATGACCCCAAACACTCAATGGTAATAGTGTTTTACAACCAGAAATGGTATAAACAGAATAAGGCATTTCTATTAAAAGCTATATTCAGACTACGCTTTGTTACTCTTGCTGTGAAAGTGCTCATTTTCCTTGTAGTAATCCAACAAGAGGATTTGAGGATTGAGAGTACAAGGACAGTTTTACATCAAGGCTCCAATAACCATGTAAGCAAATATTTACTTTGGATTTAATACTTTCTTTGATTCCCAGGGATATCTATCAACAGGCTTTACATATTACTGATCTATTGTAAATATTCTTTTGTATATCCAATATCAATAAACAATATTTTTAAAGTTTTTTTTTATTGGAGTGCCTATCGTGTGCTAGACACTGTGTCTTAACAAGGAAATACTTTGCTGCTGCATAATGCTATTAAGGACAAAGTTCTTTCTGCCCTTCTGCTCTAATATCCTGTTGGCTTATGTCCTCGTGGACAAAAAATGACCACTGCACCTCCAGGCATCACATTTATATTCTTGACAAGAGGGAGGGAATAGTCAAGTGGAAAAAGTCTTTGCCTCTTGAGGTTTTGTCTTCTTATATAAGAAGGAAAATACTCCCTATCAGTCTTAGTCTCCAATCTCATTAACCAGAACATTGTCACTTGCCCAATCTTAAACCATCAGTGGTCAAGGGGAAGAAGATTATTTTATCCTGATTTGTTTTGACCAACTAGGATTCATCCTCTGGCCTGGGATAGAAACCTGTGCTTACTGAGACTATGCAATCTTTCTTTCACCATGAAAAAATCAGGGTTTTGATTGGTGGAAAAAAACAATATTCTTGGTTGCCTTTAAAGCAGGCCAAAAAAAACAGGGTCTGCCTCACAGTCCTAGATGCTACTGGGACAGAATTGGTCACTGCATGTGCAAATCCTTCTGGCTCTTCCATGGTCTCTTGTGGGCTAATTATGGAATCATAGCAGGGCCAAGCTGAAGAAGGGGAGTGACTTGGATGCCTCTCCCATCCCCACTTATTCCATCAAGAAACTATATCCCAAAGCACCAGAAAGAGGGATATGGTGATGATGGTGAAAATAGTAACAACAATAAACATGATGACAATGACTCACATATGTATGGCACTTAGCCTGATATACAAAATCACATTTTAATTACACAGCCACCCTGAGAGACAGGTGTTTTCAGCATTATGCATATTTTACAGAAGAGGGAACAGACTCAGAAAGGCTTATTAACTCATTCAAGATCACTATGTTGGGGTCCACCAAATGACCCTAGCTTTGATTATTCACCAAGAGGACTCACAAGATTCAACTATATGCTGATGTAGTTGTACTATGATTTCTTACAGTGAAACAATACAAGCAAAATCAGCTAAGTAAAAGGTGCAAGGGGCAAAATCAGGAGGAGACCAGGTGCAAGCTTCCAAGAGTCCTCTCCCAGTGGAATAATGCAGTATGCATTTAAGTCCCCCAATAATGAATCGTGACAACAGGTATGGAATGTTGTCTTCCAGGGAGCTCATTAGATATTCAATGTCCAGAGGTTTTACTGGGAGCTGTTTACATAAGCACCATATACCTAACACACAATAAAATCCCATGTTCCCTGAAGGAAGGCAGGCATACAGCATAAATCATATTGTTTGTCCCAACAATTTAGGTACAGTGAACTACTCTTATCAGTTAAGGTAGTAGGAACCTTCCAAAAATCCAAGTTCCCATATTCCAGCCAAAGGCCAACATTTCAAGCAGGGCTTTCTAAGGATACCCTGCTTTTTTTATATATATATATACTTTAGTTCTATGATACACGTGCACAACATGCAGGTTTGTTACATATGTATACATGTGCCATGTTGGTGTGCTGCACCCATTAACTCATCATTTACATTAGGTATATCTCCTAATGCTATCCCTCCCCCCTCCCCCCAACCCACGACAGGCCTCAGTGTGTGATGTTCCCCACCCTGTGTCCAAGTGTTCTCATTGTTCAATCCCCACCTATGAGTGAGAATATGCAGTGTTTGGTTTTCTGTTTGCCCAAAATGATGGTTTCCAGCTTCATCCATGTCCCTACAAAGGACATGAACTCATCATTTTTTATGGCTGCATAGTATTCCATGGTGTATATGTGCCACATTTTCTTAATCCAGTCTATCATTGATGGACATTTGGGTTGGTTCCAAGTCTTTGCTATTGTGAATAGTGCCACAATAAACATGTGTGTGCATGTGTCTTTATAGCAGCATGATTTATAATCCTTTGGGTATATACCCAGTAATGGGATGGCTGGGTCAAATGGTATTTCCAGTTCTAGATCCTTGAAGAATTGCCACACTGTCTTCTACAATGGTTGAACTAGTTTGCAGTCCCACCAATGGTGTAAAAGTGTTCCTATTTCTCCACATCCTCTCCAGCACCTGTTGTTTCCTGACTTTTTAATGATCGCCATTCTAACTGGTGTGAGATGGTATCTCGTTGTGGTTTTGATTTGCATTTCTCTGATGGCCAGTGACGATGAACATTTTTTCATGTGTCTGTTGGCTGCATAAATGTCTTCTTTTCAGAAGTATCTGTTCATATCCTTCGCCCACTTGCTGATGGGGTTGTTTGATTTTTTCTTGTAAATTTGTTTAAGTTCTTTGTAGATTCTGGATATTAGCCCTTTGTCAGATGGGTAGATTGTAAAAATATTCTCCCATTCTGTAGGTTGCATGTTGACTCTGATGGTAGTTTCTTTTGCTGTGCAGAAGCTCTTTAGTTTAATTAGATCCCATTTGTCAATTTTGGCTTTTGTTGCCATTGCTTTTGGTGTTTTAGTCATGAAGTCCTTGCCCATGCCTATGTCCTGAATGGTACTGTCTAGGTTTTCTTCTAGGGTTTTTTATGATTTTAGGTCTAACATTTAAGTCTTTAATCCATCTTGAATTAATTTTTGTATAAGGTGTAAGGAAGGGATCCAGTTTCAGCTTTCTACATATGGCTAGCCAGTTTTCCCAGCACCATTTATTAAATAGGAAATCCTTTCCCCATTGCTTGTTTTTGTCAGGATTCTCAAAGATCAGATGGTTATAGACTTGTGGTGTTATTTCTTAGGGCTCTGTTCTGTTCCATTGGTCTATATCTCTGTTTTGGTACCAGTAGCATGCTGTTTTGGTTACTGTAGCCTTGTAGTATAGTTTGAAGTCAGGTAGTGTGATGCCTCCAGCTCTGTTCTTTTGGCTTAGGATTGTCTTGGCAATGCAGGCTCTTTTTTGGTTCCATGTGAACTTTAAAGTAGTTTTTTCCAATTCTGCAAAGAAAGTCATTGGTAGCTTGATGGGGATGTCATTGAATCTATAAACTACCTTGGGCAGTATGGCCATTTTCATGATATTGTTTCTTCCTATCCATGAGCATGGAATGTTTTTCCATTTGTTTGTGTCCTCTCTTATTTCCTTGAGCAGTGGTTTGTAGTTCTCCTTGAAGAGGTCCTTCATATCCCTTGTAAGTTTGTTTCCTAGGTATTTTATTCCCTTTGAAGCAGTTGTGAATGGGAGTTCACTCATGATTTGGCTCTCTGTTTGTCTGTTATTGGTGTGTAGGAATGCTTGTGATTTTTGCACTTTGATTTTGTATTCTGAGACTTTGCTGGAGTTGCTTATGAGCTTAAGGAGATTTTGGCTGAGATGATGGGGTTTTCTATATATACAATCATGTCATCTGCAAACACGGACAATTTGACTTCCTCTTTTCCTAATTGAATACCCTTTATTTCTTTCTCCTGCCTGCCTGCTGTTAACTCTTCTGCACAATCATCTATCTAGAGCATACCAAAACTTGGACTTGAATCTGGGTCTTCTGATTCTATATTTCATTATCCTCCTGTTTGCTTTTGAATATAGTAAAGGGAATTTATAATATTAAAAAGAAAAGAAAGAATAAAGATATCTGTATCTAATTATGATTATGAGAAAATAGGGCATCAGAGAGTTTACATGTGTTGCCTCAAATCACAAGTAAACATTTTGAGGGAGAGAACTAGGATTCTAGCACAGGCTTGTTCAAATGCTGAAGTCAAATTTCCCTCATTAAAACACACTGCTTTTTAAAATCTATTATATAATAAATATATTTGAAATGTATTATAAATTTTGGTCAATAAATAATAAAAACAGATGACTATAATCTTTACACATTGGGAAATCTGCAATCAAAAGGGTTTAATTCTTTAATGAGAATTTGGGGATCTGTAAATTAAAATATTTCAAATAAACTAGGGGAAGGAAATTAAATTTTAAATATTTAATATAAAATGTTTAAGATTAAAGCTATGGCATATAATGTGATCAGTAGAGAAAATATAAAACCAAAAGTAATTATTAGATAAAAGATAAAGCGATAAACATTATTGTATTTAATTTTATGTAAATTTTCTTGGAGTACATGAGTAGTGGATTTCATTTAGAGAATCATATTTTTATGATCAATTTATAAAATGCTCTATTATTATTTAAGTTAGCGTATAAGTCCATACCCTAGGAGGAGGAATAGACACAACTTCAACTATCAGTTTTAGCATATGATTATGCCAAGTGATGCAAGATCTCCCTAAATAAAGATTGCAAAATATCTATCATTCTCATTGCAAGAAATTATAATGAATCCTGGGCATGCAAGATGTTGAGCATTTATTTATTCATATTCTTTGCTTGCTGCTTTTCCCTAGAGAAAATTAACAGCTGAAATGTAGCCATCAAGCAGAATATACAATAGGGAAAACAAGCACTTAACAGGGTAGCTATATTCCAACTTTGCCAGCCCACTCTCAGGAAGCTTTGACTAGAAGAGGAGCTGGTACTCTGTGTATGGTTCTAAATCTGGGACCACCAGAGCAATTATTTTAAAATTAACTACCTAAGAGCAGGAGACATAAAACTCCCTATTAAGGGAGTTTTAAGTTAGATATTAAGTTAGATATTATTAAGTTAGATTATATATTATTAAGTTACATATTATTAATATTATATTAAGTTAGATATTATTATTAATAATAATATTAAGTTAGATATTATTATTAATAAGAATATTAAGTTAGATATTATTATTAATAAGAATATTAAGTTAGATATTATTATTAATAATAATAATATTAAGTTAGATATTATTATTAATAATAATAATATTAAGTTAGATATTATTATTAAATCATTCTGATTTTCTGCAACATGAGGGAGAATATTTGATTCTTTGGTGGTGGTCCCGGAATAGCTAGTAATAGATGAACCCCTGGTAGGAGCTCTATTCTTCAGTGGAATTTTTTCTCCCTCTCTCTCTCTCCACACACACACACACACACACACACACACACACACACACACACAAACTTTCTATTATGTTTAACTCTTCTAACAAAAAGGAAAGATGATGATTCTCTCTCTCTAAAGAGAGGATACATTAAGTATGGACATTGATGAAAATAAAATGTTGCTAGTAAGTTCAACTACTGAATTATTCTACCAAGGTCCATCTCAGACATCAAACTGCTGTGGTTTACTTATGTTTTACAAGACTAATGAAGAGAAAAAGCTGCTCATAAGTAGGAGATGTCCTTACCAATCCAAAGAACAGAAAATGTTAGTTTCCTGACGCTTGACTTTTTCTGACTCCCACAAATTTCTCCCACAAACCTCCAAGATTGACAGATATGTCTTTGAGTGGGAAAGGGGAACTCTGTGTTACACGGAAATCTCAGGAAAGGAAGTAAATCCTTGTATAACTTTAGAGATACCCACTGCGACATTGATTACTCTTGTCCTACAATCACCAGTATAAAAGAGTATTTGTGAAGCATACAATTTCCAAAGAAACTATATTAAAATTATATAATGCCCTCAAATCAGTCCTTGCCTCAAAACACCTGGGGTCTGCTTACTTGTTCTCTTTCATAGAACTTAACATGTAGTTCTTAGAGAGTCAAAGAAACTGCTCACAATTTTCAAGCTAAAGCCATGATATATATTACTGAATCAAACTGCAAGCTTAGGAGATGTCTAAGCTCATAGACTTTTCTGGGTGCTGAGTGCTATTTTGTACAGTGATTCTTTAAAATATAAATTTGACCTTGAATGGAAGTCTATTCATTTAGAATATGAGGTTCTTTTTTAGGATGAACTTTCAGTCTTGCTGCTGATACCAGTTCCTAACTTCAGCCTGAAATTGTTATATTAGCAGAGGGCCTGGACTGTGATTCCCTACAGCCATTGAATTCTCTTTTTTTTTCCAAGATGGGGTCTCCTGGTTTGATACAGCTATAACAGCATAATGGGAAAGATTAATTTGAGATTAATATCATATTTCAAATCTATCCTTTGAAGAGTTTGAAGACTGAGATCACTATTTTTAAATATCAGAATAAGCAGCTTTGCCCTTTGTCAATGCCATAATAAAACTGTTTTGTTGTTGGTGGTGGTAAATTGAATTTAACTTCAATACTTCGCAAGCATGATATGAACCCAGGATATTGACTAAAAATTACCCAGACAGGAGTGGGCACAAGTTCAAGACACCTACAGTATATCAATGGCACTCACAATTATAGCAGGACAATCCCACAGTGGCAAAGTAAATAGGCTGTCTTTATTTCAAAGCAGCTACTTTAGTTACTCAACTTCAGAGTGTTCAATTATAATTGTGTGCTTTCTGTCTTAGAAATATTGTCTATGGTATTATAAAAAAAACTTAGATAAAATTTTTATGAAAAATCTTGAAAACTATGATTGTGTGCTGGTATATTATAAAGAAACAAAACCTAAGCAAATATGTTTTGTTCTGCTTAACATAACAAACCCTTCAACAAAACAAACTGACAAATATTTGAGGAATCTAAGGGCTAGCCATACAGTGCATGTACTATGTACATAATATAGTGAAGGAAACGAAATAGTAAAACATCCACACTTTGCTCTCAAGGAATTTGCAATGCGTTTGGAGATGAAATATACCCACCAGGTGAGAAAATAGCATTAATTCACTGCTCATGTGTCAAGCACTGTGCTACGTGTTTACTTATCTAAAGAATGTCTTTTATACCCATTCTACATATAAGGGAACTATAGAGTTGTTTTTTTTTTTTCCCCAAAGCAGTAGGTTTATGGGTGAGGGTTGCGATGAAATTCCAGGACAACCTGGAAGCAAATCAACTTTTTTCCCATAACATTACATTGGCTTTGATGAATAAATTCAGGTATCCAGAAATAAAAAAGTCACAAGGAAGGATAAAATTAAGTGCCAAATAAATAGTAGACATATGTATTTCTTTTGTTTGTCCATTGATTGTCAATCCTAGAGGAACATGGGAATTGAGATGAGCTAAAGAGATAGTTCAGTATAGTAGTTAAGGTTTAAACATCACCTGAACCCCAGCTCTTTAATTCATTAGCAACATAGCTCTGGGCAAGTTTTTCAATTTTCAGCTTCTTCAACTGTAAAAATGAGGGAGTCATATTTAGCTTACAGGGTTGTTGTGAGTATTGAACAAAATAAATGTTATCATGCATAGAGCCTAGCACAGTGCCAGACATACAATTAAGCATTCAATAAAGGGAAGCACTTATTTATAATAATTACATATTAAAGAAGGGGCAGAATTTCACTAGGTAGCAAGAAGGAAAACATTGTCCTATAGGTCATAAGTGTCTAATTTTCTCATTTAAATCCCTACTAGTGAAACATAATTTTGAGCTTGTGCCCCTAATATACATATATTTATATATTACATACATTTGTATATTATGTACATATATATTACATGTATATATCACATATACTTTTATCTCAAGGCATTCTATTCCCAAGGGATAGTGTCACAATTAATAATAGTGGAAATAAATCCATATTTTAAATTTTCTCCTTAATAATTCTGATATTTTTGGCTGATTCATGTCAAATATGATTAGGTTATTGTTTTTTAGGTCTTATCATGAAGCTGACAAAGAGCTCATTCCCTAAATAGCAGAAAGCTGCTTGCATAACTATGTTATCTTCAACTATGATTCCTTAACAAAAATCTCTTAAAGCCACTTTTGAAAGTTAGTTTAGAAAATAATTAAACTGTATAATCTGTCAATCTGCTTAACTAGGCACAGGCAACCTTCCATATGTCAAAATATTCTGAAAGCCATTGAACAAGTGAGGAAGCTTTGCCAACTGATTTTCAGTGAAGATTCCCCACCTGTGTAATAGGTGACCATCAGATAACTAAACCAAGTGAGAAAGTCATTGTCAACCAATATGTAAGAAATTGGGCAAGTTTAATTTCTCTCACGTACTTAACAGTTTCTAGCAGTTTCTTCACATGCTTCATTGGGTTATCCTGTCACTCCACTCCATTTGGAGACCATTACTATGGAAACCGAAAACTGTTAAAGGGGTTTAAGCAGGACTAAGACATGATAAAGGCAAGTTGGAGGAATGCTATACAGCAGCAATACGTAAGGTAATTTGGAGAAATAGAGAAGAAATTTGCAGACTAATTAGAAGACCACTTTGGGTACTTAGATGCTGGGCTCTATGTAAAAGTGTGAAAAGAAAAAAAATAAAATCAAGGCCCGGATGGTTTTCATCTTTCAACCTAGTATTCTGTAAAAGGTTATGTTTTCTTGCACAGAATCCGTATGAGTGTGGTAGTTCCAGGCAGAACATGTAGACAAGACAGTATCCAGTGAAGAAAACAATGAAAGTTCCCATTTATGTCTTTTAAAAAGTATATGTTTTATACATGTGTGTGTGTATATAACCATTTGAATATTTAAATATTTTTTATTATTTTAATTTACTTATTATTTAATATTTTTTAATTTAACGTTTAAAGGGAAGTATACCCTCCCTAGACATTCCCCTCACATCTCATTGGCAGGATCAGGTCACATGTTTCTGTTCTAGGTGCAAAGGAGGATGGGAAATGAGTATGTGGCATTTCAGCCTCCAAAGTGTGAAACAGGCTCTGTCCACAAGGAAGAACGAGTGGGGAATGGCTAGTAGTCCGGCAATATTGGAAACAAGAGGTTAAAGAATGGTAGCTGCAGCAACAAGAGAAAAAAAAATTCTAAAAAGACAGAACATAAAGGAATTTGTGACCAAGTAAGACAGTCTGAGTGAGACTGAGAGAAGAATAAAAATGGCTTTTAAGTTTTTCAGGCTGAATGGTCAAGGAAAGATAACAATATTGGTAAAGTAGAGGACGTAGGAGACCTTATTACTCATAGTAACATCAACTAACATTTGTTAAGAACTTACCTGGTGCCAGCTGGGCGCGGTAGCTCACGCCTGTAATCCCAGCACTTTGGGAGGCCGAGGCAGGCAGATCACGAGGTCAGGAGATCGAGACCATCCTGGCTAAAACGGTGAAACCCCGTCTCTACTAAAAACACAAAACCACCGGGCGTGGTGGCGGGCGCCTGTAGTCGCAGCTACTCGGGAGTCTGAGGTAGGAGAATGGCGAGAACCCGGGAGGCGGAGCTTGTAGTGAGCCGAGATCGTGCCACACTGCACTCCAGCCTGGGGGTCAGAGCGAGACTCCATCTCAAAAAAAAAACCAAATTTTCCTGGTGCCAGACACTGTGCTAAATGCCCCATTACCTCATTTAATTCTCACTCTAATGCTACTACTGATCTATTTTAAGTAACTTCTTCCAAGAGGTGAGCTCAGTTTGAGGCACTGGTTCTGAGATGACACTTGGACATCCACAAGAAGAGTGGACAGGAACTGCAACTTGCAACCAGAATGAGGATGGAGGGAGGTATCTTGGAGTCATTCATAAGGGACTTAACCTAGGAATGGCTTACTAGCCTGGAACACCAGGAGCGGGGAAGTCCTTTCAACATCGTGAACTAATCCTGCAACAGTCAGCCTGTTTATGTGAGAGTTCTAACGAAGAGAAAAACAAAACACAAATCTGAAGTGAGCTTCTGGTAATAGTCCTCATGTCCCTAAACATATTTGTTTCTCTTTTGAATGCTGTGTGTTTGAGTTAAAGAAGAAATTCATTCTAATATATCTGCTTAGTTGTCTTACATTGCCATGTCCTTTGCTTTGAATATTTGTGCAATGAAAGAGAAAGCCACACTCAAAAAAATTCAAGTTTATCTAAACAATGGCGGTTTCCATTTTTAGATCATTCATCAGATCTATCAATACTGAATTCACTAATGCCACACTTCCCTTTGTCTGCACATACAGTAGTGACATAGTAATTTAATTGTGAAGTTACTGTACCAAATCTCATGAGGTTTCCCCAAAATCTTACACTAATGCCATTTTGTTCCATTAACTTTTATAATCTCCTGGCACTTGATAAATTCTGAATTGTGCCATTATCTGAATATGACAGTCTTCTGTGAATAGAATCAAATGGAACTTGATTTCTTTACTACCTCATTAATAGTCTAGATAAAGGGCAGGGGTGCAAATTATCTGACAATTTTTAGAAACAAAAACAGCTGTGCTTTATTCTATCATTTATGTAAACATGCTGCTTAGAAAAGCTTAAATAGGTGAATCATATTTTAACATGGTGAAAGTGCACATCTCTGACAAGATTTGTGTGTGCAGACTTTGTTGTTTTATTTTCATCAATAGTTCCTTGAATTTTCTTCCTTATCTATCATAAAGTACAGTGAGGTGTCAAGAGCTATGTGGAATGCTTAAGCCTAGAATAGATTGAATAAATTGGATTTGTGGGGGTGGAAAATCCAGGGTCTGATTATCAGGTGGCCCCAACTCTTGTTCTGATAAGAGAGAAACAGAAAACACACATTTCTCTCTTTGGAGTCCCAGAATGTGATAAGCTGTACATAAGCCCTAGCGATACACCAGTAGCTCATCCACTAGTGCCAATTACTTCACGGGACGAAGTTTTGACTGGGCCAGGTAGGTGGGTTGACATCGGCAGGAAATCATGCATTGGAGAGAAAAAAATATATAGAAGAATGATGGAAATAAACATAATGTTACAGAAGAGATTTCTGAAAAATAGGATGAGATTTGTGGGCACACTTAAATAATCTTTAGAGCTCATACGTTGAAGGATTCATGTTTTGTCTAAGAAGAGAAAAGCTTCAATTTGGGGATCTCAATCTTCTCAGGCTTAATATCACCACAGGGTTTTTATGCATATTGTTATCAACATAAATAAAGTGAAATTATTGAAAAGATGTAAAATGTTCACTTGTCCTACTTTAAAAGTAATTGCCTTCTCCTTTCACTTATAAGTGTATAAAATTATATTTAATGAGTTGTCTATAATTTATTTTCATTCACTTCAATCATTCATATTCTATATAACAAATGTCTATTTATATTATTTTGTGTACAAATTTAAATGATTTGTTCGGATTCATTTTGAATGTTTTACTGAGATGTGAGGCAATTTCACATTGAAATAACCACTCACTATAATTTACTATTATTTTTGTATTTAATTAAAAACCAAAAACATCTTCTCCCGTATACTTCACTTGGTTACTTTTAAACCAACAGCACTGACTCAAATAGCATAATATTATAGGACATAATTATCAAGCAGGGTATATAAACAACAATTTTTATGTTGGAAATATAAATGAAGGAATGTTTGAATGAATAGATATGCAAATATTGAGTTTTTCCTCTCCTTCCATTATTTTCTGGTAATGTCTCTTACCTATAAAAGACCTCAGGAAACCTAAAACTGTATTAAGTGGTATTATATAAAGACAAATATAGATATACAATATAGATAAAGATAGCTTGTCTGAATATGCCATTTAATATTAGTAGCTCATTTCACTTTTCATGTACATCAGATTACTGATATGTTCTCAAAGTTTTATAACTAATTATAGAAAAAGATATGTGGGTTTTGAAGGGTTTAGATCAACTATAAGTTCATGATTAAGATTTTAAAAATATGACTTTAAAAATGAGAAAAACGTTTGTAGATATTAATATTACTGATTATTTCTTTGGTCACTTTTGCAGTTTCTCTTAAAGTTTATATATTTTTTCCGAATTAGGTGTGTGATCAGTTAATTTTAACTAGATAATTTATACACTTATTTAAAATTATTCATTCTTTTTTGAAACAGAGTTAATAGTCTTTTACATTGGAATCAAGTTTTCTGGCCGTCTTTTTATACTTAGATTATGTTTCTTCCTGAATTTTTAACCTTTAAACATCTAGTAACTTTTTCTTGTAAATTATTTCAAATTCTACCATACCAATACTTGGTGGGTGTATGAAGTACATACAGGTGTTTTTCTGATAATTTACAAAACAAAAAGATGAAAATCTTTAACCAAAATATTTCTGCTTATTCAATTAGAAACCTTTTATTTCAATAAAGTTTTGAGAAACATCAATTAAGCAAACCAGAGATAAAATGATTTTTTAAGCCTTTAAAAATTTTTTTAAAGGAAAATCTTTAAGATTCTATTGTGTGATTTTTCTTTAGTCCCAGATAATATGTCTACAAATGAATTTCATGAAATATGCCAGAATTCATATTCTCATTTTTCTCTGGTAGTGTTTTCTAGTTTCTCCAGGATATTGTAATCACTTGAACATTTTCTATTAAAACAGAAAAATTTCTGTGTGGAATTACATTTTCAATAATTTAAGCCCCTGAATTTTTTCTATAATACAATATTTTTATAATAATCATGCACGAATTCTTACTTAGTTTTGATATACATGATTGAGTTGCTACTAATTGATTAATGCAACCAGACATAAACTGAGCTCCACACCTCTCTCACATTCCTCACCAATTCAAAAGTGTTTTGAAAAATGAAATGTAACAGCAGCAAAAGAGCTTTGCCAATAATTGTCTCACAGATAGTATTTTAGAGTTTTTGGAATTTAAAGAACCATAAAGGCAAATGTTAATAGAGCTTTTAAAAACTAAGAACTTATTAAAGATATATGGTTAATCCTTCACTTTTATTCAGAAAGTTTCTCCTGTCACACTTGAGTTCTATACTTTTTTTACCTTAATTCTAAATGTTTCAGAAAATTTACTGCTACTCTTATTTTCATATGATGAATGACCATGATTAACTATATGAAGTAATTGAATGACTAAAATTTGGTACTGTATTGCTAGCTGGTTGATTTCTTTTCTTTCAATATTTAAAAAAGTTGCACAACTGTCTTCTAGTTTGCATGATTTCTGATGAGATGGCTACTGTCTGTTGTCATTTATCTTTTTTATTCTGTGTAATGTGTCATTTTCTCTCAAGTTACTTTTAAGATTTTTCTGTTTAGTACGAGCTTTAAGTAATTTGATAATTTTTGGTGTAGTTCTCTTTCTGCTTCTTGTGCTTGCATTTCATTGAGCTTCTTCAATTTGTGGGTTTCTAATTTTCATCAAATTTGGAAAACGATTCAGCCATTATTTCTTCAAATGTATTTTTTCCCTGTCTCCTCACTGCATCACTCTCTGGGTGTCAATTACTCATATATTAGACTGTTTAAAGTTGTTCACCACTCACTGATGCCCAATTCCTTATTTTTCAGTCATTTTTAAAATCTGTGTTTTTATTTTGGATAATTATTGCAAGGTTTCCAGGGTCACTCATATTTTCTTCTGCAGTCCTTAATCTGTTCTTTCTTATCCAACTCATTTTTGTTTTGCATCTTAGAAATTGTATTGTCATCTCTACAAGTTCAAATTGGTGTTTTTCTAGATCTTCCATGTTTCTCCTCATGCCCAGGCTTTCCTCTGCCTTTTGGGACATACATAGTTCTATTTGCTGTCTTTAGGTTCCTGTCTACCAATTCTATCACCTATGTCATTTCAGTGTATATTTCTAATGATTGATTTTCTCCCCAATTACTACAGATTGTGTGGTTAGCTTCTTTGGGTACGTGGTAATTTTTGATTGGATGTCAGACTGATATGGTTGGGCTGTGTCCCCACCCAAATCTCATCTTGAATTGTAGCTCCCATAATTCCCACGTGTTGTGGAAGGGACACAGTGAGAGATATAAATCATGGGGGCAGACCTTTCCCATGCTATTATTGTGATAGTGAATAAGTCTCACAAGATTTGATAGTTTTATAAAGGGGAGTTTCCCTGCACAAGCTCTCTTCTCTTGTCTGCCACCATGTGGGATGTGCCTTTCACCTTCCACCACAATTGTGAGGCCTCCCCAGCCATGTGGAACTGTGAGTCTATTAAACTTCTTTCTTTTGTAAATTGCCCAGTCTCAGTGTGTATTTATCAGCAGTGTGAAAACGGACTAATACACAGACATTGTCACTTTACATTGTCTTGTTCTGGAGGATTTGTTTATTCCTTTCAACATGTTTTACCTTTTTTTCTGGGACAGTGTTATTTGGAAAATTTTGGCTCCTTTCATGGCTTCCTTCCAAGCTCGATTAGGCTGATTCAAAGGTGAATTTTCCCTCACTACTAGGATGATATCTGAGGACTTACTGGATGCCCAGTGGTGAAGTCTTTTTATTCTGCCTGGTGGAAACACAAGTTCTTCTGGACCCTGTGTGAGCTCTGGCTGTGGTTCTCCCTTTTCCTTTCTGGTAGTCTTCCCTGGACTCTGAAGTTTCCTCACTTGGACGGATTGAGCCATATTTTGCTGAAGACTTGATTGTTTGCTCTCCTTGCAGCCTTCTCTTCAGGACACAGACATGTGAATTCTACCTGCCTTAGCGTCCCCAAATTCTGAGTTCTGTCTCCTCCACTCTGGCCTACTACCAGACTCTGTCTAGGTTCCCCAACCCTGTAAAATCTCTCTGGGCAGCAAGCTGGGCAATCATAGAGTTCCTCTTGTTTTCCTTCCTCAGGGGTCACTGTCCTGCACAGCTTGTTGTCTAATGTCTAATTACTGTGGATTATATGTTTGTTTGTATGCTTGTTTGTTTTAAGTTGTTTATGGTGGAAAAGCAAATCGGTTCTTCTTACTCCATTGTGTCTAGAAGCAGAAGTTCCTCATAACATATTTGATAGATGTGAATATTAGTATTAATTATTATCATCATCCAGCTGGACACAGTGGCTCACTCCTGTAATCCCAGCACTCTGGGAGGCCAAAGTGGTTGGATCACTTGAGGTGAAGAGTTCGAGACCAGCCTGGTCAACATGGCGAAACCCCATCTCTACTGAAAATCAAAGATTAGCCAGGTGTGGTGGCACATGCCTGTCAGCCTAGCTACTCAGGAGGCTTAGGCAGCAGAATTTCTTAAACCCAGAAGGCAGAGACTGCAGTGAAACAAGATTGCACCACTGCACTCCAGCATGAGTGACAAAGCGTGACTCTGTCTCAAAAAATATATATATATTATCATTATCATCACCATCATCATCAAATATGTACAATGATGCCTGAAAGGCATAAAACCTTATCCATGACTGTCTTGCTATCATCATGTAATTCTCATGTCCATAGAATATCTATTTATGGGGTAATTGAATAACAAAAATAAAGGAAAGGTAATCATATAAGAGAGAAAAATATATTCAAAATTTGGGGAAAAAGGGAGGAAGCCTACATGGAAGGATAAAAACTCTCGTAATATTCTTTAGCTATTCCAAGTGTCTGCTCAGAATATAAGAGATGGCCACTGGACTGAAATTCATGCCGAGGGCTATGGACCTCAGAGCTGTTAAGTCAAAATGAAAGTTCACTGCCACAGACTGGGAAAGAAGGCTGCACAACAACAATAATAACTGCCCACACTTAAATATTTACTTTGTCCTAGCAATTGTTTTAACCACTTAACATTTAGTATTCATTTACTCCTACAATAATACTATGAGATGGATGTTATTATTAATTCCCATTTAATAGATTGGAAAAGTACAGCACAGAATGGTTGAATAACTTGCCCCCAAAATCAGACAATTAATAAGTGGCATAGCTGGAATGTCAAACCCATCATTTGCAGCCTATATTAAGAATCTGCACCAATTTGCAATTGTTACACTCTGAGAGTAAATAAGGAAGACAGAAAGAATGGCAGAAGGAAGGGAAAGAGGAAGGAAAGGAGAAAGGGAGGGAAGGAGGGAGGAAAGAGAGCACATTAAAAATGAGAATAGAAATTCCCCAAAGTCAGAAATACTCAGCAGTTATGCCGATCTCAAGATCAGGCTTTGACTGAAATAAAATCAATTTTACTAGAGTTCTGAGAGCGGTTCTAGGAAACAAAGAGTGAAAGATGAGATAAAATAAAGTTGTAACAATCAACTGGATTGTAAATACGTGAAGAAACACAGTTCATCCGAGAAAAGGTGTCTAGATCTAGAAGGGGTTTATCAGTTATGTTAGGGCTATCCAGGCTATGCTGGGTGGCAATGGTAGCCTGGTAGTTCAGACAAGACTTCCTTTATTCTAACAGAGATGTGATTTACAATCTGATATACCTACCAGTTTTCTTCAAGGACTGGCCCTTTGTTTTTATAAACATCTGTTTATAAAGGGCAAAGGTTGATGTTATGCAGGTGCAGTATTAGCCACACATATTTTATTCCTTTGAAAGAGGGTGTTGTAGGTGGAGGGACAGATAGAGTAATAGTAGAATTTGAAATGAGCAAATGGCAAAGGAAGTAAATGTCTCAAAATTTCTCACCATATAAGGGACTACATTACTGTTCTAATAAAATGTTTTAATATATTTTCCTCTCTCACAGCACAATTAGAGATGCTTTTGAGTTGATTATTTCCTCTTTTGAAATGTAAATGAACACTTGAAAGTTGAGCCTTATCCAATCTTTCTGCAGTAACTTTTGTCAGCTAATCAGATCCACACTTAGTTGAGACACTCACAGCCCGCATGGGTGAGGTGACTGGAACAGAAAATGAAATACACGTACATACTTACAGTGTATCTCAACAGAGAAGCAACTCACTTGGGGCAGGTCAGTTCTTTATTGTGCAGGATGTTTCCTGCATAACAGAATGGTTAATGCCCCAGGTTCCTTTACCAAATATACCAGTAATGTTTCCCAGTTACTATGCAACATAAAGTTCTCTTTCTGAGAATCACTGCTTGCATCACCAAGAGAAACCAAGAGCATCAAAAATCACCTTATTTTACAATTTTGCCAGAATCGTCCCTTCCACAACTAACATATGGAACTATCTCATTTGCATGTAAACACCGGAGTTAAGAACCACTCTAAGCCCAGTTTTCCTGCATTTCACTCAAGGCTAACCTGGTTCCAGCTTTCAATATCCAATGCCTTTTTTTCCTAATCGTATCACTTCTTTTTTTTTTTTTTGGCCATTTACATATTCACCTTCCAACTCATGATGGAGAAGAAAGAAAAGGAATGGAGAGAGGAGAGGAGAAATATTTCCTCTATCACCTGTTTATATATCATGATGCATTACGCTGTGCTTTTGTTATGTCAGGACGCAGTTTCTGCCACTGGCCTTTCTCTTGTTCGATCTTCTGAAAAGTACTGGAATGAATTACACTGCACATCAGCAAGAATTGTTTTTCATCACATGCTTATTATCACATCACAATAAAAGGGTTGCATTCAATTTTTGACTGACTAAATGGGAATTTTAAGTTACATTAACTCTGTACTTCGACAGCACCTAGAAATAGTCAAATAAGTTTGATGAAAGCAGGACTGAACAGATTACTTTAGTGCATAGCTTTACAAAAGCCTTTACTATGTGAATATGTATTAGGATCGCAGTGCAGGGGGAGGGGATGATTTCAGTTTCTCAAATATATTTGACCACGGAGTTAAATTTCTCACCTATGACTAGAATGACAAACAAGAAATTAAAGATTCTGGTCTTCAGGCTAGTTAAGCTATGGTAATACAGACCTTCAGGGCCGCTGATCTGATTCCCAGGCAGTGCATAACTTTCAAGTGGGTGGTGCCACTTGTATGAACTGCAATGTGAATGGGCACTCTATCAGTCATACAACCACTGGGAGATCTCTCTCTCTCTCTTTCTGTGTGTGTGGATAGATAGATAGATGATAGATAGATAGATAGATAGATAGATAGATAGATAGATAGATAGAGAGATGTAAAGGGGTCTGTTACAGGGATTTGAACTTACACAATTTGGGGAGCTGGTTAAACAGTCCCTGTAGGGCTGTCATCTTTCTTTCTGATTCTGGGGCTTCAAGCTGCCAAAGAAGGGGGTCAGGAAGGGACGAATGAATGTAAAGTGGAGGATGGCATGGACAGGCTGGAATCCATGAGCCTGAGGTAGAACCCATGAGTTTGGACTGGAGCTGTGTCAGTTCTCCCTGCCTCCAGCCCTTATGAAGTAGGCATCCTGCAGGAGAAGCTGGTGCCCTTCATCCTGAAGATAGCTTATCTCCAGGTGAGCTCAAGAGATGGAGAAGCTGAAGCAGACTCCAGGAGGAAAATGGGCAGTTGCAGATGAACTGTGGCCTCACAACAATAAGGTATGCCAGCAGAAAAGGAACAAGGTGAAGGAGCTACAGAAAGGGCTGCCCCAATCTTCTTCCCAATGTAATAAAACAATATAGCAGCTGTCACATTTGTCTTTCAAATCTCCCACAAAAATATATTTTGTGGCCCTCCCTAGCTGGAAATATACAAGGAAAGAAATTCTAGGAAACAGTTCAGCCTTGCCAAGTTGCCATGTTTCAAAGCCATCTCACACACCCTGGAGTTCTGCAGTGCGCAGCCTGCATGGCTGCATGTACCAGCTTACAACATGGATCAGGCAACCATTGCAACTCTCCCACTTAGGTAAGGTTTGCAAAGAGGAAGCATACAGTGATGTAAGAAAACATCCTGGTGTCACCATACTAACTCAGAGAAGTTGACAATTCGGAGAAATGAGCTGGCAATGTAGAAAATTTTCCTTTGAATGGTATGAACTTGGGATCACTAAGGCCTGCCACTTAGTACGAAATGAACACATTCATTTTACCTTTCATAATGACAAAAAATCTCGGATTAATTTTATATTTTCCTTAACTTCAAACAAGATTAATGAGAGAAAGGACAGCTTTTCTTTTTCTTCTTCTTACGTCCTGTGCATTTTAGAGGAGATTCACAATTCAAGAGAAAGAGCTTTGTACTTTTTATTTATCTGAGAAGTAAAGAGATGCCATTTTCAATCTAATTTGTGGAATGAGAAATTTCTTTTATCATCTCCACTTATCCTTCCCCCAAATTCAACCACTGTCTTCTTTTTCTTAATCTTTGCTCCCTAAAATTTTCTCACGACTTCTCCAGAAATCTCATTTTTCCCCTTAGAATTTGTATAACATTAACAACTGTGTATTCTTAGATTACTGTAGCATTACCTGTGTAGGTCCTGTGTGGTTTTAACTTTACTAATTTTATAATTTAGGGACACACTGATATTCTTTTCTAATTAGTCTCTATGGCTCTTCAAAGAATTATTTTATCTCAGATAAGATCAAATAAAACTGCTTACAATTTTTTATTTGCTTTATAGTTCTTTAAAGGATACAAAGACATCATTTGTGAATAGCTGATCAAATGTTAGAATTTCTTTTTGGATCCAAAAGTCCTGTTATACTGAGAATATATTTGAAGTTCAATCTATTTAAATATCCTGCTTTAAGACTGACCCATGAGAGGTGGTCTAGAGAAAAGACTGATCAAGATAACATTTTTTTCTTTCCCTCCTGGGTTACAAAAAAATGTACTTTTCGCGGATGTTGGTAGAAGATCAAGTACTGGACGAAAGAAAGCATGGTTGTCTGTCCTATTTGGGGAGGAGATCTTGGAACTACAAAAGCAAAGACACAGTCAAGATGACAAAGAACTTGACAATTAGGAGATGAAGAGGAAAATGACTACATGTAGACAAATGATGCCCCTTCCCTCAAGAGAAAGACAGATGCTAAGATTTAGGATAAATTTAACTGACATATTGTATTGGTTAAAGAGGACTTTGCCTTAAGCATAATCATACCTCGGTCAATAATATCTATTAGTTTACATAATTATTTCACAAAATTGTTAAGAATTTAGCAAAAGGTACTGTACTGTGAGGATCCAATAAATCAATGTTTTCTTATTAGTAAATAATTTTAAAGTAATTTCTAATATAAACTTAGTAAAGCAAATTTTTGAAGGATAAGCAATATTTTATATTGCTGCAGTCACTATCATCCAAATATTCCAAAACTCCTAGGTTTTTAGTGAGAAAACTATGCTGTTATTTCTGTAATTTGTTTGTAAAATAAAATAAATTGAGCTTGCAAATGTACTAAAAGCTCAATATCTTTAACAAAGTAATACTTCACGTTTACAAGAAGATGATATATTCTTTCATCTCTACGCTACAATTTTGGGAGGGTAAGAAATAGTATCTGGTCTACTGTCTCTAATTTTATGTCATTTTTTTCCCCTTTAGAGAGTTTTCTAGCATATTTTAGTTAAGCGAAGGCCTTATAGTAATCAAATACTAAAAAAACTCTATCTGGATGTCAGCTAGTTTTTTAAAGGTAAAGTTGATCCTCTAGGATAAAATTAATTTTATAGGGTAATGAAGAGTATTTTTTCAATTGCATTTTCTAATGACAGTTTTATTTATTTTGGGAATTTTTCTCTTCAAAATTTTTAATTTGAAAATACGAAAACCATAAAAACATAAAATTACAAACTTATACACAAATGTTCATAAAGCTTCATTTGTAATGGTCGCAATTGGAAACCACCCAAATATCCATTAACGGGAATGGATGACAAAATTGTAGTATATTAGCACAATGGAATACAATAAAAATAAGTGAATATTGATTCACACAACAGTGTGGATGAATCTCCAGATCATTGTGCTGAATAAAATAATTTAGGCAAAAAGAATACATACTGTATAATTCCATTTATATTCAATCTAGAAAATGCAATTGAATTCATAGGAAAAGACAAAAAGATTAGTGTTTGCCTGGGAATGGGGATGGAGGGAGGGCTGGATTACAAAGGGTTGAGGAAATGTTGGGGTGATGCAGATGTTTATCTTGATTATAGTGATCATTTTGTGAATGTATAGATATGTCAAAACTGATCAAAGCATATGCCTTGTGTCATTTATTAGCCTGGATCCTGTGTCATTTCTACTCCAATTATACTTCAATAAAGTTGCAAAATCAAAAATCACTCATAATAAACATAATTGCTAAGCCTTTACTGGGTGTTTCTGACTTGCCCAGGTTTTTTTCCAAGCTCTTTACTTTCATTAACTTGTTTAACACTGCCTCCCTCCCCAACAACTCTGAAGTAGATGCCATTATTATGTCCACTTTACAGATAAGGAAACTGACACAATGAAGTTGCCTACTTTGCTTTCCCTCACATGCAAAATTTGTCTATTTTCTCGCATTCCAAACAGGCCGCCCTAGCTGACTTAGACCCTACAGTTAACCTAAGTAGGTAAATGCTAATGGATTGCATCCCAATTCCAAATTTTGGGAGAGGATTGGATTGGCCAGCTTGAATGACCCATTTCGGACACAGTCTGTAGTGGGGAAGGAACATGGTGGCCTGGTGGTGCTGAACAACCTCTGTCAGTAATGATGGTCCTCTTCTAAGAAGAAATCAATTCTAAATAAGGTTGTTTAGGTGCTGACTAAATTGGCAAGCTCATAATGCAGGTCTTTGGAGAAAAGAGGGGACTTGAAATGAAAGTATAGAGTAAGGCTATGTGTTCAGATCAACAAAATATACGATGCCATTATTTTTCCATAACTGATTTTAATTTAGCATTTGACCCCACATTTCTGCTGATGGTAGAAAACAAACTTGCAAATCCAATCTCTCAGTCTTTTCTAGCTTAAAAAAGAGGGTTTTGGAGCAAAATAATTCCCCCCTTGCTTTGCTCCTGGGTAGCACACCTACTACATGGTAACCCACTGTCATTGCTGGTGGTCTTCACTTAAGTAGAGCACTTTCTGCTAGCCTTTGCAATGATCCCTTTTCCCACTGCTTCTTCTCCCAATGTCTAAAACCTTGCATTGCCTACAGCTTATATCATGTCTGTAGTATCCACTAATGGCATCTCTAATAATCATCAGGACCCCTATTCCTGTTTGCTGGTCCTCAGCACTTCTCTCAAGCTTGAAGGAAGTTTGGGATTCTCTACATGTGTCCTTACAATATATGGATCTCAAATCTTTCCATCTAGATGCCTCCATCTACCACTGGTACTCGGACACCATGTTGGATGCAGAAATTTTCTATAAGTCTTGAAATTTACTAATGTATTTCTAGGAAACTCGACAACAGTCTATTCTGTTCTAGTATTTTCCCAGATTATCTGGGGATTTTAGTGTCCCAATTTTTTCCAGGATTAACTGAGGCAATAATATACCAAATCTTTTTTTAAATAAACATCCAGTATCTAAACCATAGTCACACATCCCTTCCAAATTTCCTTCCCACTGACTTGTAAAAATTTAATTTAATGGGATGGTTAGCTCAAAGAATACTTTTAAGCAAATTTGTATTCTTACCTATCATATGATTTATGGCTTAAATGGAATCTCAAGTCTTTGGTACTTATCATAAAAAAGACTTACATTAAAAACTACTATCCTTCTAAAACTTAAAATAAAGTGAAATTTGAATCTCAAAGCTTAGCCACTCTTTGTTCTAGGCTGTGTCTGCCCGTCACAGGAGGACAGAGAGAGAAGACTATCTCTACTGTGTGATTGATTGGAAAGATAGGAGTAAAAGAATTTCAAAAATTTCTTCTGCTTTTGGTCATGATAGAATACACTGGACTTGCATTATTCATACATAGTTATAAAACCAGACAAAATATATGAAGAAGCTATTTTCAAGCCTAAGACTACAGGCAGAACAAGACTGATTCTTAAGAGTAGGGAAACACAAAAGATGAGCTACATGTTTGCTCCAGCTCTCGACTTCACTGTCCTTTTCCTAATATAGTGCAGGAAGGTGAAACCCAAATTTAGTGGCAGACTTGCTGAGCTAAGGCAGCAAAGACAAGAGTTTGGGTTGTTGAAGTGGCTGGAATTTGCAGTGTAGGGTTATGGAGAAGAGGGGACTCTATAATGTAGAGAAGAGACAGGGTTCACCACAGATAGTCTTGGCTAAGGGCTCAGCTGTGCATACAAAGGATGAGACTTGAATAAATCTGGCAAAAAGTAGCTTTTGTGAGACTGAGCACTGAACATAGGTATCACAGTTAATACAGTACTAGCAGACACTCTGGCTCAACCAAAGAGGAGATATTTCCTTATGCACTTTGGGCATTTATTTGACACCTAAAAAATAACATGCCTTGGACACAATTACCAGGTCCTAAAGCATGAACTACATCCTAAGACTAAGCAAAAAGACTGAAAATGACCCATTATCAGAAAAAATAAAATAAAACCTGGAAGAATCAAAAGGTTATACCAGTAATTTAACTACTTGCTATGACAAAATTCAACACCCTCTAAAAAGAACACAGCATTGTCCAGACTCTCTACCATGTATCATTCACAATGTCTAGCATACAACTAAAAATATTAGATGTTTGAAGAATCAAGAAAATGTAACCCACTAACAAGAAAACAAGCAGTCAATAGAAGACCCAGATGTTGGAGTTGCCAGAAAGTGACTTTAAACTAGGTATAATAAATAAGACCAAGGAATTAAAGGAAAAGATAGTGATCATGTATGGGAGATAGGTAGTATCATCTAAGAAGTAAGAACTACACACACACACTCACACACACACACACACAAAATGTTAATTCTCACACTGAAAGTGTATTTAAAATGAAAACTATGCCAGGTTGCCTTAATGGTAGATTGGCAACTGCAAAAGAAAGGGTTAGTGACCTTGAAGACAAATCTATAGGAATTATTCAAACTGAAGAACAGAGAAAAGGGACTGGGGAAAAAAATGATCAAAGCCTCTATGAACTGTGTAAAAATATCAAGTGGTCTAATATATGTGTAATTGGAATCCTAGAGGGAGAAATACAGAGAATGGGACAGAAAAACAATATCTGAAAAAATGATGGGCCAAGTGTTCTAAATTTGGTGAAAAACATCAACTTACCAAACCCAGAATCTCAGCAAAACCCAAGTAGACTAAAAATACAGAGAAAATTACATCTAAGTACATCCTAGTCAAATTCCTGAAAGAAAGAAAAAGAAAAAACAGTGAAAGAGGCCAGAGAGGAGAAAAAGACACATTAGATATAGAGGAACAATGATAAGAATAATGTTTTTTAAAAAGAGAAAGAGAGAGAACAAAAAAAACCTGTCAATAAAGAATTCTATATTCAGCATAAATATCCTTCACAGATGATAGTGAACTAAAGACATTTTTAGACAAATGAAAGCTTAAGAGGGTTTGTCACCAGGATATCCACATTTCAAGAAGTGCTGAAAATTCTTTAGGCTAAAGAGGAATGATATGAGATGAAAATTCAGGTCTACTAGATGTAATGAAGAAAACCAGAAATGGTAACTTAGAAAGTAAACATTAAACGAATTTTTTTCCTCCTAATTTATTTTTTAAGACAGCTAAGTGAACAGTGTGTTTCTATACACGCGTGTATATCCATATATATATATACATATATACATACATATATATATACATACAGATACACATATTTTGAAGATATTGCAGGTTTAGTTCCAGACTGCTGCAACAGAGTGAATATCACAATAAAGTAAGTCACACCTATTTTTTGGTTAGACAAAAAAACAGTTTGTATAAAAGTTATGTTTACTCTATATTGTAGTCTATTAAGTGTACAATAGCATTATGTCTAAAAAAATTGTACTTATCTTAATTAAAAATACTTTATTGGTAAAAATTACTGACACCTGAAGTGAACATATATTGTTGGAAAAAAATGATGCCAGTAGACTTGACTAATGCAAGGTTGACACAAACCTTCAATTTGTAGGAAACAAATGCAATATCTGCAAAGCACAATACAGCAAAATGCAATAATATAAGATATGCCTGTAAGCCTGTGTATATATACACACACTTACAATGCTTGCGGGATTATAACATGTGTAGATGTGAAATATATGAAAATAATAGTACAAAGGAGAGAGCATGTAAATGAAATTATATAGTTATAAACCTATTACCCATAACATGAAGTGGAGCAACATTTTTGCTATGTGAACTATATTAAGGATGCATATTGTAACCCCCAGAGGAACCAAGAATATCCGTAACACACCACCTACTAGCAACTGTTATTCACATGTTTATCCTTACACGATTTCTCAATGCCAGCCAAGGTCTCAGTTAGAAAAAGCAGGTATAAAAATAATTTGGTCAAGATAAGCACCCTTTTTAATGACCTGGCATGAAACAAAGATAAAATTTAATGCATTTTGTAACACTGAGTGTTATTTTTCATACCTAAATTTTGGTGAGATCTAAGATCTCATAAATCCTTGAATTCGCATGCCTTGTGGTGTTAGCTGTAACCTTCTCCTGGGAGAACCTATGTTACAAATATGGAATTTTCTTCTTGGTTTATTTACCTTTACCTTTGATACCTTAGACTAGTGTTGATTTATACCATGTGTATTTTCATATCAAGGCCGAAAAGTTCCAAAAAGAATTCTTTTAATGTGCAATATTTGATGGTATATATTGGTCATTAGAATGGCTATTTAAATTTTTTAACTGAGTATACTGAACAACAGAGATTCCATTCTGTAGCAGAAAACATACTTTCAAAGCAGTAGTACACCTTCTTATATCATTTGTATAGGATCTAATCCAGAAATCTTTCAGAGAGCTCTATAAATGATAGTCCTCAAATTCAGTAATCTGAGTTGGTGACATACCTACGCATTGATTAATTTCATCTTCTTACATTATATATATAATTTTATTGTTTTAAAAACACTGAAAAGTGATAATGTGATATTTTAAAGGCAAAAGGACTCGTGATAGCAACTGATTATTTGTTTGTTCAAAAAGCTCTAGCTTCATGCATTTAATTCTATTTTAACAGGAAAAGGAACATAAAATGTGTGATAATCTTGCAGATTACTCTGTTAGCAAAGATTATCTTCTGCTGGATAGTTTGCCCTTAAAGATTATATTTCTGGATCAGATTTTGATTCAGAATTAGGGATACTGAGGCTTGAGTCAAAATAAAGGGAACAGAATTATAAAAAGAAGTGTACATTTGCAGTTATTTCCATTTTAAAAAGAAAGCAGACTTTAAGAAGAAACCTTGAGCCTTGAGACCACATCCCTGGTTATTAATTATTTAGTTCATTATTTTAAATGGGCTCAATGAACACTCTTTGTACAGGGAATCATTTAAAGATGTATTTACTCTTCTTGGATTCTAATCAGATTTGCCTGATGTCCTAGGCTGGCTTGTCACTTTTGAGCGTTTGGTTGGGTCTCTGTGGTTTCCCAGTCTGTCTTGCCTGGAGTTCATCAGACTGGATTCTCTTTACTCCCAGCCATCAACTGTGGGTTCACTTTGTTCATTCCAAGGCCCAGCCCATCTCAAGAGACTAAATCTTAGTCCAAACCAGACTCCATTACCCAGATGACAATTTTGGGGGGCCCAAGGATATCACTAGGTGGATCAATAAATGGGTTAAATGTTGGCATCATTATGGAATACCCTTAATGTCCAACAAGGACAAGTGATATAAAGTTGATCCAGGAAAAAGTACTTGGTGTCTGTTCTTACCATCCTTCTAATGAAGTGGATGACAAAAATGGAATATTATGCTAATTAATACCTACAGCTCTTATAAGGAATGACTGCAGCAATAAAATTCAAAGTAAGTTTGTCTAACTTTGAAAAATGTTGCTGTTCAGAATGCAAGAAAATTCTATATAGAAAATTTGAGGAATGCTATACTCTCTTAAGAACAAAAGCCTGTTCAAAGGGCAAAGGCAAAATCAAATGGCAGTTAGAGGCCAAGCAGAGAAAAATGATAAAGAAAAACAACAGAAAAATTCCAAGAGTTAGGACTGACCACATATTGAAAATACATCAGCCAAATTGAATATTATGTCCAAATTAGTCACCACACTATCTTCATAAATCTTTCCTCTTCAGAATAAACTCTTGTACAGAGATTCTATTCTAATGCTTCGACTTAAATAATTATATCATAGTAATTGGAAAAGTCAGGCAAGTGGAAAGCATTTATAAGTCAAGAATTATCAAAGGATAACTGTAATCAAAGAATCCATACTCTCCAAAGTGAGAAATTCAGACAAGGATTTAAGCAGTGGATTGCTCTTGGGACAGAAAATTTAAAAAACTGTTTAGTTGGACATAAGGATACAAGTATATAAAAATGAACACAGAACCTTAGAAAGCCTTCAAAATGAACCTGGAAGCATCTCAGGTTTGTGGGTAGGAATGGATTCTCTGCCTTAGAAAGCACATGAAGATATTACATGACTTGTAACCTTACAAAGATCCAAATCCATCTTGGAATTTTAAAATATATATATTTCTGCTGAGGAACAATATTGATAATCATATGGTCAAATATTAAAATAAAAGTGAAAATAAACTGGGAGGACTAGTAGCTTCAGCCGTGTCCCTGGCTCATTCTCTCCAGGTTCTTAATTGTCTTTTCTCATCTAGATATTTTTGCCTTAAATTTCCTTTATCTCTTGTGTTGTCTCTGCTCATTGCTTAAAGATCACTGTGATTATTGTTGTTCAAATGTCTTTCTGGCCCCACTAATATGTAAAGTTTAGATAATTTGCTTTTCCAAAAGACAGTGATTAAATTATTAAGGAAATTAGATTAGGTTTCCAAATGCCCGAGGAAGTGACATCAAACACTGTAACTATGCATAGAAAAGAGACAAATTAAGGGAATTTGGTAATTATATGTATTCTACAACTTTGGAACAAAGGAAAATACTGTCATCAGTTTTTGATATGCTGTTTTAGTTTATCTAATGATTATTAATTTGTGGGCAATCATGTTAAACACTGAGACAGATGCATAAAATACTGAGATAGAGGCTAGGCCCTTGGTTGCACTGGGGGGAGGAGGAGGTTATAGTTTTGTCAGGAAGATGAGAAAGGTTTACAGAAGATTAGAATGGAGACTGATCATATCAAAAGTCCCAAGTAAGATCAGAGAAGGGTAAGATCATCTCCAGGTGAGAGAGATGAAGAAGCCTTCAAGGTAGGGGTGGAGATGGAAACATTTCTAGGAGTATTGATAACAGAAGCAAGTCCCTCCAAGGAACAGCCACAATGCAATTAGGTTGGAGTAAAATGTTAGGAACCTTCAAGAAATCTTAAAACTTTGTGGGCCCCAGTTTGAAAACTGTGGTATAGAATCTGACCAGTCAAGGTCTTCCTTACCCATCTAAGGAATCTGAAATTTATCTTATTAATAATGGGAGAAACAAAACTATTTTAGTAAGAAAATTGGCTGATGAAGGTAGTTTTTAAGGATTATATAGTGGGAGCAATGTACATAAAGAAATGAAGTTAGGAAACGAGGTGAAATGGATAAAGGAATCTGATAATGGACAATTGTCCAGGTAAAGACACTGGAGGAGGCAAGCCACCTTGAGACAAAAAATAAATATTATTTTCCTTGATGAGAAAAATGACAACTTTTAGAAATGGTGGGCTATTCATCATGATGTGTACCCAAGGGTTATGCTTTCTGTTTTTAATCTTCCATTGAAAACAGTATTATCCTTTTTTCTTTTCCTTTTTTTTTTTTCCTTTCAGACAGTGTCTTGCTCTGTTGCCCAGGCTGAAGTGCAATGGCACAATCAGGGCTCACTGCTGCCCCGACCTCCTAGGCTCAAGGGATTCTCCCACCTTAACCTCTCACATAGCTAGGATTATAGACATATATCCACACCCAGCTAACTTTTAAAAAAAAAATTTAAATTTTTGTAGAAATGGAGTCTCACTATGTTGCCCAGGCTGGTCTGGAACTCCTTGCCTCAAGCAATCCATTTCTTGTCTCAGCCTCCTCAAAGTGCTGGGATTACAGGCGTGAGCCACCATGTCTGGCAAAAATCTGTATTATCCTTACCTAAGAATTTAATGACATATCATCTTTGGAATGTTATTCCAAACTCCCTTTGGAATATCTACAGATGATCAAAAAAAACTTGAAATGTTTTCTTGTTGTTTATAAAATATTAGGTGGAAAAAACACTCACTTTTCAAACTATCAACTACAGGATGAATTTCCAGAGTGTAGCTTTAAAGGTTTCCCTTTCTTTTCTTTTAACCAAAATAGCCTGTGTATATTTTTCAATACATTTTTTTCTACATCTTTTAATATTAACTTGAAGTAATGAATGGCAGGGATGGAAGAAACTTGGTCCAGTTGAAAAGTTCATTATTTTTTTCCTATTTTGCAGAATGTCATTTTAAATAAGTGCTAGCCTGGAGAAGGTTTTTATTGTTTTCAACCACAGGCTTTATATTACCTTAAAAAAAAAACACAAAAAAAACTCTCGGCCGCAAGTTAGATGCTTCTGGCAGCAATACAAATCTAGCACCACCCCGGGAGGGAGTGTATTTGCTTCTTCACTCATTTTTGTCAGGATAGAGGAATGCTGGACATCCAGAGACAAGGGAGGCTGCAGCTCACTGCTCCCCAGTCCCACACCTTGGGCCTCCCTTTGGAACACACAGGTGAGTACCTTGCAGTGCTGATTCAAGCAGAGCTCATTGCGAGCAAGCCATGAAAGTCAAGTGCACTGCACCGAAGGTTCGTAATAGGTCTCGTCAACACCTTCAGGGAGCTCAACTTGGCCTGGTTTAGGTCATAAGGTTCTTATTCCCACCCAATAAATTCCTGAAAAGATGCTTTTGTGTTTTATTGTTATTTGTCTCTTTGCATACCACTTTGCAGCATGCTTTTCTATAGGCTATAGAAAATACTAAAACAGCTACTGAATGTTTGTTTGTTTCTTACAAATCCATGGCTAGTTGTTAATCTGTTATTCTTTCACATTGAGAAATTGTAAGGTCTTGTAACAATCTTTGTTGCTGGGCAAAGAAATATCATATAAAGTTTAGTTTTCAATGTCAATGTTTTAAAATAACACAAATGAATAAAATGTTAAGACTTAACATTGGACAGTGAACTGAAAAACTATAGAGATAAAATTTTCCCATAATATGGCAGTAGTTTCTAAATATAAAACTCGATGTTATAAATTTGGGTTCTTAATGAATTTTTTATATCACAAATTCTGTTTCCACTTAGATGTCAGAAACTGAGCTGGAAAAGATAAAAGTAAGAACAGCTGAGCATTTAGAAAATGATAAAAATAACATTTCTTGGTTGAAAGAAGGTAAGTCTTCTTGCTCTTGATTTTCTATTGGTGTGAAAATTTTGCTTTTGTTTATAAGCAAGGAATAGTGTGGGAGAAGGAGGAAATTGTCCTGACCGTTCAAATAGTAGTACTTCTGATTTTCACTCTTTTCTTTTTTTTTCAAATTCTTATGTGGCCTAAGTGGTTGTTTGAGGATCTTTATTATTAAAATGCTTCTTGTGGTCCCTGTATTGCAGGAAACATAGATTACTTTGTTGGTAAGACTTAATATGCATTTTCTACTCAGACTTATATTATCTGTGAGGTCTTTGCAGTGCTGTAGATTTTTCTCCTTTATAGCCAAGAAGACTAAATAATTTAAGGACAAGTATTTTTAAATAATAATCACAGAAAGGAATGCTTGCTATAGGAAAATATGTCTACAAATAGAATCACCATTCACTGCAATTAGAGAAGCCACCTTCCCAGGGGAGAATGCTGTCGGCCATGGGCTCCGCATGCGTAAAATGGTTGCTTGAAATACGCACACAAATCAATATGTTCTCCTAATGAGTACAGATTTGCGCACTTTTGAAAATACAGCTAAACCTGTGATTATTTACTAGAAGGCACGGTTTTATAATTTTTTGATTTTATGATCACTTTTAATATGTCAAAAAGGTAACATTTGATATTTTATCTAAATAGGTATGCTGCGTCTTTTTCAGCATTTAATGAATCTATTATATTGTAAAAGGACAGCTCTTACTTAAGTAGTTGACATTCTTAAAAATTGCTTTATAAGGTTGTAGGAAACTCTAATAAATATGTCATGTTAATTAGACAACACCAAAATAATGATAACAATAACATCAACATTGACAATGTTTATTGATATTTATTGATGATTTTGCTGAATCATCATGACAACCCTGTGAAGCAGTTATTATCCTTAATTTACCAATAAGAAAATTGAGCCTTAAAGAGTTCTAGTAACTTGCCTAAAATTACAAAATTGGAAAGTGCCAAAGCTGAGATTCAATGCCAGTTTGTGTGATTCTACAGCATGTGAATGTAACCACCACCTCATCATGTTCCAAAGAAAAAAAATGTTTAAGTTACTCGTCAGAACATGATCTGTGCTCAAAAATGTTTTCCTACAGTGTTGAAATCAACACCTCCAACTTCATCATACCCTCACATCCACTCTTGTCCTTAATCTCACCCTACCCCCAACCCTAATTTAAAAATACACCTATGGCCGGGTGCAGTGGCTCACATCTATAATCCCAGCACTTTGGGAGGCCGAGGCGGGTGGATCACTTGCGGTCAGGAGATCAAGACCAGCCTGGCCAACATGATGAAACCCTGTATCTACTAAAAATACAAAAATCAGTCAGATGTGGTGGCACACCCCTGTAGTCCCAGCTACTCAGGAGGCTGAGGCAGGATAATCGCTTGAACTGGGGAGGCAGAGGTTGCAGTGAGCCGAGATCACACCACTGCACTCCAGCCTGGGTGACTGAGCAAAACTCTGTCTCAAAAAAATAATAATAATACATAAAATTAAAAATAATAAAAATATACTTATTTTAAAAAGAAAAAAGATGATTATTTCTGCCCAATTCCCCACCAAGCAATTTTAATAGTAGGACATTATCTCTTTAAGAGACTCTAATTCAGGACTAAAGTTGATGCAGACAAAAAGTATTTCCAGAATCATTTCTGTTAAAAGCTTGAAAATTCTCTAACTTCTTTTTTTGAAAAGGTCTTTTAAATAGAATCCTTTAAAAACAATGTAGAAGGAAAAAAAGTAGAACATGCATCAAAGAGCCCCTGTGTTTTTCTTATGAATCTCAAATCCATGAAGATAGAGATGTTCTTCACCACCACTTATGGTGAAGTTCATATTATTTATTTTTACTTTAATTACTCTGTGCTACAGATGTCTCATACAGAAATAATAATGAAATTGATAGGCCAATCAATTGTTTCCTAAAGAATTTTCTTTAAAAAAAGAATCGTGTCCATTAAGTACAGCGTAGGCATTGAATTCTTGTAATCTATAAAATCTAATTTCCCAGGTGACCTGTTTTATCTCATTTGGACACTTCATTTAAGCTACACTCGAATTATGTTTACTATATTTCATAAAAGGAAATTGAGCCAGATGCTAGATGACAACATCTTAATTGGGAATTATCAGGATGAGTTAGTTTTCAAACATAAATGTCTTTTTTTTCAATGTTAAGAAAAAGTATATGGGTTGGCATATATTTAAAAAAGTCAAAGTGGTGCAGTAAAAAGAGCATGGCATTTGGAATCAGGCAGGCATGGTTTCTAAATCTCAGCTCAGCCATCTACTAGCTGGGTGATTGTGCCATGTTACTTTATCTCCCTGAGCCTCAATTTCCTAGCTGGGGACTAGAATGCTTGCTTTATGAGATTATGGGAATGTGATTTCATTACTTCTCTGTTTTTTTCCCTCTTTAAAAGCATTACTCAGAATAATACAGTTATGTTTTTTGAGAGCTTAGTTCACACTTTGAACCATTGGTAATAGCAACAATGCTTTTTATAGTATTTTATATAAATTCCTCCTTTTAATACCTACAACAAAGTGGTATGCAGTGGTACTGTCCCCATTTTACAAATTAAGGGATGTAGGCTTGGAAAGACTTTACATCTTGCTCAAATTTGCAGGGCTCTTAAGTGGCAAATTGAATCTCCAACCTCGGTCTTTGAGGTCCAAATTCTATTCATTTCATTAAACCATTTTATTACAGTGACTTCCACAACAGTTATCAATCAGAATTTTAAATGTGTCGACCTCCAACCTCCCTCACTCCCCCTTAAAAAAATAATACAGATACTTTCAGTTGTTCAAAAAAGTGTTTTTCTCATTAAGAACAAAGTGGTTACATCTCACATGACAGTGACTCTGCTGCCTCCCTCTGGAACTCCAGCTGAACACTGCTCACTGTTAAAATGTGGGTAATCACAGCAATGCCTTATTCGGCTTGGAACAAGCACTTCACTGGAGTCACTGACACAAAGCACTGAGTGCACTGCTTGATTTCAGAGTGAACATGCAAGCAACAGGAGTTACTACCATCATCACCATTCTGAGTACTGCTATTATTTCTAACTTCTCGACTTCAAACATTCATATCATTTATCCAACTCAATTCAGTGTTATTAATTGGAGAGACTAGAGACAAGGTGTAAGTGTGGCAGAGAACAATACAAAAAAGAAATACTCTCCTGCACTCAAGGACCTTATTATTCATTCATCTCATTCAATCGTCTTGCTTTTGCCAGGAAGGCAAAGAGGCTCCTAATTGCCCTTGACTTTCCCCAAATGGGTCATGGGCCTGTTCACATCAGTGGTGGTGTCAAAGAGATCTAGGAAAGCCACAGCCAGAGCTGTTACAAAAAATTAGACTAAATTTTATTTGAGAAACACCATTGACAGACCCAAAAAATCATTCATTTTAAAACCATGCTTGGAGAAACCCTCTTTTAAGATAATCGGATAAACAAGGCATGATTTAAAAATATGCAGCATTGCTCAGCATAGTGACTCATGCCTATAATCTCAGCACTTTTGGAGAAGATGGGAAGATCCCTTGAACCCAGGAGTTTGAGACCAGTGGTGAGATACCATCTCTACAAAAAAAAAATAAAATAAAAACAAAAAAATAAAATTAGCTGGGTGTAATGGCATACCCCTATAGTCCCAACTACTAGACAGACTGAGGCCAGAGATTGCTTGAGCCTGGGAGGTTGAGGCTGCAGTGAGCTATGATCACACCACTGTACTACAGCCTGAGCAACAGAGCAAGACTCTGATTCAAAATAAAATAAAATATATGCACCAGGCAGGATGAGCTGCATTATGCAAACTGTGGGCCAAGGTGGTCTAGGAAGTCCAGTCTTGAAGGCAGTCAGTCTCTTTGCACAGGTGGAGAGAAGGAGGTGATGCAGGGAGCAAAGGCATCAGAGGCTGGAAGATGCCTATTTCAGTGCTAGGGAAATGGGCATATTGGCTGATTATTCATATACGGAATAATGCAAAATGAAGTGAGAAAACCGATTGAGTGCTGACTGTAGGTTAAGTAGTGGACATTGGTTCTGTGTTGTCACTGGAGGCCTGAGGACAAGAACTAAGAAACAGAGGCAAGGCTTGTGTGATATGAGCCTGTAAATATGTAACTGGTGTGCAAAATGGGGTGGAGCCAGCAGATGAAATGTTAAGGGAAGGGGGTGGTGACGGCTAATACACACAGCTACATTTAGCAGCCTTGAAGCGAGAAAAATATGACCTGAATGAAAGCCATATCAAAGAGAAGGAGAAAATAGGCCCAAATGTGAAAACTTTATGGAGGAAAAATTGTTATAACATAGAAATTGGGGGGGGAAATTACAGGTGGAATAGGATGTCAGGTAATACCCCATTAAGCCAAGGAGCATTCTGGGTAAGCATTTCAGTGCCTGTAGCTTACACCATTTGATACGGAAGAGAAACATCAAGATGAAGGGATGGAAGCCCTTAAATTGTTGCCATTTGCAGTTTAAAATCACAGCATTGTCAGCGTTTGAAGTGCACACGATTTCTTATAGTGTCTCCTGATTTTTCAGGAGAAACTGGAAATCTGGATTTCTTTGTGAGATCTCCTGATTGTTAAAGGTTAAGTAACAACAACAACAATAACAACACCACCACCAAAACAACAACAATAAAATACCAAGGACAAATGAAACCAGGCTCTGGGGTCTATTTCAGCCCACAGACTGCCAGTTTGCAGCTTCTGTTCTAGGAGGGTGTATCTCTAAATGAAACCTAATATAATTTTCTGAAAACTGGTTTTCCATAAACATTGCTGCATTGGCACAGATTTTCTCTCTATCTCTCTATTTGTCTCTCTCTCTATATATATAAATATATACACACATACATATACATATTTATTTGTATGAGCAAAGTCAAAGTCAATGTGTATATATGTACATATATATGCATATACATACATATTTATACATATGAGCAAAGTCAAGACACCAATCATATGACCTAAAAAATGTGAAGCTAAGAGTATTGAAATAAGTTTTTTGTCCTTCAGAAAACTAGCTACCTATAATTGTTTTAGTGGGACATTTTATTCACAATTGTCACCAATAGGGGAAAAACAAATCATTCCAAGTTCCAAGTGTACCTTTAATGCACCAAAGCAGTAGTTTTGCAATCTTCTAACCAGATGTTGGTGCTGTCCAATGACTGTTAAATTGTGTTGTACCCAAATGGGAAAATTCATGAGAGAGAAAAAAAATGATAAAAAAAATAGGGGGTGGGGAATGGGCAATAAACAAGCTTTATTCTCTCCTTCCATCCATGCCAGGAAGGAAAGAGTGTGAAAGATGAGAGTTCTGTAGTTATTTTGAATTAAGTATAGCTTCTTTTCTGTAAGCAGTCACATGACGACTTCAATCTTTGATGATATAAAAACGATTATTGGCCGGGTGAGGTAGCTCATGCCTATAATCCCAGCACTTTGGGAGGCCGAGGCGGGTAGATCATGAGGTCAGGAGTTTGAGACCAGCCTGGCCAACATGGTGAAACCCCGTCTTTACTAAAAATATAGAAATTAGCCGGGCTAGCCACGTGTGGTGGCGAGTGCCTGTAATCCCAGCTACTCGGGAGTCTGAGGCAGGAGAATCACTTGAAACTAGGAGGCGGAGGTTGCAGTGAGCTGAGACCACGCCATTGCACTCCAGCCTGAGTAAGAGAGCAAGACTCCATCTCAATAAATAAATAAATAAATAAACTCCATTATTTAGGTGAATTTTGGAGGAAATGCCTCTAAACTTATTTAGTGTTGACATAGAAAAGTTACATCATCAGTGTTTTGGCACCTTGAATACACTGGTTATCATGGTTATCAGAATTAACACATATTAGAGACTAATAATCCAAAATACTAGAAAAGAGCCTAGAGGTCCAAAAAAATCCAGGTTCCAAAAATTCCCTTTTCAATATAATGCAAAATCTCAAATGCATAATAGAAAAATCTCATCTCATTCCTAAACTTTCATGTTTGTGTTCAAATAAGACGAAGAAACTGAGAATCTTTCCCACATTTATTGACATTCATAAATTCACTGGACTTTCCTTCTTTAATTCTAAGTGAAGACAACTTACTTCATTTCCTCAAAAAATAATTTTGGATCATGAACATTAATAGAATTCTGAAATATGCATTTTGTTCAACTCAGCAACCATTTGATGTGGCTCCTCTTGAACGCAGAGAAAACATGTGAGACAAAGAAACAAAGATGCCAAAAAATGAAAATGTCCTGCCCTCAAGGAACTCATGTACTTAAGTGCTTTATTATAATAACTAAATATTAATCCAATCTAATTCTCTCACTCAGATAATTCTCATTTCTAAACGGGATATTTTTTGTATCTCATTTAAATATTAAGCCACACTAATGCTTATTTTAAATTGTTAACTTCCCAAATAGCATATCTTGAGACTCTTTTTACTATGTAAACACAGGTAATGGAATTATTAGCTCTTATTTCTGTAGTTTTCATTAACTCATGAAAGTGCGTTACCTAATAACAAAAATAGGGGTGAAGAAAAGGTAACAGCCAAACAGAAAGTAGTTTTGTTTTTAAGCATAGCCGACGGAAAAAAAAAGATGTGAAAATATGCCCTTGTAAGTCATATAAATGAGTAAAACAAGACCATGAAGTAGATAATTTCACAAGGGTAATTGTTTCGAAGCTTTGAAACAAGATGTTGTGATAGAGATTGGCATGAGGACTATCCTTTAGAATCAGTGGTCAAGGAAGTTCTCTCTGTGGGAAAGTTATTTGAGCTGAGACTTAAATAAGAAGAATGAGCCAGTGCTGCAAAAATCTGGGAAAAGCATTCCATTGGAGAGAACAGCCTGTGCAAAGATAGTACAGCTCAGAGTAGCTGGATAGAAAGGAAGGAAGGGAAAGGAAAAGGGAATGACGAAAAAGGGGAAAGAAGGAAAAGAAGGTGCTTAAATTGGAAATAATGCAGAACCTTGTTGGTCAGTTGGGAATCTGGATATTTTTTTCGCCTATTTGGAATTAGAAGCCACGGGAGATTCTAAACAGGGTAACATATGCAGTCATTTATATTGCATGAGGTAAAGAGAAGAAACAGAAATAAAGTAGGAGAGTATTGCTGTTGGCCATGCAAAAGATGGTAACTGGGATAGGATACAACTTTGAAGATGAAATAGAAATAATTGAATTTTAGGTCTATGCAAAGTTAGAACCAACAGGACTGGCTTGTGCCTTAGTGTGGGGTGATACAAAGAAAGGAATCAAAGGCTGACCCCCGGCTTTAGAAATTGTGAAATGGTAATGATGAATGGTGAAGTGAGAGAGAGAAATTGGCTAGAAAAGGGAGGAGCCAAAGATCTGGGTAGAGCAGGTTACTTGTGAAATGCCTCTGAGGTATCCCCATGGAAACTGTCAACTGGGCAATAGAATATATGAGATGAGTTATTCTATTTTGAGAAATGTGGACAAGAGAAGTCTTGAGATTTTGCTTAGATCTGAAGGATGAGATGGCATCTGTTGATGGGGAGAGAAATGGAAATTAAATAAAATTTCTGGTAGAAGGAATGGCAAGTATACAGGCACTGGGGCAGGAAAGAACGTGTCATGCTCCAAGAAGTGAAAGAAAACAGGAGTGACTGGGACATCTTCACCCAAGAGAAGGCTGGGATTCCATGAGTGTAGAGAGCTTGGCTGGAAGCAGGCCCTAGAGCCTTTCATAGACCCTGGTTGACATTTGGGATTGCAATAAACTCCTAACCCTGGGAATGCCTACTAAAGATATAGTTTATATTGTAGTAAACTCTATCCTACTACATTTTATTCTCTAAAGAACTATCAGGCTGGGCATGATGGCTCATGCCTGTAATTCCAGCACCTTGAGAAGCTGAGGAGGATGGATCACTTGAGGTCAGGAGTTTTAGACCAACCTGGCCAACATGGTCAAACTCCATCTCTACTAAAAATACAAAAAATTACACAGGCATGGTGGCACATGCCTGTAATTCCAGCTACTCAGGAAGCTGAGGCAAGAGAATCTCTGGAACCCAGGAGGCGGAGGTTGCAGTGAGCCAGGATCACACCACTGCACTTCAGCCTGGGCAACAGAGTAAGACTCCACCTCAGAAAAATAAAATAAAATAAAGAACTATCAAAGAGTGGCACATTACTTTCAAAATTCAGCAATATTAAAAGGGAGCTTTATCGGTTTTTGAGAGGAAAATAACATATACTGATTCTGGCTACATTAATGAAAAAGGTAATTTATTGGAAAATGCAAGAGTAGCTCACAATCTAGAAGGGAAATCTAGGTTCAGGAGAATCAGGAACTAATCTAGTTCTGGTGAGCCTAAGAGCAAGATATAATACATTCAGATCGCCACTTCTGGAATTAATTAGCTCCGCATAATTTTTTTTCCTCCTATTCTCCTCCTTAAGAGTCCAAGTCCCAAGGAAGAAAGCTCAATAACTTTGGCCATGAGTCTGACTCCTGGGTTAGCAAGCCAAGAAAACTTGACTGCCAGCACCATAATGCTACACACAATGAGAGGTAGATGCTTCTTCAGAGGGAATTCAGGGTTCGAGCATCAGAATAAAGGGAGAATAGATGCTGTGTGGCCCCAACATAATGTCTACTCTAAGAGCCAGTAGCAATGACCCATGCTCTTCTCCACAAGGAATAATATTTTCTTACGTGATATGTGCTGTTGATGAAGCACTGAATGTTTCAGGAAGGAGAATACTTACTTTAAATGTATTGGCCTTCTACTGAAGTTCAAATGTCAAAATCATTTTGATTCTCTGATAACTTTAATTTATATTTAGAAAGTTCAGCAAAAGATGAGATCTTCTGTGTTCTCATAGGCCAACAAATTAAATTCCAGTGTCACATCCTACTGCTGATGGTTAAAATTTCTTTCCAACTAAGCCTATGAAGTACTAAGTTCATTTCATATAAAATGATGAGATTGATCCCAACGGAATGAAAGGCCTACAAGATGCCATGTCAGGCTTCAGACTATGACCAGATGAATTAATCAGTGCAAAGTCCCGATAAGTTGTTAAATAGCACATTTAGAGACTCTCGTTCAATGATGATAAGGCAGTACATCAAATCCAGAATGATCTTAGCTCACCATTATTAATTGCAGTTTTATGAAGTAACAGTGAAGCAATCTGTAGAGACCAGGAACCAATCCTCCAGTCCCAATAGGAAGAAGACAATTGTAGATAACTAGAAATTTCAAGAAAGTTACACCTTTTAATAGAGATTTTCAGTAGAATCATTCATTTTCCTACAAGTCACAACAGCTGTTGATGTGATACACTTAATCAACATTAGTATAAAGAGCAGTCTTATAGTGAGAGGAAAAAAAAGTCTCTTATGTTTTATGCCTCAGGAATAAGGACATTCCATTTCTAGTAAATTCTACAAAGAGATACTTTACTTTTATAAGATTATGGCCCATTTCTTTCAGCTTAGGAACTGCATTTAGAGGAATATACTCGCTAATAAAATGCACCTACACTAGGTGTTCACCAGACCATTAGTAAAAAAAAATAAAAGATAAAAAAAGGAATGTGAACAGAGCAAATGAAGACATCACTCTACAGGCATAAATCATTTCAACCATTTTAGCCATTATTTAAGCCTGTCGAGAAGTAAATGTGCAGCAAAGATGAAAAGCAAGGGCAATGACAGTAGTTTTGCCAGCGTATAACTTCAAGAAAAAGTAGAGAGGACAACTCATAGAAGTATAGTATTAAATAAGACATCAGGCAATTCTTCTTCTTGAGCTAAATTTCCACACCAATATGGATCTGAAATGAAATAGCTACCCTGCAGAAAGTAAAGAAAAGTGCTTCATGATTTCTAATCTCAAACAACAGACAACAGAAGAAAATCTGCATTTTAACTCCTCTTTCACGTATCAAATATATTTCATTTTTTGTATTTAGAAAATTCAGCATTATAGATAGAAAATTAAACTTCCTGTAGAGTTACCAAAATATATCTGCTAATATTTATGTTCAATATCTTGAATATAAATTCCATAAAATATGAAAAGTTTATATAAATAAATCTTCTTGAGAATTAAGAATGTATCAAAAATCTATATTCAGGCCACAAATTAAGATTCCACACTTCACGTTTGTCTTAAAACTAATTTGTTAGACCAATATGTGCAAACGCAGATTGATAAAACAAACCATTCCTACTGTAAAAGAAGCATTCGTTTTACAAAATAATATATAATTAAGTAAATGAAATCAACAAATGTTTTCATTTCCTGCAAGACACATACTTACACAAGGAATACACAGAGATTCCCATGCCCAATAAAGAAACTTATAATTCAGTTGGGAAAATAAAATATCAGCAACACATCCTGTTTACCATAGGATTCAGATAAGCACAAGCTCTTTAGCTGTATTTGAAATATAATAGAACATGCAAAAACAATGTGGGTGGAATTTTGCAGTATGAAATCTCTCATACACGAAACCATATGAACATACCCAATTCCTTACATGCAGATTTACCTTAAAATTTAAAAAGTGTTTTTGTTTTGTTTTTAATGGACTCAGTAGGTTTGGGCTAAAACAACTATGCTAAAGAGTCACTTGAAACAACAGAATTAATTTTAAAATATTAACTTAAATTTTTTACAGCTGTGTCTCAGAAGAAAAGAACTTTTGTGTAAATAATCTTTATCACCCAGCCTCTTTTCTTAAAAGAAAATAGCTAACATCGTCTTTTTTAAATGAGGAAAAACTATAACATAAAGAGCGGAGGTACTTAATGGATAATAAGGAGTTCACTTTTCCAAGGGAAATTACTAAATGAATCATTTATTTAGGAACAAAAGAAGAGGAGAAAATTGCACTAACGGCTTTCTTGACTTTTTTTTAAAAACAGCAACATAACTTGGAGACATACTGTGTTTATAGGACATGAATACCTTGGAGTGTCCAAATTTGGTATAGCTTTAAACCTCTACATTCTGTAGGCTGACATCCGTTAATTAAAAAGCAACTCACTGGCCACTGAACTCTAGGTCAAATAGCCAAGTATGGGTTTTGTAACATTACTTGTTCTATGACAGAAGAATGTACTTTTTGCTTCAGTTTTACTTAACAAATATCAGTCTCATCTTGGATTCCCCTAGATACAACTGGGAGAAATAACTAGTTCTTTTTATTTTAGAGATGAAACAATAATACTAATTAGGAATCAAATATAATTTTTGAAAACACTCAACAGGGAAAAGTAACATGGTTAAAGGCTAATATATATATAATATATATGTATGTATATAACTACATTGCTGGAAAAATACACATATCTAACTCTATCTGTCTCTATGCCCTTCTAACTATATTTTTATTGGATATCTTCAATTTGTAAGATAACGTGGTAGTTTAAATGAGAGAATCAAACACAAATAATACTCGATGTGCCTATAATAAACGTCTGTATAATGTTGTAAGAGAAGGTGGTAGGTAAGGAAAGTTTATCTATAAATCAATAGATTTAAATAAAGGAGAAATGTTAAGTATTAGATTGTTGTTTACTCAAGGGCAAGGGCGTTTCTGGCTTGTTTACCTCTATATTTGAGGTACAATAGCCCCTGAAGTAAAGCAGATGCTAAAAAATGACATGAATAAATGGAAGGATAAATTTCAAAGAAGATATGCGATTCAGAGGTAGGAAGCAGCACATCTAGAATTCTGAAAAATGGGGAATTTGGCTGGGCTATAAATCATGGGTAGTGTTTCAATAGGCAGTAACAATACAAACTGATGGAATATGATGGCCCAAGGTATGGAGGCAGAAAAGTCTGGGGTATGTTCTTTTCAGAGAACGATAGCTACGTTTGACTGGAGAAAGGGCGTGTGTGGGAGTGTGAAATAAATCTTAGCTATATTATGAAGGACTTTTAACGTTAGGTTGAAGAGTGTAAACTGAATGTTATTAAACAAAGGGAAGCCATAAAATATATGTGAGGTTGGCTTCAGGAAGGTAGAGAGGACCTAAAGATAACAGAATCAGCTCTGTGCTTTAGAAAAGATTTGTGAGTTGAGGATATTACGAAGATGGACTAGAAGGGTAGAGACTGAAACCAGAGTGACTAGTTAGAAGCTTGTTGCATCCACAAATGAGAAGGCATGAATTCCGAATTTGAGATATTGGTTTTCAGGGCAATGAAAACAAAGGGCTGGCACCCAAGAGAACGCTGACTCCAACGAGCCTTGGCCATGGACTGGATATTAAGGGATCAGAGAGACAGGAGTTGTCAGAGATTACAGAGATTTCTGGATTCAATGGGAATTTTTAATATGTCTCTAGGGGTATGTGCTTTTGTGTGGCTTTACGTAAGTTATCTATTTTTTAGAAAAATTAGAATATGAAAATGGAAAAAAATTATTCTCAATTCCCACATGCATAGATAGCCACTGTACATCTTATATGCTTTATATTTGTGTGTGTATACAAATAACGCACAAATTTATAATTTTAATAAAATATGATTATGCAATATTTTAATAGCATGTTTTGATGATTCACGAATAAATGTGAACACCTTTCTAGGGCAATAAACATAGATTTACTGCATAATTTCAATGGCTCTACATATAGTATTCTATGAAGTAACAAAATATATGTAACCAATTACCTATGTTTGGATATTCAGGCTGCTTCACATTTTCTGCTTTTAAATCTCAAAGGAATTCATTATGATATGTTTTGGTATCTCCTTATAATCTGGCTAACCCAAAGCACCACGTGAGATCCTCACACCTTACTTTTCACCTTTGGATGGCACTTTACAATCTATTGCACATCAATGCCTCAGCTTAGTTGCATAAAATATATGTGCAGAAGTATTACCGTGCTTTTTTACAAATGAGGAAAATAAAGGTCAGAAAAGTTTAAATAATTTGGTCCAAAGTCACCCAGGTAGTAAACAACAGGACCAGGTCCCAAGCCAGGTATTCTGATCCTAAATCCAGTACATCTTCTATCATAGACTCTGCTTTGAAATCTACTTGAAGATGGCTAACCAAGAGCCCCTCATCTGCACTCATTACAACAAATAAAATTAAAGAAGACTGGAAAAGTTTGGGCAAGTCAATATAGCTGGGGTATTTTTAAACCTATTACTCATTCAGTTGGATTCCCTAAACACGAGCTTCAGCACAGTCATGGTGATTTTAACGAGAAAGAGGACTTAGTTATGAAATTAGATGAAGATTCAGAAGCCAACTTATCTGTAGATCACAGTGATTAAATAGTTCAAAATGAATTACAACTTAGTAATATTGCTTCATTCATATTTATGAGATAAAAGTTGGAGTTCAGCTCCCATAATATCCAGTAATTTAAGACACAAACAAATTATAAGGATTAATCATTTTAATATCTTCCCGTTGATGTTGGCTAACTAAACAAAAACATGGCTGGTGGAGGAGAGAAGTGGAAATCTTATTTTGTTTGCTTATCTTTGTGAAACAAGCACTTGAAAATAAAACATATCACATCAAAGTGTGGGGAAAAAATAACTCCAGTGGCAGAATCAACTATGATCAGATTAAGAAACAGCAATATATTTTTGCATGGCTAATAAACAGATCAAAAACCTGCAAACCTAAGGATATTTAGATGCCAAATCTAACTTTAATTTTCAAATATCCTTATCTGGTCAAACCATCTCTCCAACAATAAAATTATATTATACACAGCCCTGTTTTTTCATATTCAGCAAATAGCACCCGATTGTCAATCTTAGATGTGACCCTGATTTTCCTTGTTATATTTAGAATTTTTAAAAATTTCTCCCCTGATTATTTAAGTAGCAGGAATTAGCAAAGAGTAAGAGACCACTCTCTAAAAGCTTTAAACCATAAACAAACATAACATTTTTCAGATAGCCATTATGCATCAACTGTACTTTTCAATCATGAATTAAATTCAATTGTACTTCTGTGGTCAGAAGCCTGTGAGTTTATGATAATAACACTTTTTAGTTTAAGCTTTTTCTTTAGGTAATCAAATGACACTTTACAAATTACCTGACTTCTTAACACATACCCCACAAAAGGAAAAAAATAATAATAAACAAATGCTTAAGGAAGAAAATATTTTAACTCCTCGTTTTACATAAGGGAGGAAACTAAGTCAAATATTTTTCCATCCTTGAAGGAAGAATTTAATGCATTTCATTTCAAAGAATTCCGATAACACAAATATACATATTGCTCCACAGGGTACCCAGACATATGCAATAATAAGCCTTCATATTTCTGTCTAACCAATTGAAACTACAGAGATTATATAAATTTGTCATTAGTAACCAGAGAAACTAAATAAACAACGTGAGGGTTAAGCAGAAGTATAGTCTAATTACAACCTTTGAGTGGCTCAAATATCTAAACTCTTAATCTCCACCAAGATATCCAGTTCTTTTTGTGGTCTAGAGCAAGCATCTCACAATCTCTATCTATCTGAACTTTCCCCAGCTTATTTAAGTAAACAGATAGGCTCTTTGATTCTTTTGCTTTATTTTTGTAAGGACTCATTTTACAATAACTAATTACCAAGAGCTAGGCAAAATAATTCATACACTTATTTAAATCATCCAATAGTAAATTTGACAAGCAGTGTACTGTGCATAAAAATATTTTTTTAAGTAAGCAAGGTTCAGAGAGAAATAGGTGTCTATCATTTCAAAAGAACATTTTGATAAGGAATAATATATTCCTTAATTCATCAATCAGCACACCTTGGTTAAGCCATAGTATGTGCGTATGTGTGGTGGGGGAGGCGGTTGGGGAGCATGGGGATATTAGATCAGATATTGACAATAAACTAGACCAGAGAGGCAGATCACACTGGATTTATTAGCCATATGAAAGTTTACTCTAAGGGCAATGGGAAACATTAAATGGCACTAAGCACAGAGAGGCCATTATTACATATGCCTTTTAAAAAAACCACTCCAGCTACAGTGTGGGCTGAAGAGTAGAAAAAGCAGATTGGAAGAAAGCTGATAGTCGGGCTTATAGTAGCCCAAGCAGGAGTTAAAGGAATGACACTGTGAATGAAGAAAAGAAGTTTTAAGAACTTGTTGAAAGTTAGAATTGTCAAGACTTGCTGGTAATTGGCTGTGGGAATGGAAGAAAAGAAAACATCAAGGACAAGGTCCAAGCAACTGGGTAAATGATCATGCCTTTTATTCCACTGGAAACACAGAGAGAAATGTAGGGTAGATTCCAACTGATGTGAATTAAGTAACCAAATGATTTTTTTTAAATTATCTTATTTGGAAAATTATGTTAACCAATGTCACGGTGTGAGAGGTGATGGGTTCTATAAACTGGGGCTCAGTGTTTCTTGAATTTTGGTTATCTAAAATTAGGTCCATTTTCTGGTAGGCTCTGGAACCCATAGTTAACAGTAAGAAAGTATCATGTTAAGAGTCTGTTTCAGTCTCTTACTTAGTAAGACAATAAACTGATTTGGAAAGGGAAACAAAACATAGGATTTAAATTAAATGTCACTGCATCTCATGTTTCAAACTACAACTTATTTGGGGGCTCATGGAAAAAGGATGTCTATGGTTAGTGATATGGGTAAAAGACTCATTCGTTTTATGTTTGTCTTATTACAAAGTAAAGAAAATGTACTGATAAAAAAGGCTTTCACCCTTTCCCTACCACTAAAACTGCTGCTGCATTGAATGAATTCTAAGACATAAAACAGATTCAGAATCCTGGTGATGTCTTTCACAAGTTAATGCATGTTAGCCACAGTTTTAAATACATGTACAAAAAGCAGTAAGGTTTGCAAGTCAGGATTGGTTCTATTTCTACACATAATTTAGCTTTATTGTTTTCATGAAGGAATATAATGAGCAAGTATGGGAAACAAGGCAAAGATCAAGTGGGAGGCACATTTCTATTAAACCACATTCAGCTTCATAAAAAATAAGGTATTATAATTACACCAAAATGCAACATCTTTGCCTAACACATTCAACATGAATCAAAAGATATCACAGATCAAAAGATACAGCACTTTAAAATATTTGCATTGTAGTATTTGTATATTTATTTGTTTATTTATTTTTGAGATAGGGTCTCACACTGTCACTCAAGCTGGAGGGCAATGACACAATCACAGCTCACTGCAGGCTCAACCTCTTGGGCTCAAGTCTCCCAAGTACTTAGGAATAGGACTACAGGTGCGCACCACCAAGCCTGGCTCATTTTTAACTTTTTTGTAGAGACGGGATCTCACTATGTTTCCCAGGCCAGTCTCGAACTCCTGGCCTCAAGTGATTATCTCACTCGGCCTCCCAAAGTGCTAGGATTACAGTAATAAGCCACCATGTCTGGGCTTTCATTATGGTATGTAAGCCTTTGGGAATAATTCAGTCAAAGGGTTGAGTTTTTGGAATCACACATACCTATATTTGAAATCTGGACTCACTAGATGTTAATCTTGGTCAATTGCTTAACATTACTGAAACTCAGTTTCCAAAGCTATAAATAAAAAATCATAATGGCTACTTTGGTTGCTTCCCCATCCTCCATTCTTCCATTCTTCTTAAGCAATCTCAATTTTGTTCAGGAATCCACACATCTCAGGGCAGTCATGCATTTCCAGGGTGACTCCATCACCCATCTCAGAAGTTGGAAGAATTCTGACTGGTTTAACCCAATAATGGTCCCACTGCCCTTGCCAATGATAATTTTAGGCAACAGATCATTGATTATTTTAGGCAACAAATAATTTTGGACAATGAGACATGAGAACCCATCTGCTAGGGGCTTCTAGTAAAGGTTTTTGGGGTTTTTGTTTGCTTCAGGAGAGGTGAGTTGGTTGTTTTACTTTGCTTTGTTTTTGGATCATTGGCTCCTTTAAGATGGTTCACAAAAAAAGATAGTCTCCTATTTTGGATACCATCAAATTGCTACGTGATGCTTGAAACTTGGGAAACCATCTTATAAGAGAAGCCAGACTGAGCAAAAAGCCACACATCTAACCTAAAATGACATGGAAAAAAATCTGGATTCTTAAAAGTGGTGTTGTGCCATTGATTTAATCAATCCTCGAGCCATTCTACCTTTAAAATGGATATATGAGTCATAAATTACTTTATTTTTTGAGCCTGTTTGAGTTGACGTTTTCTGTTATTTGCAGCTGAAAGCATGCTAAGTGACCCGGCTACCTTGCAGAATGAGCAATAATGAATGAAGAGCACTTCACACCCAATAATGACTACTATTATTATTTTACTTTTTTCCTCATAGTCATTTTTGGGATCTCTTTCTCCTTTTTTCTGACTTTTTTGAAACTGTCAGGGAATATATGGTTTCTTATTCCTTTCTATATTCTCCTACGTACCTACAGTAGTGTCTGTCAGCAGTGAATGCTTATAAATATGTGTTAAATTGAAATAGAATTGAATCTAAGTATCATTACTTCTTGTACTACAAGGTCTATTCATGACCTAGGGTGAACAGGTTTCATTAGCAAAAAAGAAAATGTTTTATAAAGAACACTATTCAAAAAATCAATTTAATGTAATTTTTATTCTAAAGAATAAGTTTTTCATTCTACAGAAAACTGTAAATTTCTATACACTAGTTTTTAAATGCTAGGGTAGTATTATTTTGAACAACTGACATTTCTAAAACACTGAGAATAGGAAACTTAGATGAGTCAACTTAAAACATGGCCATGTCTTTATAAAGCCAAGCTGTATCCTTAATAAAAATTGATAAATATTAAAATACACCCAGCTGTTGCCCAAAGTACACTCAAACTCTTGAGTGATAGCTTGAGCTTCTGCTTGTATGCTCCCTCTGTCATCAGATAACTTTGCTCTTTTTTTCTGGCTCCAAGGGTCTCTTTAGGCTTCAACATGTAACACAAAAATAAACAAGGTGATGAAACTGAAAGTGGTAAGTTGATTCTACCAATTAATAAATATAACCAGGTTCCTAAGGTCTTTTTTCTTTCCTTTCAGTAAGGTTCAGATACTCATTGTTATATTTTTCCTAAGACTATCCAGAGGAATATTAATGTAATTTAAAAAAATCCTGTTACTTCTAGTGAAATAGAATGTTTTTCTGGAAAGAGAAAATGGAAGGAAAGGAACAGGCCTACAAAAAAATGTCTTATTTGGTGGCAAAAACCAAGCTAACACCATCTTATATCACTGTGGCACCCAAGTAAGGCACAGATGTTTTATTTTCACAACCTCTAACTAAAACTTAAGATTTCCTTCAATCAGAAATATAGGCAACATCACAATAGTAGGATCAGCATCGCCTGTGATTTTGTCACTAATAGAAATCAAAGATATTTTCATATCTATTTAATTTCTGTTGTTGCTGATATTACAAAGTATCCTTGGCTCTCATCCCCAAATTAGTTATTCCACTTCTAAGTCTTATTTAATGTATTAATAAGGACACACATATACAACTATATCACAGTTTTTTACATATTTTGATAATTGTATGTAATTGTTTTTCTTTGTAATACTATGTACTTTATTTTATGCATTTAAGAACATTATTCTGAAAGGAGTCTGTAGGCTTCACCAGACTTACATGACAGAAAGTATTAAGGAATTGGACTGATGGGAGCTGAATACTTCCAGAAATGTAAAAAGCTGGAGGGAGAGCAGCAGTTGGTGAATACTGAATTTTCTTTCTTCTCGTCATGTAATATGCTACTTTTTTTTTTTTTTTTTTTTTTTTTTGCTTCAAACCACAGAAATCAAAGTTCTGCACTGTACTACCTGCAAATAGCCTTTATTTCTTTGGAAAAGATGAAACATTTAAATTGTTAGTAATTAATTGTATGTATGTTTTTCTTGTTAGATAATTTCAAATCATAAATATTCTAAAGCTATTATTGAAAGTTCATTATATAGTATTTCTATCAAGGTAATTCTACCTTCAAAGAAAAATTTTTGAACAAAACTGCAATTTTTATTGCAATTTCATTGTGTAACCACGAAAAGAAAATAATTCTTTTCTTTATCTGCAAACAGTGTGTGTGCATGTGTGTGTGTGTGATCAAAGATCTAGTTTTAAGTATGTGTACATCAAAAAAGAGAAAACATTTGGAAATGAATTGTTTTCATCAATCATTAGGGAGTTTAAATAGTTATTTTTCATAGAGAAAAACTCATCCAAAAGCAAGATAGATAAAAAATAGTTTGGCATAAAAAATACTTACAAGTTTATAAACTATCCTTTTTTAATGCCTCTCAAACCAAAGGAGTCAGATCCACATGGCTTGAATTCAAGCTTCATCTTTACGATTGTTTCCTGATTTACCTTTGCTAGTATTACTAGTGATATCATGCTTAACAATAGTAAGTGACAATAATTGAGTTTACTATGTGTCAGGCATAGTGGATTTAGCTGAAGATATCAAGGCCAACAAGATATGTATAGTAATGGCTCTCAGAGACTCCATTCTAATAGATAGATACTATATATTATAAACAATCAAATAAATATAATTGTTATCAATGAGTAAAAATCACAAGATGTACCACTCAATCTGTACAACAACTCTATGTGGTATTATTATCTCCAATTCATAAAGGGAAGCTTGAATTCAGAGACATGGAGTAGTTTGTCCAGTGCCACACTACCATAAGGGAGATGCAGAGCTACCAGTACAACAGGAGAGACTGAAATACATAAAGTATTCATAAAGGAATAGTTTTATACAATAATCATGTTTACCTTCTTGAAGGAAGAGACTATTTATTCAGCTTTGAAACCATCGTGTCTTGTATATGATAGAAATGCTTAATGAATGGATGAATCTGAGAAATAAAGCAGGACCACTGCAAAACGTTGGTTACAATTTAAGTAAGAGGCGAAAGATAAGAGAGCAGAAAATATTAGACTCCTACATTCTTCCAGGAAGCCGAAGATAAGATCACCAGACAGCACATCTTGAAAGAAGAGCATTAAAAAGACAATGTATTATTCAAAATTTAGTGAGCATCTATTACATGAGGGGAAAAGACATATCATCTTGAACTGTCATTTTCTAATCTGTTGTCAGTGACTCACAGGAGTTTTGTGTTGAAGAGGATTCTGAGTGGGAAAAAGCTAGCAAATCTGTTATGAGTGAAGCCACAGGGGAAAGTGACAGCCAGGGGTTTGTCATTTGTGGATCCGATGTTCCCAGCACTGTGCTAAGTATTAACATATTGTCCCTTCTGAGAATCTCAGAATGTGATGAGAGATAAGACCAAATAAACAGAAAAAGTACAGTACAATACAATGTGAGAAGTAGAAGAACAGAGCTATAGACAAGATTCTAGGTCCATCTGGAGAAGGTAGCTAATAGCTCTACTTTGATAAATTAGTAATACGATATATTTGTTATATCGTAATGATAACAGTATTCATATAACACTGTTCTAAAGAGTTATGTGTATGAATTCACTGAATTGTCTAAAAAAAAATGAGTTGGCTGCTATTATTATTCCCATTTCACAGATGAGAAAATAGAGTCCTAGATAATGTAACTTACCTGAGGTCAATAGCTGGTAGGTGGAGGAGCTGATTTCAAACCCCAGACAGTCTGGCTCCAGGGCCCTGGATGTTAAACATGCAAATATGTGAAAAATACTTTTTATGGTAAAACTGCTTTCAATGATATTCTTTTCCTTCATAAAAAAATAAGTAGCTCTGGAGGAGCCAAGATGGCCGAATAGGAACATCTCTGGTCTACTGCTCCCAGCGTGAGCGAAGCAGAAGACCGGTGATTTCTGCATTTCCATCTGAGGTACCGGGTTCATCTCACTAGGGAGTGCCAGACAGTGGGCTCAGGTCAGTGGGTGCGCGCACCGTGCGCCATCCGAAGCAGGGCGAGGCATTGCCTCACTCGGGAAGCGCAAGGGGTCAGCGAGTTCCCTTTCCTAGTCAAAGAAAGGGGTGAGGACCGCACCTGGAAAATCGGGTCACTCCCACCCGAATACTGCGCTTTTCCGACAAGCTTAAAAAACGGCGCACCACGAGATTATAACCTGCACCTGGCTCGGAGGGTCCTACGCCCACGGAGTCTCACTGATTGCTAGCACAGCAGTCTGAGATCAAACTGCAAGGCGGCAGCGAGGCTAGGGGAGGGGCGCCCGCCATTGCCCAGGCTTGCTGAGGTAATCAAAACAGCCCGGAAACTCGAACTGGGTGGAGCCCACCACAGCTCAAGGAGGCCTGCCTGCCTCTGTAGGCTCCACCTCTGGGGGCAGGGCACAGACAAACAAAAAGACAGCCATAACCTCTGCAGACTTAAATGTCCCTGTCTGACAGCTTTGAAGAGAGCAGTGGTTCTCCCAGTACGCAGCTGGAGATCTGAGAAGGGGCAGACTGCCTCCTCAAGTGGGTCCCTGACCCCTGGCCCCCGAGCAGCCTAACTGGGAGGCACCCCCCAACAGGGGCACACTGACACCTTACACTGCAGGGTACTCCAACAGACCTGCAGCTCAGAGTCCCGTCTGTTAGAAGGAAAACTAACAAACAGAAAGGACATCCACACCAAAAACCCATCTGTACATCACCATCATCAAAGACCAAAAGTAGATAAAACCACAAAGATGGGGAAAAAACAGAACAGAAAAACTGGAAACTCTAAAAAGCAGAGCGCCTCTCCTCCTACAAAGGAACGCAGCTCCTCACCAGCAACGGAACAAAGCTGGATGGAGAATGACTTTGACGAGCTGAGAGAAGAAGGCTTCAGACGATCAAATTACTCTGAGCTACGGGAGGACATTCAAACCAAAGGCAAAGAAGTTGAAAACTTTGAAAAGAATTTAGAAGAATGTATAACTAGAATAACCAATAGAGAGAAGTGCTTAAAGGAGCTGATGGAGCTGAAAACCAAGGCTCGAGAACTACGTGAAGAATGCAGAAGCCTCAGGAGCCGATGCAATCAACTGGAAGAAAGGGTATCAGCAATGGAAGATGAAATGAATGAAATGAAGCGAGAAGGAAAGTTTAGAGAAAAAAGAATAAAAAGAAACGAGCAAACCCTCCAAGAAATATGGGACTATGTGAAAAGACCAAATCTAGGTCTGATTGGTGTACCTGAAAGTGATGGGGAGAATGGAACCAAGTTGGAAAACACTCTGCAGGATATTATCCAGGAGAATTTCCCCAATCTAGCAAGGCAGGCCAACGTTCAGATTCAGGAAATACAGAGAACGCCACAAAGATACTCCTCGAGAAGAGCAACTCCAAGACACATAATTGTCAGATTCACCAAAGTTGAAATGAAGGAAAAAATGTTAAGGGCAGCCAGAGAGAAAGGTTGGGTTACCCTCAAAGGGAAGCCCATCAGACTAACAGCGGATCTCTCGGCAGAAACCCTACAAGCCAGAAGAGAGTGGGGGCCAATATTCAACATTCTTAAAGAAAAGAATTTTCAACCCAGAATTTCATATCCAGCCAAACTAAGCTTCATAAGCAAAGGAGAAATAAAATACTTTACAGACAAGCAAATGCTGAGAGATTTTGTCACCACCAGGCCTGCCCTAAAAGAGCTCCTGAAGGAAGCGCTAAACATGGAAAGGAACAACCGGTACCAGCCGCTGCAAAATCATGCCAAAATGTAAAGACCATCGAGACTAGGAAGAAACTGCATCAACTAACGAGCAAAATCACCAGCTAACATCAAAATGACAGGATCAAATACACACATAACACTATTAACTTTAAATGTAAATGGGCTAAATGCTCCAATTAAAAGACACAGACTGGCAAACTGGATAAAGATTTAAGACCCATCAGTGTGCTGTATTCAGGAAACCCATCTCACGTGCAGAGACACACATAGGCTCAAAATAAAAGGATGGAGGAAGATCTACCAAGCAAATGGAAAACAAAAAAAGGCAGGGGTTGCAATCCTAGTCTCTGATAAAACAGACTTTAAACCAACAAAGATCAAAACAGACAAAGAAGGCCATTACATAATGGTAAAGGGATCAATTCAACAAGAAGAGCTAACTATCCTAAATATATATGCACCCAACACAGGAGCACCTAGATTCATAAAGCAAGTCCTGAGTGACCTACAAAGAGACTTAGACTTCCACACATTAATAATGGGAGACTTTAACACCCCACTGTGAACATTAGACGGATCAACGAGACAGAAAGTCAACAAGGATACCCAGGAATTGAACTCAGCTCTGCAGCAAGTGGACCTAATAGACATCTACAGAACTCTCCACCCCAAATCAATAGAATATACATTTTTTTCAGCACCACACCACACCTATTCCAAAATTGACCACATACTTGGAAGTAAAGTTCTCCTCAGCAAATGCAAAAGAACAGAAATTATAACAAACTATCTCTCAGACCACAGTGCAATCAAACTAGAACTCAGGATTAAGAATCTCACTCAAAACCGCTCAACTACATGGAAACTGAACAACCTGCTCCTGAATGACTACTGGGTACATAATGAAATGAAGGCAGAAATAAAGATGTTCTTTGAAACCAACGAGAACAAAGACACAACATACCAGAATCTCTGGGATGCATTCAAAGCAGTGTGTAGAGGGAAATTTATAGCACTAAATGCCCACAAGAGAAAGCAGGAAAGATCCAAAATTGACACCCTAACATCACAATTAAAAGAACTAGAAAAGCAAGAGCAAACACATTCAAAAGCTAGCAGAAGGCAAGAACTAACTAAAATCAGAGCAGAACTGAAGGAAATAGAGACACAAAAAACCCTTCAAAAAATTAATGAATCCAGGAGCTGGTTTTTTGAAAGGATCAACAAAAGAGATAGACTGCTAGCAAGACTAATAAAGAAAAAAAGAGAGAAGAATCAAATAGACGCAATAAAAAATGATAAAGGGGATGTCACCACTGATCCCACAGAAATACAAACTACCATCAGAGAATACTACAAACACCTCTACGCAAATAAACTAGAAAATCTAGAAGAAATGGATAAATTCCTCGACACATACACTCTCCCAAGACTAAACCAGGAAGAAGTTGAATCTCTGAATAGACCAATAACAGGATCTGAAATTGTGGCAATAATCAATAGCTTACCAACCAAAAAGAGTCCAGGACCAGACGGATTCACAGCCAAATTCTACCAGAGGTACAAGGAGGAACTGGTACCATTCCTTCTGAAACTATTCCAATCAATAGAAAAAGAGGGAATCCTCCCTCACTCATTTTATGAGGCCAGCATCATTCTGATACCAAAGCCGGGCAGAGACACAACCAAAAAAGAGAATTTTAGACCAATATCCTTAATGAACATTGATGCAAAAATCCTCAATAAAATACTGGCAAAATGAATCCAGCAGCACATCAAAAAGTTTATCCACCATGATCAAGTGGGCTTCATCCCTGGGATGCAAGGCTGGTTCAATATATGCAAATCAATAAATGTAATCCAGCATATAAACACAGCCAAAGACAAAAACCACATGATTATCTCAATAGATGCAGAAAAGGCCTTTGACAAAATTCAACAACCCTTCATGCTAAAAACTCTCAATAAATTAGGTATTGATGGGACGTATTTCAAAATAATAAGAGCTATCTATGACAAACCCACAGCCAATATCATACTGAATGGGCAAAAACTGGAAGCATTCCCTTTGAAAACTGGCACAAGACAGGGATGCCCTCTCTCACCACTCCTATTCAACATAGTGTTGGAAGTTCTGGCCAGGGCAATTAGGCAGGAGAAGGAAATAAAGGGTATTCAATTAGGAAAAGAGGAAGTCAAATTGTCCCTGTTTGCAGACGACATGATTTTATATCTAGAAAACGCCATTGTCTCAGCCCAAAATCTCCTTAAGCTGATAAGCAACTTCAGCAAAGTCTCAGGATACAAAATCAATGTACAAAAATCACAAGCATTCTTATACACCAACAACAGACAAACAGAGAGCCAAATCATGAGAACTCTCATTCGCAATTGCTTCAAAGAGAATAAAATACCTAGGAATCCAACTTATAAGGGATGTGAAGGACCTCTTCAAGGAGAACTACAAACCACTGCTCAAGGAAATAAAAGAGGATAAAAAGAAATGGAAGAACATTCCATGCTCATGGGTAGGAAGAATCAATATCATGAAAATGGCCACACTGCCCAAGGTAATTTACAGATTCAATGCCATCCCCATCAAGCTACCAATGACTTTCTTCACAGAATTGGAAAAAACTACTTTAAAGTTCATATAGAACCAAAAAAGAGCCCGCATCACCAAGTCAATCCTAAGCCAAAGGAACAAAGCTGGAGGCATCACACTACCTGACTTCAAACTATACTACAAGGCTACAGTAACCAAAACAGCATGGTACTGGTACCAAAACAGAGATATAGATCAATGGAACAGAACAGAGCCCTCAGAAATAATGCCACATATCTACAACTATCTGATCTTTGACAAACCTGACAAAAACAAGAAATGGGGAAAGGATTCCCTATTTAATAAACGGTGCTGGGAAAACTGGCTAGCCATATGTAGAAAGCTGAAACTGGATCCCTTCCTTACACCTTATACAAAAATTAATTCAAGATGGATGTAAGACTTAAACTTTAGACCTAAAACCATAAAAAGCCTAGAAGAAAACCTAGGCATTACCATTCAGGACATAGGCATGGGCAAGGACTTCATGTCCAAAACACCAAAAGCAATGGCAGCAAAACACAAAATTGACAAATGGGATCTCATTAAACTAAAGAGCTTCTGCACAGCAAAAGAAACTACCATCAGAGTGAACAGGCAACCTACAAAATGGGAGAAAATTTTCACAACCTACTCATCTGACAAAGGGCTAATATCCAGAATCTACAATGAACTCAAACAAATTTACAAGAAAAAAACAAACAACCCCATCAAAAAGTGGGCGAAGGACATGAACAGACACTTCTCAAAAGAAGACATTTATGCAGCCAAAAAACACATGATTAAATGCTCCTCATCACTGGACATCAGAGAAATGCAAATCAAAACCACAATGAGATACCATCTCACACCAGTTAGAATGGCAATCATTAAAAAGTCAGGAAACAACAGGTGCTGGAGAGGATGTGGAGAAATAGGAACACTTTTACACTGTTGGTGGGACTGTAAACTAGTTCAACCATTGTGGAAGTCAGTGTGGCGATTCCTCAGGGATCTAGAACTAGAAATACCATTTGACACAGCCATCCCATTACTGGGTATATACCCAAAGGACTATAAATCATGCTGCTATAAAGACACATGCACACGTATTTTTATTGCGGCATTATTCACAATAGCAAAGACTTGGAACCAACCCAAATGTCCAACAATGATAGACTGGATTAAGAAAATGTGGCATATATACACCATAGAATACTATGCAGCCATAAAAACTGATGAGTTCATGTCCTTTGTAGGGACATGGATGAAATTGGAAGTCATCATTCTCAGTAAACTATCGCAAGAACAAAAAACCAAACACCACATATTCTCACTCATAGGTGGGAATTGAACAATGAGAACACATGGACACAGGAAGGGGAACATCACACTCTGGGGACTGTTGTGGGGTGGGGGGAGGGGGGAGGGATAGCATTGGGAGGTATACCTAATGCTAGATGACAAGTTAGTGGGTGCAGTGCACCAGCATGGCACATGTATACATATGTAACTAACCTGCACAATGTGCACATGTACCCTAAAACTTAAAGTATAATAATAAAAGAAAAAAAAAGTTAAAAAAAAATAAGTAAAAAATAAAAAATAAAAAAATAGGTAATTTGGAACTGCAGTGATTTAAGTTTAACCCATGTAACATTGTTAATGAAACTTCAAAAGCACATGAATCAGTTACACCAATGCCATTTACTCTTTTTTGTTTAACTTTTATTTTCAGTTCAGGGGTACATGTGCAGGTTTGTTACATAGGTAAACTTGTGTCATGGGGGTTTGTTATACAGACTATTTCATGACCCAGGTTTTAAGACTAGTACCCATTAGTTATTTTCCCTGATCCTCTGTCTCCTCCTACCCTTCACCCTCCAATAGGCCCCAGTGTGTGTTGTTTCCCTCCCTGTGGCCATGTGTTCTCATTGTTTAGCTCCCACTTATAAGTGAGAACATGCAGTGTTTAGTTTTCTGTTCCTGTGTTAATTTCTAAGGAAGATGTCCTCTGGCTCCATTCAGTCCTTGCAAAGGACATGATCTTATTCTTTTTTATGGCTGCATAGTATTCCGTGGTGTATATGTACCACATTTTCTTGATCCAGTCTATCATTGATGGGCATTTAGGTTGATGCCATGTCTTTGCTGTGTGAGTAAATGGGTTCCAATCTCTTGTCATTCTTCAAAGTGAGAGGTTCTCTTTTTGTTTTTGCTTTTGTTTTTAGAAAGTTTAATAGAGTCTTGCTGGAAACATATGAAAACTCAAATGCAAACTTTATTAGTTTACAACTTGGAACAAGGCTAACTTCACTCTATAAAATTGTAGAGCAGTTTACAGAAATAAATCGTAGGGATTAGCAAGTACACTTATCTTGGCCTTGTCCTAATTACTATTAACACATTTCTTGGTAGTTAATATTCATTAAGTCTCTCTAATTAGATAAAACCTATAAATGAAATACACTGTGACTCTTGCTTTCATGAAATTTTAACTAGAACGTTGTAACAGTTTTAAGAGTTGCACTCATGAAAACCAGTCCAACTGAGGTTTAAAACCAAGTTCATTCCAGGATTTTAAAAAACCAATAGCCAATACCTCTGCCACCCAAAGGCATGGAAACCCCTTCTGTATGACAGTAGGGTGGTGGGAAAACTAGAGATCAGGGATCAGAAGTAAAGCAGAGTTAATAATCTTAAGATTATTAATAGCACATGTATTAAATACTTGATTATTGACATTTTACACATTCTCTTAAAAATACATTATGTACTCACCATCCAGATTTAACAGATGTTAACATTTGGCCATATTTGCCTTTTTCTTTTTCTTCTCTCTCTTTTTTTTTTTACAAAAAATAAGCATTACATACTCTTTATTCTCTGTTACTCTGTATGAAATCAAGATTCTAACTTGAAACCCTTTGAAATGCAGTCATCCAAACCCAAATGTTATTGTGAAAATAGCTCCAAAAGCCTGACCCCAGCATGAATCCCTTTAATCTGCCCAAGAACCAGGTAGGTGGTGGACACAACCAAGCTCATTGTATAGATGAGGTAACAGAGGCTAGGGGAGGCTGACATTTGTGATTTCAACCCAGTTCTGTCTAGTTCTGAGACTGACCTCAAAGTAATTTGATGCTGTATGTGGGATTCAAATCCTCTCTTCAAGGCCCTTGCTCTTTGAACAATTCTACAGTATCCAGGGAGAATTTCAGTATTCGTCAGCCTGAACAATAACCATCCAGTTTCAGGTTCTCCAAAGTCCAGGCCCTATTCATTCAGCCACTATTGAGCATTTACTATCTGCCAGGCACAGTGCATTGAAAACACAGACCAACCAAAAAGCAATCAATCAGAGGACTGCATGAGTTTACAAGGTTCCCGCAAATCTATTTCAGTGTCTTCATTCCTGATGAAGCTGGGATTCACTGGCATCTCCTGCCACAGGACTGCTTATGCTCACAACCACCTAGTGCTACTGTTGATGTCAAGATAAATGCATTTTCTTGACTTTATTATTAATATACCCAAGACCTATTGGTGGAGAGAATCATACTGAGGTTCCTGAGTCACTAGCCTCAACGTCTTGTGATTGAGATGTAATCAACTGTTTTTTCAGTCTCCTGCTCCATTTTTTTCTTATTCTGAGTGACAGGCCTGCCTGGACACTCAATGGTTATAAGAGTCATCTTTTATTACCCCTTTTACTATTTCATCCTGGGGAGAGAATGTTGGCAGATTCATGAATTCTACAAATATTTACACCTCTCTTTTCCAGGCACTGCTATGGTCATCCTTCATAAGGAATAAACCAAACAGTCATAGATATTTGTATTTTAGTCAGGAATAGGAGGCAATAAGTAAAGTAACAAGTCTGTGGTAAGTCTGGTGACAAATAAGCAAGAAGGGCATAGACAAGGTAGTCGAGGAAGGCCTCTCTTATTTGGCAGCATCCTGGCAGAAGCAGAATGAAATGAGGGCAAGAACCATGTTTAGATCTAGAAAGAAAGGATTTCCAGCATAGAAAATAGCAAGTGCAAAGTTCCTGATTCAGGAGACTGCTTGGAATGTTCAAAGCCAACAAAATAGAATGAACCAGGCTGAGTGATAAGAGCTAAAACCAGAGGCTCAGGGCCCAATCATAGCAGGCCTTGCAGGCCATGATATGACTTTAAATTTCCATTTGAGAGATAGGGAAAATCATTAGCTTCTGTAACTAACATGATCGGATTTACAAAGTTTAAGTGGTAGGTTTAAGACACATTAGCATTTGGGAATTTGATAGGGGAGCACATCAGATTCCATGTGGTGGATACATCTTCTTAAGTGGTGTGTCTGTTACTGAAACACCAGGTGTTCCTTCTAGGTCCCATTGCTCACTGCACAGAAAGCCAATCCCTGAGACAGCAAATACTGCCAGGAAAGAAGGGTTTTTTGATTACTGCATCCCAGGAGATGGGAGCAATCTGTTGAGTAACAGATTTTGGTTCCCTGACCCATTTCCCCAGCTGAAACACCTGAATAAAAAAGCCTTCTTCCCTGGCTGTACTTGTCTCAGTGATTGGCTTTATATGCAACAAGCAAAGGGACCTAGACTGCACCCCTGGTGTTCTGGTAATGTGTCTGTCCAGGTGGACTTCCATCCTAAGCCAGGACTGGCCTTGTGCAGTACACAGGGTGTTACTGTACAATCAAAAATTACCCAAGATGCTTTTTAAAACTGAAGATTTCATGGGCCTCACCCAAGGTATGATGAACTAGAATTTCTGTGGCTGAAGCTAAAGAATTTGCATTGTAAACAAGGTGCACTTATGATTCATATGTGCAAGAATTTTGAACTGCTGGAATCAGAGAAAGCTTTGCAGAGGATGGGATTCTCTATCGGAATTCCAAAGACGAGAAGGAGTTCACTTGAGGTGGGGCAAAAAGCAATGATGGTGAGGATTCCTCAGGGAGAAGAACCATCGTGCATAAATACCGAGAGACATAAAATATCAGACGTTTAGATTCCTGTGTATGATTTGACATAACTAGAGCAATTTGTTTGTTTGTTTTGAGCTTTTACCCTGTGCTAGACACTTATATGATCTCATTTTATCACCTCCACTACTATTAAAGAGACTTTAAGGAAAATGCATGTCAGAGAACCCAAGAAACTAAGTGGCCTGTTCACGATTACTTGCCTAGAAAATGGTAAAGACAGAATTCTAGAAAACGGGGTTTAATTCTGAAGCTTATGATCGTACCCATTAGACAGAGGAGAGTCAAATAATGAAGTTGAGAGAGAATGGATAAGATCAGGAGGTTCCTGAATGCCTTCCTGTAACCAAGAATTTAGGGCATTGACACGAATCTGGGGAGGTTACCTTGAAGAAATTTATGCAGAAGAGGAACATGATCAGATGTGAACTTTAATATGATCCTTCTGGCATCCTGACAACTACACTAAAATTGTAGGGGCCAAGAGAAAATTTCCTCTTTACCCTCTGAAACATCCTTGAAAAATCAGTTCACAAAAGGCTGATTAACAGGAGAAAAGGCATACAAAATTTATTAACATGTACATGAGATCCTTCAGCATGAAGACCCAAAGATACAAAGGAAATTGTCATTTTTTTATACGTAAGTTTAACAAACTATGTACAGCTGTGTAGAAATACGATCACACAAAAAGGGTATGATATGATCTAATGCTAGTAGACTGAGTAGGGAAACCCAGCAAGTCCTATCTGTTTAGATTCTTCTTGGACTTTCTGTGCAGCGTCCCTTCCTTCTGGGTGTGGGGCAGTACCGTCTCTGGGATGGGTGTTTCATGACCTACAGTCAAACAAGTTAGGTCAGATCATGTCTCTATGGCCGGGTTTTACACAGAAAGGCGGGGGAAACTAAGAGTAATGTTTTTAGGTTTTATGGCTGGCTTTGGAGACCTGCCTTGGGGAAGAGGTATTCTAGTTTCTATGGCCAGCCTCAGAGGAGAATGAGACTGAGAGAAAGGAGGACAGAGAAGAACCTTTGCTTCTGAGGCTGCTTCTGAGACCTTCATTTTAGGATATCGTTTTCTGAGTCCCAACATTCAATACAGGCAAAAGTAGAGATAATGCTTCAGCTCAGCTCCCCTAGAAAGCAGGGCTTGAGGCAAGGGTGAAAGTATTGATGCCTTATTTGAGAGTTACATGCCTAGGGTGGTAAGGGTAAGAAACAAGGTAAATGTAGTAGGTTGAATAATGGCCACCCAGAATGTCAGGTCCTGATTCCTGGAACCTGTACATATTACCTCTTAAGGAAAAAGGGTCTTCGTAGATGTGACTGAGTTAAGGATCCTGACGTGGAGAGATTACATGGATCACATGAGTGGCACCTAAATTTAATCACAAACATCTTTTTAAGGGAGAGGAGGAGGGAGATTTGACACACACAGAAGAGGAGATGATGATACAACCATGGGGACAGAGATTGGAGTGCAGCAGTCACAGGTCAGGAAATGCAGGCAGCCCCCAGAAGCTGGAAGAGGCAAAAAATAGATTATCTGCCAGAGGCTCCAGAGGGAGTGCAGCCTTGCTGACACCTTGATTTTGCTCCAGTGAAACTGACTTCACACTTCTGGCCTCAAGAACTGGGAGAGTTTTAAACCACCAAGGTTGTACTTTGTTACAGCAACCCTAAAAAACAACTACAGTAATGGAGCAAAGACAGGATCTCAAGCAATATGATGTCTTTCTCTTCTGGCCACCATTTGACAAAGAACCAGGATATGACACAGCAGGTGGTTTGGCAGGTGTAGTTGTGCAGCCCAGGAGACTTCTCCAAAAGATATGCAAGGAGAAGCCATGCCCCAGAACAGCCCATGGAAGGAAAAGAGGGATGGCATTTATGCCATCCAGCTCCTTGGCAACTACTCAGGAAGCCTGATTCCACACCCCAGGGTGTGTGTTTGCATCTGTAAATGCAGAAATGGAGGAGCTGCTTAATGCAAATAGGACTCAGCATGTAGCGCAAGAGAGCAACGCAAATCTGAGCCTTCAACCCAGATTCCGTCTGGACTGGGAGCTCATCAAGAGTGCCAGGAAAGGTGATGATGGGGTGACACATTTGGCAAGAAGAAAGTAGTGGAGGAGAACTGAGAAAGTGCACAAGATTTGTGTGTGGTACAGGGGATGAAGAGAAAATGACAATGTACTCAGAGATGTGAAGGAGATAAAGTCCAGAGGTCTTTCTGACGAGTGTGATATACAGAATTGTAGTTAATCAAATGACCATTGGAATCGAATGGATTTGGTTTCAAATCTTAGCTGTATCACCCACTCCATATGTGTTCAAGGATGATTTGTTTGATCTCTCAGAGTCTTGGTTTCTTCCCATCTGTAAAATGAAAATAATAATATGTACTTTGCAGGGTTCTTGTGAAACACTACATGCAAAGCATTTATCACAGTGCACTTGCTAAATAAAAATATGGAATGGCACTTATTGTTGTCATGATTGCATGTAGTGAGTGAAACAGAGGAAATAATCTATCTAGTATGTCATTTGGAAGTCAGGCTTGGGCAAATGAGAAGATGTTAGGAAAGGGAGAAAGCTTGACAAGGGAGAAAATTAGATACTGATAGGCATCTACATATAGACGGATTTTCTCAGAGCCACTTCACTGTTTTCCTTGACCACCCAGACCACTATGAAGAGGAGAAAGAAACTATTCATTGAGCTCCAGATACATGTCAAACACTAGCTCTCTACGTTACAATTGTTATTTCATTTGTTTTTACAACAACCCTTTGATTTGAGGTGGCTTGCTATCCTTTATAGAAGAAGAATCTGAGGCATAGGAAACATAAGTGACTTTGTTAAGGCCTCCTAGTTATTACTTGGTAGAAATAGAGCACCAACTTAGATGTCTCTGATTTCAAAACCTGGGTTCCAACCAGGTTGGATATGCCCTAGCATATCCATCATACAGGCTCAGTTGTACATAAAAGACATATTCTAGAGCCAAGTATATTTTCTGTGCAAGTAGTCAATAAAGGCATTCAAATCTATTAAAACAATATTGCACCTGAAAACACTAAATGCTGACAACAGCACAGAGTGACTGAACTCTCATACAGTCTTGACGGATGTATAAATTGGGACCATTCTGGAAAACTGCTAGGCAGTATCCACCTAAAGCTAAAAGTCTTCCCATTCTACAATTATTTCTACTTCTGGGCTTCCTCCCCAGTGTTTATGTCAACCAAAAAATGTTCATATCAGCTTCAGTCATAATATCCAACTACTGGGAACAGCCTAAATGTTCCTCAAGAATAGGTTGGGTACATACACATATGTAGTCCTGTCATGGAGTACTACAAAGCAATTTTTGAACTACCGGTACACACAAGAATGTAAATGAATCTTTCAGACAAAACGTTGGACAAATAAAGTTAGATATAAATAAAAGAATATACACTATGAGCCCATTTATATAAGAACAGGCAAAATAATTGTAATAGAAGAAGTTGGGGGCAAAGGTGCTGCTGACTGGGAGGCGGGGGAAATGATGAGAGCTGTCTATGTTGCTGAAGTGTTTTTTATCTTGATGGGGTGGTGGTTAGATAGGTGTACACGTTTGTAAAAACGGATCAATGTATATACTTAAGATTTGCGCGCTTTATTTTATGTAAGTTGTAGCTCAACAAAAATTTAAAACATTGAGAGGGCTAATGAAATCTGGCCAGTAGGGTCTCAATCATCTTCCTCTGATTAAGACTGAGTTCCACCTTAATCAGATCTGTCTTGCCCTTTCGTCTCCTGTACCTGGCACATAGATCTCAACAACCATTTGTATAAAAAATGGGCACACACCTGTGACATTAAGCAAGTTCCCACCCATCCTCAAGCACACCCCTCCCTGTTTCTTAAGTGAATCTTAGACTGAGGTGGCATCATGCCCTGAAGCTCGGGAGGTGGTGAGATCCTCCCCATACTCGACCATACTTTCATTAGAAGAAATAAACCATAAAACCAAGTAGCAGTTTTGAAGTATGACACAGCATTATTGCTTGCATTAGGCCAATTTTCCACTTATGACAGCAGTAATAGCACTAAAAGCCAATAAAAGCGGTCTGTTCGTTCAGAGATCAGCTTTTATGGCTTATTCTAAATATTATCAAGTGAATCAAGAGCCGTCATTATAGTGTCTAAAAAGCCTTCATACCTTGTAAGCAAACAGTGTGACTTTGACAAATAATCATTAGAGTGCCTGTGTGAGGCCAGTGCTGGGGGAAAAAAGTCAAATAACAGATATTTCCGTTTACATAAGTTTTTAAGGTATTGTTGGTTAGTTTCAGAATAAACAAAATGAATTTCATATGTAAAATGATATACTAACACTTTCAACAATTCCAGCCTTTTTCGTATTGTATTTCCAGGCAGCTGGAGATACGGGCTATGTTCATTGTTCCAGCCTTCTCAATCCTTAGGAGCCTATCAGGAAAGTTTGATAAAACTGCCGAGGTCTCACCTAATCACACAGACTTAGCCAATGTTTCTCACGCCTCATTGAAAATAAATCTCAATAATTCTGATTTCACTCATTTCAAATTTGGTAATTATCCATGAATGCCATGCTAAAAATTATGTGTGTGTGAAGAGTTCCTTAAGAAAGAATAAAAAAAAAAATCCAGTGAAAAACCAAGACATGTTCACTTTATTAATGTGAGGATTTCTCACTGATTACAGTTGAGAACATAAACTTTCTGGAGTGTAATTTGACAAAACTACAATCTAATTTGAAGGATTTGTCAATTTTTTTCTGTGTTGGGGCAGATAGTAAATATTTCTGGCTTAGTGGGCCATGTAGTCTTTGTCACAACTATTCAATTCTGCCATTATAGTGTGAAAACACAGATAATACATAAATTAATGAGCATGGCTGTGTTCCAACAAAACTTGACTTACAAAAAAATGCAGTAGGCCATATGTAGACCATGGGTCACAGTTTATCGACCTCTACCTTAGATTATTAGAAGGTAAACAAAGGTAAATACACCATGGTATCCTCAGGTAGGTGTCTAACACAAAGCACAGATTGCATATGTGATAAATATTTACTAAATAAACATGGAATGAATCATAATTCTTAAAATTTCGTATAATTCACTGGACAGCCACTTCTAAGTATTATCCTAAAAAAATAATGAGAGGCATATGCAAAGATTTGTTATGGGTATTTGTTACAATGTTTACTTATAATCACAAGACAATAGAATTAACATACATTTCCAGAAGTAAGAAAGTGGGTGAAGAAAGTGTGTTCATAAGATGGAATAATATAAAGTTATTTAAAATGACAGTATATAAAATTGGAAGAATAATATTTATGCTTTTAAAATAGCTTTAAATACACTTAGTAAAAAATTGTATTGCAAGAAATTATTTTTCACTGAACAAATATTTATTGAACACCTGCTATATACCTAACATTATTCTAGACATTGGAATTCAGCAGGAAAAAAACTGGCAAAACTCCTGTCCACATAAGTTATATTATCATATTATCTTAATTATAATTGTATTTTGTTAAAAAGAGTATATATACTTTTTTTTAAAGTTTGAAATGCTCTTCATCAAAATATTTTTAAAAGTTTATTGTGGGGGAATAAAATCATGGGTAATTCCATTTATTTTGATTAAGAATATTAATCAAAGCTGATTAGTTACCATGATTTGCATCGACAATGAGCAATCTGATTTTAAGTAATTATTGCCTAATTAAACACACGGTACAACATGGGTTTTAGCATATTTTAGCAGAAAAGTTCTTATTTTAAATGGAATTTATTTACCAGGTCCTCATATAGCACTTATTATATGCTATAAACTTCTGAAAGTACTTCATAACTTATTTAATTGTACTTCACAATTTATTTAATCCTTTCAACGACGCTTTGAGGTAAGTATTGTTATCGCTGATGAACAGATGAAGAAGCTGAGGCGTGGGAGGTTGAGTAAATGACTTGCCCAGGTCACAGAGCTAATGAGTGGCAAGGCCAGGATTTAAACCTAGGCAGTGCAGTCCCAAGGACTGAATTCCTTTGTTTTTTTGATTTGATTTGTTTTGTTTTATTTTTTGAGACAGGGTCTTGCTTTGCCACCTAGGCTCTGGAATGCAGTGGCATGATCACTGCTCAGTGCAGCCTTGACCTCCTGGGCTCAAGCAATCCTCCCACCTCAGCCTCCCTAGTAGCTGGGACTACAGGCACATGCCACCACACCCAACTAATTTTTTTCTTTTTATTTTTTGTAGAGACGAGGTCTTACTATGTTGCCTGGGCTGGGCTCAAGTGATCCTCCTGCCTCGGCCTGCCAAAGTGCTGAGATTACAGGTGTAAGCCACTGTACCCGGCCCAAGTCCTGTATTCTTAATCATCATGAATGCTATTCAGAAGCACAATATATAAAACAGGCAATAGTTTATTAACTTTTTTATAAGTTAAAATTCTAATATTTAAATAACTATAAAGTCAGTGAGAATGATGACCACAAGAACTTCTGTTTGGAGGTTATAAATAACAGCTGCAGGCTTATATCACCTGAAGAGGTAGTTTCCTTTGAGTTTCTGTAGTTTCCTTTGAGAAACAAGGTTCTGAGAATCTTCATTCTCACAGATAAATAGTTTCAAACAGTAATAGATTTTATTTCCCACTTTTATATAACTCATTTTGCCAAACTAATAAAGATCTTTAACAGAGCAAATCCCAGAGTTTACAGAAAGAATAGTAGGACATTTGGGTTTTAGTTACATCACTAGCAATATCTAGTAGTTTTTATAATATTCCTTAATACCTATTCAATTTGGAAGTTTCCTTTTTAAAATATTTTTATATTTGTTTTAAGTTCCAAGGTACATGTGCAGGATGTGCAGGTTTGTTACATAGGTAGATGTGTGCCATGGTGGTTGGCTGCACCTAACAATCCATCACCTAGGTATTAAGCTCTCCCTCCCCACCGCTCCATCCCCAACAGGACCCAGTGTGTGTTGTTTCCCACCATGTGTCCATGTGTCCTCATTGTTCAGCTCCCACTTATAAGTGAGAGCATGCAGTGTTTGGTTTTCTGTTCAATTTGGAAGTTTCTTACTAAGTTCTTCAGTCAACTTAACATTAATTATTTGGAGAAAAATACTTTTCAAATATATCTTGTAACACTGAGTTGATGAACAATGTCATTAAAAATTATATATCAGTGCTCATTTCTATCACATACTCATTCTATATTTCAAGAGAATTAAGTTTATTTTGTTGAATATGATGATTCTCAACCTTGTTTCATTTCCATAAGTGATAATTTATCTGCAATCAAAAGCTCTAAAATATTAAAATTTGAGTTGCCTGGTTGAACTAACTGAGAGTATTAAAACATATCAATTGTCTTTCTCTACAAACACACAAACACTCACATCCCCCACCCCCTACACATATGTATGAGAGTATAATTTCACATTATTTTCTAAAGGTATTTCTTTAGCCCAGTCTCACACACACACATGCGCGCGCGCACACACACACACACACACACACACACACACACACGGAGGTTTAATTTCTTACTTTTATTTATAATATTAATAATGGCATCTTAGTTTTGAGAGAAGCCAATAAATTTTAGTGTCAAAAAGAAAATTCTGGGCCGGGTGCAGTGCTGTGTGCCTGTGGCTGCTCTGGGGGCCAAGGAGGGAGAATGACTTGAGCCTAGGAGTTCAAGTCTTCAGTGAGCCATGATTGTGCCACTGCACTCCAGCCTAGGCAATAAAGTGAGACTCTGCCTTGGAAAAACAAAACAAAAGAGAAAAATAAAGGAAATTCTGGACCTCTTTCTACATTTGACTGCTAAACAAATCTGAAAAAGCTACTCTTTAAAAACTGGGATTGATTAGTAATGCCTGCCAGTGGCACAGGCCTGAGTAATGGCAGCATATGTGTGCCAAGTCCATCTGTACCTTGCCTTTTCCTCCTTTGATACTGTCAAAATGCTCTTATAAACCAAACACAAGACCTGCATTTCTTTTTTTTAATGTCCTCATAGCTCAAGTGTTTCACTAGGCTTGACCTTTTCCCAATTAGGTGATATAACTGTATTATCTGGAGTTTACTGTTTTAGGGAAGATTTTTCTGGACGATCTCCTGAGTGATGGCAATGATCCCAAAATACTCCTGGAGAGAAACAATTCTGTGATCTCATCCTGAAGCTTTTAAGACTTCCCTTTGGATTAAAGGTCTTAGCATCTCATTTTTACGAAGAAAAAAGAGGTGATAAGTACTATATAAACACATATTTTCCTTAGAGTAGTCTTCAGAGAAATTGTTGAGTCGACTAAGATTTAATGAACTCACTGGGCTTAGCACACTTGCTATTCCATCTCTGGGGACAAACATTCACATCTGCATGAAACCTCATGCATACCTTTCAAGTGTCAGTGATCACCGGGATGAATCTTAGATTTGTCAGTCCTTTTAGGATTGTATTCATCTTCCTTGTAACGGCAGCCTTTCCCAGACAAAACTTGGGTCACTGGCTGAACTTCCCTTGACAACAGGTAGGCAGGAGAGTGAGAAGGATATTTGGAGGTGGAGTGATAAGGGAGGAAGTGATTTGACCTGGACTGAAGCCGAAAAGATGCCAATTACAATGCACAGGGCTGTAAATGACTCCTCAGGGTTTTTGCAGAATGTTAGTTGCTAGCTGTCTCCTTAGAATTTTGTTTCAGTGATTTCCTCTGATCTCTTTTTTATTTCCCTTCCTTCCCAAAGTCTTGCCGAAAGAAAATTCTAACTTCGTGAAACAAGCAATATTCATTTATGCTTTCCAATGGAGGAAAGAAAGCAAGGGGAATTTAGAGGAAGGATAATAATGTTTGTACATTCCAGCAATGCAATGTACTCTATCTAAAATCAAAATTCAAATTGTGCTGAGCAGTTTTTTATAAAGTTAAACATACACCTGCCATTCGACTGGGCAATTCTACTCCTAGGTATTTACCCAAGAGAAATAAAAACATATGTCCACGTAAAGACCTGTACGGGAATGTTTATAGCAGCCTTATTCATATTACCTAAAAACAGGAAACATCCAAACATCCATCAGGGGAGAACAGATAAACAAATTTTGGTTTATTCATACAATGGATTATGCCCCAGCATTGCAAATGAATGAACTCAACAACACGGATGAACCTCAAAAGCATTATATTGAGCGAAAGAAGCCAGACACAAAAGAGTACATAGTGTATGAAATCTTAGGAAAGGCAAATTTAATCTATAGTAGCAGAAAGTGATTGCCTGGGGGCTGGCTGGTAAGGGTGTGATGATTGCAAAGGAGCGTAAAGGAGCATCTTGGGGAGATAGAAATATTTTTCATTTTAATTGTGATGGTGTGCACTTTTGTCAAACCCCCACTATGCATTTGGAATGGGTACATTTTATTGTATGTACATTACATATACTTCGGACAAAATAAATGTGCTGAGCAACTCTGGGCATGTGATATTTGGGGATTGTTGTTATTTCCTTAAAAAAGTGTTAGCCATAGCCAGACACAGTGGCTCACACCTGTAATCCCAGCACTTTGGGAGGCCAAGGCAGGCGGATCACCTGAAGTTCAGAGTTAAAGATCAGCCAGGTCAACATGATGAAACGTTGTCTCTACAAAAATACAAAAATTAGCTGGGCATGATGGCAGGTGCCTGTAAGCCTAGCTACTCAGGAGGCTGAGGCGAGAGAATCGCTTCAACCCGGGAGGTGGAGGTTGCAGTGAGCCGAGATCACGCCATTCCACTCCAGCTTAGGTGACAGAGCAAGACTCCATCTGAAATAAATAAATAAATAAAAAATAAGTGTGAGCCATAGCAATTTTGGCCACTGTGATTTAGGGCTACAATTTCATTCTTTCAGATGCTCAGATTCAAGGCTCTGCTGTGCCCCTAACTCCAGAGACCTTCTTAGATGAGTCAGTTTCTTAGCTGGGTCTATTGTTTTGGCTATAAGATGAAAGTAATGGACCAACCAGAATTTGCCAACTGGTGGCCTGTGAGTCAAATTTTGTCAACATTTGCAAGGCCAGGGTGATGTTTGTTAAATAGTTAAGCAAAATAACATTTAAAATTCAGAAATTTGTCATACAAATTCCAGACTTCTGGCTTCTCTGAAAAACAGATTTGATGATACTGAATCTGCATCCCAAATGGTTCCAGTGAGCTGGAACCATTGGAGTTCCACCAGTGAGCTCACCAATGGAGGTGAGTAGCCACAACACAGTTTATTTGTGCATAATGCTCTCCAGTTTACTCTGCTTCCTACCAGGTCCTTTTCATGATTTACTTACCTGCCTAGTCCTGGTCATCTTGAGTTTGCGAACCCTAAGGTAGATCAATGATAAATAACAGATCCTCAAGATAATTAGGTTGGTGCAAAAGTCATTACTGTTTTTGGCATACTTTTAAATGGCAAAAACCACAATGACTTTTGCACCAATTTAGTATATACAACTTCCCAGCTTCGATAAATGGCCTATGATTTAATTTACTGTTTTTTTTTATTTTCAATATTTCTTTTTTATTATTATACTTGAAGTTCTGGGATACATGTGCAGAATGTGCAGGTTTGTTATATAGGTATACATGTGCCATGGCGATTTGCTGCACCCATCAATCCATCATCTACATTAGGTATTTCTCCACATGCTATCCCTTGCCTAGACCCCCATCCCCTGATAAGCCCTGGTGTGTGATGTTCCCCTCCCTGTGTCCATGTGTTCTAATTGCTCAACTCCCACTTATGAGTGATAACTTGTGTTTTTGGTTTTTGGTTCCTGTGTTAGTTTGCTGAGAATGATGGTTTCCAGCTTCAACCGTGTCCTGGCAAAGGACATGAACTCGTCCTTTTTATGGCTGCATAGTATTCCATGGTGTATTTTAAAAATACAATTTTAATATATTAAAGATCCATCCCAGGAAGTCACTCACTCCTGTATATACATAGAGAAAACCCTGGCCAGCTGTGAAATTCCAGCCAACTTTCTGCAAACACTGAACTCAGACTAAGAAAGCAGCCATGTATATACATACTTGAGAAAGTTTTAGTAATTAAAGTACCCCAGTACTGACAATAATGAGAGGTAGCCACTGTCAACAAGTGAATGAAACACAAAACTTAGTGCTTAAACAGATCTTGTATTTATATGTGTTTGGTCTGTGTTTTTCTTTTCTTTTTAAAAAATTTAATACTAGTTTAGGGATCAGGGTTATATATTCTTTGTACATCTATTTTTGGAAGCTGTTTTTATTTATTTCCCATGCTTTGAAATATTTTGTAATGTGCTAGGATTTGCTGTACCTTAGAAACTTGAAAGAACTCATTTGTAAAACCAACTGGTCATTGAGACTTCCACCACTTTTTTTCAAAGTTGTTAGTCTATTCTACTTGTCTACGTATTCCAAATTTCAAAATAATCAAACATTTCAAATGTATGTGCATAATGCTGTGGATGGCATCATTAGATTTCTTAGAACATTGTATTTTTGCTGTTCTTCATTACCTGAAGGAAAAATAAACTCATGGATTTATTTATCACTGTACTCTTGTCCAGTTGTTTGTTTCGATCTGTTTTCCCTTCCTTCTCTTTATTTGAGGATCATTTTCTTTTTCACATTTCTTGAGATGAATATTTATTTCAGTTATTGTCACTTAAGAATAGTAATTTTTCTAAGTTTATATTTGACTTCTTCCTTAAGTTTGGATATTTAGTGTTATCATGGCCTTTGTTTTCGAAATGAGATGTGATTTCGTTTAAATTTCTTCTTTGTCCTTTTAGCAATTTGGAGAATAATATTTAAACATTCAATAGACTAGGCATTTTTTAAAACAGTTTTGTCATTAATTCCTAGTTTTTTGCCACTATATTAAATATAGCTAGTACATTTTCTGCTGTTAAAACAAAAACCTTAGACAAATTAAATTAACATAATTTAATTGAACAAAGAAAAAGTCAAGAACTGGGCAGCCCCTGAACCAAAATTGGTTCAGAGAGACTCCAACCCTGCTACGTGGTCAAAAAATATTTATGGACAGAAAAAAGAAAATGATATACAGAAAATGGGAGTGAGTTACAGCCAGATTGGTTAGAGTTCAGCATTTGCCTTACTTGAACATGGTTAGAACAGTTGACTGCCTTTGATTGGCCAAAACTCAGGGATTGAGACCTAAGTAGGTTACAGGGTGTCTATGTATCCAGACAGGTTACAGTTCAGTATATTCATAGAAACCTTTAGCTCGAATGTGAAATATATAATGAGCCAGCTTTAGGCTAAACTTAATTTAACACTGCTTTTTGGAATTTATTGGTTCTTTTATGACCTAGCCTATAATTGATAATTAATTAATTTTTATGAGTATTGTATGTGAATATTCCAAATAAATATATTCCACAGATGTTTAAAAATACCTATTTATCTGATATGTCAGCCTTGTAAATATTATTATTCCACTCTTTACTCTTTATATATGTATATATTTTTTAACTTTTGACAGGTTGATAAAGGGACAATAATATATCCTATCACAATAGAATTCTTTTCTATTTCTTTTTTTATTTAAACTTTGTAATATACAAGAAGGTTAAGATTTTTCCTGGTTCAAAGGAGAGCACTAAATTTTAATTGCTTCCATTGTCAGTTATTAATAGAGGCCATACATAATATGTGCTCCAGAAAAAATAATCCTCATAAACTGAGATTTTATAAATTTATTGATACAAAATATTTAGTAAGAATAGTTTGTTTTGTAGATGAAGGAAAAATATTTATGATGCAAATAATCAGATATAAAGTAGATACTTCATTGAAGTATTTCTCTAAAGCAGATGCCAAAATCAATAGATTTTAAAAAGAAGCTCTTAAAAATCAGCTGCAAAAACAAAAGAAGAGAGAATACTGAAAATTTAATGGTTTGACAAAGAAAGCTACATGTCAATATACATTTGTCCAAACCCATAGAAGGTACATCACCAGAGTGAACCCGAATGTGAACTATGGCCTTGGAGTGTTGATGTGTCAGTGTAGGTTTATCAATTGTAACAAATGCACCATTCTGGTGGGGATTTTTTTTTTTTTTTTTTTTTTGAGACGGAGTCTCGCTCTGTTGCCCAGGCTGGAGTGCAGTGATGCGATCTCTGCTCACTGCCACCTCCGCCTCCCGGGTTCAAGTGATTCTCCTGCTTCAGCCTCCCAAGTAGCTACGACTACAGGTGCACACAACCACGCCTGGCTAATTTTTTGTATTTTAGTACAGACGGTGGGTGTTTCTCCGTGCTGTCCAGGCTGGTCGCGAACTTCTGCGCTCAGGCAATCTGCCTGCCTTGGCCCCCCAAAGTGCTGGGATGACAGGCGTGAGCTACCGCGCCCAGCCGGAGAATGTTGATAATAAGGTGGCTGTGCATGTGTGGGGGCAGGAGTATATGCGATATCTCTGCACCTTCTGCCCAATTTTGCAGTGAACCTAAAACTACTCTAAAAACAATGAAGTCCTTAAATATTGGAGAAGAAGGAGGAGGAGGAGGAGGAGGAGAAAGAGGAAGAGAAGGAGGGGAGGAGAAAGGGGAGGTGAAAGGGGAGGCGAAAGGGGAGGCGAAAGGAAAGGAGAAGGGGAAAGGAAGGGAAGGGGATGGGAAGAAAAGGAAAGGAAACTGGGACCTTGGCTCAAATTTTCAAGTCTACTTTTCAAAAGGTAAACAAGTTATCTGGATATATTAGTAATCATATTAAATTTCCATTTTTTACCTAACAAAACTTGTTTCCTAAAAACAACTGAACTCTCATCCAGTGAAGACCCTTTATCTGAAATCTTTTACTGTGAAGCTGCCATTAAAAAATGCTATTTTAGGCTGGGCGGGGTGGCTCTCGCCTGTAATCCCAGCACTCTGGGAGGCCGAGGCAGGCGGACCTCGAGGTCAGGAGGTCAAGACCATTCTGGCTAACAGGGTGAAACCCCGTCTTTACTAAAAAAAAAAAAAAAAAAATACAAAAAATTAGCCGGGCATGGTGGCGGGCGCCTGTAGTCCCAGCTACTCGGGAAGCTGAGGCAGGAGAAGGGCGTGAGCCCAGGAGGCGGAGCTTGCAGTGAGCGGAGATCGCGCCACTGCACACCAGCCTGGGTGACAGAGCGAGACTCCCGCTCAAAAAAAAAAAAAAAAAAAAAAAAAAGCTATTAAAAAAGAATCTGTACAAGAGAGTAGAGTCTATAATCCTGTAAAGGTAGGTCTCATGGAAAACTTGATACTTAGATGATATTTTTTAGAATATGGTAGAAATACCTTCACAATATTAAGATTTACCCATCAATTCTTGTTTTGCATTCTGCCCTTCGTAAAAATGAGACTTCTTTTACTGTCTAAAACATAAGGGGGAATTAAGTATAAAATCCCTACATAATCAATCAGAGAAAATTTATAAAAATAGAAGCTTGGTACTTCCTATTCTCCTTCCCACCCCCTCCCCAGCTAGCAATTTTGGGGAGTGACCCAACTTCATTCATTGGCACGACATTGCTCAGAAGGAAGCTATTTCATGAGAGTTTAGCTAAGAAAACTATGACCGGAAAATGTTGGCAGTCTCCATCCAAGCATGTTCATATGTGAAGGCTCCTCAGCCAACAAATTTCCAATAATCTAATCCCATTGCCAGGCCATGCCTTCTGTGGCAGGCAGTGGATGTGTCAGACGAATGATTCCAAACTTCTCCCTTAATGGTGTTCACTATATCTGTGTACCTTCTGGACTGATATCTACTAATTTGCTTTGAAGCTGATTCATGTTTCAAATACTATAGAAATATATTTTAAAAGAAAAGTATAAGCCAGGTGCAGTGGCTCACATCTCTAATCCCCACACTTTGGGAGGCGGAGGCAGAAGAATCTCTTGGGCCTAGGAGTTTGAGACCAGCATGGGCAACATAGGGAGATCCTGTCTTCACTGAAATAAAAATAAAAAAATTAAAAATAAAAAAATTCACCCTTGTGTGGTGGTGTGTGCCTGTAGTCCCAGCTACTCGGGAGGCTGAGGCAGGACTCTGGATCACTTGAGCCTAGGAGATGCAGGCTGCAGTGAGCCATGATTGTGCCACTACTCTCCAGCCTGGGTGACAGAAATGAGACCCTGTCTCTAAATAAATAAATAATAATATAATTTAAAAATATATATCTCTATGATAAGTAGAGAAGTGAAGCAGTTACAGTTGCCCCAAAATGTTTATATTTAATAACGATTACAGTTTAATCAAAACAGTGTTGAGCTATATGAATTAAAAATTTGACATTAGAAGTACATAATTAAATATAAGTCATAATAGGTCACATCAACTCACAAAAATACAAAGCTGAAAATAAGTTCCTCCTTCAATAAAAAAACATAAATGTTTGTAAATATTTTTAATAAAGCAACATTCTGCTTAAGGCTACTAAACTGAAGAAAAAGATATAATAGCCAAAATAGTGTGAGAGACTGGTTCAATAAACTTGGCTCAAAAGACAAAGAGATTTCTCATTCTCTTTTCTGAATAAGCAAACTTTTTTGGTGATATGATTAGGCTTTGTGTCTCAACCTAAATCTCATGTTGAATTGTAAGCTCCATAATTTACACGTGTCAAGGGGGAGACCAGGTGGAGGTAACTGGATCATGGATATGGCTTCCCCCATGCCGTTCTCGTGACAGGGAGTGAGTCTCATGAGATCTGATGGTTTTATAAGTGTCTGGCATTTCCCCGGCTGGCACTCATTCTCTCTCCTGCCACCCTGTGAAGAGGTGCCTCCCATCATGATTATAAGTTTCCTGAGGCTTCCCCAGCCATGCTGAACTGTGAGTCAATTAAACCTTTTTTCTTTGTAAATTGCCCATTCTCAGGCAGTTCTTTACAGCAGTGTGAGAATGGACTAATACATTTGGTAAGGTGCAAAGCACATGGAGAAAATGTCCCTTATCTGCTTACCTTTGCCAGTCAGTTTGAAAAAATATTAATGAAGCACCTTGATAATGCAACCCCACCCTAAAAGTCCTGAGATGGCTGGGAAGGTTCGCTCATGAACTTGTGTGTTAGTGTGTGTGTGCAGGGAGTATGGAGGTAGCATGGAGCAGGGTGGGGTGGGTTGGGGTGGTGGTCATCAAATCCTAAAATCAAGAGATTTCCTGCCTTCTCTGCAATCTCCATCTTCCTTTACCTTTGCTCCAAAATTGATGCCTTTCCTGCTCTTGCATTCCATTAGTGAAAAGAATATCACACTTGGGAGAATATCTCACTAGGTTAGTTTTTTCTCCCTTCTTCACCTGAATACTTCCTTTCAATCCCCTATATCTCAACTTAAATATGATTTATCCAGAGAGACTTACATGAACACTAGCCTACTTTACATTCTCCCCCTGATATGGTTTGGCTGTGTCCCCACCCAATCTTGAATTGTAGCTCCCATAATTCCCACATGTCATGGGAGGGACCCAGTGAGAGGTAATTGAATCATGGGGGCAGGTCTTTCCTGCGCTGTTCTTGTGATAGTGAATAAGTCTCACGATATCTGATGGTTTTATAAAGGGGAGTTCCCCTGCACATGCTCTCTTGCTGCCACCATGTAAGATGTGACTTTGCTCCTCATTCACCTTCCACCATGATTGTGAGGCATCCCCAGCCATGTGGAACTATGAGTCAATTAATCGTCTTTCCTGTATAAATTACCCAGTCTATGGTATGTCTTTATTAGCAGTGTGAGAACAGACTAATACATCCCCGATGTCCCTACACACACACCCAAGAGTTTCCATAGCTCCCTGTATTTTCCCTATCATGAGATTCATCACACTGCTATTATTCCCTGTTTAATATTTGTCCAAGAATTCTGTTATTATGGGACTGCATCTGCCATGTTCACTGTGTTTAGCAAAGTGAGTCTTTAGCAAAGTAAATGGCATACTTTCAGTGCTCAGTAAACATTTGTTGATGAGATGAGTGACTTAGTATATGGCCTGATGCCAGCAACTGTTTGACTCACCCAACTCACTTTGTTCAAAGTCCATGCTCACCAATAAATTCTCATGGTTATTCTCTAACAGGGAGAGAATATGCTGGTCATGTGGACTCAGGCACATTGATCCTTGTGATCTGTTAATTAGCAAGCCGATATTCAGTTCTTAGACAGTCATTGGATAAGCCCTGTTGCTGTGTTTGCCCTCTAAAAATAAATCCACTCTTAGAAGACTAAACAAGAGCAGATTTCTAAATATGTAAACGTGATAAAGGCCTGCATTGTGGCAAATTGCAAAAGTATACTTAACTAGAGAGACAGCAGATAACACGAAGGCCTTTTTAAGGTCAAGAGAGGTCAAGAGATGTTCAAGTCATTGCCATTGCCATTTTTATTTACACCATCTGTATATATTTTAAAATGAATAAATGCAAAACATATGCTACATTTTAAACATATATATTTTGTAATCATTTAAAAAGTAATCCTTTCTGGAAAAATATTAAATGCAAAGTGATTGTGCTAGACACAAGATGATTACAGAATTTATAACATAATGATAATTCATAGTAAAGTTAACTGCTTCCAGTCATGACAGAGTAGGAGAGCCTGAATCATCCTTCTGCTGTTGACACCTAAAGAACTAGAAATAATGTATTCAACAACCATTTGAGATATTGGACAACAGCAATTGCAGGACTGTGAACCCCGAGAGAAAGGAAACAAAGTGAGTTCCACCATCGCCCAGACCTTCTGCCTAGGAGTAATTTCTGGACTGTGATATAGCAACGGGAACCCAGATGGAGCCAGACAGTGTTACTGAGATGAAGGAAAGACAAATTGAAATTTGGGGAGGCAGAGAGGATAGAAATTTATAGGGCAGAGAACCCAAGAGAAGGGAGCTCGGTAGATAAATATTTTATAAATTTGCGTAGGGCTCCCTTGAGTCTTTTGCTGAATACCATCTACATGTGTGAAGTGAAACCCTATGAGGCTAGGCATGACAAACTTTCTGGGAAAGAACAACTACTAGAGATCTGTCAACCAAACATTTTCCAGAGATCTTTCAGGGCTGAAAATTACTTGAATTCCCAACAGCCCAAGAGGAGAAACATCTGTGAGTATGGGAGCATTCAGGGTCACAACTGCAGAAGGATCACACCTTAGAAAAGCTAAATTAGCTCTAGAGTAATTATTCCTATAGACCTACCCTAAAAGAGTTTTAAAATAAAATTAAAAAGAACTATATTGATCACAATTGTCACTAGAACAAAGTCAAATACACTTAAAAGAATATTTTTTTAAAAACCAGCACTCGATAACATAAAATTTATAATACCCAGCATACAGTAAAAATTACTGAAGAAAGAAGAAGCAGGAAAATATGATCCATAACCAGAAGGAAAAATCAGTTGGTTAAAAACAGAACCATTAATGACAAATATAGAGTTTATAGTCAGGGTATCAAAACAACTATTATAAATCTGTCCTATATGCTCAAAGATATAGAGGAAAGACAAACATAAAGAGAGAGATGAATTACCTAGAAATAAATGAAATAAAATTTTTAGAGAAATGCAATACCTAAAATTAAAATTTCCCTGGATAGTATTAACAGCAGGTTAGACAATACAGATAGGAAGAGCAGTGAATATGAAAATGTAGCAACAGAAACTATCCAAAGCAAAACACAGAGACAAAAATATTGGGAGAAATAAAACCCAACCTTATTGACCTGTGGGACAATATCAGGTCATCTAACATAGTTTTGAAGGAGAGGAGAGAGATGGAACATGGAAAAATATTTGAAGAAATAACAACTAAAGATCTTCCAAATTTGATGAAAACTATAAACTTACAGATCCCGGAATCTCCAATAACCCCAAGCAAGGCAAGCATGGTGCATGCGCCAACCCTGTTATGTGACACAAGTGTAAAATTTGAGAGTCAATGACTGCTTGCTTTGAACCTAGCAGAATATTTCTGTAATATAATATTACATGCAACTTCATTTGGAAATAACTTCAAAATTCCTTTATTATGACAGTAAATAAGGCCCACATGAAACGGCATTCCAGAGCCCCCAAGCCATCCCCATAATAAACACTGAAGAGCTCTGCATTTACTATAACTGGTCTTATTTCATTTCTACAGTCTTATTAAGAATGCATCCGCATCTTTTAAAGAACACTGATTGAAGTTATTGTCCGTTATATTTTTCTCATTAAAACTTATGTTATCAGATGGTGAGGCTCAGCAATGCATCATTTTCTATTTTGCGTTGGCTCCTTGGAAACTCAGAGTTAAATTTTGTTTGAAGCTTCACTGCCTGTTTTCAGTCTCACGTTATTGGTATAATTATTCATGCATTTTCATCCTTTCATCATATGATTTTTGTTCTTTCATCTTTATTTGATAATTCTATTGAAAGTATTGTTACCGAGCAGTGGCCTTGCTGCTCAACACACATAGAAGGCAATACTGTCGCACCAGCTTTTGAGAAAAGAAAAGGCTTTATCGTGAGATTGACCAGCAAGGACACATGAGGAATGGCTCAAATCCGTCTCCTCTATCTGGGGTTAGATCAAACTCTTATGGGTAAGGAAGGACAGGTTGGTATGCAGAAGTGCTGGCAGGGCAGAGTTCAAGGGCTTTAAACTTGGCCGTTTATGGTAAGGTATGAAACAGTGGATTTCAGCCCCGGATCTTCTTGGATAACAAACCCCTTGTTTCTAAAAGGGTTCGGGCATTCAGGTTCCAGTCACATCCTAGTCTTCTTGGTTCCACGGGGAGGAAATCTTGGTTTCAAATGCTATTTGAGGTTAAGGCTTTCCTCCTCTGCACATGCCCAGGTTATATGACTTGCAGTTTTGGCTTTGCTACATCTGCAAGATAACTTGGCATTCTGTTTTCAACAAAATAAGGCCAGTTTTGGCTGGTCCTGCACTTATGGTAGAAATTGTTGAAAGTGAAGAAAGCCCATTCAGGCAGGGATGTCAGGGAAACCAAAAAGGGTGAGCATGGTACCTTGGAACTAGCAATGATATGGAAGTGAGTCATTACCACGGAAATTGAAATGTAATTATTAATCAGGATATAGAGAATGAATCAAGGAAAGTACAAACACAACCATGGAGGGAAGTTGCATCTGAAGTGCTAGATGGCTGCAGCTGATACAGTGAGAGTGAAGCTGCTGAGGTTTCAGATTAAACATATGCATGTTCACATCAACTTTTTTTGAAGCATAGTTGTTAGATTATGATGAAGGGACAAGCCAAGAGAGCAATAAGGAGAAAGCCACACTGCACTAACTCTCTTAAAAGAGATAGCATGGCTTTGATTTTAAGAATCCAAGATTGACTCTTGTGAATGATTCAAAGCTTTGACCACCAAATGTCTTTGAGTAAATTTCAAGCAATGCATAAGGGAACCAAACTGAAATACAATATTATCTGCTAATGGACATCTGATTTTTGTGCCTTTTTTCTAAAATTAATGGAATTGAACTTTAAATAAACGTTGAAGTGCTTATATTCTTACTGTTTGAATAATTTGTGCAAGGTCTGTTTCATGTCAAGCGGAATTTTTCAAGAGACCTGGGGCCCACAAGTTCTGCAAATATTATAAACTTGAGAAAATCACTTATCTTCCCTGGACTCAGTTTCTCCATCAGCTAGAAGTATATTGGTCCTGATCTCAGCAGGAAAAGATGGTACATTCTCTAACTGGAGGAGAGTTTATAAAGGGACTGCTTTTAAAAGGGTGGGCAGATGTCTGGGAACCCACCAAGAGGGACAATAGTACCTTGGAGCTAGCAATAATTGAGAAGTGAGTTCATTACCATCCCTAAATCTGAAAGTGAAAGGGGAGGGATAAGTTATAGGTATCCCAGGTGCTGAATCTGGAGAGAACAGCTGTATAAAGAGGGCAGTCTGACAGAAGTTGTAACCTTTCATGGAGTGATGCAGCCACTAGGGAACCTGAAAGGAAAGATTAATAAATAAATAAAATATGCAGACCTTCCCTTCCTCCCATCCTCTGGTCTCATGATAGGGACTCCTAGCCCTTGACTTAACACAATCAGAAGATGATAGGGAATGGGGCTGTTACGAGTTGAACTGAGGGGATGTAAAAAATATGTTGAGGTACTAACCCCCATTACCTCATAATGAGACTTTATTTGGAAATAGGGTTGTTGCAGATGTAATTAGCTAACTTAAGATAAAGTCGTACCGGAGTAGAGTGGGCCCCTAAATCCAATATGACTGGCATCCTTATAAGAAGTGGCGATGGGAAGACACAGACACACACAGGGGAAATGCCGTACGATGACAAAGGCAGAGATTGGAGTTAGGCAGCTGCAAACTAAGGAATGCCTGTGATTGCTGGCAAACCACTAGAAGTTAGGAAGAGGGCAGGATGTTTCAGAGGGAACATGGCTCTGCCGACACCTTGATTTCAGATTCTAGCCTTTAGAACTGTAAGCCAATTGATATGGTTGGGTTTTGTGTCCCCACCCAAATCTCATCTTGAATTATAACCTATAATCCCCATGTGTCAAGGGAGAGATCAGATAGAGGTAATTGGATCACGCTGTTCTCGTGATAGTGAGTGGGTTCTCATGAGATCTGATGGTTTTATAAGTGCCCCTTTCCCCTTCACTTGGCACTTCTCCTTCCTGCTTCCTTGTGAAGAAGGTGCCTTGCTTCCCCTCCACCTTCCACCATGATTGTAAGTTTCCTGAGACCTCCCCAGCTGTGCTGAACTGTGAGTCAATCAAACCTCTTTCCTTTATAAATGACCCAGTCTCGGTCAGTTTTTATACCGGTATGAAAACAGACTAATACAACAATACATTTCTGTTATTTTATGCCACCCAGTTTGTGGCACTTTGTTACAGTAGCCATGGGAAACTAATATGGGAGCCCACTGATGAAGACCTTACACGTCAGACTTTCAGGGTGTAGAGATGGTTAAAAGAAAGCAGAAAGTGAATTTGGAGGAGTAAATTAAAAATATTTCACAGAGGGGTAATCCAGAAAGCCCTGCATGGCTCTGATTTCTGAAACAGCCATGAATAGAGCAGACAGACTCCCTGCCCTTCAAGTGCTTGCGTGCTACCTCCCAGACCTGGGTGTGAGGTTTGGTGCTTACTTTCTTTCTTTTTTTTTTTTAAAAGTCAATAAATTTTTATTCAAGGAATTCCATGTTGTGATTTCTTCCACTGTCTATCAAGGTCACTTTAGATCCTCTAAAGAGCTGGAGTCAAAAGATGGTGCTTACTTTCTTTAAATGGATAAATGTCAGTTTTCTCCCAAAGTAATGTGAAATTCCAACTCTTACCTCTTTCTTGTAGGTTTTTAGCATAGACTATGAATAGAATGTGTTCTGGGAAATGGCTAGAGCTCAGGTTGTAACTGGAAAAAGGACCACATATGAAAAAGGGCCTTGTCTGCCATCCTGAGACATTCAGAATATAAACTGAGTGCTAGCAGGAGGTACCGTATAATTTCAATGAGCAAACTGACCTGATAAGCACATCAACTGTATCTTTCTCTAATTAGCACTAACTTGAGTACCTTTATTATATATCTTGCACCCTTCTTTATCTTTTTAGCAGTTTTTCAAATATATATTTAAATTTCAATGATAAAAATAAGAGATTCACTGTGAAAAAATTAAAGAAATTGAAGAAAAATTTAATTTAATTTAAAAAATTAAAGAAAAATTCAATCATAGGGTCATCACCTGCTCTCAGCGTTTTTGTGTGCCTCCTTCTATGGTTATATTTTATTGGCTAAATAACACTTTTTGCAAGGTTCCATTTCCCTATTGTTTGTTATTTTTATAATTTTAAAGTTTTCGCTATTAAAAACATGCTTCAATTCACATTCTTATACATAAAGCTTTGACTGCATAGTTTCTTTTTACTTTCTATAAATTTCCAGTAGTGTGAGAGCTAAGTCAGAGCATATGAATATTTTAAAAGATTGTGCCAATCAGTATTCCCTGTTTACAATGGATAGAAATTCAGATCATACTAACTTAAAAAAATGAGACTCTACTAGCTCATGTGACTGGATAGTCTAGAAATGGATCTATCTTCAGTTTCGGTTGAACCCAGAGGTTGTAACAATGTAAGTAAATCTCTCTCTCTCTCTCTGTAAATACATATTTCTGTATTCTCAATTGAAGTTATTTTTCCAATAAATGAACTGTAAATATTCTCTTCATATATGCTCGCTTTTTATTTTCTTGATGGTATTTTTCAAAGAGCAAAGATTTATAATTTTGATGAAAGCCAATTTATTAAGTTTTATGGCTCATGCTTTTGGTGTCTGATCTAAGAAATTGTTGCCCACCCTATTGCTCAAAGTTGCAAATATTTTCTCCTATATTTTATTCTAGAACATGATAGTTTTTGCCTTACATTTAGATCGATGATCCATTTCAAATTAATTTTTTTGTCTATGATGTGAAATGAAAGTTGGGATTCATTTAACTTTTCCTTATGAATATCCAGATGTTCTTCTAGCACCATCTAATGAAAAGACTCTCCATTTCCCCCATTTAATTACCTTGACATCTTTGTCAAAAATCAATTGACCATAGTTACATAGCTTTATTTCCGAACTCTTCATTGAGTCTTATTGATGTATATGTCTATCCTTACACCAATACCATGCTGTCATGATTATTATAGCTTTATTGCAACTTTGGAAATCAAATAGTAAAAGCCTTTCTGTTGTGTTCTGTTTCAAAATGGTTAAGGCTTACCTAGATCTATTGCATTTCTACACATGCCTGCTGCTGGGATTTTTATTGGGATTGCACTGAATACATAAGTCATTTGGCAGAGGATTGTCATGCTAACAGTATTGAGTCTTCCGATGCATGAATAAAGTATGTATCTCCATTAATTTAGGTAGTCTTTAACTTCTCTAAGCAATGTTTCATAGCTTTTAGTGTTCAGGCCTCACATATACTTCCTTAAATCTCTTCCTCAGTATTTCATGGGTTTTGATGGCATTGCAAAGCGTATCTTCCTCTAATTGATTTTCCAGTTCTCCCTCCCTTCCTTCCTTCTTCCCTTCTTTCCCTTCCTCCCTTCCTCTCTTTGTCCATCTTACAGCTCTGCTCATTTGTGATTCTTCTTTGCTTCTTGGCCACATTCTCTCCTGCCATGAACAGGTTCTCTGCAAAAGAAATGATGGCTACTGACATTCCTAAACCTAATTCCTTAAAACCCATGATCCAAAAAGGGAAGATTCTTCCCCAATATCTCCATTACCAAATTACCAAAGAAGTCTATTCTTGAACTTTTTTGAATGGCCAGATGTGCCAGGTTTTAAGGAATGGGGAAGGGTTTGCCAAAGAAACCTGTCCCAAGTATAGGGAAGACCAAATGTATAGTTCACAAAATTTCCTATGATAATCATGACATGTATTATCAAATCATTTTCTAGAAAAGTAGCGCTGGCTTTAAACAGTATATAAATATCCTCTCTCATTTTTCATGGTCTATGCTCTAATCCTGCTTTTCGCCATCAGATCTCTGAATTATTATGATATTCTCTCCACCACTGGACTTGCCCTCCTCTCCTTCGCTCAGCCCATAGTCGGGCTTTTCCTTGTGCTTCACAGGGTGGACCAATTATAATCCATTTCCCAGGGAAGTGAGAACATGTGCTGAAATCCCAAGCATCCATCTACAGAAGTTTATTTAAGCTTCTAGTTGCAGACATAGGTGAAACAGCCCATCTACTTTGCATTCCAGTATTAGTATATTACATATGTTTAGAGAACTCTTAACTTGGAAGTAAATGATTAATAGGGGACTTCCTGACAGTTAGAATGACCTAGAAGGCCAGTAATGCCATCTGACCCTTTCCATTGCTTCCCCATACTGCTAGAAAAGGAGGGAAGGAGGGACGCATCTCATGGCTTGAGGATTTCCTTTCCCATTATTTACTTTACTTTCCCATTATTTACTGATGGAGCAGCAAGTGGCATAGCATAGGTTTTCCAATATTGTATTAATTTCTTTAAAGTCACTAGGGTTTCAATACATGGCACTTAAGAAGAACTAAATGAACTAAATGAGGTCCTGAGACCCTCAAAGAGTTAATATACCTCCTTAAATTAGAATTGAGAGCATAAGCTTTTATTAATTGCAGTTTACAGTCAGCATGGCATTTTAAAGGAATCTTAGAGATTAGTTTATATAATAGATCATCATAGGGAAGATTGCTAAAAAGGCCAAACTATGTCTTTCACATAACGAGTACATTTCTCTCTGTCTGACTTAGAAAATCCACAACAAAGGTGTCATCTTGATTCCCAGAAAGTGGCTTCATTTTTATTAGAAACAAAAACTTTACAACTAAAGTTTTAATGTTTCCCTCTGAATAAAAAGGATCCATCTTAAAGAGTCATTCGTAACCATGGGGAAAGCAATAGATAAAATCATTTGACCTTGTTAGTTCTTGCTCCATTACCTAAAACCCTGAATTTCTAAGTATATTGTTACTATGTGTATCAAAAAAATAATTTGGGGTGGTACTATTACACCTATAAACTGGTTCAATGCCAGTGGAGAAAGAAAAGTGGGTAGATCTTGATTTTCAATTACGTGTTGTAAAAAGTTTACCAATTCTCCCTGTAATTAGAATTTTTTTCCTGTAAATGCTCAGGATCCACACAGTTTGCACCTAAACAAGAAGTTAAAGCATTTTCTAAAGTTATGGAGGCTTCCATCAATTGGTGTGCATTGATCATTTCCCAATTCCTAATGTTCAGAGGGCACATAAGCTGCAGTTGAAAAATAGCCCCCTGGCTGGGTACGGGGGATCATACCTGTAATCCTCCCCTTGAGAGGCCAAAGTTGAGGGAATACTTGAGCCCAGCAGTTCAAGACCAGCCTGTGCAACATAATGAGACCCCACCTCCACAGGAAAAAAAAATAGCCAGGCTTGGTGGTGCATGCCTGCAGTCCTAGCTGCAGGACTAGGAGGCAGGAGGACTGAGGCAGGAGGACTGAGGCTGCAGGACTGAGGCAGGAGGATCACTTGAGCCCAGGTGGTCAAGGCTGCAGTTAACTGTGCTCATACCACTGCCTGGGCAACAGAGCAAGATTCTGTCTCTAAAATAAAGAAGAAAAAAAAATTACTGAATCACAGAACCAAAATGCTTATTCCATATCTACTTATTATGAACCAAATGTCAAGAACAGCCAAGCCTCTTCTTTGGTCCTTTTATTTCTGCACTTTTACTGACTATAAAATCACAGTATGTATGTTTTTTCATAGAAGTTTTGTTTTACAAAAATTTATGTGTCATTGGTCCACTAAGCTACTATTCATCTTATAGTTTACTAATATTTTAAGTTTTTACTTTTCTTTTTTTAGACAACATAAATCAAATTAACTTCTTTGATACCAAAGGAGCAGCATGGTTTAAGAATTCCACTAGTTCACTGTTTCATTAGTTGAACTTTCAATTGTTCCACAGGTTTTACCTGCGTTTCTCTCTTTCTCAAGCTGATTTTCCACTCATTTCAAAAAGTATTGTTGTAAAATTATAAGGAACAATCTAAATGTCCATCAGTCTATTACTGGTCAAATACATTATTGCACATTCATAATAGGAATATTAGGAAACCATTACAGAGGAATGTTACAGTCGGAAAAGGAAATACAATGACAATTTTATATAATATGCTCTCAGTTTTTTAAACAGAAATAAGGGATGCATAAATAAAGACATGTATGCATAAATCTTGTATAGAAGAATGCACAAGAAGCTACCAACTGTTTAGTTACTATGGAGAGGTGATAGAATATCTCTATTGAGTAGAGTGCGTCATGACAGAACTTCTGCTTTTCATTTTATAATCTTAAGAAAAAGATTATCTACCACTGTGATAAACTTAAATAGTAAACTTCTAGGTAGTCCCTGATTTCATAGTGGAAAATTGTTTTCCACTTTTGGTTTGCTAAGTATGATAACCTCTGCCACCTCACCATTAGGGAAAATAGATTTGTATTTATTGTTCCAAAAGCTCTCTAAGTGAAAACTAATTTTCCCCAAAGTTTAGTGGAAGGAAAGCCCAAAAGAAGGTCTATTTTTCTTTTACGCCCTTTGTGTCTAAAATGGATCATGTTATTTCAGTTCATGCTCACATCTGTTTATAATAATGTACAACTTGTACAAAACAAAATAATAATTGAGAATAATTGCATGGATTGAATAAAAATATGCAATTTTAGAATGTTTGGGGTTGAGATTTTTTGAAAAAAGAATCCCTTAAGTAGTCTTAAAATATGACTTTAATTTATCCATTAAACTTAACAGAATTCAAATGCAGACTTCACAGCTGTTAAAATCATGCAATTGACACTAATGTTTTATCATTACTAGTTAGCATACAATTTTTTTTGTGTAATTGGAACTGGGTTTTGTTATGTACAATTACCAAAAAATTTTAATGCTCTGAAAAGAATATTAAAAATATAAATATGCCTACTAAATAACTGTTATCTGAATCAAACTGTACAGATTCATAATTAGTCTTATCTCTGCATTTGTTAACCCTTTTTTTGAATCTTCTGAGCTAGCTATATTATGCCACAGAGCATACTAGGAAAGCTTCTGGACTTTGTTTTGTTTTTAAAAGAGATTATACATTTTTAGTATGTTTAAAAAGTTTTATCTCCAGGAACAGAATTTTTTTCACTTAAGCTTATTTAATACAAGAGTTTCACATCTTTCTAAATGGGTTATGGTATAGTCTTATTGAGTATTTATGTTCAGATTTCAACATCTGGATAAAATATTTTCTTTTTTTATTTGTATTTTTACTTTTTTTAGAGTTGGGGTTTTGCACTGTAGCCCAGGCTGCAGTACAGTGGTGTTATCATAGCTCACTGCAGCATTGAACTCCTGGGCTCAAGCCATCCTCCTGCCTTAGCCTCTTGACTAGCTAGGACTACAGAGGTGCATCACCACACCTGGCTAATTATTTTGTATGTTGTAGGTGAGGTCTTGCTATGTTGCTCAGGCTTCCTATCTTGGCCTCCCAAAGTGCTGGGATGACAGGCATGAGCCACTGTGCCCAGCTGGATGAAACATTTTCAATGTGGAAATAAGGTGCCCCACCGAAAGCAGCCAAGGCTCTGGTATTCTACAACTCTTCATCCACTCTCTACTTTATCCACTCAGCCCCTTGCACATTTATCCCCCACCTTGGACTCCATGCACACCCCTGCCTCTGTATCCTTGCACTTCCCATTCCCCATAAATAAAATGGTCTTCCCTATCCACATGGCTCCCTCTATTACTTCTTTCAGGACTTCACTAAAAGGCACCTTCTCAGTAAGGACTGACCCTACCATATTTTCCAAAATGTTGTATCTCACTCACCTGCTGTATATTTTTCTCTTTAGCACTTATCACAATCCAAAATACTTTTTTATTTTAGGTATTAGTTTCTCTTCGATTTTTTTTTTCTTTGAGCAAAGTCTCACTCTTGTCCCCCAGGCTGGAGTACAATGGTGTGATCTCAGCTCACTGCAACCTCCACCTACTGGGTTCAAGCGATTCTCTTGCCTCAGCCTCCCTAGTAGCTGGAATTACAGGCGCCTGCCACCACAGCCGGCTAATTTTTGTATTTTTAGTAGAGAGGGGGTTTCACGATGTTGGCCACGCTGGTCTCGAACTCCTGACCTCAGGTGATCTGCCTGCCTCAGCCTCCCAAAGTGCTGGGATTACAGGCATGAGCCACCGCGCCTGGCCTTCTTTTTGATTTTCTTTTTAATGGTTTAGTTTGTTTTGTTCACTGATGTATCCACAGAACCAGTTCCTGACATGTAGAGGCATTCAATTTAAAAAAATAAATAAATAAACATAGGGCAATACAGTGCCTGAATGATGAAATTAGTTGGAACCAAATAGTTACCTCCTATAAATGGGGCACATCTTCTCCGGTTTACCATGGATATCTCATTCCTGTTATCTGGCCCACTTTATTGATTTATATTGTTTGCCTAGCCTCACTTAGCTTTTGCAATTGTAACCTTGAATCACGTTTGTAACTTATTATTCTCTCTGACCCATCTTAATTGAACCACTTGACTCCATAATCCATCGACAGTTATTACCACAATAGTTTATGTCCTCAGTTAAGACCCACTCCCCAACACCCAATTGTCTAAAAAAGTCATACACTGAAGCAAATGGGGTGACACCTATGAAAGGCTTATGGGAGAATTGTACGCCACACCATACACCAATGGAAAATCACAGCATACGATACATATACTTTAAGCCTAAGTCATACATTGGATAAGAATTCCACTGAAACTATGGGTTTGCAGAATTCCCCCATTTTGTTCAATTTTGCCAAGTAACAGGTTCAGGACATTGGTCAATTACACATGACTCATAACTTTATTAAAACTTTTCAGATCTATATGAGCTGAATTCAAGCTGCAGCTTCAGAGCTAGCTTAGAATTGAAAGACTTAATAATAACAGGAGAAACTCCTTTTGCCTCCTCACATATGCAGAATTGAAGGCACTTGTTTTGCCTTCAATTTTAGTTCCTTAACACGTGTTTTGAAGACAGTTAAGGAAGTAAAATTGGCACACTGTATTGGTTAAATATTGCCATAATTACAGTGTAACAAGACATCCCAAATTTCAATGGCAAATAACAACAAGCATTTATTTCTTTCTTGCTTATCTATGAGTCAGCTGCAGTTTGGCTAATCTGAATCAGGTGCAGTAGGGTTTGACTCAAAGCTGCAGGTGTGCCTAGGTCCGTTCTACAGGTTCCTCATCTTCCTTAGACGAGCAACTACTTAGGTATGGTATTAGGTTGGGGCAAAAGTAATTGCGGGTTTTGCCATTAAAAGTAATGGCAATATTATAATATTCTCAATGCAAAAGCAGAACCTAAATTTGCAGGTATATTGCTGTCATCATATTGTTTATGTTGGCCAAGTCAAGCCACTAAGCCTTCCAGAAAGGAGCAGGAATGTACACTCCACCATCATGAGGCCAGAGCAAGGCTATGCCTATAAAATACTATTTAAGGGAATGAAAAAGTGTAGACCAATACATTGATCTAATATATACCCACTATTATGCCAGTAGACAGATACCTGATATATCTGTAACCTTAAATCTTGGGATGCATAGTCAGATAAAAAAATCAGATAGTCCCCCTATTATGGCATAGGTGAACAATGAACATAGAAAATGAAGACTGAAGACTGCAGTAAATCACTTTACTTTCTGGACATTGAGTTCTAAGAACTCAGATATTAGAAATGAAACTCTACAAAGCATTGGCATCTCAAAATTCTGAGACAGTAATAACCACAGAACCTGAGGAGTAGCTCTGTCTCCAAAGATGTGGGCAGAAACCACCTTTTTGCAATTTCTCTAATGGAATTACAATTAACCACAGGCCTGTTGTACAATAAGGCTCCACTGGGTATTACGAGTTTGGTTTAATGAATACGATTCAACCGTGTACAGCATATTCTCTAAGTCTCTCTGGAAAGGCGTTTAAATGGTGATTTCACAAAATATTACTTTTAATCAAATCACATTGGGATGTCATTACTTAATAGTTTGTCTTTCTCTAAATAGATTAAATTTTATTGGAGACCATTTTTTTCAGCCAAATGTACTATATATTTTTGATGAAGCCTTCTTACTATTTGACAGTCTGCCCATTCAACCTGGCTTTCCCTGAAAAGAACTGTGTGCTGAAGAAGAAATGCATATGTTTATGTCTGTAAATCCAAAGAGAACACAATATTTTCTTAGTCCCAAATTGCAAGATGCTTCCAGGACAAACAAAAGAATTGCCAGTGGAAACTCTGGATATTAGTATTTGAAGTGTTCTAGGGAAGCTGGAAATTTTTGTGAAATAAAAACACAGCGTAATTTGAAATTACACACATTCGCTGAACAAACCTTTGCCAAACTGGCTGCTCAGAGACTATTTTTCCACCCGAATAGTTTAATGGTTTTTCTTTTAAGTATTAGTTGAAAATATTTATCTAAAAGCTCAAAGAAATGTCCTGGAGTTGATTTACATCTCGTTGGAAATCATTCTGAGGTTTGTGTTTGTGTGTGTGTGTGTGTGTGTGTGTGTGTGTGTGTGTGTGAGATTCATTAAAAGAAAAATACCGAATATTGTCAATAACAATAAAAACACAGGGCATGACTTCTCAATTACCTAAAAAATGTCGCTGGCAATAGTAAAATTACAAGTTACAAATTATATCCTAAGAGAGTAGAATTAATCAATAGAACGTGAGAGATTTGGTGCTTCAGCAGCACAAGATGAGAAGAATTAAGAGGCCCAACTCAAGAAGTTGTGAGAAAGTGTTAAAAACTCCAAATCCTTCACAATATTTATTGAACAGAGAAGAATAACTAGCAACAGGCTAAAAAATCCCCTGGCTTAAACAACTAAATAGAAGAAGGGATGTAAAATTTGCACAACCTGACCACACCCTTTATTTTAAAAGAATAACTTAATAAACAACTCGAAGCCAGAACTTCTCTCTAGATTTTACACCAAAATAGCTCAACACCAGCTAGGCTAGTGGATCTAATTATGTGCTATAACAGAGGCCACTTGGAGTACTGTTCCTTTTTTGCCAGAAAATTCTCTTGCCCCCTCAAGAATTTTTTTATTAACGTTAGCAAATAAAGGAATTTCAGCATCTTATTTTATGACCACTGGCATCAGTGGTTACAATTTGAAATAACTACCGTATCTTAGCAACTCTAATCTTAACAAAATAAATGCAGCAAGGAGCAAACAGGCTTCGCGCCATACTAATGTCTCATCAACATCCGAAAAAGGGGAAGGCGGGAAATAAATGAAGGATGACTCTCACTGTGCTGGTACTGTGGAATTGGCAGCTCTCCCATGACCAAAACATTACATTTCTTTCCATTTTCACAGCAGGGGCACCTGCAATGATATATTTTAAGAAAAAAAATTTACTTAGACCTAAAGGGGCAGGCATAAAAGAGAGAGGGGAAAGGATGATTAATCAGAAAGAGAAAGATGTGAGGGAAAAATTGAAATTGTATCCTGCTTATTTATTTTTCTTATGATGCAGAGGTCACAGCAATGGTAGTATCTGTTAGTTGTCTCCTAAATTGCATTCCAATCAATGCTCATATTTGCACAATATGATAGATCCCCCCCTTAGACACTGAAGCCTGAGGTAGCTCCAAATTCACATTATAACTTCCATCAGAAAGAAGGCACTACATAAATTGTGAATGAATGAATGAATCCAGTTCTGTCCCTTCAAACCGGTTAGTAAATATTAAGGACACAAAGCTCTTGATTCACTTCATACCTCTAGATCAATCACTTAAAGTGTTCCTAATGTAGAACTTGGTCCAAGTGTACATCCACATCGATCTGAAGTCAACCTCAGGAAGCACACCTTAAAGAAAAGATCAGGGACTTTGTGGTTAGAAGGACTTGAGTAGGGACCTCCACTTCCTCATTTCCTAGCACTGTGAACTTACGATAATATCTCTGAGCTTCCAATTCTTTAGCCGAATGGGATAGAACTCCCTAGGAAATAAAATGACAGTGAAGTTGTCAATTGGAATAATGTCTTAAAGCTTCTTAGCCCATTTCCTGGTAAGTAGATTTACCATCCAGTGAGTCCTTTCAATTGATTTCCTTTCAATTGAGTCATGTAGGCCACCACTGGCAAACATATCACACATGGTAGCCTACTCAATACTATCTTGTTTTATATTAACCAGGTTAATCACCATTTTCCAATATGTTGAGCTGTTGAGTTCTTTTGTTCACTAACTCTTGAATCTGGTTATTCTGTCCATTTCCAATGGCAAATTAACATCTTGTTTAAGCTTTAATTAACTCCTGTCTTTACTGTTGATTGTAAAAGCCTAAATATTGCTCTTCTAATCCAATCTTGTCCCTTCCAATCTGCTGCCAACATTCTCTTTCTAAATTTGACTATGTATTTTCCCTGTTTTAAATTCTCCTTTGTTTAATATATGAGCCTCCAAGTTCTGAGCTATGCCTACTTTTCAAGTTCCATTTCCTGGCATTCTTTCTACCCTGAACCCTACACTCCAGTTCAAACCAGTGTGCTTCTAATTCTGCTTCATAACCCAACACTTTTTGGCAATTTTGCTCTCAATATAACATGCTTTTCAAAATTTTTTCTCCATTTATAAACTCCTTCAGAGGTGGAACATTATTTCTCCAGTGAAGACATTCCTGCAATCTATTTAGAAAGTTGATAATATTCTACGTAAGATCATATCTATACAATATACTATGTTTTTATAGCACATAACTACAATGCTTTGCAATTATTTACTTACTCATGTTTCTGTCCTATTAGACTGTGAGTCAGAGACTTCAGGACAGAGAATAATATGGTTCATTACTCTCATTGTCTAGCACAGTGTCTGAATTTAATACATACTCAATAAATGTTAGCCTATCTCCTTTACCATTCTCCTTCCTACCCTTCAAATACTACAAAGATGGATCGAATTGACCTGTTTAGACTTTTATTTTGATCATTGTAGCATTAAATTCTACTTTATTTGTGAATGTAATGATTGATCTCATCTAAAAGAATACACATCTCTTTACTACAGAAAACAGAAACTTATAAAAAATAACTTATGATATTATTTTAGTGCTTCATGAATATTTTTATATCTATTTTTTTTAATGACCATAACCCTATTTTGTGTGTTTGAAACCTTGAATCTTCCTTTAGGCTCTGTCTCACTCTCTTTTTTTACCTTGGTCCCACTTGCTTTATATTGCATTGGCAAATGCTCATAGCATGTATACAGTAGAAACAAAACCAATGATAATGATGATTGGGATAAAAATAGTTACCTTGTGCTATTAGAGTCATAAATTCTGAAGATTAAAAGAGATATAATGTTATATATTAAAATTCTAATAGAATTGAGTTGTGGCATTGATATGTGATCAAAAAATTGGTATAATATAGAAAAATCCTATATGTTTAAACTCCTCTAGAAAATTTTCAACTAATTCATATAATAGATAATATATATTATATGATAAAGAATACATATGAAGTGCTCAAGAGCACAGTTAACTTTCTGTTATACAACCTTCCTGGTGGGCTTTAAAAAAATTATTCACTAACTCTCTCCGCATTAACCATTCAGAACTCCTCTGTTTTCATCCTTGTAAGAAATACTGCCAGAGAAACACAGCCTATAACTTACTGATAGGAAGGTGTCAAATTTCACCTTGCATCTGCTGAAGAATATCTCAAAATGGAAATAAAACCATGGAGGTAAAACTACCATTATGTCTGAAAACACAGGGAAGTCATCCAAAGTTAGAAAAAAGGAGAAAAATCAATCCAATGGCCAAGAATAAATTCATTCAAGCAACATGAATTGATCTTCTACCATGCGCTTGGTACTATGATTGGCATTCAGGAAAATAAACTAAAGAAAAAAAAATAACTATCCTTCGTGGTAGTCATGGAAACAGATAGGCGACCACTCACTGATTATTATGATATGCCCTGAGCCTTGTATTGTTCATGAATATTCCATCCAGAACCTATAATTACGAATTATTGAAAAAAGAGTCATGTCTAAATATAATATTATTTCTATTTTGTGAAGAAGAAAACATATTTACAAATATTTAAGATGGTAGGGTTGTTTTAAGGGTGACAAAAAATAAAGGTCTATTGGGTTTTTTTCCCTCTAAAAATGTTTTTTATACCAATGATAGTCTACTTTATAAAGAATACACAAAGTCTTGCTTTCGTAGTTTGGATTGCCAGATTAAATATAGAGTGCCCATAATTTTTTTTAGTATTGTGTCCCACGTATTGCTATATAAATGTAGGTTGTTGTCAACAACCCCTTAAATACGTTTCAGTTATCAAGTATGTTCCTCGTATTTCATGGAACATCCTTATACTAACAACTGATTCATTATTTAACTGAAATTCAAATTAAATTGTGCATCTCGTGTTTCTGTTTGATAAGTCTGATAGCCCTATGTATAGTGATGCCCATCCAATGATCAAACTCCCCACTTTGAGTTCACTCTATGTTGTTTCAGTGGACCAGTGGATTGAACAATGATGAGATACCAAGCAGCCTACTTGGTCTTGTGTTTACAACAGCAGTGTTGTTCAAGCATTTAGACTTAGACAGTTTCTTTCCAGCTTACGTTCAAACTGTTTCTGACATGTTGCTCAAGTAACAAAGTGTGACCTTTATCCTTTCCTCCTGGTGAACAAAACAGAAATTTTCTAAGGAGATAAAAATATCAAAAATTAAAAATGGTGATGTACTATTCCAAGAATCTTACGGCTGTCAATACTTTATGCTTTTAAATAGTTGCTACGGTTCATCCCAGAAGCATCTGCATATATCTGTGGGGTTTTTTTTTATGGTGTGTAGTGAACTTTGATATCTTTTGGGAATAAAAGAACTCTCTATCTGTCTATCTACATATATATATTTAACAATGCAAGTTATTGTTATATAAATGTAGGCTGTTGTCAATTTCAGTTCCCTACCATATCAAAAGAACAAAGCAGGCAGGAAGAGCAAGAGGATGATCTAATATGCCTATGCTAATAACAAAGCCAGTGTCCTAAATTGGCAATGGCAGCCCTCTTCTGCGGAGATTGTTTTTAACACCATCAGTAGACATTCAAAAAAATTGGATGGTGACAGGAAGAGCACATTTTAAATTGTCAACCTTCATGATGTCCTTTTGAAGAATAGCAATTACATAACTCAGGGAGCTTTATTTTGCATTTGAATGTGTATATATATATATATATATATATATATATATATATATATATATAAAGCAGTTTGCAAAAACGTTATGCAAGAATCCATATTCTGATTTCTTTGTAGAAATTAAAGTTACTTATTTTTTACTATAATCTCGTTTCCCTTTATTACCCAGTTACTAGTTAAGGTTGGCATCAATATTAAGTAAGTAGTACAGAATTAAAACTGCTTTCTATTTAAGTTATTAACAAAGTCATTTAAAGAGGCCATCGACCATATGCTATTTCTTAATCATATTCAAAGTCAAGTTTGTGATTTTCCAAGAATCATGTACTTTTTAAATCTATACTAGCATTAAAACATTAAGAGTGTGTTAATATTCTAATATTTTGTTAAAGCTTTAAGTTGTTTTCTCTTAGGCAATGAGAGAGGAAAATGTTATCCAAAAGTAATTTTATATCACCAAAATTTCATTTGGTTTTTTTCTAATTCTCATCTTCTTTTGAAATAATTTTAGAAAAAAACTCTTTTAAAAATGCAGACTTAACGCCAAGAGAAATGCATTGCAAGCACCCTAAATAGTTAATGTATTTTCTAAATGAATGATTTAAAATAGCTATTAAAGGAGAGGAAATGAGCTTAGGTTTCTAGTAATGACTTCTCCTCTTCAAAATGAAATCTGTAAATCCCTGATTGCAATTCCAAATCCCCTAAGGACCAGCAGTTCTGGGACCAGGGCTCACTGGCTTTATGTCTAATAGCACCAGATAAGTAGTATGATTTTTATATATATAATTTGGGGGAATATTCAGAATTTATAGTCCTGAAGACTATTTATGAATGAATTTCCTTTTTAAAGTACATTATTCTAAAAATCAACTTTTCCACCCAAATTGTAAGCAGAGCACATAGGAATGTGAGAGGCATGGATATATACATAGAGACGTATGTGTATGTATTTATATATGTGTGCACACACATGCACAAAATATAAGTACCATTTTATTCATAAGAGCATAATGATTCAGCCTGTGATTGTTAATAAAAATGCATTTCTAACCATCAAATTTGAGTCTATTATTCTAAGTTAATTGCATTTGCCCTAAAGAGACTTACAGCTGGCTGTCAGCCTGTTTGTGTCAGTTTCATTTTATTCACCAGTCAATCTTGTCTCTTCTTCTTTTTACATCCCATATATTGATCAAATAGATTTGTTAGCCTACTCACAGCTTTCACAGCATTAAAAAATTAAAAATAATCTTGATATTATCATCAGATGCACTTGATTACTCCGTTCCTTTACATGTTATTTTAATTGATATTTCAGTAGCAAATAGAATGCCCTTTTGACAGGCCCATAAGACTGCCATTAAATATAATAGATGTAACTCACTCAAAGAGGCATTGAGAAAATGTTAAACATGAAAAAGTCTACACTGCAGTGGTCGGCAGCATTTCAGCTTTTCAGTTAGAACAGAGAATACTCATCACGGTAAACATTAGTTCCTTACTGGAGTGCATTACAGAGTAAGGAAGCATCTTGTTAAAATTGGTCCTCAGCAATTATTAGGTGGTGAAGTGGATTAAAGAAATAATGGGCACCTTGTTCCCATTTGAGCCAAAGAAAACCAGTGGGGGAAACCGAAGAGCAGGGAGGTTAGGCTAGGAAAGTAGTTACGGTGGAAAATCTGTGAAGAATTAGAATCTTCCATATGTGAGTCAAGTTGCGTAGAGGGGAGATGAAAGGCATCACAGGGTGAGGAGATAATTAGCAGATCAGAAGCAAAGCAGTTAAAAGGTGACCCTTACCTCCTCTGTTACTTACTCTAGGAAACTATAGACAATTATTACAGTATTTTCTCCAGGGATGTGTGATACAATTCCTCCACATATCCTCCTAGACACAAAGCTCTCTCAGAATTGTCATTGCATTGCTTGAGTTCAGTGCTTTTTATGGAAATTCCTTTACATCATGCCAGCCTTGTCTTTCAATCTTGCTTTAGATCAGTGATGCCCAACTGAGGGTGATTTCACTCCCCAGGGGACGTTAGGAATACCTGGAGACGTTGGAGAAGGTGCTGCTGGCATCGAGTGGGTAGAGGCTAGGGACGCTGCCACCCAACCCAGAATGCATAGCACAGCACCCCCACGACAAAGAATTCTCCAGTCCAAAATGACGATAGTGCAGAAATTAAGAAATCTTGCTTTAGATGTGTGGCTGAAATACACTTAAAGCCAAAAAACGAAAACTACATCACATTCAGCAGCAGTGCAGTGAGTAGGATTTAAGCAACTCTGAAAGAAAGAGAGCAGTGCAGCTGCTGCACACAGAATTTCACACTGGCCTATTAAATAATACAATTCATTACCTAGACCCCAGGAACAGTTGAGCCAAATACAACCCCAATTTTAAGGAAAACAAAGAAAAATGAAAATTATTGCTTGATAGAAGACATTTCAAAGGCCTCCAAGACAAACCAGCTGAAAAATCCCCAATAAAAAGACTCAGCAAGAAAATTGTGTCACAGCCCCCAATCCTCAACAGACCTTAACAAGATGTTCATGAGCCAAAGACTCTTGTCTGCAGAAGACAAAAGGCACAGGAAACAATATAGTCTAGAGAAGGATTATCATTAAGAGGCAGGAGAAAGATAAAACAGATTCCTCCACCTTACAATTAGAACTCCTAAAAAGAATAACCAGAAATATGCTAAAAACCCATGTCACAAAACGGTTATATCGTTCTGCTCTTGGGAAATTAGTATTTAGGTTAGGCCTGGGGCAATTTTTTTAAAGTCTTTTTTTGATGGTTGTTTTTTACCCACCTGCCTAGACACCCCTGCCACCAAACCCCTCCCTGGCACAGATGGCCAAGACATTTGCTTTTTCAAATACTCCATATTTCCACAGCCACCCACCAGACAAAAATTAGATTACCAATGCTTGTGTAAACTTTCCAAGCTCTGACACAATAAGATTCCAGGAAATGTACATGCACAGCTAAAAGCAGCATTATACATAATGCACTGTAATTCCACCAGACAAGTTGCTATCTTCGATAGATATACACATTTTTCATGCCAAACACATGAACGTCAATACATTTTTCTCAAGTTAAAATGGAAACCATTTAACAGATATAATGGGCACAATGAATTTCATTTTGCATTACTAATGCAGCAGAGAAGGAGGGAAGTTTTGGAAAGGATTGCAATGAGGCCAAGAACAACAGGAAACAACTTAGAAGCTATCATGCTTGTCCAAGTAACTGCCCCAAAGGATGGTCATGGGACCTATGGGCCACTGAGATTTCATATTCTCAATTATAATTATCTAATTCTACAAAAAGAAATTTTCCACAAATGGGAAAAAAGTTTAAAAACTGACAAAATCATAGCTGTGTTTTTGCAAAAAGATCAAGAGGATGTCACTATGTGTTTTTCCCACCATTTCCAAAGAGATGTTATCAGAGCCAACTTGATTTTAGGGGAGATTAATTGGAGGCATATGAATGAAATGATGTGTCATATAAAAAAGGTTGGAAAGATACTCCAGAAGCCCAATCCCCAGCCTCTGCTTTTACCAGTAGAAATACATATCCTCCAAGACTCCTTTTCATCCCTATTATACATATGTCACAATAGCAGTACACATCATTGGCCCTTACCCTTACGAGGAAATTGTCTCTAGTCTTTCTGGCATCAAAGATAGTGTAGTCAGCCGTTGCACACAGAAGAACTGTGTTGGTGCCACCTACTAGGATTAGATAATAAACTCTAAGGGCCTAAACAAATGTTATTATACAGTTTAGAATGAAACTTTTGAGCACAGGTTATTGGACTCAGGCAAACCTTCGTTCTAAGCCCATCTCTACTACTTACACACTGTGTGAGCTTGAGCAAATCACTTCATCAGAGTTTCAGTTTCTCCATTTGTAAAATAGGTATAATATTTTCAACATTAATGGTTTTTAGGAAGGATTAAATGGACTCATGTGTGTGAGACATTAGACGCCTTAGTAGCCGCAATGTTTAGGAACAGCAGGACATGATTGAACACTCTGGCCCTATTTGGTTAAAGTATTTGCTTCCACCACTTTCTGAGTCTGTGAACTTGGGTCAGGTACTTAGTATCATTAAATTTCAACTTCCTTACCTCTAAAATGAGAAAAATACTAACAAGAATACCTTTAGCAATGTTATGAGGATTCAAGTGTGATAATAAAAATAAAGGGCTTAACAATTCCTACCATACCTCCCATTACATTTTAGCCCTAATAATTCTTTTCATCATATTTACAAATGAGATATAAACTTTTTTAGTGTTAGTCACCAAAATGACTGGTGAAAACATCTCAAAATATGAATGCATATACAAAGACAGACTTTGAAAGAAAACAATTGGAGAAGCATAGCACATTCTTCATCATGTTTATCATGAGTTCCAGCAATAATTTGCCTTTTGATTTTATGTTTGCCTCCAGTATATAAAGACACACCTCTAAAGAGTGGAGTTTTAAAGTAGAAATATGACAATATTTATGAGGAACCGTTCTAGCAATTCTTCCAAAATATCTCAACTCCCAGGAACTGATAAATTTATCAGCCCGTATGTCATTTATGGTACTCCATCCATGAACAGAAGTCACAGAAGTCAGTGTCACCGCAGTCACATCACAGGCTAAAAACACTGTGACAGTAAATTGGTTACAAGGTGTAAAAATGGGTGGACACGAAAAAATGAATATCCTTGACTGTGAAAGGCCAAGATGAGCTAGTAAGCTATTAACTTGGCTCATTTATCAAATGATGAATCAACTTTTATAAGAAATATTCAGTGTTTTCATACTGCTTATCAAGTACCCTAATTCTGTCATCTTATGGGCCTATATTACTGAATTTTTCAGAACACCACTTAATATCTTAATTATTAAATTACAGTGATGTGCCCCGGTGTATGAAAATAACTCAGACTTGTGGCTTGCTTCTGTCTTCTCGTGCAGAATAAACTAGGGGTTTCTGAAATGCACCATGTTTAGCCAGGTGAAAAATAAACCAGATTGGTACTATAGTCAGCAATAGAAAGATAAACAAATTAAGTACTTATAATTGACGCTGAAGGAATGAAAGAATTCACACTTTCTTAGAGCTATTATTTCAGACAGTCTGGTGTCAGAATTAAAAGCCAACCAGTGCATCTGTTTATATTGCCAAGGATTTTCACAGTAAGAAGGGCTAGGAAACACATATTTTTTAGTTAGGGTCCAACTTCCAAAGAACACCAAAAAATAGTGTGTCAAAAATATATGTTCTTATGATTTTTATTGTCCAATGTCTAAACAAAGACAAAAAACCACATAGCTCACTTCTACTTCACAAACACAAGTGGAGAGATTAAAAAAAAAAAGTAATTGGTTATTCTGCTTGTTTCTGGCTTAGCTACTGTTTTTTTTCCCCAAGATGAGATAATATAGGAAAAGCTGATTAAGGAAACTTTTTTCACATAGAAAGTTCACCAGGATGGCTCTGTTACCAAGCCTTAAAATTTGAATTACAATGGTTATCTAAAATGGCCATTTTACACTTTAAAATACGTCTCTTATTTTAAAAATTTACATTAAGTCCTTGCTTATCTTGGGCTTCTAGTTAAAGAAATGTCCTGTGTAAAATCCATACTGATGTATTGAGCATTGAAGCACTCAAAACTATCATTAACCTATTTTTACTTCTCATCAGCAAAATTAGAATATTAGGTATTTTCTTCAATTTCAAAGCTTACTACTTTGGTCAGTGAAAGAAATACAACACACACACACACACAAAGTAATATTTTGTCCGCAAGAGTAAATAGACTTAATTGTCTCATTTATTTATTCAACAAATATTCACTGATGATCTATCTGCCAGACGCTGGACTCACTATTGGGAAACACTGAGTTGAACGAGACGTCACTGTATTTAGCATATAATCATAACATAGGGCGATATGATCTCCTACAGGAAAAATACAGGGCTCTGGGGAAGCACTTACCAGGAGAGAAATGATGAAATAGACTTGAGAGATGATCGGCCCTCATTCCCTTTGTTTGACCAAAGAGGAAACTGAGGTCTAGAAATGTTAAGCTTCAGAATCACAGAGCTCTTTAGTGAAAATGAAGCTGGAATTTATGTGTCTCTAAATTCAAATTTTATACTCTCTTTATAGTAATGTACTCCCTAGAAAGTGATTGGCTTTGTTTTCCTCCAAAACAATAATGATCAAACCATGAACTTCAAGACAGTTGACTAAAGTTGGAAATGTTCTCTTTGGGAACAGAGTCAATCTCCAACCTAATTGCATAACATCCTGAATGGTGGAGAAGCGTTGAGAACTCAGACAGCTGGGGTCTAATCTTCCATTTCTATACCTAATAGCTAGGGTAAGACTTGGACCTTGGGCAAGAAAGAAACTGTGAAAACCATTTGATTTTTTAAAACAATCTTTGAAATCAAGATAACAATATCTACAAGATACAGGTAAATTTCATGACATAGTTGAACTGAGTACGTACTCAACATAACATACGTAAATTCCTAGCCCCACTTTTCACTATTGCAAATTGAATAGAACTGATGAAAGACCAGTTCAGCAGAAACCACATCTCAGTTTCTTTATTCTTTTCCATTCATTTTAGCATAAGATTCAGCCTCCAATTTTAAGCCATTTTTGTAGATCATTTTTGGCATACCTTCACAAAATTAAACATTTCCACTCTGTGAATATTTTAGGAGTTAGAAAGCAGAGATTAAACAATTAGATTTAGAGAATTTAATCAGCATGCATCCTCTAAAAAGAGATGGGAAGAAAATAGAGTCAGAAGAAATATATAAAATTAATTAAACCTCCTATGCAATTCTGTGAGTCTCTTTCCATTACAGGTCATAGAAACCTAACCAGTTTAGATAAAGAGGGAATTTGTAGACTCACATATCTAGGATGTCCAGATGGAGACAAGCTTCAGGAGCAACTAAATATGGGGACCCAAACAATACATTTGGAATTTGTCCCTGTGGCTAAAGTGCCCTGCCTTTACTTTCTTTTCTTGGCCCCCTTTTGGGGGTTTATTCTCAGAGAGACTTTTTTTTTTCTTTTTTGAGACAAGTGCTCACTCTCATCCAGGCTGGAGTACAGTGGTGTGATCATGGCTCATTGCAGCCTTCACCACCCAGGCTTAATAGATCTCCTACATCTGCTTTCCAAGTAGCTGAGACCACAGGCATGCATCACCATACCTGGCTAATTATTTATTTATTTATTTTGTAGAGATGGGATTTCTACATGTTGCCAGGCTAGTCTTGAACTCCTGGGCTCAAATGATCCTCTTGCCTCAGCCTCCCCAAAATGTTGGAGTTACAGGTGTGAGCCACGATGCCCAGCCTCAGATAGACTTTTTACACATGGCAGAAAAATGGCTCTGTCTACCCAAAGCCCAAATAGTGTTTACACCTTACATAGAAGGAGAGAACTGTTACTCCCAGTATGCTAATTTCAAGTGTCAGGGAACGCCTGGATTGGTGCTATGCGAGTCTCACAAGCATCCTAGAACAAGCTGCTGTGGCTAGGAGATAGAGGACTCTGGCTATCATATGTCTGTGTGAGGAGCAGGACAGGGCAAGCCATTTCCACTCAAGGTATAAAGAATAGGTTCGTCACTATAAAGTACAGTTCTCTTTCCTGAAAAAGGGATCCTGGACAGGCAAAAAAAAAAAAAAAAAAAAAAAAAAGATACCACTCAATTAGTTTCTTTTCCCTTCTCTTTTAGGATTATCCACCTCAATTCTAAATCCTCTTGGAGATCCTGGTAAGTTCATCCTCCTTTCTTTGTGGTAGCTTCCTATAGTGATTAAGGGGCACTTTCAGTGCAATATTTAAGGAAAAATACTCTGCCTTTGTCCATGCCCACAATATGGCTGCCATGGCACCGGCATACAAATCATAACACATGCACATTATTCAAAGCCCATTGAGGTATGTTTCACCTTGGAGTTGCTTATAATCTGTGTGTGTATACATGTTAGATAACAAAAGGTTAACAATCTTTTCCCTATTTAGGCAATACATGGATTCCAAGTTTACTATATGTAGGACACTAGGTTTAGCTCTGTGGGAGTATAAAAACATTAGAGCCTGTCCTTGAATGATTGAAGAAGAAGAGTAAGAGGTGTAAGACATCAATTTTAGCATAGCATGATGGACAGAACATGGAGTTAACATTTGAGCTGAGTTTTGGAGGATAAGCAGACGTTTCACTGAAAGGAATCGGAAAAGAAAGGCATGCACAAAGAGGTCAAGATAGAAAAGTCTGAAATGGGCTTTTTTATTTGGTTAAAAGATCACACATATGAGAGGGATGGGAAATAAACATAGCAAGGTAGTGTTTAAGCATTCATTAATAGAGGTCTGTCTATATTGTGGTGTATCCGCACTGGAGAATATGATGCAGTAATTCTTTAGGATGAGGAAGATCTAAATGAGCACACCTCCAGGATATACTAACAAAGGGAAAAATATAGCTTCCCATTAATAAATACAGCTTGGCCCCCTTTACATTAAGTAAAAACCAGATATGCAAATGTTCGAGAATGAATGCAAAAGATCTGGAAAAGCTTTATCCCAAACTGATAATACGGAACCAAATAAATTTGTCAAAGAGCAGTGAGAATGGGGCAAGCTGCAGTAATGAAGTGGAGATGTTGCCTTGACATTGACACATCTGTGTTGCTTAAGCTATGATTTTTCACAATAGAAACTTACCTACATGTGACTTGCTTAATAAAGAAATATTTTTTACATAAATAAAGGTTTTCTGCTAGGCGCAGTGGCTGTTACCTGAAATCCTAACACCTTGGGAGGCTGAGGCAGGGAGAATCACTTGAGGCCAGGACTTTGAGACCAGCCTGGGCAACATACAAAGACCCCATTCCTACAAAAAAAGTTTTAATTAGCCAGCCATGGTGGCATGCACCAGTGGTCCCAGCTACTCACGAGGCTGAGGCAGGAGGATTGCTTGGACCTGGGAGGTTGAGACTGCAGCGAGCCATGATTGTGCCGCTGCACTCCAGCCTGGGTGACAGAGTGAGACCCTGTCTCAGAAAAAAAAAGTTTTCTAGTAAAATAAGGGTCAATTTACAGGCCCCAAAAGGAGTATGGACTTTAAAAAATTAATATTATCATTATTTTTGGTTGTCAATGTGGAGGTTGCTAATACATGAAGGCTTACACATTAGTAAGAAGAACATGTTGCAAGTGGGAATATCTTAAGGCTAATAAACAAATAGGCAGGTAGAACTCTTTAGAGGCCATTCCAAATATAAATGTATAATAAAATACATAAAATATACAAGAAGTGAATATATATGAGTGAACAATATGGATTAAGGGGAGATAATCATTCTTTTTTAAGTGCAGGGAGTTTAAAGTCTCAAAGTGATGTCTCTGGAAAAGTTATTTTGGGAAGTGTCTAAAAGACAACACATCTGGATCTGTAGATCACAAGGGGCCAAGTCGATTTTAGTTTGGATTTAGCAGTCATCTATGCGAAGGAGAGAGTTGAAGAATGAATAAGGTCAACAGGTCATTAGAGAATAAGTTAGGTTAGCAAGGGAAAGAGTGAAGAGAGCTAAAGCCAAGGTCGTGGGAAAGATTATTCATTAAGAGAAGTAGAATGATGCATTTGCTCATTCATTCGCTGCTAGTATTTTTTCAAGCACCTTGTGACAAATCCTGTGCAGGTTTTGAAGACAGAATCATGATGGTGGGAAAAATGGCGTGGTGACTGCCCATAGGAAGCTTACGTCCATTGAACCACTAATATGAACATTTAATGAACATGTATTGTCTTTGCTGTGGCATTTAAGTAGCACATCAACCTTTGAAACAATGCTATAATTATTTCTTTTCTATAGATAAAGAAATGAGGCTTAGTGACAAGGGATAATTTGTCCTAAGTCATACAGCAATAAATTATCAATGGCCTGATTTGAATGCCAACTTTGTCTGCCACCAGAACCCTTACACATTGTGCAGACTAACATATTCAAGAGTGGTCAGCAAAGGGGTCATAGAGAAACCTCTAAAAGAGGAGAAAAACCAGGATTCTACATTAAAGAAGACAAGGACAGAGCCGTGAGCCTGACTGACCATGTGTCAAGGATGGAAACTGATTACAGATCATTGATTTGGTGATTAGAGCCATGTATTCATGTGTTTAACATTCATTCAACAATTATTTATTAAGCACCTAGCATGTATTATCACATGAGCTTTGAAAGGTCAGTTTAATTTGCGAGGAGACGGAAGCCAATTGTGAGGGATTAAGGAGTGAGTGGGTGATGAAATAGTATGTATTAAGGACTACCCAGAGGAATTTGAAGATGGAAAAAATAGTGCACAAAGGATTTATAGTCTCTAGTACACCTAAGAATGCATCCAGAGGGAGGAAGCAGTCAGTAGAGTAAGACTGAAGATGCAAGGAAAGAGAACGACGGTTGATGAAGACACATCTTTTGTGGATGGTAAAAGAGATAGGGATGTAAACCCCTCATGCAAAGGTTCACCTTTAAAAGACAGAGGGCCCCTTCTTCTCCAATAGAGGTTGGAAAAAAACATAAAGGAACAAGGACATTCTGCAGCAAAGTGCAATCATAGGAAACCGTACTGATAAAATCTCTTTGGGGCAGAGGTTCTCAAGCCTGGCTACACATTAGAATCATCTTCACAGTTGCTAAAAATCGTGATGCCCAGACTGCACTCCAGACCAAATAAATCAGGAAACCGTGAGGTTTCTTCAGGCTGAAGATGTCCAAGGCAGCGTTTAAAAAGTGACAGGCAAGATTTGAATAAGTGAGAAGAAGAGGAGGCATTCCATGTGATGACATCTTAAGCAGCACCAATTAAAAAATTAATTTGCTTAAAACGAAGCAAGGAAGAAGTGAGGGACGAAATAGAAAAGTTGGTCTGTGAGTAGATCACAAAGATTTCAAATTGCTGCAAAGTAGATGTATGTGTGTCCATTACTTGTGACCATAGCTCTATTAAGCACCAGAAACTTTTTTTTTTTTTTTTGAGCCAGGGTCTCACTTGGTCACCCAGGCTGGAGTACAGTGGCATAGTCATGGCTCACTGCAGCCTCGACTTCCCAAGCTCAAGTGATCCTCCCACCTCAGCCTCTGGGACTACAGGTGCATGCCACCATGCCTGGCTGATTATTCTATTTTTTGTAGAGATGGGGTTTTGTTATGTTGCCCAGGCTGGTCTCAAACTCCTGGGCTCAAGAAATCCACCTACCTCAGCTTCCCAAAGTGCTAGGATTACAGGCATGAGCCACTGTGCCTAGCCTAGCACTGGAATTTTATCAGTACTGTTTGCTTTTTATCCCAAACCTCATCAGAGTGCCTAGCATATAGTAGATGTTCAATAAACATGAGTTGACTAAATAGCTTAAAAAATAAACAAATGTATTTTTTAGGTGTCAACCCAGCCCTCTAAGTGTCTAGAATACTTGAAAAGTGGAATTGTCTCATACCCAATCCTAAGTCATTCATTGTAAGTAGTTGTCCACATCCCACTCAGATATTTCTGGGTCTCATTAGATATGACTCCAGTCTTTTTATTCTTAATGTGTGTATCAGAATTTTATTAAAGTTTGTCAAAAATGAGAAAACAATGGGCAAGGCACACACCTATCACATGACTCAGCATTTTACTCCTAGAGTTTTAGCCAAGAGAAATATCCACACAAAAACTTGCACGGGAATTTTCATAGCAGCTTTATTTGCAACAGCCAACAACTGAAAACAATACAAATATCCTTCAATTGGGTGGATAGATAAACTGAATTAAGGTATATTCATGCAACTAAATATTACTCAGCTAAAAAAAATTGTTTAGATATGCAACAATCTGAATAACTTTCAAAATAATTATGCTGTGTGAAATCTTGACCAAAAAAAGGTACAAACTGAGTGATTCAGTTTACATGAAATTTTAGAAGTTGAGTCAATCTGTAGTAAGAAGAATGGGTCGCAGGTTGCCTACTGAAGGAAGTAGAGGGATGCATGGATTACAAAAGGACATAGGGAAACTCTGGCAGAGGGTATGATGGAAATGTTTGTTGTTTTGATTGTGGGGATGGCTTCTTGGTGCACACATATGTCAAAAGTCATCAAATGTTATGCTTTAAAGCCTTGTCAATTATTGTATGTAATATATCTTAAATCTATAAAAAGGTTTTAAACAGCAAACAACGAAAAGGGAAGCTTTATCATCAAAATGCCAGCTGGCAAGTGATTTAAAATGAGATATTAGATACCTGTATTGTGAACTGTGTCACTTGCTTACTGTCACAGGTCATTATTCCACGCTGAAATCTTGCTCCTGTCATCTTGCTGCACTCCTATCTCCCTCAAACATCACCAGGGCCACCCACTCCACAGATTTCAGCTTTTATCTTTTGCAGAGCAGTTTAATTATGACTCTTTCCTACACTAGGGTTTTGGGAGAGCTCGCTTTTAGTACCCAAACTCTGAGACTCTGTTGCCCAGGCTGGAATGCAGTGGCGCGATCTTGGCTCACTGCAAACTCTGCCTCCCAGGTTTAAGCGATTCTTGTGCCTCAGCCTCCCAATTAGCTGAGACCACAGGCGCATGCCACCATGTCCGGCTAATTTTTGTATTTTCAGTAGAGACTGTATTTCACCATGATAACCAGGCTGGTCTTGAACTTCTGGCCTCAAGCGATCTGCCTCCCTTGGCCTTCCAAAGTGCTGGGATTACCGGTGTGAACCCCCACGCCTAGCATAGGGCTTCAAACTTTCATAGGCACTTATGATTTTAGAAATGGCAAGATTTTTTTCCTTCTTTCTGTACAAAGGAGAGAATCACCCTGGGAAGACAAACAGAAAATCTCCAACCCAGTAAGAAGTCAGTCCCTGTGATGGAATAAATATTTATTATTGGTAAAAACAATACGTATTTACATTATTATTGTGACTAATTACCTCTCTTGTTGAGGGGTTTCAGGAATGATGTCTTCATCCTAAGCACTTTGGGAGGCTGAGGCGGGCGGATCACGAGCTCAGGAGATTGAGACCATCCTGGCCCACACAGTGAAACCCCGTCTCTATCAAAAATACAAAAAATAGCCAGGCGTGGTGGCGGGCACCTGTAATCCCAGCTGCTCAGGAGACTGAGGCAGGAGAATCACTTGAACCCGGGAGTCGGAGGTTGCAGTGAGCCAAGATTGCCACTGCACTCCAGCCTGGCGACAGAGCGAGACTCCATCGCAAGAAAAAAAAAAAAATAGGAACATCATCATTGTGTCCAGCCACATGAGTGGAGGTGTGAATATTGTGGGCATTCGACACATGTGCACTGATCATGAGGATAAAGGTTGAAGATGAGACACTTGCTGGGATTCTCTACCTTATAATAACAGTAGTAATAATAGCTACTTGGTGTGTCCAAAGCTGTTGAAAAGCATTAACATTTCACATGGTGCACACCCTCACAGAGCAGATCAATATTTATTCTTCCAAGTGTGTCGAGTGTACGGTTGGGGCACCTCGAGGTGAAAACATCTCGCTGCCAGTGTCACCGTGTCAGCCTCAGCACTTGGAAAGCACATCTCCCAGTTCATTATGTCAGAATAACAAAGTGACCCTCAGCAGTTGAATATGCTTATTAATGGCTAAGGGGAAGAAGGGTGGAAGGAGCAGACAATAACGCTTTGGGGGCTCCCAACACTGAACAACTGTCAAGAATACACGACTGTTATTTGGTGTAGCATCAGCTCTGGAAGGGAAAAACAGACACACATGCACACACACACATGCACACATCACAGCAGGCCTGTTTAGTAGCTTCCAGATGAGAATTTATTTTTGTGACTCCTGGTCCAAGTAATTTCATTGCCACCTAATTAGTAGGGGCAAGGGGGCAGTCGTGGGACTGGCTTTTGTCCCATTTCTTCTCTCCTTGTCCCATTTCTTCTCTCCGTGTATCTCTGTCTCTCTGCGTGTGTGGCTTTCTTCCCTTCTCTCTCTCTCCTTAGCGTGTTTCCCTGATTAAGCAAATCAGCCTTAATTGGTAACTAACCAGGGAAGGACACCCCAGCCTGTTCTCCAAGCCCATTAAGGGGTAATCATCCAGCACAACTAACAAGTCATTCAGACCAGAATTTTGGAATTTGGCTCTTTTGTTCTGTCAGTTTGAAGAGTACGCGGCACGTGTGATGCAATTTAGAAGGGAGCTCTTTTAGAGCTTTCACTCAGGAAGGCGTCGGGAGCTCTGGGGGTAGAGCTTAGCTCAGAAAAAGAGAAAAAACGCAAGTTTGCGTTGACAGCTTGATCCCAGAGAGAGATGGCGGGCTGCTTGTCTAGCAGGTCCTCTGGGTGTGGAAAAGGCAGGGGCAGGAGCGTCGTCTTAAGCGAACGTGTGCCGCCAGTGTTAAAGGAACTATTCCCTTCCTTGAGCATGGCTAGCTGTTTGCCACTGCTGTTTCCTTCAATAAAACCTCTTTGCACTTGCTGACTGGAGCCTGTCAGGCAATAATATTTTTCACGTACATGTACGAAAATGCCCTTGTGTGTTTTTAATACATTTACAATTGATAACAATAGAGCTGTTATGTCAGGAATGGTAGAAAAGCATTTGTTGCAAATGCAGAGCGATGGTAAGACACGATGTTCCAGGGCTGCTAGGCCCTGGAGGGTCAGTGCAGCATCCTGGAGCAGGGAATCACTGCGAAATGGGATCAGGTTGTGGTCTTTTCATCCAAATTGAAAAGTGGAAGTTTGCCTTTTCAACAGAGCTGGGTTTGTTAAGATTCTCTTTTCTGACTTGGGAGGAAGATAGTAACACAGCAGGTGTGGCATGGGCATGAACATCCTGAGATTTGAAGACGTATTTGGACCTTGGTCTCACCATGAAGCATTGCCTTTAAAACTCAAGGAGGGTGAAGGCATGGGATGAATTCTTCCACAGACAAACCACCACTTACAGAGGAATCCACCAAAGAAACCTAGAATTGATTATCAAATTACCGTTTGCTGTCATTGCAGCTCAACTTTTTTTGTTGTTGTTAAATTAAACCAGTTTTTAAATAATAAACAATAAGTAGACAACTTCTGCCAGTAATTTCAAGAGAGAGTTCCATTATTCAAACATCTATTAGGCTAGGATTGCAAAACTGTATATATATATATATGATTCATCTCGAATTTGTCTAATGTAACAATAATTTCATAGAGGTTTTGAGATCCAAGTAAAAGTTCTAGTGGTCAAAAAATAAGCGTTTGACACCAGCCCTCAAATATACACAGATTTTTATGAAAGGATATCCTGGTGAAAAAAATTTCTATTGCTATGCAGTGAAATTTCGTTGCAGTGAAATGAATCTCCTATGTTTGTCTACAGAATGAAGGGAACTGCATTGGGTGGTGTTAAACTATGTTTACTTTCTTAAAAGGGCATTCACTGTCCAATGTAAATTATGGTATCTACCAGTAAGAGACAATGTGCTGTTAAATGGATGGCTCTTGTGTCTGATAGCATGGATTTCAATTTCGGCCTGACCATTTTTAATTCTATAAACTTAAGTAAATATTTCCAACTCCCTGAGCTCAATTTCTTAACCATTTTAATGGGGATGGCAGCAACAGCATCTAAGACATAGCACTTTTAATATGATAAAATTAGATAATAATATATTATACTTTGTACAAATCTTAGAATTCAATAAATATTAAATATTTGTATCATTATAATTCCATAATATATACCCCAAAATATTCTTGATTAATTCACATATAAGTTGTATCCCAAATTAACATGTTATTAGCTAGGCTGATTGACAGTAGCTGTTTCAAATATTGACCTCCAAATTTTAGTATCCAAATTTAATAAAAGTGAATTCTTGGCCACCAAAATCTCAATGCAGATAGATATCCCTAGGTTGCTTTCCACCATGTGGTGACTCAGGGATCCAGGCTTTTTCTATTTTGTGGCTCTGTCATTTTTAGGGGCTCATCAGAGTTGTCTACCATATTTTCTGTTTTCAGCTGGCCAATAAGTAGAGAATAAAACGTGAAGAATCATGTGATATATTTTAGAGGCCTAACATGCAAGGGAGCTACATCATTTCTGCCCATGTCCCTTCAGCCAGAACTATTTTTATGTCCTGCTGAGATGCAAGAAAACCAGAAAAATATAGTTTAACCGTGTGCCCAGAAAAAGGAAGCAAGTTCTGCTATGTAGCATCTAGCTAGTCTCTGTCACCAACATAAATCTTTATGAGCTAAAGAGAGGGTAATTAAAATGATCTTCTTTAGCCATATTTGAAGGATCGGATATACCAGCATATGCAAATAAGGATCATTCTGAATACAGAATATTCCTAATATAGGCACTGACATGGTTGCCCACTAAATTCTTTCACACACTCACCCTCCTTGGCTATCTCTGGAATTTTCTCTTGCTTCCTGACCATTCCTCCTCTGACACCTTTTCTTTTCTTGTATGTGTAAGATGCTGATAACTAAAAATTGTGGTAAAGTTTACAAAAAGTGTTATGCTTTTGATAAAAGAGAGGGTACATCCTTTCTATTCTTCCTCAAAATTCAGTTATTGGTTCATCTTCTCTGGGAAGACCTCTTTAGCTGTGGAGGCTAAGTGGGGTGCCCTGCATTGGTATCCCATTAGCCTCTGTTGTAGCATTTATTACATGGTATTCTCCGTGTTTCTTCACTGGACTCTGCTCTTGGACTAGAAGCTATTTGAAAGCTAACTCACACCTTTTAGCTGAGTTTCTCCTCACGTACTACATAGTCTGCCACATAATAGACACTTGGTAGCATTAGCTAAAGGAATTAAGGAATTTTGAGGTATAACCCAGCTATCCATCTTAATAGGTAGAGAAAAGGAGAATGCAAATGAAACTTGACTGTTGTTAGTAAAAAAAAAAAAAGATTCATGAAAAAATTAATGAGAAGAATATACATTTCCTTCATCAAATGTAAAACTGTTATTTTGTTTTCAATTTTTAACATTTAGCCCCACACTAAAAAAAAAAAAAAAGTAAGAAAACTTAAATGTTTCATCAGGTTCCAGTAAGTCGACTCTGAAATATTTTCCTTTCATTTACTTAATCTAGACATTAGAAAACAAACAAACAAACAAAGAACTTAGAAAAACTATAACAGGGGTCCTTCTCCCAAAACTGTACTATATTAAAATACAGAGTCTATTTCTGAATCTCTATCAGTGAAGCATTATTTTTTTTTTGGCAGCCTAACGTCAGTCATAAGACAACAATTCCTTCTGAGAGGAAAGAAAAGCTATCCTGAAGATGAATTACTTGTCAAATGAAACTTTGATTAAAGAAAAGATTTTTTGGTTAATATTTTCCATTCTAGTGAAACATAAAATATATAATATAGTGTTATGTTTTCTTCAGCATCTTGGCATGCTTGCAATGTTTTAGTAGATAGCATAGTGGATATTAGCTGTAAAATGCCTTTCTTGATACTAAAACCTCTAAAAATTAAGGACAGTAAAGACAACTCTTACCACCTTCTTCACTTTTAAATGTTGAACTATTTAGTACATGTTATTTTAACAGTAGTAGTGACCTATTCAATCTGATATCATTAAGATTCTCTGTTGGATATTATTTATATTGCTTATTATATTACTATTATACTACTATATTATCAATATTATTTATTATATTATACTTACTATGAATGTTATACTATTCACCTATTAAGTTTGCTTTAGCAGAAGCAGTGCACCATGGTAGTTAAAAGCTCATGCTCTTTTCTGGAACCAGACTTCCTGTATTCAAATCCCAGCTCTGCCGCTTACTACTATCTGCATTTATAATTCACAGTTTGTATTACCTTTCTGTGCCTCAGCCTCCTCATTTGTAAAACATGGAGGGTAGTAGTGCTTATCCCACGGAGTTATTGGGAGAATTATCAGAGCTTATTCATTGAAAGCCTCAGAACACTATCTGGCATCTCAAAAGCCTGTAGAAATTGTTAAGTAGTATTATTAGGTTGGTGCAAAAGTAATTGCGGTTTCAATGGCAAAAACCTAATACCTTTTGAAAGAGTAATCTATGTTCAACTTTTCACTTTCTTATTTTTGGTTTCCTTCATTCAGCCCACTCACTTTGTCTTCTAGCCTTGTCCCTCTATCGAAATTGTTCTAGCAAAAGTCTCCAATGACCTCCATATTGCCAAAGTCAGTGGTCTGTTTTTCCTGCCAAAGTATACTTGCCTTCTTTGCAGAACTTGATATTTTGAATCACATTGTTTTCTTGACATATTCTCATCTCTTGAGTAAGAAGTGGTATGGAAAAAACAAAAACAAACTAGAGAGACTGTTATCACAGTTCTCCAGGAAAATATAGTATAAGGAGGAGACTATAATAGGTTTAGAGATTAATTTTAAAAAGAACAGTGAGATAAGAACAACTATAATCCAGTCTATTTCCTTTCTAATTCATCCTCCATCATGGCATTTCTAAGACAAAAATATGATCTTGTTGTAGTCCTGCTTTAACCTGTATTTCAAGTATCTTACACAGGAGTTAAGGGAACTTGGATATAATTTGTGTGCTGGGGATCAAAGGAATCTATATCATATGTCTGCATATGGTATATTTTCCCAGGAAAAAGATGCATGTATTTTTTCGAGGTCCATCCCCTGTCAATCAAGAGCCACTGCTCCAGTGCCTCTCCATTGTCTATAGGCTAAAATAAAAAATCTATGGGTAAAGATCAAAAGCTTCATCAGAATTCCCACCAGTCCCTCTTCTCTCCTTTTCCATCCCACTTCTTACCATGCTCTGCTAAGCACTATTTTTTTTACACTTCCATATTCTACAAACTTTGTCTTCTCTTCAGAATATCTTGTTTTTAATTGCCACCTGGAAATTGCACACTATTTTTTTTTTTTTTTTTTTAAGACAGAGTCTCTCTCTGTTGCCCAGGCTGGAGTGGAGTGGCACGATATCGGCTCACTGCAACCTCCGCTTCCCAGGCTCAAGCAATTCTCCTGCCTCAGCCTCCCGAGAAGCTGGGATTACAGGCACCCGCCACCATGCCTGGCTAATTTTTGTATTTTTAATAGAGACAGGATTTCACCATGTTGGCAAGGCTGGTCTCGAACTCCTGACCTCAGGTAATCCACATGCCTCAGCCTCCCAAAGTGTTGGGATTACAGGCGTGAGCCACTGCGCCCAGCCTTGAACACTAATTTTTAAAGATCCAGTGAAAATTTCACTGAGACACCCTTCTGCATATTATACCCAACAGAATAGGAAATTCCTGGGCTTTGCATCCACAAAGCTGTGTGTGTGCCTCTGTTATACGTCTCATCACATGCTATTAAAATGACCTGAGTGCCTCTCACACATTGAAGAGCAAATTCCGAAAGCAGAGGCCAGGTCTTACTCATCTTTGTATTATCTACCAGCAGCTAGTATATTGCCTGGCACTTTATGAAGATTCATAAATGTTTATCGAATGAGTGAAGGAAATGCTGATTACTGTCCTCCTTCAAATTTATCTATTAGGTGGGGATGTTGTATGTGTTTTCTGAGGGATGTGATCCACTGTTGTCTTTTATTTTTTTTAAGTGAATGTTGATTAATCCATCCTGGAAAATGCCTACCATATTCTTCAATATAGAGAGGAATTGAAAAATTAAGGCAATATGTCTCATCCTGTCTACATTGTTAATGACGTAAGCATCATCAAAAGACCACTTGGTAGATGGCGAGGGAACAAAGATTTGATAACATAATTCTTAAGCCCTCAGAGGCCAGAACTCTTTCCACTAGCAACGTTTGTCTAAACAAAGCTCATTATAACATTATTTCAACAATGGCACCACCATGTATCTTTAACTGACAAATGACATTTTTTTAAAAGACATAAATCTTAAGTGTTTTTGTTCTTATCACCAAACTATCGTTCTACTTTATTGTTTCATTTTGGGGGTGTTCAAGAAACACTAAACTGCTTTTGATCTAGAAGGGAAACAGTGTTTCTTGTGAATGTGTTTAGAGAACTTGGAATTAGGCATGCTTCTAGCATCTTCACTTTTACAGAGAAAAGGATTTTGAAGCAGGGAGAATATAAACAGTATACACTGACTCTTGACACACCGTTGCTTTCTTAAACTAGAATAATAGAAATTTGCAAATGAACAAAAGAGTGGGAGGTAGATATCTGATTTACAATGTTTTTGAGATAAAGAACACTATAAAAAAAGATCAATGTGAATAATAAAGCATTGTTAACTGAGTCATGACATTTCTATTCTAGCGACTTGAACGGCAGAACTCTGCAAATGAGCACCTTGTGCCACTTTCCAAGTGGGAGGAAGACATATAATTATAATTCTCACACTGAAGAGAATTCAAGAAAATCTGGGGAAAAGTTTATTGAAAAACATATTGACATATCAGTATTATACATTTCTCTTATTAAACCAAAAAATAAAATTTCTTTTGTGGACTAGTTCATCATGGCACAAAAGGTGTTTCATGAAAGGATGTACTTGCTTTGAAAATTCCTTTCTTATATGGAGAAAGATCTACCATATATTTATTCTGTAACTTTCCAACACCCAAGATATATTAGAGAAATATATTTTCCAAACAGTTTTAACCTCCATTGTCTTGAGTACACGTATCAACATTGTCATGTCACCTATCCAAAATCCTCATGAAAACCTTGTATTTAGTCAAAACTAATGAATCTGTTTCACCACACTTTGCAAAAGGAAAAGAGGGTATAATATTATGTTTTCACTTAACATACATTTTCAGCCATCTCCTTTCTTTGTTGGATGGGTGAGGTGTGGGGGGGGAAACTGCAAAAATTACAGTGATATTATCAACTGCAATGTTTTAATAGAGCGCAAAATTGGAAATAGCATTTTGCCGAGCGCAATGGTTAAATGAATTAAAAAAAAAACCAAGGGTGAATTTTCTCCTGATATTTAACTCCACGGGTCTCAGAGAGTGGATTCCCAAGTATTGCAGGAAGCTCTCTAACTGACCCCGTTACTGCCTCTGGCACTTGAGAAGCCAAAGGGGCAGTTGTAAAGTCAGACACTTAGTGAGCATTGCGGAAATTATAGTGTTGTGTTAAATGTATCCTCTGCAGGGTGCTTTCCTATCTTCAGAGAACACACTCATTAAGTGCTGCCAACAAGAGAATGAAGCGCTTTTCTTTAAAAAAGGGCCACCTTTTATAGAACATCTGGAGCCCATCCAAAGGGCTTCTAGAATAGGTAGGAGAACATAATGAAATAAAGCAGCTCAGCCATGGAAGTTTGCACCATCCGCTGCAGCATGGAGTCATCTCTCCAAATGTATTGGATTTATCCACCATTGCAGTGTGCTTGGAGGACTGAGAAAGAGTGCAACATGTCAGGTGCATGTAGAAACCTTGGCTGGGACTTCGAATCAGCCTACTTATAAACTGAGAAGAAAATATATTTTGGCTATTTACCAAAGTCTACGAATCCAGTTTCATCCACATTCAATTATTTTCCCTCTGCTTGTTAGTGATAAAGATACACACAGGGATTTGGATTTTACACTAACCTGGTGTTTGTTACAGTATCTACTGTGATAAAGAATAGAGATCAAGATATATGGGGAAATATATAAAGACTGTAGATACTGCAGTCTTGCATATTTCCAATAGAGATAGCATATCAGGTTATAGTCAAGAAAGAAACAAAACCAAAAGGGTGGGGGGAGAGGAGAGTACAAAAGTTAGATTGATGAAGCAGAGTAAGAGAAAGAGCACGATAAAGGGAGAAAAAAGATTAAGTCTAAAAGGGTGCCTAAAAGCAAATTCACCTCTGAGAAAAACCATTAAAAGAAATCCAAAGCAGCTAACGTTCATTTGTATGTGAATTAAATTGATTGCATGCAACCAGCTTGGAGCTGACCTGGTCCTGTTCTAGGATGCTCTTAAAACTGGGAAATAACTTGGGAAAAGAAATTTTTCAGACTTAAGTCTTGGGAATGAACCTGTGACAGGGTACCAGGAAATAGCCTGTAAGACTCATTGTACCTGCCCGAAGGACAATAATTTTTCAATCAAGTTCTCATTTTTGGTGGGGGAGACAACCTCAGCCTTTCCAAATTGAGGCACTGCGCTAGTTTCCTTGAAATCTACAAGAGTAACTTTTGCTCAGGAAGGAAAAAATGGAATCATTTTTAATTCTATCTCATTTTCTTAAACATATGTAGGCTCAAAATACTGGATATGAGTGTTTATATCAGTGCTCTGCACTCATCTCAGTTGATTTTTAAGGAATCTGTGCAGAGATAGGTGGTGGTAAGAGATAGGGCTTGGGAGTCAGAAAAAAAAGTGAGTTGAGTCTTGACTGTGTGACCTTGGCTAAATAACTTCATCTCTCTGAGTTTCGATTGCTTTGTGGCTCACAAATAAGAGCACAATAAGGGAAAACTTAGACAAAAAGTGTCACTTTCACATGTTAGCACCCTGTTACAAATAGACGTAAAGAGTAGTATAGAACAATGACAATCATCAGAAGCAGGTGTCAGAGGGTTGGCCATAAGACTTGCCACATTTTCCATCACTCTTTGTTTAATATAATGTATCTGAAATTTGAAGCCTGCCCCTAACTCATACTCACAGAATCAGACATTCTGAAAGTATAACATAGCAATATGTGTTTCAACAAGCACTCCAGGTCATGATATATAAATTATGTAGGTATACCATTTGGGCTTACCAAGCTGATCACCTGAAAAGGCATTCCTCTCAGATTGACCTTGACAATAGCAAATAGCATTCCTTTAAAACATCAGCAGTATCTTCTAATGACTTATGGAGCTATCTTAGGGAGGAAATACTCTTTCCAGTCTACCACAATTATTTAATAGGAGGCACCTGTATATTTATACCAGTTTCTATCACCAAGAGACAACTTTGTACAAAGTATGGCTGGCTCACTTCAGGTTTGAATAGTCCATTAGCTAAGTGGTAAGGATGTCTGAGTAACCTAGGAGGCCCTAAGGTTCCATCTTAAGTATTATTCTTTTGGAATTTCTATTACTGTTTTCAACCCTTTTGAGTCTCTTCAAATTTATTTGGAATTCAATTTAAGTGAGATTAGCCCAAAGCAGATCTAGCAGTAGTGAAGAATTGCTTTACCGAAAACCAACCTATCCAAAGTGCTAACTTGTAAGCACATAGACACAAACAAATCCATAAATACCAATTATTAAAATAGATTTAAAATGTATAGTTTTCTATAACTCATTTGACAAAAATAAAAATGCCAATGAGCTCTTAGCAATGAGCTAAAATGAGTAGTTTTATCTTCATGGTAACACAGAAGAACTTCCAAAGTAGAGGACCTGAAGTTTCAAAGAGTCTTCATCTCCAGTTGCCAAAAGCAAGTATGAATTTTACCCAAACCCACAATTCTCCAAGGCTCTGACTGTTCACCTGCCTTAGATTTTCAGAGAAAGAGACCAGCAGAATACCTTTGCCTGTGTAAGCCTGGGGAGACAGGGAGAAGCTGTGGAACATAAAAGCACTGGGAGAAACCTAAAGGATAAAGGGTGGGTGTGGCAATGGTTAATATTGTTGTTGTTATTTACTAAGTGGGATAGAGCCAAAGCACTCGCCTATGGAACACTTGACATTTTTCTATGACAACCTAATTGATCAAGGTGCTTAAAAGGGAATGAGGTGACTAATCTACCCAACTGATAGGATGAGTACTAACACTCATTATCTATTGGGTTGGCACAAATTGCGGTTTTTCCAATTGAAAGTAACGACAAAACCTCAATTACTTTTGCCCCAGCCAAAAAATTTAGCAATGTCCTGTAAATGGCAAGACCACCTTAACAATGATGCTCGATATAATCACGGTCCCAAGGATTGGGACAACAGCCAAATTTCCTTATCATCCAAGATCTACCTCATTGTCCTTTTTCCCCTTCCATTTGAACCTTGGCATCATTGACCAGTCACTTGTCATTCAGGGGAATTATACTGGTTTCCAAAATCAGGTTAGAGACAGCACAGAAGGAATGCCTGTAGGTAAGCTATCTGTTGACATGTGTTTCTCCTTTAAATAGGCCATAAAGCTCCTGAGGGCTCAACCAGGCCTCATTCATCTTTGTATCTCCTGCATATATCACGGTGGTTAAGAGGAAAGGCTGTAGAATCCAAATGCCCAAATTCAAATTCTTCCTCCTAATCTTTACCAGTTTAGTAAAAAAGCAATGAATAAGGCACAGCGCCCTTCTTCTCTAAGATGTATTCTCCTCACTAGGAAAATTGAACGTATAATAACTTCCGCATTGGGTTTTTGTGAAGATTAAATGAGAATTCATTTAAAGCACTTAGGCAAAGCTTCTCATAGTGTGAAGTGAATGTTAGCTATCATTATTTTTATTATTATAGCAGGCACTAATGAATAAATGAATGGATGAATGGGTATGTGGGAGAGGAAACTCACTGACATCTACGGTTTATTCCACATCTAAAATTTTATACTTCTATTCAGTTTCCAAAGAACTTCACGTCTGAAAATTTCTCATCTGAAAATATTTCACCAGTGCTAGTTATTGTTGTACCTGGTTTAGATGCAATATAATATGGGAAAAAGCAAATAGACTAGCAGCCTTAGAACCAGATTTAAAACATGTCATTACCTACCACTTAGTAAGCTGATGCATAGCTACTACATTCATTCACCCTTTACGCCAAGCCCTGTGCTAAGCTCAGGAATGCCAAGGCATGGTTCCCCTCCCTGATGGTGGGAAAGACACACTTACAACTGAATGTCATGGAAGCACAAAAAAGGAAATGACCTTCTTTTGTGCAAGTCTAGGAACGCTTCAGAGAGACTGAAATCTTCATAAGGGTGGGCAAAGGATTTTATTCATCCCCATATTTTCACTGCCTGATACAGTAGCAGTCAGCAAATATTTGTTGAATAAAAATTAATTGTTGAAGGTTTCCTCATACATGATACCCAGATGCCATTCTAAAGGGAGACCAAACACCTCAACACACTAACATACTTCCTGGGTCCTGACTATGTTTCCAACCAGGGTTAGTTTTGTATGTTGAAATTCACTTCAGTGCTTTGGTAGTAAATTCAATTTTGTACCAGTTAGAAATTGTGCACCAGTTCTTAATTTTTGCTGTCAGTCAGCAAAAATATAACTTGAAGTAATTTTTTTTTTTAAGAGGTAAGGTCTTGCTCTGTCTCCCAGGTGGAGTGGAGTGGTGCCATCATAGCTCACTGCAGCACTGCAGCTTCAAACTCCTGGAGCCAAGTTATCCTCTCACCTCGGCCTCCCAAAGCACTGGGATTACAGGCATGAGACACTGAGCCTAGCCTCAAGAAAGTTTTTTTAATGCGGCATATTTTCTTCTGATAATACATGAGACTATTGTACTCTCACACAGAAAAGACAAACTGAGGATAAAATTCATGGAATATAACCTTATTCTCTCAAAATTTTAATACATCTCACCACTGTTTTCTGATGCTTAGTTTTGTACAAAAAAAATTTGAGGCCAGCTTCAGGAACAGTTATTTCTCATTTGATCTAGTTTTCCTTGCCTGGGTACTTGAAAAATCTTTTCTTTATTTTTGTAATTCAAAATATTTTTTAGAATTGTGGGTCTCTTTTTACTAAATTTTAGGCAGTGGAGCACACTCTCAGAAATTGTTTCTGCTCAGGAAATACATCGCAGTACCATCTTTGAACAACGCTTATGCTTAGATGGTTTTGGTTTCTTCTCCAGGAAACTGTATCTCTTAGGTGAGATCTGTATGTTCTGACCTTTGAGTTTGGCATCATTTTGCCATCATAACTTGAATTCTTTGTCCTTCACTTTTGAACTGTGGGAGAGTTTCAGAATTGCTCTTAATCTCTGTGTTACTAATGATATTTTCTGCAGTGTCAATTCTGTATTTTACTGCTTCTGATGCAGATTTTAATTCTGTCATTTCAATTTTGAATTCTTCAGTATCTCTCTTGGTTCACACATGTCCCTTTGGATCCATTCTGTTGGTTTTTCATCCCAATTTGTTTGATCCTTAAGATTATTTCTCAGTATTTCTCTTTTCTTTACAAACTTATTCTTGCAATCTAATGAAAACCTTGCACAATTTTTGAAAAATTTCTTCTGTTTATGGTAACAAATTATTTCTGGATCAGTTAAGGTGACAAAGAACTACAGCTCTCTTGGTCACATCAAAAATCAACACCTCTAAAAAAACTTAACAGCCTAATTTTCTTGTTGACACAAAATATGGTTTGTGAATCGGGAGCATGCAGAAAACAACACTAATTCCATTCTACTTTCAGCAGAGCTCTGTAAGTGCTAGACTGATTGGATTATTCAGTTCAATTCTAATGGGTTGATATTTAGTGTAAATCTTTCCCAATACTATCAAACCCAAATTTGCAGATGTGAGCATTCTTGTTTTTCCATATTTTTAAAGGTGTTTTAGAAGAAAGCTAGGAGAGGCTGTTTCAAGGACTGTGATGCAGACAATACCTTAAACTTGAAAGCCTTGACTATAATGACTATTTGGTGTTTAGAAATAATTTTTTTAAACCTGCCTTTACTAAAAATTGGAACAAATGAACATTCTTTTTTAAAGGGGACTTTTTTTTTCTTGAAATGGCCCAAACACTTCATAAAATTGTCCTGTTATTTTTAAGACCTGAAATTTTAAACTAACTTTGTGGTAGCTTATTTTAACACTCTAAAATATATTCAGAATAGTTCACCTCAACATGCTTGAATGCTGAATATTTTATGCTTGGACAAAGAGCAAACTGTAGGTCTTTCGCCAAGCACAGTCAATGCACTTGAGTATGGGTTACCAAAAATGCTGAAGAATTTTTTTTTCTATTTATTGTTATAGCTCAAATCCTTGTGTCTCTTGTAGGCTTTAAGTGACATAAATATGCATTTCCATCTGCACATCCTTGTCAGGAATAGTTCTGCTGGGAGGTGTTATGCCACCCAAGTACTTCCAGAATAGAGTCTGTTAATCCTGTTACCACTATAGAAACTCTGAGGAAAAGTCTACTCAGGCCACTACTGCAGCTGCTGTGGCTGTAAACGTTCCAGCAACCACACCCTGGGTACCGAAAGGAAGCAAAAGAAAATTGAATTTTTTTAGTAAAAGAGGGATGTAGAGTACTGACCTCAGTCTATTACTCAGACCAGTGGTCTCCAGATTTTTTACTGTAAAGCTTATAAACCTTTACTAGTAAAAAAGGGAAAAATAGCAAGCCCACCTAATGCATGCCTATATGCATCTATATACATCCATGTGCACATGCATACACAATGGAGGCACATGCTACCATATTCACTGTACTATACGTTATAAAACATGCAGAAATAGTTATCATATTAGGATTTAAAAATAGAAATAAGTGTTTTAACCCCATTGCATAGGTTTGCACCTCCTCCAGGTATACATATGCCACTTTGGAGACCACTGGGCTAAATTTCCACCAAGTGGACTATCAAGAAAATAGATCTTAAATCCCCAGTGAGGCCTTTTGATAGATTCCATAGTTCATTGGGCACACAGAGTGGGCAAAAGGAGTTTAAAAATAAGCATATGATTTGCTCCTCTGTTCCCTCGCTCCTGTGATTTCTTGTCCTTCCAAAAATGTGGCTTGATTTCTGGCCTCTCCAAGGCCTCTGTATACATCTTATTTCTATCCTACATTTATACAGGCACATCACAAATGGATATTAACCTGATAGATGCTGATAGGGAGCCTCTTAAGTCCATCCAACAGTATGTCACCCCCAAGCCCTCATAACTCAGAGACAGAACTAGCTAAATAAACCAGGTTCAATGATCATTCAGTAAGTATTTTTCAACACTAATTTACTGATTTATAAATACAGAATGGATGTCCTTAACTGCCCAATTCGATATCATGCAAGAGATTTCAGATTACCAATGAATCTAGTTGTGAAACAAAACTTCCACAGAAAGGTGGTGGATATGAAAACACCTTCTACCTCTTACAGTGAAAAACTGTTTTTTCAGCTCTAGGAAAAATTGGACACTTAAATCAAAGTTCCTTTTAAATTGATAAAAATAAAATATTTTAGTGGTAAAACCTAGAAAGCTCAGAGCATAGACAAACTTCTCCCAATCCCTCTTGGTACAAGTCTATATGGACGCAATCTTTCTGGAAGGCAATTAGCAAATTATATTAAAAGCTTGAGAAATTCAACCATTAATTCAATAGGTCCTTTTCTATTAATTCAACCTACACAAATCAATAAATATTTTAAAATCATGACAACAATGCTTATTTCAAGAGTATTCATGGTATCAAAAAATAGAAACTATCTACGTTTGTACTGAATGGGGGAACTGTTAGCTTATGATTCACCATGTAAGAAATGCTAAGCATTCTTTAATTCCCTGTATGTTGAGTACCTACGGTCTCCCAGGTCCTCTTTTAGGATATAGCAGTTAATTGACACAGACAAACTTTCATTAGGCAGCATTTTGGTCAAGGGTGGGAAATACATGTACACCATAAGCAAGTAAACAAATAAAATATTTTTAAAAATCACTGTGCAGAAAAATGAAAGAGTGATGTGATAGCAATGGCTGGTGATCAGGGCTATGAGATTAAAGGATTTCTGAATCTTGGCACAATTGACATTTGAAACCACATTTTTTATGGGTTTTGGTGGTGAGGGGAAGGGGTCCCTGTGCATAATAGGTTGTTCAGCAGCATCCCTGGCCTCCACCCACAAAATGCTAGCGCATCTAGCCCAGTCATAACAATAAACATTATCTCCAGACATTGCCAAATATCCATTCCCTTGGGGGGCAAAATCTGCCCTGATTGGGAAGCACTGTTTTTGATGTCAGGTAAGGGAAGGCCTGCCTCACCCAGGAGGTGACATTTGAGCAGAGACCTGAGTATGTTTTTCAATAAGCTTTAGGATGAAGGGAAATGGTTACTATACAACGGTAACATCTATAATACATTATATTCAATAAAATTCCACTTAAAAAATCTCTATCTAGATAGTATAGCCTATTAGTTAGGAACATGGACTTGGAGCCAGGCTGCCTTAGTTAAAATTCTAGCTCCATCACTTACTAGTTATGTGACTCTGGGTAAGTTATTTGATATCCCCGCGTTTTCTGTGTCCTCATGTGAAAAATGGGAATGACACTAGCAGTACCTACCACATAGGGTTGCTGGGAGTATTAAATGGGTTAATATATGCAAAACTCTTAGAAAAATGAATGACATCTAGGAAGCACTACAAGTTTATATATATATATAAATTATAATTAGAATATGTAGTATTAATCAGATATCTAATTAGAATAGTATATTTGTTATTAATCTAATTATGTTGATATATATTCTAATTGTATATGGATTTATATATAAAGTAGAATTAGAATATATATCCTAATATGCAAATATAAAGCATAAATATAAATATGTAGATATATACATATACATCTATAAACATAAATTCCACATATACCAGATATTTACATTTTTGTGAAACAAATATAACAATGTGTTTAAAATGGTAGAATTATAGATTTTAATTTATTTGTATCTTTTTGTATTTTCACAGTTCTACAGATATCAATGCAAATGTTGCATTCAAATCAAAATAAAATACCAAGATGTGTTTTACCACAAAAGACAGAAATTTATAGACTTTTACTAGGATCAGTTAGTCTACAGAGAATGTGGAAAGAGGACCACTGGGATGTACTCAGAAAACCTCCCCTAAGGATGAGTCCATTGTCAACTGAAAACCAAGACACGCCACCTTTAGTCTGTCAGTTCATCAGTTGGCTAAAATGTATTTATTACTTGCTTTCTGCCAGACACCATGCTAGGTTCTGAGAAATTGAGCTGAATGGCTTATGTATTTCCTCAAGGAGTTCACAACAGAAAGGAGAGGAGAAATACATCCAAAATTAATCACAGTACTATAAACTAAACTAAGGGATCTAGTAAGGATATCAACCTGGATTTCTGGGGGCTCCCAAAGGAAACAATTGGGATTGGAGTTGCAGGGGACAGTTGTAGGAAGCTTCTTATAGTGGGCTTTGAGGGCTAAGTTTGGAAAAAGCAGTTATTAGTTATCAAATAGGAATTCTAGGTTTGAACCTACATAAAAAGTACCTCCTAATCAAATACCAGCAGGATCAATTAACCTGGAGAGGGGTAAGTCAGAAGGGACAAAGCAGTTTTATTTCAGAAAAGTATCTCAAGCTCATATCAGAGTGCTTCGTTTCTGAAGCAGTTTCGAAATGCAAAGTCTGACTGCCATAGGAATTAGAAGACGTAAGTTCAAGTACTAGCTCTGCCCCTTACCAGCGGGGTAATCTTGGGCAAACCACTAAAATCTCTGACCCTCTATCAGTTTCCTCATTCATGTAATAATGATAATAATACTTTGCAAAACTGTTGTGAGCTTCAAATGTGATAATGCACATAAGAGACTTTAAGTGACATTCAAATAGTTCGGATGAATAAATTGTGATGGTTTTAACATAATAGAGAATATTTTGAATAATTATGGTTTATTTTTAACATTTATATTTAAACACTGATAGTAAAAAAATTGACTGTATATGTAATACCAATCATGCATGAGTTTATAGCCTGATTGGCTTCATTTATTTTTTCAGAGCCCTAAACCTATTATTAATCCAAGTGCATCAAACTATAAAAACTGCTAACTATTTTTTTCTCAGATAACATAATCTTTATTTCTTGAGACACTTTTTACAAACATTAAACTGAAGGTAACTGCATAAAAATGAAATGGAGACTCATAATTGCAAACTGCTTTCATGTCTGAAGAAGATTCAACTATCTCTTAGGAGTCAATTGTTCCTCGTTACCAGCTTATGATCTAGCTATAAAAGTACATCACTTAGCCTATGTCTGTCTACAGGTGCAAAGTATAGTGGCGGGCAGAAAACTGAAGTAATTATCCAGAATAGTTAGATAAAAAAAAAAAAAAGCCCACTTCAGCCCCCAAAAATTGAAGTTGCTTTGCAGGTGTTGGGGAAGCTTGGGGAGGGGGCCATGCTCAGCCTTCTTCCCTCAGTTCTTTTGTACTCTTTAATCCTTTTCACCTTGAACACTCACTTCTATTATTTCTGGAGGAATAATATACTTTAGCCTTTTCTCTCTTTTTAAAAAAGATTTACCAAGCCTGATTGAAAAGGCTTAAAATGTCCTCTTGTCGTAGCCCTTGATAAACATTTCATCTAACGTTTCTTGAGGCAGGGTTTTAGTTGAAGTGCTACAGAAGACAAATCAAAACAACGATTTATACGACTGTGACTTTAACTTGAAAGTCTTTAAAGGACGTCTTCCAACCAGAGCTGCCATTTGAAAATTAAAGAAAAAATGTCAAATATATGTATCTTATTTATCCTCCCTCCCCAATTAGATTTAATGAACCCAAGGTTTTGTCTTATCCAATCTATCAGGATGTAGCAATTGAATACTCCATAGTTACTTATTTCCATTCATTTCAAAAAGGTGAGGAAATTTTAGAAGCCTTCATCCCTCAACTGGAGAAAATTATCCACTCAGCTTTATTACCCAGCTTTCAAAGAAGAAAATATATTTTTTCTTGAAAACATAGCTTCTTTGGGTATCAATCACCTTTTATTATGCTTTTCTCAATGTCAAGAAATCTTCCTCTTCCTAATTTTGTTCTGTCTTCAGCCATAGTATGTTTTCAAATTTTACTCAATATAAAAATAATAGTGATCTACACATGTAAAGAAAGATGATTCTGACCCTGGCTGATAATTTTCACCACGTTTGATCATGTTGAATGATTTCCTGTATTTTATATATTGTATTATTACCTACCAAGCTGCAGAGAGTATAATCATACATTTTAACAACAAAAATCACCTCTAACATTTGAATGAACTTCACAAAATTTTCATACAAAGGAAAAAAACTTTTTTTCTCTATACAGTGTCACTTCAATTAACTCCTTTTACTAACCACAATAATTTGTTAATGGTTTGGTAGCTTATACCTTGAAATGTCACTTGTCTGCCTTGGTCTGATTTCAGCCACGGATAACTACAGTACTAAATTCTAAGCTGGAGTATAGTTTAAATCCAAGGGAAAACATAATTCACCATTATAGCTTAAAAAATGGTCTATACGTTTGAAATATACACTCATTTTAAATGTTTTGGCCTAGAACTAAAATTAAAATCACCCTACCTTAAAGTCTTATCTAATAATTTTCATATACTCTTCTGGAGTTTACTGCTCACAAGAAAAACTTAGCAACAAGCTACCTGTTTCCACAGGCAACTTGGCAATAGAATTTGTAGGTTAAATGAGAATAAAAAGATCTACTCAGGAGGCTGAGGTGAAAGGATCACTTGAGCCCAGGAGCTCTAGTCCAGCCTGGGAACATATCAAGAACCTGTCTCTATAAAGAAAAACAAAATAAAGAGAGACAGAGGAGGGAGAGAGAATGAAGGCCAGACATGGTGGCTCATGCCTGTAATCCTAGCACTTTGGGAGGCCAAGGCAGGTGAATCCCTTGAGCCCAGGAATTCAAGACCAGCCCAGGCAGCATGGTGAAACCGAGTCTCTGCACAAAATACAAATAATAATAATACTATAATAAGCTTGCTGTGTTGGTGCACGCCTATAGTGCCTGCTACTCAGGAGACTGAGATGGGAGGATCACCTGAGTCTGGGAGGTTGAAGCTGCAGTGAACTGTGATTGCACCACCACCACTGCACTCCAGCCTGGGTGACAGAGTGAGACCCTGTCTCAAAAAAAGAGAGAGAAAATGGGAAAATATTCAGGTAATAGTGAGCCATTAATACTTGTGTGTGTGTGTTCATGATGTGTGTGTTTTGCTTTCTTTATGACTAATATGACGAGAAGAATATTGTCCAAAGTATAATTTTGATTATAATGCATAAGATATCTTGAAGAGAGTTGTCACTGTATTCAGAGCCAATGACTGCTGAAAAAGAGTCCAGATGTGAGGGCAGAGAAGATTAAATCTGAGTGGCAGTAATGGAAATGAAAAAGCAGACACGGACTTGAGAGATGTTTAGTAGGAAGAATAAATAAGAACTTGTAAATGATTGGATGGAGGGACAGGGCCAGTCAAATAATAGTTTTAAGCCCAGGGAACTGGAAAAATGACAATACAATAAAGACAAATTGAACTGTGAATTCTCCAGGGATAGCCAGAGTTATTCCAGTTTGGGGAGAAGAATGAGGGGCTTAGTAGAAAGAGGCATCATAATTGAAAGGATTTCGCTAGTTACCCACAAAAAATGTCCAATAGACAGTTACAAGTGTGAAGCTGTAATTTGTGATTACTGTGAGCTTCTTGAGGACTGAAACCATTTGTTGTGCTTCTCTGAATTCTGCAGTGGTTAGCGCAGTGCCAGGAGTGTAGTTTATGCTTGGCAAATATTGCCTGCATCTTTGGATGGCTGGATGAAGATTTAGTGGCCAACTTCACAAAGAAATCAATGACGATGTGAGTGTGGACAAATACGGCCTTCAAGGGCAGGGTAGGAAGAAAGAAACTAAGAGGACAAAGTCTTAAGGAAAAAATACATGGAAGGAGCTGGAGGATAGCAGAAGCTGATAATGGAGATGGGCTAGGTCAGTCAAGGAATTACACCAGAGAGGGAGAAGGAAAGGACAAAGGAAAGGAAAGGACAAAGGGAAGGGAAGAAGGGAAGGGAAGGGAGAAAGAAAAGCAGAAAGGAAGGAAAAGGAAAAAGGAAAAAGGGAAGGGAAGGGAAGGGTAAGGAAAGGAAAAGAAAGGAAAGGAGAGGAAAGGAAAGGGAGAAAGAAAAGCAGAAAGGAAGAAAAAGGAAAAAGAGAAAGGAAAGGAAGGGAAGGGAAGGGCAAAGGGAAGGGAAGGGAAAGGAAGGAAAGGGAAGGGAAAGGGAAGGGAAGGGAAAGGCAAAGGGAAGGGAAGGGAAAGGAAGGAAAGGGAAGGGAAAGGCAAAGGGAAGGGAAGGGAAAGGAAGGGAAGGGAAGGGAAGGGCAAAGGGAAGGGAAGGGAAGGGAAGGGCAAAGGGAAGGGAAGGGAAGGGAAGGGCAAAGGGAAGGGAAGGGAAGGGAAAGGAAGGGAAGGGAAGGGCAAAGGGAAGGGAAGGGAAAGGAAGGGAAGGGAAGGGAAGGGCAAAGGGAAGGGAAGGGCAAAAGGAAGGGAAGGGAAAGGAAGGAAAGGGAAGGGAAGGGCAAAGGGAAGGGAAGGGCAAAAGGAAGGGAAGGGAAAGGAAGGAAAGGGAAGGGAAAGGCAAAGGGAAGGGAAGGGAAGGGCAAAGGGAAGGGAATGGAGAAAGAAAAGCAGAAAGGAAGGAAAAGGAAAAAGGGAAAGGAAAGGAAGTGAAAGGAAGGGGGAAAGGAAAAGGAAAAGAAAAAAGAAGGGAAAGGAAAATGGGAAAAGAAAGGAAGAAACAAGAATAGAATCAGAGGACCTAGTACTTATTCATCATTTGAATGCTTTTATCTATGAAGAGTCAAATGAGAGAAAACATGGATGCAAAAATTACAAAGTCACATTTAGTGATCAAAAATGAAAATCATTAAAACGTTTTCTTAATAACTTAGAGTAAATAAATTAATAGCTCCTGTCACATTGATTCATCTGTTGCATGTGGGTACTCAATAAATGTTAATTGAATTAAATTAATAACATTTGCTCAACAGTAATAAAAACTTAACTAGCTGTCTATCTTTTCTCTGACTTAAGTTTATGTCCATTTGTTCTTGCAATTACCTGTAGCCCAAACTGTTTAACATTCACTTTAATTTTTTTCCAAGAAATATAGATGAGCTTCTATTTTTTGTCCTAATTTTGGTTTGTTTTTAACTATTGGTAAAAATTATTTTCTCTAAATTAATGTCAAGAACTATGAATAACATCCCAAATATAGTTTCACGAGTTCCTTATTTAACTCTAAAATAATTTTCTCTACAGAAGATATGACACTACTTTTTATGTTTCTACTTTGAGCTTATGCTACTTTACAGTACTTTGGGTGCAATGTCGAATAATACAATAAAGGAAGGAATCTGAATCTGATGAAATTATTGTTAGCATCATCTATAAAAGATGGAAGATGTCAGTAACATTCACCCAAAAATTGTGACTCACTTCAGATGTCAGAATTCTGGGTTGAACAGACTGGGTTCTCAAATGTGTGTATGTCAGATGATTTTCTAATGAGCAACAGATAGTTCCCACTGAGGAATGAGAAAAAATAAAAATATAAACAGAGATATAGAATTAAAATAACTTTATGAATGGCAGTTTAACTTCTCCATAAAATTCTCTCAGTACAAGCCTAGTGTGCTCCAAATGGTTGCTTAATGTAGCACACCACTTACATTCAAAATGCTATACTTAAAATTGTCACAAAATTAAAAAGAGAATCATATACCACTTGGCTGTATACTGTATTCGCCGCATGTTCTTACATTCCAGTAACCTCTATCCAACTTTTTTTTGTTACTGAATTACTTTGTGCAAAAGCAATTTAAATTACATGCAGCCTGACTACGTGTGATAATTTGAACTGATTGTTAATTAATTCTGTTAAGTAAATAGCTGCTGCAATCTCCATACTCATCAAGGTCTCGTTATCTATCAGCTCTTTCTGAGCTACTCTCTAATGTATGGGATAAAGCAGCTGTAATGGAACAAGAAGGATTCCCTGAGTGTGCAAAGAAGGTAGTTTTGCTTTGCAAAGACTGCTAAGGGAAAGGCGAGTGTGTAAAACCCAGCTATTTGCAAGGCTCGATTTTGGGCAGGTGACACATCACAGTATTTAGGGTGAGGAGGTTTTGCTGATGTGCAGTCTCAGCAGTTAGGAAGGAGAGATAAAAGCTAAGAATAAATCAGAGAAAACATTGCATAATATAAAAGGGAAAAGGACAAGCACAAAGCTTTTGGAATCTACCAGGCCTAGATTTGAATCTCAGTTCTACTACTGAATAAGGAGGAGGCCTTGGACAATTTACCTAAATAAACTCTGTAAGCCTTGGTTACCTTCATTCATCTGCTAACTGGGGATACCCATTCATACATTTCCCATCTGTTCAAGGAGGCTAACAATATCTACCTCCTAGACTCTTTGTGATGCTTAAGTTCAATAAGGTATATAAGCGGTAACATAGAACTTGACATAAGATACACGCCACTCTGTGTGTGTTCGTGTGTGTGTGTGTAAAGCAGTGCTTTTCAACCACAGTGATTTTGTCCCACAAGGGAAATGCAGCAATATCTACAAACATTTTTCATTGTCATGAGCTAGAGGGTCAGGTGCTACTAGCATCTAGTGGATAAAAGACTACGATACCACTAAACATCCTACAATCTCTCCATGCCAAAAAATTATCTGGCCCAAAATATTGATGCTGTTCTTAGTGTTCTAAGACATCATTTGAATGTCCATCTATCTGCAATATTAGCTGATTACTGGATGCCTTGATACCCAAGTAAGAAAAATAAACTAATTATGATTTTCATCACCATCATCATCATTATATCATTAATTTGGTGAATCCCTCTTGGGTTAGAGGAAGCCTAGTGTTCTCTCATCTGTAGGGCTGATTCCACTTCAATATTCAATACTACATTAATTGCTTTCAACGACAGATGTTTTCTTGAATCCCTATTTCTGCCAATCCCTTTTATGGTGGATGAAACCACAACCAAGAAATTTAAAGCCAGCACATAAAAGGAAGAGAATAGAAATTAAACACTGTTGAAAACCAAGGCTGTTTGGAGGATCAGAAAGAAACAAAAATGACCTAAGACAGTTGTGTATTACCAGACTGATAGTTCTGGTGCCAGTTAGGAGTCTTTGGAAAGCAACCATCTTAAGATTGGTTTCTGAAAATCACTGATGCACAAGTCAGTGGGCTGTTCTCTCTCTTTTTCTTGTCTCAAATGCAGAAGATCCCTGGCATCGTGGTTCCCAAACTTGTCTACATGTCGGAATCACCTGAGGAGCTTCAAAAATTCTCCCATCCCACCAAGGATTGTGATTTAATTGGTCTCCTGAATAGGGGAATACCAGAGCTTTAAAAATTCTGAATTTTAAAAAGATTTTCCAGGTGATTCTACTCTGCAGAAAAGTCTAGAACCCATTGCCTTAGAAAGCAGAACCCACTAGACATTTCCATTGGCCCTAAACTAAGAAACAACCTTGGAAAGGGAAATAAAGATGGACTTGGCAAGAATATGTTCCTTGCACTGAGCTGCATAAGCATGGTAAAATCAAACCAGGTTGCCAATTGTATTATCAATTTCAGTAACTCAATGAGCATTATTGAACCAACCAGGCATTGCGTTAACAATGGGAATGCAATTCCCAAGGACACCTCTTGACCACGTCCCAGTTGTGCCACCAAACCACGAGGACTGTTGCTTGTTCAGGTTTTAAGTTGTTCCTGGGCATCATCAGCCTGTAAGGAAGTTATAAGCTAACTGCACCATGACCCAGTCTGGTCCTCTCTCTAACATGATTTTATGATATGCTTCTCTTTTATACACTTCTCAATCCTGTAACTTTCAGTTATTTCTTTGACGATTTGTTTGATGCTCATGAAGGTCAAGGTCCACGCCTGTCTTAGTCATCCCTCTATCCCCAATATACAGCCCAGCGCTTGTTGCAGAGCAGACTCCCAATCATTACATGGCAGGAGAATGCATACAGTTGTCCCTCAGTGTCTGAGGGGAACTGGTTCCAGGACTCCACAGATATCGAAATTTTCAGATGCTCAGGTCTCTAATATAAAATGATGTGGTATTTGCATATAACCTATGCATATCCTCCCATATACTTTACTTGACCTTTAGATTATTTATCATACCTAATACTATGTAAATGCTATGTAAGTGGTTGTTATACTGTATTGTTTTTTATTTGTATCATTTTTATTGTTACATTGTTATTTGGGGAGCTTTTTCTGAATATTTTCAATCTGTGTATCTAGGATTTGTTGTATTGGGGATGTGAAACCCACAGATACGGAGGGCCAACTGTATAGGAGATGTAAAATACATACAACGCTTGGGGCTTCTCAGCCTTCTCTATGGCTCTCCAAACCAGAATTTCAGTCAAGAACTTCGCTAGAAATTCCCTGAACATCTCTAGCTATTGTGCCAGACAGTTATGTGGAAATAAAGCATGTTCCCAAGAAGCATATCCCCAAAGCCATACAGGCTATCACCTGAATAGGAACTTAAATACCAAGGCAGAGAAAGCCACTGTGAGGTTATGAGGACAGAAGCAGGAATGAGCTTATAGACTATTCATTTATATGCATTTTTCTTTTTACAGAGGAGGAAAATGAGGTTTGTAAAAACAAAGTAATAAAGTGACTTGATTGAGCTCATATGAATAACTCAGCAGTATTGCCCACCACATAAGATCCTTATCCTTTTCCTCAGATTAATAATACTCTGTGACAGGAGGCTGACAATGTACTATGAGATTTTGTTGATCCAAGTGAATGAATTGCTTGATTCTCCCTACTTATTACCAAAAAAAAAAAAAAAAGTAGAAATAAGTGTTACAAATTACCATGATAGGTAAAGTTTGCAATGTGTATAAAATTTTATAATGATTGCACTCTTCTTTCTCATATTTTTATTCAAAATTGTCTTGCTCAATAATACTTCATTTGTTTTCTTAAGACTTTAATCTTAGGAAAGTCAAATGTGAAAATTTCTGCATTCTTAGGTCACTAGGTCACGTAAACCATAGTGGGTTTCTGTATGTGTTTTTTCTTTTTTCCTCTAGATACGCAACTCACGAATGCAAAGCATGCAGATGAGAAACCCATTAATGCTATTGTTATAAATTCAGTATCTGACTTCAATATCACAGATGGACCAGCCAAGGAAAACCCCAATGAGAAAAAACTGTCAGAATCCAGCACATCACTGTCCTCCCTTGAAGAATGCCAAACAACATTTTCTTACCTCCAAACTGATACTTCAGTTCATCACAGAGACACTGATGGTATGTTTCTCAGAATTCAACCCATCTCTAAATAAAGCTCCCAACCCCCATCCCCTGTAAAATCATCACATATGCTGTTAGGAAAAAAAAAGTCCTTATGAATATTAAACACGAAGACTTCGATTTGAAAACTCTGGTGAATGACATATGTCAAGGTCACTTTGCAGTTATGAGGCGCTTGGCAGATTGTTTGCTCTCAAAGCTGGGAATCAGAGGCAACATGTTTTAAATAGCTGGGGTGGAACATAATCATTATTGCTATGGGGCTATGAGGCAGATAAAGAAAAATGGCAAACTTCTTTCTCTCCTCAGACATGGAACTATTCAGTCTATAACTCTAGTCAGAGAAAAGAAGGCAGAGAGAAATAGTATTAAAATGCCGGAAATATATAAATATAGACAGCATAAAAAATTAAGATGTTTACATCTTAATCTATGAGATTAAGCAATCTCATCAGCAATCTATGAGAAAGGAGTGGTTCCCCTGGGTATTATCCATAGGCATCCTGATCAGTGCAAACCTAGACCCAATCATCCCTATATATGACATAAAGAGTACATTTCGTTTGCAAAGCCAATTTCAAATTGTTTTGGTGCTAAATAAACAATCAGCCAAACAAAGTTCAAAATTATGGACTCCACACCAAGATATGGAATTTTACTTAGGTTAACTTTGCAATGACCTTTACAGGAGAAAAACCATTCAAGATTTTGTAGTGTTCAGTATCTACATTAGCATTTAAAGAAAGCCTGGAGTTTCTCAAAGGAAAATGTAACAAGGTATGGTTTCTGGTCTACATTTAAATACATATTTACTTTTTGAAAATAAGAAAAAAGATTAAATAAACTTTGAATAACAGCACCTTTGGAATCACATCAGTTTCACTTCTGCCTCTGAAGTCTATTAACTGTACAGTACTGGACACGTTTTTTAAATTTACCATCTCTAAATTTTAGTCTCTGATTATATGATAGGCTAGTTCACACCATGGGGTATGTTGGGGATCAAAAAAAAATAACGTATAAAGCACCTAGTACAAAAGTTGGTACACAGAAGGTACTCAATTTCAGCCATGATTGTGATTACATTTTTAGAAAGTAAGGAAGATTTCTATCATATATTATGTATGTGGTGTCTTGTGCACATGTTGTCATGAATGCTTTAGGCCAGAAACTACAGGCTTAATTGCCTGTAGTTGCCTGCAGATAATATGAATACTAAGTAGGCTGGAAGTAAACAACAGGGATTGGTGAGGACTATGGCAAGCTGGAGAGCACATGGCTCATCTAAATGTCACTACCTCGACACAGTACCAGCTGATTGTTGCCAGAAGGAAATACAGGGCCAGAGTTGCCAGATATTGAAGTTTTCCAAGAAAATCCAGAGACCAGGAGTGTTATGTAAAATTTCTAAGTTTTCCAGGGTTGATAATTACTTTTATTTATTTTTTCAAAGCTCAAGGTACTCCCAACAACACATCGTTGGGCCAACTTTGACCTGTAGCTATCAGATTATGACTCTGAATTCAGGATGATGCTCAAGTCTCTAGCTTTGGTAGAGATTAATGCCAGTCAAGAAAACAGGTAATGGCAGAGAGGCCTCTACAAAAGCATCTTGATGCTACAGCATTTTATCAAATTTTACCAGGAGTGTGTGGATGCTACTCATCATGTGAATAATTGAATTAAGTTAAATCCCAGAACTGGGAATTGCCATTGTACATATCCACAGTGAAACATACTTTCCCTCCAGAATCACTCTGATCTGACCTATCAGGGATACTGGAGGAATAAGAGGGGCCAAGCCAACTAGCATGACACCTAACTCTTGTATTATCAGGAAAGGGCCCAAATCACTACTTCATTAAAATGGCAACTGACACTCAAGAGCCCCATTCAAAAAAAAAAAAAGAAAGAAAATAGCTGACTACTCTTCATTCAAAGAGCAAAGGAGATCCATGAAGATAATTAAATTAGGTCATTTCCAAGAAATTCAGGTTGTAAGCTGACCACCTAGGTGATAGTCCACTTGTCCTTTTCCTCCCGTGTGAAAAATCTCCCCGGTGAAGTAAGAGCTTTTGGTACCTGGATAAAAGAGAAAGGAAAAGAAGCCAACCTAAGACCCACAAAGAGTGATAAGAAACTCTCATTATCCTAAACAGCAAACAACAAGGAAAACAAGAGTTAAGTCAGACTCACTCCATTTTAGAGAATTTTCGATAGTAATTGTAATTAATTTAAGGATGCAGAAATTGAGAGCTGGGGTCATTGTTCGTACTGAGATAAATACAGAAATATCTTTCAGGAACAGCAGGGAAAACAGAAGGGAAAAGAGAATACTGCATCCACTTTCATGTAGTTTGTGGCTAATTTATTTTCAAATGTATAAATGAGTGCATAGTAATAGATGCTTAATTGCTAATATCTATTATTTATATACATTGCCCCACTTAAAACAGGATGGAAAAGCCTCACACATGCAGATTTTGTAAAATGTGTTACATCCATTAGCACAGTTCATGGTGTGTGCTCTGATGGGAATTTAAAAGGATCTTTACTGCACATCACACACTGTGTGCTGAAACATTACTTTATTACTAAATTGTGGTTCATCGTGTGTGGTCCCTTTCCTGAATAAAATGGAAAGTGTCCAGAGGACTATCCATGTCCCCACTTCTGTTTCTGCAAACTTCTGATTGTGAAAGCTTCTCTGTGGATAAGAAAGTCAGAAATATACATGATATTAGAAAACAGTCCCCTTAAAAATAATCCTGAGACTATACCTAATTGATGTATAATTTTGAATTTGAGACATCTCATCCAGGTGGAAGAGGAAAATCATAAATACAAGATACCTCAAAAGAATAGTCTTAATTACACCATGGACTACTGAATAAAATGATTACATTTTCTACACTGTAAATTTCATACAATTAAATGCACCAGTGTCACCTTATAAAATGTTTCAATTTTATAATTATTTCAGTTCATTTGCTCAGAAAAAAACATAAGCCCAAATTTACTTAGTATCACCCAAATCTAGTCATTCTAGTTCTAAAGAACTGACTTGAGTGTTAGTTGTGCTTGTCTGAACTTAAATAGATCTTGACATATTTAAGTAGCTATTAAAATTGATAACATCAGGGATGATACCCCAGCTAGAGAAAGGCATTCAATCACTCTTTATTTATTCCCATTCTACATTACAGACATTTTTTAAAGAACTCAGTGTGGGGGAGTGGGAACCGATTTTTACACTTTTGGAAACTTTTAGTAATCAGTGGATTCATTGTGTCATGAATCTCATTATGATGCTGAATTCTCTGTGATAACATATTAATGTATTAAAATACTGGCTTGGGGCTGGTATCATGCTGGCTCTTTTCTTTTTCTTTGCTTTGGGGAGGATGAGGAGGGATTGTGATTTGTCTGGGATCACTTCTGGGAGAATGATTCTTGCCACTTAGGATAAGGAGTCCTGGGGTAGCAGGAGGTGTGCTTCAGCAGCTCAGAAATGCTTCAGGAACTTCTGTGGGTGCTCTTATCCCTCCCACCTCCTAATCATGGGCACCAAGGTGACAAGACCCAAAGTTGGGAGGGCAGAATCAGGGAGTGCAAGACTGCAGCCATGAGGCTCCCCTCAAACACACTTGTGGAACCTCCTTGGATTGCCACCTTTTCCACTCTAATTAAAGATGATGCTTTCTAGTGAGAGAGATTCTCCCTCCTAATTAGCCAGTCCCCAGTTGTACATTTAACACCTCTGGAAGCTGTGTTAATTCTTCAGTGTCATTAGGGTATCACTTTGCTCATCACAGCCTCCATGTCCTAAAGGTACCCTGGGGTGTAGAAAGGAAATGAAGCCCAAAGGGGTTTTTGTCATGGCTTTTTGCTCCCAGCAAAACACCACTGTTGACTGTGCAGCCTGCAGGTCTCTGATCCATCTTAAACCTTCTTTAATTCAGGTTTAAGGAATAGGAAAGCCAGGTGGGCACTTCAATAGCAGTGATTAGAGCCTGTGCCAGGATGCCAGGTGTTCTATAGAGGAGATTTAATATACAAAGAACTTGTGACAAAGGTTTTAGAAGAGCAGAAAAGTCAAATACAGTGAACAGTAAGCTACTCAGATATTAGCAACAACAAGAAGGCTCTCCCACCTCTTCCTTTTGTCCCTCCAGACTACTAGTGCACTGGTATGAACTTGGAGACCACTAGTACTAACTGTTGTCAGATAGACTACTAGTCACTAACCACTATCAGATAGAGCACTAGTTACTAACCATTATCAGAAAGACCACTAGTCACTGACCACTATCAAATAGGCCATTAGTCACTAACCATTAGCAGATAGACCACTAGTCACTAACTGTTATCAAATAGACTACTAGTCACTAACCATTACCAGATAGACCACTAGTCAGTCACCAATCACTATCAGATAGACCACTAGTCACTAACCACTATTAGAACACTAGTCACTAACCACTATCAGATAGACCACTAGTCACTAACTACTATTAGACCACAGTCACTGTGGTTAGCCAGAGCCACAGAGGGATATACATTCAGAGAGAGATAAAAGCAAAGAGAAGATAAAACCACTGCCTAAGACACCACCCAAAGCAAAGAGCAGGAGGAGAAGCACCCTGAATTTTCTCTTCCTCCCATCTTGCAGGTTCCAGTTACTGCCTTCTACTGGCTGAATCTAGACAGAAGCCACTAAGAGCAAGTGGAAAATGATCTTTGCCAGTCTTGGGAATCCAGCACAGAGGAGGGCAAGAGGAGGGAATGGAGAGGGAAGCAGGCCATCAAGAAGCTGGTAGTGGCCTGTGCCATGCTCAAGTGTGTCAGAAGGAAACTGGGAGCATATTATGGAAGGCAGGTTGGATTCCTAGTTAAAAACTGTGGAGGAGTCAGTCTGGTTCAAATTACAGTGCTGCAATAGCCTATGTTTCCTGGGGCATGCCTCTTAAACACTCTTTGCCTCAGTTTCCTCATCCATAAACAGGGATCATAATAGTACTCAACTCAGGGTGATCTGGAGGCCTGTGTAAGCTGTATGTGGAGGCCTGCACAAAATTTGCAATAGCAAAGACATGGAATCAAACTAAATGTCCATCAATGATAGACTAGTTAAAGAAAATGTGGTACATATATACCATGGAGAACTACACAGCTGTAAAAAAGAACAAGATCATGTCCTTTGCAGGAACTTGGATGGAGCTGGATGCCATCATCCTTAGCAAACTAGCACAGAAACAGAAAACCAAACACCACATGTTCTCACCCATAAGTGGGAGCTAAATGATGAGAACACATAAACACAGAGAGGGGAACGACACACAATGGGGCTTATTGGAGGGTGGAGGGTGAGAGGAGGGAGAGGATCAGGAAAAATAATGAGTACTAGACTTAATACCTGGGTGATGAAATAAACTGTCCAATAAACCTCCATGACACAAGTTTACCTATGTAGCAAACCAGCACATGACCCCTGAACTTAATAAATGTTAAAAAAAGAATTTAAATAAGTAAAAAAAAAAAGTTACAAAACAAAGGTTCTAAATATAGAAGGAGAAGAGAAATGAACACCCACCCCCACCCCAAAAAAAGTATAGAGGGCTGTAGATTGGCTTTTGGCAAAATAGTTGACACATATAACAGTGGGATAGAGACCACAGGCTTTGGATTCAGAAAGACTTAGATTTGAATCTCTGCTCTACGATCTTACAGTTGGTAGGATTTAGGACAGTCAGAAACAATCCCTGAACCTTAGTCCTTGCATCTAAAAAATGAGGATTACAATATTTACTTGTTAGAATCATTCATTGATTTAGTCAGTCAACCAGAGAGAGAGATATGGCTTTCTTGCCTCTTGCAACGTAGATTCTAATAGGAGGAGGTAACAAACTAATTAGTTTCATGCCATCGTATGGTCAGTGCTATGAAGAAAAAATAAAACAGATTGCTGTGAGAGTTTCAGCAAGGATGTGATTTAAAGGGAAGGTGTTTAAAGCTAAAAACTTAAATGTTTGAATAGGAGTTGGGTGAAGTTGAGGGGCAGGAGGGTGTGCAATGCAGGCAAAAACACAGCATGTGCAAAGGCCCTGAGCCATGTGCATTCCAAATACTGCAATTTAGTCAGTGTGGCTGGAGTGCTGTGAGTGTGAAGTAAGTAAAGTAGGTCCAGAAGTCAGAGAAATAGGCAGGAATCCAATCATGCAAGGGCTTGTAGGCTAAGGCAAGGATTTGGCACTTTTCTCTAAGGGGAGAGTGAGTTGTTTAAATTTAGAATTAAAAATACTGAAGGAGCTGATGAATTTGAAGCGGGCTCATGTGGAAGCAGAGTGTCCTTGCCAGGAGGCTATTGCTGTTGACCTGCTGGTGGCTGATGGTGGCCAGAGCTAAAATGGTGGCCCTGCAGGTGGTGAGCAGCTTGTGGATTTCGAATACGAATTTGAGGTGGAAACAGCAGGACTCAGCAATGAATTGCATGGGGAAGGTATGATGAGGAAAAGCAAAATGACAAAGAATGACTACCAGGTTTCTGCCGAATTCATCTGGGTGTTCAGAAGCCATCCATAAAAGAAAGTAGGAGGAGGAACAGATTTGTAGGACTGGGGAGAGAGAGATCCAAAATGCAGTTTGGCCTTGGTAAGTGAGATGTTTTGAAGACGTTGCAGAAGAGACGTGCAGCAGGCAATAGCATATATGGTATACACTTTTGGATGGGCTGAGAGAAGGGGTGCGAATCCTGGGATAGGACTTTGAATATCACATTTATTAAACATTAAAGCACCAGGAAATAGTGCAGGCAAAGAAAAATATACTCATTCAGGACAAGAGGAAATCCAACGCTCTTTTCAAACAGTTGCAAATTTTCCCCTGAACTGCTTGTGCAAACAAAAATTGGCCATATGCAAAACAGTTTTACCTGCTCATGTAGAACTATTTAACATGCCTTTTAGGAAAAGTGTGGAACTCACTTGAAAGATCGGAAAAATCTGTTTTCAATTCATTAATGTTACCATGTTGTTTTTGGGCAAGAGACTCTGCCTTTTAAAACCAAATAAAAAGGACTGACTTAGAAACAGAAAAAAATGGGCTCTATTCTCAAGTGCAAAATAGGGAGGTAGAAGGAAACAAGTGCCAATTTGGCCAAAGGATTAAGCCAAAACTTTTTTTTTTCTTTTGTAAATAAAATCTACAGTATACATTAGAAGAGGAGACCTCCAGAGTCTGCCAACTTGAGGAGACATTGGCAAGAGCAATTGAACCAAAAGGTTGTACACTCTCAGGAAATTATAAGACCACTTTACGAACAGGTCCTTCACACTCTGATAGGAAACACCAGCTCCAATCCTTAAGGTCACCTGCATTCCCACCCTACTTAACTCCAAAGCAAACTTTTAACCTTGCATGTATAAAGGACAGGATCCAGTGGACTCATTTTTATATGGTCATAAGCTTGAGTAAGTCTCTTGAGCATTCAGCCTGAGGGATCACAGAGTATTCACTTGGAGATTGTCTGCTGACAGCCTCTTCTTTGCCAGTGCAGCCACTGCTATAGTAGTGGTCTTCATATTGGTAAAACTCGATGAGGTTGTATGTCCCTCATCTTTGACCATCTTTTCCTTTTCAGAAAAGCATAGTTGAAACAGTCTATATACTATTACTAACTTACTCTTGCATTTTTGTGGGAGGTTTGTGGTGACTTATGAGATATGGGAGAGTTGGTCACACGCTAAAAGCTGGCTCTAAGTGAAGAAAAATACAGCAAATCTGGCAAAGAGATGAGTTTGTACACAGTAGAGGTATTGTGGAATATGCTGCCTGAACTATAAATACTGAGTAGTGGCCACAGCACCTGCAACAATATATGACAATTAAAGTAGTCATAACAGTCATGGTGTGGTTCTTTACCACCATCTTTCTGGGAAGAAAGGAAGGGAAGGTAAGAGAAAGAGGATGGAGAGAAAAAGAGGAAAGAAGAAAGATTTCTGTTTACTTATATTCAGGACTCACCTTATAACTTTATATAGTGTTTTTACAAGAAACCAAAGTGGCTTTCTTTAAAATATTTGTTCCTTTTCATAGGAAGTTTCCATATTTTTCTTTCACTTAAAGACTATTATATGAATAATGAAAGAAAAGAGCTTTCTGGAAAATAAAAGTAAATGAATACGGCGATAAGAGCACTTATACTGTAGGCAAAATCTCTTCTATATGCTTATATACTCCCCATTGACTAAAGTCTGAAAACCAAAGTTATTAGCATTCTTATTGGGAAAAATACAGATCCTTATGAAAGTCAAACTTAAATCAATTGATAAGCCCATCTAGAGGAGAAATTTTTTCTCTAATTCATGCTAGAATGTTACTTTCAATCATCAATAATCTTCAGATTACTGATTTTAATTAATTAGGTAATATATCACATGAACACTTACCTACCCTTTTACAAAGCACTCACACATTTTTTAGACTTTTTTAACTTAAAAGAAAGAAAAGTTAAAATTTTAACAAGAGAACTGCTACATCTTCTAACTAATTCCCTTTATGCAAACAAAAAACATAATAATCTATAACCCATCACAGCTGTTTGGCTAGAAATTACCAGTTACCTTCAATGCCTTAGAGATACTTTCCAGATTTTTACAAGCCTGTGTAGTAAATTTTTAAACCAATTTTCTTAAAGAGGATTGATAAGATTTAAAACCTTTTAGGCATATGATGACGTATTTCACTTAAACAACTTGAATATAAAATCAAGGCTTTACATAACTGGAGGGAAACGGAAACAGAGATTAAAAATAAAACACAACCCAAAAGCTGTGATTATTTTAAAAAGCATTTATATTAAGTTTTGAAATGTGCTTTTCGCTTGCACTGGAATATGGGTGTGGCAGATTTATGGGAATCCATGTCGAAAAATAACAAAGCCTAGTGACAAGAAACAGGGCATTTGTACAGTCTCTCCTTGTCCCCAATCCTAACTGCTTCTTAAGCCCCTTGTATTTGGGGAGTCCCTGCAATTTTTCAGACAGTTGCAAGGTTTCCAGAGAGGTAGCTAATTGTGTGGCTTCCCAGAGCCTTGCAGGCAAAGTAAATAAAGGAGTTTAGAAAACTGACAGCACTTTAAATAACCAGATTATGTCGAATCAATAGGAAATGCTCAGGAAGTTAATAAAGCAATTACTTAAGTAGAGTGAGTACTGACATGGGGGTGGGGGAGCTTGAGAGAAGAAGGGTGTACATTACCCCTAATGTGGATAAATAATTAAGAGTTGGCTATCAAGTTATCAAGTATCCCAGCACACATGCCTGTCCTTCATAGACGCCCCCAGATGTGCCACTATTAATTGGTCTTCTTCTTTAAACAGAGGAGTGTGCCTCCCTTATCCTCGCCTGTCTGTTTTGCCAGTTTTGGGACTGTCTCCTGATGCTCCCCGGCACCTGCGAAACGGTGTGTACCAAAATGTGCTGCCCCTCTCGCCGGTATCACCACACCTCGGATGAAAACCACTCTCGGAATGATTGCAGCTGCAATTGTGACATGGACTGCAGCCTTTTTGAATCTTGCCATGAGACCAGCGAGTGTCTGGAACTGGCCATGGAGATTTCAGAAATCTGTTACCGCTAGCACAGTGAAGTAACCACATTCCGGCAGTCCTTTTGGCCACGGTGGGAAATTCCATTACAACAAGACTGATTTCCATGTGCTGAAATGTAAGGACTGTACACATTTCTTGGATGCTATAGGCCATTTTATTCTGCACCTGTCTAGGAAAGCTAGTATTATCAACTCAATGGTCTTATTCCAAATTTCACAACCGCATGGCTCACTGAAAAATAAGATTCTTGATCACATGTGATGAACAAATCTTAAATACCTCTTAAATGCTGTAGGTACAAGATGTTTCTTGACTATAAAATAGCATGTTAAGCCACTGCGTTATTGCACTCATCAGCTTGCATTATGGATTCAACCTCATTCACAAATTCAGGACAAATTAGTGCATTCTTTTAGAATTGACATACATTAGCTCGTCTTTCTAATGGACTCATGCATAAACATTATGCATTGTTGGTTATTATTAATAATGTATTGTATAACATCATTTTGTAATTAAAAATTTATTTATACAGTCTCTTAAAATTCACTTATATGTACAGTTTAGGTAGGAAAGGGAATTAAATGAATTAGAAACCATGTTCCTGTAATTACAACAGATGTCTCTAAAACATCTCCAGTGAATTTTGAATATGGTGTACTTCAAGAGAGTACTATAATTCTAGACCATATTATTGTATGTCTATGACTATGTCATAACAGGTTATTCATATTCTTAATTCGTTACAGAAAGGCTCTTAGTTATTCTAATAAGCATAAATGAGAATTATGTGCAAGTTTCAAAAAAATCTCAATTCTTCACTTTCTTCATTTTTATTTGTCAGGTACAATAAGCAACAGGATATTAAAACAGATTCAGCTCATTTTACAAAACTATCATTTGTATAGACACCAGAAAGAAATAAGCGTTGAGGGTACTTATTCAGCACCAAGCTTCTTAATATAGCATGTGCTTCAGAAACCATGTTTTTCTTTGTCTGATAATTAAAGTGATCAATAATTATGTCAAGTACTTATTTTACTTATTTTTTTAAGAAAAAGATGTGATATAGACTGGAAAGTGATTTTCGACTCAAATAAGTTTAAACAGTTTGTGGTGAAAACACATCTAGGTTAAAGTTACTTTGGAATGTTCTTTACTTTCTGTAGAAACAATTCTATAGTCCTTGGGCAAATACATTGCTCATTACTTTGTGTTAATTTCCATGGATATATCTTAATATTTTCACTGAATATAAAAAAGCATCATGCATGAGTAACCAAACAAAGAACACAAAAGTGAAATGGAGAATTGAGGGAATTTTTTTGTGTGTAATTTAGGGAAACAGCAACAACAAAAGAAAGCTCCAAAATACCTGTTTTTTCCTGACTTAGGTAATTTCAGGCAAAATCACCATTTGCTTTATTTCTGTAGCAAACTAGCACATTTTTCCAATTTGAAATAAACTCTCCCAAACATTGAAAACTATTCATCTGTTAAAAATATTTGTAAACTGCCTCTAAAAAGGCATTTAACCACTCTCAACTTGCTCCTGGAAGTGCAGTGCACCCATGGTTAATGCTGATTTCATTCCTGTTTGATGACCATGTTATTCACAAACCACGGAGCATGAAAGTGCCCCACACCTTCCATGAAAAAGTCTTTCTGCTTTTCAGAAGCTCGAAGAAACAGCTCTATACTCAATGCATAGAACTTGTAGATCATTAGAAGAAAAAAAAATAGATTCCTAGAACAGGAAGGGAACATAAGGCTGTTCTTATGCAACCTTTTTATATTTCACAGGGGAAAAGAGAGGCCCCATGAACTGACTTATTCAAGACCACACAGTGAATTATTGGCAGTGTCAGGAACTCTAACTTGGGTTCTAATTTTCTGACTACCTGCACTACCCAATTCTCAGTCCAGCTGGTACTCAGTGGTGCAGGTGTTACAATTGTTAAAATACTAAAACACTACCAGACTGACTCATCAACAGTTGTTTCCTTGCACCTCCTAGTGCTTCCTTATGTCCCATCCCTCTTGGCTCCTCTCTGAGCACCCACCCCTCTACCCGTGGTCTAGTCACTAAAGGAGGAACACCTGGGGGTCTCTGGAACCCTATTCCTATAATATGGTACCTGGTATCATTGGTGAGGCCATGCCATATTGGTGTTAAATATTTCAATTATCATTCCCTTATTCTTTCTACTCTACATACCCTCAAATTATGCAAAGATTGTGCATTTCAAATGTGAATTGAATGCTTGTCAATTAGAGACATAAAAATCACCAGGTCTTATGTGGTAATGTGGTCAGAACACTACAAGATCTTTCTGTGGCCTTGCTTTCCACGGTTTGTTAACTTTGTTCCTCACTTTCAGAATTCACTGTGCTATAACAGAAAGGGTCGGTTATACAAAGTGTGAAATTTCTTTTCTTTATAACCAATAATAAAACATCATCCTTTTTGCAAACATGAATGGCTTTTTCAATTGAATTCTTACACAATAAAACATACGCAGCTGGGGAAATACAATTGCAGAAGTAAGGCAGATCAAAAAGGGATGTGGTTATTGATTAAATACAAATATCAGAATCTGAGAAGGCTCAGATATTTTCTGCAATGATGAAGGCCTGTGATTACAAATAAAGATAATGTTGTTCTTTAAGGTGGGACTTCTCAGGGAACAGAGTATTCTGATTTAAGGAAGCACACTCTTATAAAAGAGATTTAAGAACATACAATCTTTATATAGAATGAGGAACAGACATTTTTTTTCCTACAGCATTATAACGACATAGCTACATTGTCTTTGCTCTGCTCAATGGATTTTTTATAAAACCATTGCTTCTGTAAAAGCCGACAAAATATGGAAAGCAATGAAGATACGAAGTTACGTTTGACTTGCTAATGAAATTTTCCCACTACATAAGCTGATAGGCCTACAAAATTAATTATCAATGCTGGACAATCAAAGTTAATAGAGCGAAAGTCGCTTCAGTTTTTTTTCCAAAGGAGCAAGAAAACATCCAGGCAGAGAAACTTTATAAATAGGAAACATCATGGGAGGTCATATTAGCATTTTTTCAAGGATAAATGTATAGATGGAAATATTTGATAGGCAGAATTAATTACCCAATGCCTCTAAGTTTCTTTCTCTCAACAAAATGGAGAAAAATATTAATATGTAAACTTAAGTAAAGTTGTTTGACTGCAAGAATTTTGCCCATCAAATACTAAGTTCCCTCAGTCCACACAAACTATAGACTCTGATAAAATATAAATATTTGGTTTAAGAGTTTATTGGGTGTTTTTTGAAGAAGATCTGAGTAAAACCTAAACAGTTGCCACATGTATCGTCAGGTGAGCTGTGTAGAAAGGCAAAGTGAATAGAGTCAAACAAATTTCCAGTGATAATCAACATAGGGGCTGGACTTGGTAGCCTGGGTAACATAGTGAGACCCCTGTCTCTACAAAAAATAAAAATTTAAAAATTTGCTGGCATAGTTGTGTATTCCTGTAGTCTTAGCCACTCAGGAGGCTGAGGTGAAAGGATGGCATGAGCCCAGGAGTTCGAGGATACAGAGAGCCATGATTACGCCACTGCATTCCAGCCTGGGTGACAGAGCAAGACCTTGTCCTCAAAATAATTAATTAATTAATATGGGACTAAAATTATATTTTGGGGCTTCTCCAACAGAGGTCTGAATTGCTCCTAATATTACAGGGAAGGAGCCCAGAATGTGGGGAGAGGACAAGAAATGCAGGTGGGGGCCAGAGCTGTGCCATTATTTGGATAAATATGCCTCCTTCTGGTCTACCATCTTGATATGCTTCACAGCTCTGCTTTTGCCACTGCCTCTAAAGCAGTGGTTCTCAATTCCCTCCCTCACAATTTGGCAAAGCCTGGAGAGACAATTGATGTCACAATGGAGGGCAGGAGACTGCTACTAGAATCTTGTGGATAGAAGCCAGAAATGTTGCTAAACATCCGTAAGGCACAGGACAGCCACAACCCCCCGCGCCCACCAACAAATATCTAAATGTCAACAGCATTTTTCTGAAGCATTCTGTCAGTCTCAATTATCCATCACCAATTCACCTTTAGAAACTGTCGAAAATAGAGTTGCCAGACAAAACACAGGATGCCGAGTCAACTTTGAATTTCAGAAAAACAACAAGCAAGCATGTCCCAAATATTACATGTGACCTACTTATACTACGAATATGATTCTTCATTTATCTGAGATGCAAATGTAGCTGGATGCTCCTTATTTCTAATTGCTAAATCTGGCAACGCTAGTTCTAAAGACTCCACGTTTTGAGAAGGAGTCAACAGAAGTGATGAACCTTCAGCTTTCTCCCAGCCTTCAAGAGAGTAGGGGTTGTTTATCTTTTTGGTGGGAGGCCAGGACATTCATTGGGCCACAATTTACAATGTGGTGTAATTTAAGACAGGTTTGGGGAGTCTGGCTTAAAGATCACCTCCATGGCATTTTCCTTCCTGTCTGCCGCTTACACAGGGCCCATGGCCCTGGACTACCCTGGCCAAGTCTCCTTCTCTGCTTCACATCTTGATTGGCAACTGAGGAGGACCCTCAGCCAAAGGGTTATCTTGATTCAAAGGGTGGGAAGCAGAACTACTTAGGCCTGGAGATCTAAAACACATTTTCTCATTCAATCCTTTGCCAGAAGGACCTGTATTAGAGGTGCTTGCACAGCTATAAAGGAGTATTTTCTTCTCTCCGGAATTTTCCTTTCCATATATCGCTGTTAGGGCACTTTGGGGGAAAGGGGGTAAGTGGGAGGGCGAGATGGAGACATTTCTTGGTCATGGATTGCAATGCCATCTACTAAAATCCGAATTTCACCTTACACTCTTAGTATATAGTTAGGGGTGGACCAGAGAGATTGATGTGTTCTCTACATAATTTTTATTTTTATTAATTTATTTTACAGATGAGAAAAAATATCATATAGAAAATATTTAAGTATTTTGGTATATTATTACATTCTCTAACAGCCGTCTAAAGTAGATTTTATTATTATTTCCTTTTTTTTTTTTTTTAGGGAAAGAGTCTTAAAGAGATTAAGTAAATTGTCCCAGGTTACACGGCAAATAACCAATTATCACAAGGTTTGAGGCCAAATCTGTTCATTCCAAAACCCATGCTTTTAATCACTAAGCCTAAAAAGTTATACATGTGAAAAATTATGAAACCAAGATAAAGTTCAAGTAGTTACTTTTAAAGCATTCAGAAAAATACTATGGCTATATCAAAGAAAAACATTCACTGGTAGTAAATGTTTTAAGAGTTGTTATCCTGTACAATGATTAGAATTTGGAACATCTTCAAAATGCTTTTAAGATACGTACCCAATAAGTAATAAATGCAAAGTCAATGTATTGCAATTTAATCCTTATGTCAGTAGCTTTGCCTCATTTATCTATGGTTACAAAGACTTACCTTTTAGTGTTCCATTTTAGAAAAGCAACTTTGATCTTTGCTTTAAGAGAGTCATTCGTGCACAATGCACCCAGGCCAGCCCCTCATCAGCATTCCACCAGAGGGTTCTAGGAGCATGAATTGTTTTTAATCAGTCAACAACACTATGCTCAAAAAATGCATTCTGATGCTTAGACCTTTTATCTCAAAAGCTATACAGAATCCAAGGTCATGCTAACCTCTTTTATGGTTTATTGTTCCTCAAATGTACTTAGAATGAATTTACAAAGCCACAACTTATTTTGTGGATACAGAGCTTTCATTAAGTTCAGCACTCCCCAACATCCTCTTTGTTTCCTCTTTCAGCACTTTCTGCCTATGGTTCCTCATTTAATATCAAGTTCCCGTAAAATTTAAAAAATAAAATAAGAATATAGAAGAAGATCCTCTCAGTAGCTAAGCTACTCATCATTTAAAGTTGAGACTGCAGAAAGCTGCATTAACGTGTCCAATTACTGCTGTGTAGTTGGCAATACTAGGGGCCAGTCCCTGAAATCAGGGATGAAGGCAAGAGGCCAGGATGGTCCCACTGTCACTACTCTGCCATTGCTGTGATCCTATAATTGCCAATGTGGGCATGGCAGTAAACCACCTGGCACATAAAGTGAGTTTGTAAAACTGCCCCTGGGAGGTGAGGTGAAGATGGTATTCTAAGGGATGTAGAAAATTACATCCCTTAGAATGTATACACCCCATGAAGTGATTTATTAGCTCACTTTCTTGATGCCTTTCACTCCAAGCAACAATATACACAAATTCCTTGTTACGCATTTATAATACTATATTAGCAATGTTTTATAAGTAATTCTGTGAATAAAAGTATCTGTGTGGCACCAAAATCCTCCTGCATGTAACCAAACGTACTTGAATAATATTTTTGGAAAACATTAGGTCAAATCAAAGCAATGGTGAGACCAATTAGGTGGCCAGGTAGGAGGCTACTGCCCAACTTCAGGTAAGACCTAGTAGTGACCTGGACTAAGATGGTGATTGTGAAGTGAGCTTTCAATTTATTAAGGAGCAGATGAAAAATCACTGAAGAATAGCAGGAGATTACATGATTAAAGTGGTGGAGGAGGAAGATTGACCAGGCAGCAGCATGCAGGACAAATTAAAGCCAGGAGAGTAGAGACTGAGAAAGGTGCAATTGCAATAAGGCATGGGGTGATGAAGGCTTGAAATAGGATGGTGACAGGGAAACAGGAGGGAAGAGATGGATGGGAAAGAAATTAGAAAAGGACCATTAGTCCTTTCTCAAACTCTTCTTATTTTAAAACTCAAATATTGCCTACTGTCTATCACATATATGAGTCATGAAGCCATTATTTTCATTAGGGAAGAAATGGGTTGGGGAGGGGGGAGTTCTATTCCAAGTGGAAAGTCAAGGTATATTTTTAGCTACATTAAGCCAGCCTTCTGCTGCTCTGCACACTGATGTAATTCCAACATAAAATATAATCTATAATATTCCAGGGGAACAAATCCAATTCTTGGCCATATAAATTTTCATATAAGTCCATCACAATTCATTCCCAAAACATCTCATTCTCTTTGAAAGCTGGAGCTGCAGCAAGTGATCAAAAAGAGTAGTTTAAAATTGCTCTGGAATTTCCAGAGATGCTAAATCTAATGTGCCTACGGTGCAGGACCAATCCCCCAAACTTTAAATCAGAGGTAAAGCATTTTATGTTTTAAAAGATATATTCCTAAAAGTTTATCATGGTGTATTAAAGTCAAATGTGAGTTATTACTTACCAAATCTGGAGCTGATGTCTATTCTTGATTACCCTAGGTAGGCGAGAATAAGTATCTTCCAACCAACATATTTTTTACCTTTTCATCTGCCTCTTGCTATTTACAATAGAGTGAAAAATAATAGCCAAGGAGTGACTTTGCTAGGTTGGGCGAAGTGCAAAACCCATCTGACTACACTCTATATTGTATTCCAGGCCCCTGGCAAGTTCTGCTTCATGGAGAAAAATAATGGAAACTGACTTCTCAATAGCTGGATTGGTCCTGTAGGAATAATCAGTGAACACTTAACTGATGAACTTTCAGCACATTTGCATGGCTTAGAACTTAGTGTATATATTATTGGTCATGCCTGAAATGTACTTTTCTCTGCCCTCACTGGGGCTTTCTGCATGAGGGAGAGAGTTACCAGGATGCCCTATGAAACTCTAGAACTAGCATAAATTTTATAACTAATACCATCTATGCAAAAAAAAATTCCTGTCAATTCTCCTGGCTTTATCCTTTGTGAACACAGCAATTATTAGTAATTCAAGATTCCTCCTGGGGGTGAGGAAAGTAAGAGAATAGAGGTCATCCTTGAGTTTAAAACCATCTTAGAAGGATTATACTTCTTTGTGCTGGGGGCGGTATATTACTTAGGCACTCAAAATTGGAGAAACATTCTAAAGATTCATGGTCTCAAGCACCCTCTCTTCTGATTTTTGGGGTGTTTGAACCATTAGGAGACTCCTGCTCCAGAATGCCCTGTTATAATTCAGGTATAGTTCATGAAAAGTTTTCATGTTAGCTTTGTAATAGCAGAAAAAAAGGTTGCAGACTGCAGACAAACATTGGTTCTAGTCGTCACCACCATTTACCAGTCAAATGCATTGAGTTAGTAACTAAACCTCTCTGAGCCTCAGGTTGCTAGATGATAAAGTGTTGTTAATAATACCTACCCTATTGGGTCATTGTGAGGAGTAAAAGAGATGATTCAGCCAAGTCTTTAGCGTAGGCTTAGTATATATGGTAAACTCACTAAATTTCAGCTATAATTATTCTTATCACTACCTAGTTCATTTGTTTCCGTAACACATGAGAGATGTCTATTCTTTATTTCTGCACTATCCCACATCATATCAACTTTTTGAGACTTATTCCATATACCATCCCTTTCATTATTCCTGTTCACTCCTCCAGGAAATGAGCACTTCTAATTCCCATATCTCTTTATTTTTTCTTCTCTTAGATACCACACACTTTTCTCCCAAGATTAGCATAATACCTCCTGTAGTAGGTAATTTTAATAAGCACTTATGTGTCAGTGCTGTATAAACAGCCATTAATGCATTATCTCACTGAACTACCTCAATGATCTCTGAGAAAGGTATTATGACCCCCATTTTATTGATGAGGAAAAGTGAGTCTTGGAGACTTGAAATAGCTTTCTAACACCAAGACAACACAATGGCAGAGTAGATATTTGAACTCTAGAGTTTGTCTGACTTCAAACCCCATGTCTTCCTCACTTTACTATAAAGACAATAAAGAGAGCTGTAAGATGGCCATGGTTGAAGGCCAGGCTGGCCAACCCAACATTTTGAGGATTTAAAAAGGTAGGACAGTGGCAGACAGATAGAGACGAGTTTATGGTGTTGATTTCCTTAGAGATCCTTCTCTGTGATGCCTCCCCAGGGGAAAGGTGGGGTGGCTGCCCTTCTCCTTAATGTGGTGGGAGGTATGTCCAAGTGAACACTCAGAGAGCTTGCTACATGGCCTCTTTTTATAGGGAGACAAAGTGAACCGCATGGACTCCTACCCAGGAAACCAGAGGGCTGAGCTTCTATGGCAGCAGAGTGAGGTAGAGTTGCCTTTGCCCAGAAAAAAAAGCACCACACTGCAGAGCAAGCATAGGCTGGGAATTGTGTGGTCTGATGGACTACATATGGGTGAGGTGCCTGAGAAAGAGTTGGTCCCGGCCGGGCGCGGTGGCTCAGGCCTGTAATCCCAGCACTTTGGGAGGCCGAGACGGGCGGATCACGAGGTCAGGAGATCGAGACCATCCTGGCTAACACGGTGAAACCCCGTCTGTACTAAAAATACAAAAATTAGCCGGGCATGGTGGCGTGTGCCTGTAGTCCCAGCTACACGGGAGGCTGAGGCAGGAGAATGGCGTGAACCCGGGAGGCGGAGCTTGCAGTGAGTCGAGATCGCGCCACTGCACTCCAGCCTGGGCGACAGAGCGAAACTCCGTCTCAAAAAAAAAAAAAAAAAAAAAAAAAAAAGAGTTGGTCCCAGAGCTGTCTCATGCTCTGTCTCATAAGGCCACCAAAAATGTCTATGAGACTTCAGCAAAAAGAAATTATGTGTGCAACACCAAGCCCTGGATAAATAGGGTTTGTATTCACAGGTCAAAGGAACACACGTGGGAGACCCTTCTCCATCATGGGTACTCTGATGAAACCATAAAAGGCACCCTTTAATGAAATTGGCACCTTCAATGTATGCAAGATGCAGAGAATATGCCACAATGCTATAAGAGTATCAATCAAATTAGAAGCTTTCTATCCTCTTTATCCTCTTCCTACCCTCCTACTCCCCATTCGGCCTTGGTGGGTTCAGGAGCCACAGTGCCACTGAAGAAGGAAACATGGTAGCTAGAGAAAGACGAAAGGCCCATGACAGACCTTTCTTCCAGCAGCCAGTCCACACAGTAGTCCCCAGCTAGAACAGGAGAAGACATTGACTGAATCAAATTCAGAACTATGGTTCTTAGTACTCAAACTAGGTTATGAATTGAGACTACGTTTATGACTTAAAGGCTGTCTGACAGACATGTCATGGGGCTTCCCTGAGTTTACTTCCAAGAGCTAGGAAAAGACTCCCTCTGACAAATAAATATAAAAGAATGGCAAGAGACAAATGCAAAGTTGCTTTCATAATGACACTTTATGAGCACTGATTATTTAACATGCTAGTGATATTTGTTTCCCATCACACAGTGGAAGCTTCTTGGGGGCTCCTTTTTCAGCTAAGAAAGGTTTTTCTCATTCTCCTCCTAACCACCCCTCAATTCGGTGCCATCAATGAAACCCCTTTCAACTATTAGGTAACCTTTCAAAATAAAAATTCCTATGGTTGAGTGTGCTGGCTCACGCCTGTAATCCCAGAACTTTGAGGGGGCAGAGGCGGGAGGGTCACTTAAGCCCAATATTTTAAGATCAGCTTGGGCAACAGAGTGAGACCTCATCTCTACAAAAAAAATACCAAAAAATAAAAAAATAAAAATTAGCCAGGCATGGTGGCATGCACCTGTAGTCCCAATTATTTGGCAGGCTGAGCTGGGAAGATCCTTAAGCCCAGGACATCAAGGCTGCAGTGAGCCAAGATCATGCCACTGCACTAGAGCCCAGGTAACAGAGCACAATTTGTCTAAAAAAAAAAAAAAATCCCATTATTGAAAATGAGAAGAACATTACTGAGATTTGTTTTTTTTATACAATGAATGACTATATGGTCATTTGAAGTAAAGAAAACTTAATAAGTCCTCCAGTTTCTGGAGTATGCAAAGCTTCGTGTGACATACATTGTGATGAGGAAAGGATCTCTTTCTGTGTTTGAAGTGGGGATGTTGAGGTGTAGATAGAATAAATAGATCTCTGTAGGTCACAGTGGAAGCTCATAGCAGTAGTGGGTCAGGACTATGGCATAAAATTTTTGTTTTCTGGGTTTTTTTGAGACAAGGTCTCACTTTGTTGCCCAGACTGGAGTGCAGAGGCACAGTCATGGTTCACTGCAGCCTCAATCTCCTAGACTCAAGTGATCCTCCCACCTCAGCTTCCCAAGTAGTTGGGACTACAGGTACACACCATCATGCCCAGCTAATTTTTTTTTTTTTTTTTTTTGTAGAGGCGGGGTCTTGCTATGCTGCTCAAGCAACCCTCCCACCTTAGCCTTCTGGTAGCTGGAACTACAGGCATGTGCCACTACACCTGGCTGGCACAACCTCTTTGAATGACCCATGGAAGAGTTTAGAAGGTAGAAGCTGACTTTAGGTGATACTTCTGCATCTGCCAATCTTGGGGGTGATATTTTGATTCTTTTACTTATTGTGAAAAGGGAATTTCTAGAAAGCAACTGCCAAAGACAACCCAAGGGTTATTCATGCTCTCTGTTGTCCTATAAAACTTATACAATAGCTAGATATTCTATGCCAGGCTTTCAATCCTCTGTCTGCAAGAGGGTGGCAAACTTCAATCATGGGAGAGCTCTGGGCCCCAGACCTGACATGCCCCCTTAATTATAGGGAAGAAAAGACAGAAGGAGCTCCCAGCTACATGTGAGCTCCCGTATGAAACTTTTAGTGGACATTTCAACCACATTACATAGTGGAAGGGCTATTCTGAGCCTTTTTCTTATTTCCATGGGATAAGATATATGCCATGGAGGAAATTTTTATATGGTTTCTCCTTTTGTGGCAAATCCAGTTAAGGCTTTCTTTGGTGATGGGAGTAGATCCGTGTTCTGTGGAGTCTGATGCTTAAAACTTCAGAGAATCTCTCCAAGATCAAGACTGCAAAAAATACCTTAATTTTGCAATTTTCCAAAAACACATGGATATGTTGAAAGGGGCTCAGTGTTTCTATTTGGGATACAATACAGTAAGTTTCTCTGCAAGCTACTGATGGAGACCCAGACATCAATAGGATACGTCAAGTTTACACCTAATCAAAAAGGACTGCAGCAGAGACTTTGCATATGCTGGCATTCTCCTTGGTGGAGATAGCGCTGTCTTACAGGGAAAGGTCACTGCAAACCTGGTCCAGCATGCTAAGAACAGTACACAGTCCATTAGTTTCACCTGACAACCTGAGAGGTAAAATGTGGTGTGCTGAGAGGTATTTTGCCTTCTGTTTCAGGATTCTTCCCAAAGATTCCCCAGAAAGGTGACATGACCTCATGTGGTTAGTCTAGCAAGGGCTGGCAACTAAATTATTCAATGGGAACTGAGACTCCAAATTTCTGTTCTGATTTACCTTACTGCTTTAATCTCTTCATGTATGTCTTTAATTTCTGATTGTCTAAAAATCTAATCAGTTATCAATCTTTAGGAATTATGTGCTAACAAACATATAAGAAACCAAAGAGGACTAAAGATACGTGTTAACTATCAAAAATTTTCATAATAAACTTCTATGTAAGTGGAGGCTTAGCCATAATGATCCAAAATCGGGTGAAAAAGTTAAACCCTTCTTTACCTAAGTGATAATATTTCAGCATTTTCCGAAGGTTGTTTGGAAGCACAGTAGTGTGAAGCAGATACTTTATGGAAAAAGCACTCTAAGATCAAGTGGTATAGTATTATCCCTTCTTAGAGAATCACAGGGCAATAGTAAAGGCTCTGAGAAGTCCTGCAGGGGAAAAACAAACCTGTCTATATATGTTAAATTCAGCATTTCCCAAACATATATTAACCAAAGTAACCCTGTTTATTAATCTGGACAAATATATTTGAAACACTGGTTTCAGCATTTATTTAACATTTTTGAAGAAGCATCACGGATGATACATTGCATTGGGTATTATAAATTCTTTTAACAGTTACACAAGATTGTTTTTCGGAGAAAATCAAATGACCCAAACCCCATCTTTGCAACCACACTGCTTCAAATAGGAATTTGTACCAACATGGAGCATCCATCTGCTTTAGCTCACAGAACTACGAATTGGGAATCTTTTCAACATGACATCCAAAAAAGATTGTGATTCTGCCACGGGGAAGTAGTGACACACTCTCTCTTCTTATCTTTCCCTTTGTTTCGTGGTGTGCAACTTGCTCTCTCCTCTATCTCGCCATCTCTCTAAATAGATATCTGTGCTCTCATTATTTTTTTAAACTGCTCTCAGTTTGGGAACTGAGAAAGTGCTCATTTATTTATTGAATTAGTTCATAAGGATAGAAGAGGGTCACAGATTTGGGGGATTCTTCATTCACATGATGCCACTATGTGATGACTAGCTAGTTTCAAGCTGGCGCTACTTTTCTGTCACAATTTGGACACCCCAGGGGACACTGTATTTGTTCAGAGAAAGCTGCTCCTCAAGTAATAAAAAACCTATAACTTCCAAATTAAATAATTAGTTAAGTCAGAGGACCAGTTGCATATTCAACAATTCCTCTGTTTAGAAAAAGGACTGTGTTCAAACTCTGCTCCAAATTAACTAATTAGTTAAGTCAGAGGTTCAGTCGCATATTCAACAATTCCTCTGTTTAGAAAAAAGGACTGTGTTCCAACTCTTCTCTTTGAAGCATCAGGATTATCTTCAACTCTAAATTCCAGGATAAGTCATTCCACACGAGCCACTGAGAACAGAGAAGTGGGTGTTATATTTACTCTGGGAACTGTGAACTATTTTGTTCTTCATGGTTCCTGAAAACTGAAAAGGATCAAATAAGTAAATCCATAATGCACATTCATAATCATCTCTTTGGGAAAGTCACTTAAATTTTCTAAGCCTCAGTTTCCTCTGCTGAAACGTGGATTTCATCTTCATACTTCACAGTTACAGTGAAGAAAAAATGAGAAAGTTCATGGGAAGCACCTAGGCTTGTAGCTGGCATGTAGCGAGTGTTCAACAAAGAATAGTTATTATTTGAATCCAGAGACCTGAGGAGGACCCAAATGCCTACTTTTCCCTAAACTGTCAGAGTAAGAAAGACTTTTTAATGCTCAGATTTCAGCGTTAACTCTCTTGTTGAAGTCTTTTTCGTTTGCATCATTAATATACAGTTACAAAAAAAATCCAATTAGTCATTAGTCCTTTGAAATTATGAGCCATAAGCATGATAAGGAACCAAAAAGGGTTACAAAGAAAGAGAAAGACAAATAGTTAACTATTAAATGTTCATTCATAATGAACATGCATGCAGGTGGGAACTAAGCCACAATTGCCCTAAATTAGCAAGAAATTTACATCACTAAGAACGGTTCTGCCATCTCCATTACTTGGAACTGTTAGATTTATGTTGGAGTCAAATTGAGCCAAATTGGGCTAAAGTCACATTTGGGGGCCTCGCTGTAAATTAGCCCGTGAAATCATTGAGATTGAGGTAAAATTTCCAAAAGCTTCGTCTTCGGAGGGGGAAAATGAACAGACCAACAATTCCTTAGCATGAGCTCCACCCCGCTCCAATCTGTTACTTTTACGTCCAACGTCAAAGGCAAGCTCTCCTAATTCCAATTGTACCCTGAACACTCTCCCCCCATAAAACACAGTTTAAAGGCCAGCTGCAGCGTGGAGCCTTTTCTCAGAGCCTACAGTTTCAAACAAACGACTGGGCAGAAGCCAGAATCTATATGGGCTCACGAAGACTGTAAAACATTTGGTGCCGAGTGGAAAACGACGTCTGTGAGCTCTGCCAGACGTTTTCAGCTTTCTTGCACCTGTGCCAAGTGTTTTTCAGCTCCCCCACCCCTTTCTTTCGAAGGTGGGGGCGGGGGTTGGGGAGATAAGCAAGCTTTCTGAGGGCATATGCCATAGGAATTAAAAAAAACCTCCTTAGCACCATTAGACACCTGCTTCCTACCCAGGCCCCTTTCTGAAGGCAAAATGAGGACCTCCAGCCCATCTCGGGCCTGGAATTCAGAGCACTGGAGCATCCTGGACATTCATTTCATCCTGCCAGTGTCTCACAGGATTCTAAACCCTGTGATTCTGAAGACTACTCCCTCCCCAATGCTCCTTCCCTGCAGTCTTTCTGAAATCTCTTTCCTGAGCTTCCAGTTGACTCACCCCTGCCCATCACTGATACTAAATCGCCAATTATTTCAAGGAAATAATTTGCACGTTGACACAGTTTGTAACATGCAAAAATATGTGTGGAAGAAAGTATATGTTTCTTAAAGGAAGAACACCCAAAATGTTTTCGCATGAAAGTGTGAAAATGTCTAAACATAGATGATGTGATACAGATCATGAGAAAGTCAATTTGAAATTACCCTGGAATCTTGTGATCATGTTTTCAAAAGAAGAATTCAAGGAAGGAAGGTCCTTTTCCCACCCTGCATGGTAGGGTTTAATATAAACAGTCCCACAATGGTGTATTTATTCCCATGCATTATTCTACTCAGTTCAACAACCCTATGAGGTGGGGACTCTTCCCAATTTGCAGATAAGGAAACTGCGGGTTAAGAAGATTGAGTATACACAAGTCACACTTGTAGGAAGCAGGGCTTGGACTTTATCCCTGGTCTGCTTATCTCTGAGTTTCCACACATTATTAGGCCACATCCCTCTCCAAAAGAAGCCCCTTCAACTCCTGAGGTTGCTGATGCAAGAAAAACCACACTTGCATTCCTTTAGCTTAAAACTTTAGTTTTATTCCTTTAGCTTAAAACTTGAACCTCTGTTAAAATATAAATGTCCTCTCAAGACCACATACGCAGCTTCATTGGCCACTTTGCCTTTCAAGAGTGAGAAAATTGGATCCTTTTCTGTGGACATGTTTCACGCAATAAACTTGGCCATTGCAGAGAGGAAAGGAGCAATGCTGCTGGGAGGATGGTCCTGAAGAAGTCTCTTTAGAATGCAAACTGAAACTTATCACTTCCTTGCTTGATACTCTCAACGTTCACCCACTGTTCCCATGATAAATTCCAAGCTCCTCACCATGACTTGCCAGGCCGGGAAGATCTGACCCCGTGCAAGGCCTTGGCTAGCCCAGCTAGTCCCCCAACATAAGCAGTTCTTTCCTAACTCAGCCCATTTGTTGTTGCTGTTCTTTCATCTGGCTAACTTCAGGCCTAAAGCTTTGTTCTCTTTCCCCACCGAAACCTCAATTTAAATTAGGGGGCCTTTGCTTTTCTCTGACTCATAGAACTTTTCTTAGCCTTCGCAGCACTTAATTGAATCTGTAACTCCATGACCAGGGCAGGAACAGTCTGTCTGTTGTGCACCACTGTATATCCCATTGTTGGCCCAGATATAATATTTTTGGAAGACTAAATGGGTTCGGAGTAGCACGGTGTACTTCTGTAATCCCTAATTGTTCAGTGAGGTATAGCATATCTGAAGGCTCAAAGAACTTGAACATTTGCTTGATTGGGCAGTAATGCAATTCAAGGAGATTCTGGTTTATGTCGGTGTATAAAAGAGACCCAGGCTTGTAAAAGGGTTTCAGTTCTTAGGTTTCTGTTTTCTAAGGCCTCAGTATTAAGCATACATACATATGTGTGTTTGTACCCATATAAATATATACTAGATATTATATATGCAACATACGTGTAATATATGTAGGTAGTATATACAGTTACACATATATGAGTAACTGTCAATATGATTATAATTGTATTATTGTTGTTATTATTGGAGTAGCCTCTATTGGCCTGAAAACTTGCTGTGTGTTAGACATTGGCCAAAGCAATTTATATACATTATTTAGTTCAATCTTCACAAAACCCCATAAAAAGATATTACTATACTCATTTTATCTATGAAGAAATACTGCTTAGGACCATCAAGTTATCTATGTGAGGTTTCTCAGACCCAAGACTAAAACCTAAGTTGACTCAAAATCATTTTTTCTTTAAGGACAACTGAATTTCAGTTTATTATGCCATCACTCAAAACTGAAAACAAACTCCTTCCTTTCTACCCATTTTTTTCTTCACACACACGTGCGCGCACACACACACACACACACACACATACGAAGCACAGGTAAAATAATAAAAATCTATCCCATGATGAGAGGAAAAGAATCCCAGGAGAATAAAGGTCACAGGACTGTTGACACTATCCACTGGGCATCTTTCCCCATACATCCACTCACTCAGGAAGCACATCTTTCTTAGCAGTTGAACTTTTCCTTAATGTCCTTTGGACATAAGCCTGTGACTATAATCCAAGAATTCAAGCAGAAGTTCATTGACCCCATTCAGATATAGAACAGAGGATATTCCAATGTCCAGAGGCAATTTAAAAAAACTCTTAAGTTCTCTTCCAACTCTAAGCCACAGTCAGCCACTCTCATGTACAAGTACAGACTTGCTTAGAAGGAAAGTGTTGGGCTGGTAGATAAAGATCCTAGTGTTAAGACCCACCTCTGCCATAAAGAAACTTACTGGCTTTCAGCAAATAAGGAGGCCTTAGTAAAATGAGATCTTGAACTCTATTAGGGGTGTACCCTGTGCATTGCTTGGACTGGTCAACAGGACAAGGTGGGAGCCAAGAGCAGCTGAGGGAGCAGGGCGCTGGGCTTCTCTTCCCCCTCAGCCTCTGCAACTCTGCTCCTGTCTGTCTTAGGTACTGCAGTCCCACGTAGGATTCTGTGTAAAGTCACCTAACACGCATTCAACAAACACCAAAAATGTCTGTATTAAACACCATGCTCCAAGAAATGTAGAAGTGCCTAAAACTTTCACTTCTCAAAAAGAAGGGGAACCAAGGTTTAAGAAGTGAGAAGGGGAAAAAGAGACAGCACCCACAGAAGAGAGCTCCAGGTGTCCAAAATAATTCTGAGAGCCCTTCCAGTTTGACATTCTAAGTCTCAGAGTCACTTAACCTCTTAAGTCTTCATTTCCACATCTTTAAAATGGGACTAATTATCTTGCCTCTCTCATGAGATTATTGTGATGCCAGAGGCAAAAATATAAAATGAAACTGATCAGTTATAAAGTTCTTCTTCTTATTATTATTATTACTATTATTTTGAGACAGGGCCTTGCTTTGCCACCCAGGCTGGAGTGCAGTGGCATGATCATGGCTCACTGCAGCCTCGACCTCCTGGGCTCAAGTGATTCTCCTACCTCAGCCTCCCTAGTAGCTGGGGAATGCCACCCGCCCAGCTAATTTTTTTGTATTTTTGGTAAAGATGAGGTTTCACCATTTTGCCCAAGCTGGTCTCTAACTCCTGGCTTCAAGTGCTCCTTCCCCCTTGGCCTCCCAGAGTGTTGGGATTACAGGCATGAGCTACTGTGCCCAGCACAAAGTTCTTATTATTGCTCCATAAGCAGTTCAAAACCATTTTTCCTAGTGAGACATCTAATCATTTTTCATGGCCCAAACAAGAAAAGCTTCTAAATGCCTCCGCAGTGGTATTTGCAGGACTGGAAACTCCCAGCAAATGCCTCCTTCATAGTGCCATGCCCCAGTTTCAAAACATTAGTCCCTTCTCAGTTTAACGCATTTTCTTAGGTTGCAGTGACTCTTCCACTAAAAGACAGAGGTGCATTAGTGGGAGATTTATGCTAATATCTCAGCACTGGAAATTATGAGGCTTGCTATATTCTTGTTCGGTCCGAGACAAGCAGCCAGGGTATGTCCTTTAACAGGATTTCCAGGAAGGATACTGCAGTTTAAGAAATGCTGATTTGCTGGCATTTATATATTCCAGGAAGAGGGCTGTCTTAAGTGTATCAGAGCCTAGAGCAGAAAATTATTTTAATGCCCCCTCCTTCCTCCACACATCCCCAGCATAAGAGAAAAGCAGAAAATATCCATTGGCTACAGAAATGCTGGCATTAGAGAAGAGCCTGGAACTGTTTTGAAGAGCCCTCATAAGACAATAGGACAGCCCTCCTGGGGGAAGGGGGGTGATATACATCCCCAGCAACTGCTCCTAGGATGGCCCTGCCAGCATGTGTAACGGCCAACTGGTTCATCTTGCTAACTATAACGCTCGGCATATGGGCAGGGAGTGTTTATAGATATATACATACACCATACATTTTCCCAGCAAGTACATATAGAGAACATCCAACTGTATATTTTGCAGACATACAAACACGCACATATATTGTCCATATGTTCAAACAATTTTTAAACTATATCATGAACGAATAAGGATCTCCTTACACTAAAAGTTGCCGGCGGTACCATAAGTGGACACTTGAGAAGGCATATTTTAAAGATGGACAGAACTCAGTTTGAATTTCAGTTTTACCCTTTTCAGTGGTGCAACTTCTTCTGTAAAATGGGAATAATAATGGAATCTTCCTCATGGGATAACTGTGAGGACCCCATAGGATTGTGCATGTAAAGCAATTAGCATATTGTCCAGTGCGAGGTAAATTCTCAATAAATTTTAGTATTATTAATATGAGGTGACATACCAGGTTGTGACCACCAAAAGTCTTTGGAAACAAGAGAGGTCAAAATGAATGGCAGCATATTATACATTGTCCATCTAGATACTTCGACAACTGAATGTCACTCCTCTGCTTCTCACGACACCCCAGACATATGTACTTAACCTGTCGTATCTCTCTCCTTTCATTTGACTATGACCTTGAAGTCAGAGAGAGCATATTTTTATCTGTGTTTTCTACCTTCTGGACAAGAGACCAGTTCACGGTAGGTGCTCAATAAATATTGATTGAACAGATTATTATGAATGGATGGCACACCCTGTGCAGATCTTTCAGCACACAGGGAAGTGTCAGATTTGGTCAGGTAGGGGTATGTACCAGTGTAAATTGTTCCAGTAAAAGCTGATCTCTTAAACAAAAATGTGCAGATAAAGCAAAACAACCTAAAAAAGACACATACTTTCTTTCCATATTTTCTTTCACTGAGAACAAATAGATGTATATATATTCTCTAGTTGTTTGGATTAACATCAAAGGATAGGTGGATGTCTGATCTTCAACACCCTGCATCATCTTTCTTGTATATACCAACGCCTTAATGCATCATGTAAAGTTTTCGTCCTTAGCTCTTAAAGCAAACATCTCATAGACCTTTAATAAAATTCCTGTGTGAAGAATTCTAGATACCTGTGATACTCGCACCCTTCAGACTTTGATCTATTCTCCACCCGGTTGAAGAGAAATTTTAAATTTAAGCCCTTATCAAGTATTTCCATAATATGTAACTTAGTTTCAGAAAAAAATGATCATCTTTTTATACTCTTATTTAACCAGTTTATATAATATTTGATCATTTATGTATATAACAAGTACATTAGGCATTAACATATTTGAACACCTAGTCTTATCTTTTTAGTATACAAATTAAATGATAGGTGTATTAGAGTAGTTTTCTCATTGCAAGGGATCAGAGTTTGTTTTCTGGTAGAAAAAGAGAATTATTAGTTTGAAAAGTCGTTTAAGTAGGGGTCAGATATGAAAGCTTCTATTGAATTACCATTGTATTAATAACAACTCATAGAACATCATTTTGAGGGGCATTGGAAAAGAAAGAAAATTCCAAATTTCACATTACAAAAGAATATTTTGTCATCCACGTCAGGTCAAGACATTGATGAAAAGTTGATGAAGCTAAACTCTCAAATGATGATGTCATCTCATAAACGGGGTCTATCTCACCCACAGAAGCTTCTTCTGCTTTCCTTAATGCCTCTAATTACTTGTGTATAACAGAGGCTTATGGGGTTTCCTTCAAGTACATTTCTTGGGTTTCGCCTGAGCAATCAGTTCTACCAAATGGCCTCTTACAGGTATAACCCTGTGAACTACAAATAAATTGAGTTCCCCTAGTCCTCAGCACTACCTCCATGATTTGCCTGGTCCTCAATGCCACCAAAAGAAATATATTAAAGCATGAAGAAGACAGTGAACAAATGGGATTTTTACATCCCACTTGTGAATATTTTGTGTCTTGGTGAATTTAGTGAACTCAAATTCTGACCTTAAGTCTGAATCCCTAAGGCATGGAGATATCATGGGTATGCTGAATCTGAGTCTTGGAGAAAAGGCAGAAATATCTCTAGATGAAGTGTGCTCTTGAATGGCAAACAATAAAAATGTAAGCCTAATTACTATGTGCAAAGGTGTTTCGGTGGCCCCATGTAAAGCCAACCACGAGTGGTCAGGACACCTCACCTTAAACTAGCTTTCTCCTACTGAAACCCAGGACCCAACTTTTTACCATCGTCAGAGAGAAATTTTGTGCTAGGAGTGTCTTGTTATAATGCAATAGTCCTGAGAATCTTACCACATTAAGTCATTCTAAGCCATTATCACCTTATCAGGAATTCATTATTTAGTCATTTGGCAGAGTTTCTGGAGGAGATTGTAGAGCAACTGGGGTAAGAGAAGGGATATATCCAAATTCTTGGTTGATATCTATGAAGTCTCAGAAACATTTTTTTTAAAAGCACAGAAGATTTGGGGTTCTGGATCAGCTCACATATGTCCACTTCTCAAAAGTGGACATGACAAGTTGTCTGTCTAGATCTATTCCTTCTGCTTCTCTCCTAACAGAGCCCTAATGTGAATCCTATACTTCCTGTCTCTCATACAGTTCAAGTGATTCATGAGACTCAGGCATTTCTCTGGTAGGGCTTGATGAGAATAAACCAGTCAGTGGAAGGCATTTCTTTGATAACTCTGATTGGTCTGAAAGATGCCTAAACTGACCCAATCAGACTGAAAGGAAGGACATATGTATTAGACTAGGGGGAGAGGTACTCTTTCTCTATTTCATTTGGCATGAGCAAGAAAGTAAGGTGTCTTGATTGCTATTGGCAGCCAACTTATGGTCATGATTAAATCAATGCCAGACCTATATTCATATCATTAGCAGAGGAGAGATGAAAAGAACCAAAGTCCCCAATAGAGTTAAACTACTGTGTCAATCAAAAAGCAAACTTGTTTATCTCCAGACTTTCTATTAATTGCGATAACAAATTTTCTTATTACTTAAGCCAATCGAATACCAGCTTTTGTGACATAAAAGAAAAACCACCTTGTTAAGTGTTCATATTGATTTTAAGATGCATTTCAATTTGAAAACATTAAAATGTATGTGGGAAGGTGGGGGGAAGTACTTATTAGAATTTGGGAAATAAACTGTACATGAAAATATGTTAGAATTGGCTTGGTTCATGATTTTGAAATTAGATTGTCCACCTAGGATTCATGATCTATAATTAGAAATGGTTCCAGTTCAGTGGCTACTTCCTCATAGATGGCAGCCTAAAAAAAAAAATCTTAGACCTTGTTGACCCTAATTGAATAGATAATTGAAGGGATAGAAAGTCAACCTTTTCTAGAATATTTTTTCATTTGTAGGCATATGAATACAATAAAACTAAATTCTGTAGAAAAATAGATATGCTATTGAGAAAAGTTGAAAATTCTTCTTAGACACCATGAAGTACCTCTCACTAGCATATTTTTTTCTTATAATTAATGGTAATTTACCTAAATCTAGGGCTACTAAATATCTACAACCACTTCCAGGATTCTTTATCTCTACGTTATGCCTTGCTTAGCTCTGCTACTCTGCATGGTTTGATGATGCACATTCTATTTTGGCTGGACCCTGAGCCTGGATTTTAGATACAACTGCTTCATAAAGCAACCAACACTTCACTCCCTATTTAACCACTTACACTCCCTTAAAGTGTACTTAAAAATATATCAACATGTGATTAGGTTTATCATTTAGATTTTTTCCAAAAGATGAAATAATACAGTTTCCTAGTACAAACAATTTTTGTTCTCACCGTGCTTCATACCATCTTAATAAACACTCAGATGTAGAGGTGTGGTTTAAACCTGAAAATGAATACAAATCAATGTAATTATCCAAAATGTAAAATTCTAGTCAAAAAACAAAATCTGTTCATAACCTAAGAATTATATGAGATTAAGCTGGACAAGATGCCTCATAAAAAGAATGTCCAGATGTCCAAAGGGAGGATGTAATTTAGGAGTTAAGAACTTGAGCAACTTTCCTGGGGAAGTTTTTTGGTTTTGTTTGCTTGTTGCTAATCAGCCATTCAGATTCCTATCCATTCTACATTCCCCAGATGCAGAAATGTGGAACTTGGTAACATGTTCTGGTATATCTATATTATTTCCCTGCAACTTAAATGCATTAAGTTGTTTCTTATAATGAAAAGTAACAAAATATCACCTCAAGGAGAAAACTTTATGAGTATTAGTGCTGCTAGTACTGTTTTATTCTCTTAAAGAAAAAAACTAAATAGAGATATGATTTTTACCTGGCAAATATGATTAACAAGACTGTAAAAACACAAAAAAAGTACTTATTTTTGTCATTTTGGCTCGTGATCATTGTGAGCAACTAATGGTTCAGGGAAAAATGTTTTTAAAACTTTTGCAAAAATTATCTAGTTTGAGCATATATAAATTCTCCTACTTATGAGAAGCACATGCAAAAGTCGTGAGAGGGCAGATGAGGTAAAGATCAAGGATAATATAATGCCTAGACAGGGGATTTAAAACGTATACCATATATTTGCTTTTTTAGTTAAAGTAGATTTTGGTTGTTACTGCTGTGAAAATTTTGAACAAATTTTATATCATTATTTGAAATATCCAAAAGCTATTTTTAATGGATTTTGAAAAGCCACAGCAAATAGTAGTCATTCAATAAATGTTTTTAAATTAAACTCAATTGATTAATGCAGCACATCCCACGGGTCCTGTGACAAACAGAACAGAGACTACTTTAAAGGTAAAATAGTCTGCTGAAAAATAAATGGTTTGAGGAAACAGTTACCTGTATTACAATCTATTAAACTCTCAATGCGTTAATATGATAGGGTAATAATATCTCTATCAGTATAAATTTAAACTGCTTATATTTATCCAAGAAGAAAAATGTAGTGGGCTTTTAGTGGTCAAGTATGCAAGCAATAATTTACATGTCCTCCCAATCCCTATATGGATGGTTTCAACATCCTCAGTAGGAAAGAACTAACATGAGAACGCTATGAAGCAAACGATTAAGAGTAGAAAATTCTTCGACAATATAAGTTCTAATAAAGAAAAAATAACAGGTGTAAAGCTGACATTTGATATGAAGTGATGTTTATTAAAAACGAACAGTTAAATAACTATTATGGAACATGTATCTCTCTAATATCATTCTCTTCTTTTTTAAAATTAAGAACTCAGATTTTGTTCAGCATAGGAAGTGTGCCCTGTTAAAATCCTGAATTTCCCCAGCTGTCTTTTGGTTGTGATTGACCATGAGAAATAGTTCTGTCCAATGAGCATCTAGAGAAAATATGGTTATCGCTATAAGGGACAGATGCTGAAGTCATGTGCCTTTTGCCCTTAGCCCTTCCCCTTTTGTTGCATTTAAGCCCCTCTTTTGTGAGTGTTCTTACTTGCAGCTAAAAGCAACCCCTAACCCAAACACAGGTCTGACATCTTCCAAGCAATTTATTGTTACTAAGCAGAATAGCTCTTCAAATAATATGAAATAAAACCAACACTTATAAGAACACTAGTGTAATGAACTTTTTACCCCTTTGAATAACGCCAGAAAGCTGGCAGTAGCAGTTTCTTAATGGCATGGAATTTCCAAGGACTTAAAATTGAAGCTTTGTTTTCTCTTTCTCATGGATGCAGGTGGGACCATAAACTCTTTCTAGCATGACGCAGAGAGTACCCCATGGCCAACATGAGACTGTCACCTTAAAAAGAAAAAAAAAAAAAAAAGACCACTAATGAAACAAAATAACAATTTGGGGGGAAAATCTGTTCCAATAACTAACTAGCCTTTAAAAATATTTTACCTGGCCTGTGGTTACCAATTGAATAAAGGCAAAAGATGTAAGAAATGAAACTTAATTGAATGAAGCTCAATAGAAAGTTCTCTGTAATAGGAAATGTAGTTCTAGTGGATCAGATCAATTATCTAGATTAAATCATTGTTGTTTAGCAGATTCTCCCCAGATAGCAACTCTTTTTCAGGTTACTTTCCAGAGACAAAATGACTGAATCACTGCTTACTTTTCAAATCACTTACCAGCACCAGCCAAATCACTCCACTATAGCCTTAAAATATAGAAACCTGCAACTTGAGGCTTTTTCAGCTGAATTCTATACCTCTCCTAGTCTAATACGCCAGGTGTCTTCCTGAAATATGTGGCAGGGGTGGGAGATTCATTCATTTTTGAGTATCCAGTGATTCTTGTTTTGATTTTCTGGGATAATGAGTATGCACTTTGAAAAGAGTAGAGAAGGTTTAAAGGACACGAGAATAAATTCCAAAACACACGAAGTGAAATTGAAGAGTATAAACATCTTTTAGGTTTTCATTAATGAAGATAATTCATATTTGAGTAAAAACTGGGAGTCAAGCTCCCCCCCCCAAAGACTGTGCCTTTTAAGTTACATCAATGTCCATTTTTTTCATGCATTTTCAAAATTATTTCAGCCAAAACTATACTCAGATTTTCTATTTTTTGCAGTGCTCATTTTGAAAATGTATTTTTATTTATAGCATTATACATAAAACCTATAAATTCTCTGAACAGTATGGGTTTGATATGTCTGAAGATTTTTTTAAACTTATATTCACAATATCTTCCAGGAGAAATATATGGCAATGAAGTTAAGCTTCAGCTAACCTTCTAGACATAACTCTTAGGTGCTCCCAGATTTACTAGTGATCAGTTCTCTATACTTATGAAAAACATAGGTTAGCCTGTCTCTGGCACTTTGATAGACAAATTCCACTTTTAAAATTTTGATGTTCATAAAGTGTCCTGAGAGAAGAGAGCTCTTAATTTGTGAGAAATAGAGTCTAGGGGAAAAAGTAAAATTAAAAAAAATGTTGTGTATGTGTTTTTTTAAGAGTGTTTTCTGGACAGCAGGAAAGCAGACAGTTATTTCTGGAAGTCTTTCATTGCATAAAAATATCACAGAGCCAAATTCTGCCCTCCGATGATTTTTCTTAAAGTTACTTGAGTCCATATGTTTCTAGAAGCTGAATTTGCTTCATTGCATTTCAAGGTCTAATCACGCAGTTATTACACAGGCAGAATCTCCATGAAATTGAATTTTGTTTGTTTAAGAACAGTGTATTTGAATATTTCCTACAACAAAATGTGGTCAAAGACTGTGGAGAGTTTGGGTTAGTGGAAAATAAATTGCAGATCACCAAAACATCTCTGCACTCGCTAATTTTTCTTATTTGATTTTCCCTTCTATTTGGAAAATGCCAAGACTTCTGAGAATACAGAAAATAATATCTAGAGAATCTTTATTCATATCTAGCTCTTAAAAAATTAACAATGTCCTTCACAATTTCCTTTTAAAAATTTTTCACCTCTGTTTAGCCAGTGAATAAAATACGAATTTCTATTCAAAGCATCATAAAATACAAAAAAAAAAAAAAAAAAAAAAGGAAAATCTAGACTGCAAGTGATTCTGTTTAAAATTGTTATTCTTGAAAGTCTGGTTGCCAATTTAATACCATATGGCCATTAATTGTGCGGTATAAAGTAAAAATATTATGTGATTTTCTGTATAATTAATGAATTTTAAATTCAAGAATTTAAAAGAGACAAAAAAATTATTCCGCCAGATTCCAGACATTCAGGAACCTCTATATTATATCACAAATCTTCTTTTAAAATTTTTGAACATTTGTCATTTTTCCTGTAAAGCTATATTCATCTTCATGACAAAAGTACCTGTTTCATTTTTCAGATAATAAGTGAAAAAAAAACCTTTCCTACATCTGCACAAAATATGTCTATCCTCATTAGATCCATTTTCTCAATGAAATTCAAGTTTCTCTGTCCAAAAGGCATAAATCTGGGTATTGATTTAACTATAAAATCATAAAACTCCCGGTAGTCTTCTAAAACCATTTTACTTGGATGAGCATATGAGCTTTTAAAATATCAAGTTATTCCAGTATTTAATACACATAACTGCTTCCAGAGGGCTAAAGGCAATAAGGCACAGCTGCCCATTCCATTTGATGAACTACAACTAGACTGCTAGCCAGTGTCCCCCTCCTTTCTGGGGTATTTTTTCTAAAGCGTTTGCTTCTATTTTATTCAGCATGAGTTTGATACCTTCTGAACATGAACCCTATCACCAGCAGCCAAAATCAATAAGCTATCTAATCAAGGGCCTATAAACTAACAACAGACCCTCGGTGCTCTGTTCCTATAAAATGTAGTTCATTCTAAGTCCTTCCTTCCAAACCAGTCTAACTCTAAATTTATTATCCTCTTCTGACAAGGTTAGAGCATTGTCTACCTAGAGTTCTAGAAAGACTGTTCTGGGGAGCAAATCAATTACCTCTTGAGAAGGAAAAAAAAAAAAAGAAAAAAGAAAAGACCTCTCTAAACTCTCCCTGAAATCTTTTTATTTAGCTTCAATTTTCTTTTGAAAGCAAGGAACCTTCGCCATGAAGCTTTCATGCAGCAACCAGCTACTTCCTTTCAAATAAAAATCATGTGTAAATATTTCATAGACATGTCTCTAGTGTGAATTGCACAATATGAAAAGGAGATGTTAAGGAAATATCACCCTAAATCATACCAAATAAGAAATACAAACATTTTCCTAGATCCATAAAGTTTTGAAGTGTAAGCCACAAATTCTCCTTGCATAAAACGTCATATGCTTTTTTGATATCCTGAAAGCTGTGGCTGAATAGCCTTCACTCAATGACTTCATAGTGTATTTGATACTTATGTTTATTTTAAGCTTTTTCAAATGATATTTTCCATCTTAAAACTGAGAAGCACTTTTGCTTTGAAAGATTATTCATAGGTAGCAATATAAGCAAAACCAAAGTTTATCCAAAATATCTTTTTTTCTCCCAGATCTGTGACATTAAACACATGTGTGCAAAACCACTTTCCATGATAGAAACTTTCTTTTTATATTTTAGTTGTTTTGTGATTCTTTCTCCCCAGCTAGATACAGAACTCCTTCTGGACAGGGGCCATGATGTCTTCCCCTTGTTTCTATTAGGAGAGCAGCTTTAGCATAGTCAGTGCAATTCAACACACAGCTATTGAATTGGGTGGAAACTAACAAACACAGAAAACAGCAGGAGAATTTGAATGAGGTGTCAGCAAACATATTGGTGTGGGTTCCAAATGTAACACATTGTTTCTTAGCAAAAAGTAACCAATAACCCCCTTTAGAATAGTACAAGAAATTACAATGATGAGAAACATAATAAGCAAGGTATATGCTAATAAATTGATGGACAAGCAGAAAAGATGCTATCTATTGAGAACACTCCACTCCACGTACGCCTAATGTTGACAAGTGGGGCCATAAATAAGTATTGATATGGAAACATTAGTGCTGATGTTGGCTACCAATTCTATGCCTAACAGCATTCTTATCTGTGCTCATTGATCTCAATCGTTTGTGTTCTTTTAGGCTTTTCTGATAGTCGCATATTTCAAAGAGCTAACCTTTTCTGCTGCTTCGTTGACTGGCTTTGCATCCATTCTTAGCATTAGTACCAATGCATACTTTCAATGAAAATTTACCATGATCCAGTTTATAAGCACATGACTCTTCCTGGTGGCATAAGCTCCATGTGCTGATTTTCCTTAAAAGGCGCCACTACTGACCTGTGCTCTATAGGTTATGAGTTGTTTTGCCAATAGAGGTCATAGATGGCTTTCATCTGTCACCCCTTCCTCCCTTAATTCCCTTGGAACCAACTACACAGTCATTCAAGACAACAGCTAGAAGAAGGCAGGTATCTGTGGCCAGGAAATACTGAAGGTCACTAGCCTGCGTGATGATTGAACCTGTGCCCTTGACTTGTGAACCCAGCTATCTAATGCTCCAAACAAGATACTCAAAGATGGAATAGGAAAACTGGAGGAGAACCACTCTTTGTCCTTAATTCAGAATATGCGAGTCTTTCACGGAGACGTCTTTGGCCATGGAAACAATGCTTTACTTTTCACTCCCTAAAAACTGCTTCTGTGAAGATGCTATTTTTCCCTGTGAGGTCAGCTCTCCAAGATTCAAAACCGTCGCCTTTTCCATATTCAGATGTAGTCCAAAATCAATACTTTAGCCACTCTCATTACAAGCTGTTCAAGCAATCCTTCAAATTCAGTGATAAGGACAGCATCGGCACCACCTGCGATGACCACAGGCTTCTTCTACTATGAAGCCTATCGCTGTAGTCATCTCCAGCGTGGCCCATTACCATGAAAGATTTAGCAGCTAGGGTGTCATAATGCAATTGGTGCTGACGTTCATCAGGGTCTGTGATGCCTGTTTGTTCCCCTAACGCTCTTTGTGCTAGCAAGAAAGCTGATGCATCTAGTTGACCAGATTTCCAGGAGATAAAGATCTCCCAGTAGAAGAAAATCAGGACTTCTTAGGAGGTAGCTGAAAGGAGTACTCTGGCCATATTTTTCTCAGCTCAGCCTCAGTCACCACCTTCCCTTCTAGTGATAAAAATCACTAGATCTGTATTGCTCAAAATACAATGTGTCCAAAGGCTGTGAAAATATATATTATGTTACGTTTAGAGAAATGCTGCATCTGAAGCATGATCTTTATTTTCATGTACGTGTATTATTTCACAAGAAGATCATCTATTAGAAGATGTTAGAATTCTGCTCACTATTTAAATGCAAAAATCACTCACTATATATTCTGTACCCATTACTAGGTAGAAAATAACAAGCCATTTGTGTTTCTACCAATCTACTTATTTTTATTAGCCAACTATAGTTTAATATGCAAGGATATAGAACTTCACTCTCCAATACGATAGTCACTAGCCACATGTGACTATGAGAACTTAAAATATAACGTGTACAGTACACATTGGATTTTAAAGACTAAGTTAAAAAAAGTTATACTGATTATATGAGGAAAGAATAATATTTTGGATATATGAGTTAAATAAAATGTAGTATTAAAATTAATTTTACACTTTTTAAAGCATTTTATTGTAACTACTATAAAATTTTAGATTACTTGTGTAGCTTACATTTGAGGCTTACCTTATATTTCTATTGGACAGCATTGATATAGAAAATAAGGTGAACTAAAGAGAATAATGCCTATAAAATATAATAATGTCTAGCCCCACCTATCTCCAATATTCTCTTTCCTTGGAGGGCAAGGAAAGGAAAATCTGTTGACACTTATTGTACAAACCATGGACATCAATGATTCAAATTCACTAAATTTTTGTCCTGGGTGAGTATTCAATGTTAATATTCTAAAAGAAAATTGTCACAGGCAATTTTCAGTTGGAAGGTATGGACTCAGCATTGGTATTCAAAACCAAATAGGCCTGTGGGGTTATAAACAGGAATTTAAATTTAATTCTGCTCTTCTTTAAATCACCCTCTACCTCTACGGGAGCAGCCAGACACTCTTGGGCAGCCTGAAGGTCAGTGGCTTCTAGGAGGGCAATAATTATTAAAGAATGCCATGGAGGATACGGGTGCTGTAAATGGTTTATAAACTATTGTGTTATCTTGTTCTTTTTGGAAGAAGTCATACTATCTTCAAGAACACCTCTTCTAGAGATCTACATTTAACATAGGATATGAGAAAGCAAAATTGCCCAGGGGTAACTGCTATTCTTCTAGCTATTGGAAGCAATTCTTCAACCTAGAGAAGGCAAGCCACCATCATAGCAATACTTACCACAAAGCCTCATCCTTTTAGAAATCCAGTACATACATTTTCACTGTAAAACTCTAATAACCAGGACATTTTTTCACATATGCTTTAAAATGGTTTCAGAGAGGTTAAGTGACCTGCCTAATATCATACTGCAGAGCTGGAATTCAACCCCAGGTTTGGCTGACTCTGAGGCCCATGATCTTAACCAACTGAACACAAAACAATGGCTCCATCAAAATTATTGCCCCCGAAATTTCTAGAAGCTTCATAAAGAAGCCATTATTAGCTATAAGGAAAATTGGAGCTCCTTTAATTCAGTCTACATATCTTACAGATGAGGAAAGTGAGGCTCAGAGGAATTAAATGTCCTGTCTAAATTTCCCATAATTAATTAGTGCAAAATCTGGAACCATCACAACTCCCAGTCTTTCCACTTCATGGTACCTCCTGGATAAAATATCCAGAGAGCTGGATGGCACATTTTCCGATGGCAATAGCTTTGGGAATATGATGCATTGAATTTTGGAGACATATCCATGACACCACGTCCTATAAGAATGGTAAATTTGATGAGCAAGAACTTTAAAAGAGTAGACAGAGAAGCATCTTCCATATCCTTTACTTAAGAGAAACTTCTGATCCTTGGTAGAAAAGCCATGACAGAGTGTTCAGGAATGAGCTTTTCGTAGCATTTCTGGACAACAACTTCCTCTATGTCTTAGGTCATTGGGAGTACTATGACAAAATACCATAAAATGGGTAGCTTGTAAACAACAGAAATTTGCTTCTTATGGTTCTGGAGGCTGAAATGTCCAAGATCAAAGCATCAGCATATTCGGTTCTGGGGTGCGCTGCTCATCTGGTTCATAGATGTGCCTTCTCTCTGTGTCTTTGTATTGTGGAAGAACCAAGAAAACTCTCTGGGGCCTCTTCTATAAGGATACAAATTTCACTCATGGGGCTCTGCCCTCATGATCTAAGCACCTCCAAAAGGCCTCATCTCTAATACCAACAGATTAGGTTTTCAACATGAATCTGGGGAGGACACAGACATTCAGACCACAACACTATATTAGCCTGTGTTATCTGATAAGTCTGCATCAAGTCTTGTTCTTTCCATATCATCTAGAAAATGATTATATAATTGACACAAATTACATCCTAATTAAGAGATTTGTTTTTCTGGACATGTGGTGGATTGTTCATAGTAAATTCTCAAACCCTTACTCCACATGTCCAGAGAATTCATTTTCTTGGGGCTCTCCAGTTAACTTGACCATTTAGTAGAACATCTCTTGAAAACATATCTTATATATGTCTTAAAAATCTATCTGTACATATCTTGAAACATATCTTGAAACTGCAGATACTAATGCACTGTTTCTTCAAAATATTATGCCGCCAAATTCAATAATGCAAAGAAGCAGTTTGTAAGTTTTCTTTTTTAAAGCCCCAAAGTCTTTTCCGGAGGAAATTTTATGTGAAACTCAAATAACAACAGCAAGAACAATAACATTAAAATGTACACGGAGTTTGCTTTGTGCCAAGCACTCTTCCAAGAACTTCATATGTGATAACTCACTTAATTCTTTGTGGTAGGTTCTATTATTATCCTCTGGATTTTATAGATGAGGAAGTATAGCCACAGAGAGGTTAAAAAACTTGTCCAAGCTCACAGAGTGAGTGAGCCCAGATGGTCTGGCTATGGAGCTCACGGACAGAACACTATGCATACTACCTTGATTTGGAAGCCTTATTTGTTGCACAGGTGGGAGGTCAGGAGCTACCTGGTAAAATTTTGCTGGTCTTCAAATGATCTAACCAGAAAAAGTGCAGGCACAAGGTTTACAGAATTCATGCAATAAGTACTATTCACCTCAATAAATCCCTTGAAGTTACAGAAAGAGAGAAAACAGATCTTTTTTTGAAATTTTATATTGTTCTCTGATAGGCCCTCTTTGGATGATAGCCATTATTAATTAAACAATGCCTGTCATTGTGCTAGGGGTTCTATACATATTTTGTCATAGAGAGATAAGTATTATTACCATGAGTAGATGAGGAAACTGTGGTTCAGAAAAATTAGGCAAGTGTCTCCAAATGACACAGCTAGTTAGAGGCAGAACTAAAATATGAGCTTTCATCTGCCTGCATCAGAATCTCAGATTCTTTCTACTTGTTTCCCCCTCAAATGACAAACAGATGAATTGGTAATAATAAAAACTAGGCTTTTTATGAACCTAAATCCATCAGCACAATCACTGCAAGGCCAATGGACCAGTGTCTCCAATTAATCAACTCTTATGGATAAGTTAAAGGGATTACTTTGCCAGTTACCACAAGAAATTTGCCCTTAAAAATAGGGTTCATGGGTTTATGGGGCACATGGCTAAACTATACAAGGCAATTACCTTGGGAACTTTCATATCTGTGCTTTGAACCATTGAATCCATTCACAAGTAAACCTAGTGTTTGGTAGCTAGTGCAAATGCTTGAGGCAATTTTTTTCTAACTTTCTCCAGAATAACTGTAACTTCAATTTGGGAACTTCAGTAAAATTAAGAGGCCGTTGTTTTACTAAGTCACTGCTCTTTCTTCTTTTTACTAATTTCCAATCCCTCCCCGCATCGTCAGCTCCAACACAGTGTTCATGCCACTGCCTGGCTAATATTCCTAAAATGTGCTTTTTGTTATGACTCTCTTTCTTTTGCCCAAGGTCTTTAAAATGTCTCCTCACTGCCTATGAGAGTAAGTTAAAACCCCAACCTGGCATTTTAAAATCCTACAAAGTAAGTATTTCATGTAATTTATATGACAATAATAACATGAATGAGGAGAGGGGGAAGGGAACTATACTGGAAGAATATTTCTATATACTAATGAAAGTAAGCTAATATTAATCTAAACTAGATTGTTTAAAATTAAGATGCATATTGTAATACCCAGAGCAACCAAAGATAACTCTCTCTCTCTCTCTCTCTCTATATATATATATTCTATATAGATGGATAGATAATATATATATAGTTCTGATTTATATGTCAGAAAATAAAGAAATGTAAATGGTACACTTAAAATATATATTTAACACAAAAGAGGGCAGTAGTGGTGGCACAAAGAACACAAAAAAGACATAAGATATATGGAAAACAAATAGCAAAATAAAAATAAATCATACTATATCAATCATTGCGTTGAATGTGAATAGATTAAGCATCCAATCAAAAGATAGAGGTTGTCAGACTAGATAATGAAAAAAAAGGATTCGATTATATACTTCCTATAAAAGATACCCTTTAGATTCAAAGATAAAATAAGATTAAAAGTAAAAAAATAGAAATAGGAACACCATGCAAACAGTAAACAAAAAACAAGTTGGGTAACTATACCAATGTTAGACAAAATAGACTTTAAGATTAAAAAATATTTCTAGAGACAAAGAGGAAGAACATTTTATAATGATAAACTAATCAATTCAACAGGAAAATATATAACAGTTATAAACATATGTGCATCTAACAACAGACCCTCAAAATACATTAAACAAACCCTGACAGAAATAAAAGGAGAAAGAGACAATTCAAAAATAATAGTTGGTCACTTCATATTACACTCTCAGAAACTGATAGAACAATTAGACATAAAATCAGCAAGGATATAGAAGACTTGGACACTATTACCAACCAACTTGATCTATCATACATCTAGAGAGCATTCCACCCAAAAACAGCAGAATACATATTTACTTCAAGTGCACATGGAACATTCTCCAGGACAGATAAACTAGGCTATACTACAAATCATAACACATTTAAAATAATTGAAATCATATAAAGTATGTTCTTCAATCAAATGGAATTAAACTGGAAATCGGTAACAGAAAAAAAAATTGTAAAGTCCACAAACATTTGGAAATTAAACAACATATTTCTTAATAACCCAAGGGTTAAAGAAGAAATCACAAGGGAAATAAGAAAGTATTTTGAGCAGAATGAAAATGAAAATACATATACCAAAATTTGTGGGTTTCACCTAAACCAACGCTTGGAGAGAAATTTATAGTTTTAAATGCCTATATTTAAAAAGACGAAAGATCTCAAAGCAATTTACTAATCTTACATCTTAAGATCCTTGAAAAAGAAGAAGAAATTAAGCCCAAGGCAGTCAAAAGAAAGGAAACAATAAAGATTAGAGTGAAAAACCATTGAATTAGAAAACAGAAAAATAAATAAATAAAATCAATGAAACCAAAACATTGTTTTTTGGAATCACTGACAAAATTGAAAAAGCAAAATTCAGCCAGGAAGAAAAGAAGGATGACACATATCACAAAAATTAAAGATGAAAGAGCAGAATTACCACTGAATCTTTAGAAATTAAAATAATTATAAAGTACTAAGAACAACATTATGTCAACAAATTGGATAACTTAGATGACATAAATTCTTAAAAAAATGAATTACTCAAACTGACTCAAGAAAAAATAGAAAATTTGAATAACAAATAAAGAAAATAATTTAATTGCCAGAAAGAAGAGCCTGGGTCAAGATGGTTCACTGGTGAATTCTATAAACCACTTAAAGGAGCAATAATATCAATACTCTACAAATTCCCCTGAAAATAAAAGAGGAAGAAAAACTTCTGAAATCATTTTATGAGGGCATTCTAAGAAGGCTGATACTAAAGTCAAACAAATACATCATCAAAAAAGCAAAAACCACAGACCAATATCCCTCATGAATATAGATACAAAAATCCTCAACAAAATGTTAGCAAACCAAATTCAACATATAAAAAGAATTAACACAACCAAGTGGAATTTATGCTAGGAATGGTAAGATAGTTTAAGAGCTAAAACTCAATTAATATAAAACACCATAGTAACAGAGAAAGAACAAAAACCACATGATCATCTCAATAGATACTGAAAACGCATTCAAAAAATTCTAACATCCATACATGATAGAAGCTCTCAACAAGCTTGGAATAGGCAGGAATTTCCTTAATGTGATAAAGCGCATCTACGTAAAATCTGCAGTGAACATCATACTTCCTCATAAAAGACTGAAGGAAGTCCCCTAAGATTGGGAACAGGATAAGAATGCTCTCTCACCACCTCTTTTCAACAATGTACTGGAAGTTTAAGCCAGTGCAATTAGATAGGAAGAAGAAATGAAAGGCATACAAAAGAAAGACATCTAGGCTGGAAAAAAGGAGATAAAATTGTCTTTATTTGAAGATAACATGATACCATGTGTAGAAATCCACAAACAAAGCCAAAGCTTAGAACTGAGAAGTACAGCAAGGTCACAGGATACAAGATCAACATACAAAACTAAATTGTATTTCTACATATGAATACAAAATCCAAAAATAAAATTGAGAATATGTTTCACAATAGCATCAAAAAGAATAAGATATTTAGGAATAAAATTTAAAATTATAGACTTCTATACTGAAAATTATAAAACATTGCTGAGAAGATCTAAACTAATGGAGAGATATTCTATATCTATGGATTGGAAGAGTCAGAATTAAGATGGTAATTATGCTCCAATTTATCTATGGATTCAATGCAGTACTTTTCAAATTTTCATCAGGCTTTTCCTTGTTGCGGTTTCAGAAATTGACAAGCTGATCATTAAATCTATATGGAAAGGGAAAGACCCAGATGATAAAGGAGTTTGAGAAACGAACCAAGTTAGAGGACTTTCACTTACTCATATCAAAATTTACTACCAAGCTACAGTCATCAAGACAACATAATACTGGCATAAGGACAGACATATGGATCAAAGGAAGAGAGTTGAGTCCAAAAATATATCCTTCTATGAATGGTCGATTGTCAATTGATATTCAACAAACCCACCTCAGAAATTCACTGAAGAAACAATTCGAGTTTTAACAAATTGTACTGGTACAATAAGCTATTGCCTGCAAAAAACTGCAAAGAAAGAAGGAAGGGAGGGAGGGAGGGAGGGAGGAAGGGAAGGAAGGAAATCCTTACCTCACAACACATGCAAATATTATCTCAATATGATTATAGACTTAAATGTAGGAGCTAAAACAATACAACTTATAGAAGAAAACAGAAAATCTTCAAGACCTTGTATTAGGCAAGGTTTTTTTTTTTGATATAACATGAAAAGCATGATTCATAAAACAAAAAAAATTAATAAATTGGATCACATCAAAATTCAAAATGTTTGTACTTCAGTAGACTTCATTAAGAAAACAAAAATAAAAGCAATAAATTGGGATAAAATATTTGCAAAATATGTGTCTAACAAAGAATTTATATCCAGAAATTACAAAGAAATCTTACACCTCAATAAGACAATCTAATCAAAAAATAAGACATACAGATGGCTAAGAAGCACTTGTAAAGCTCTTTAACATCGTTAGTTATTAGAAAAATGCAAATAGAAACCACAAGGAGACAGTTTCACACTCACTAGAATGGCTATAATTTAAAAAGTCAGGGCCAGGCACGGTGGCTCACACTGTAATTCCAGCACTTTGGGAGGCCGAGGCAGGAAGATCACAAGGTCAAGAGTTTGAGACCATCCTGGCCAACATGGTGAAACCCCGCCTCCACTAAAAATACAAAAATTATCTGGGTGTGGTGGTGCATGCTTGTAGTCCCAGCTACTTGGGAGGCTGAGGGAGGAGAATCGCTTGAACCCAAGAGGTGGTTGCATGAGCCGAAAACTCACCACTACACTCCAGCCTGGGTGACAGAGCGAGACTCCATCTGAAAAAAAAAAGTCAGACAATAATAAATACTAGCAAAGATTAGAGAAATTGGTACTCTCGTACACTGCTGATATCAATGTATGAATGGTACAATCATTTTGGAAAATAGTTTAGAAGTTTCTCAAAATGCTAAATATAGTTAGCACATAACTCCAGCAATCCTGCTCTTAGGAATATACTGAAGAGAGATGAAAACAGGTGTCCACACACAGGAAGGGGAACATCACACACTGGGGCCTCTTGTGGGGTGGGGGGATGGGGGAGGGATAGCATTAGGAGATATACCTAATGTTAAATGACCAGTTAATGGATGCATCACACCAACATGGCACATGTATACATATGTAACAAACCTGCACATTGTGCACATGTACCCTAAAAGTTAAAGTATAACAAAAAAAAATCACTAAGTAAAAGGAAAAGATAAAAACCTTACATGTATGAAAATATATTTTGGGTATCAAAAAAGGTTGTAGAAAGAAAATCATTTTAAGTAAACAATAATAATATATGATAAATTTTTGTCCTAATGTAAAATGACTGGTCAATTTTTTAAAAAGTATAGGAAAAAAACAGAAAATATAAACATGTCATGAAAAGTCTGAGTAAGTCACAAAAGGTTTGGAAAGGACAAATATATAGAGGAAATTTTTACAAGTTGCCTACAATTAAAAGGAAATTATTTTTGTCTTTCTAAATATTGAGCTTTGATATTAAAAATACACTAATACAAAAGTATAAATTTGGTCCCCTATATTAGAATAGCAAGGTTTTCCTAAAGTATTAATCTACTCAGTAAAATTTGCAAGAGGTTTTGATTTAACTCTAAAGTCTGTTTTTTTAAAAATAAACTTTTCAACCATCTCCTAAACTGTGGATTTACAGTTACAAGCAATGTTTTTCTTGATTCTATACTCTTGGCTTCTCTTGATGTGTCTAAATTTCTCTATGTAAGCAGGAAATTTCCCATGCTTTTACTAAAAGCCATGTATTTCCCTACTTAAGGTACTACTTTTCTTGTTTGCATTAAAAAAAAAAAGTGTCCACCCAAAGACTTGAACATGAATGTTCTTAGCAGTATTATCCATAATAGCTAAAACTTGGAAACATCCTAAATGTTCATCAACTGGTGAATGAATACTCAAAATGTGGTATAACCATACAACAGAATACTATTCAACAATAAAAAGGAATGAACTATAGACACATGTTAGAGCACTGATGAACCTCAAAAACATTATGCTCAGTGAAAGAAGTCTAACACAAAATACCATATATTGTATGATTCCGTTTATATAAAATTCCCAGAAAAGGCAAAGATATAAATACAGAAAATAGATTAGTGGTTGCTGGAGGTGGGAGCAGGGACAAGGGAGAGGGATTAACAGCAAATGCACATGAGGAATCATGCCAGGATGATAAAAATGTTCTAAAACTAGTTTGTAGTGATGGTTGCACAACTTGGTAAATTTACTTTAAAAATTTGGAACTGTACACGTCAAAAGGGTAAATTATCTGATATGCTAAATATGCTGAATGAAGTTATTATTAAAAACATCCAAAGCTCAACCTAACATTTAAACTGAAAGTTCTATAAAATACACACTGATTTTATCTTACCCAAGACACAAAAACTGTGAGGGTACAAGAGTGGGGGCTCTGGAGTCAGACAGATCTGACTTCAAATCTGACTCTTCCACTGATCAGTGATGTGACTGAAGCAAGTGATTTTGCCTCTCTGAGATTTATAATATTCATCTGTAAAATTGGGTCAATAAATGGCATTTCCTTGCAAGATCGTTATGAGAATTAAAGGAGGCAGGGTTCATAATGCGTTCAGCAAATGCTAGGCGTAGAGTAAATCCTTACTCATTGGTAGCTAAAATCATTAGCTACATTTTCAAATTATGTCTAGGCTTTTGCAAAATAAATTCTGCTTCAGCCATTTTTGTTAAACGATTACCCCTAGACATTCTTAATCTGGCAATTGTATTGTCACTCTCTTCACCTAAAGGTCTCTACCTCTCCTGCCACCAAAACTACTTATTTTTCAAGCTCCTTCTAAGCATTTCATTCCACTAGGGACCTTTCTCTCCTAAACTCTTGCAAATTACTATATCCATATCACTCATGTGAATGATAAGCACAGTCATACTATTGCCATTTACCTTCTCCTCAGCGTATATTTTGATTCATGTGCTACCACACTCCCCCTTGCCTGAGGGCTCTAAGGTATGGAATCATGCTACGCTTGCCTCGTCAGCTCAGGTGTAACTTTTAAATCCTTCTTCACCATCGTTCCTCGTAGCCAGAGTGGCAGGTGATTTGACAATTACTCTCCCTGAATCTAGATAAAATCTTTATGGTCATATATTTGCATCAAGCAATGCTCAGAGATTGTGGAATAAATAAAAATGTTTAGGAAAAAGTAAAAGTCCTTTAAAATACATATTAAGGTATTTGTAAAGTATATTTGTTAACATCCTTCTTTAGCTGCTGACAAAGAAGCCCATGACTATATCTTTTTACCCTGCTTTCGAAAGGGTTAAGAATCCAAGACTAGTAGATATTGACTCAGCAAAAATAGGCAAGAAAATAAGTTTAGGTGTGTTAAATATCTAACTTGTAAAGAAATTCTGACCCCTCTGTTAAACTCTATTGAACTCTCTCAAAATACTGCAAACATTAAGTAGCAAATTAGTGAATGAAGCCATGGACTACAGTTGATACAATTAATCTTTCTTATTAGCAACAACTTAGAATTTCTGTTTCTTAAAGTAGAAGGATGCTTTGTAAGAATATTTCCCCTTCTTTCACTTTCCATAATTCTTCCAAAAGAAAAAAAATCAGACATTTTCCAGAAGTTTAGACATCAAAATTTCAACCAAAAGACCTGTCTTTATCACAGGAAGTAACTGTTCTTGCTAAGGTTTTCATTCTTCAAACGATTTCTAAATTGCCCCCTTCTTTTTTTAAAATACATTTACAACAGATAACGACCTACATCCTTCCATTATTCGTCACTTTTGATAAGATCTTCACTTTTCTCATTTATTCTTTGGTCTTGTCTCTATCAATTATGAGTTATTGAAAATTTTGATAAAACTTCATGGTTATCCCAGTTGGAGACTTGGAGCAGCAGTTTCCTGACCTTGCCTGAACACTGACTGTGTGTGTGACTGACCCTGGATAAGAGAGACTTTCAAATATACACTGGGCTCAAAATACTCGACTGCACAGTCATGTTGAAAAAATAACTGAGACCACAAGTATGAAAATACTTCAGTGATTTGGGATCAAAATTCAAATTCATTATTATGTTCATTGTATTTCCTCTTCAGCTCTGAATGGGTGGGTGCACCAGAAACAAACCCTCATCCGACCATTGAAGTTCAAAGATACCACCTGGTTAGTCGATTTCATCTTTTCTTTTATTCATTAAGTAGGGGAATGGACTTAGTAAATTAAACTTGGGTCTTTCTGTTTGGAAGGAGGCAGGGATTCAGGGCAGAGGGTTCGTTTTGAGTCTTGGCTCCAACACATAAAGCTTTGAGCAAATTGCTTGAACTCTGCAGTCAGTGTCCTCATCTGCAAAATGGGAGCAAGGATCAAAGGTTATGAAACCCTTGAGTGCTGCTTAGATGTAAATGCTTATTAAATATTTAGCAACTCTATTTCAAAAGGATGCATGTTCAATATTTGAGGAGCTCTAACACCTATTAGCCCTATTATTTGTTCCATTGTGTATTTCTCAATAAGCTCTCTCTTCTGCCCTCCACCCTAAGCAGAAACTGGATTTTCAAAACAAATCAGTTTTGCAAGAACAAAGAAAGAGAGAGACTGATTTGCCAACATACCAAAACTAAAAGGAGATTGTTAAGAATGGCTTGTATGTTATTACAGCAGAATCTGAAAGAAAGGGGTAGAAAGAAAGCTTCATTACTGCCCAAGCCAATTTGACTTCTGCAAACCTAATTAAACATGCCTTGAGTATATAAAATATATCATCCTCAGATAACACCATGCTGTTAAATTCTTCATCTTATTAAGAGCTTGCATTAATGCTTCTTCAACATAAATTTTATACCCAGACAGGTACTGTTTGAGAAGGCTCACAATAGGAATGACCTAAATTAGGGTGACAGAGGCAAAAGATGGATCACCAGTGACTGTCTCAACAAGAAGAGGAATGAGGATTCCATCTTCCATTATGGCCCAGTTCTAATGTGATAACATTATCTCCTGAAAGAGCTTCCTTCCTCAGGCCTTAGGCTACCCTGGAACTTTGCATTGGGCTGAGGGATTTCATAATCCAGAGAAATAAACCCCAACCCCCAGAGTCGTGATGTCAATACCCAAAGGCCCCTAGGGACCCTTGAAACCATACTTTACAAATGAGGAAAATGAGGCCCAAATAGGTGACCTGACCGAGGTTGCAGATATAGGTACCTATTATAGCATTTTGAGAGAAAAGAAAGCTAATATATGTAAGCCAATATAGGTGTATGATATCCACCAGAACTATCTGACCACTAAACATACAAATAAGCAAATTAAAAAAAAAAACATGAAATGTTATCAAGTGATCTGATTGGTCCATACCTCTCATATTTTCCTTTGCTGTCCTAAAACATTATTCTGTTTCATGTCATGAACCCCTACCCTTTAGATATTGCCTCCCCAATGCATTTTTCTCTCCAGCCTATATTTAAGTTGTCCCTGGGGATGCCCCTCTCCATAGGATCAAAGGTAAAGCCAAAGTCAACAAAAGTAGCATGGCCTACCATAAGATTCCACCATAAGTGACTACTAAAATCTTTACCAGGTTAACTTTCTTAAAACAAGTTCAGCTTATATAACTACCCTAAACTTTCATGGTTTCCTCCATTGCTAACTAAATCAAAGTCAAACTTCTTTAAGGAGACTGATGTTCAAGGCCATTCGCTCAAGTACCCAGAGTCATCTTTTATTATTTTCCTATGCTCTAGCCCAGGCAATCTTAATTTGACTGTACAACTGGAATCACTGGAGGAGATTTAACAGCTGATGAGCGCTCAGACCCAACCCCAGATCAATTCAAGTATAGTCTCTTGTTAGTGGGAGGGGTACATGAGAGGCAATGTAATACAGTGCTTAAGAGCACAGCCTCTGGGACCAGACAGCCTGGCCTTATGACTTGGCTATGCCACTTACTTGTTGTATGGTCATAGGCAAGTGACCTGTCCTCTGCCTCAGTTTACTCTTTATAAGATGAGGAAGATAATAGACCACTTTTGTAAGAATATTCTGAGAATTAAGTAAACTAACACATGCAAAGTACATAGAATTATGTCTAGCACATAGAAATCCCTATATAGTATTGCTATTATTATAATACTTGAAGATATGGGACAGTGATTTGTTTATGAGGATTAATACATTTTTCTGATTTAAATGTAATTAAATGTTGCTTTAAATAGCCCCTAACACTGTGCTGGAAAAAAAAAAGTCAGTTTCAAGGAGTATTTTGGTATTACAGAAGCTCCAGCATTTAATACTGAGAACAAACATCCTGAAAAAAAATAGCAGGATAAATGAAACTTCAAGACATTATGCTAAGTGAAATAAGTCAGACACGAAAGGACAAATATTGTCTGATTCCACTTATATGAGGTACCTAGAGTAGTCAAATTCAAAAAGTAGAATAAGTATTCTGGAACGGGGAGTTTTGGGGGAAAGGGGAGTTATTGTTCAATGAGTTCAGTGGGTACAGCGTTTCAGTTTGAGACGATGAAAAAGCTCTGGAGAGGAACGTTGGTGATGGCTGCACAACAGTGTGAATGCATTGAATGCCACAGAACTGTACGATTAAAACGGTATGCTTTATATTATGATATTTTACCATAGTAAAAAGAATGTTGAGAGTTTTTTAAAAATCGCAAAAATATAGAATATATTTAATATAGTTTAGGTGTAGTTAAATGTAGTTTTCCCTGATTACAAGATTACTTTCGGTTTATTAAAATCCCACTTGTATTCTTTCATCTCTTTCATGTTCCCCAGGTGAAGGCCACATTTCAATAATTTTTTTTTTAAATTTATGACCTCACTTTTAATAGGTACAATGGGAAATTGACCCAACCACAAAAACATTCCTCAGTGGTATCCGTTGCAGTGAGCTGGAGCTATAGAGAATGCTCTGTGACTTGCAGGGTTCCCCCAAACAGAAAATCCTGAGCATTAATAGGGAAAATTTCACTGACATTGTAAAGTTTCTGTAGAGCTGACATTTGATTGATGCTGTGACAGCTTTTTCAAACCTTATATACTGTCAGTGCAACCATATTAGAGACCGCTCTTGACTTTGTAAAGTCATTTAAAAAACTTGGGCGGGGCTGGGGTGAGGATTAAAAAAACACTTCATTGACATCCCAAGGGCTCTTATATTGACAGAATAACGCCCCTCACCTTGGGATCATTTCCTTGGGAGAAAAAATATATATGTGTATAATATATATAACTTCTAGGGACAATGTGTTGGCTCTGCAATTCCTTCAGATTCATTAAAGGGCCAATGGAATGACGACTGCATACATTTACGCATCGCATGAGACACTTCTACTGAAATTCAGTTGTGACTGTGAATGCTTCAGACCAGACACAATTTTAACATTTTCTGCTAGTGGAGTGGGAAGACCAAATAGCTATTTCAAATTCACATTTCCCTTTTCCAATTGATTGTGGCACTCCCCCTGGAACGCCCCCATATTACAACAGCTCTAACTTTCCAATTCATTTTCACTGGAAAAGTCTAAACATGAAGCAATACCTTCTACTCTACCAGTCACTGTGGTTCCCCTAAGGGTATTTTTGTGTTGAAGCAAGTCACTGAGTAGCAGACTGATAGCTTTTTGTCTTCCAAAGCTCATTGACTAAGAAAATAATACACATAAAGGCAGTCTATTCCGACAATATCTCAAGGGGAAAATAGTCCATTGCCACCCACTTTTAGTGATGGTGACAGAGAGGGTTAGATAATAAAGCACCTTGGGGTCTGCAGAAAATAACATGCCAATACTATATGTTTTGATGGAAAAAGTAAAAGAAAAATTATAAAAACCATACTTGTTTAGGACATATAGAAGAAGGTACCCACTGTCACTTTTGATTAGAAGAGTGCTTAAAAAAGATCCATTGGTAGTAGGCATTTCACTCAACTTGTACATTGGTTTACTAAATGAAAATTCAAAAATGCAAGGGGCATTGAAATGGCATTTTGTTATTCAGAAAATGCCACCTATTCATACTTTTAGGGACTGTCAATGCTCAAAGCCATATACTTGATATGGTGACTTGAAATCCAATTGTTTGATGATTTTTTTTCATGGTATCGCAAATCAAGTGTTCAATTTCAATAGAGTAATATTTTAAAATTTTAAGGATAAACATATTTCTGCAACAGGTGCCAGAACTGTATCTTATTTTATAAATATTTTTACTCTAACCTGCATAAAAGCAGCATAATTAGGAAAAAGGATCAAGGAACATGGAATTATATTTCTGTTTAGAATTTTATAAACACAGCTATGCTTTCCTTCTAGTGCTGTGATCTGCAGCTGTAAAACATCCTTAACACTATTTTTTAATAATATGATTTTACTTAAAATTGCTTCCTTCCTCTATATATGTTTCTATAAAAAACAAACTTATGTTTAAAAATTTTAGACTTATTTTAGAGAGATTGAGAAACAATTCACTTATGTACTCAAAGTCAAAAATTCTAGAGCTTCATGTTTAAAATGACAATAAAAGCAGAAAGCAAATAAAACTGAATGATTATGCAAAAAAAAGAAAAACAACCCATTTACATGATGAGATGACGGCATTATAAGCAATTTTTTCTTACATTTATCTTATTTGAATATTGTATTTTGAAGTAAAGAAATACTAAAATGTATCACTGTTTTATCATTTACCAAGTGTTTTAACATTTCTTTATTTTCCCAAGACACCATAAAGATGGGTAGTGCAAAGACTATTGGTTCTGTTTTGTGGTTGAGGATGATGTTCTTAGAGACTGAGGCAAAGAAAGGAGGAAAACATAGCCTTATAGCATCTCAACTTGAAGGATGACAAATACATGTAAATCAACAGAAATCCAGTTGGGATTGTAACTCATAATAATAGAGCTCTTTATGCTGGCAGTAGCAAAGAATCATTTCTAGCATCCAGCTTTGTTCAGCATTCCCAGAACCAGCCTCATGGAGCAGAACCCAAAAGTACTTCCACCAGCTGAACACCCCGACACCATCCTCAGAAGTCTGAGCTCCAGCACCAAGGAGTCTCTTCCCAGATTCCTGGTGTGATAACCCCAACTTCTTCCCCTTTTTCTTCAAGTCTTAGGCATGATAGCTGCTTCCTGTAGTCATTAGTTTTTCATTACCTCAGTTTTCTCCTTTTGCTTTTTGAGACTTCTCATACCTGTTTAACCAGTTCCATTAAATTCTCTCTGTTGAAATAAAGTGGATCTGTTTTCCTGGCTGGATGCTAATAGAAACATGTAAACAATACATATTTTAAAACATTTATTTGTGTGTATATCTATATATCTACATATAGATATATATATTTCTGTTAATCTGATAACCCAGAATGTCACATTTTTTAGTATAGCCCTACTCAAAAAATTGAACATTTATTCACACGATTCTGTGTTCCTGGATATTTGTTATTTGTAGCCTTTAAGGGGATGGCAGCTAGCCAATTGTTTTCCCTCCATATTTCCCAGGCTCCATTGTTAAATGGGCACATGGCTTCTCTTCATATGCACGTTTTACAAAATGAGGCATCCTCATCACTGAAGCTAAAACAATGGTATTACATGTAGTTTATTGTCACTCATGTAATCTTACAGTTACCTCTAATAATATTCTGCATGCGATTACATCCAGAGTACAAAGTAAATAGCTATTTTTTTTCTAGAATAATGGAATGAATCCTGCTAATCTATTTCAAATTTAAACATATGGTATTTGGGGCCAAATTCAGAAACAAAGCCAACTATGGTTCAACTCCTCCAAGCTTCAGCTTGGTCTTTATTTTGCAGTATTTTAACTAACATCATATCTCTAAAGATTTCAAGGGGTACGTGATACTTGGATAAGAACTAGCTCTAGCAAAATAATATTCTGATGAGTTAAGTGTAAATGAATCAGAAACATACGAACTGTATTTCCCTTGAAACACACAGGGATTTAAAAGTTAATGGAAAAAGTGCTGGCAACTCACATTTAGAGCTTTTATTGAAACCAGGATGTTTGAATAAACATTAGACATTCAACTAACTGAAACTGAAAAAGGGTTCACCAATCCTTAATTATAACAGTGCTTTAAATGATGAGGAAACATGTCACATTCAAGTTTCAGACAGAAAGCTTTACTTGGCAGACATACTTTTGGTTCGAAAAACCTCTACAGTCATATTATGGCAACCAACTGAGATATTAAAACAGACAGTGAAGTTTTAAACTCAGTCTGGCAAGCACCACGAGACAATAACTACCAATTGGAAATTTAAAAAAGAAAAAAAGGAGTGGTGAGAGGGTAATGATTAAGTTTTGAAAGAAAGAGCTGGACACGTAATTTAGAGAGTATGCCTTCTTAAATGGACTAATAATGAGCTAATCACATAAGAGCTGAAGAGTAGTGTATGTTTGGGTTTCTGCTTTCTGATCAGGGGTTGTAACTTGGGGCCACAAACCAAGATAACTTGTAAGTAGGAAATGGACAGACCTATGATGGAATTTTGATTTCTCTGATGCCTAATGTTGAATTAAGCCAATAGTGGTCCAAGTGGAACTTGTATGATAAGACAGCTTGGGACAACATAATGCAAATTCCCCATGGCCTAAAAATCACCTCTGGCAGCTTGTCCAGAGCCCCGCTTGAAATAAATCAGAAGCAAAGTTAACTGTACGATACTTGTCAAATCTTAGCATGCATCAGCCAAACCTTAGCTTGCATCAGAATCATCTGGAAAGCTTATTAAAACATGGCTTTCTGCCTGCCCCACCTGCTACCCCCTGCCAAGTTTCTGCTTCAGTAGGTCTGGGGTGGGTCCTGATAATTTGCATCTTTAATGAGCGCCCAGCTGAAGCTGATGCTGCTGGTCTAGGCCATCAACTAAGAACCACAGGCTCAAACACATGATTAGGGACTGTTCTAAGCCACTACTAACTGTAGAAGCAGGTTTGCGTCTTTACATTAGCAAACTAGAAAAGGGCTTCAGGGTTACTAGCTCTGCTTTGTCCCCTAACAGACCAGAGAAGCTTAAGGAATTGTCTGGTATATAAAGAGACTAACAGCTTTACATCAAAATCAACATAAATGGTTTGTAAACTAAACACCTATTGGAAATAGCTATAAGAAAGATTTTAAAAATAAATAAACTGGGAGTCACTCTTTTCACCACATTTGACCTTCTGCTGAGAAACAATTTTCAGAACTTCTAACTAGCCTGATAGATCAAGCTCCAAAATTGGTGTCTTTAGAATAATTTTGATGGAACTTGTTCTTTGTGAGCGACGCAATGTGCTGCACAACTTAGCCAACCAGCATTATTCCTCGCCTTCCATAATAGATGCATTCACATCCCTCTGGCTCCTGGTATTTCACCAAATCTCAGATGGCATAATCTCAGAAATCCATTCCAAACCATCACGCTTTCTGCAGGAATCATGCTATCATTTGGATATTTGTTCCCCCAATCCTCAAGTTGAAATTTGATCCCCAGTGTTGGAGGTGGGGCTTAGTAGGAGGTGTTTGGGTCAGGGAAATGAATCCCTCATGAATGGCTTGGTGCTGCCCTCAAGGTAGTGAGTGAGTTCTTGCTCTAGTAGGTCCCATGAAAGCTGGTTGTTAAGAAGAGGTTAGTACCTATCCCTTCTCTGTCTCTTGATTCCTCTCTGGCCATATGATCTGTGCACACACCAGCTCCCCTTCACCTTCTGCCATGAGTGGAAGCAGCCTGAGGCCTTCACAAGATGCTGGCACCATGCTTCTTGCACAGTCTGCAGAATGGTGAGCCAAATAAACCTCTTTTCTTTATAAATTACTCAGTCTCAGGTATTCCTTTATAGCAACACAAACAGACTAAGACAAATTACTTGTACAAGCTATTGCACAAGATTTTTAATTCTGTAATTGAATATCTGCAAGAATAAGAAACAAATTACCTTTCATGACAAAACGTACTTTCATTCTGAGGATAATAATTCATGTGTAGTTTCTTGTGTGAACTTGTTTTTATTCCTCTAAGGTAAATACCTACTAGGGAATAGCTAGGTTATATAAGTGTGTATTTAACTTTACTGGAAACCACTGAACTATTTTCCAGAATGGCTATGTAATTTGGCATTCCCATCAGTAATGTTTGAAAATTCCAGTTGCTCCACATTCTCACCAGTGCTTGGTATAATCAGGGTATTTAATTATAGCCTTTCCAAAAAATGTATAGTGGCATCTGATCTTGGGTTTAATTTGCATTTCCTTAATGGATAATGATATTGAGCATCTTTTCATGTGCTCATCTGCCTTCTGTGTATCCTCATTGGTAAATTGTCCAAATTTTGCCCATTTTCAAATTTCTCACTATTGAGTTTTGAGGGTTTTTTATAAATTCAGGCTATAAGTCCTTTGTTGGAAATGTAATTTTTAAATACTTTTATCCCAGGCTGCAGCTTGATTTTCATTTTCTTAACAATGTGTTTTGCAGAGCATAAGATTTTAATTTTGATGATGTCCAACATATAATTATTTTCTTTTAGGGATTGATTATATTTTGATGGCATGTCTAAGAATTCTTCACTTAACCACAGATCACAAAGTTTTCCTCCATGTTTTCTTCTAAAAGATTTATAATTTTATGCTTAGATGAAAGATCCATTTTGAGTTAATGTTTATATAAGGTATGAGATTAGGTCAAGGTTTATTTTCTTGCATATGGTTTTTCCATTGTTCCAAGACTATTTGTTGAAAAGACTATGCTTTCTCCAAAGAATTGCTTCATCTTTTTAAAAAACTCAGTTGGTATACTCATGTGGGTCTATTTCTGGACTATATTCCAGTCATCTACGTGTGATCCCTTGACAATAACACACAGTCTTGACTATTGCAGCTATACAGTAAGTCCAAAAATTGAGTAGATTGATTCTTCTGGATTTATTCTTTTTTCAAAATTGATTTTGACCATTGTAAATCTCTTGTCTTTTCATAAAAATTTTAGAACCAGACATTCTATTCTTACAAAAAAATATTCTTGAATTTCAAATGAAATTTTATTAAATCTATAGATCAATTAGGAAATAATTGATATCTTCACTATGTATAGATCTTCCAATTCATGAACACCAGATGTAGCTCCATTTATTTAGTTCATTTTTTATTTCTTTCATCAGTGTTTTATAATTTTCAGCAAATAGCTTTTAAGGATGTTTTGTCAGATTTGTAACCAAGTATTCCATTTTGCAGCAGCTATCATAAACAGTAATTTTTTAAATTTTGGTTTCCTATTTTTCAATGATATTGTCTAGAAATACTATCAATTTTTGTGTTGATTATGGATCCTGTCTTTGATAGACTCACTCATTTCTGAGAATATCTTAAATATTCCTTGGGATTTTCTACATTAATAATTATATCATCTGTGAATAGGTGACGGTCTTATTTCTTCTTTTCCAATATGAGTGCCTGTTATTTCTTCTTCTAGCTTGGTTGTACTGGATTTTCCTAGCTTGGTTTGCAGTGTGATGTTGAATAAGAGTGAGGAAAGTGTACATCTTTGCTTTGTCCCCTGTCTTAAAGGGAGAACATTTCTCTATAAGACAGCCTCTTAAGTAGGTTGTTAGCTGTAGGTTTTTTAAAAAATAGATTTTATCAGATTGAAGAAATTTTCTTACATTTCTAGTTTGCTGGGAGATTTTATTATTAATGGTTTTGAAATTTGTGGAATCATTTTTCTGCATCAATTGATATATTCATGTGGATTTTCTTATTTAGGCTATTAATCTAGTGGATTACATTGATTGACTTTTAACTATTGAACCAGCCTTGCAGTACCAGAATAAATCCCACTTGGTCATGGTGTATTAATTTTTATAAACTGCTGGATATGATTAGCTAATATTTTCTGAGGATTTGTGTATCTATGTTCATGACAGATATTTTCCTATAGTTTTCTATTTTTGTACTGTCTTTGGTTTTAATATTGGGGTATTCTGGTGTCATAAAACATGTTGGGAGGTATTTTCTCCGCTTCTCAAGATTGGGCATAATTAGGATTATTTCTCCTCTAAATGTTTAGTGGACTCATCCAGTGAAATTATTTGGGTCTGAAGAGTTCTTTTTCAGAAAGTTTTTAGCTATGAATTCAATATCTTTAATAGTAGAAGACTATTGAAATTACCCACTTTGTACTGGGTGAGCTTTGGCAGTTTATAGTTTTTGGGGAAAAGGTAAATTATTTTGCTGAATTGGTATGCTTTGAGTTGTTTGTAGTATTCCTTTATTATCCTTTTAATGTCTGTAGTGATGTTCTCTCTTTTACTCCTGGTGTTAAGAATGTGTGTCTTTTCTCTTTGTCAGTTTTCTTAGAGGATTGTCAATTTTATTGATATTTCAAAGAATCCACTTTCAGTTTCACTTGATATTTTTATTTTTTAATTTTATTTCTATTTTTTAAATTTCATTGATTTCTCCTATCTTTATTATTTCTTCATTCCTGCTTATTTTGGTTAACATTTCTCTTTTTTTCTAGTTTCTTAAGGTGGAAGGTAAGATTAATTCTTTGAGATCTTTCTTCTTTTCTAATATAAGCAGCTAATGCTATAAATTTTCATTTAAGTACTGTTTTAGCTACAACCCACAAATTTTGTTATGTTTTGTTTTTATTTTTGTTTAGTTCAAAATATATTCCAAATTCCCTGAGATTTCCTCTTCAGCCCATGGATTATTTAGAAGTGTGTTGCTTAATTTCCAAGTGTTTGGAGTTTTTTCTGTTATCTTTCTCTTATTGGTTTCTGGTTTTATACATTGTATTCAGAGAGCATTTTTAATGATTTCAACTATTTTAAATGTGCTAAGATTTGTTTTATGTCCCAGGATATGATCTGTCCTGAAGATGCTCTACATACTTTGAAAAGGCTATTATTCCGTTGGTTTTTGATGGAAGGTTTTAAAAACGTCAATTTGATTCCAGTTGGTTGATAGTGTTGTTCAGTTCTGCAGCCTTACTGATTTGCTGTCTGCTAGGTTTTTCAATTGCTTTAAGAGGAAGTTTAAAATCTCCAACTACAATTGTGGACTTGTCTGTTTCCTTTCATTTCTGTCAGTTTTTGCTTCAGGAATTTTGAAATTCTGTTGTTAGGTGAATTCAGCATGTGAGGGCATCTGGAGGATAATAATCGCATTGGGTTTTCTGTGACCTGAGATTTTCTATGGCTGCAGCAGTCCTGGGTAAGAATGAAGAAGAAGGGAGCAAAGCAGGAGGTAAGGGGAGAAAGATGGGTAACAGATTCTAAACATACTTGTGTGGCCCTAAGAATTAGTTGGTGGGCAACAGGGAGCAAAAAGAGACATTTAAGCAGACAGTAACTGTATTAGTCTGTTTTCATACTGCTGATAAAGACATACCCGAGATTGGGCAATTTACAAAAGAAAGAGGTTAATTGGACTTACAGTTCCACATAGCTGGGAGGCCTCACAATCATGGCAGAGGCAAGGAGGAGCAAGTCACATCTTACATGGATGGCAGCAGGCAAAGAGAGAGCTTGTGCATGGAAACTCCCATTTTAAAAACCATTTAGATCTTGTGAGACCCATTCATTATCACAGGAACAGCATGGGAAAGACCTGTGCCCATGATTCAATCATCTCCCACTGGGTCCCTCCCACAACATATGGGAATTATGGGAGCTACAAGATGAGATTTGGGTGGGGACACAGAGCCAAACCATATCAGTAACATAATCAGATTTTTATTTCTTAAGTATATTTCGGAGGACATTTTAGATAAAGTTCAGGATTCCACAGGGGGAGATATGAACTTGAAATACATGCATACATAATTCTAATGAATGGACTTGGGAATCTGATGACAGCAGCATTGGAAGGGGTGAATTTTATTAATTTAGATCAGAAAAGCATTCAGAAAGAAATAGACCTTGTATATACACACCAGCACTGGGACCTACTATAGTTTTTCTCTGTATGGGTAAAGAGGGGAGAGAGAATTATTTTATATATAGCAGTTCAGCATACTCATTATAAAGTTAGCATTAAAAGTTTAATGGAAAGGCCAATTTGCCAATTTGCTGCCTGTCCCTGTGAATGGCCTTATTAATAAATAATGCATATTGTTTAATGAAAAAAAGTCAAGGTAAAAATATAAAACATTTAAATGGGATGTCTTTACAAAAGGTCATTGCCCTTTCCAAATATTTTTTGATGAGTTCTTCTACCAAGGAAAGTTGTTTTTAAATGCATAGTTAGCATACAATGCATACTCCAGCAACTTAAGAATATCTAAGTGTACTTTGATAGGAATCCAAAGTTGTCTTCAAAAATGTTTACCAAAAGTCAAAATGATGGTCTGCCACTTATGTACTTATAAAGGTCTACAAATAATAATAAACAATAACTTCTCACAAAATAAGAAGTTTATCATATGCTGTCCTGGCAGGACAGCAGAAAACAGTTGCTACATCAAAGGAATGTTGAGAGGAGTTGAAAAGAAATTATTTACAAAGATGTGGTCAGGGTTCAGGGAAATCAACAAAGAATGGTGAAACACACCAATGCTAGCAACTGCAGGGAGCTCACTCTTTGACTTGAAGGACTACAAGGAAGGAGTGATTTCCAAAGTAACTGTGAAGAACACCCTCTACTCTCACCCAGCAAACTGCTGGAGTGTTACTTCACTCTCCTTCCACCCTCTTACTCTCTGCTGGAAACCCCCATTGGCCAAACCCAATAGGATGCAATGGATTGACCCACAAAGGTGAACCTCCTGGAGCCAGGAACAGGGTAGAGAAGAATAGAGAGTAGATTGGCAGGGTGAGGGATGGCCAGACAACTGAAAGCATTGAGAATGGGTACACGAAAAACAAAATTCTTATTGGGCATTTCATAATTGAAATAATTCCACCTCCACTGGCCATTATACACACACACACACACATTCACACATATACCCTGATTCTTCTTATGGAGAAAATAGTTATAAGTCTCGTGTATTTTTTTTTTTTTTTACTAAAATTCAAGCCTTTGATTCTCCTAGTGCCAGTTGAAAGACTGATGTTGTACATTAGAATTCCAAGCCCAGATGTTTCATCACATGGATAAATTATGTTACTTTCTAACAAATATAGTTACAAGAACTATACTTGCATTTGACCATTATATTAACTGACTGGGCTTGGAGTTGGGAAAGCAAATGGTCAAGTAACAAGTCTAAAATTCTCATGCATCCCTGAAAGTAGTTAAATGTCTCAATGATTTAAAGTGCTTGAGGCTTTAAGTGGTTCATTCAGGAGGCAAACTGAGATCATTCTGTGTCCTTGTCTTTTTTTATCATCACTTGATCACAATCCCTCTAATGAGATGAAGGGCTTCTTCCATGTGAAATAGGGACTCAAGTATGCTTAAAGCAATTGAATTATGTTTCTTTTGTACAGGTGCTTCACTGATTTGCCACCTTTTATATCCCTCAGGATTTGGCTGGGGCAGGAGCTCACTGGTCTTATCCACTACTGAAACCTTAAGAATGAGCATAGTGCTTCCCACACAACAGATACCAAGAAGATATTTTTTTGACTGACAAAATTAATAAATTTTATTTTTTATTTTTTGTCAGATTTTTTTCCATAGGTTATTGGGGAACTGGTGGTGTTTGGTTACATGAGTAAGTTCTTTGGTGGTGATTTGTGAGATTTTCGTGCACCCATCACCCGAGCAGTATACACTGCACCCAATTTGTAGTCTTTTATCACTCACCCCTTTCCCACCCTTTCCCCCTAAGTCCCCAAAGTCCATTGTGTCATTCTTATGCCTTTGCATCCTCATAGCCTAGCTCCCACTTATGAGTGAGAACATATGATGTTTGGTTTTCCATTCCTGAGTTACTTCACTTAGAATGATAGTCTCCAATCTCATCCAGGTCATTGCAAATGCCATTCATTCATTCCTTTTTATGGCTGAGTAGTATTCCATCATATACATATATATATACCACAGTTTCTTTATCCACTTGTTGATTGATGGCCACTTGGGTTGGTTCCATGTTTTCGCAATTGTGAATTGTGCTGCTATAAATATGCATATGCAAGTATCTTTTTCGTATAATGACTTCTTTTCCTCTGGGTAGATACCCAGCAGTGGGATAGCTGAATCAAATGGTAGTTCTACTTTTAGATTTTAGGGAACCTCCATGCTGTTTTCCATAGTGGTTGTACTGGTTTACATTCCCACCAGCAGTGTAGAAGTGTTCCCTATTCACTGCATTCACACCAACATCTATTATTTTTTCATTTTTTTATTATGGCCATTCTTGCAGGAGTAAGGTGGTATCACTTTGTGGTTTTGATTTGCATTTCCCTGATCATTAGTGATGCTGAGAAATTTTTGTATGTTTACTTTTTTAATAGATTAACAAATGAACTAGACAGGCAACATAGCACTAGGAAGGACATCTTACTCTAATGCAGAACTTATCCTGTGTCCTGGCTCTATTCTTTTAGCTGTGTATTGTCTTCAGGGAGGTCACTTAACATCTCTGAGTTTCAGTGTCTTCAGCTGTGAAATAAGAAGAAAAAAACAGAAAACAATCCTACACAAGGTTGCCAAAGGATCATGGGAAATAATATGTTTGAAACTGTTTGGGAAATGTAAGACATTTAAAAACATACACTATTTTTACTACCGAAGTTGGTTACTGTGATGGTTAAGTTTGTGTGTCAACTTGACTGAACTAATAAGGGATGAATGGTGGCAGGTAAATATTATTTCTGGGGGTATTTATGAGAGTGTTTCCAGAAGAGATTAGCATTTGAATCAGTGGAATGAGTAAAGATCACTCTCATCAACATGGGTGGGTATCATCCAATCTGTTGAGGGCCCAAATAGAACACAAAGCTGGGGAAAAGGCAACTTTGCTGTCTTTCTTAGAGCTGGGACATCCATCTTCTTCTGCCCTTGGGCATTGGTACTCCTGGTTCTCAGACCCTCAGGCTCAAACTGGGACTTACACCATTGACTTCCTTGGGCCTGCAGCTTGCAGACGGCAGGTCATGGGACTTCTCAGCCTCATGATTGTGTGAGCCAATTTTCATAATAAATATTTATATGTACATAGATCTTATTAGTTCTTTTTCTCTGGAGAATCTTAATACAGATTTTTGTGTCAAGAAGTGGGCATGTTGCTGTAACAAATGCCTAGAAATGTGGAAGCAGCTTTGGAATTGGGTAATGCGTTGAGGCTGGAAGAGTTTCAAGGTTCATGCTAGAAAAAGAAAATAAAAACAAAAACAAAAAAAAACCTACATTGCCATGAATGTCCCACGAAGGGCAATTCTGATGAAGTCCCAGAGAGAAAGGAGGAAAGTTTGCTGTAGAGAAAACCTCAATCTTCTTACAGAATTCCAAAGTGGTCACGAACAGAACGTTGGTAGAAATATGGACAATAAAGGCTATTCTGATGAAGACTCAGATGGAAATGAGGAAGAGGAACATGTTATTGGGCAATGGAAGAAAGGCAATTCTCATTATAAACTGGAAGAGAACTTGGTTGAATTGTGTTCATGTTCTAGTGTTTTGTGGAAGGTAGAATTTGTGAGCAAAGAAATTGGATATTTGGCTGAGGAAACCTTGTTTTTGTAGATCACAGAACTTCATTAAGATAGAATCACTGCTAATTACCTAGAAGCTACTTGTCGAAGCCAAAATCCACGAGGTTAATATAAACTTACAGTTACACAAATTAGAAGCAAATGGCATATTCAAAACCATAAGGAAAGATCCTTATGCCAAGGTGATGAAGGCTGAAGTAAATATGTCTGCACATTTATTTCAAGCTGTTAAAGAGTTTGTGGGTCACTCAGTGGTCCCTTGCATGCAAAAAGTCCAAAGCTCCTCCATGGCATTCTCTTCTTTGTGACTGGAAGGATATACACTCATCACAGAGCTCTAGCCACTCCTGGCCTTTACACATTTCTCCAGCTGCTTGCATTGCTCTCTTTCTGTTGTTGGGGGATCCAGTAATTCCTCCTCTTGCTCTTCCTCCTCCATGAGATCTTCGGACCTGGTCAGTATCTTTCACTCATCTTCCAGTCCCATGTCTGGCTATGGTTCTGAATTCAACACACTCAAGCAGCAACAGCGGCACCTAATCCACCTCAGAATCAAGAAGGACTTATCAGCTGAGGAAAGTTTTAAGCAGTGTTGAAAGTACAGTTGGCTTCTCTTGACTGCTTCTTGCAAAGTGTGAGAAGAGAGAAATGACTTACAAAATAATTATTAATGAAAAGGGAAGCAGAACTTAAAGATTTAGACAATTCACAGCCTATTCATGTTAGAAAAAAAATGAGAAAGCCTGTATGGAAGAGAACATGAAGGGTGTGACCAAATTTGATAAGGAAAGTAGCATGGATCAGCTATCTCAATGGAGCCAGGTGCTATTCATCAGGACAATGGGGAGATTAGTCAGCCATCTAAATAGAAGTCCAAATAAGATGTATTGCACACTCTATTGTCCAATACAATGGAAGAATGACCCCAAAGACATTTTGGAGAACATCAAGGCTATACTTAAAATCACAGGCCAAGAATTCAAACACCCAGGGGGCCGAGCAATTTCAAATGAGGGGCCACTACTGTTCAGCACATCACGTCATGGGCTTCCTTACCCCAAACTCCATAACCGTACTCCTCAATCACTCCAGGTATGAGTCCCATGTGCTGCACCCAGCAAAGCTGTAGAGGCATGGCTGCCTCCACCTAGATTTTAAATTATGCCACAGGACCCAGACAGAGGGCTGCCTGTGGGGAAAAGCCATTGCAAGGAGCCCCAACAAGGACAATGCCCAGCAAGGCCATGGGGTAGGGCTACCCAGAGTCATGGGTATGGGGCTGCAACCACAGTGGGTCCTGAAGACAGGACCACTGTCCCAGTGGGTCTGGATAAGCCAAAGAAAATTATTCTCAAGACTTAAGGTTTGGTTGGGTGTGGTAGCTCATACCTATAATCCCAGCACCTTAGGAGGCCAAGGTGGGAGGATAACTTGAGGCCAGGAGTTCAAGACCAGCCTGGACAATATAGCAAGACCCCATCTCTACAAAAAATTTAAAAGTTATCTGGGTGTGGTGTCATGTGTCTGTAGTCCTAGCTACTCAGATTTTATTTTTCATACTAAGTCTCTAATATCCAGTATAGATTTGATACTTATAGCACATCTGGAATAGCACATTTCAAGTGTGGTTAGTGATTACTGTATTGAAGAGTGTAGCTCTGTAATGAAGATATATCAAAATGTATTAATTTACACAATTTCAAATAAGGCAGGAGGGTCACTTGAGCCTAGGAATTTGAGGTTACAGTGAGCTATGATTGCACCACTTCACTCCTGCCTGGGTGACAGTGTGAGACTCTGTCTCTAAAAAGCTTTTTTACTTAAAAAGACTCAAGGTTTAATGTTGTTTGCTCTCCCACCATTATATTTTGGAAGCACATTATATGTTTGATTTCACGGATTCACAGCCAAAGAGCAACATGATTCAGAATGAATCATACCTTGAGTCTCACTCATACCTAATTTAGATGATATTTAGATAGGACTTTGGACTTTAAACATTTAAGTTGATGATAGAATGAGATAAGACTTTGGGGGCTATTGATATGAACTGAATGTATCTTGTGTGTGAGAAAGACATGATTTGGGGAGAACAAAAGCAGAATGCAATGGACTAAATGTTTATGTCCCCCCATGATTTCATATATTAAAATTCTAGCCACCTAGGTGATAGTATTAAAATGTAGGGCCTTTGCTAAGTGATTAGGACATAAGAGCAAAGCCCTCATGAATGGGATTACAAAAAAAGCCTCTAGAGACATCTCTCACCCCTTCTGCCACGTGAGGTTACAGGGAAAAAACAGCCACCTAGGAAGTGGGTCTCTGAATCTGCCAGTCCCTTGATCTTGGACTTCCCAGCCTCCAGAACTATGAGAAACCAATTTCTGTTGTTTATACATTATCCAGTTTTATGATATCTTTGTTATAGCAGCTGGCACAGACTAAGCCAGTTACCACACAAACAAACAAAAAATGGGGATTTTATTTAATACAGATTTTAAAGTGCCAATGAAAATGTTATTTCTTCTATAAAGAACACAAAAAACTTTTTGTGACAAACTACAATCAGCATGCTTTTACATTTGAATCTCATTCCCAAAACAAATTTCTTGTATCTATTAAAATTAATAGTGCACGTCTTTTATTCAGCAATTCCTCTTCTGGGACTCTATATTTCTTAGAAATAAATATTTATAAGGATACCAATGCTTATAATGACAATAGCAACTCAGAACAACATGAATGTATATTAGCAAGCTATATACTTAAAAACTGTGATATATCTGCAGTACAGAACTACACTGCCCAATACAGTAGTCACTAGTCACATGTGAAATGTGGCTATCCAAGATGTGCTAGAAGTGTAAAATCTATACTGGATATTAGAGACTTATGGTAAAAAATAAGTGTGTAAAAAATTTCAATAATGTTTTATATTAAGTACATGCTGAAATGATAATGTTCTAGTTAACTAAAACATAAAATGTTAAAATTAATTATTCTTATTTTAAAAACTGTGGCCATTAGAAAACTTACAATTACACTTCTGGTTTGCATTGTATTTCCATTGGACAGTGTAAGTGTAGACTGGGAACTGGCAAATGTTTTCTGTAAAGAGCCAGAAAGGAAATATTTTAGGTTTTGCAATATTCCTGTTGCAACTACTCGAGTGAGTTGAGACAATATGTAAAAAAAATGAGCATGATTGTGTCCCAATAAGACTTTTTGTATGGACACTGTGATTTCAATTTCATGTAATTTTCACATCAAGAAATACTATTCTTCTAATTTTCCCCCAATCATTCAAAAATGTAAACGCCATTCTTAGCTCATAAACCATATAAAAATAGGCAACAGGACAAATTTGGCCCATAAGTCATAGTTTGCTAACCTCTTCTATAAACTATCGAGGAGTTTTTTTAAAATAAATTAGACCTATCTGTACTATACATACTTTCTCTAAACAATATATTGCAAAGTAGTATGTAGAGCATGATTTTACATTTGTAAAAAAGGCAAAATTACTATATTTATATGTTTACCTAATTCTATATGACCAAAGGACTATAGAAGGATACACACCAAACTGTTTATCTAACTTGTTACCATTGGACGTAAGATGGGAGACAAAAAAGAAAAATGTGTAGCTTTTGGTTTTGTGTCTATGGGTTTCCTGGATCACAGCAATTATGTATGACTCATAATATTGTGATAAAATAAAAGGTACATAAATTTCAAAAAAAGTTTTATCATATACACATAAAGACTCTTATTGAAATGTTGATATTATTGTTTATTTCCTTTGAATATGTTTTCTGTTGATCATAACTATAAAAACTAAGGAGAAAAACTTAGATCAAAACTTCAATGACATAAAATGTCTTAAGTTAAAGATATTGTTGCCCTTCAAATTCTACACTTTGCATTAGTAAGTATAGTTAAACCTTATCTGAGCTCTTGATAAAATACAGTATTCTCCTAAGCTATTTTTATTTCAGAAAATACTTAATACATGTCTCTACTTTCAGTTTATACCAGCTATCTATTACTGCATGGCAAATTACTCCCCCAAAATTTAAAGGTCTGAAGCAAAAAGTAAACATTTACTATCTCACACAGTTTCTGTACGTCAAGCATTCAAGAACCGTTCAGCTGTTGGTTCTGGCTCACAGTCTCTCAAGAGGCACAGACAAGCTGTCAGCCAGGGCTGCAATCATTTGAAGGCTTGACTGGGGCCAGAGGATTCATTTCCAAGTAGTTCACTCAGATGGCTATTGGCAAAGGCCTCAGTTCCTTGACACATGAACCCCTCCATAGATCCACTCAATGTACTCATGTCATAGCAGCTGGCTTCCCCCAGGATGAGGGTACAAAAGAGAGGAAGGTAGAAGAAAGCTATAATGCCTTTCATAGTCTAGACTTGGGAGTCACACAACCACAATAACTTTTTGGTGAACAGCTCAGTTCTATTCAGCGTGGGAGGGGACTACACAACGGTGTGAATACCAGGAAGCAACAATCATTGGGCACCATCTTGGAAGCTGGCAACTACACACGTTCCCCAGACATATTCACCAAAATAGCTATGGGCATGGCCTTAAATCTAACAATTAACCATGTTTTACAAATAAAAATCTGATTAAAATATTCCAATTTTGTGTGGAGATGTATTGCAGGGAAAAACCTTTACATTATATTGAAAGTATATTTAAACTACAACTTAACTATAACAACCGACAAATCAGTGCAAAAAAAAAAACACTTAGAGAACACAGGGTATTTTATAAAAGCAAATTATCTAGCTGCATAAGCCACATGCTCAAGTGATTAAACACAAGAAGCAAGGAATTAGATGGAGAAAAATGGTATAGTAAAAATGAACTGCTTCAGCTTATTAGTTTCTTGACAAAGTATATACATAACATAGAAAGTACAGAATTTCATTTGGTAAAATATCAGGTTATTACATAACATATAGAATATATTTTTGGAAAAGGAATTTTATGTATGGAAAAAAGACTAGAAGGATATGCACTGATATTAACCGTGGGTGTCTCTGGATATTAGATTGAACAGGATTGCTTTCCTTTGGCTTATGTGTTTTTATCTTTTATGTCCACAGAAAATATGCATCAATCACTTTAATGAGAAAAAGACTTATGCAAAAATGCCCATTGTCTGTTTTTTTCCGGCTTGCATTAAGGTATTTCTGCTCTCTAAGTTGCCTTTTGAAGAATTTTGAGATTCATAAGTCATTCTTACAAACCCAAAAAGGGTAAATTACCCATTCTAATGTTTATTCCTGAGGCTATAAGAAGCTAATTGTGAATAGGTGAAATAATAGATAAATTTCATTTACATTAACTTACTTTTATGCTCAATAAGGTCAAAGGTACATATTTTGTTTCTTTCTGGTCCATAAAATATAGATTGCTATTTTCAAAGTACATCAACAGTGGTAATAGCTATTCCCATTAGTCAGTCATATAATCTTATGAAATATTGACATGATAAAACAATGCAACTGAGAAAAAACCAATAAGACCATAGGTTTTATTGACAAATAAATGCACAGGTTTAAATTGTCTCTCACCACCTTTATACCTGATTGACATGTTATCAGAAAAATAAAGATTTAAGCTGGCCAAGATCAATGATTTCAAAATGATTCTTTAGTGCAGATAAAAATACAAATTCAATTCAATTCTAATTCATATTTGGGTTCATGCCACTTTGACAGTTACATTTTATGGCAAAATGTACTTTAATTTTATTCAAACCTTTTTCCAGCTTTTCTTAGAGATTCACTTTTTAATTTATGATACTTCCTTGCCCAATTCAAGCTTCATTCACTTTTAGATACTTTGGAAAGATAAATAACTGACACACACTGCCATTCATGAGTAATGTACCGCCTGTATCCCAAGAAAATAAAATAGGTGGCCAAAGACATATATTTGTTTTAGAAATAAATATGTATCATATGTATAAGTAATAAAATAACAATGAATTAGAAATATGTCATAAAAATGTTTTTCTATTTTACTGAGATTAAATTATATACTGTAATATATACATTTAAAGAATGAAATACCTTAGTTGTGTCTTAAGCTAAATATAACTATGCTTCTATGTAAAGCATGCAAGTTAAGTCATATGTTTACACTTTATTTGTTTGCTACTTTCAGTATATATCCATTGGGAAATATTTTATTTGGCTGGCAAATATTGTATCATTGCAACTGTAGTCAACAAAAACACTTGAAATGCAGGGATACCTCCAAGTAGTACTTAACACTTTTTCATAGGTCAGACTGAGTACTTTTTATTAAAAAAAAAAAAAAGTTAAAAAAATCATTTATTGAATACTTTCTATGTATCAGGAACACTACTGGGCACAAACTTCTTCACATACATCATTTCATTTAATATTTTTTTTTTTTTGAGATGGAATCTCGTCCTGTCACCTAGACTGGAGTGCAGTGGCACAATCTCGGCTCACTGCAACCTCCGTCTCCCGGATTCAAACAATTCTCTTGCCTCAGCCTCCCAAGTAGCTGGGATTACAGGCACCTGCCACCATGCCCAGCTAATTTTTTTTTTTTTTTTTTTTTTTGTATTTTCAGTAGAGACGGGGTTTCACCATGTTGGCCAGACAGGTCTCGAACTCCTGGCCTCGTGATCTGCCTGCCTTGGCCTCCCAAAGTGCTGGGATTACAGGCGTAAGCCACCGCACCTGGCCCATTTTGTTTAATTTTACAACCACCTAGCAAGGTAGAAAATATTATCTTCACTTTACAGATGAGGAAACTCACATCAGTCTGAACCCAAAGCCTGGATTCTTACCTGCTATACCTCAGAAAATTAATTAACATGTGGATCATATATTTATGACTGAGTAAGGAAAAAACAACTGTTTTACCTCTCTTTACTCACACTCCCTCAGTACACATCAATTCTTTGACAGACACCAACTGCCTAAAATTTAACTCAACTGTGCCCTACAACTTAGGTTAATTTTGAGACTATCTATGTGGAGACAGTGTCAGACCCCACAGGTTAAGAGCTCATTCCCACAAGACTACCCACACTTCAGATACCAGTCACAAGCCCCAGACTGTGACCTGTGCTTCTAACTCACCAGCTATAAATTGAAGGACTCCCATAACCTCCCTTTGGGCTCAATCATTTGTCAGAATAGCTCATTGAATTCCAGAAAACATGTTACTTACATTTATGATCTATTATAAAAGGATGCAACTCAGAAACAGCCAAACAGAAGAGATGCTTAGGGCAAGACATGGGGGACAGGGGCAGAGTGTCCATGCCTTCTCCAGCAGGTCATCCTGCATGTGTTCAGCAGCTCGGAAGCTCTCTGAACCCTGTCCTTTTGCGTTTTTATGAAGGCTTCCTTATGCGGGCCTGATTGATTAAATCATCAGCCATTGGTAATCAACTCAACCTTCAGTCACGAAGTGGGGCTGAAAGTTACAACTCTCTAATCACATGACTGGTTCCCCTAGAAACCAGCCCCCACCCTGCAGCTATCTAGGGGCCACCAGCCATTAGTCATCTCATCAGCATGTAAAAAGATATATCACTTCAGAGATTCCAGAGGTTGTAGAAGCTGCGTGCTAGAAAATGGGGGTTGGAAGGATATATTTCTTATAATATAGTATTATAATCACAATATCACAGTGCCCTATATACTTGTTTCTCTCATTTATTCACAGGTGAGACCATTAACAGACACCATTCACCTGGTAGCAAACACTCATGTCTAAGTCAGCGATGGGAATGTACATTTGCCTTTATAAGATCTGCCTTACAAAGCTCATCTTTAAAGAAACTTCAAACATTGCACATTGATTGTCAACTGAAGAATGACAAGGTTCATAAATTGTTTTTTTTTTCTTTTCTTTTTTTTTTTTTTAGGGTCTCATCGTGTTGCCCAGGCTGATCTCGAACTCCTGAGCTCAAGGGATCCACCTGCCTTGGCCTCCGAAAGTGCTGGGATTATAGGCATGAGCCACCACACCCAACCCAAGGTTCCGAAATTTGGAAAGGAGAGTTTTATTTCTCATAAAGGTTGCAGCCTGCAAGATGGCCATTCTGACAGGCTGGAAAATGTAGCTTCCTGCCAGAAGCCAAAAACAGGCACCTTGAGGCTGGGAAGAATAAGACAAGGATATATGTTGATAGGGGTTGCCAACTACACATATCCCACAGATTATAGGAGGAGCTGTGAACATTTGTGAAGGGGAGGCATGGGCATGTGTAGTAGGCTAACATGTACACAGCATGTACCTCATGTTCACTTTGGGGTGGAGACTTAACATTTAAATGTATTACAATTAGGGCCTATACAGCCAAATGTGAAGCAGAGGACAAAAAGGCCCTCTGTGCATAGCCTTCAAAGACTGTCCAGAACCATCCCATGGTCAACGGTCTTTTATCAGGAAGAAATGCTGGTTGGCTGCTGTATTGAAGTCACAAAAAGGAGGGGCAGCATCAGGCAGTTGGTTGATATCAGTGGAGGACCCAGTCTTTCAAAAGGACTGGTTTTGTTTAACCCTTAGGGAAGAAAGCCTAACGGTGTTTAGTGAGGGAGGGGATATAATGAGGTGTGTCTGACTTCCTACCCTGCCATGGCTAAGAACTCAGTTTTTAAGGTTTCTCTAGGGTCCCCTTGGCCAAGAGGGGGTCCTTTCAGTCATTTGGGAAGCTTGGAATTTTATTTTTATTTCTCAATATCATCTCCTATTTATTCTCTAGATCTGACTATAGGTAGGCTACTTGTAAGCATGATCGAGAATTGCAAATCCTGACCACGCATAGTGTCTCACGCCTGTAATCCCAACACTTTGGGAGGCTGAGGTGGGTGGATCAATTGGGATCAGGAGTTCTAGACGAGCAATTTAGTGAGACCCTACCTCTACTTAAAAAATCAAAAAAACTAGCTGGGTGTGGTGGGGTATGCTTATAGTCCCAGTTCCTCAGGAGGCCGAGGTGAGAGAATCGTTTGAGTTTAGGAGGTTGAGGCTGCAATGAGCCATGATCATGCCACTGGGCTCCAGCAGCAAAGCGAAACCCTCTATTTTTTTTTAATTGCAAATTATATTGCCTTGCATTAACTAAACCCTGTTCTTCCTGTTCATGATTGGAGTAAGATAAATAAGAGAAGAAAATAATGGACATGAAGGCAACTTCCCAGTATTCACCCTGCCCCAGACAACTGGCTGAGCCAATCATGTTCATTTCATAGTCTAGTAAATAAGAATTTTCAGCTTACAATGAGATAGCAGGGAAAACCTCATGGGGTTGGGGATTGCTTCTAAGCAAATTTCCTACTCCTAAGAGAGAACCACAGAAGTCTCTTTCTTCTGGACATAATTTTGACTGTAGAGGAAACTTGCAACTTTCAAAAGCATCCTGCTTTTAGACTAAAATAATGCTATCCTGAGAATGCTCTATGAATTCAAAGAGTCTGAGTTCCTCAATGATATCGCTGAGCCACTCAGAATACCAGACTTAAAGCTCGTCTGACTTCTGGGCTCTGTTAAGTGAGATGATATATCTTCTATTTTTAAAACTGGCTTGAGTTAAGTTTCTGTTACTTGCAGTCAAAAAGTACCCTATTTTATACCAGTGGTAACCAAACAATGGTTATATACTTATTTGGGCATTCAATATTATTCTTAACTGACCAGAGTTTCATTTAATATAGTTGAATAATAAACTATCCCAAAACCTAGTGGCATAAAACAACCAGTTATTGTACTCATAGATTCTGCAGGTCAGGAACTTGGACAGAGCACAGAGAGAATAGCATGTCTATGCTCCATGATACCTGAGGCCTGAGATGGAGGCCTAAAAATCTTTGAAGTCTTTAGAGTCCTTGAAGATTGAGGTCTTGATCATCTAAAAGTTCATTCACTCACATGGTTTTGTTAGCTATTGGCTGAGAACCTAGTTGAAGGTGTTGGCTAGAACATGTTCACCTGGCTTCTCCATGTGGCCTGGGCTTCCTCAAAACATAATAACTGAGTTCGGTTCCACAGGTGTGCATCCCAAGAGGGAGTGAGGGCCAAGCAGAAGCCACATCACCTTTGATGTGCTAACTTCAGAAGTCACCCAGTGCCACCTCCATTGCATTCTATAGCTCAGGACAGTTACCAAGTTACATCCAGTTTCAAGCAGAGGGAACAAAGAAATGTCATTATCACGTTGTAAGAATAGCATACAGCATGGGATGTATATTTGTATGGCCAACTTTGGAAATGCCATCTGCCACAGTTTGCTTCTGGCCACAATAATTCACAACCCTAGCACATGCAAAATATACCATTCCTCTCTTGAAACCCTCAAGTCTTATTGCAGCATCAACTCAAAGTCCATGATCTTGTCGCCACAATCACCTCAGGTCCGTGTACAGACAGACGTGGCTCCTCAGATGCAATTCTTTGACTTACAGCTGCTCAACTATATTCGTCTCCATCTTAAGACTGTTAATCAATGAGACAATTTATCTATTCCAGAAACATTCAACATTCAATGGTGGGACAGCTGTAGACTCCCTGCTAAGAACAGCCCTATTCATAAAGAGGGGGCATGGGAGACTGTCATCACTGTTTCACCACAGTTCTAAAATTCAAACAGGTGTATATTGCCATTCCATTGATTAGAGGGGCTCTTACCACATACACACAAAGGGTTACTTCCCTGTGACATAATAGATGTGTTAATTTGCTCGAGTATAGTAACCATTTCACTATGTATAAAGTATATCAAAACATCATGTTGTACAGCTTAAATATATAACATTAAATAAATAATGTTTTAAAGTAAAATAAAATAAAGTCTAACTGTTTTCAAAGTGGCAGAACAAAGTCCCCATCTCTTGATGGAACAGTGTCCATATCATATTTTAAAAAGAGAATGTGGGATGGAATATATAGCTATAGCTATACATTCATTCATTATGGAAAATACAATCTGCTGCAACTAGCTCAGAGATATGTTTAATTAGGGTTAGTTTCATATCTATAGACTATAATCTATAAGCAGTCCCAGGATCATTGAATAAAATGAACTTGCTGGATAAAAGATCTGAGTCTGACTACCAGCTGGGTCATCAAGAATAAGATTCAATCCCTTTGTAGGCCTCATTACTCTTATTTATGAAAGATATATTAAAAATAGGCCATCCCTAACATTGTTTCCATGTCAAACATATACTATCACACATTTATTTTAAAAGATACTCGAATGTTTTCCACCAATTGCTGTTTATCTGATGTTTACTTAATTTTGCTTAAACATCAGTATCCTCATCTGGGAAATGAGTGCAATCATAAAAATGTTTATCTTTTAAGGTTGTTATGGAAATGAAATGATATATGTCAAAAAGCTTAAAGTAAAACCTGGAACACAGTAAGTACTTAATAAATGTTTTCCGTTATTTAACAGAAAATTGCATCACATTTGACAACCACACTAGTTTGACCACTTGGAAAGCTTATCAGTTACAAAAGAGGTTACTTTTATCAAAATGTTAAATCAGAAGATAGAGACACAGGCCAGATACATATAATCCCAGTATCCAATAAATGTGAAAGGAAATTGCTCTTTTCTGTTATTTTTAATAGAAAATATTTATTGGTGCCAGACCGGGTGTTAAAGATTTATATGCATTTGATGCTTACATAAACCTTATAAGGCAGTTTTTAAATTGAAAATTACTATATTTACCTACTCCGTGAAATATTACTTTCTACACTGCTACAAATTCTCTAAATTTTTCATACTTTTCACTTTCCTGCACTACCAGATATACCAGGCAAAAATGTTTAAGAGAGATACTGAGGGTTATTAATAGACATCATTAGTAATAAACCACAATGTTAATTTCATGCCCCAAATGCTTCTTATCTTGCTCCTAATTGAAAAGAATTCCTTGTCTGGACCTCTCAGGTTCATGTCACCCCCAAAACATAGCCAAGGATTGGTTCCCTTTCTTAAAGAGTCAGACAATCGAAAGATGAATAGGAAAGGGCAACCTTTCAAATAAGAATTTCTAAAATAAGAGGAAAACATTTCTGAAAGAGGATAGATAGGGAAATCTCCCATAATCATATGATGTCTTTATTCCAATCATGAGAGTCCGTATTTCAATCATTGTCTTTTGAATTATCAGGCTACCTTTTAAAATATGAAATGGTTTAAAATATTAAACTGGATTCCTGACCTGGGACTTTTTGGAGCTAATATTTGTTGGGAATCTCCAAGCAGGGTCTGTGAAGTATATATTTAACCTCAAAACTCATTTTTATTTTTCTTGCTGGACTAGTATTTATTGGAACATTCAGGGACCGTCAAGGTGAACTTATCAGTAATATACACATTCTTGGCAGCTATTCAGATGGAGAAATGGTAGTTTTGGTTCGGGAGAGGAATAAGGGGAATTGAGGCACTTCTTGTGTAGACAGTCTTAGATGGAGTGACTTACTGCAGGACTCCAAATGTCAGGATCAGCCGGAAGGCAAGAATGCCTAGAAACTGGGAACAGGAAGAGGGATGCTCCCCCAGACACATTTAAATCACTTTACAGTATTTCCTTTGATCCTACATACTTCTGCGGGCTATTCCATTCACTCAACATGTGAACTGAAAATGATGCCTGACCCAGGAACGTTATCCATTCTGGTCCTTACTAATCCTTGTACTCCAGAGTATGAACTATCATCTATAAAATGTGGGGCATGGTTGGGCACAGTGTCTCATGCAGTAATCCCAGCACTTTGGGAGGCCAAGGCAGGCGGACTACTTTAGGTCAGGAGTTAGCGACCAGCCTGGCCAACATGGTGAAACTTCATCTCTACTAAATATACAAAAATCAGCTAAGCATGCCAGCACGTACCTGTAGTCCCAGCTACTTGAGAGGCTGAGGCACAAGAATAGCTTTAAACTGGGAGGCAGAAGATGAAGTGAGCCGAGATTGCACCACTGTGCTCCAGCCTGGGTGACAGAGCAAGATTTTGTCTCAAAAAAATAGAACAAAATGTGGGGCATGGACTAATTTAGTTATGGCAAATAGGAGTCATTCCACTTGCAGATGCTGATCAATCCTAGTAGCTTCCATTTATATTTGTTAATAAAAATAAATTTTTCGAAGACATGAGATCCTATATCTCATTGGTAGTAGGATAGGAAATGCAGCCATTATCAACTTCCCTGGTCTGCCTAGAGTTTAGGTGTGGAGAATGAAAACATATGGCCTCTTGTCTGCCATCCAGCACCAGGGACTCATTAAGTTCTGATAATTTATGATCCTGACCCTGATAAACACCCATGGGCTGCTGTTTGCTGGGTATTGTACCACTGTCTTCCCTAGAAGGAAGAATGTAGTAAGAGGATCCTGAAAGTTGAAAATAATAATAGTGATGATAAAGTATGGATGTAAACATTTTATTCTTTCCTTTAGAATAAAAATAAATGACATCTTATATCATTATTTGGGAAGCTTTGCTTTAGATACCAATTTCTCTGAAACATAGAAGCCCACACTCTTAAGTGGTACAGCCTTTGTCATAATTTAAAACATTCGTTCACATAAGTATAATATATGCTACCCATCTTGGACAGTTCAAAATGTTCCACTTAATTTTATTTGATTAAAAGCCTAATTTTGGCCAGGCACAGTGGCCAACTCCTATAATCCCAGTACTTTGGAAGGCCAAGACAGGCAGATCAGGTGAAGTCAGGAGTTCAAGACCAGCCTGGCCAACATGGTGAAACCCCGTCTCTACTAAAAATACAAAAATTACCCAGCATAGTGGCACATGCTTGTAATCCCAGCTACTTGGGAGGCTGAGGTGGGAGGATCGCTTGAACCCAGGAGGCAGAGGTTGCAGTGTGTAGAGACTGTGCCACTGCACTCCAGCCTAGGCAACAGAGCAAGATTCCATCTCAAAAAAAACAAAAAACAAAAACAAAAACAAAAACAAAACCTAACTTCTTAGCCTTGCCCAGCTTTTCACAATTAATCTTGACAGTGAGTCCCACATGTCTCTGGGCCAATTTTTGCTTGAAAATGCCAGCTCTCTATCAGCCATTTGCAATATCAAGGGGATGCACAAGCTCCTCCCCACTTTCCCTGCCTCGGCCGACCGAACTCTTCTGGTGAGGCACCTGCCAGCTGAGCTGACCGCTGAGGAGAAAGAGGACTTGCTGAAGTACTTCAAGGCACGGTTGGTGCATGACCTGTCAGATAAGGGGCAGCTGAAACATACAGCTTTTGCCACATTCCCTAAAAAGCAGCTATAAAGGCATTGACAAGACTCCATCAGCTGAAACTTTTAGGTCATACTTTAGTCTTTGAATTTGCAAAAGAGCAAGATCAAGTTCACTCCCCATGTCCCACTCCAGTCTCTGAAAAAAAAAAAAAAAGGTCTGATGACCCTGTTGAAGACGATAAAGAAAAGAAAGAATTGGTTATTTAACAGTAGAAAATGTAATTACACCAAACCATGGGCTGACTTTTCTTAATTCATGCCTCAAGTATATGTACCCACCACCTTCCAGCACAATCCTAACAAACAGAGTAAATGCTTTGGCAAGCGTGCCTAAGTTCTATGTACAGGTCCTTCATCTTATGAATAAAATGAATTTGCCCACAGCTTTTAGATCAATTACTGCGCAGCCTCCCATCTATGAAGACCATATGCCATTGCATCCACCTCTTCCACCCACATCTCCTCAGCCACCTGAGGAACCTCCTTGGCCAGAAGACGATGAGGAATTATCTAGTGAAGAATTAGAAGATGACAGCAGTGATGATGAGGACCAACAGAAAATGAACAAACTAATGGAACTAGCAAATCTTCAGCCCCAAAGACCCAAAACAATAAGGCAGCGCCATGTGAGAAAAAAGAGAAAAATAAAGGATATGTTGAACATACTTTCGTGTCCTTCACAAAACAGTTTACATCTAGTGCTGTTACCTTCGGATGTATTTGACCAACCACAACCTGTAGGTAATAAAAGAATTGAATTCCATATATCTACCGACATGCCAGCTGCATTTAAGAAAGATTTAGAGAAGAAACAAAATTGTGAGAAAAAAATAATGATCTACCTGTTACTGAAGCTGATGCATCCAGTATAGGATTTGGAAAAATCTTTCCCAAACCTAATTTGAACATCACAGAAGAGATTAAAAAAGACTCTGATGAAATGCCATCGGAATGTATTTCTAGAAGGGAATTGGAAAAGGACAGAATTTCTAGAGAAGAAATGGAAACACTTTCAGTTTTCAGAAGTTATGAACCTGGTGAACCAAACTGTAGAATTTATGTAAAGAATTTAGCTAAACATGTTCAAGAAAAGGACCTTAAATATATTTTTGGAAGATATGTTGACTTTTCATCAGAAACACAGTAGATCATGTTTGATATACGTTTGATGAAAGAAGGTCGTATGAAAGGACAAGCTTCCATTGGACTTCCTAATGAAAAAGCAGCAGCAAAAGCCTTAAAGGAAGCTAATGGATATGTGCTTTTTGGAAAACCCATGGTGGTTCAATTTGCTCGATCTGCTAGACAAAAACCAGATCCTAAGGAAGGAAAAAGAAAGTGTTAAAAATTAATAAAGGTTTCTTTTGAATCCTGTATCTTTCAAGGGCTTTCCAACTTGGACAGGAAGAAATTGACCACCTGGACTATGGAACTGTGCATAACAGCTTTGAAAGTATATTTAAAAATTAAATACATATGCCTTTAAATCAGTGTATTGGAACTATATTATATGTATTTTAATGACCTTCCTCAAATATAATAAATTATTTTCTTTTTCTTTCTTTCTTTCTTTTTTTTTTTTTTTTTTTTTTTTTGAGATGGAGTCTCGCTCTGTTGCCTGGGCTGGAGTGCACTGGCACGATCTTGACTCACTGCAAGCTCTGCCTCCCGGGTTCACGCCATTCTCCTGCCTCAGCCTCCCAAGTAGCTGGGACTACAGGCGCCCGCCACCACACCCAGCTAATTTTTTTCTGTATTTTTAGTAGAGACGGGATTTCACTGTGTTAGCCAGAATGGTCTTGATCTCCTGACCTTGTGATCCACCCGCCTCAGCCTCCCAAAGTGCTGGGATTACAGGCGTGAGCCACGGTACTCGGCCACAGGTACAGTATTTTAAGTCTAATAATAAAAGAATGCTTACATGTCAGGTAAAAATGTTATCAACTAACATTATAACACTTGGAAATTTTTTGTATATGTGATTCCCTAGTACCTAATTACCGAACAAGCTTTTTAAAAATACGCATTTCTCCCGCAAATGATAAAAAGCCTGTGATTAGTCACACCTGTAACTTGTAAGTTTATTCATTAGTTCATTCAGTAGTTATTTATAGAATACCTACTCTGAGCCAAGTACTCCCATAGAACATTGAAGAGAAACATAGTCATTAACTTCACTCATTCATCTAATAAGTTCTGTGAGGTAGGCTCTCTGCTGTGTGCTAGAGATATGGTAGGGGATAAGACAAAGTACAACCCAGGAGACAGACAATCAAATAATCACAGTGACCGATTCAAGAGGTGAGAGAATGTTCAGGAAACCAAGGCCAGGAGAGATTGTGACTTCCCCAGGGTACCCAGTTAGTCAGCGAGGAAGCTGGACCTAGAATCTGTCTTCCGGGCATCCGCCCAATCTGTTCAGAGGCAACAACATTGAAAATGGCTCTCACTCCCTGCATTCCTGCTATGCTACTTCCTGTGCTGGGTGCTCATTTATCCTCACACATGCTGGCTCCATTTCATTCTGATACCTTAAAATGATTCTGGAAAGGGAATCCTCAGAGGCCCTCCAAAAGCCTGAAGGCTTTACCTTCCTGCACTCTCCCTGCCCCCAACACATCTGCACATCTCTGAGAGGGGATCTGCTCCTCCCTACAAACTTGAAGGCACCTTAAAGGCTTTCTACTCCCTGGCTCAGTTCCCTGCCCAGGTGACATGTGAGCAGTGACAAAGCCATGTAAACTATTCCCAGAACACTGGTTTCCAAGCATGGCTGAACGCCATAATCACCTGGTCAGGGGCTGGGGAGTGAGGGAGTGTGCTTTAAAACTAGCTTACCCGGCTGGGCATGGTGGCTCATGCCTGTAATCCCAGCACTTTGGGAAGCTGAGGCAAGTGGATCGCTTCAGCTCAGGAGTTCGAGACCAGCCTGGTCAACATGGCAAAACCTTGTCTTTACAAAAATACAAAAATTAGCTAGGCGTGGTGGCAGGCATCTGTAATCCTTGCTACTCTGGAGACTGAGGCACAAGAATCAATTGCCTGAGCTCGGGAGGCAGAGGTTGCAGTGAGCCAAGATCACACCACTGTACTCCAGCCTAGGCAACAGAGCGAGACTTCATCTCAAAAAACACAAAACAAAACAAACTAGCTTACCAGCAAGGCATGATCTAATATAGAGGTTACCAAAGTATGTCCCCAGTCCAGCAGCATCAGTAGAATCTTTGAACTTGGTAGAAATGCAGAGTCTTGGGCCCCTTCCCCAGCCCCACTGAATGAGAAGTCTGTGGGTAGCCCCATCATCTGTGCTCTAACAAGCCCTCTGAATGGTTCTGAGGCTGTAACTATTTATCTAGGAGTTATCAGGTAAGGGCTAGGGACTATTTTTAAGTATTTCAGGTAATTTAGAAGTCCAGAGAGTTGGGAACCACAAGGAGAGCATTCCTCACTGCAAAAAACACACTTTGGAATGCCCTAGGACGGTGAGGTGAATGCTATACAAAAGAAAATATTGGAGAAGACATTCGAGAACAGTAAGGTTGGAAAAATTTGGCAGACAATTTAAAAATTGAAAAGCATTGCTATTAATTACAGTACATGCAAAAGTTATGCTATAGGATAAAAAACTTATTTTGCAAAACAATCCTATTTTGAGACCTAGAAAACTAATCTTTCAAAAGTTATCTATTCTAGAAACAATTTAAGGAATACATGCCTGAAATAGAGAAAAATCTTCTGTTTCACAGCTTTTCATCTTGAATAAAAAACATGTTTTTTTCACTATTTGTTTTCTTATTGACAGTTAATGTTAAATTATTACTGTTTTAAACGTTCATAATGTTATTTTACATTTGTTAATAAGCATATCTATATTCTTTATGTTCTTTAATAATTGAAAATTGGGCTGAGTGCAATGGCATAGGCCTGTAATCCTAACAATTTGGGAGGGCGAGCAGGTGGATTGCTGGAGCCCAGGAGTTTGAGACCAGCCTGGGCAACATGGTAAAACCCCAAACCCCGTCTCCACACACACAAAGAAAATATATAATAATTAGCTGGGCTTAGTGGACACGCCTGTAGTCCCAGCTACTCAAGAGGCTGAGGTAGGAGGATTGCTTGAGCCCAGGAGGTAAAGGCTGCAGTGAGCCAGGCTCACACCACTACACTCCGGCCTGGGTGACAGAGAGAAATTTTGTCTTACAAAAAAGGAAAATTAATAGGAAAGAGATAAAATTATAAAGACCATCACATTCCTGATTATAGACTGCATAGTATTAGTGAAAATAAAATCCTCAATGACTAATACTTTTTACCTCTTATTATTAATTCCAAAGTAAATGTCCCACACAAACAGTATAATAGGATAATTTTTGGCACCAAATCGATACTTGTTATTATATCCCAGGTCTGTCGAGACCCTGGTCAATGGTGGTGTCCCTCTGAGTCTCTTACGAGATTCATACCAAGTGCCTGGACTGTGCCAAGTAACACCCCGCTTCAAACACAACAACATTGTGCAGGGGGGATCCTTAGAATCCACACTTTCAAATGGGAGAATGCAAGCTTAAAGTAGTTAAGCTACGTAGCTGACTCGGCTGACTCCAGGCAGTCGGCCACCAGTCTTTGTCCCTGCCCTGTCACTGTCCTGTCTCCTTCACGCCTAAGGCAGCACCAGCACCAGAAACACAGTGGACGCTCAGGAAATTCAGCACTATTTTGTTTGTTTGCTGTGTGTATTGGCTTTTGCTTGGGCCGGCTTAAGACTTTCAAAGCCCCAAGTTACTGAAAAGCTTACATAATTCAAATTTTAAAACCATGCTCGACTATAAAGGAAGCTGAAGAAAGTCCAAGAAAGTCTTTATTTTTCTCATGATGACTCTTCTGATGCTTTGTTAAAAGATCAAATGTAAAAATTCTTTAAAGTAAATGTGTATTTTTTTTTGCCTTGCTTGGTACACTACAAACATACACACGATACAGTACAGTATGGGCCCATTTCAACTGATGGAGAGTTCTTTCTAGACATCCTCCTACTCAGGGCTTATGCTAGGTATGACTGAGAGGAGGAGATGAAAGGCTGCATTCTACAGCAGGGGTCCCCAACCCTCGGGCCAGGGACCAGTACTGATCTGTGGCCTGTTAGGAACAGGGCTGCACAGCAGGAGGTGAGCTGGCAAGTGGAGCTTCATCTGTGTTTACAGCTGCTCCCCATGGCTCACATCACCACCTGAGCTCCGCCTCCTGTCGGATCAGCAGTGGCGTTAGATTCTTATAGGAGCGCGAACCCTATTGTGAACTGCACATGCAAGGAATCTAGATTGCGTGCTCCTTGTGAGAATCTAATGCCTGATGATCTGTCACTGTCTCTCATGACCCCCAGATACGGCTTACCATTTAGTTGCAGGAAAACAAGCTCAGAGTACCCTCTGATTCTACATAATGGTGAGTTGCATAATTATTTCATTATGTATTACGATGTAATAATAGAAATGAATTGCACAATAAATGTAATGCGCTTGAATCATCCCGAAACCATCCCCCCACACCTCCAGTCCGTGGAAAAATTGTCTTTCATAAAACTAGTCCCTGGTGCCAGAAAGGTTGGGGATCACTGCTCTATATGATCATTGCTTCAGTGCATCCCTGACTCAGCAGACACTTGAGAGAGCTTCAAGAGAAGACTAGGTGCTAGAGGATACTCTCCTGCGTTTTTAATATTTCACTGCCAATTCAGGTTTAGTCGCCTCAGTCAAAAACAATCTTGGAGTGTCACCTCCAAGGACATTTGCTTGAGCATGGAGGCATGGCTGACTTCAGTTCTCACATGAGTGCAAGAGCTCCTCCTGCTGGCAGAGGTGAGAGCAACACTCCAGAGTACATGCGTGAAGCAGGCAGCTTCTGTCATCATGGCGGGCCATCATGGTATGGCGAGAAGAAACCAAACTTTGACGTGAATTGAATGTAAAAACCTGCATCCAATCAAATGCATGGGCTTGACTGTCCTGAAAAAAATCAAATTCTTCATCCTAGATTAGCTCTCGCTAATTTGGGGTTCTCTCAGAGCACTGGCTGACCGACTCGCCTTCTAAAATGCTAATCACCAAATGCCATACATCCCTGGGTTCCATTCTGAACTCCTCACCTTATTCCAAAGCCCCCATATGAAGTGTCTCTCGTGACAAGTGTGGGGAAAATGTGGTGAAGAGTTAAAAGTGAATCTCTTACCTCTTTGAACTGTTTTCTTCGTACTTCATGTACACAGATACACTTTTGATGTGTTAACTAGAAAATCTGACTAGAAAAGAACAAAGCAGCTGTCACTGGAAGGAAGACACTGACAAAAAAAACCACACAGCCCTTTATTGAAGAACTGTCAAGCCCATCCTACAGTTCTGGGGTTGTCTGTGGTATTTATCAAAGACCTAGATCTGATGCAGGAAATTAAAAATAATAATAATAATAAATCTATCCACTGGGCATTTATTAAAGGAATCTAAAATTCTATTACATTTAAAATAACCAAAATGGATATTTTAACAATTCAAATACAAGGTTGTTTGTATTAGTTACATATATATGCATATTTGTATATTCATGTGCATGCTTTCTTACCACAAAAATGCACATGTATATATAGAGAATAAAGATATATACATAGATAATGTGTTTACACACAAATTAAAAACATTTTTTCTCACTATGAGGAATCTTTTAATGTATTTAAACATTTTTCTTGATATAACCTTTATTTTAATATTACATATAAAATTGAAGCTTTTGAATATTTCTGAAATTTGCTTAAATGGTCTGTCCAGGAAAGTGGATTCCTGCATTTCATGTTGCTCAATGGACTCACAATATTTTCCTGAATGTCATTCCCAGCTTTGAGGTAATGTACATGTTTTTCTTTCCTCTGTGCCATTATATATTTATTATAAAATTTTCTGTTCTATGTGCTATTTCAGCCCAGTCCTAATTACTGTATTACATGGAATTCAATTACCGTTTTCTAAGTAAATATACTGTATGTAATAAGAGTAGCGGTCAGGGGGCAGTGGCTCACGCCTGTAATCCCAGCACTTTGGGAGACCAAGGCAGGTGGATCACCTGAGGTCAGGAGTTCGAGAGCAGCCTGGCTAGCATGGTGAAACCCTGTCTCTACTAAAAATATAAAAATTAGCCAGGTGTGGTGGCGGGCGCCTGTAATCCCAGCTACTCAGGAGGCTGAGGTAGGAGAATTGCTTGAACCCAAGAGGTGGACGTTGCAGTGAGCCGACATCACGCCATGGCACTCCAGCTTGGGTAACAAGAGCGAAACTCCGTCTCAAAAAAAATAATAATAAATAAATAAGAGTAGTTTTCTTACAAAACCCCAATGACATGAACACGAGGAGAAAAGAAATCTAGGAAAGAGTGCACAGAAAAGCAGAACAGATAAAGTTGCTAAGTGTAGCTGGAAATGGTCCATATATTCAAACAAATCTATCTCCTCATATTTTCTGGTCACATTGCCAGATTATAGGATAGGCTTCAGACTTGAGGCTTCACATCTTAGCTATATCACTTAAGAGTAGTATGTCTTTGGGCAGGTTACTTAACTTCTGAGCCTCAGTTTCTTCACCTGTAAAATAGGGGTAACAGCTACCTCACAAAGGTTGTTTAACTGAGACATATTTACCACAGCAGGGTCCCCACAACATTAGTTTGAAAGGAAGCAAGTAGATGTTGGATGCTAAAAAAGGGCTCGGGGTGCCATGGTTAAATCAGTTTGAGAGGTGGGACATTGAACAATGCAGAACAGATTTCTGTTTTACAGAACAGAATGCAGGGCTTCTCAGAGCCTTTCCCATGCTCCTTTTAATCAAAATATAATTCAGTATTCAGATTTCCACAGAATTATTTGACCTGAAATCCTTTTATGATGAGTGTTTCTGGGGATTAACGTTTCTCAGAACACATTTTGGGTGCAAAATAAAAGGTTGGGGGAAAAAAGATTCTAACAGACATCTCAGGTCAACATAAACTTTTTAATGGTACATTTGAACTTGCTGGCATAAAGACAATGTAACAACAATGGAGAAACTATCTGGTAATTCAGGTCACTACTGCCTCAGTTGCAAAGTGCTTCTCATGGTCTAAATTGGCAACCAAGTGTATTTGTCCGTGCATATTAAGAAAAAGATTATCTGGCCAGGCACAGTGGCTCACGCCTGTAATCCCAGCACTTTGGGAGGCTGAGGCAGCCGGATCACAAGGTCAGGAGATCGAGACCATCCTGGCTAACATGGTAAAAACCCCGTCTCTACTAAAAATAAAAAACAAAATTAGCCGGGCGTGGTGGTGGGGTGCCTGTAATCCCAGCTACTTGCGAGGCTGAGGCAGGAGAGTGGTGTGAACCCGGGAGGTGGAGGTTGCAGTGAGCCGAGATGGCGCCACTGCACTCCAGCCTGGGCAACAGAGCGAGACTCCGTCTCAAAAAATAAATAAATAAATAAAATTAAATTAAAAAAATTATCCAGAGGACAAATTTATTAGGTAAATAAATAGCTAGAAATATTTTTCATAGAAAGAATTTGTTAATGGTTTAAATTAGATTTCCTTATAAGTGCTTTAAATGTATTTATGTATCTAAACAATTATCAAGTTGCACTGTGGACCAAGCAGGTATCTAAATTGAGATCAGGACAAGCCCTGGGTAAGATATTGGTGGCCAATGATGTGGGTTTTATGGTCTTTCTCACCAGACCAACGCAAAGGAAGATTATCAGGGGGTTATACTGAGGCCCATGATCCCTTGTTTATTTTCAACTCTTAAAAGACAAAATACTGCATGGAACAAGGGCTCTATAAATATCTCTGTATAATTTAACTTTTCAATCAATTGAAGGCAAGAAGAATTGATGATTCATTTCTCTCCTTTTTAAAATTCTTTCTCTGAAAATTACAACATTTTCAAAGGATCTGATAAATAATATCAAGTTCATTGGCATTTCAAACAGACAAGACATTTATCTATTTTAAACTATGATGAATGTCATATTTCCATTCAAATTTGGGAAGATCACATTTTCAGCTACCAACCAACTATGGAAAAATCTTTCAGACAACAATAACCTCTTAATTGAAGATTTCTCTTAAAATTTTTAATAGAATAATGTGGGTGTTATCCTTCTGAAAAACAAAATTACTTTTAATGAAGCAGTTCAAAATCAGGGCAGAGAAAGAGCAAAGAGTTTCCTTGAGGTTCTGGTGACAGTTTACATAAAAAGATGTTTTATTTTCTCTTCCCAGGGTGTACACCATCATTTTATCTTATTATTCCTGACATTCAGTTCATCATATTAGCATCTTTGTGGGAAACAAGAAAGCAATTAAGGTTTTTGCTCTTTATTCTTTGGGAGACAGAGATTTTGCGTTTCTTCAAAACTCTTAATGATGAGGCAGACCTGGTCAAACACCAAATGCACGAGTTTTAAAATGCAATAAAGATAGAGCTTTAATAATTTTCAATTACAGTTATTCTGCAATAATGTTAGTGAATCTCATCTAAAAAGTAAATTATTCATTGAATAGGAAATAAGAAAGCTTTGGGATTGTATGAATCTCCCATTTAAAGTTTCACTAAGATTCTCCTTGATAAGGTCCTTTTAAAAGATTACATATTTTATACTTTGTTTCTATCCCTTTTCTTCATTCATGATGCTGTTTCTACTTTTTAATATACTTTTCTAACAAAACACGGTAGTTATAGAGTGGCCATTCAGACGGGTCTTTTCAGAATAAGTATTCATTCACTTGCAGCCAGAAATACTGATAATATGATATTTTTTTATTTAGTTTTAAGAATACATTTTCATTTTAAGCAAATGAAACTTAGAACCAAATAAAAAAAAACTGTCACTGGCTTTCATTAGAAAATTGGTAGGAAAAAGTCTCTCGTGTTGCCTTTGCATTGCGGAATCTTGCCTTTCATGTAAATAAATAGATCATTTACTGGAAAGTGCACAGAATACAGCAAAACTAAAGAATCCCAGAAAAATATTTTAAATCAAAATAAAATATGACAAAATGAAAAAGGGCAATGCAGACTATTTTCTTTAAAAAAAAAAAAAAAAAAGAAAGCATCGCCCTTCTCCTAAAACTTGAAAACAAGTCATTAACTTAGTCATTTTCTATATCCCCTTTGCAATAATTTCCAATATCTGTGCTCAGATAAATGCTAGATTCTTTATATCTCCCTGCTCTCTTTTCTCTTGCCATGAATTTAGTTACTTTCGTTAAATCTTCCAACCTTAAAATTGAAGAGGGTGTCAGAAATTTAACCTAGTGATTAGATTTGTGCAAAACTTTTGCAATGAAACTTTTGACTGGAAGACTTTACATGTAGAATTCTGGTACATATTCCAAACTTACACAAGACCTACGGGATGTGTTCCTGAGTTCAATAACAGATAAATTGGAAGTTCTCATCCAATAAATATCACCAACTTAACTCACAAATCCAAACTGACATGGTTGAGATGTCAACACTGGGCAACTTAGCACCCTGAGGGGTCAAATTCAGTGATTTCTTTTGAATATTATTTTAGAGTCAATGTGTCTTTTTGTTTGTTTTTTCAAATGTTGTTTAAGAAAGCATTTGTTTATTCATTTCAATGAGAAACTAGGTTGGGACAAGAATAAGGGAATAAATTCCTATGTCTGTAGACTCATAGAATAGAGGGGAGAAGAAAATTCTTACAAATGCCTTCATCTACTGATGTCCCTCATTCCACTTTACAAAGTACTTTGAGTTTATTACAATGACAAAGATTTTAATGACAAAACAAAAGAAAGAGAATCCACGTTGGCCCTTAATCAGTATCTCTGACTCTCTAAACAAGATGTGGATGCTTGTATCCTAATTAGCTTAATTTAAACTAGATACGTAAGTATGTCTAAGACATGAATATTGGGGAAATGATCTTTTCCGTGAAAATACTCATGAAACATCTTTGAAGAGGTAACTTTTGTTTTAGAATCCTTTTTGAAAATCTCTTTACTGAGAAAATTAAAGTAGCCCTAATATAGTGAACACACATAGTCCTTAAGATCTAAGAGGCATGGGTTCAAATTCTGACTCAGCCAATTACTAGAAAGCTTTAACTTAACCTCTCTAGTCTTCTGCTTTTTTTCTTTCTTTCTTTTTTTTTTTTTTTTGGAAAATAGAGATAATAATAATAGCTACCTCATGGATTATTGAGATGGCCAAAGGAAATAAACATCAAAATTTTCAGACCAGGCACTTAATGAATATGTGCTGATGACTAGTGAATTATTCTAATGAATAATCTGAAGTAATAAGGCATATTCTGCAATGTTATCAAAGTTTACGTAAGTCAAGATAAACTGTGGTCTGATGTAAGATTTGGTCCCTTTCAAATCCAGCATCATATACTTGATTCTACAATTTCCCCAAGTGACTATAAAATGCTCAGCAAAAGAAAATGAAAATAAAGTACTTCCTGCAATGCTAAAAGAATGTCCCAAAGGAAGCTATATCTTAAATAAAGCTTGAATTTGTTTAGAAATCTCACTTAAAGAATTGATATCTTCATATATAGTAATGCTTTGAATCCTATATTATAATTGAACCATCATGGGATATTTTTCTCACATAGATTCACTGTGTATCATCTCTACTTGGCCTTTGTTGAAGATGTTTTCTTTAAAATCTTTCCCCAGTGTCTTCATTTCTCAAAAATTCCACTTTTCTATCCTTTCATTTTTTGGTCAAGAGATCATGAGAATGGACTAAACAGAGGCACGAAGGTGCAGTAAAATATAAGCACTGTTGTGTAAAACTAAATGATTTCTACCCTACTTTAGCATAAATGAGTCTCCTGACAAATACTGTAAATAGAAAACTTACTAAAAATGCCTTTGAGTGGTGTGTTTTATTGCCTGTTTGCATAAACAACTTATGTGTGTCTACTTCACTTTCAATGTTGATTTATATTTTACTCTGTCGACAAAGAGATTTCGTTGAGGAAGAAACTTATCAAATATTTTCTACCGGAAGTCAAAAGAAACATCTGGCAAGAGTACAAGATCTAGACCCTTGTACACACGGGGTAATCTACTCATTGCAATGCTCCACAAAACATAGAGTAAGATTTGGTTTCAAACATTCTCATTATAAACACACATAAGGAAACTGGCACACACCAGAGATTTAGGCTCATGTGAATCAGAGGCTACTCAAGGTCAAACTTCCTTCTGACCCGCTCCTCTGGAGGGCACAAAACTGAGATGAATGAATCGGTGCCTCCAATTTGACCCACTTGTCAATTCCGACCTCGTCAGGGAACCCTATTGCATTAGTCAGCTCAGGCTCCTATAACAAAATACCACAGATTGGATGGCTTAAACAACAGATATTTATATCTCACAGTTCTGGAGGCTGGAAGTCCAAGATCAAGGTGCCATTTGCTTTGCTTCCTAATGAGGGCCCTCTTCCTGCTTGCAGACAGCTGCCTTCTCACTGTGCACTCACATGGCTGAGAGAGAGAGACAGTCCTGGTCTCATCCTCTTCTCAAAATGACAGGAATCCCATCATGGGGGTCCCACCCGCAAGACCTCATCTAAACCTAATTATTTCCCAAAGGTCCCACCTCCAAATGCCATCAACTGAGGGTAAGGCCTCACTACATGAGTTTGGGGCGGTGGTCAAGGGGACATAAAAATACAGCCCATAACATTTGTTTCGACATGTCAGTGTACCAAATATGACTTCCAAAACTCATAGCAGGAGATAAACTTGTACACATCCCTTTACATTTATGAGTGTGCTGGACTAAGTCCCTTAAGGCAAGCTCTGCCTTCACTATTTAAATCAGTGGTCAAATAAAATAAAAATAATAGTGTCTTCAGACAAATACGTAGTGAGATTTAATTATCTAAAATTTTTAAAGCCATCTAATTTTGCCTTTGTAAATAGACTGCTTGTATATAATTATTTGTAACATTGGTTTATGTGCAGTCACATGAATATGACCCAGCCCATTATTTACTCTGGCTTTTAAAAACTATGTGCATGATCAAAATATGAATGGCCTAATAACATGGAAAAATTGATTTGGGGAAAGTAAGAGAGAAAGAGATTTATATCATAGCATTACAACACAAATTAATGCTTTCATGTCTTTTAAATTTCTATTTTATCATTAATTATGGTGTGATAAAACTTCATAATTAAAATAACTATACCATATGCTGTTATATGTGTCCATTTTATTCTGAAAGGAGATATATATATGTCCTTTCATATGTTTTATTCTCAGCCATCTGTGAAAACTAATCCTGTGGCAAACATGGATCAGCAGTTCTTCAATTTGATGTTATAAAGCGTTAAAATACTTGGAATCCTAGATCCAGACATGTTCAACTGCTATTATATCTTGTTCATAGAAAGCACTCAATACTCCAAAATATGTTCCTGTGAGTTTTGGCATCTATTGTGAGAATGGAGTTTTAGTGACCTCATTCGAAGCACTCTGGGTTCTCAAGAGATAAAAAGAAAACCAAGTCTGCTATATCAGCAAGTGTCTTTGTATTTAAAATCCATCTTTTGAAAGAGTATGTAATTGGATTTTTGAAAACGAATTTAAATATCAGACTTCTAAGTGGCAAGTTTATTCATTCATATTTACTGTGATTATTTAAATATTTCAATTTATTTTGCATTTATTAATTGATTTTTACCATGCTTTCTCAACAATGTAAAGAAAAATTCTAGATGTACCCAAGAGCACTTGCATCCTATACATCCGTGGCATTAGGGTGAACTATTGTTCTTCTATCCTATTTTCTACCCTCTGCCATATTAGTCTTTTCTCCCATATCAATATCCTTTCAGGCTAACTCATATAATTTCCAATTTCCTGACTCACAATTGCTTCTTCTGTCCCACTCTTTCTTTCCTTCCAATGTTTCCATTTTTCTCTTTCCCCGAAGCCCCTCCTTTAGTGACTATTTTAGCAGGGTTTTATGAGAGAAACATGCTCTCTGGCTTCACCCCTTACTGCTGCATAGTAGATTTGTAGGGTACGTAATTGTACATTGATAGTTCTTTCTCCCAGCATTGTGCAGATATTCCATTGTCTTCTGACACCTGTTATTATTAATGAGAATTCTACTCTTGGAGGAATTACTGCTCCTTTATATGTAATCTGTCTTTTTTCTCTAGCTGTCTTTAACGTTTTCACTTTGGTGTTCTACAGTTTATTTGTGGTATTTCTAGTTGTTTAATTATTTTTGCTTACCCTGCTTCGGAGTCAATGTAATTCTTCAATCTGAAGATTCGTATCTTTCATTAATAGTTCACATTATCAACTATAATGTAGCTTTTCTCTCATTCATTCTATTCTTTCCTTCAGGAAAAATCTAGCAAATTATTTGGACCTTCTCATTCTACCTTTCAAGACTTTTAATGTCCCTTTCTTGTTTTCCAATTCTCTATGACTCTGGGCAGCAATAGATATTATTTGTTTAGATCTGTCTTTCTTTCTCGTTCTCTGTCTCTCCCTTTCCCCTCTCTCCTCTATATAGCTAATCTGCTATTTGACCTATCCATTGAGGTTTATATTACAACATTTTTTTGTTTCTGGAACTCCTGATTTTGGAACCAAAATTGCCAGTTCTGTTATTTATACTCTCTTTCCTCATTTATGAAGCCTTCAGGAAATTTAAACCTACTTATGTAATATCCTCTTTATAAGCTCAAGTTCATTTCAGTATCAGTCCTCTTATTTGTAAACTTAGTTGATTCTCCCTAGTAGTGAATCACTTCCTCATGTGCTTTGTAATTTTTATATTGTGGACACATCATCAGCTGAGGTTATTTTTTCATATGGGAGTCCTATGCATTATGAATTATGGAAACAATTCTGTTTTACAGTTTTTTATGTGGTCTGATAGGTGATCTGTCCTGTGTCTTAAGTTTCCACGTTAGTGTTAAGAATTCAGTCTTTTGTCTTTAAAAACTATGCATACGTCTGCTATCCTGATCATTATTCTGGATGATTCCCAGTATTTATAAATCACTTGAGTATTTATTTTTATTTCCTTTGAACCCAACAACGAATTGGTTTTAAAAAGTGTTTCATTTGTTTCTTTCTTATCTAGTCTATCATGTGTTCTTATGCAGGGTCAGAAAGCACCTTCACTAACTGTTGTATTGCAAGACCTAGACATCCCAACACCATGTCATTATGTAAAGGTTTAAAAACAATATAACACACTAGTCTTAGGGAAGAATCATCATTTACCAATGGATTTGGACATCATTTTTCAATGGACCAAGAGACATGCCTTTATTGATAACTTGGCCTTCCCATCATTTGGCTAATAATTGACCTAATGAGGAAGAGAGGCCCCCAGGCAAGCCAGGAGCATCGTGAGTAAATGGCTTTAGACAGAGGGTCTTAAATTTGATCAGAGAAACATTTCTCCCTGGTTACTAATTTCTTGTGTCCTGGGAGAAGTGTCTTGCCACACTTAAGATCATCCTAAGGACTGTCTTCTCAACTTTTCAAGTAGGTGGCGTACGTTCAGGTGTCTACTCACTTCACAATAATTTACCCTTTCTCTGGAAACTGCTTTTCACCACCGCCCTCATCTCCACAACAATGGGTCACCCATAGCCATATTTTCACTAACCTGAGCTGGGCCAATCTCATTTTCCCTTCAGGGTATTTAGAATTGAGACAGATAGAATTCGAGTTGTGGCTGGACCTACAGTATCTAAACCTGAGAGGTATAAGGTGACTGGATTCCACACCATGGAGAGAGATAAGGATATAGCAGCTCTGAAAGAGAAATAGGGATGAAAGAGAATTCTGACATTGGACCAGTTTCTGATTCTAGTTTTCTCCTGAGGACCAGCTGCATTATTTCTACACTGATTTCCACACTACCCCCCTACATCCTTATAGTAAATCACCCCTCTTCACTTGAGTTAGATGGAATTGGCTGCCATGTCTTGCAACCAGAAAAATCCTAAGACATTAACCCTGGGGATACAAATAGAGTCTGTGGCAGATAGCAGGGGAAATACTCTGAGCTCTAGGACAATCAGCATTTGTCCAGCACTGACAATGTGCCAAACAATAGCTGGTGCTGAAAAATCAAATACGAAAAAGACAGCTCCAGCCCTGGAGTATCTTACAGAGTAAGAGTAGAGAGAAAGACACACGAACATATGATGCAATACAAAATAATTCACCACCTCAAAGAAAGTTTTCTGTGTATCTCCACTTCCACACCACTAGCCAGACTAGGTTGGGTGCCTCTCCTACAGCACCCTGTGGTTATCACGATCACTAATGTATCAAACACTGTATAAGTTATCTATTCACTGGCCCACCTCTTTTGTAAACTGTGAGCTCTTTGGAAACAGAAATGGTGCTTTTCACCATAGTATCCCAAATAAATTGCAAAGTTTCTATGAAATAGCAGTTGCACAATAAATATTTGCTAAACAAATGACCACCTGTAAAAACAAATGAAGGTACCTCTACACAAATAGGACAGAAGAAAGAATAAGTAATTAATTTTATCTGGGAAGTCCTTAGAGGATCTTTTAAGGAGGCAGTATAATGTACAAGATAAGAGCACTGATTTTGGAGCCAGAGATGCCTGAAATCACAGAGTGGATCCCACGTGTATTAGCCACACAATCTTTTCTTCATCTGAAACGTGGAGATGCTCTTGATCAGTATCTCACAGAGCTATTGTGAATATGATGCGCAGGAGAGTATCCGAAAGGACACACATACTCATACGAGGTAGAGTCTGGCTTTCAGGGAAAGAAAATAGGATGAAACTGCAGAACCTCAGAGGCCAAGCTCTTCCCCTGCATGTTCTCTCTACACCATTTTTAAGTTGGCTGGTGGGATTAAGAGTGCAGCTTTAAGCACCTCTGTATGTGCTATTTGCCAACTTTAGCATGCAGAACTCAAGGAATTGTAGCCGGAGGAATTGTAGCCGGGATGGAAGTGGGCTCCACACAATTGGGGGCTTAGGGGAAATGACTGAGAGAAGAGGAGAGCTCCGGGAATGGTAGGAGTCCAGTCTAGGAGAGTGACTAAATGGTCAATCAATTACCGGGACAAGTTATTTTGGTGACACAGGTAGACTTGTGTTTATGTGAGTGGGCAGTAAAGGAACATCTGATTTCAATAGCAGATGTCTCAATAAGTGACTCTGATAAATCTCTGGTTGATAGAAGGGTGGTTCCAGAGGATTCAGTTTAGAGCTGCTACAGGGGTATGAGAATAAGATCATAACCTAAGAGAAAGGGAGGCTGCAAAACTCTTGTTCACGCATCATCAATGGGGCCAACATCACTCCAAGGGGACAAAAATTGTTCCTTAAGGGTTTAAAATCTTAGATACTATAATGATTTTTAGCCATCCAGTTGGCCACAGAACATAAGCAGATACATCTGTGGTATATTATTCAGTTCAGGCTGCCATAACAAACACCCATAGCCAGGATGGTTTAAACAGCAAAAAATTGCTTTTCATTGGTCTGGAAACTGAAAAGTTCAAGATCAAAATGCCAGCAAGGTTGGTTTCATTCTGGAGCATCTTCTCTTGGCTTGTAGGCAGCCATTGTCTCACTGTGTGCTCACAGGACTTCTTTGTGTGCATGCGGGGAGGGAGTGAGCAAGCTCTCCGGTGTCGCCTCTTACAAAAGCACTAATCTCATCATAAAAGCCCCACCCTCAAGACCTCATCTAACTCCAGTTATATCCCAAAGGCCCCATCTCCAACTCTCATTACATTGGAGTTTCAGTATATGAATTTGGGTGGTGGAGGGGAACACAAACATTCAGCCTGTGCGATGTGGCTTTAAAATATAATAGGTGAGAAGTAGCAATTAGGGAAAAACAAGTCTAACTCAGCTCCTTAGGTGAGTTATGATAAAAAAAAAAAAAAAAAAGGAACCGCAAGAGTTGAGAAACACTAACATGGATAAGCTATGCGGGGCTTGCTGACGGCTGACCTTATTTGTAGCACTTATATTGCCTGCGTAAACCTAGCCTTCTGCAATTCATCCCTTTCCCCACGTTCTTATACCTGCAATTCCAGGGGAAGCCACCAGGGCGCCTTGTTGCTATTAGAGCCATGTGGCTTGAGCAGCTGGCCTTCACATTAACAGAGAGATGATTTTTAAATTTCATTACAGCTCTTAAAAAAAATGAGAAAGAGCTTTTCAAGAAACCAGTCTAACACAATCAGCATTGGTTAAATATTCATGTTTAAAGAACAAGAGGAAAACACATCTAAATCCAAAATGGTACCTGTGACTGACTTTAGATTATTATTAATTACTGTGTAAATTAACTTGAAGATTAAATATAATTGTTTCTAATTATATTTTTAAAGTCTTTAAATTATATACCATAGAGTGAAACTGTGATTGAATGAAACTGATGATCCAGGAAGATGTACCAGGTGTATCCTTCCCATCTCACCTAACACATTGCAGGATGTCTTCAATTTAAGAAGCAAGAATCCAAATACATGGTAGGTAAAATTCTCCATGTATCTGGGTCCCTTCATTGCAATTTGTAAGACAGAATCACCTTTCAGAGGTTGGTACGTAGAATCCTCTTTCCCCCTCATTCTCTATATCCTATTAATTCGTATGACAAATCTATTTTCCTTTTATGATCTCTTTTATAGACTACCAAAAGAAATTTGAGAAGGATTAAAATGTCAGTTCACACACAAATAATTCAAATTAAAAAAAAAAAAAAAACTAAGGAAGAAATTCGGAAAGTAGAACTGAGAACAAGAGGGTTGGGTAAAGAACAGCTCCCTGCTCTCTACTAAATTAAGTCCAAACACCTTTCCCCAGCTCTTGAGGTCATTCCTGTTATAATCCCAACTTTCCTTTCTAGGGTTATTGGCAACCATTGCCCTGCATGAAATCTTCATTTCAGCCAAACCGAGACCACTCCCAATTTATGACACATAAGCTAGTTTTCCTACTTCATATATTTTCTCAAACCTTCCCTCCCTTTTATATTTTCTTACCTTGTTCCATATCCTACAGCCTCATTTCTACATGCCCAATCCTGGTAACTAATTCAAGGCCTAATTCAAATGCTATCTTCTCTGTTAGGACTCTCTTTGGGCTCTGCCATCAAATGAGCTTTCCCTCCGTTTCTTTTGAATCCAAATAACATTTAATTTGGGTGTGTCTTTTATCACTTTAGTCTCCATTTTACCCGGTCCCCCTCTACGTAGTTTAAATTTCTTGATGGCATATTTATGCCTTATTCAACATTCTATTTCCACATAGCTCTCAAGACAATGCATTACATACACTGGGTGTCCAATATTTGCAGAAGCTGCTCTGTCCCCAGCTCCAGCAATGTGAGTTGTGGATGTCACTCAGATTGGAAGTAGTATTTGCAATTCAACGTGAGCTGTTCAGAAAATAGCTCTTATTAGGCAGGGGCTTTTATGAATCATTAACAGGCAGCAGCAGTACTGGGGATTAATTTTAATAATATTTCTGTTATAAAATTCAAAGGCTATCTTAACCAACACATGTATATCCCAGACAAGTGTACCTGTTGATGATCGCAATGACCATAGCTGAATTTTAAGAGTCGCCCCTTAGTTTAAAAGCTTTGTAAAGCCTTGCCTCCCCATGTGTGGTCCAGAGACCGTCAGCATGGGTCCACCTGGGAGCTTGTTACAAATGCAAAATCTGGCTAGGCGCTGTGGCCCACACTTGTAATTCCAACACTTTGGGAGGCTGAGGTGGGAGGATAGGTTGAGGCCAGGAGTTCGAGACCAGCCTGGGTAACATACCAAGACTCTATCTCTAGAAAAAAAAAAAAAATAGCCAGGCATGGTGGCATGTGCCTGTGGTCCCAGCTACTCAGGAGGCTGGGGTGTGAGGATTGCTTGAGCCCATAAGTTTGAAACTACAATGTGCTATGATCATGCCACTGCACTCCAGCCTGGGAAACAGAGCTAGACCCTGTCTCTTAAAAAAAAAAAAAAAGCAGATTCTCAGGCTGCCCTCCAGACCTATGGGATTAGGCCTGCATTTTAACAAATACACACAAAATTTAGAAGCTCTGGTTTAAATGTTTAAATGGAAATTTATTAAAATTTTGGTGTCCATTTATTTGGACATATATTTAGGCCCAAATATATTATGCCCATATATTTTATTCAGTGGATATATCAGAAGAGCTTGTTCAGTATATTTAGTAGAATTTAAAGTCAAGAAGTTAATTGCACATAATATGAAAACAAGAATTAAAAGGAATTAAAATACCATCTCAAATCACTGTTTCTTGCATTTTGCCCTCAGACTTCCAGAAAGCAGCCAAGAGAAAGTGTTAAGGAGTAGGGAGCACCAACTATATCGTTGTTCCTGAAATTTCTCTTTCCATGAAGGAAATGAAAAACACTAAATATCAACATGACAGAGTTGGAATGAAGAGGGGGTTTCCCAGGTGGGGCTCATGAAATCCAAATTGTTTGATTCGAGTGTTCAAGGAGAAACAGAGCTTCTCTCTCACCTCTAAGGAGAGACCCAAAAGACCCCTGAGAAGAGGAGAAATATAGTCTCCCTGCCACGCTGACACCCTTAATTATGGCTTTTGAGCTTTTGATGTTCTGACACATAAATAGCTAAAAATTTGCTTTTTCATTTTGTGCACTTGCAAGTTGGAAATGTCATCAAGTTTCATCAAGATTGAAATGGGGTCCAATTTGCTAAAAATGCCTCATGCATAAGGAAGTTTTGTGCTCTCTTCCACATGGGAGTCAGCCTGCACAATACATTATGCACCTCGTGCTGGAAAGATCTCGACATGCCACTCAAATACTGAAACGGAGGGAGCAGTCACGCTTCAGGGTCTTTGCACTTTCAGAGGGAGGGGCCCCTAGCCCTCAAATATTCAATTCCCAAATAAAACCGTTCTATGTACTCACTGTAAAAGTACTGATATATAAACTCCAGCTCCAGCTTCTCCCCACTCATTATTTCTGAATCACAGACAGTTATTGTGTGGTGGTATGCCCCCAACACAAAGAAAGGCAGACTAATGGTGAAAAATAATTGCTATTTTACGTCTCTTTTGCTTTTAGCAAAGTATAAAACCAACAACTTTTTCTTCAACAATAGGAAAGCAAAGTGAATTAGTCAATGGAAAGATTACTTTCCTATAATTTCAGCCTATCTTTTAAAATTGGGGTTACATTTCCCTTGATTCTGTCTGGAGACTATGAAAGGAGAAAAAAAAAATCTCTCCCTGAGTAAGGTTCTATATATGATGGCAATCCTTGAGAAAGGGTGCTTGGCTTAGGCATATTTCTGTTTCCTTTCCCAATGTTGATTTTTTTTACTGCTTTCCCCCCAAATTCACACATAATTACTACTTTAAATAGAATAGTTGAGGCTACTGAGAACCTACATTAGAAGGAGTCTTTCTGTTCAGAAGTTCACATTGAAGGGAACAGAATCCTAAAATTTGCCAGATTACTTCCCATGGGAGATCCATATGTGAAAAACGAAGGCCTGGAGGTAATTGAGCTTCTAAATTTCCAACATACCCACACATAGAGATACACACCCCAGGCCTTGACACCCAGTTTATATGGACTGCCACAAAAGCAAGTTTCTGTGGAATCTCTTGAGGTGTTCTAAAAACTTATGACAGTTTTGCATTTTCATTTGAAAGATGTTTTAAAATAGTTTTAAGCTCCTGGCACTCTGTAAAGGTCCGACACGGTTTGGGGTACACCTTGACCCAGCTCCTTTTCCCTTGGGGGTGTTCGCATCCTCCTCTCCATGTTCAGAATTAAGGGTTCCAGTGATCATAATCGTTTTAAACTTTACATATTACCTAGGGCTTTTACTTCTATCAGCATCATCAAATGGCAAACATTAATTGAATATCTACTGCTTGTCAGGCGCCCTGAGAATCCCTTGCATGCATGATTTCACTCACTGGTTAAAATACTCCTAGAGGTAGGAACTGGTAGCTCCATGTTACAGATATGGAAATTGAGACTTGGAGAAGTTAAATAACTAGCGCACAGTATCGCAGCGTAGGAAAAAAAAAAACACGAGGTTTTGCTGATTGCTACACTAAACTGCCTATTCGTATTTGCTTTTAACAAATATAAAAGTCCTGTGAAGACTTTATTGGACTCTCACATTCAGAAGAGGAAACCAAGACTCCCAGCTTAACATCATACAATTAATAAAAAGCAGAAAAATCAATCCAGGATCTTCTGACTTGAACACCATTGGGTTTTCCGTTCTACCACAGAAGCTTAGGTCATTTCCAATTCTACGTTTCTAGAAATCTATGATAGGAAAAAAAAAAAAAAAAGCTTAAATGAATCAATAGAACATGCTGAAACTTGGAGACTTTATTTTCATGCAAATAGTCTCAGGATGAAGGGCAAGACGTAAAGATTCAATGACCTTAATTGTAAAAGAATTAGAAATTCCATTAGTAACTATCACAATTTAATAACGCTCATTTTTTGCAAGAATGTGTGATAGTTACAGGAAATTATAGCAACCTCTTAATTTCTAAGATGATTGTTTCAAGTGCATTTTCCTAGTTAAAGATTAGATGCCTTTTTTAGCCTCCAATAACAAAAGAGTTGAGTAAGAATTTTCGCCAATAAGAAGTTTTCTACCTTCAGAGCTGTCTAAATTAGGAGTGGGCTATCTTGTGCAGTAGTAAGTTTCCTGCTCCCAGGAGAATTCAAGTAGAAACTAGATGACAACTTGTCAAGGATGTAACCGAAGAGATTCACAATCTTTTAGGGTGACAGACTTTTTGAGAATCTAATAAAAGCCATTGACATTTTCACCATAAAAATGTATAGATGTGCAAATTTTGCATACACTGGGATAAGAAGTTTGCTCTGCCATTTCTATATGGCAGGAAACCATTTGGCTTGGGATTAACCTCATACATCTAGATGCAGGTAACTTATGTAAACTGGGAAACATTGCCATAGCCTTCGTTTCTTCCCTCTCCCTCAATCTGGTCTCCACATTCACATGGAAATACTGATTGCAATCTGGCATATTTTGTTTGGCCTACATGATGGTTTGCTTTGTTTTTTAATTTGTTAAATCAAGAGATTTCATACAAAAATCCAGATTTGGGGGTTTTGTTGAAAAACCTGAGATACTCAGGTAACCGTGGGCCTGCATTCCAGCACGGTACCAATTTGTTGAAGCTTAGTGGAAGCCACTCCTTTAGGTGGGGCATTCCAGTTTGCCAGAGTCCACATCACTCAAGTGCCAACCTTGGCCTGCTTTACATATTTATATGACCCATTTCACTGTGCATTTGAGTTTGCAATCCCTGAAGTAGAAAAATGGTTTTTAGTAGAAAGTTTTCCAAATTGGCTATCAAAGGGGCTGGTCTGCTTCCCTTTAATCACACCATTCTCAACAGAGAGGCACTGTACATAAGAGAGGGAAAGGGGAATAAGGCTGGGCCAAAGCAAAGAGCAGAGCAGAGCAATCAAAGCCGAAGGAACAACCAAATACATCCATTAACTTTCGCTCTCTATGTCCATTCTCTCCTGATGACTACAGAGACCCAGTTTGCACGCATTTAGAGACCAGGGTCAAGATGCAATCCTTTGAACCAGGAGCTGACTCTCTAAGCTCATTGACTGTGAGCTTGAACTTGGAGCTGTTCGTACAAGATCAGTGATGAATTCTCCCTCCTTTACCCAGTTTACCTTACAGAATAGACATGATATCACCCCTGCCACCCAGCTCATTGGTGAAAGAGGAATGAAAAATCTGGGAAAGAAGTGGCCTGAACTGGAGACTAGAGATGCTCCTCCAATGGTCTTTCCATTCAACTACGAAGTGGGATTCTCAGAAAGATCCCAGACGTCCCTAGAAAAATTACTACAGATGGTCTTCAAATTTGATAAGAATCATACTTCAGTATGTTATATGTTCACAGTTAAAACAGTTTTTTGATGCCAAATTGAAGTATTTTTACATCAGCTGATGAACAGATATTCCTCACAGTTTCATGATGGCTTTGTTATATTTCATCTGGGTAGCAGCTTATGGGAATTTGTTTGAAAGTTATATTATTATTGCTAAGAATAGAGAAGAGGAGAAAAAGATGAAATTGCTGATTTTAGTAAAAACAAAATGTGTAGAGCTTATCAACTTAATTCAGATAAGACTAAGATGGAATCTCTAAACATCCTGAAAATGGCAAGCATGTTTCCTCCGTTGAATGCTCACTGGACTTTAGCTATATGTTAACTATGAAGGAAAAGACCTAAGTCAAGAACACAAAGGAAATGTTGAAAATATATTAAAGACAGAAACTAGTGGATATAACTAGGGAACTGATCATTTGTTTCCAATATTGGAACACTACCAAACCTTCATAACTTGTATTACAAAACCTCATAACTTTTAATCATTGTTCAACCTTCTACATTTTGTCTATGTTTTCAAAAAGCCATTATCTGTGAAGTCAGGAAATTATAATTTTAGTTTCGTTATTAATTGATTTTTCAGCTTTATTTAAGCCACTTAACCTTTTTGGTCTGTTTCCTTACGAGTCAAATGAGGAATTCTATAATTCCAGGGATACTGGAGGGACAAAATGCAACCACGGATATAAATATGCTTGCAAGAGGTAAAAGGCTCTCCAGATGTAAGGTATTTTAAATACATTAGCATGTAGTGTAAATAACGCTTATTGTCTCATGTAAAACCATAATTCACAAAGAAGGAAGGTACTTTTTTCTCAAAAACACTAAAAAATTAAAAGACATATTTATTTTCTCACTCTTTAATCTATACAATTAATGCACTTGGGATGGCCTCATCCAGCATCAAAATAAACCTATATGTAAACAACGAGGTAAATTATCAAATAATAATTATGCCTCTTATAATGCAATTCTTGTACGTTTTTTTTTCATAAAAAATGTCCCCAATATTTTCCCAGGCAAAGTAATCAATATAAAATTTAGAAAATAAGTAATTATAAGTACCTAAATATGTGTTTACTTCTTCCATCCTGTCATTTGTTATTATAATATGTATGGTTTTAAATATTGGACCCATCTGATTTATAACAACACTGGATAGCACTACTCATTTATCTATTGAACAAAGGCAATTTGGAGGAGGGGGTAGCTACAGTGATAGCAATTTGTCATTAACAGCAGTTGTAATTATATAGCCTCATCTACACATTACTGCACCATCTTGTGCATTTTCCCTAAGACTAAATATCTTCTAAACCATAATAATCCACCAGATCAAAAATTCAGCTGCTTATGAAAGTGAGAAAATAGTGATTTACATGTTACACTTTAAAAGCTTCATCAAAGCTGTAATAATTTTGTTGGATAAACAATGTGATTCTCAAGATTAATAAGAATTTCTAAATATGAACAATATGTACCCTGAGGAGAATATTATCTAACAAGGAACTGATAAATTATGTTGGGCAAATAATCTGCATACTAAAATATGTGTAATGGAGACAGGAAATTAAATATTGAAATGTGTAAATAATACACAGTTTGGTATGTTGATTTTTTCCCCCCTTAGTTGGGCTAGATCCCAGCTTCAAAATAATAGATGTCCCAATGCATGTCCTTGTCACTCACACAAGAGAACAGAGTAAATTAACATATCGTTCAGATTCACGTTCACTTTAGGCAGGAAATTGGAAGTTCTTCGATGAGTTCCATTTGGAAAAGATTCTTGGGAAAGAATTAGGGAAAAATTTCTATGAGTTTTTTTCTAGACTTCAGAAAACTACATTTGGTGCTTCCCCCCCCCCCCCCCCCCACTCTTTCAAGTGGATAACTGCCTTTGAAAACTGGATAAAAATGCTGCTGGTTTGAAAGACTATGATGGGCCGGGTATGGTGGCTCATGCCTGCAATCCCAGCACTTTGGGAGGCCAAGGTAAACAGATTGCTTGAGCTCAAGAGTTCGAGACCAGCCTGAGCAACACAGTGAAACCTCGTCTCTACAAAAAAATACAAAAATTAGCCGGATGTTATGGCTCGTATCTGTAGTTCTAGTTACTCAGAGGGCTGAGGTGGCAGGATTGCTTGAGCCTGGGAGGTTGAGGCTGCAGTGAGCTGTGATGGTGCCACTGCACTCCAGCCTGAGTGATAGAGCAACACCCTGTCTCAAATTAAAAAAAAAGAGTATGAAAATATGCACCCCCAATGAAAATACTGCCAAAACTAAATTAATCAGAGTGTTGATATAGGACCTGGACTCTGTAGCTGAGCCTTGGCTGAACATTTCCTCGGAAGGCCATTTCACCAGCCATTTCTGGTAGGCCATTCAGGAAGGCTTCACCAAAGCCATATGTGAAGTTGGCAAAACTCATGTGGCACTATGTTCTTCCTCAGGACAGTTACTTCTGAGAGGAGATAAGCTGACAGGTCTTCACAGGTCTGCACAGGGAACATGCAAGTACACAGAGAGGGACGGTGCAGGGTAGCAAAAACTCCCCAGAATATTGGGTTATGAAAAAGTAATAAATGTTAACCAGCCAAAGAGCAGGTAACTGCAGAGGGGACCACGTGAGCAAGAACTTGGAAGAATGAGACGTATTTGCCAAAACTTAAGTAGGAGATGGAGAATGTTTAGAAACAAGACTGCAGGAGTAATCAAGGCCAAACTGAAGGCAACAAAGAACAAGCTTGAAGAAAATATTAATAATTTTGGCAAAACATATAATTGACAAACAATTGATATCCAGAATATATAAAGAACAATTATAAATCAATAAAAAGACCATCCAGTTGAAAAACTGATAAAAATTTTAGACAAATTTCCAGAACACAAACCCTAAATGACCATAGAAACATTTTAGAAGATATTTAGCTGTGGTAGGAATGGGAAAAATGGAAGTCAAAACACAATGAAGTGTCATTTAAAACCCATCAGATACACAAATCTGACAATACCGAGTGCAATCAAAATGTGGAACAAGCAGAACTTTTATACACTGTTAATGGGAGAGTAAATTGGTATAATCACTCAAGAGAACTATGTGGCAATGGTCAATAAAAGTTTAAAACGCCAATACCTTTGATCCAACAATTCACCTTTTTGTAATAGACCTTAGAAATAAATATAATATTTGTGTGTAAATATACATGTGCAAGAATCTTAATAGAAGTAGTGTCAATATTTGAAATATATATAAAAACTTAAATGTCTGACAAAAGGAAATAGCACAAAAGTGTGATCTATTCATACAGTGAAACATTAAATTGCATTAAAAATGAACTAGAGCCTTACATATCAAAGGTGAATCTCTTAAATTTAAAATTAAGTGACATAGAGAAAAAACTAGTTGCAGAAAGATATAAGCCTTATCATGCCAGTCATATATATAAAGTCTGAAAACATGCGGTGTAATAATCTATATTGCTTCAAGACACACATAGATATAGTAAAATGTAAAGAAAAGCAAGGTAAATGAAAACAATAATCGCCACACTTTAAGAGAAGGGTTTTTTACTACAGGGGCACAAAACCCCTGGGAGTTTCTCCTTATTCTGATAATATTTTTTCTTAAGCAGGGTGATAGGGACATAGGAATACATTGTACTATCCTTTGTACCTTTTTGTACACTTTATACTTCAAAGTAAAATTTTAGAAATGAAAAAGAGGCCGGGCGTGGTGGCTCACACCTGTAATCCCAGCACTTTGGGAGGCCGAGGCGGGTGGATCACAATGTCAGGAGTTTAAGACCAACCTGGCCAAGATGGTGAAACCCCGTTTCTACTAAAAAATACATAAATTAGCCAGGCGTAGTGGCAGGCACCTATACTCCCAACTACTCGGGAGGCTGAAGCAGGAGAATTGCTTGAACCAGGGAGGTGGAAGTTGCAGTGAGCCGAGACTGTGCTACTGCACTCCAGCCTGGGAGAGAGAGCGAGATTCCGTCTCAAAAAAAAAGAAAGAAAAAAGAAAAAGAGAGCTCACTCAGGTGGCAGTAGGGAGAACGGAACAGGATAGGAGGGAAGGGAGAGAGGCAAGATGTGTGAGACCGCTTTCAGTTTGCAGGGATTCCTGCCATTGATGAAACGACACACAAACCCTACATTTCCCAAGAAGGTTTGGACAAGATGCTGACTTTATCTGGACTCTAGTCTCAAAAAACCTGGACTCTAGAGGCAAAATTGCCCTGCAATAATTTCTCTATCCCCCAAAAATCCACAAGTGGGTAAATTTGGCAAAAGCAGCACAAACTTAAAGCTGGAGAACACAAATGACTTAATTCTAATTCAAAAGTAATATCAAGTTCCCCAAGGAGGGGAGAAAAAGCTAATTTAACCTTTCAACCCCTTGCTCCCTATTTATTATGTGGTGAGAATAATATGAAGAATGTTGTGAGGATTAATACATTCATTTCTCAAGCTTTGTAGATAAAAATGTGCTCCATAAGTGCTTTATTTTAAGAACTATGAAATGGTTTGTTTATTCCAGTATCCCATTCAGCCATTTCTCAAACCTTATCTCCCGGTTCTGGGTTTTGAGATGAATATAGGGTCTTTTAAATGATTGCGAGTAACCTTTGAGGATTATGCATTTTAAGCACTGGTTCACAATGAATATGTGACCAGATATATGTCACATAGGAGAAAGTCAAAAATATAATCCCTAAGAGGTTAATGATACAAATTGTATTTGGAGTTTCAATTTGCCGTAATAATTCTGAGCCCTTTCGAATAAGTGACTTCAGTCTTGGCACCCAACATCTGCCAATACGATTCATCCTGATTTGGGGCCTGTTAGGAATAAACTAGGGTTTGGGCTGAAGGCAACAAATCAAGTTATAAAATTTAATGGAAATATATAGACTAGATGCTTTATAAAAATAGCAAAAGAAGTTTATTCAAGTAGTTTTCCTAATAGCAGGTAATGGTTTATACCGGTTCATCCACAATTTTGTGCCTAGCCTCCTTTGGAGAAAGAACCAATACTTGGAATAAGACTGTCCTGCTTTCAAAGAACAGTAGGCCTCATGGTGAAGAAACAGAATCATGAGTGCCATCTAGGGCCCACATCTCTCCTGACCTTGGCTTTGTTTTTTCTCTGTTTGAACAACAATTCTGACTGCTTTGTGTAAACTCCAAATTCATTCATTCATCCCACAATCATCTACCAGAGGTATGGCTTTTCACAGTTCTCTTTTACCAGCTGTGTTAAAACCAGTGTTTGGGGTGGCACCCAATATTCATTCACATATGGGTCAGCATTTCCCAGATTGTGCTATAAGAGGCTTATATGTGATCTGCAAGGGGAGAAAAACAACTTTTATGATTCTTTAGCCATATGATCATGTCTTCTTCCAGGAAGATCACAGGTCGTATTTGTATTTTCAATTCAGAAAATGTCACAAGCTAGTTTTACATGGTTCAATCCAGTGTTTCTCAAACTCACCAGGCCATAGACATCTCTCAACACCTCATAGTTCTTTAGGGTTACACAGAACAGGGTTTGATCAACGCTATTCTAGACATACATTCTGTGACCTTGTTAACAGAATGAGGAGCTACATGGACAATAACAACATGTTGCTGTTAATTAACTAATTAATTCTGTAGGCAGCTTCTAAGATGACCCCCCAGTGGCCCTCATCTCTTGGTATTTATGGCCTTGTGTAGTATCCTTCCTTTGAGTATAAATAGGACCTGTAACCTACTTGTGAACAAAAGGTCACAGAATGTCACTTTCAGGATTAGTCATAGATGTGACTTTTGTCTTGTTAGCAGACTCTCTCTCTTTGAGAGAAGGGCTCACTCTGTGGCCTAGGCTGGAGCGCAGTGGTGCAATCATAGCTCACTGCAGCTTCAACTTCCTGGGCTCAAGCAATCCTCTCTTCTCAGTCTCCTGAGTAGCTGGAACTACAGGTATGCGCCACCGCACCAAGCTAATTTTTGTAATTTTTGTAGAGACGAGGTCCCAGTATGTTGCCCAGGCTGGTCTCAAACTCCTGGCCTCAAGCTATCCTTCCACCTTGGCCTCCCAAAGTGCTGGGATTACTGGCATGAGCCACTGCACCAGCCAAGACTGTCTAACTTGCTAGCTTAGATGAAGCAAGTGACCAAGTAGAAGAGGCCCACCTGGCAAGAAACTGGTGACAGCCTCTGTCCAGCAGCCAGCAGGAAACTGAGGCTCTCAGTTCAATGACCCACAGGGAACTAAATCCTGCCAATAACCATGTGAGGTTAGAGGAAGAGCCTTCCCCAGTAAAACCTTCAAATGAGACCTTATCCTTGCCCAATACCTTGAACGTTGACTTGTGAGAGACCCTGAGGCAGAAAGCTCAGCTCAGTCATGCTGGACTCATGACCACAGAAACTGTGGAAAAATAAACATGTGTTAGATTCAGACTCTAAGTTTGTGGTAATGTGGCAATAATCTTATATGTGTCAGTGATATGCATTGAGATGCAACCATACGTCAAATTAGTTATTTTCTTGGACCCCACAGAACTTCTAGTGAAGTGGGGTAGATAAGCACTGACATATTATAGTTAACAAGAATATTATAGTTAACACTTAGATAGCACTTATTTGTGGCACATAAATAGCCTAAGTTCTTTCTATATATTTTCTTATTTAACCCTCAAAACAACTCCTAAGAACCATTACTGTCTATATTTTATAGGTGAGGAAACTGAGGCCAACAGAAATTGAGTGCTCAGGTTCCCCTTCCTGGCAATTGGCAGAGCTGGGTGTTGAGCCTACTTTTTAAACATAATGCTAAAATCATGCTAACAAATGTGAAATATATAACACGACGAGTCCTACAAAGAAAAGTATGTGATTGCACAACAGTCTCTCATAAAGGATTTGAGATGGAGCAGGGACCTCTCTTAGGAGCCTGTCAGGCACCTCCCTCTCCCATCAAGCATGGAAATAAAGGAAAATCTTGAGTTTATTTAAGGGAAATTCCAGGCACCTAGCTAGCCCTGAGAAGCAAATGAGCAACTTAATAAGCAAGAAGGTAAAAGTAGCTTAAAAACACAGCCATGGAAGTTAGAGTCAAAAGATGGTTTGTTCCCTAAGGGAACTAAAGATAACCTCTTAACATATGTCCTCCTGTGGTTTTTCAGAAACCTGGACCTCCACCAAATGGATCTACTGGCACGTAGACCTAAGATAAGGGAAAACTGAGGACTGAACCCTGACCTCCATTCTTTGCTCTAAATTTCTTCCTGAGGGGCCTGGAGGTGATGACGCTTACTAGCCAAAGCTAACATTGTTTCATGCTGACCCCAAATTTTTAGACAAAGTTTCACCTCCTTAAGCAATTGCAAATTAGAAAATCTTTGAATCTACCTGTGACTCCTGTGGGATCCTGCTTTGAGATGCCCTGCCTTTTTAGGTGAAATCAATGTACAGCCTCTATGTATTGATTTATGACTTTGCCTGTAACCTCTCCCTCCCCACCTTTAAAAACCCTTACCTGTAACCTGTCAAGAAGTTCAAGAGTTCAGCATCAGCTGCCTGATTCTCCTTGGTTGGCACCCTGCAACAAATGCCTCACTCTTTCTCTCGCTGCCATCTCAATGTCAGTGTTTGGCTTTGCTGCACAGGATAGGTGGACCCACCTTCAGTTCGTAACATTTAGCCAACCAGGGAGTAAGGGCCACTTAAGCTGAAATATGAAATTTAAGTAAAACTTTATTAAAGAGAGACAGGCATTCCAGGCTGTGAGAATAGCAAACACAAAGGCCCTGTGGCAGGAAGGGACAATTTAAATCAGACAGGATGAAAAAAGGCCATTCAGGGTGGGACTGAGACATTGGGGAGAGGTGAGAGAGCTCAGAAGAGCCAGACAGTGCAGAGAATTTTAGAGCATATTAAGTAATTTTGTCTTTATCTTAAGAGCAATGGAGTGGAACGTCATCAAAGGTATTTAGTGGGGATGGGGAAGTGGGAGGCTCACGTAATCATATTTGCATTTTGAGAACATTACTCTGAACTCTGGAGTAGAATACACTGGAAGGAGTCAATAATAGATGTCTGAGGCTATTAGATGAGTTCAGAACAGATGTCATGAGGCTATTAGATGAGATCCTGGTGGTGGCCTATACAGTGGAGCCGATAGGGATGGAGAGCAGCAGGCATGATCAAGAGATATTTTGGAGATGAAAACAGTGATTGGGCAAGGGAAGGTGAGAGGAGAGATCAAGGAGGATTCAAAGGTTTCAGCCGTGCACAATCTGAATTTTATATAATTTGCACCAATTTCAGGCTGATGGTTCCCGTTTTCCAAAGTCAAAGGCAGAGCCTCAGGAATGTTGGCCCCCAGAGTCAGGTTTTTGGTTCCCCATATATCACAAAATAAAACATTGAAAATTTACTACAGAAGGTTAGGGGTTGCAAAACGTCCCTCAAAGGCACCTAAGGGCTTTGACTGAGGACTTCAATCACCCATTTAAGAATCAAAAAGCTTTGGTTTTAGAAAACAGATTTTTTTAAATGAATGGGCCAATATGGTTTTGCTCCAGGCGTCATTTCAAACACTTTCTTCAGAAGTATTTCTGAGTCTCAGTTTGCATCTCTAAACTAAAGAACCAAAGAGATCTGCCCACTCCACCGTGCCACATGGGATACATGGAATTTCACAATCTTGACTCCTTCTTTGCATAGCTATTCAGGGATCTCTGTGCACCATACCCAAACCCCACCCTTGTATCCAGCTGGAAGGACATTACTAAATGTCACCCAAAGAGGAGACCTGTGTGCACCATGTAAATAAGAAATTATCTTAAAGACAGTTTCTTTAATTCAGAAGACGGTTGTGGCAGAGGTCTAACACAGAGCAAGTCATTTAGTCATCTACAAACAACCAAGTTGCCTTTTCTTGAGGCAGAAAGATCTACAATCCAAGCCATTGACAATCTAAGATAGTATCATCCTCAAGAGTCTTAACAGCTGGTCCAGATCATTTCTGCAGCTCTTGTTTAGTTTTTGGTAGCCTCAATTTTCTTATCTACAAAATGGGCACAGTTGCCCATAAACCTGCTGTGGGAATTAAGTGAAGTTATCCATGAAAGATGTTTGACTCACTGCCTGACATTGAGTGTGCTCTCTGTCAGTGCGCATTATTCTGATTATGCCCTGTCCCATGCTATTCAGAGAAGAAGGCAAGAACATTGAAGGCAGAGAAAAGACAGCCCTTTAGCTATGGAAGCTCACATTGTTGTGGAAGAGACATGAAACAAGCAAGGGTTTGAAATATGAGGATCAGCAAAGATACCCAGCCGTGCCTCAGATCACTCCACTCTCTTTCTCATCCCATGGTTCTCACTGTTCCCATCCCAGGAGAGCCCCCTGAGGATCTCTGGAACTGATTTGCAGAAGAAAATTTGAAGAATATTTATCTGGTGGAAAAAAAAAACAAAAAAAAAAAAACAAAAACACTAGACAACACATCCGGAGACCCTCCCTCAGAACTTTATCAAGCGAATCACTAAACCTGTCTGTCTCAGGTACCTCTTCCACAAATAAAAGGAGTAATGGTCACATCTATACACAAAAGTACATTTGCATTTACGACAGGATAAGATGAGATACCAAGTGAACAGGTAATTAAAAAATTAAGCATCCAGTGTCTATTAAGCTCCGACTGTGTGCTGAGCAATGTAATGAGTGTTGAACAGAATACAGAACGAGTTTATGCAGGGCCCCAGCTTGGGAACAAAGAAGAAAGGTTCTTCTTTGGGTGGGAGGAAAGAATAGCAGTTTTAAATTAAACAGTACAAAGCAGGAAATAATAAAATGATAGATGATGTAGGAGAGATGATCATGTCATATGATTCTCGAATGATGAGAAAACAATGAGACGAAAGCTTTATAAAAAAAAAAAACAGCATGAGTTTGATCAAGAAAGATGATGAAATGGAATGTAGAAGTTATTCCAGGTGAAAAATGATGCAACTGATGACCCAAAGGTGGGAATGAGTAAGGCACGTTTGGAGGAAACAGAAGTGTCCATCATGTATATTCTCATATACCCATGAATACATATATATCTACTATGTGCCCACAAAACTTAAAAATTAAAAAAAAAACTAAAACTATATATAGCTTCAGGAGCATAATCTTTGAAAACCTCATCTAATTCCACTCTCATTTCGTGACTTAATTTCAAAGCAAGTATCACTTCGCATACAGGCAAATTGAGACCAGAGAGGTTCATTTCCAAATCAAAGTTAACCAGCACAGTGGAAACCCAGGCCTAGAGCCTAGATCTTCGCTTCCTTATTCCTAGATGCCTCTTGGATATTAGTGGTTTCAGGTTCAATGAGGAGAAATTAAAAAATAAAACAAAACAAAACAAAAAAAACCCCTTAATTTCCTTTACTTCGTGTATGAACTGAAAGAAGGCAGACAGGGGTTCCAAAATGTAGGCACATGGAGTTCAACTGAATATTTGAGATTATAATATTATTCCTTCTGAGAACCCTGCCTGTCCACTATCATTAGAGATCTTTGAGTGCATACCTCTTGACTTTTAGAAGAATACAGTTTAGACAAATGAAGGCTCCTCCAGCATCTATTGTGTGCCTGTCCTATGAGTCTCTAGTTTCTGGAGACATCACCAAATATTTGCCTGTCACTCCCAGCTTATGATGTTGCCAGACTTGCTTATTAGGCTGTCCATATACGTCAGCATTCTTGGATATTGGAAGTGGTTACTTTCAAGATGCCTCATCAACAGATTTGGAAGGGAATTGCTCAAGGTGACTACAAGCAGGATTTTATAAAATCAGTGAACAACAGGAAGTCAGTCCCTACTGATAAAGTTTTACTTCGAATTATCAATGTGCCATAAAGTTGACAAAAATTATTTTGGCTGCAGCAGTCAGATGTGCCCAGATAGTCCCCAGTCTTGGGATAGAGCCTGAAAACCACACAAATCCCACCAACCTGAAGCCCTTGTAAGCTTGTTTCAGTGGAAATCTCTATGGTTGAGCCAAGAGAGATCTGGGAAATACAAATGCATTAGTGTGAAAGGCGGCTGCGACCCATGCCTGAGGGCTTCACATACACAATCATTTAGGATCCTCATCTCCCAAGTGCCTTGAAATGGTTGGAAATTATGCAGACTGTGCCATGTTGCAGCCTAATCAAAAATAGACTTGTGCATTTTTCCCCCTTGGGTCACGTGTTAGGTCACCCAACACAAAGTACAATACGCTAAGCCATCCAAAGTGTCGATTCACCCCATTTGTATGTGGTCTATGATGGATGGATGAGCTGAGATTAAATAAGACCCCTTTCTCAGAGGCTAACATAAGTTACAGTCCCACTTACATGTCAAGCCTAAGTATAATATTAACATATACATTGATCCTGCATTTTTAGAAGGAGGAGGAAGAAAGGATTTCTAATAATATGCTACTGCATACAAAATTTATCTAAGTAAATAATTATTTTTAAGCCTAAGATTCAGGCAGCTTTAGTATTCCACATTATGCTAATGTTTGACAATTACTAAGTGTGGGTATCAGCCAATGGTTTTTTTTTTTTTTAAGTTTAATTTAAAGCAATTTGACATGGAAAGGTTATTACTTTAGTTGCCAATAAAAGCTGTACTTTTAACATAAGTGTACAGTAGGCCCTAGGGTATGTGACTATTATCTTTTCTGCAATTATGTGGTGTTCTACATAAATGTTTAAAAAAAACTTGGAAATATCAAAAGTACTAACTTAGATACAATATGAAAGTTGAATAAAGAGAGAACGAAAACCCGATTATTTTAGACACAACATGGGTTGAGGTTTCCTCCTAGAGGTTATACTGGGAACAACACCAGCTGGCTTTGAATAAATTAATTCAAACTATATCTTAAAAACACACACTTAGCAACCAGAATATCGATTTTATGAACATTCTGTCTTGAGATACAGTTGTTCAATTTCACAAGCTAAATGCCATTAACAGTAAGAGCAAGTCTCTGAACCAATTAACCTATTTTCTGGAGTTGCTGTGCTACCAAAATAAAAAGAACATTTCTCAGATGGTATTTGCCACCCTAAGATTTCATATGTCCCAGAGAAAAAATAATAATTTATTACCAGTAATTGGGTAATCTAAACTTTTTCTCTTTCCTTGATCTATTAGGAAGATTGGACTTTAACAAAACAAAATACTATTTTGTTCTTAAAGAGAAAGAAAGCAGCCCTATCCCAGCTAACCTCCCTTTACCTTTTTACATCTGTCTTTGAGGTGTTCATATTTAACGAATGGGGGAAAGTCAAGGAAAAAAAGGGTAGGAAAGAATTTAATCAATAGCTACTGCCAATTTTTCATTATTATGGGATACTCCCTTCCTATAATAGGAAATCACTCAAGAAAAGTAAGGCCAGCAAAATGGGGACATTTACCCAGCCATCTGCTTAATAGGAGCATTTAATCCATCAAAGGGGAGAGATGCAGGGCTGGGAAAAGCAGACTCCCACACTCTACCTGTAAAGATTGACCCATGGGAGTCAAAGTTGCTCCTGGACAAATACTTTTTTTAAACCTTGCGAAAATTATCATCATTATTATTAACAAGAATAACTATATTTTTTGAAAACATCCAAAAATGGCCCCTACCGAAACACCTTGAAAGCATCACCTTATTCTTCCTCAAAATAACCCAAAGAGGTAGGTGCCGTTCTGACACGCATTTTCCCAATGGAGAAACACAAGCTATCACTTGTGATAGTGGTGACTGGTCCTGCTGGGAGTCCAACACCCATCACCCTCAGCCCCACCCCCACCCCCCGTCCATCTGCCTAAAAAATGCACGATGTTATCACAGTGAAGCAGTTAGCAGAACAGGCTTTCTGAGTTTGAATCCTAAATTCATTACGTCCAAGCTGAATAACCTTGGCTAATTTACTTCTCTGTTTGACTCAGTTTTCCTTTGCATTAATTGGGGATAATAATTGCACTTACCTCATAAAACTACTGTGAAGATTGCATGTGCTGATGCATATTAAGCACAGAGAACCTGTACTCATAGTGTACATTCATTAATAAATGTTAATTAGTATATTATGATTGCTTTTCAGTATATATGTATTAGCTTACTTTAGTAAAACTCTTCTATTCTTGTCTGGGCATTTAGAGAGATCCTCAAATAAACCTATCTTCTTGGGAAAAGTCAGAATATAGCAAATTATAGCAAGCAATATAACAAGCAGTTTGTTTTTTCAAGCGTCCTCTTTTATTGCCCCATTTTAGTGCAGAGGAAACATATTTTTAAATTTAGCAACTTCTATTTTGACTCTCAGTGACCCTGAGCAGACCCTGGTCTGCTCATCATTTTGCTGAGGCATAAACCTGGAATGAAACAGAAATTTTCTGAGTGAAAATACACAATGTGCCTAGTCACTTGCCCAGTACCCATCTCACAGTTCATGGTTATCAACATAACTCTGATCTGAGATCTTGAGGGATAACATATTTTCTTATCATCTCTACCTTATTGTATAGAGAAAATCATAACCAATAGAGAGGCTTGCAAGTTTCTGAATGCAAGGAACTACTATAATACCTTTGACTTGTTTAATCTCTCTCCCTTGAATTATCTCTTTTGATAATTCCCAACAAAACTATTATAGAAATATTATCACAGTTTCAAAAAAGAGGAAACTGAGGCTCAGTTACTGAATGACGATAGCTCATCCATATCAAATACACATCTCAGCTACCGTCTCACCTTCTCTACAAAAGATCCCAAATTTAACAGAGAAGGGCTTAGCCAATTTATACATGGGCTTTCTCTCATTTTTCTCTTATCCATATGCCTTGCCTTTTATCCCTAGTTACTTTCTCACTTCCGTTGAGATGCACCATGGTGCACGTTGGATGCACCATGGTGAACATCTGTTATTTCTGCCTTCCTCCTCTTCCTTGTAATATCATGGTTTTCCCTTGAAACTATCCCTTAATCCACTCTCTGTCCACATGACTTAGTTAGTACGACTAACCTAGTCCCTGCTCCATGGTTGGGCATAGGCACAGGTTTAATCAATCAGAACACATATATTCTAACCCAAGAGACCAACTCAGGGATTGGCATGCAACCTAAGCTTATTGTTGAATGTCTGTTGGAAGCATTAGAAAAGAAAAGCTATCGTTATCCTAAGGTTGCATGAACTCTATACTGTAACCCTAGAGCATTTGGAGACCCTAAGTGAAGAAAACCTACCTGGGAATAAAGCCATCACAGAGGAAGGCAGAACCAAAGAACGGAAAGAAGGCAAATGCTTGTATCATTAGTTAGGCCCCTGGATTCAGCCACACCTTAAGCAATGCTCTCCCCTATACATTTTAGTTATGCCAGCCAATAAAGCATCATTTTAATTTACTAAAAAATGGCTAGGTTTCTGATATTTGCCCCTGTCTTTAATAACTCATCCATACATCCCTTAAACAAGCATAAATTAGTATGCTTATTTATTTATATTTATTTATAAATAAGCACACTGCCTTCTTTTAGAGCTGTGACTGCTTCAGTGTGTGTCTGCTATAGACAGTGAAGTTCTGGAGAACTGAAGTGCCCATGATTCTCTTCTGATCATTCTTGGCACATTTCTCCAAATGCAGTTTTGATGATAAATAACAAGGATAATGCCTTCCCCAGCCCACTCCATTTCTTAAATGGGAAAGCCTTCCTTCTCTTCTCTCATGTTTTCTACTGAGTCAGAAAATAACTCCAGTGTCATCTCTGCTAATGAGAACATGCGTGGCTATACCACTTGGATCTCAGAGGAAGGATATTCCTTCCTCCCTGTGGAAGGAATCCACAAAATTACTGAGTCAATAGATCTGTTTCATTTCAAAGGTTGAATCTATTTTTGGACGAATGTGCATACAGAGAAAAAGGTCTCAGGCTGAGACCCCTAAGTCGGCAAGAATATGTACCTAAAGTGCATGGCACTGGCTACTCCTCCAAAAATATACATTTGTATCTCTCAGGAAACTTTTTAAGTTAATTTTCCATCAAATTAAATAAGCTAATGTTTATTTGCAGATAGAATTCTGGAATGAGACTTGGTCAAAATAGAAGACAATTTATGGCCCAAAGCTACAAAGTCAGGGTCAAATAAGGAAAGTATCCTTTAACCATTGGCCACTATGAATATTTCAGAAAAACAACATGGCGGAGATCCAGGGCAAGAGAACTTCAATATAGTGAATCCTCAGTGTCCTCCTGGAGAAAGCAAAGGCCAGTTAAAGATTGCTTGAAGCTCAGAGATGGCATCTTTCAGGTTCAGAAAGGGGTTATATGGTGCTTCAACTTTTCAATCAAACAGCCGCGGGCTGTATTTGGGGCTCAGCCAGGAGCTCTGCAACCTTGGGCAAGTAGCTTTACTTTCTCTATACCTCAGTTTTTCCCCTCAGCTAAATAAAACTAATAATGCCTCCTGGGATTGTCATGGGGATTAAATGAATAAACCCATACATGTGTAAATTACTGAGGACACTACATTGCAAGGGAAAAATGCTCAACGCATGTTAACTCTGCTGTTGGAACTAATCATAATCAGTATGAGAACTCATTACATGCAAAGACTTCTCCAGCAAGGACATTTGAAAGAATTCAAGAACCCTGTAGCCCCAGATTAAGGGGGCTGAATTTACAGAATTTAAAGAAGCCAGTTCTAGAAGAGACAGAAAAATCTTACCAGGCCTGGGAGGACTTGTAACCAAAATCTGCTTCAAGTTGGAAGTCTGAGGCTCTTGTTTTAGCATCCAACCCAGACAGAACTCAGCATGGTGAAAGAAACCAGGGCAGGCTGCCCAATAAGCTTTACCAGACAACCCAGTGGATTTTATCCTAGCTCAACCATGCCAGAGTAAAATTATGGGCAGGAAAAGCTCAGATCTCTATCTTTGCATGTATTTTATTTTACTTTCATTACTACGTAATAGATCCCTTTGAAAATACCCAAATTCGTCTTGGTTAAAATGAGGGAAAATTATTTTCACACTTGAGGCAGAAGATAAAGAGATTGATACACCCACAGAGGATAACCATGAGTCCACAAAGTAGAGCTATCAGGTATAACTCCCTGGTGATGTGAGAAGAGAGAAGGCAAGCCATGGCCCCTGAGCCAGGCTCAGGAGAGATTTTTGTCAGCACCAAAGATAAAACTTGCTTCCTTCACTGGTTTTCTTAGTAATAACAGACTGACCTTTTGTTGAAATGACTTGCCACATCCAATAAGAATTTTTTAAAAGGTGTTTGGAAATAATACAGTGACTGTGATAAATACTTACTTGAGAAGTGATGCTTTTAAGAAACCCATAGCCAACTATTAGATATTCTTAAACAGCCTAGACCTCTTAGTATTGTTTTATTCCTTAAAATTGAAACAGAAGCCCTAGAGCCATAGGCTATGATTAAGGTTTCATTTGTTGATCAGCTTATGACTTCTTTAAAAGAGTATCTCACTGCAAGAGAACTTGTTCTATTGCTCTGTGTCTCACACTAGTCCTTCCTGTATTTGGGAGGAACTAGATTGTGAAATTGATAGTAACTGCAATGTAGAGTTTGTAAGAAGCTGACACTATATAATTATTTGTGTTTAAACTGAGTCTACTAACAACAACCATATTATGCTTATTAAAATATTAACAAAATCCAGAAGAAACATAAAATGTATTCATAAAATTTGGGTAAGTCAGGAGTTTGGGAGGAAGAGTGACTTCCTTCAATATATCAAGAAGAGGTCCCCAAAAGTGAATTTAATGTGAACTTGGTAATGGAAGACTTACTCAAATTAGGAAACCTACCCAAATCAAAGTAGTCCCACTGAGCACCCCCAGGTGGAGGGAATTTAGCAAATGAAGGGTGTCTTAAAACTTACAAATGTTCGAGCCTTACTGGACTGGCTTCCCTACATTTGTCTCAATGTCCTGAGTGGCAATAAAATATCCCAGCTAGTAATCAAGTCATGAAGGTGATAATGAAAAAGGGGGAACCCAGAAAGAATTCTCGCATGTTTATTCAGTGAGTCAGCCCTTACCAACAAGAAGGATATTAAGCAGATAACTATTAACTGTTTCTTGCCGTCAAAATATTTTTTTCAGGATTGGGAAGCTTGGTAAAAACTTAGTCATTGACCCTATATATAGTTAAGGTCAAACCAGTATACAGTTGGAAAAGGTGCCCACTCTACAGTTTGATGTGAGAGGCTTCTGAAGCCATGCCACTTCCTAATATGACCTCTTGACCGCTTTATCCAGAAACCGTAACTAACCCTCTCCCCTCTGCCATCACTGATTCCTCCCCAGAACTCACCTACATCCACCCAGTCTTGAGGTAAGACATCTTGTTTCCAAGCACATGCTATTCTAATGTACACTTTGTGTCTGGGAGGGATAAGCTTGCAGTCCATTACTTTGTCAATGTAATTAGTTGTTTTACCATACTATAGTCCCATTCCCATCTGCAAATTGGGGATACTAGTGGCACTTACCTCACAAAATTGCTTGCAAATTAAACAAAGTAATTCATATAGTGTGCCTGGAACACAGTAGGTGCTGAATAGATATTGTCTCTTTTTGTAGTTGCTGCTGTTGTCTGCAAGTAATAAAATGTCAGTCTCATGGTTATGACTCTAGAATTTGAAAATATAGAATTAATGGGGAGGGAAAGCTGTCATGGAGGTAACGCAGGGAAGTGCCTGGCTGAGCAACTCAACACAAGGGTCGGAACCATGGGAAGTGTGGACAGGCACGAAGGCAAGGGGCCTGTACCCCTTTCCCATTACTCCACTTCTAAACAAATTGTCTTCTCCAACCCCAGTATATCCTCTGAGAAATGAGGAAGAAAAATAATCTCTTCAAATTTTATTAAATGGTTCACAGGCCACTTTTCTTTCCCTTCTAAGTAGAAGCAGGCTGCATGATTTAGACGCTCCTAATGAAAGATTTTCTTAGCTCTGTTAATTAGTGTTAATTGCTATGGTGGTTTCTGTTTCAAATCCATTCTTGTTCGCCACTTTACCCTTACATGATTCTAGAAAAGGTTGCAGCAGGCTAGAGGTAACCCCTAATAAACAGTCTCCAGGCAAAATGATTTGGATGAGTTCCTGAGGGCACTCCCACTGAGGTTTGTTTACGAATCTCATGCTGAAGAACGACACACAAAAAAAGTGAGAAAGAGGCGTGTGATGGGCATCCTGATGTGAAAGTGTCAAGGTGGAAGAGTGAGATGGGGAATCAAAATTCATTTAAAGTGTATGTGCTGGTATATTTCATAGTAAATCTCAAGGTCTCTGGTTGGGATTCCAATTAGCCTGAATGATGAAAACAGCTAATGCTAGGAATCATAGCTATGTAAGTGCTACTCATCTCCACTCATTCATTCATTCACTCATTCCACCCTTATTTACGGAGCTCCTACTTGGAATGCAGCTTACAGTTTCACTAGAAAGACAGACAACAAAATGAATCATGCAAAAATATATATACAGAGGGAGATACTGTGTGAAGGTTAAGTAAGGATGAGATGACAGATCATAATAAGAGGTCAGAATTCAATGCAGGGAAGGAAGTCAAGGAAGGAAGGCTATGTTCTAAAATGATATGCAGAACTGAGACCAGAGGATCTGCAGGAGTTCACCAAACAAAGCTTCAGGAAAGAAAGGAAGGCAGCCAAAAGAGCATGAATCCCTACTGCCTTGAAGAAGACCTCCCCCTTGATGCCCTCAACGCCCAGAGGCATTCAAAGAAATCCAGCAATTGTTGGAGAACAACTCATAATTTAAGGTCCTGATGCTGTCTTTGAACACAGGTCATGGCCAAGATTTGGTGACTTATACAGATGGGATAAGGTGGAACCACTTCCACCCTTCCCTGAGTTGCTAGAAGTCGGGGATAGAGGTGACATAGAAATCTGTGCATGAGAATGATTTTCCAGAGTTCCTGGCTTGAACAAGAAGAGAGATGACCCAAAGCAGTTGCTATAAAGACAGGGAGCTGACATGTAAACTTTAAATTTCAGAGTAATGATATCCCCCATAAGTATTTACGTTATAGTCACATGCGGCCTCAGAATGAAAACCAAATGGCAAGCGATACAATCCTTTCAAGACGGCCAATTCTGGCAAATGATCACAATACTGAGCTCTTAAATAAAAGTGAGTGCTTTTGCTTCTGATAACCAAGCCCTGTGCCCCTGAGGAGTCCTACGGATCAACAAAAGTCCTTGGGGTCTGAGGTTCACCAATAGCCAAGGAAATGACAACGAAGATTACTTCTGCTCCCTTTCCTGGGGACCACTTTAAAAATCAAGAATTAGTAGCAAAACACAGAGACCTTACAGCCAGGCTGTCTGGATTTGAATCCTAGCTCCATCATTTACCAGCCAATGTGATCTTGGTCAAATTATTTAACCTCTTGCCTTAGTTTCTACATCTGAGAAATGGGGATAGCAACCACATCTATCTCATGGGGCTGTTAGGAAGATTAAATGAGTTACTTTAAAACCAGTACATGGTAGATGCTATAGCAGCATTTGCCATTGGGAGAGTAATTGTTAATCCTCCCTACATTTCATGGACAGTCCTGTTTTACAGATAAGGCTCAGAGAAAACAAGAAGGCTACCCAAGAATGCACAGCTCAGTGAAGAGCAGAGCTGGGGTTCAAACATCTGTTCATACCACTCCACATTTTTTCCACTGACTACATTGTGTTCCCTCTAAGTATTGGCAAGTAAGTGCATGTGAAAGCAAGAAAAGGAGCAGAAACCAAGGTGGTTTGAGGGTTCATTTTCCTAAGGAAAAAAGGCTGAGAATTTACCGGCAATAATTTCTCTCCAAACCACCTTCCCCACCAACATGTAGCCTAACTCCTGTTTAACCTTCCATTCTCAGATTAAATGTCATTTCTGCAGAGACACTCACACACACTGCCCCGAACCCCTGGCCTAGGTTAGCTCCTTCTGGGAAATGCTTTTAAAGACATTGGACTTTTATTAACTAATATTAATCACAATTATATCGACATTATTTGTTATATGGATTATTTGTTTAGACTCTCTCTCCCATTGTGTTACCAGACAGAAGCAGCACTGTTCTTATTTGAGCCAGAGTGGGTCTCCTAATACCCACCGCCCTTGTTCACTCCATGATCTCCAAACAAGCCCACTACATAAGTTCTAAGGGAGGCTCTTAGGCCAACATCAGGACAGAGTTGACTGATATCTTCAACATCAACTGATTTGTTCCTGTGTTGGAATAACAGTCAAAGCAGGGCCTCCCATTACCAAGTCATAGCACTACACCTGCACAACAGCTCTGATGTGAACCCATCCCTCTTTGTGTCAATCTGTAAAGCATTTGAATGTCACACTAATCATTTTGGCTACACTCCTTACCCTAAACTCATCTTTCTCCTCATGACTTGGGTACTTCTAGAGTCAATAATTTGTGGTGTCACACTTTCAATTTTAGGTGTCACATTCCTGCATTTTCTCCATGAGGATTAATTTCAGGAAAAGCACCTGTGAATATCTATTGATTGTTCATTGTACTTTGTAGAAAAGTGCAACAATATTTATCAAACTCAAATAAGAGAAGCTCTTTGCCAGTGAAACATGTGCCAGAAGGTTCCTTTAAGTGACTTCATTCATTCACTCACTCTGCAAATATATACTGAGCCCATACTATGTCACTATACACCAGTTCTGAAAATGTCTACATAATTCATTTGTTCTGTCAGTCACTGCAACGTATATTCATTGAGTGCCTGCCATGCACAAGGTGGGCTACAAACAATGGGGAGTGAGTGAAGAGCCTGTCTTCATGGAGCTTACAGTCTTGTTAGGATGAAAGATTGTCAGTAAGCAAATTAATTAGGAAATTATAAGTGGTGATAAAAACTATGAAGAGGCCGGGCGCGGTGGCTCACGCCTGTAATCCCTCCACTTTGGGAGGCCTACATGGGCTGATCACGAGGTCAGGAGATGGAGACCATCCTGGCTGACATGGTGAAACCCTGTCTCTACTAAAAATACAAAAAATTAGCCGGGCATGGTGGCAGGAGCCTGTAGTCCCAGCTACTTGGAAGGCTGAGGCAGGAGAATGGAGTGAAGCCTGGAGGCGGAGCTTGCAGTGAGCAGAGATCGCGCCACTGCACTCCAGCCTGGGTGACAGAGTGAGACTCCGTCTTAAAAACAAAAACAAAAACAAAACAACAACAAAGAAAGCTATGAAGAAATTAGAGTGCTGAGATAGATGGTGACAGTATCAATGAACAAAACTGGCTAAGATATCTGGGAATACCTATCAATATAGCAATTAGAAGTCTGTCGTTCAAAGAAACAACTTTTGTAGGCATTACAAAATACCCACCTCCCTGGGCTGCACATGGAGTGAACTATAGGCCCTGGGTTGTCCTTATACTTGAACACTTAGTAGAAAGCACAGGAACCACATCTTCAAAGGTTATCAGCTGGATCTTTTTTCACACTTCTAAGGATCATTTTTGCAATATCGTTATATTGATTTTACCACATTTGTCAATCTATTCAAGTAAGTTATACAGATGATGATTTATAGGACATAAACACAATGGAAGGAAAAAAATTATTTGGTTAAAAAAAAAAAAACGGAGTCAGGGATTGGAGAATTATGTAGAGTAAATTAATGTCATTTAGAATGCTGTAGCCAGTAAGAGTTTTATAGACAAAATAGGGTTTTGGAGGGAGGAGGGGGACAATGGCATTTAGATAAGCCAATAGAAACAGAGCATGCACTGAAGGTAGGGAGAAGAGTACATACAAAGGCACAGGAGTGATCTGTCTCATCACCATTTCTATCTATACATGTATTTGTTCATTCCCCATTACTGTTTCAATCATTGCTGTTTCCCATACCTTAACTCATTTAGTCCTTAAAACAATCAATAGGTAACAATCCATTATACTGCCACTTGCCTTAGGTTGGGTTGCTGACGAATAGAGGCTAAAGCAGAAATTCAAGTGCATGTGATTTATCTGGGCAAGGAGGGACCAGACTAGGGTAAGAAGAGGGAAACAGCTAAGCCATAAAATTTTAGGAGGCACCTGTTTTCTTCCTCCTAGAAGGGTTGTACAACTCGTTTGGCCTGACAGTGAGTGCCTCCTGATATTGTGTGCTCTAGGCACTTCGCTGTCCTCACCTCACCTAGTCTGGATCCTGGACTTAATTCTTTAGAACAAACCTGTAATGAAAAAAGTGAAGCCAGATAGAGAAGGTGAAAAAGCCAATCAAGAATCCCAGGCAAAGTCTAGCCATGGTCTAAACCATGGCAAGAGAGGCATTCGGGAGCATAAATTGCATGACAGAATAGTTCAAAGGAGCTGGGCTTTTGTGCCACCCATATCAGCAAGCCATTTGCTGCCCCTGAGGAGAGCACAGCTATAAGCTGTTAGCTGCAGCACTCACAGCAGCTGGGGGCTTGGTGCACTGATGGTTAAAGAGGCTCCAGATGTGGCACTAAGTGTGTGTGTCACATCATTTGGAAAAAGAAGAATCTAGTACAGATGCCTCTCGACTTACAGTGGGGTTACGTCTTGATAAACCCCCCATAAGTTGAAAGTACCGTAAGTCAAAAATGCATTTAATATGCCTAACCTACCAAACATCATAGCCTATCCTAATCCACCTTAAGTGTGCTCAGAACACTTACATTAGCACATATTTGGGCAAAATTATCTAACGCAAAGCCTATTTTATAGAAAAGTGCTGAATATCTCATTTAGTTTATTGACTACTGTACTGCAAGGAAAAAACAGAACAGTTGTATGGGTACTTGAAGCACAGCTTCTACTGAATGCATATCACTTTCACACCATCGTGAAGTCAAAAAAATCATAAGTCACACCATCATAAGTCAGGGTCCATCCATACTTATAGAGGCAGCAAGTGTTCAGTTCGTGGGTCTCTGGGGAAGCCTCGATTTGTAGCATTTCCCAATTTTCCTAAAGTAAATACTCCCACCATGGCTGATTTCAGGCTATCAAGATGATCAATGGACCTAGAGTTAAGAAGAGATACCCACAAGTTTTGGGTGATTCCAGCACACCACTCATGGAAGTTAAGCAACTTAGCCAGAGACTCATAGAGAAACCAGAATTTGATCTCAGGCAGTCTTACCCCACACATTTAGGCATATCCACAGTAGCATATAGAGCATGAATCTGCAAACTTTTTCTGTAAATGGCCAGAGAGTAAATATTTTCTGCTTTGCGGTCTCTGTTGCAACTACTCAATTCTGCTCTTCAGTGCAAAAGCAGCCATAGATAGTACATAAAAGAAGAGCACGGCTGTGTTCCAACTGAACTATATTTACAAAAACAGGCAGTGGGTCAGATTTAGTCCATGGATTGTATTTTGCCAACATCTGTTATAGATGTGATTTAATTATTTTTAAATAAATAACATCTGCTATTTGCTTACTGAGCTGAGCCAGCACTAAAGTGAGGCAAGAGAGTTGCCCAGGACATAAAATTTAAAGAGACACTTCCATGACCCTGAACGTGCCCAACAACTTAAGTTTTGTGCCATGGGTGCCTGTATTGCTTTACTCTGGGCCTGGCCCTGTTACGGAGTCATCTGAACCAGATTTGCAGGGGTATTGATCAGGGTTCAGTTGCTTAAAAGTAAAGGACTTGGGCAGAAAGGGATTTAACACACAGAAATAAGAGCCTGCAAAACTGTAGGAAGGGCCAAAGAAGCAGATAAATCGAGGTAACCACACTGAAAAATTGGCGGGCCAGGGGAGTCTCCACATCTGCTTGCTCAAGAATGTGGGGAATCTGAAGGCTGCCTACAGAACAGCTAATTTCAAAGACACAGTGATAAAAGCATGATCTGGAATCAGGGCCACCACATTGCCACTCCACACCCAGAGACTTAGTGAACCACACTTAGAATATTACCTTTCAAACGGCACCTGCATGCACCTATGTGAACCTAATTTTTTTGCAGAACCCTAGCTGCAAGAGAGTCTGAGAATTACAGATTTTTGCTATCTAACTGGTGACACTGGAAGAAAAGCAAAATGTGTGCTAAGCGACAATTTACTACATCTACCATAATGGGTATCCTAAGAGTAACTGTCCAACGGGCATGAGATTCTCCTGTGTCAAGTTCAATTCCAACCAGAAGTTCCTTCTAATAAAGGGAACACCACTCCTCCCCACCCCCATCTTCTAAATCTTCCCCCCACACACATGTGATGGGATAGGTGATAGAGATGAGAAGTTTACCATTGAGGGCTAAAGGTTAAGTGTGTGAAATGCACGGAAGTATTGCAGCAGGGATAAACGGGGTCAAGGAATGCCAAGAGTGGTTGCAGCCAGTAGAAGAAGAAGGAATGAAATCAGGAGCCCTATAGGACAGTAGAAGACTGGCAGTTGCTAAGGAGTGAATGCAAAGGGAAAGCTGAGAATTTCTTCCGTGGGTCATTTGTCTCTAGGGAACCAATGCCTTGTGACCAGCGTATCTATTACTAATGGAGGACAAATGTGGCATCATTCCCTGAGGTCGGAGATGTGTGCAATTAACTAATACTAAGCATGTTACAAATACACAGTGCTCTACAGACTGTAATTCATAATCATTTCCATGGGAAAACAAAATTTACGAGTCAATAGAAATTGAGTTATTTCCTTTTGAAAATGTTTTATATTCTGATATAGGATCTATATAAACACATGTTACATATATGTAATTACGAACTATCATAATAAAACAGACACTCAAAAATCTATCACCAAACTTAGTAGCTATTAATATACAGCTGAAACTGCCTGTGTATGTTCCCCTGATACCTCTGACTCTTTCCTCCTCTTTATTCCCAAGGAAACATTATCCCAAAGTTTATGATTTTTATTTCCTTGCTTCAAAAAACATATAGTGTTATCACATATGTATGCAATCTAAAATAATTTCAAATTTGCACATCTCAATTTATTTTTATAATAGAAATTAATAGTCTTGTTAACAAATATCTTTCAAACCTATTTGTTGGAATTAGAAAATGAATATAAATCTTGGGCATTTCCAAGAAGAATAGAAAAAAGAAAAGCAGATATCGTCCATGAAAGCTTAATTCACCTTATAATTTGAGCAAGTTTTCATTTAAAAAAATAGTTTAATCATAAAATCCTTTTAGAAGTGCTAGCCTACTAAAACAGTGGCTAATTTTAACTGTTTTTCACAAAGGCGAGCCAGTCACAGAGTTAATGAAATTAAGCTTCCTTCATTTCTCTCAAATTCCCCCCACAAAGAAGAGCTGTAATGTACAAAATGCAGCATAAATACATGGCTGATTTTCAGGACTCAAGCCACCACTGATTTGTCACACTGCCTCTTAACAACATATCTGTATTTTGTAAAATGTATAATTTTTTTCAGCCCCTGAACAAATATATTTACATAACTGTGTCTAACGAGAAATTACATTTAACTTCTCAGAAATGACAATAACTAAAACCTGAACTGCCAATTCCACTTCATTAGTGTGGTAGAAACGCATTCCAAATGTTAATAAAAATTCCAACATGCTGATAAATTAGAGCTTCTAAGGAGCATGTGACACCTTGGTTAATATATTCAACCTCAATTATATTTCTCTTCAGCACCCTGTTATCTGGAACCTTTGCTGGCAATCAGAGGTGCTGTTTTTCAGCGGCCAATTTTCTAGATAATGTAGCTTATCAACACTGTGGGTAAACTTGCCAATGGAATCAGGCTGCACTGAACCACACACACGCTAATTGCATCCCTTTTTTATGCATATTTACAGACTGTCACTTCAAAGAAATCAGTGGCCCATTGAGGCACCCAGTTAGCTGGAAGAATTGCCTCTTGCAAATGAAAATTAGCAAACAAGCTAGTGATAAATATGAAATGAACAAAGTGTAAAAATACTGTTTTGTTCCAAAACTTCCTTGTCATCCCAATTTATACTCCCAAATAGAAGGAGTTTTGAACATAGGATTTACCTTTTGTTTCAAATAAAGACAGAAAGAATTCTTCCTTAAACCCACTAACTAGGTAAAAGCCTATTAGCTTTTCCTTCTTCTCCCACGCCACCCTCACCCTAAATTTCTATTCACATAAACAGGTTATTAAATCCCGTATTAGATTTGCTTTGGAGTTTGAATAGACAAATGACATGTTAACACTTCAGAAACAATTAACCCTGGGAACTTAATTAAGTTCTTCTGACTTAAAGGAAGCACATTTCAAAATAATGTTTCTAAACTCTCCGAATTTGCTCAAGAATAGCAATGCTTTGCTTCTCTTAAGTATTCATAAGTTCTACTTAACAGCAGAAAGCTTTGCCTGGCTATATATGGGTAAAGTTATGGTGTTATGAGCCTACTGTAATAGGACTACCTCAGAATGAATATTAAAAAAAAAAAAAAACAGGTATCGAAAAATAACAATTATAGAAAACATTTTCCAAAAGCCCAAAACTCTAGGCTTATATGAAAGAAAAGATGATTTTATAGCTACATCCAGGAGCTCGACATAATCCACTATACTGCGCTATGAGTTTGTCTGAAATCCTTTTCCTTGCTTTTCAGAATAACATTTGGAAATCTTTTATCACTACAACAATGTTTTAAAGCACTAGTAGGTTTTGAAAGGCATGTCATTTTAATATAAGCAGGTCATTTTAATATAATAGAAAATAAACCACAAACCAATTGAACTATAACTTCTTTTAAAGATCTTGTGCCAAGCTGAGCAATTTAGAGTGGCAAAACTCAACAAATAAGTGGCACTTAAAGTCTTAGCTTACAGCTAAGGTCCAGTGAAACTTTATTTGGTTTGGAGTATGAAGCATCAGTCCTGCTATGTGTCACAATTTTCAACAGACTCCTAAATTCCCCATCACTAACATTAGATATACAATGTCATTTGAGAGATTTTGTTTTATTTTGTTTTGTTTTAACAGAGCATGAGTAACAACATAAATATTGATATGAAGACTGGGAAAACATTGCTATTTTAAGAAACAGACTACACCTACATGCCGACTGCTCAGTTGTTATATGAGAAAAGCAAGATTCTTTAGTAAATTAGTGCTCATCTGTGTACACTAATTTAGATAATTGTTTTACATCACTTTCCAAATTGCAACGTAATTCCATGTTTATATGTCTGCTTCCTTGCCCAGACTGGAAACTCCTTGAAGACAGGAATCAAATTTTCTGGAAAGGTGAATAGGGCATAGATCTCAAGAACTCACTGAGGAGTTCCTGGTGTGGAGGGGTGAAAAGATGCTCAAACAGCCATCACATACGAGGAGAGGAACAAAGAGCTACGGGGTACAAAGAAGGGACCAGTTTTATTGCACCCAGGGGTATTGGGAGATGAATCACACCATAGACGACACTGGAACCAGACCTGAAAAGATAAGTAAGATTTCATCCCGACAGGGAAAGGCATTTCAGGCTGATCAGACCACACAAGCAAAACAGAAGGCATGTGAGTAAATGGACCATTCCTGGAAGAGAGATGTTCAATGATGCTAAAGCCTAGGCTGGGATTGGAGGTGGGGGACATGCACACTATGTACAAACCAGAGAGGAGGCTATCTAAATTCTACATGTGATTATGTCACCTTCACCTTTTGTACATGGGGATGTAGTGTGAGCACTTCCAGAATCTAAAAGTGTTCACGAAGACTGATTTTTAAATGTCCTGATTAAGGACAAATTTATAACAATTTTAATTTTTGAATTAGTGCTATCAAATTATATAAATTTGTGCTTTAGCACTATCAAATTATATAAATACATATTCACACCTGCATAGGGTTTGTCTCTAATACAGTACAACTGATTTCACAAGAAACACACAAAAATCTATCACATTACTCTATATGGGTGCATTAAGAAATATGTCTCAATCACTCTTGAATCAAAGTAAGTATTAATAAATTTCCCTATCTCCTAAAGGGGCTCATTGAAATTTGGCTCAAGCTTTAATCCTAAAACTGTTCACAGGAAAAGACAACACAATTGTAAATAATATGGCTCTAGTATCTTATCTAAAAATTTATTTATTGAAAATGGTTTTTATATTTAACATTCAAAAACAACAGCTTTTGTGAATAGGCAAAACAAAACATAAGAATTACGTAATTCCAAAGCTAGTCATTGTTTTTGGAGAAAATTCTTTCAATTGATTAATATCATCATTCACTATTTTTTAGCTGTTGTATAATACAGACATTGCTTCTACAAAATAAAAAGAAAAATAATAATAGTAATAGTAATAATAATAATATGGTAGTAGCTAACGATTTTAGCATGATCACTACCTGCTAGAAAGGAAGCCAGAGACTTTACTTACAAGGTCACATCTAAAATTCCTATAAATTCCTAAAAGTACATATTTCTAGCCCTATTTTTAATAAAAGAAGACACAGATAATATCTTTTGAGTAAGAATACAGGCTAGTTGATGGCAGAGCCAGGATTCCAATCTGGGTCACACCCTTCCAAGTCTATGGCTGTAACCACTTATAATATGCTGCTCTTTCTAAATAATGTTAGACTGTTTCTCTTTTAAAAAATGAGTTTGGCTGAATTCTGTTTGGAAAATAAAGATCAAGAGGGAAAGAGAGGAACAAAGAGAGAGGGAAAGGGGAAAGAGAGAAAGAAAGGGAAGAGGAAAAGAGACGGTGAAGAGGAAAAAGAGGGAAGAAAAAAAGAGGGGGAAAAATCAACTAAACCAATAACCTTAGTTTTCTGGGTGTTCCTGTAACACTCTCTACTTCTCATTCTACACACTTCATACTCTTTTCCCTGGTCTAGCTCTGCGATAGATTGTAAGCTCCATGGGGGCAGGAACTATGTCTGTCTTGATCACAGCTGTACTTCTCTAGGGCCAGTAGAGAACCAGCACATAGTGGGCATTCCATAAATAAAATACAACAATATATTTTCTTTTTCTCCACGGCTTGAATATTTCATTTTTCATGTTGTCCTCTTCTATACATGGGCTCAAAAGAAATGTGCCAACACCTAAGACTATAAGGATAGAATAATTTTTTTATACTGTACCTGCACATCTGCAATCACAGATTATTTATGTCTATGTAGCACTGTCTTGCCGTTGCCATTAGTATGGGCCTCCTAAGTAAGGCCACTGGAGTCCCATGGTTCTGTCCTTATTTACCCATCTCTGACTGGATGCTAGGCAAACCTAAAACAAAGAGTAGGGTTCTTCCGCCTTCTAACTTTGTAAAATATAATTCTCTGTGAGACAATTTGAGGATAATGCTAGAACCAGAAATTTCACCAGCCTCAGCATTCCACAGAGGCCAAAGCTCACTTTAATCTTTTCTTTTAACCAAACATTTACAATGAGCCCAATTAAGAATGGCTTTCAATAGGACTATTGCCCTACTTCATACTGGTAATCAAGAAATGATAAGTTTCAATCTGTAAACATTTGCTCCATGTTCAAATTTGAAAAACTGCATATTTATTTCATAAATAAATTTACCTAAGTAGTTTAAATGTGTATCACGTATTTGGCCTTTCAATGCTAACTTTGTCATTTGTTTTGCTTGAGCTTCATCAAACACCTGTTTTGTACTGACACCCTTATAAAAAATTTTTTTCTGTTTTTTTTTTTTTTTTTTTTCCTTTGCTGTTCTATTTTCCCCCCTTTTCTCTTCTTTCCCAAGTCCTTTGCTTTGGGGGCTAAAACAGCAATTTTTATCTTTATTCTAAAATCCCCTCTTCTCTCCGTGGTCAGGAGGAGATTTTTTTTTCTTTGTGTTAAAATTATTCACAACTCACAGAATGAAGGGTGAGCACAAAATAAACTCCAGCTCACGGGGCGGGGGAAAAAAAGTGTTGTTTGAAGAGTAGGGCTTTGGAAAGTTCACTGAGCTCAGGACAAAATAAACAGAACTGGAACTAACTTGAGAGCAAGAATATTCTGAGCGAGAAGCCAAGCGGGTAGCCAGAGCAAAACAGAACGTCCCGAACGTCCATTCTGTTTTCATTTCAGGAATTAAGAATACCTTAGACTTCACTAATTGTTTTGATCTGAGTAGTCGATTTGGAGTTTCAGTAAACCCAGAAAAAACCTGGAACAACTTTGATGAGACGTAAAAATGCAAATAGTTTACTTAATATTTAAAAGAAAAAACGAGGAGCGGGTGGGAGGGAGGCAGGAAGAGAGAAAGGAGAAAGAAAGAGGAGAGAGTACCTTTGAAAGTTTTTAAAAATCAGTAAAATGTAATTTGTCCTGAATATTTTTGACACGAGTCACCCTTAATTGCCATTTCTGCAAGGTATCTCAATTACGAGAGTACAACGTGGCGGTCTAAATGCCTATACATTTGTCTGAAGAAGGAAAAAAAAAGCCACAACATTGTCTATTCAGTGTCAAAAAGCCTTTTCTTTAACTACAGAGGGCTTGGACAGAACTCAGGAAATACTTCAGCTGGAAAAGAAATGTTAAAAGCTACCCTTCAAGCTATTGGAAAACCTATTATCAAATGTTAAAACCTTTAAAAAAAAATCCATGAGTGTCCCCAGCATGATGACATATCTTTGTTTAGCAAAGGTTGATCATCATTGATAACCAAAGACAAAATAACAATGGATGCAATCTAACTGCTAATTAGGAATCGCGAGGCTTAAATTAAGAAACTCAGGGAGAACAGGTATCTGATTACGTATGTTCTCTCAATGCCGGCACCACATTTACTTACAGAAAATGCAATAGATGTTTCTCTTTATCACATCTCTAAGTCATAATGTCAGCATTTTAGACTCTGCTAGCTGTCACTGTGTGTAAGAACCTAAAAAGAAAAAAAGAAAAAAAAACCAGCATAACTTTCCTTCAGAAGAAAACACTGTGGAAAAATATACATAGTGTATACGCATATGCAGACAACCTTTCACTATTTCTTTCGGTTCATAGAACATAATGAGAATTAATTAGCACATTCCTAAATCATTAGCCCCAATTTCCTCTCTAATGTGTGCATCTACGCATAACTGAAGATTTTGTAAAGAAAGGAGACAGAAACCAGAAAGCTGGGGTCAGAGGCAGATGCACAGATGCACGTATAAATGGATGCACTGTGATTGTACCTCTTTGTGATGCATAATTACAAATGATTTTAATTCAACCCCTTCACTATGAGCTATCCCTTTTTTTTCCCTGTTCTAAATACGATACCTATAAGACCCCCAAATTCATTTCTTACAGATTTTAAAGATTTAAAAATTTCTCCAAAATGCCACATGTCAGTCAAAAAAGAAAATGATTGGCTTTTAAAATTATAATTTAAAGCACATTGACTAGAGGGTATGTTTTCATTAAAATTTAACCCCTTTTTAAGCTCAGACGTCTGGGGCTTTTAGGAACATACTAAAAATTTGGGTTTTTACCTCCATATCCTTCTTCCAAACAAGAGCTACAAAATAAAAAGCTCTGAATGGCAATAGACAGTTTCCCATGTTAATATAAGACGATGTCTTTCAATATACACCTCAATACAGTATTGCTCATACTCATTTGAGATACACAGAAATACATAGAAAAATCAAGAGCCTATCACTGCCATCTGTAAATGTTTAAAAATTAAATCTAACAAGTAAGCTTTAAGTAATAAATATATGGAAACCTTATTTTTCTTAATGGGATCAATTTATGTCCCCCAAGGGGATTTTTTTTTTTTAGCAACCTTTTTCTACTATGAATAATCATTCTTACACCATGGTAATATTCCATTAAAACATAAATTATTTTAAAAGAGTAAGATATTTGGCAAAGCAGCCCCTAAACATAACAATACCATACAACAAAATGATAGATTGTTCAAAACAATTTATTTTATTTTTTCTTTATGCCAGCTTAAAACAAATTACTTCTTGGTGGTTACACAAATCTATACAGGTGATAAAATGGAAAAGAACTATACAAAACAATAGAGTGCATCTAAAAACTAATGAAATCCCCATATGATCTGTGGTCTAATGAATAGTATTTTGTCAAAGTCTATTTCCCACTTTTGATATGTACTATGGTTATATAAAACGTTAACTTTGGAGGAAGCTGGGTGAAGGGCATACTATAACTCTCTTATTTTTACAACCTCTTATGAGCCTACAATTACTTCAAAATAAAAGATTTTTTAAGAATTACTTCTGTATGATTTTTATAAGTCTGAATTCCCAGACATTGTGTTGGATTTTCGCACTCCGAGGAATGGAATAGATTCTCACTAAAATTCAGATCTATAACTTATAGAGAGATTTCTGAAAGGTTCAAAAATACATCCTTCAATTGACTCAGATCAGAAGGAAGTCTGATATAAGCATTATCTTCAAAGTCCTTATCAAGACCATATTTCTAATCTTCTTATAATTTATTTGCCCTAATCTCTGTACCTTCCCGCAGCTCCAGGCAGAAATGCCTCTACATCTCACAGCAGTAAAGTTTAGTTGTCAAGAGCCTATATTCAAATTGCTGCTCTGACATTACCTACATGACCTTGGTCAAGTTGCTCCTTCTCAGAGCTCAGTTTGCTCATCTGTGAAATGGGGATAATTATAGTATCCCCTGCATAGGGTTGTCATGAGGACCGAGTGAGGTCATGAGTGTAAAGCCCTAAACACAATGCCGGGCGTCTGGCAAGCACTATGTGAGTATCCAGAACCACACAGGGCTTCCGGTAAATGCTTGTCCCTCTTCTTGTTAACTGTGTGATCTAACCTCTCTACAAGCTTCAGTTCCCTTGCCTGTAAAAGAGAATCATTGATGCAGTGTCTCTACTACAGTAAGTGTCCAGCACTGGACTGTTTCATGAGTGTTGCTCTTTTCACATTACAAATATTTGCTACAGCTCTCTGTTTTGCTGCACTATGAGATCTTAAAAGGTAGAAGTCAGGTATTATTCCATCTTTCTGTCTCTTGGCCAGTGTAGGCACAAAGTAGATGCTCCATAAGCATTTGTGAAATTGTCATTTTTAAAAAGCTACTGATTGAAAAGTGAAATATTAAAATAAGCCATTTGAACCACATCACAAAGGATCATAGGAATGAAAATGACATTATACTTTGGCGCTTTTGTTGCCCCAAATTTTTCTTTTTAGATGATGGTACTTTTAGGTTTTCAGATATTGAATTTGTGAAACTAACCCTCCAAGGAGTGAGCTCTGGGTTCCTAACCACAGTAGGCATCCCCGCAAAATCTTGAAAACCTAAGGACTAGAGCAACTAAGTGGGTGCAAGTTATGCCCATGAGACACCACAAATCAATGGGATGCCTCACCTGTCTTAATTAACATATTCCAATGTGCTTTGGGTTAAATAAATACTCTTGAACATTTAACAAATGCTCACAGTAATAACTTCGACTGCTACAGTTCTCTATCACACCATTTATTCCTGTGTTCTTTCTTCAGTATTATAAAGGGGCCTCTCCATAATCCTGAAGTCATTTAGAAGACTGGGATATTGTATTCAGGACATAGCTGGTTTTCTGTCAGAAGTACTTACTGACTGTGACTCGAGAAATCCTCATACAGATAAATCTAACACCACAATAATCCAATATTTTTTCTCCAAAACAAAGCCATTAGCATTTTATTAGAAGAAATATTTCATCCCTCGCTCTCTCTTTAAACATGCCACAGATGTAGCACTCTGTGTGGGTTGTTAGAAAGTCAAAGAATATAATTTCTTGATTAATTGCCATACACAGGATCCAAGTTATGTACAATTTTGGTAGTTAACCCCACCACCTCCCATAAGCGGTTACTGCTAAACCTTCCAAATAAGCACATTTATGATAAATCACTTGGAGCTGTTTAAGTGGATCAGGTCTTAAGCTATTCCTTGGGATAGATCATGTCATTTTCAATGTGCACGAACTACAGGAGAGAAATTCCACTGTAAACCTCTGCCGCGGTATCTTCGTTTCCCTTGCAGGCTTCAGGGAGTCTCAGTCAATATTTCTTATCTTATTTTTAAATATCTTGTGGTCTCAGAAATGGTTGGTGATTCAGAAATTACATCAGGAGTCTAAAGATAGACTACGGGCTCATGACTTCAATAAATGCAGCGGTTCTATAACAGGAAAAGAAAATGCTTGTTGGTTTTAAGACTATTGGGAATCAAAAGAGTTATTCTTAGTTTGGCCAGTTAGAGTCTATCTCTCCAAAAGCAAGTTACCTTCTCTTCTCAACCATCCATCTACATAACTGGGTGCATGAATATAAATCACAAGGCCTCCTAGATATTTATAAACTGCTGAATTCAGAGATATGGATACCTTTTTATAGACTCTACCCCCACCACTACAAATTGTTTTGTGAAACAGTTTCCATGTTGGTTATTTTAAAAATGGAATAACTGATTTGATTTGGAAATGACAGTAGCAAAAGCAGGGCAAAAAATCAGGTCTCCCATGTACATGGTAGATGCTCCTTTATGTCACCCTACCTCAATGAGTTATTCACCCCACATTACTATAAGGCAACCTCTGGCATGAAAATTCTTTGCAGGTGACATTGCAGGAGTTATGCTCCTCCTTTTCCAGTACAGGCACAGCTGCAGCTTATCTTATTTCAAACAGGATTAGTCCACCAATGCATAAATGACAAGAAACTGGCTCTTCTTGCCTTCTTGACCAATTCAGACTCTCAGACATCTTCCTCATTTCCCTGAAAGTTTATCTTCTTTTACAATGGAAATGTGTTTCCCTAAAAGTGAATGTATTTGGGTTTTATCCAGACAACCCTCCTTTCTTTAGTTCCAAGTGGGGGCGAGGTGGAGGGGTATATAAGAATTCTGGTACAAATGACAGTCAATGAATCATGAATTTCTAGTAAGAAAAAAACCAGTACCTATTGTTACCCTTTTCTTGAATCTCCCACCCATCTAATTATGGGTTAATATATTTTCACTTAAAATTTTAAAATTAAATTATTTGAATACACTTTTAGATTCATATTACTTAAATGTCCCATAGTAAACATGAACCACTTTTACAGTTAAAAGTGTTCTTTTAAAATAAATTTGATAAAATTCTATCTATCTTTTTCTTCTTTTAAAATGGAAAATACCGTAAGGAAATCTCTCCGATACCTGTGCCAAGTTTTGTTTGCCTTGGTTTTTTTGTTTGTTTGTTTGTTCAGTTCTGGTTTTGCTTTTAAGTTTCCCTGACCCTTCTAGATGGTCTTATTATTAGATTAGAATTCTTTCAACAATTGACTACTAAAAAGTGTTTTCCTGAATATATAGACTGAGAATGAAGGGGAAAAACATGAAGAAAAATGTCCTCTAAGTTTTCCTACACATATCCTATAATTTTCCAGTTGGCTTAGCCACTGAACATATTTAAATAACCAACCAACATATTTATTTAACATTCGGCAGATGGACATGATAGGAACATCATGATTTTCAGATGTACTTTTATAACTGCAAGGTTTTCTTCGTGCCAGGATCACAACAGGTTCTTAAGGTAAAGCCGCCCCTACCTGCTGTTTCTTCAATGTTGGAGCAACTCTCAACCTAAACATGTCCACTCAGATTAATTTAAATCCCTGACATTAAAGTGGAAATCAAATCATTCTCTTCAATCTATTTTTTACCAGCAGCATAAAAGAGACTATTTTACATGTTAATAGTAATCTGATGTGGTTGTATAAATCTGATATAAATATGATACTCTGTTTGGAAATGATGCTAATTTAGTTTAAAATGGAGATTACATTTCAACTTGTAAAAGAGCAGGATGGAATATTAGCATTCATGGCTGTTATATAATTTCCCTTTACACTACACAAGTGTTACTCAAAATCTTTTCTGAGACTCTTTGTCCAAAGATTTCCCATTCTTCCTATAAGAAAAAGGACTTCTCTATTTAACTATAAGTTAAACAGGTGGTACAGACCCTTGAAAAAAGATTAACAACAACATTATAAATGCATTTTTGAAGAAACATTTGAAGTTACAATGTAATAAACTGAACAGAATGTCATAAGAATGTCAAACTGGGCACTGTAAAAATAAATGTTATTCCCAAGGAAAATAAAAAGTCTGCATATTTATGTAACATTCAGCAGATGGACGTGATATTAATATAGGGTTTTCAGTTGTACTTTTATAGCTACTAGATTTTCTTGCCTAACTTGGCAACCCGAGGCACCATTTGAGTTTTGGATTTGGACAATACTGCAACAGATGTCCAGACCAATAAAATAAATTCCTTAAGGGCTATGCTTAATTTGTGTAATTGATCAATTTTGGTTACATAGGCCTCAGCTCACCAGCATGTAACTGCCTTCCACAAAAGCTTTGCAGTTGGGATTTCGTTCCATATGTTACAAGAGTTTATGGACTCTCTTTGATAATGCTGCAGATAGAAATGGGCCTGCGGTGACACCTGTTGGCAACCAGCGGTGAAAAATAACAAGGGATGGAGTGGGCAGTTCTGGGGCAGGGTTTCTGCACCTTGGCGCTATTAACATTTGGGGCCAATTTTTTATTGTGTGTGTGTTGTGGGGGTGGCTGTGCTGTGCATTGTAGGAGGTTTAGCAGGATCCCTGGCTTCTACCCACGAGATGCAAATAGCATCCTCCCCCAGATGTGACAACCAAAAATGTCTCTAGACGGTACCATATGTCCCACAGAGGACAACAGCCCCCCAGGGAGAACTCTTGCAGTAGAGTGGATACTTCTGAAAGAGGCACACATTGGAATGGCTTCAGATTTCTCACATTTTTTTTTCTAAAAAAAACAAAACACAAAGCACTTTTCTTTCTTTCTTGCCTTGAAGTCTCTCAATCTAATAATAGTTTTATGGACAACTCATGAAAACTTTGGCCCAACAGACTGTATCTGTAATAGGTGTGCTAGAGCCCCATCCTCGTCACTGCACGCAGGCGGGTGGTAATTAAGACATGGATTTCGAAGCCAAACTCTAAATGTTCATCACTCACCTATTAAAATTGCCAGAGTTGCTATGTTAATTATCTCCCCGTATCCTTGATTTAGCATAATACGGCCTGCAGCCTGTGACAGAAATTAAAGGAAAGACCAGTGACCTCTTTTGTGATTGTGCTAATAACTACATGATAATAAATTAGTTTTCAATTTTCAGAAGACTTTACATAGCAAAAAAAATAAAAAAATGGAACAAGTGTATGATACACAAACTTGATAAAAGATGGCTGATCAGCACCAACTTTGAGTCTTCTTCTTTAAATTAGTTTCCAACCAATGTAAACAGCACATCTGAAATCAAACTGCAGTATTATTTTTCTGGCTCAGTACATTACATTGCATTAAAGATAATAATAATGAGAAGATTATGTCAGTCTGCATTTTACGTTGGATATTTTAGCAATCAAATCCTATTTATATAACTTTTTCAGGGGTAGAGAAAACTTTGACATACACACTGTACACACGCCATGCATACACACACCACACACAAAAGATTTTTCCAGTAAGACATATTGACTTGAAGAATTCCTACTAATATCAGAATAAAAACATGAGAAGTAAAATGACTCATCCAATAGCAAAGACGCGCCATGACTTCTTGGCATGTTTTGTGCCTTCCTTACATCTGCTCCTGCCTCTAACAGCTTTCTTCCCTTGGCTGGCAAAACCCAAATAAGAATGTACAGGAAGCATGGCCCCACTCTGATGTACAATAATATTTAGCTAATTAGAAGAGTCCTCCAGCTCATTATGCTAGGCAGTAGGAAGGAAGAAACTACATGAAAGCATGACACTTGCTAAGCCCTAGGATGGTGTCAAAGCTGAACTGGCATCACTTTCTCCCATTTCTTTATAGACTTGGTCGGATTGCAATATTATTCCTTGAAAATCAGTTTTGACTTTGAGAGAGAAGGATCCCTTGAACACTGCACCATCTTCTGGCCAAACGCTTAACTACAAGTGCTTAATTAAAGTGTAAAGTCCCAGATTTCTGAGAATGACTGCCAAATTAGTACGTACTTGGTATATTTCATTATTCCTATTTTAAGACAGCACAATAGACAGAAACACAGGGCATTTTCCTTCTGATTAAATGACAAGGCACTGGAACTCTGTTTTAATACAGCTTTGTGCTTCATTCACAGTCTCAAATAATTTTTTATCCCACAGATATTTGTGGAAAGCCATGTATAGATCTGGCACTTAGAACTGGACCCACAGAAGGGTAAGACATGGTTCCAGCCCTCTGAGAGCTTACAACCTAGTCATATAATCATGAAATGTAAAGTGGATGTATTCTGAATAGCCCAGACAAGAAGTGCAATAGGAATTAGGAGGTGAGATCTGAGGACTGACCTTGTAGGAAAAGATTTACTGTAGACAGTGGCCCTTAAATTATGATGAAGAATGATGATGCTGATGCTAATGATACTTAAGATATGCCAGGCACTGTGCTAAGCCCTTTACAAATATTGCCTTCATTAAACAGCTGAATTTTGCTGATGGGTAACCCAGCAAGGGAGTGTAAAAGGTTAAGACTCAAGCTCCAGTTACCTGGACACCATAACTCATGCTCTGAACCACTCTCCTGTACTGTCTCCTGTGATAAGGATTTGATTCACAGAAAGGAGTTTCTGGGGGAAGGAAACAAAGTCAGCAAAGATGGAGACAGGGATATGCAGTGGCAGCTCTAGAATTTCTCTGTAGGAGGGACTTCAGATGAAAATCTGTTTGCGGGGGAAGGGCTGCTCAAAGATGTAATTCTTTGCAGCTATGTTTGCAGAGGAGGCACACGGATCCTACCTAAAAGAAGAGAAGCTGATGGGGATCTCAAGAAGGGCTAGCCTCCCAGAACACCTAGGGCTGCTGCCACTGGGAATATGTGCTGCATCTTCAAGCAAGAGCAAGGAATCCAATGGGGTTGGAGAGCTAAGCGGTTCAGAAGGCATCACAGGAAATGGGATTTGAAAAGCAGGCTGGAAAAAGACCAAAATATTCACAAAGTTGCAGGTGGGTCTAAAGATATATTTGGTGTAGAATAATGAACCTATTCAAATATTATACAAAAGTTAATCTGTTCTCAATGTGCAGGGTTGAGGGAAAAGGTACGAAGCAGTGAGATAAAAGGCTCTAGCATTAATCAAGATATTTGTCAAGAGAAAGAAAAGAAAGGGACCAATGTGAGAAGCATTTCAAGGAAAGTCAATGCGGCGGGGGTGGGGGGGGCTGGTGACAGAAGGAAGAGGGTCCCTGCAGACAAAGCAGGAGACAAAGAACTTCCCAAGTGCTTCAGTTTTGTAGTGAAGGGCAGAAGGGACACCAGGTGATGAAGTCAACATTTTCAAAAATAAAGGAAGATGTAAATTTTTGGAATACTGTATTTCTGAAGATATGGGCAACCCAAAATAGAATGTCCAATATGCAACTGATGCCAATACTAACTGCTCACTTTGGACTGAGCTCACGGCTGCAGGTACAGATGTGGAAGTCATTTACACCAAACTCAGAGATGAACACATGAGGACGACTGACTTTCAGAGGAGGCAAGAAATGGCAGAGCGAAACAGCCAGCCAGGCCTGAACGTTTTGGGACATTCCCCTTTGGAAAGGAGTGATGTGAGAAGCCAGAGAATGGGCAGAGAGGAGACATTAGAGGGAGGATAAAAGTCACAATGACAGAAGAGCAGTGCAATATCAAAGAGATTATGGTTATTGGTGACTGCTACAGAAAGATCATGAAGAGCATCTCAAAATGTTTGTGTCTGACAAATATGTACTGAGCATCCACTATGTGCCTGCTACTGTTCTGGGGCCTGAGGATAGAACAGTGAGCAAACCAGAGTCTGTCCTCAATGAGCTTACATTTTAAGGAGGAGAGGATAGAAAATGAGCAAATTAATATGTTAAATCAAACCACAAGAAATTGCCAGTATTTGTCCGGTTTTGACCTACAAAATGTGCATTCTCATGTGGTTCTACTTAATATAATGTCAGGTGGTGGCAGATGTTGTGAAGAAAATAAAACAGGGCAAGGAGAAAGAGCATGCCATGGGGAGAGGGGCCTTCTTAGACAGTGGGGTCAGGAGAGGCCTCCTTAACATGCCGATATTATTATTTGTATGGGCATGAATGAAGTGGGGAAACGGGCCATGCGGGTGTCTCAGCACCATGGGCAGAGGAAACAGTGGCACACAGACTATGGGGTTGCAATGTGCTTAGAGAGAAGAAAAAACCAACGCACTTGGCTGCTGGATGATCACTGTGGAGGGTTTGCCTGTAGAATGGTGAAGACTAAGGCCAGGGATCAAAAATACTGCAGAGAACGAATGGGAGTCTGGGGGTTCCAAAGACATAAGTGTAAGCAGCTGGTTTGTTTACACATAGAATCATTTATTCATTCAACAAAATGAATGAGTCAAAGGAAAAAAGAACTTGGGAGATGGCAGAATCAAGTGAAGCTGTTGCAAGTGACAAGAGACCTGTGCATATCTACAGCAAAAGAAAACCCTGAGAGGGTAACCAGAGATGCTGAAGGCATAAGGCACACTTGAGGAGACACAAGGGGAATGAATGTAGCCGTGGGTAGATGCGGAGGGAGCTAGCATCTGATACAGTCATAACCTAACCCAGGCGTTGCAAACGCAAATTTTAGGCAGGTAAAGTAAACTTGGGAGGTGGGCTGGCCAGGTGACATTTAACAGGGCATGGTGGGGATTGAGGCAAACTGGAGACATCATGCCCTGTGGAAAGTGGGCAGCCAAGCCTCAGCTCAGGCTTTGCCCATGCAGAAACGAGAACCCAGAATTGCCAGATGCTCTGATATTTCAAGACAAGCAGAAAAGATGGGTTTTTATATGCAGTCTCTCGATGTGTATGTTGTTACAAATCTTAAAGATTTTTTAAACATTACGCAGGCCAAACAAAACACATCTGTAGTCCAGATGGGGCCCACAGGTTGCCAATTTAGGACCTCTGGCTTAGAACAAAGATGTTAGCATGGTCCCTAGACTTGGTCATGGCTCTGAGCTCCTGACTCACAGTTGCATTCGCCTGCTAGGCAGTCCCAACTGGAGGTCCTGTCGGTATCTCAACCACAACACACGCAAACCCAAATTCATTTTTCTCCCCCAAATCCCTCTTCCTGCCTTGTCTATTACTCATGAATGGCAGCACCACTGCCAAAGCTACCACCTTTGGAATGGCCTTCCCTCTCCTCCTGAAGTCAGGATATACATCCTTTTATGCATGGATGTCTGCATCTTGGCATACATCCTTTTTCCTCCATTTTCATTGGCATCGTCTCCAGTTTAAGCTCTCACGACTTCCAATCTAAAATATCCAGATAATTTTCCACTCCCACTCACTCCCTCTTCCTCTCATCTTTTCTCCACTACTTAAGTACAGACTTCCACTGACCTACATCCATGACCCTCTACAGTATGGCCTGTCTAACCCATTATTCCCTTTCATATGTACATATTCTAAGCTTTGCTAATATGGACTGCTCAGATTCCCAAACTCAGTCCAAGTTTTTCTATGTCTAGATCAGGGTACTGAAGCACTATTGACATGTTGGGCCAGATCATTCTTTGCTGTGGGGACTGTCCTGTGCATTGTAGGATGTTTAACAGCATCCCTGGCCTCTGCCTACCAGATGCCAGTAGCATCTCCCCCCAAGTTGTGACAGCAAATAGGAGGTGATGGAAATAATAAGCCATCATAATATTTTCCCCAGGATAACCTTCAAATTAATTTGAAGCCTAAGTATCTATCAATAGATAGCAGAAAAGTTTGCTCAGAAATGGTGGAATGGCAGAGGAAAATAAAAATTGGTTCCTGACTAAAAGTTATTGTATATGAATTATAGTGCCTATGACCATAGTCAGTGCATCTTTTGACTTTTTCATATTTATTAGAGAAAATAGCACTTCCCCTGGGAGGTTTTGCCTCCCAGACTCTCCTGCTGGTCAAGTTCCCCTTCTCCAAGCTCTCACAGCACAGACTTTATAATAATTCCTTGTTTAACTGTTGGTTTCCCTCTAGGCCAAACACTCCATAAGGGAATGTATTCTGTCCTTGTCATAGCCACGTCCCCAGCAACTAGCACAGTGCCTGGCATGAAGTGGGCACTCAATATTCCAGCAATAAGTAAGTCTTGCACTAACAGAGTGATTCTCCTGCATCTAATTCTCAACAAATCCCAATTTTCTTCTTCCTTTAAGACATAGCTCAAGATCAACAATCTCCCTGAAGAGTCCTTCACTAACATCAACTGACAAAGGTCTTTCTTTTTTCATACATTCTACAGCACTTCATAGATTTTTGTTATCCATGATTCCTGTATATCAGATCTTTATCACCAATAACACTCAGGATCTTCAAGACAGTCTGTCTTCTTCAACTTTTTATTATTACCCTTAACAGTGAACATTTAGTACATGATTCTAAATATTTGTAAGACAAATGAATAAATGCTGGTGTCATTCACTAAAACAGCTAGAAAGTCCCCCATAGCCAATTTAACTTGCCAACTGGGGGGGTTAATTTTATGTGTCAAGTTGACTGGGCTAAGGGATGCTCAGATAGCTGGTAAAATATTATTTCTGGTGTGTCTGTGAGTGTGTTTCCAGATGAGATTAGCATTTGAATCAGACTGTCCTCACCAATGTGGACAGACTCATCCAATCCACTGAGGGCCTGAATAGAACAAAAGGATAAATTTGCTCTCTCTTTTCAAGCCACTATATTTATCTTCTCCCACTTCCAAACACCAGTGCTCCTGACTTTCAGGTGTTTGAACTCAGATTGGGACTTACATGATTAGTTCCCCCTGGTTCTCTGTCTTTGGGGATTGGGCTAGAACTACACTATCAGCTTTCCTGGGCCTTCATCTTGCAGATGGCAGATCATGGGAATTCTCAACTCCCATAATTGTGTAAGCCAATCTCTCATATCAATCTCCTTCTATATATCTATATATCCCATTGGTTCTTTTTATCTGAATAACCCTGGCTACTACAGGAACTAAATTTTGAATTTATGATCTCTATCTAAAATGCTTACCTAATGTTCTCGTCCTCTGATTTAAAATTAAATTTCTATTGATTTAGGTTGAATTATTATTTATTTTACAATAAACATGTCACTTTACAAATAATACATATAAAGCTCTTCTAGCCAGCACATACTTCTATCATCCTACAAGTCTGGGGTCTGGTAGAACGAGCTCCTTGTTAGAAAAAATAGAGACCAGATATAGCCCAGGCTCTGGAACTAACTTCTTATGAACTTAAACAGGTCAACTAGCCTCCCTGATTTCCTCAACCTATAAAACGGGTATATTAATACCTTCCCGCTGACAAGAGTAGTGATAGTTCCTATAGGCTTAGGGCTTGGGATCCTACAAACTAGATACAAATCTGAATTCCACTTCATGGTAGCTGTGTGTCCTTAGTCAATTATTTAATCTCTCTGACTTGATTTGTTAAACTGTAAAATTAGAATAGAACCTATCTATTTTGAGATTTATATGATGGTATATACAGTCACTGGTAAGTAGCAAGTGATCAATTGCAGGCCTCCTATTATAGAGGAACAAACAAGACAATGTAATTATAAAAGAACTTTGGACAAGAATGGTTGCTGGGGCTGACCCATTTTATAACTGCAATTATCAGCAAGTTAAATGAGAATGGTATCAATTGCCCAACATCCATCTAAACAAAATTCTTACTTCTCCTCAGTACTGTGGCTACAAAGCCAGCACAGGGTTTTTATGGACTGAGACTAGAACTGGGTCCAGGACATACATTATACTTCAAAGTATATAAACCTGAAATTTTCCCCATAGCTTCATGAAACCCCTTTGAATTTTTAGAAGACCTTTTTGTTAGATCTGGTGATTCTGTCTGGAATACCCAAATCTGTTCTGAATCAGCTGGAACTTTTACCGCATCCAAACTAAGACAAACTTTTAACTGCAGGTTCAAAGTAAAGTCAAGCAGAAATGCAGCTTTATGCTAAGGAGGTCAGTGCCCATTCTAATTCATGATGGCAGGATCCTTTTGCATTCAGCAAACTGGATTGTGAGAACTGTTTACCTCTGTCTCACTTGCAACCCCTGTGCAATGCAAGCCTCAACTGCCTACATTTATGTATGTGTATCTGGTTCTTCCTCATCAACTTTCTTGAGGCTGAATGAAGTTCAGTTAAATTCACAGTTTAGATGGCGTTCTTCTCAAAAGGAAAAAAATGAAGAGATATTTTGACTAATTCAGATCCCAAAACCTTTTTTGTTAATAGGTATATTTCATTCACTCAACAAATACTTGTTTTCAACTGAAATATCAAATAGATATCTCAAGTTTCCCTTTCTCTTTGGCTCTGAGGACCTGGATTTTGTTTGACCTGGAACAGGATTTTCCACTCAAATTTCCCATTAATAAAGCTGAGAAAATGACAGTGTTTGCCCACTGCATGGGGGAATTGTAAAACTTGATTAATTGAAATCTTGGATGAAATGTGTTAGCAACACCAACATTCTGCAATACTTCCTGACCTGTATATGAATGAGTGTTAGTTTAAAAAGACAAATTCTCCAATTTATAGCATGATTGTAGAGTGGAATTTTACACACACACACACACACACACACTCATCCATATACATATGTATATGCATATGTATAGCTTGGCATTTATACGAATGTGTGATTTCAGCAGCAAATCAGCCAAAGGAAAAATTAGCTACAGTTTTTTCCAAGGGAAATAATTTTCTGTTCATGTTCTGTTATTTTCAAAAGATTCTAATGCTGTTATTTCAAAACTAAATGTCCTCAAACAAGGCAAAGACAATTCTTCATTGAATTATGCTTGCAGATGCCAAATTTTCAGTGTTGTGTTAGTCCCACGAGAATAATCCAAAATTTAAAAAATGTATATAGAAACATTCTTTTAAAATGAATTAAAAATACTGTACCCTTTGAAGATCTGGTAACTTTCAAAAGAAGATACGCATTCAAAAGTAGAGAGGGAAGGGGGTAAGATAGAAAAGAAGGGCATATTTAAAGAATATCATTTTTAACCCCCTTTCCCCAATAACAAAATTATCCACGAAACTTATTTTGCATTCTGACTTGACTAAAATTGGGCAAGGTCATGTGGTGACAAAGTAATAGAAAGGAAGTGCTCTGAATGTAATTTAGTAGGAGTATTAAGAAACTATTTCTTTTTCTCTTTGCACAGTCTCTTTGGCTAACTATCACATCCATACATTCCTGCCTGCCTTCTTTGGGACACAAATAGATTAGATACTTCCTACAGATAAATGTTTTCTCTGGTTGCAGCTATTTTCATAGCTGATTAGTTGACTAAATGCCGTCATATTTTTAAACTAGTTCATTTATATAGATTAGGCTTTTTTTCAATATAGCACTACTTAACTTTGGCATCAAAATATGGCCTCCTGTCATAGGAAAAATATATGCAACTGATAAGGACTGAACACTGCCTAATACAGTGGAAAGAGTATCTGGATTAGGGCTGTTTATCTTGTAGCATGAGTAAGAATCTTTTGTTAATTTAAATACCACTGTATTTTAACATGTAATAAGAAGTGTTAGATGTGAAATATAAACATTTTAATAGATACACTATGAGTTTTAATATTATTTAACTTTACTTTGTTAAATCACTTTCCACCTCGATAGTGTATTTCCAAGAAAAGCTTTAGTGAAGAGAGGGGGAGAGAGAGAGAGAGAGAGAAACAATATGTAAAACATTAAATGGGTCATGAAAATTGGAAAAGGGGACAGGTTGTTTCTAAATAACTATGTACAAAAAGAAAACAAAACTAGAAAACCTGAAAGGTAGCCGAACGGTTGATGAACAGATACAGTTCTTAAGAAGCTCGTAAGTCTTTCCTTCTGTTGTTGAAATCCTCTTACTCATCCTCTTCATTTATTTATGAAAAGACTTTTTGTCTGTTTTGTTTACCAAGAGATCCTTGATAATAGACACATAGTGACTGACACATAATATGTGCCCAGTAAATCTTTGTTGAATAAAGGAGCAAAGGAAGGCCAGATGGACAATCACATGGTGATGGCTATCAAATTTGAGATTAGTAAAAATCAAAAGGAATTCCAAGAAGCCCTTTGTCTCTAACTTTGAGGTGTGACAAGAAGGAAAAGAATGGGAAAGAAAGAAAGGTGTCAAGATTAATCTATAAATGGGGCTCTGGCTCAGTCTGCAGTGATCCTGGAAAGAAAACAGAAATTGCCCAAAGGATCACTGAAATATTGCTCTCTTCTTTCAGAGAGTGAGACAACACTTTTGGCAAGAAAGGAGTGGAGTTGAAGGAGTGGGAAGAAGTAAGGGGCTTCATAAATATCTCTGAGTAAATGAAAGGCTATTTATGAGGTAGGTATTGGCTAGGCACTAAGATGGCACACTACAATTGTCCTCAAAGAGCTCAAAGTCCAAAGAGGAAGGAATAAATAGGATGGTTCAGATCCTGAAAGAAAAGGAAGGAGAAATAGGTAACAAGGTGACAATAATTGAAAGGGAAATTAATCTCTCCTTTTTCCAACATACAACAACACATTATTTAGAATTTATGCAAAATTCCACATGCCTTAGAAAAGACACAATGGGTCACATAAGATAAGTTCAACGGAAAGCCTCTGAAATGCATGTCGATAAATTTGAGAACTTTTATATAAGGAGAGAATAATAAATTCTTCCGGAAGGATGAAAGCTCAGGGGAAATATCATTGGAGGTTTAAAAATGTACAAAGTAAATGGGATGAACATGCACTTGTTCAAAAAAGTTCACGAATTGTGAAATAAGGGACAGCTCTCATAGCCTTAGAGTGGTACATTTATGATAAACTTTTAAAAATACTACAACCAAATATAGTACAGATTAAAAATATAAGTAGATTGGGATGTGTATAGACAAATTCATGGATCAGAGACAACTCTAGTAGCTTGAAGTCAAATCTGGCCTGTGGCCATGGTTTTTTAAAATTCTTTATTATGGAAACTTCAAACATATACAAATTTAAATATGTATATATTCCTCCATCATCCAGCTTTGATAATTATCAACCTATTGGCCAGCCTTGTTTGTTTCATTTATATCCTCTTCTTCACCCCAACCCTTGGATCATTTTGAAGCAAATCTCAAATGTTGCATCAGTCATCTGTTAAGATTGCAGTTAATATTTCTAAAATATAAGGACATTTAAAAAAACAACTACAGTTTCAAGATCAAGATCACACCAAAATTTAATAATAATTCCTTGACATCATCAAATAGCATTTCAAATTTCTGTAATTGATATGCATGGTGTTTTTAAAAATTAGAAATTTTATGCTACATTTGAAAATCAAGATATTTCAGCCAGAAGTCTAAATTTCTGACTTCTCCTGAAAAATTAAAAAGATCTGGCAAGTCTAGGTACACATTTCTAAATAGCAACATTGAGCAGGGATGAAGCAGCTACTTCCCTGTTGAGATTAGTCCCGAACTTTTTCTAGCTGACCACAGTCCTCATCACTCCATGTTGTCCTGCCCACTGCCCGCTCCACCAGTCAACATTGCCTGCCTGGCTCTTGGACAGAACAGAGTTTGCAATGCTGAATCTAAGCTAAGAGGAATTTTGGATGATAGAAACTCATCCTTTAACTTTGGGGGTTAATGTTATACATGGTGACCATGGTCAAGTTTAGCCTGCTAGACTTGAGTAAGTCACAGATAGAAAAGAATGTCACAACCCTAAAGACAAATGGTCAGATTTGAAGGTCAAACCAAGGACCGAACAAGAGAGGATGCAAAGTCAACAGACACAGGATCCAAGAGGAGGAATGGAGGCGTTATGAGGTACAGATTTCTTTGATTAGTTCAGGAATTATTTGGAGAACCAAATTATGTGCTGGGCTCTCTTCCTTGCTGTGCATTCCAAGATCCAGAGATGGGTATTACTGCTTTTAAAGGAGTTATGCCAAGTTCAACACTACATAAAGCCTTCCCTCCCTCCCCATTCACTTGTCAGTTTTGAAATGTGAGAATGCGAGTACAGCAGGTTAAATTAAAAGTGTAGTCACTGGGGCAAGATATTAATGCTCTTAAAATTAAAACTAAAATTAAAATCTAAAGCAAGATTTCTTACACTCACCTATATCTATATGTTGACTACTTTGCAGATATGCTGGAATGCTTCATACTCAACGTAAGAAAATTAAATGGTAAGTGTTTGCCAACCAGTTGTTATTCAAAAGTAAAAGAGCTTAATTTTAAGACTGCAGGAAGACAAAGTGTACAATTTGCTTGTTATGCACACAGTAAATTTAAAAAAAAGGCAATGAGTGTGAAATATTAAATATTTACTTCTCAGAGTATTTTTGTGCATTCTAGTATTAATGGATAATAATAATTACTGTACCTTATCCAAGACATACATAGACTGAGAAATTAAATTCCCAACATGTGGGTATATCCACCTGTCAATGCACATGCATAATTCCCAGCAGTGTTAATAGTTCCATAGGAAATGCACCAGTGAAAAAAAGAAAGACCCCCAGATATGTAGTATAATGGGAAACCTGGAAGGGTCTGTTTCCCTGGGAATTAACTGAACTAATTCCATTAAAATTCCTCAAAATATATATGCATCCAGGACAGAAAAACTGAGTGCATAAAATATTTCACAGACAGTATCTTACAAAATTAGCACGTGTCAGTCTCCTTGTGTGTTGAAAACCTCAGAATGGCTTGGGACTCTATGTGGGAGCTCAGTCAAGGAAATGAGTCACCCATCTGAGACCTCACCACTAGTGGCTCTCATCTTTAACAGGGGAATGCCTTGCCTTTCTGATCTCTTTTCTATGTGTTAGTTCAATTGCCCCATTGACAAGTCTTCATGATCACAGTGATATGCACACAAGCCCCTAGGGCAAACACAGCTCAGAGCCATGCCTACATGTAATGCATGGAAAAGGCTACAGGCTCCCTATCAGTGAGCAGTGGTTAATGTAATTCAAGAGTCAAGAAGCTGCAGCTCTAGTGCAACTTCTGCTATTTAACCACTACAATGACTTTGATCTAGACTTCAGCATTTCTCCCTGTAAAGAAGAAAAGTAATAATCCATATCCACCTATTTCCCAGGATATGAATGCTCCAAAAGGATGATAAGCATATGTGAAGGGAACTGCAAATTCCAAAGCACTATGCAACTGCAAGGACCATGAGTGACAGCACTGTATGCTCTGCTTTTCAGAGCACTGATAGGCTTATTACGCATTTTTTGTCTTTTGACTTTTTTCTTTAATATACAAGAAACACAAGTCAAGATGTATAAAGTAGAACAAGAGAAGCAGAAAGAAAAGGGGACATCATTCACGTTCTTGCCACCCTGAAATAATACGCATTAACGTTGGAATACATATATATCAATCTAAGCCAGTGCTTCTCAAATGAGGGCAATTTTGTCCCTACATTCTCCCAACCTCTAACTCCTAGGTGACATTTGGCAATTTCTGGAGGCATTTTTGGTTGTTCACAGGTGCTACACGTCCTACAATGCACAGAACACCCCCTCACAATGAAGAATTATTCAGCCCAACATGTCAATCATGCCAAGACTGAGAAACCTTGATTTAAACATACATGCAAATATGCATATGTTACATAACATTAATGCCAGAATTCCACTTACCACCACCAAATGTTAGGTGGAATGGCATTCCCCAAATCTCACATTTGACCAATTTTTGCTACTATTTTAGTAGCATACATGCAGTGTACAAATAAAATTTAATGCTGAAATTATAAAGTGCTTCTTCACATATATCTAGTGGACAATGTGTTACTCTCCCATTTTTTTCTATGATTGCAGGAAGCTGCTGAGGTAACAGGGGAGAGAAGAGATGAGGTGGCTTTTGCTCAAGGAGATTGGGAGTGCTCCTCCGTCATTTACTCCTGCAAAATATATTTTTTGACACTGCAGTGGGGTCACACTGATATTAGACTGGCCACATAGAGTATGTGAGAGACTGTGATTATTCTGGGGACATTGTCAAAGTGGGAATATTCTTGTGGGTAATACTTTATTTTTGCTTTTTTTGTGAATAAGTAGTTACAGAGTTAAGAAAATAAATAGGTTATATATTTTAAATTCTCTCTCTTTTTTATTATTTATTTATTTGTTTTTGAGACAGGTCCTCGCTGTATTGCCCAGGCTGGCATGCAGTGGTGCAATCACAGCTCACTGCAGCCTCAAACTCTAGGGCTCAAATGATCCTCTCACCTCAGCCTCTTGAGTAGCTGGGACTATAGGCACATGCCACCATGCCTGGTTACTTTTTAATTTTTTTCTAAAGACACAGTCTCTCCACGTTGCCCAGCCTGGTCTTGAACTCCTGAGTTCAAGTGATTTTCCTGCCTTAGCCTTCCAAAGTGCTGGGATTAAATGCATGAGCCACTGCACCAGCCTGAATTCTCTTTAATAAAATTAAATATTACTTTTTACAAAGCTAAGAAATTAAATGTCAGAACTCCACCAACATAAATTTATTAAGTTAATAGAAATGGAAAGAGATCTAATGAGACACTCTACAATTTTTTAACCTAAATAACATTGTACAAAAAGATGCTAGTTATATAAAATCATAACCAAAATCAGATCTACCACCTTATTTTCACATAGCAATAAATAGATCCCATCTTCGTGTGTCCATAAATATAACGCTAAACAACCCTTTTAACAGCACAGAAATATTTCATTGTATGGATGTTTATAATTTATTTATCAATCCCCTATTCTATTAGGTTGGTGCAAAAAGTAATTGTGGTTTTTGCCATTAGAATGGCAAAAACCGCACTTACTTTTTGCACCAACCTAATAAATATTTATATATGATTTCCAATCTTTCATTAAACAATGCTACTCTGAACATCTTCCCTGTTAAATCCTTATGTACATCTTGAACTATGTTGTTTAATTGGTAGAAATAAAATTAGAAGTCAAAGTGTAGGATTCATATTATCAAGTTGTCCTCCAAAAGATTTTCTTGAAAAGCCAAATTCAAGTTCACCTTTATACTTCCCATTTTACCTTCTCTAACAATCTGCTGTATTCTTTTTTTTTCTTTTTTTTTTTTTTTTTTTTTTTTTTGAGATGGAGTATCACTCTGTGGCCCAGGCTGGAGGGCAGTGGTGCAATCTTGGCTCACTCCAACCTCCATCTCCTGGGTTCAAGCAATCTCCTGCCTCTGCCTCCCAAGTAGCTGGGATTACAGGTGTGTGCCACCATGCCTGGCTAATTTTTGTATTTTTAGTAGAGATGGGGTTTTGTCATGTTGGCCAGGCTGGTCTTGAACTCCTGACCTCAAGTGATCCGCTGGCCTCAGCCTCCCAAAGTGTTGCGATTACAGGTGTGAGCCATTGCACCCAGCCAGTCTGCCTCTATTCTTGAAAACAGCACCCACTGCTGTGCCTGGTGAGCATGACTTCTTCCAGGCACATGGATTAGTCTATGCCTCCGCCTCTCCAAACTGCCAAAATTAAAGTGACTTCTGGATTTCGAGTCAACCAACTGATCATTGATCACTGAATTATCATTCAGGTGAAAGTTGACCAAGACAGATCCATAGCAAATCTGATTCAACCATGAGGGGAATCCTAATTAGCAGTCTGTCATTCCTTTAAACTAACCTTTAACTTCTTCTAATTGCCTATGTGTCAAGTCAATTAACATATGTAATTAATTTTTAAAATGTTGGTCCCAAGCACCACATACAGGTCTCTTCTTTCTGATAGGTTCTCAGCAAACACTCACAAAGACATCATTTGAAATTTCAAGCCTGTCTTTTCTTGTCCCTATAGCCTTCGGTTTTCTTCTGAGAGCTGCTCTGCTGTACTGGAAGACATTGGAAGTGGCTGGCCAACCCAATGCCAAGGTCCTGGGTGGGGTTGTGAGATGGAGGAATTCATAAATAACTATATTGCGTTTTTCAGAAATTCATTGCAGCAGACTGTGTTTGTACCTGAGCAAATGTGCCATTTACACAGAACGCAAAATATTTTTAATCGAGTAGAAAGAATTTTCTAAATGTGACAAGGCCTCTGTGTTTCAGTAATATAGATCACAATGCCACGGTGGGGCAGTTCTTCTCTCTGGCCACTAGCATGCCACTTTCTGCTCTGAGAGGGAATTGGCTAGGTGGGGCCTTTAGCTTGTAATACCTCCTTCCAATTGTGAATTTATTCTTTCCCTCCTTGCTGGCAATTTTTTACTTTTCCAGCTTGGCACATAGAATCTTGCAAGTCTCCCTGGAAGGTGACTCATATTTAAATGTGAATGGGGCAGCTGGCTTCTGTTATCTTAAAGGGTTACATTATGTCATTGCACGTTTTCAGCTGGGGTAAAAACAAACTGTGCTCTTTCCACACATCAATTCCAGTAATATATATTTCTATGAGATCACAGGGACTTATAAAGTGACTGAAATTTTTCCAGCTTTAAAAATTAAGACCAACGTACTGTTTCTTAATAATTCAGCAACAGCAACAAAAAATCCCTCATTTCCTGTCATGTTGTTTGAGAATTATTTCTAAAAGAATTATAATGATAATGATGATGATGATGGTGATGATGATGCTAGTGACAACAATAATGATGATAATAAACATTAATGGGCTTTGGCCATTTACCACACACCAGACATGGTACCAAGATCTCTACCTGTAGTCTTCACCTCAACCTAAAGAAAGAGATATTCTTAAGACTTAAAGGGTATAAGGTCAAAGGTTCATAAATGGCAATGGCAAGGTTTGAAAGCAGCCAGTTTTAACTCCAAAGCCTGTATCATTAATCATTGTGATATGCATTTATGTACATATCCACATATCTTGCCAGTAAGTAATTTTCTAAGATTTTAGTAAGCAAATGAATTGTTCCTCATGACATATTTCCTCTGGGTAGCCTTTCCTGGCCACCCAGGAAAAGGCTGGTGAGAATGCTAGGTGAGATGTACTGAAGTTTCCTAAGCATCATATGCACAGACCTCTATTAAGACAGGCAGCAAACTCCATGGTGACTACTTGTCCCGACAATGTACTAAGAGCTCCTTGAGGACACAAATTTAATCACCTCTAACAGTACCCACTACCTGGTAGGTATGCAGTAAATGTTTGATCAAAGAATAAATATATGAACAAATGAGTTATGTCTCTTTTATCTTAGGAGTTATGTCTCTTTGATCTTTTATCTTAGAAAATACAGAGCAAAATGAAATTCTCAGTGCTATAGTCCTCTTCTGTTTTCACACCATCCTACACCATGCAATTTGCCTCATTGGAAAATTATCCCAAATCCTGCCGCCTTCCAAAGAATGGTTGACACCTGAGTCAGACTGCCTGAGTAGGAATCCTGGCTCTGTCACTCTCCTGTTGTAGATGTAGGGTTTAACCGTCTTCTCTCAAATTTCTTAGCTGTGAAGTGAGTTCTATAAGAGCGACCAATTCACACTACAGGGCTGTGATCTGCATTAAATAATATAATGCAGACATAGTGATTAGAATAGTGTCTGACACATAAGAAGAAGTTAGTAAAGGTAAGTATTGTAATAATATTAATAGTTATAGGTATAGTAGCAATAGTAGTAGTAATAGTATTTTCTTGAAAATTTAGCATGAGCAATCAGTGAGAGAAAGTTAGGATACAGTTTTACCCTCTTAAAGTTTATATTGATATTTGGTGTTGTCCCTATAAAGGATGAAACTTCCTCATCAAAAATAGAGTCAAGCTTTCTTTAGGTGCCTAATAATGATCATTTTTAAAAGTTACTTAAAAATGATTCTTATGTGCCAAGGATTGTAATAAAAATTTATGTGTAATAAGTAATTTAATCTTTATAAAAACCTCTCAAGGTAAGTCCTATTAACCTCAGCTACAGATGAGGAAATCAAGTTTCAGAGAGGTTAAGTCATCTGCCCAGAATCACATAACACAGCTGGTAAGTTATGGCACCAGGATATGAACCTTAATTTGTTTATTTACCTAATAGTTTGCCCTTTCCACTAGATTGAAAGCATCATGAGGCAAGAGAGCACATCTGTTCTGCTCATCATTGTATTCACAGCCGGTAGCACAGTACGTATTTAGTAATAGGGAATTGTGGAATGTGTAAAAAAAAATGAATGAATAAATCCAGAGTCTAAACTCTTAACCAAAATGTGTCTTTTAATTACCTGAGTGGTATTTTTGCTATTCAAATCATTGCTATGATTTGAATATGTCCCTCAAAATCCATGTGTTGAAAACTTAATCCCCAATACAACAGTGTGGGGAGGTGGTGCCCAATGGAAAGAGTTTAGGTCATGAGGGCTCCACTCCCCATAAATAGATTAATGCCACTATAAAAAATGGTTTGCAAGAGCAGATCAACTCTCTTCTGCTCTTCATCCATGTGGTGACTCAACATTCACGCTCTCTTGCCCTTCCGCTTTCTGCCATGCAAAGACACAGTAAGAAGGTCTAAACAAGAAGCAGGCACCTTGATCTTGGACTTCCAAGCTCCAGAACTGTTCTTTGTAAGCCAACCAGTCTCAGGTGTTTTTCTATAGTATCACAAATGGAAAAAGACACACACATCTGGCACAATTTGAAGATACTTGAGAAATTATATGGCTCATGCCTATAATCCCGGCACTTTGAGAGGCCAAGGTGGGCAGATCACGAGATTAGGAGTTCGAGACCAGCCAGACAACATGGTGAAACCCCGTCTCTACTAAAAATACAAAAATTAGCTGTGCATGGAGGTGTGTGCCTGTAGTTCCAGCTACTCGGGAGGCTGAGGCAGGAGAATCGCTTGAACCCAGGAGGCAGAGGTTGCAGTGAGCCGAGATCACACTGTTATACTCCAGCCTGGGAGCCTGGGTGATAGAGCGAGACTCTGTCTCAAAAAAAAAAAAAGAGAGAGAGAGAGAAATTATATAATAATAATAATACCTACTATTTGCTGAGCATCTACTATATTTTTTTGTTCCTGTGCAATAGTTTTATCCTTAATTCATTCATTCGTTAGCCCAAAAAATACTTAGTGCATACTATGCACCATACTTTATCACTTTTGTAAGGGGTCCAAAAGAGGCATCAACTAAAAAATGACAGTAACTGCTATTACTGTTAACATTCTTTATCTTTCTGTGAGCAGTAAGCAGAACAATGGTACATCCAAATCCCTGGAACCTGTGAGTATGTGACCTCACCTGCCAAAAGGGAATTCGCAGGTGTAACAAAGGTGAAGGATGTTGAGCTCATAGATTAACCTGGATTACCTGGGTGGGCCCAGCCTAGTCACATGAGTCCTTAACAAGGCCTTTCCCTGATGATGTCAGAGGGAGAGAAAGATGTGACTATGGAAGGGAGCCAGAGGGATGAACAGGGCTGACTTTGAGGATAAAGGAAGGGGCCACCAGACAAAGAATGTGGGCCACTTCTAGAAGCAGGAAAAAGCAAAGACATAAATTATCCCCTAGACCTCCAGAAAGGAATTTAGCCCTGCCAACACCATGATTTTGCTCAGTGAGCCCCAGAACTGTACAATAATAAATACGTATTGTTGAAACTGCAGGGTTTACAGTAGTTTGTTGCAAAAGCAATAGAAAAGTAGTGCAATGTGAAACAACAAAAGAAACAGGATTCCCAGGCTTCCAAGTAATAAAAATACTGATTTTCAAAAGTATTTCAAGGTAAGTATTAATTTGTATGCCTAAAAATTGGAAAGTACAAGAATAAAATGAATAATGTAAAATAAATATTAATTTTGGATACATTTGGTACCAGCTGCAAAAATACCCATTACATGTACCGCATTGCAAATCTTCCAAAATCAATATGCAGCATTCATGGATTAAAATGATTTCCCTCAAAAGTTGGGGTAGATGGTTGTTTCTTATAGCCAATCAGCAGGACTCCAAAGTGCTCACCGGGAAGATCTGCATCAATCACTTTTCCCTTTTTAACTAAATATTTTCATTGGTCACCTTCACTTATACATTTGTTCTTTCAAAAAAAATATGTTGCTCACTCAGATCGTTTCATCCACTGGGATGATAAAGAAAAAAAGGCATGGAGTTGTGCCAAAGAAGAAAATAAATTAATTTTCATGCAGTGGAGGATATTGTTAAAATGAAACATCTTGCCCAAGAAATGGATGCTAATACAACACAACAGAATACTAACAGTGTCCTTTCATAATATTTTCCTAAAGATTACTTGCATTTTAAAAATTGCCTTTTATATGGCCCCCGAGTGATGCTTAAAAAGATAAATCACCTCTGAACAGAGTTATTTTCTCCTTGCGTTTCTCGTTAGCTGACATGTGCTTTTGTGAAGTTATCTTTAGTTAAGGAAACTTACCAAAAGAAGAGATCATTTACAGTTAAAAGGAATAATTTGTATGATTTAAAGAAGAGCTAATAAAGCTCCAGATTTTCCCAAGGTAACACATGTGCATTAAAAGCCCACATTTGTGCTCAACAACTGGGAAAAAATTACTTGGTTTAATATTTCACAAACAATATATTCATTTTATGTGCATTTAATATATGCAATTTAAAACCCGAGCTTCTAAATATTCACTAGTCGCTTCACTTTGGAGTGAGAAATGAATGCATCATGTTTTTGGACCTTGGGGTAAAGGAGTGGGGGCGGAAGAAGCAAATATATTTTTAAGAAAATATATATCAACTTTCCCTCCCCTCAAAGAAAAAGGGGGTTGGATGAAAAAAAAATATATTAATGGTGGCAGGGCATTGGACTATTGGTGAGCAGGTGTGTGCTACTGAATGAGCCTCTAGTGAATTGGAAGCTTTTAAAAGAGATTGATTCTCTTGCTTAACTAATTATTTCAAACATGCTTTTAAAGGTATTAATTACTTATGGAAAAGATCCTCCATTTGCTTCTAAATTGTTTCGATGGGTGATTCTTTGCCTGCAAAAATGTCTGGGGTAAAAGTCAACATTCTGTCACCATACTTTTAAGTAAAATATTTAAAACATACTAAATAAATAATATTAAATAAAATACTTTAATTATATTATAATTAATATTATAATTAACGATATATATAAATTATAATATATTATAATTAATATATATAAATTATAATATATTATAATTAATATATATAAATTATAATATATATTATAATTAATTATATATATTAATTATAATATATATTATAATTAATTATATATATTAATTATAATATATATTATAATTAATTATATATATATAATTAATTATATAATTAAAGTATTTTACTTTATGTAATACTCTAATATAATTAAAGTATTTTACCTTATGTAATACTTTAATTAAAGTATTTTACTTTATGTAATATTTTAATATAATTAAAGTATTTTATTTAAAGTTTAATTAAAATTATATAAAACATTTAAAATATATAAAATATTTACAATTATTTCCTTTTTATGTGAAGTATAGATTTTATATGTAAACACAGTTACATTTTATTTATGTAATATATATTGTAAGTATATCAATGCTACAATAAATATTGCTTAGAAGAACTTCCAGTTTTTGTTTTATTTGTGCATGTGTGTGTTACACAGTAATAGGAAAATTTCTACTCCTTAGTCTGTCTTGCACATTGTGTAAATTATAACCAGACACCAATCCGTATCTTCACTGCCTTTGATACCTGTTCTCAGTGCTACAAAGTTGATTTAATGATTTTTCAGTTTGATCTGTTGAAGGCATTTGAACTTACATCAAAAATGAATATCTGGTTGGCTTAAAATATGTTTAAGTACACAGCAGCTAACATTACCTAGGTACATACCACTATAATCATCGGAATGTTAAGCACATTGCATAGTGTCTTGGGACTTATTTCTCAAACTTTAGCAGCCTAAAACATCCAGATTCACCTGAAAAAAAAATCTGCATCCCCTTTACCCCCTAAGCGCAATATATTTTCATTGTGTACTAGGAAGATTTTCCAGTGACAAGAGGCCATTTTGCCAATTTGCTATCCAGAGCTCAGACTAATGAGTCACAGGCAGCAGAACAAAAAACTTAATACACTTGGCATTAATTAGTGGGCTAAGGATTGGTCATTCTAAATGCTCATTGGTAATGCCATAAAGTAACAAAAAACACATTTAAAAAAAACCCCACAGGCACCTTGGTGTTTCAATAACTACTTTATTTTAACCCAGCATCTGCCAAAATTCGTAGGAATATCTTCCCTATGCCAAGATTTATATATATTTTGCTGCATAAACATTTTGAAACAAAAAAGGAATACCTAAAAAAGAGTAATTGGATCAATTTTGTTCACTTTAACTTTTGTTAGATTTTTTTTAATAATACTACAGCTATTCACCATCACCAATCTAGAATTTTAAAAGCTTCATTGCTAATGTAAAATATATAGATAAGTGGAACACAGAAAGGAAAAAAATCTACATCAAAAATGCATCTTTAGTTGGCCCCAAACACATTTTAATACATTGAATGAATATCTAATTGTTAAAACCAACACAAAAGACTGAAGTCTTTCTGCCAATGTTCCCAACAGGATAATGTAGTCTATCAGTTTATAAACACAAAGCAGAAATTAAAATTAAAAACTACCCCAGGTCAGAAATGATATCACTTTATAATTAGAGAAAAAACTACTGGTACCCAGTGGAGATTAAGGAGATGGTTTCTGAAAATGTACATAAGAGCGACAAAAATAAACAACTACCACAGTCTGGTGGCACAATTCTGTTCCCTTGTGATAGAAACACAAAAAGGAGTCTCTAACAAGCTCCAAAAATATGTGTACGTGTATTTTAAGTAAAATTTAGCTTTCTGGCCAACTACATTTTTTTTCTGCTGGAAATAATGAACTAACGTAAAAATGATATAAGGATGTGTGTAAAAAGGACATTTAAGTGAAACAGGTTGAAGAACTCCATAAATTTACTGAAGATTAAATTAAAGACGGATGCGTGAGATGCAGTGATAAAACAATTTGGGGTGGTTCCTTCTCAAGGATGCTTTCGGTTTTATCAAAAGCCAGGCTTGCATAACTAATCAGTGGCAGGACCAGCCCTGGCTCTGAAATGGGAATCTCAAACAGCCCCTTGTAACACATATATGATCAAAACTCATTACTTTTGATATGCCTTGTTCTTGACCTAAATACAATAGAAATTCTTCCTTGGGGTGCATGATATACATGAAAAAGGACAACTTCTCTTTAAAACACCATTAGAATATTTTATTGTGTGTGGACATACACTCTTGTTACTCCTAAATGCTATTCTATTGAGTACAGTTTATATTCACTGGCAAAGCGAAATCTCTGGGGAAGCCAGAGAGGGAATGCAATTTCTAGTAATAACAGCTCACAACAGTGAATACTCTCCACTTATCCCCACAATTTCCAGCTATTTTGGACTCCTTTCTGAATTAACCTTTCATATCAAAAGGAGCAATTCTGCACACTAGAGACTCCGGCACAATTTCATGCATAATTTATTCACTCAGTTCAACATTAAACGCACAGTCCTTGACTTTGTCAAGGTGGATTCTGTTGGCAGACTTCACAAGCAGCAAAACAGGAGAAATGAGATCTACAACTCAACCTCTTCACCTATTCTTTCTGGTGAGAGATGGTTGATGGGGCTAGTGGAAAGAGAAAAATAAGGCAAGATTCTAGTATAGTGTGTTGTCATCTGTAGAATCTCTAGCAAGCATATAGTATTCTCACATCAGTAGTCTCTCAAAGGTTTTTTTAAAAAGTAAAAACAACAACAACAACAAAAAAACATGCTTGAATTCTGTTTCACCAGCAAAAGTCTGGTGCAATTTGTTGCCTTCCTGACAATTCCACCATTCATGGAAAAACAATACTTTTATCCTGGATTGCTTAGTAGGCACTGTTGGAAGAAATTGCTCAAAGCTGTTATTCAAACAGACCCACACATTAGCTTGAGGTGACATTAGAAGGGCTCATTTTGGAAATTTAAATAACACAGGCTTTCTAGTGAGATCCCAAATTCCAGATTTGCGTTCCCAGGTTGGCCTTCAAAAACATAGATACTCATTTTCTCTTCCTAAACTGCTCATTTGAACTCTCAAATGAGGGATATGTGCAACCATTTGTAAAAATGGAACCCTGATACACCATGACACTGATCGTCATCCTTTTCAGTGTCGAATGAAGTTCAGAGTAGACGGAGATCCATCTTCCCTCCTTCAAAAAAGCAACCTCATTCAAAGCCATTGATCATGCACCAGAGTCCAAATAATGTCTGGGTCAAAACCTGTAGATTGCTCTATTTCTCAGCCTCATGGATTGCAAACAATTTTTGTTCATCCTATAACTGCAAGATTTTTTTCCTGTTAATGATTGCTATATTAGCTTCCTATTATAAGTACAGGCATCCCTCTGTATCTATGGGGGATTGGTTCCAGGACCCCACAGATATCAAAATCTGCATATAACTTCTGCACATCCTCTTTTATACTTTAAATCATCTCTAGATTACTAATAACACCTAATACAATGTAAATGCTATGGAAATTGTTGTTATAGTGTATTTTTTAATTTGCATTTTTAATATGTTGTATTGTTATTTTTTATTGGTATTTTTTTCAAATTTTTTAAATCTGTGGTTGCTCGAATCCACAGATTCAAAGGGCTGACTGTACTTAATATATAATATATGTCACCAATGTCACTAAGGGCTTTACAAGCATTATTAAATTTACTTCATCTATTATCACCATGTTTTAGATGAAGAAACTGAGACCTGGAGATCCTAATTACTATGCAGAACACCTCTTACAGGCCTCAATTTCCCTTGAAAGGCAAATTGTGAAACTAAAGCAATAATTAAATTTTAACGTAGAAGCAGACACTATGTGATTTCCCTAAATACGTTAGACAAAGTGATTTGATTCCTATCACACTTGCCCTTTAAAAATATTACTTCCCAGCAACCACATCCCACTTTCCAAACCTGTGGATAATACGAGGCCTAGGAGCATACAACAAAATGTCTTTGGAAATTCCACAAATGCGGGAACTTTTTACACTGGACACTTTGGCAAAGGTCTTTAAATCTAAACTTTACTAGCCAGCAGCCCCCAAAGCCTAGTTAGAAGAAGCCCCATGCAAATAAATTGGAGCCTTACCAAAACTGAGCCTTACTTTTATAATTTGCTTTCAAATTTACTGCAAGAACATGAAAATTAAATGCCCCTGGTAACGTCAAAGGAGCTCGCTGAGAGTTTAGCAGTCCTCCTCAGTTACCATTCAGCAGCCTTTTTATTGTTTTGAGACGATATCTGGATTTAGACCAAATCATTGAAATCTATGAAAACTCAGAGGTGCAGCAGGTTTTCCATTTATGACCTTTTCAGTCCCAGAGACTTTGATTTGCATCCTGATTATGGCATACAAAAATGAAGTTGAGAAGTCTCATTTTCCCCTGGATTCCATTTACTCACCTCCCTTAGCCACCATGATTGGCAGGCGGTGGGAAGAGCATGAGGCTCACTGGACACATTGGATTCAAGATGCAATGGCCAAGTGCCCCTCCCACCTGGCATCCTAGACATTCCCACTTCTCATCTCTCTTACTGCAGCATTCCAAAGGGTGGTGGAAGCCTGCAGCATTGACTCATGATTTTAGATTCCCGGAGCAGGATCCCACGCCTCCAGAGTGACAACCAAGTCACAAAGCTTCTAGAATTCTATTTATCAGAAGCTGAACAGTATCTCACTGTGCTGTTTTCTACAAAGGATAGAATGATGACCAGTCTTTACTTCCTGATACAAACTTAGAAAAACATTAGCTCCTTTGTTTCCCAGACTGGTGACCCTGGGCACATGTCTTAACCTTTCTGCACCGTAGTTGCCACATTAGAGAACAGGTTGAATATCTACTTCAGAAAATTGTTGTGGGAATTTAGCCTCATATGATTTTAAATTGCTTAACCCACTGTCTGGCACAGAAGAGTTTAGTATTCACAGGTGACATATATCTGCTTTCTGTGTATGATATCAATTTTAGTTTTAATCTTCACAACACATCTTTCAGGTGGTTATTATAATATTTATCATATAGATGTGGACTCAAAACTCAGAAGTTAAGTTACATGTGCAAATGTTGCTCAGCTGGTAAGTAGGGAGCTGGAATTTCAACAGGTGTCTCTGACTTTAAAGCCCAAAAAGTTGAAATCACCATATCATGTTGCCATACTAACAAATAAATGGTTACTAAAAGGAGCTTTGCAAGAACTGACAATATACTGAGGAGGAACTTGTGAAGGGCCATCAACTTCACTTGCAACTAAAATAAATTTAATTCCATGCTGTTTATTCCTCTAGCATTCTTCAAGCACTCCATAAAAGCATTGTCCAAATGTATCCTCCCTGAAGTAGAATGGCACTCCACCAAGATTCCTGTTCCTTGCTGGTGCACCCAGTTGCTGCAGGGACCACTTCTAAGAGCTTGTACCTGTGAGCTTTGCAGAAGACTTGTCCTTGGCTGATGGGAACCACCTCCCCTGAGACAGAGACTTCCAATAGGCATATTAGGGTTCACTAGATAAACAAAAACCAATAGAAAGTGTGTGTGTGTGTGTGTGTGTGTGTGTGTGTGTGTGTGTGTGTGTGTGTGAAGAGATGTGTTTTAAGGAATTGGATCACACGATTGCAATTATGGAGACTGGCAAGACTAAATCTTCAGTGTGGCCATCTGGCTGGAGACCCAGGAGAGCTCATGGTGCAGATAAAGTTCAAAGGCAGTCTGTAGGAGAATTCCCTCTTGCTTGGAGAGACCAGTATTTTTGTTCTAGTCAAGTCTTCAACTGACTGGGTGAGGCTCACTCCCAACATGGAGGGCAGTTCGCTTACTTAAAGTCTACCAATTTAAATTTCAGCTTCACCCAAAAACACCCACTAAGTTGGCACATAAAATTAGCTATTATAGTAGGTTCCTCCCAGTCCCTCCCCATTTGGATGGCTTTTGGACGATTTTAAATTGCTTAACCTCCTTGATGGCCAATAACTAATGGAGACAAGATTCAAAGGGCTGGGGCAGGTCAAGTACTCAGTGGTGCAGTTTAGTCTCAAGATTTCTCCCACTTTTAGTGATCAGACTGAGGCTAGGCTTCACTTTTTTTCCTTTCCTGTTCTGTTTCTTTCTCTCTCTGTCTGTTCACAGAGGTTTGTCATAATGACCTGTTGCTCAAAAATCACATATAACATAACCACATCCCTGTCTCAGGCTCTATTTCCAAGAAAACTGACCAGGATACTCCCTGTTAGCTCCGGACTGGCTCCTAAACCACTTCACACTGGTTCAGTTTTATTCAACTCCTCAGCCACAAACCTCTATTTGTGTTTGCCTCACCCAAGATGATCTCCTATTATGAATTATGCTATTCTGACTCCAGTTTCAACTCTGTTTGAAAAATTGTTTCTATTCATTCAGTCTCTTCTGATTCATAGAGGCTTCATCTGACTGTGGGGCTCCCAGAGTCCATCTAAAAATAAATACTTTAAGGAAATTTCATTTACTTCAAAATTTCCATCACAATTTTACAGCATTTACTGAAACTGTATTTACAATGAATAACAGTTACCTCAACCTTCATTCTGATGCTGTATTTGAGGTCCAGGATGCAAAATGCCTTTCTGTATAAATTATGTTAAGATACTAGTCTTAGTACATTTAGTGTTGCTATAACCAAATACCTGAGACTGGGTAGTTTATAAAGAAAAGATGTTTATGTGGCTCATGATTCTGGTGGCTGGAAAGTTCAAAATTGGGTAGCTGCATCTGGTGAGGGCTTCAGATTACTTCAACTCCTGGCAGAAAGTGGAAAGGGAGGGGGCATGTGCAAAGATATCACATGGTGAGAGAAAACAAGAGAGAGACAAAGGAAGCCAGATTATTTTAACAACTCATTCTTGTGGGAAATAATCTTTCCTGAGAGAATGAGAACTCACCCACAACAAAGGGCATTCTTCTATTCATGAAAGATGCACTCCTGTGATCCAAATGCCTGTCATTATACCCTATCACACAACACTGCCACATTGGGGATCAAATTTCAACATGAGTTGTGGTTGGGACAAACCATATCCAAACCGTGGCAATACTCAAGAAGTTTCCTGACCCCTCTTGAATGGAGTTAACAAAAAACCATCACAAATAAGAAACTCACCACATGCCAAATGCCACTCCAGTGATTTAGACTTGCTAAGCCATATTCTCTGACTTGTTTTTCTCAAGTGTAATAATCCCCAGTATGGAAGTGCCAGGTTAATATAATCGAACACCTTAGTATGGCATTCAAATCTTTCCAGATGTTGAGCTCAACAACTTTATTAGCTTTATCTGACAATTCCTCTCTCCACGTAAGATTTAAAAATAGTTTTCATGTCACCTTAGGTCAATTGAGAGTGTCTACATGAAGCATTACATGGAGAAGCAATCTAAGGGTGTATTCCAGCTCAACTGGAAAGAGTGCTGTAATCAACTAGTAATGTCTGCCACAGGTGCAAGAATGATGAGTGAAATAGCATTGGAGTCTTCTTCCCAAGTGACAGAAACAGAACTCAAGTTAGCTTAAGAGATGGAAAAGAAAGGCTAAGGGATAATGGCTCACATAACTGGGAAGCCCAAGGTGAAGCCAACAGAGATAATATCACCAGATTTGTCTGTGTGTATTTCTCCTCCTTTTTCTCTCTCCATCTCTTGGCCCAGCCCTCAGACTGTTGGGCTCATCCTCTTCTACTGTAGATAAGCACTGGAGATAAAAGTAGTCGGGGCGGAGGAGGAGATTGAGTTATGAACCAATCATCCTCAACTTATACCATCCCAGTTTAGGGCCCTGAGAGGGATTTCTTAACATCTTTCTGTATATTTCATTCTAGAGAAGGACCCTGCTTGACCCTTCTTCGATCATATGACTACCACTCAGGCTAATTGTTGAAGCCAGAGGGGAAGGACAGTGTGAATGGCAGTCCAGATAGAATTGGGTAAAGCCATAATCAAAAGGAAATGGTTTGCTGTTCCCTTAAGGAGGGGTGGAAAAAAAAAAACAAATCAATAGATGCTCACTACAGGTAGCATGAATATCATAGACTCCCATTCCTGTACCATACCTTATGTTCCAGGCATTGAAAATATTAAACATACCACATCCTCCTGTACTAATCTCAACCTCTATTAAATGTCCTCTTCTATTCCTCTCTACCTTTTGACATTCTATTAATCATCATCCTATGCTATTTACAATCCTATCCTCCAACACTAAATAAAGAAATCATATTTCCTTCTTTTACTCTTGCATAGTAATTAGTTGATTCCTCCATTCAGCACAAAGTAATTTGACTTTCCATTATGGTCATTGTATCATTTAAGAATATTCCTCACAGCAATTTTTTTAATATAGAGCAAGCAGAAAGAGCTTATGTTCCTGAAAAGTTAAAGAGTAATCCTGGTTCCTGGTGCTCAGAAAACATGATCAAAATGCAATTCACCCTATCTTTGCTCTTGATTTGACTCATCCTGGCTTTGTTCTATGGGTTGAATTCATTATGAGACAGGTTCTCCCACAGTGGCAGTCACATGGCTATAGCAGACCTATTTCCTCTCAGCTTTTTGTCCAGTAGAAGAATAAGAGCATATTTTCTGCAAAGCTAGAACAAAAGTCCTGGGTCCAACTTTCATTGGTCAGAATTGGGTTATATGCCCACTTTTTTAAACAATCACTGTGGCTGAGTTAGGAGGACATACTTATGATTGAGCTAATGAGAACAAAAGCCTTCATCTGAGAGTGATATCAATCCCTTCAAACCATGTGAGCAGACAGTGGGGGAGAGCTTGTTCACCAGGAGAAAATACAGGCTGTTGGACACATGAGATAGATGTTGGGTCGCCAAGAAATTATAAATGTCCACTGTAGTCAGCCCTCATCTCTAACCCAGGTGTTTCCATACTAGAATCTACAATACTCCAGGGACCTCAAAGAGACTTTGCCTTAGAATAGAGGCATATAAAGAAGCTGAAAGTGTGGGACTATTGGCCTCTCTCCCTTATTCCAAACCAAGTATCTCACCTTTTAGGGTTTTATATATTTGGCTTATTTACAAGCTTTTCTCTAAAAAAATCATCATTTAGCTTAAAAAAATTAAAACCATTTTATCTGACTGTAAGCCCATTGAAGACAATCATCTATACTTACCTTTGGACTTACATGTTATTTTAACTTTCTTCAGGTACTATTTTTGATATATTGTTTTCCCAATATCCTCCCACTTTCTAACTATAATTCTGTATTTTAATCTTTGTTATACTTTATTTATTTGGTCAGTTACATTACCTATGATATAGGATTTTTAAATAGATCATACTGAATTATTCTTTTTGATAGATATAAACAAATCACAAGACACATTTGTACACAATGAGTGTGACTCAGAAACAATTAGTTTGAAAATGACTAGACCCTACTTTCCTTCCTTTCCCGCTATCATCAGTTGAAAGGTTATCACCAGCCTGCCTCCTAAATTTTTTGGAATGCAGAATCAGCAGAATAGATAAATGAGGAAATTCAAGAGAAACTGCGGAGGGTTCGGCTAAAAGGCTGTGATGGTCTAGTCAGTAGGGACTAACAGGTCACTTTTGGTACTCCCGGAGTTGCATAACATTTGCTGAATTGCTAGATAACATTGGCAGAATTCTAAAATGGCCACCCTGGATTCCTAGCTGCTGGTTATTCAATTAAACATCAATCTATATACTGATATGAAGGGACTTTGCCGGTGTACTAAAGTTACTGATCAGTTGACCTGAAGGTAGGAAGATTATCTGGGTACACCTAATATAATCACATGAGCCTTATAAAAGAGTGTTTTCTCTAGTCAACAGTAGAAGAAATAGATTTTCAGTGTGAAAAGCACTCAGTGTGCTGTTACTGACTTCAAGAAGGGGCTGGGGGACACATGAAACAGGATGTGGACAGCCCTAAGGAATAGGGCTGAGGCAGTCCTCCACCAACAGTCAGCAAGAAAACAGGGACCTTCAACCTACAACACCACAGCCTGGATTCTGCCAATAACCTGGATGGGCCCGAAGTGAATCCCCCCCTTCACATAATTTCCAGGTAAAATCCCAGGCAGGTAAACATCCTAATTTGGGCTTTATGAGATCCTAAACGGAGAATCCAGCCAAGCCCCCTCAGACTTCTGATCTATATATCTGTGAGGTCATTGATATTGTTTTAAGCCACTAAGTTTACAGTAATTTGTTACACAGCAGTAAAAAATTAATAGAACAATTCTAACCTAAGATTTCCTCTTAATAGTGTAGGGTACAACACCATAGAACAAAAGGGTTTTGTTTGTTTCCTTTTTTTGAGATGGAGTCTTGCTCTGTCACCCAGGCTGCAGTGCAGTAGCACAATCTTGGCTCACTGCAACCTCCGCCTCCCAGATTCAAGCAATTCACCTGCCTCAGCCTCCTGAGTAGCTGGGATTACAGGTGCCCGCTACCATGCCCAGCTAATTTTTGTATTTTTAGTAGAGATGGGGTTTCACCATGTTGGCCAGGCTGGTCTCGAACTCCTGACCTCAAGTGATCAGCCCACCGTGGCCTCCCAAAGTGCTGGGATTATAAGCGTGAGCCACCACGCCTGGCAGAACAAAAGTTTTGATGGCATTTCTCTGCACTCCAGGGGTGCCCTAAGTTCAAATCACCCACAGATCAAACTGCTGGAGGGTATATATACTGCATGGTTTCCAGGCTTAAACATTTTCTTTTTTGGCTCTTATCAATGGCAGTATCTACATACAAGTTCAAAAATCACAAAGAAATCAATTCAGCCAAACCCATTCTTCGGTGAATATATTCATCAAATTATTTTACTAAATATAGCCTTTTAAAAATCTATAGACAGTCAAACTTCATACACATACATAGAGAATAGCAATATCGTGCAACTTTGTAATGTATATTCCAGGAAATGTGTTGGAAATATAGGTGATTATTTTATTTTGTTAATATAAACTTTTATTTGATGTCTTATGTGATGCTCAAACAGACGGCCCAGCTTTGGTTCCATCTCTCCTTCCCCTTCACCATTTATTCTCAGGCAATTTCATCTAATTCCATGGTATCCAGTACAAAAGTTAATAACTTTCAAATTTCTATCTCTAGCTCCATTTTTTCTCCCTAAATATAGATCCATCTTGTCACCTGTCCATTTAATCTTACTGGGATAGCTCATAGGAGTCTTCCAGAGGACATATCCCAAACTGACACTGTTCAGATTTTGCGTGCCCAATTCTCTCCTGTCCTTCCCCATCCTCTGACATCCTCCTTTTTCCATATTTTCTAGCTAAAGACATCGTCATTCATCCAATCTCCCAAGCTAAAAAGCTAGATGACAACTTGAACTTCACCCTTTCCTTCGGCCCCCATGTAGTCCCCAAATCCATTGAGTCTACTGTTTCCACCTCTCTCCAAGCAGTCTCCTCTTCCTCATTCATATCTGACCTGCCCTAGTTCATCCTCTCTCACCTGGCCTGTTACAATAGTCTCATAACTGCCTGACTTCTGGTCTCTGACCTCCATGCATGACATCCCTGCTAAGCATTTTATCTGGCTGGCTGTTACTTGCAAGATAGTCCCAAGTTCTAGCTATGTCTCATACGGTTTTTCAAGACTAATCCCAGCATATTTCGCCAGTCTCTCTCCCTTCTCAGGTCCCACTGGCCAGCATACTCTGATGCTTCATCATCTTTACTGCCACCAAGAAACACCCCATGGTTCTTGGTGATGTTATGGCAGCCCTTCTGCCCACATACACCATGAACAAATCCCTCCTCACATTATTCTTCCCCAGCTGAAATGCCACATTCTCTCTTAGTTTGGATTCTCATGAAAGCCCAGCCTGAATCAGGGGCTCAAGTGCAGGTGATTTACTTGGGAAATGATTATAGGAAGTAGGAGAGGGAGGTAGGAAGACTGAGAAAGGGAAGAAGGAAAAGTAAGTAAAGCTGCATTATCAAGGTTATTGCTATAGACAATGTTAGGGCCTTTGAAAACCACGGAGAATTTTTCTCAGGATTGTCTACTTAAAGTCAATTGGCTTCCATCCCCTCACGTCAGATGTTACCCCCAGGAGTATTAAGTAACTGGACACTTTATACTTCCAGATCTTGATGCCTCAGAGAAAGCCCTCCACAGACAAGCTGAGAGGCACAGCTCACACTCTCAGTGTGTCAGAATTGTCCCCCACCTGGGCAACGAAATCAGAAGTGGACTGAGGAGCTATTATGAAAGGCCCCCAAAGCATCTGCTACATCATTGCGAAGTTTTCCTTTATTTGTCCAAAGAGAAGAGCTCTCCCAAGGTCCTCTGAGCTTAGCCCTGTTGCAGCACTTCCTATAGTTGATTGTAGTTGTTGGCTTAGTGCTCTCTTCCCTGCACTGGGCTCTGAACTCTTGAGGAACACACCCTGCTGCAGAGCAGCTGGCCCCTACCACAGTTCCTCAGATGTTTGTTAAATCAATCAATCCATAAAACTTATCCTAAGCCATTCCATGGTACTAACCATCAAACTCCACATGTTTTGAACACAGATAAAAGGATATCAACTCATTAATAGAAAGCGTAAGATCTGCAGCCCTAGCTGTCAAATATATGACCAAATACTTTTCACTCAAATCAAAATGCTACAGTAAAGTTGTTTTCTTCCCAGCCTTTGTAATTTAAGAAATACTAAGTAAAGGAGACAGAGAAAGCAAAATCCTCTAGGCTGAAGGAGTTTAAAATTCACGGTTCAATACATCTTTACTATATTTTTATCAAATCTTTGTTGCTATAAACTCAATCAATAAAGAGTTACCTTTAAAATAATTTAAGCAAGTGGCTATTTTTTTTCTATTCCAGACTTATTCAAATTAATTTAAAAGATTTTTTTTGCCTGTACCCTTCTCCTCCTGTTTGCTTGATGTACTCTGACATAAATTCAATACAAATATGGGTGGCTGTTCAGAGGGCAGCCTAGAAATGTTAATTGGCTGATCAAAATAACAGCCTCATCCTAATTCTAGGCAGCTCTCATCCCTAAAAGAATCATGTTCCCAAATTCCTATAAATTTAAAAATAGAATTCCAGTGCCTTTGATTGAGTGTGCCAGTTTGCATTATTTTTCCATTTTATAAAACTTATGGTTAGGGAAAAATGTGCATTGCACACAAAAATGTGTAAAACACAACTCATAAGTAATCTTTACCATTAACTTGAAATTATTACATAGCTGTTGCTTTTTGATAATTTTAGGTGTTCCATTCAACAACTCTTTGTTGCATGCTTACTGTGAGCCTGGTACTGTGCTGATGGCTGTATTTATTCTTAAGCATGAAGAACCACTCTGCCATTACAAACTCTGTCGGTCTACAGTGTTTTAATGTCTCATCATCGAATTCTCTTGGAAGACCAAGTTGGTTTCATTTAGAAAAGCTAACCAAATCCCACTAATCAGGCATACACCTAAAATAAGGATTTTTTTTTCCTGCAAAAATGTTTGCCATCTGTTAAAACTGATAGTCACTACAATTTTAAGCAATGCCTATACTTAGCTTTACATTTCAGTTCTTACCTAGTCTTTTCTTTGCCCAGAAATATTTCACCCTCTCCTGTGTGTTATACATAACATAAAATTTACTGTTTTAACAATTGTAAGTGTACAATTCAGTGGCACTAAGTGCATTCACAATGCTGTGCAACCATCGCTCTATTTCCAGAAATTTTTCACCAACCCAAATGGAAACTTTGTACCCATTAAATAACTCTCCATACCCCCTATCTCCCCCAAACCCTGGTAATCTCTATCCTATTTTCCATGTCTATGAATTTACCTATTATAGGTACCTCATATAAGTGGAATCATACCATATTTGTCCTTTGTCTGGCTTATTTCATTCAGTGCAATGTTTTTAAGGTTCATTTATGTTGTAGCATGTATCAGAATTTCATTCCTTTTTATGGAAAAATAATATTGTATTGCATGTATATACTGCATTTTGTTTACGAATTCTTCTGTTGATGGACACAGGTTGTTTCCACCTTTTGGCTATTGTGGATAATGTTGCCATCAACCTTTTTACAAGAACTGTTTGAGTCCTTGTTTTTAATTCCTTTGGGTATGTACCTAGGAGTGGAATTGCTGGACCACATAGTAAATCTATGTTCAATTTGGAGAAATTGCTGAACTGTTTTTCACAGCACCTGTACAATTTTACGCCTCACCAGCAATGCACAAGAGTTCCAATTTCTCTGTATCTTTGCCAACAATTGTTATTTTCTTTTTTAAAAAATAATAGCCAACATAATGAGTGTGAAGTGGTATCTTATTTTGGTGTTGATTTGCATTTTCCTAATGACTAACAATGTTGAGTTGAGCATCTTTTCATATGTGTACTGGCCATCTGTATATATCCTATGGACAAATGTCTATTCACGTCCTTTGCCCATTTTTGAATTGGATTATTTATTTTCATTGTTTTTGCATTGGGTTTTGGTGTTAGACAAACACATGCTTAAAATTCACTTCCACCACTTACAGACCTATGGAGTTCATTTAAAATTCCCGAGCCTCAGTTTCCTTATTTGAAAAATGAGGCCATTAATAACCACCTCAGGATACTGATGTCAGACATAAGTGAGATAATGATGTAGAATCACCTAATAGCATGTGTGGCATATGGTCAGGACTCAACAGCTGTAGTTATCTTTTGAAAATATTAGCTATTTGTTCTTAGCTATCTGGTTATATTTGTAGAAAGTGAAGCAAGATGATCACCCATCAGAACTGGTTGCTTAATCTAGTCTCTTAAGGTGGCCAGCAATGTCCTTCCATCTTAAAGAAAATTGACAAAGAAGAAAAGTAAAGTTAGACGCTAGTTCCCAGTCTCTCAATCACTTAAGCAACAAAAAAGAAAATCTGAATAGGGCAATAAATAATGTGTGAAATTTTTTAAAATTTTATAAACATTTGATTTGATAACACTAAACACTCAGCTATTTTTATTATTTATTTAACTTTTCTTATTCACATCTGGACAAATTTATTGGCAAAAATATTAAACCAAGCTTTACATTGTCATGCCAATTTCTCTCTTACTAGCACTCATACAAGACAAATATTCCACAGAGTATGAATCAAGATTAAATTCATTTAAAAGTATCATTGAAATCAAGTTCTTTTCTTTACAATGGAGGAAGCTGGAATAAATATGAATTCAAGAAAACGATTCTAGAAGTGAGAATCTCTCAAGTAATGGACAGAGAAATGATTTCTAATGCAAACGATACTCAAATAGTAAAAAGCAAGGATTTCAACCAATTCTTCCTATTGGAAGTTAAAATTATACCCCAAAGGACCTAATTCAATAAGCAGCTATTTTCACCAACAAATTAAGGGCTTTTTTTTTTTTTTTTTGACAGAGTCTTACTCTGTCACGCAGATTGGAATGCACTGGTGTGATCTCGGCTCACTGCAACCTCCATCTCCCGGGTTCAAGTGATTCTTGTGCCTCAGCCTCCCAAGCAGTTGGGACTACAGGCACATGCCACCAAGCCTTGCTAATTTTTTGTATTTTTAGTAGAGACGGGATTTCACCATGTTGGCCAGGCTGGCCTCAAACTCCTGGCCTCAACTGATCTGCCCACCTCAGCCTCCCAAACTGGGAGCATTACAGGCATGAGCTACCACGCCCCGCCAAATTAAGGGATAATTAATAGAAAGATAATGCTACTTTCTGGCTAAATGGGAGGTTTAGAAGCACTATTCTAGCTCTCAACAGAGAGAAGAGAACTTTGAAGGGACATTAAACTAAGAAAAGGTTCCACATTGGTCTCATCCATTGTTCAAAGATTAGGCATAATGGTATGTTTAAAAGACTTTAAAATTTGATATGACATCCAGTCAAAGAGGAGAGAATTACTCTTATTATTATGTATGTGTCTGGCTGAAAAGAAGGACGGGTTAAGTGTATTATTCTGATAAAAACCAATGCACTGGGCAATGAAATTATTTATTTTCAAGTCCAGTCTATGACTTGATACTTCCTATCACATGCTGTGATGCAGAAGAAGACACAGGATTAATTTTAAATTACATGCACCTGCAATATGGTATAATGGTTTAGCTCATGGACACAGGAGTCATATCGTCCAAATACCAGATCTCCTAGTCACCCGGAACAAGTGTCTTAATCTCTCTAAGCCCAGACTGCTCACTTGTCAAATGGGCTTAACAACTGTACCTGCTTGAGTTCAGTGGGCAATGTATGAAAGCACTCAGACCAGTAGCTGGCAATGACAAATATGTTTTACCTCTTACTACTATCATTATCATCGGTGAGAAAACTCCACTGCGTGGATGACATTTTTACCACTAGAAAAACATGAGACACATCTCATTTTGAGTATGCCCAAAGAATGAGAATGAAAATATTTGGAGAGGCTTCATCCCCTAGACTAAGAAATAATTCTGTCACAGTTTTTGCTGTGGTTAGCACAAAGAGAATAGACCACACAGCCCAAAGGAATGTCTTCTACCAAAATCTTCCATTAAATATTTCATTTTACCTCTTAATTTCTCAAATTTAGGGATTTTTTTCCAACTAATGCATAACCAGGCATTTCCTGGGCCTGGATGTGACACAACTCTGTGGCATAGACAGGAATTTGCCACCTACCCACAAATCTTTTCAAAGAACAAGAGTCTCACAGCCACAAATTCTCCCCATCAGTTCACCCCTCTGGCTGCAATTGTGTGAATGGTCTTGGGAATGTATCTCCTGCCTAAAGTAAAGACCTGAAAGCAAACACAACATATTCAAAGAAGCACAAGGCACATCATTCCCACAAAGAGAGAGTAAGGCCTCAACTGCTATTCCTCATCAAATAACAACTTGAGGTGTTTTTTAGCTGTCTAAAATGCAAGAAAGAAAGACAAGAAAGAAAAAGAGAAAGAAAGAAAGAGAGAAAGAAAGAAAGAAAGGAAGGAAGGAAGGAAGGAAGGAAGGAAGGAAGGAAGGAAGGAAAGAAGGAAGGAAGGGACGGAAGGAAGGAAGGGAAGGAAGGAAGGAAGGAAGGAAGGAAAGAAGGAAGGCAGGCAGGCAGGCAAGAAGGAAGGACTCAACGAGGTAAAGTATTAAGTGGCTTTTAACTGAAAATGCAAAGCCATTCACATTTGCCCTAATACTGCTGAATTGTGTGTTGCAAAGGCCTTTTAAATACTGTCTATTTCAATATTACCCCCAAATGAAAACGGCTTTGAGATGTCTTCTGTATTCTTTGCTGGGGCCCGAAAAGAAATCACCGCATTACCTTGCATTTGCTCTTAGAGTCATTAGCCTTAGACAGCACCATCATTTAAGAAATTTATCATCAGTGCTGTCCTTTGCACAATATATTAGTGCAATACATTATAGGAGCACCTTACTCTGATGATGTATGGCTTCTAAGATGGCAACATCTGGGGATGAATGGGTCTAAGAATAGATTTGGTGTAAGAGAATAAATGCATAGATCCACCTTGGTAGTGTTATTCTAAAATAAACCAGTATTTGTTGCTATCAACCTACTCCAACCCTCATAACAATCTTTACAACTTGCTCGATTTAGTAAAATGATTCTTCATGACATTAAATTGATTTTTGATGACAAAGAGGGAAGGTTTCTAAAATTAGTGGGTTGGTATATTGAGAGATAACCTAGCACAAGCTTGATGATAAATTTCAGTCAAGGCTTTCAAGAAAACTCTAATTTAGTCCACCTCTTGCTCACTTAAATTTTTCAGTAGATTCTCCAAAGGAGAGAAAGGAGATTAACATCTGATGTCTTCAAGGGTATTAGAACAAAAATTGAGTCACAATTAATTAGTCTATACCAAATTCTCACTTTCTACATGGCTGATGATACATTTTTCCTAAAGCTCAATTCTCCCATTTCCATTCTTCAAAGTCCACAATGCTTCCCTCTCCATTACTTTGTCTAAATAGGACACAAATATTTTAGCTAACTACCGAAATAAATCATTATGAACACTCAACCTCAAAGAAAATTATAGCAAATGAAAATGCCTCAACGTTCTGAATCATGAACAGGAGTGTGATCTGCAGGGTCGCAGACTTCTTTGTTAAAATGGTTTTAAAGAACCCATTTTACAAACTCCCAGTAGAGTCTGGGAATCAGCCCTACTTTCTCATTTTAAGCACTGGGCCTCCAGGAGTCAGTGCTAAAATGATGTCCCAATTCAATTTGTTGCCTTATTCCACCATCCGGGGATGCTTCTTTAACTGGGTTTAATCAATATTCATTATGCTAAGAGAAAAAGAAAAGACTGATAGGATAAAATGTCATGCTTGCACCATCACACAATTTTGTCCAATTAATATATTTCCACCAAGTAGGTTGACATTGCTAACCAGTTCAGAAACTTAGTGTGGTAAACTCAGAGGACCCTTGCTCCTTTTACTGCGTGATCATCAACATGAATCTCTAAAGAGACTTGGAGCTTCCATCAGCATCTCTCGGGCTACCATAAGATTATCATATTATGTGATCTTAACAATTTTCCTCCCACAGGATGTTGTGGACAGAGGAAAAAATCCTAGTCTAGACCACTTGTCTGTGGTGATCAGGGACTTGATATGTCTTCAATATTTCTGCAGTCTGTCATCTAAAGCAGTACCCTCAGATATTTAGGAAAGCTTTACTAACCAGCAGGAAATCTTGATTTCAGTGGGAAAGAAACATAGAGGAAGAAAGAGAGACAAGTGAGAAAGACTGAAACAGAGGAAAAAGTAGAAAGAAGGAAGGAATGGAAAAAAATGAATAAAATAAATTAATTCCTGACCTTCAAACTGTCTTATATTCAATCGGCTAACAACTACACTAAATCAGGAACACTAGTTCCTGAAATCAGAAATCCTGTTCTCAGAAGTTAAAACAGAATATATTCAATGTCTGGAGAGCAGCAGTAAATATCATCTTCCAATGACATTATTTCATTTCATAAAATAACTTAGCACCTTAGCAAAATAAAATATCTAAGTAAGAAACACCTCACTGTGTCATTAAACGATTTTCCAAAATTATTTTCTCTTTTTTTACTTTTATAAATTACTAAAATTTCATTGTTTGTCATTTCCATTACCCTGAACAACATGGGTTTGAAATGCATGGGTCCAATTATATGCTGATTTTCTTCCAAGACCAACCCCTCCTCTTCCTCCTCCTCCTCAGCCTACTCAATATGAAGATGATGAGAATGAAGACCATATGATGATTCACTTCCACTTAACAAATAGCAAATATATGTTCCTTACAATTTTTTTAATAACATTTTCTTTTCTCTAGCTTACTTTATTGTACGAATACAGTATATAATACATATAACATACAAAATACGTATTAACAGACTGCATGTTCTCAGTCAGGGTTCTGGCCAGCAGAAGGCTATTGTAGTTAAGTTTGTAGTGAGTCAAAAGTTATACTCAGATTGTGAACCGCGTGGGATTGGTGCCCCAAACTCCCATGTTGTTCAAGGGTCTTCATCTTTCTGTTTGCTATTTTCTGACTTCTTTCTGGGAACAGGATTTATGGTTTAAGGTGGTTGTTAGCTACTTAAACATAAAACAGGCTAGGCACGGTGGCTCATGCCTGTAATCCCAGCACTTTGGGAGGCCGAGGCGGGTGGATCACCTGAGGTCAGGAGTTCAAGACCAGCCTGGTCAGCATGGTGAAACCCCTTCTCTACTAAATACAAAACTTATCCAGGTGTGGTGGCGGGAACTTGTAATCCCAGCTACTCAAGAGGCTGAGGCAGAAGAATCGTTTGAACCTGGCAGGCAGAGGTTGCAGTGAGTTGAGATTGTGCCTCTGCACTCCAGCCTAGGTGAGAAGAATGAAACTCCATCTCAAAAAAATAAATAAATAAAAATAAAATAAAACATAAAACAACTGGAGACTCAGCATTAACATAAAACTATGGTATTTATTCCAAAATATCTTTTTCTCTAAATTCTTTTAAGTGACAATATGCCTCGGACTTTACCACATCAGCCAACTGGCAAACATTCTGGAGTTCACAGATTTTATCATAAAATAACATGCCCTTTGTAACTATGTAGATCTTAGCCCATGGTGTTATCTACAGGAAGCTCAAGGCCTCTTCCAGCCCCATCTTCTCCCCTTTCACCAAGAATGGGGCAAGCTCATGACCTCAACAGTCTTAGGTCATCTTCCACCTCTTCTCACAATTGACTAAACAGCCCCAAGGAATTAAACATTCTTGAGTTTTCTGCCTCTCTCACTCCTTTTCCTCTGCATCTTTTGTTTTGCTATCAATGTTAAGATCCAAGATCTGCACAAGGTAGAAGCAAACAGATTATTCAGTTTAGATTCTCATCTCTGGAAAACAAAGCAAAAAGCCTTTCTTGGAACCAGCCTAAATGACGGTCTTCTACGATGAGGTTTGTAGTCAAAGCCCCTGTCAACAAAGGAAAATCCGAATGCTTTCCTTTGCCTCTTCCATGTAAGTATCTTTCAAGGACCAAGTGAAGAACCACGGATTACGGGGAAGCAAAATTCAGCTGGGAGGCAGCAGAGCATGGTGGCTGGGAGGGGTCTCCTGGCATCAGAGGCTTTGCTGCTTACTGGCTCCATGTCTTTGGGCAAACAGCTTGTTTTCTCAAATCCTACATTTCATTTGGTGGTATATGATGAGTTGTTGACAAATATCAGCTAATTTTATTATTATTTTTGAGGTAATGCTGGTCTAATATCATCTACTAGTTTCTATTCCAATCAGAAATTATATGTCTGCCTAATGTTTAATTTGTGACAACTAGAAGAAGTGGATTTGTAAAAACAGAGAAGATAAATCATGAAAAATAATAGGAAACTATTAAGCTTTTATCATCGTATATCAGTGAAAAGCATGCAATGGTTCCATTTCCACTATATGTCTAGACTTGTACCGCTCATTGTAGGAATATAAAAGAAATGTGAGACATTGTTCTTTGGGTCAAAGAACTGCCAATCTAACTGAGGAAATGAGACAGACAGAATAATGAGAGTGCAATCCCAGGCAGAATTGCGTAGACCTGCTAGTGATTGAGGCAGATGTGAAATTAGGGATAGACCAGTTTGGGTAACCATGATTAGGAAAAAAATAGGAAGGAAGAGCTGCACCAAGCCTGATAAGGTCAGCTGGAGACAGGCAGAAGGAAAAACTGTGGGCATTCTGGGAGGAAAGCTCAATATGAACAGAAGGACAGAGACAGAAATGGACATGGTGTAGGTTGTAAGACTCAATAACAGGTTGGCAAACTATGGCTTGCAGTCCAAATTTGGCCCAGGCCTATTTTTGTAAATAAAGTTTTATTGGAATACATACACATGACAAAAGAAATGGACATGGCAAGAGCTCGAAATAGAGATCATACCTTGCTTCAAACAACAAGCAAATGCAGCTAAATTTCTGATAGTGGACAAATGGGAGCCACCGATAATTACTGAATCAAGGAGAAGTAGGAGGAGAAGTTACAGCAGAGTTAAGATTCACATTTTTACTTACTATGAACACTGCCTCCCAGATGTTAATTTTGAACAGTGGCATGAGTAATAGCTACACAGTAAGAAATTCATGACTACAGGAAATAAAGGAAACATATTATAAATAAAGAATATAAAGAAATAAAGAAACTTTTTTTTTTTTTGAGACAGAGTCTTGCTCTGTCACCCAGGCTGGAGTGCACTGGAGCAATCTCAGCTCACTGCAAGCTCCACCTCCTGGATTCACGCCATTCTCCTGCCTCAGCCTCCCAAGTAGCTGAGACTAAAGGCGTCTGCCACCACGCCTGGCTAATTTTTTTTTTTGTATTTTTACTAGAGACGGGGTTTCGCTTTGTTAGCCAGGATGGTCTCGATCTCCTGACCTCGTAATCTGCCTGCCTCGGCCTCCCAAAGTGCTGGGATTACAGACGTGAGCCACCGTGCCTGGCCTAAAGAAACATATAAGATTCCTAGTCTTTGAGACTGGAAATTATTTGCACTTTTCACTAAAATGAATTTTAAGAAGCCAACATCAAAGCAGAGATTATGAGATGAGGTGAGATTTTGCAATTCGGATCATAGCGATGTTTTAGTGTCCAGTGGAATACTGTATTAATAGGAAAATTGGACCCAATTCTTCTAACCATTGTCTTAATTCAAGGCAATTACATGAAATACCAACCCAACTTTTTCTTCACAAGAAATGTATCCACTCAATCTTTCCTTCATCCCCAGAATAAAATGATAACAAAAACAATTTTTACATGGCAGAGCTATTCCACTTGAAAATGGTGTCAGCTAATATTTTGTTTCAAAATGAGAAAGTCAAACCAAATGAAACTTGAATCTTTTAGAAGGGCTTAGGCCCTTTAGCTGTGCACCAAACTTGATGAGAATCAGTGAATTATTTAATGGTATTCTTGAGAAACAACCCAAGAAGACATGGTGAAATGGTAAGATGCTAAGTCCAAAGGGACTTTATTTCATCTAGTCAATTAGAATTGTCTTTGGAATTTATGATACAAGTCAGAGTGCTACATAGATTTTGCAATACGAAATAAAATTAGTTCCATAAATGTTCCCAACTGAAAGACCAAAAGAACCAAAAAAACACGAGGACTCATAAATAACTGGTTGTCTGTCTTCCCTACTGGCAGTATCACAATACAATTTCTTTTTTTTTTTTTTTTTTTTTTTTGTTATTATACTTTAAGTTTTAGGGTACATGTGCACAATGTGTAAGTTTGTTACATATGTATACATGTGCCATGTTGGTGTACTGCACCCATTAACTCCTCATTTAGCATTAGGTATATCTCCTAATGCTATCCCTCCTCCCTCCCCCCACCCGGCAACAATTTCTTAATGAAATCAAATTAGGTACATTTGGGGGGCCAGTTGGAATATCACGTTGTCATTTGAATCCCCTGAATTACTGGGCAGAATCGGTTTGTAGAAATCCCTGTATATTCTAGCCCCAACTCAAGGACAACAGATTATTGGAGGAACAAAATCTTTAAATTGGTAAAAAACAAAAGGCCCTTCTCGTTAAGATGTTGCCTTCCAGCAAGCACTACTAATACTCAGCAGGTGATGTGAAACGCTGTCACCTACCGCCTCCATTCTGGTGCCTAAACAGGTTTAGACCTCAAAGTCTTTCTTCCCCTTGATAAGAACTACTTCTTAAAAATGTTGATGAAGATTTCATAGGTTTCTTTGAAAATAATTATTAAAAAAGAAATGGCCCTCAGGTTTTATCTATGCATAGCAATAAGTCTCAGCTGCAAGCTAGTTTTTTTAAGTCAAGATTTTTGCTTCCAAAAAAACAGATTTGTACAAATGCACTCAAAAACCTTATTAATTGGAGCAGGCTACAGTCCAATTACTCTGGTGGCTTGAAAACAATCCCAAAATAATAAAATATATAATGATGATGGGTTTTTTTCCCTGTTAATATCACCACAATCTGAGAAAATCTTTGAGCCGTTCCACTGAAAATGATTTGGATCCTTAAAGACAATTAATTACAGAAGACCAAAGAGAGGTTTTGAAAAGTGAAAAAACTAAATATAATCAGGCCTAGTAGAAATACATTTGGCATTATTTAAACAAGCTATGTTTTTCTTGACTGCTCTTTTAGCATTTTGCCACTTCCTCATTTTGCCACAGATGTTTTATTTTATAAGTGGATGAACTTCATCATTTTCATTGACTAAAATGTCTAAAAATAGGTAAACAGTTATAAAAACAGCAAAAGGTTAACAAGGCTGAAAAAGAGGCCATATACTGGCTTCTTTCTTGAAAAGTAAACATATCAAACTGAAATAAAAGAAAATCTAATATGAAAAAATATATTTTAACTGAAAATGAGAACTCATTACACTAATTATGACAGGAAATGTGTTTTGGTGGCCTGTTACTGGAAAAGGTTTTCTCACGTCTCACATCCTCCCTTCTCTTCCCACCTCCCCACCCTGAATGTACACACACACAGGGAATGTTTTCCATGAACAGCCAATGTGGTGAAAAGAGGAAATGCTCTAAAGTCACTTTCCATGGAAAATAAAATTCCAACATTTAACTCCGTTCTTGAAGCTATGGCATCATAATCTCCAGAGGGCCTCTGCTAGAATACAAACATTTCATTTCATTCACCATTACCAACACTTTCAGAACTTGGTTCTGCCATTTTCTCACTTTCTGGCACTAAGAAACTTGCTTAAACATTCTAAATCTCATTCCTTCATTGCTAAATAACAAGGTATGTTTATATAAGGATGCATGTTTCCTACAGTTGTTGGGAAGATGACGTGGAATGATGTCCATAAAGGGCTTACTTTGCATCATGCCTGAATTGTAAAAGGCGCTCGATCAACAGTAGCTGCTACTGCTATTATCATTATTATTATTAATTATTATTGTTACTATTCTCATTAGCTAATGGGAAAGGAATGAGATCCAAGTAGGCTCAATCAGATGATTAGAAGGCGAAGAGAAATGTGTGGATGAAAGCTGTGGAGTATGAGGAGTTTGCAGGCTCTGCCATCCCAAGCTGCACAGGGATGGGAAGACTCTGCAATAAACACCACCACCTCTTTGACAAGTTTGCCTGCAGCCAGGCCTGGTTCTGTTGATTCATCTGCCACTACCACAGATGCCACAGTCTCCATATTGGTGGGCAGACTAATAGAAGAAAATCAGTGCAAATCCAGAGCATTTGCATAATTTCAGTTCCTTTGGTCATTTCCTAGGAGAGGTCAAAAATTGTACTCTTTCGTCTAGGGTGCCTGAAGACCCATGTTCCTGTTGAATTTTTGCTTTCTGCATTAATCTCTTAGCTCTTGATTGTGGAAAAATAAAGAATTGAGGAGACAGAGAAGGCTAAAGGAAAGAATAAAAGGGAATAAACATGACTTTTAGATCCATATTTAGTACTCTTTTCTGCAAAATTGACGTGGGGATTTGGCTAATCACATAATTGCAACTGGTGCTCGGCCCAGTCCCTCATATGCTGCAGGAACACCATCATTTGTCTGGTTGTGATGCACAAGAGCATTTTTAACTCTACCTTTAAGGCCTTTGCATTGTTTCTGCCTGTGAAAAGAGAGCCAAGCAAGAATTTCCTGAGCTTCTGGATTCTGGACTTGAAGAAGCATTTCTTCACAGAGAGGATTCAGGGAACTCACATTCCACCAAATTTTAATAGTTGTTACCCAAGTTGCCAATAAGTGTGACAAAGGCTGTCAAACAAAGCCAAACAGGGTTCCTTACTGCAAGACTTCTCAGGCCCTTGAATGTGTTAATATGGAATATTAATTCCTAAGAACAGCACTTCTGTTTGTCACCACCAGGTCAGCCCTACAAGAGCTCCTGAAGGAAGCACAAACATGGAAAGGAACAACCGGTACCAGACACTGCAAAAACATGCCAAATTGTAAAGACCGTCGATGCTAGGAAGAAACTGCATCAACTGACGAGCAGAATAACCAGCTAACATCATAATGACAGGATCAAATTCACACATAACAATATTAACCGTAACTGTAAATGGGCTAAATGCTCCAATTAAAAGACACAGACTGGCCAATTGGATAAAGAGTCAAGACCCATCAGTGCGCTGTATTCAGGAGACCCATCTCAAGTGCAGAGACACACATAGGCTCAAAATAAAGGGATGGAGGAAGATCTACCAAGCAAATGTAAAACAAAAAAAGGCAGGGGTTGCAATCCTAGTCTCTGATAAAACAGACTTTAAACCAACAAAGTTCAAAAGAGACAAAGAAGGCCATTACATAATGGTAAAGGGAACAATTCAACATGAAGAGCTAACTATCCTAAATATAAATGCACCCAATACAGGAGCACCCAGATTCATAAAGCAAGTCCTTAGAGATCTAGAAACAGACTTAGACTCCCACACAATAATAACGGGAGACTTTAACACCCCACTGTCAACATTAGACACATCAACGAGACAGAAAGTTAACAAGGATATCCAGGAATTGAACTCAGCTCTGCACCAAGCAGACCTAATAGACATCTACAGAACTCTCCACCCCAAATCAACAGAATATACATTCTTCTCAGCACCACATCGCACTCATTCCAAAATTGACCACGTAGTTGGAAGTAAAGCACTCCTCAGCAAATGTAAAAGAACAGAAGTTATAACAAACTGTCTCTCAGACCACAGTGCAATCAAACTAGAACTCAGGATTAAGAAACTCACTCAAAACCACTCAACTACATGGAAACTGAACAACCTGCTCCTGAATGACTACTGAGTCCATAACGAAATGAAGGCAGAAATAAAGATGTTCTTTGACACCAATGAGAACAAAGACACAACATACCAGAATCTCTGGGACACATTCAAAGCAGTGTGTAGAGGGAAATTTATAGCACTAAATGCCCACAAGAGAAAGCAGGAAAGATCTAAAATTGACACCCTAACATCACAATTAAAACAACTAGAGAAGCAAGAGCAAACACATTCAAAAGCTAGCAGAAGGCAAGAAATAACTAAAACCAGAGCAGAACTGAAGGGAATAGAGACACAAAAAACCCTTCAAAAAAATCAATGAATCCAGGAGCTGGTTTTTTGAAAAGATCAACAAAATTGATAGACTGCTAGCAAGACTAATAAAGAAGAAAAGAGAGAAGAATCAAATAGACGCAATAAAAAATGATACAGGGGATATCACCACCGATCCCACAGAAATACAAACTACCATAAAATACTATAAACACCTCTACGCAAATAAACTAGAAAATCTAGAAGAAATGGATAAATTCCTCAGCACATACACCCTCCCAAGAATAAACCAGGAAGAAGCTGAATCTCTGAATAGACCAATAACAGGCTCTGAAATTGAGGCAATAATTAATAGTTTACCAACAAAAAAAGTCCAGAACCAGATGGATTCACAGCCGAATTCTATCAGAGGTACAAGAAGGAGCTGGTACCATTCCTTCTGAAACTATTCCAATTGATAGAAAAAGAGGGAATCCTCCCTCACTCATTTTATGAGGCCAGCATCATCCTGATACCAAAGCCTGGTAGAGACACAACAAAAAAAGAGAATTTTAGACCAATATCCCTGATGAACATCGATGCAAAAATCCTCAATAAAATACTGGCAAACCAAATCCAGCAACACATCAAAAAGCTTATCCACCATGATCACGTGGGCTTCATCCCTGGGATGCAAGGCTGGTTCAACATATGCAAATCAATAAACATAATCCAGCATATAAACAGAACCAAAGACAAAAACCACATGATTATCTCAATAGATGAAGAAAAGGCCTTTCACAAAATTCAACAACGCTTCATGCTAAAACCTATCAATAAATTAGGTATTGATGGGATGTTTCTCAAAATAATAAGAGCTATTTATGACAAACCCACAGCCAATATCATGCTGAATGGGCAAAAACTGGAAGCATTCCCTTTGAAAACTGGCACAAGACAGGGATGCCCTCTCTCACCACTCCTATTCAACATAGTGTTAGAAGTTCTGGCCAGGGCAATCAGGAAGGAGAAGGAAATAAAGGGTAGTCAATTAGGAAAAGAGGAATTCAAATTGTCCCTGTTTGCAGATGACATGATTGTATATCTAGAAAACCCCATCGTCTCAGCCCAAAATCTCCTTAAGCTGATAGGCAACTTCAGCAAAGTCTCAGGATACAAATTCAATGTGCAAAAATCACAAGCATTCTTATACACCAATAACAGACAGAGAGCCAAATCATGAGTGAACTCCCATTCACAATTGCTTCAAAGAGAATAAAATACCTAGGAATCCAACTTACAAGGGACGTGAAGGACCTCTTCAAGGAGAACTACAAACCACTGCTCAATGAAAGAAAAGAAGATACAAACAAATGGAATAACATTCCATGCTCATGGGTAGGAAGAATCAATATCGTGAAAGTGGCCATACTGCCCAAGGTAATTTAGAGATTCAATGCCATCCCCATCAAGCTACCGATGACTTTCTTCACAGAATTGGAAAAAACTACTTTAAAGTTCATATAGAACCAAAAAAGAGCCCACATCGCCAAGTCAATCCTAAGCCAAAAGAACAAAGCTGGAGGCATCACGCTACCTGACTTCAAACTATGCTACAAGGCTACAGTAACCAAAACAGCATGGTACTGGTACCAAAACAGATATATAGACCAATGGAACAGAACAGAGCCCTTAGAAATAATGCCGCATATCTACAACCATCTGATCTTTGACAAACCTGACAAAAACAAGAAATGGGGAAAGGATTCCCTATTTAATAAATGGTGCTGGGAAAACTGGCTAGCCATATGTAGAAAGCTGAAAGTGGATCTCTTCCTTACACCTTATACAAAAATTAATTCAAGATGGATTAAAGACTTACATGTTAGACCTAAAACCATAAAAACCCTAGAAGAAAATCTAAGCAATACCATTCAGGACACAGGCATGGGCAAGGACTTCATGTCTAAAACACCAAAAGCAATGGCAACAAAAGCCAAAATTGACAAATGGGATCTAATTAAACTAAAGAGCTTCTGCACAGCAAAAGAAACTACCATCAGAGTGAACAGGCAACCTACAGAATGGGAGAAAATTTTTGCAATCTACTCATCTGACAAAGGGCTAATATCCAGAATCTACAATGAACTCAAACAAAGTTACACGAAAAAAACAAACAACCCCATCACAAAGTGAGTGAAAGATGTGAAGAGATCCTTCTCAAAAGGATCTCAATGTCTTCTCAAAAGAAGACATTTATACAGACAACAGACACATGAAAAAATGCTCATCATCACTGGCCATCAGAGAAATGCAAATCAAAACCACAATGAGATTCCATCTCACACCAGTTAGAATGGCAATCATTAAAAAGTCAGGAAACAACAGGTGCTGGAGAGGATGTGGAGAAATAGGAACACTTTTACACTGCTGGTGGGACTGTAAACTAGTTCATCCATTGTGGAAGACAGTGTGGCAATTCCTCAGGGATCTAGAACTAGAAATACCATTTGACCCAGCAATCCCATTACTGGGTATATACCCAAAGGATTATAAATCATGCTGCTATAAAGGCACAAGCACATGTATGTTTATTGCGGCACTATTCACAACAGCAAAGACTTGCAACCAACCCAAATGTCCATCAATGACAGACTGGATTAAGAAAATGTGGCACATATACACCATGGAATACTACGCAGCCATAAAAAACGATGAGTTCATGTCCTTTGTAGGGACACGGATGAAGCTGGAAACCATCATTCTCAGCAAACTATCACAAGAACAAAAAAGCAAACACCACATGTTCTCACTCATAGGTGGGAATTGAACAATGAGAACACTTGGACACAGGAAGGGGAACATCACACACCGGGGCCTGTCGTGGGGTGGGGAAGCGGGGAGGGATAGCATTAGGAGATATACCTAAAGTAAATGACGAGTTAATGGGTGCAGCACACCAACATTGCACATGTATACATATGTAACAAACCTGCACATTGTGCACATGTACCCTAGAACTTAAAGTATAATAAACAAAGAAAGAAAGACACCTCAAGTAAGACCTGATGACAGGAAATGTCAACAATGCAAATTTCTAAACATTGCAGATACTAAGTAATGTCTCAATTACCAAAGACAAGATGTATAGGTTGATTTTCCCTGTACACTGGGTAAATAAACGACTTGTTAACATTTAAAAAAAAAAAAGAACAGCACTTCTGGCCATCCAGTACTTTTTTTAAAATCAGAGAGCATTTCCCCAAAATGCTGAGGGAAGTCCCAAGATGGTTTTTTTTTGTTTGTTTGTTTGTTGGTTTGGTTTTTTTTGAGACGGAGTCTCGCTCTGTCGCCCAAGCTGCAGTGCAGTGGCATGATCTTGGCTCACTGCAAGCTCCGCTTCCAGGGTTCACACCATTCTCCTGCCTCAGCCTCCCTAGTAGCTGGGACTACAGGCGCCTGCCACCATGCCCGGCTAATTTTTTTGTATTTTTAGTAGAGACAGGGTTTCACCGTGTTGGCCAAGATGGTCTCGATCTCCTGACCTAGTGATCCGCCCGCCTCGGCCTCCCAAAGTGCTGGGATTACAGGCGTGAGCCACAGCACCTGGCCCCAAGATGGTTTTACATCTAAATTTGCTCTTTTTGTCTTAACTTATGTTGATTGGTAACATAAGTTCGTAAGATCTATCTAAGGGAGGAATTTTAAAATCCCACGATCATCCTTAGTAATGCTGGTATTACTCTGTGTTCAGGACACAGAGCTCTGAATCTTTAACTAACACCACAAGTCTTGAGATATATACAAAGATGGACAACTCATGCAATATCATACACATGAATTCTATGAAAAACATTTTTCTTAAACTCCAGCATAGACACTTGAGGATTAAAGCCAGAAGTTACTTTGAGAGTTGGAGGAAAGACAGGGTGGTTGGTTCTGTCCCTAAAGACATTCTCCATAAGTGGCCCCTTTTGAAATTCCATGGAGTAGATAGGCACAGGCAGGTGCCTCTTTTATATGTTCATGCTCACCCATAACCTACAGAACTGATCCGATGCATATGGATTTGGCTGAAATGTGTGAACTTGGCTAAAGGTAATGGTTTTGTTTTGACTGCAGGCAAAGACATTGAAGAAAAGAATAAACGTATGTCTTGAGGAATCAGGGACTATGCTCCCCAGAAGCAGGCAACCTTTCTGAAGTCTCCTCGTAGTGAACAGCGTTGATTTTGCCTGAAATCCCCTCTTCCTCCTTCGGTCAGTTGCCAAGTTTTATTTATCTTTTAGACGCCTCCATGTCTTGGGGGTAGGTGAAGGAAAGAGTCCAGACATTCTTACTCCATTGGAAGGCAGATTATGTTAGCCAACTGAATTCCCTCTGTACGAAGGATAAAATCCTGTGTCACAGGTCACTAGGTGTGGGAAGTTCTCTCTCCGCTTTGGAAATAGTAGATAGTAAGGGTCTTAAGCCTGGAGTAAAGACCATCATTGCCATGAGGGCAGAGATGGCCTGCTTGTAAATGAAACCAATACTGAGGAGAACAGACTTGGAAGATGGCAAAGTAAAGATTCCTGGTAACAATGTTCAAACGCTACCCTGTAGGTCGTTGAATAATCTCTGCCTCTAACAAGAGGAACCAAGCAACAATTTCCTGAGCTTCTGGTTTCTGGACTTGAGGAAGCATTTTTTTCACAGAGTTTTCCAGAGAGCCGTTGGATCTAGCCACACCTCTGAAATTTATCCCTCCAAAGTTTCAACTTATAGGCGCAGTAATGTCTTTTCTGCTTCAGCTAGTTTGAGCTGGGTTTCTAAAGCTGCAATAAGAAAGTGGTTGAATAATCCACACCTATTCTTAAAAATTCATGCAAAATTTGCATTCTCCTTCATAATACATCCATGTGTGTTTTAAAAAGAAAAATATGTTAAATTATTTACCTTTGAGTAAAGTTGACTTTCCAGGAGGATGTGCCATGTTTATACAGTGTCTTCTCTCACCCCTCGCTCACTGCTGAGGACCCCAGTTTTGAGTTGCATAGTTGAGGAATAAGAATTTAACAGTGCCTTTCTGAGACTTTCAGTCTTACTACCCTGAAAGAAAGAGAAGGAGAAGCGGAATGAAAGAAGATGAAGAAGAATTACATCCTAGGGAGGCTCATGTACTGGCCTCCTTTGCCTGGAGCTCCATTGACTACAATTCATAAAGCAACATGACTGACTATAACTGAGCACTTACTATGTGCCAAATGCTTTATATGTATGATTTTACTCCTCATAACAACCTTTGAGGAGGCTACTCTTATTGCTTCTAGTTCATATTTTTTTAAAAAAAGAAACTCATTCAGGCTTTAAAAAACTAGGCAAGACTACAAACCTAAAAATAACAAAGCCAGAGTCAAAACCTAGACAAATTCGGAACTTAAAATCATGATTATCACCATCATCATCATCATCATCATCACATTTACTATATGCCAGAAACTGTTCAAGTGTTTTACCTAAATAAAGGAACAGGTAGTTAATTTTATCCTTTTCTCAAAAATAGGAAAACCAAAATTAACTGACTTGCTTAAAATGACACAGCAAGTATGTTTCAAAACTAGATGATCTTCCTCCAGAGTCTACAAACTGGATAGTAGATTATTGATCACAGTTATCTTCTTTACTCAGCCTTTTAGGGTAGATAAAAAGGAAGAACGGTGCTTCCTTGTATGGTAGAAGAGGCCCCAAGACCCTTATACCATCCTATCTATGTACGAGAACTTCCCATTGACAACCAAAGGTAAGAAACAGAAAACTTTGCCACAGCAAAGCCTCACCATTCTCTACATCACACTCAAAGTTGCACCTTCTACAGTCTGGCCCAATTCATGTCTTCTGATTTCACTGGGTCATGTCAAAGACCCTTCTTGGTAGTAGAATAAAAAGGGGCAAGTAAGTACACCAGTTTTCTATGGCTGATGTAACAAATTACCACAAATTTAGTGCCTTAAAAAAACAAAAATGTATTACCTTACACATCTAGAGGTCAGACATTACAGTGGGTCAGCAGGGCTGTGTTCCTTCTGGAGGCTCTAGTGGAAAATTTGTTTCCTTGCCTTCTCTAGCTTCTAGAGGCTTCCCACATTCTTGGTTTTCGCCCCTTCCTTCATCTTTAAAGTCCGCAGTGTAGTATCTTCAAGTCTTCCTTTGACTCTGACCCTCATGGCTTCCTCTTTCCCTCTTAAGCACCCTTGTGATGACATTGAGCCCACCTGGATAATCAACAAAAAAAAAAATGCTTCACATCTCAAGATTCTTAATCACATCTACAAAGTCCACTTTCCCTTGTAAAGGTAACAAAGTCAGAGGTTCCAAGGATAGGATGCAGACATTTTTGAGGAGCCATTTTTTGACTCCCATAGCAGGTAAAAGAGATTTTACCTTCCCCAGGGACCAACAGACACTGCTGCTTGAAAATAACTTCAAGCTTCATGATTTCAGTTTGGAGTCACATCTCTTTCCTCCAGCTCTGGATCATGGATTGGAACCAGCAGGCTCTCCTGCTCAGTCCAGGAGGGAGCTAGAGAAAGGGGTTGAGACCATTCACACCATCCCTTTCTCTTCTGGCCTAAAGACCATATCACCTCTAACTCACAGCGTTGCCATTTCTGGTTGTCAGATGCACTCATCTCTGGGAATTTATTTCATCTGAAACTTCCAGAGTAAGTTTCCACAGTTCTCTCTTTAATACTTGTGTTTTCAAACACAGTATGAGCAGTGATTATTTCCTTCTTTAGGTCTGAGATCACTGTGCTTTCCATACTTCATAATAGCAAGTGATTTATTTGTTTTAGAGCCTGTGTTCTTGGATTCCCTCCCAGGCTATGTTTGAATGGCATTATAGGATTTTGCCAATCTTTGTTTTCTTTGCTATAGTATCAGAGAAATGGAACTGAAATACCCACAGTTTTCAGACACTTCTTAACCAATTGACTTCACTTCCATAGTAAAAAAAAAAAAAAAAGTAAACTCTTCATTTCAGTCTCACATACAATTATGGAGTCTCTTCACTCTCTTAAATCTTCAACTAAATGAAAGCACTCAGGGGTCAAAGTTGGCTTTGTTAAATTTACAGACAAATTATACACATTCTGAATGACTAATAGAAAAAACAAACTCTCCTTACCCACATATTAGGGCTGAGAAGAGGGGCCCTAAATTTAAGAACATCATTTGTCCTAACAATAGGTATTTTCAAAGCTTTGACCAAATCTTTGGAATTGAAAGGAGACCTGGAATGGAGTTTTAAGGGAGAACTAAGGAAAATTGTATTGCTCTGCATAACAAAGTGGAAGACTTTTTGTTTTTGTTTTTTCATTTTCTTAGAGGTAGCCATAGACAATATATAAATAAAGTCATGGTGTTCCAGTAAACTTCACAAAAAACAGATGATAGCATGCACCTCAGAAATATGTAAAACTATTATGTATCTACAGTAATTAAAAATAAAAGGGTATAAAAAGGTGAAGAACCCTTGAGTAATACCCCAAAGTATAAAAACCAGGGCAGTATACGGCTGATATAGTTTGGCTCTCACCTTGAATTGTAATCCCTACAATCCCCATGAGTCAAGGTTGGAACCAGGTGAAGGTAACTGAATCCTGCTGTCAAGGTTGGAACCAGGCAACAGCATCACCTGCATGCTGTTCTCACGATAGTCAGTGAGTCTCACGAGATCTTATGGTTTTATAAGCGTCTGGCATTTCCCCTGTTTGCACTCACTCCGTCCTAAAGCCCTGTGAAGAAGGTGCCTGCTGCTCCTTTGCCTTCTGCCATGTTTGTAAGTTTCCTGAGGCCTCCCCGACAATGCGGAACTGTGAGTCAATTAAGCCTCTTTCCTTTATAAATTACCCAGTCTAGGAAAGCAGTAAAAGTTCTTTATAGCAGCAAAAGAACTAACTAATACAATGGCACATACGCCACTCTGGAGCCAATTACTCCAAAGACATTACATATGCTGAAATTACAAATAGGTTATTAACAGGAAGTTGGGGTTTTAACAGGAACCCTAAGACACAAGAATGACATCAGTGAAAATAGCATCCATCTTCCCCTTGGTGCTATGGCGAAGGTTTGGCAATAAACAGGAAAACAAAAACAGGCAGAGGTTGCAATCCTAGTCTCTGATAAAACAGACTTTAAACCAACAAAGATCAAAAGAGACAAAGAAGGCCATTACATAATGGTAAAGGGAACAATTCCACATGAAGAGCTAACTATCCTAAACATATATGCACCCAATACAGGAGCACCCAGATTCATAAAGCAAGTTCTTAGAGATCTAGAAAGAGACTTAGACTCCCACACAATAATAACGGGAGACTTTAACACCCCACGGTCAACATTAGACACATCAACGAGACAGAAAGTTAACAAGGATATCCAGGAATTGAACTCAGCTCTGCACCAAGCAGACCTAATAGACATCTACAGAACTCTCCACCCCAAATCAACAGAATATACATTCTTCTCAGCACCACATCACACTTATTCCAAAATTGACCACGTAGTTGGAAGTAAAGCACTCCTCAGCAAATGTAAAAGAACAGAAGTTATAACAAACTGTCT